>NC_000005.10:2510000-3760000 GCF_000001405.40 Homo sapiens
TTCTCATTTCCGATTCAAATTTGGCGAAATCATTTTTTAACCTTGTTTGTATTATCTTTGTTTTTCTTCCTTTTATGCTGCAAATCCCAGCTGGAGTGACATCAACATAAATTCTCACTTGCTTTATCCTACACCAGGTGTGAAACAACCTAGGAATAACGATGTCAGTCTAACACCAAAACTATGAGTATTGAAAAGAGTTCTTTTCTGTTTGTTTTTGTCGTGTGTGTGTTCTTAAACAAACGCAGTAGAAACAAAGCCTCAAATGATCTTCGTGAGCTCACTCGAAGTGGTTGCCCTCCTGAGTTCATTGTCTGTTGGTGTCTTTCGCCAATTTCTATTTCCTCTTTCCCCTTTGAACCAGAATGCCGGCCCCACCACTGCCGGAATGTTGCTCCTGTCAAGGGCACAAGTGACACATAGGCTGGTGAGCCCCGAGTCCACTCAGCAGCAGCAGGTGACGGCTGATCGCTTCCTGCACCAGGACACTTTCTGAGTGTGGATTTCAGGACCCCACACTCACGTGCCCCTCCTGACCCCCTGTCTGTGCTTCAACGTGAGCATCTTCTTTCACAACCATAGGAAATCCCTGCCATGCAACAGAAAGAACGTGAAAAAAAGCCATCAGTTTGGAGGGAACATGGTGCCTTTGGAAAGGTGGATGCTAAGTGAGTCAAGGTGATGGCAACTGGGGCATGTTGGTCAAGACCAACCCCAGTGTTGGGAAGGAGAAGGCCTTATAAAAATGTGTAATTGGACACGTTGGGGATTCTTCTTCCGAAGTGCACGTTGAATGAATGCATGGTAGAGAAAGGGCCGGAACATCAGTGGATCAAAAGCCTGTGTCTTTCTTTGTTCTCCGGTGTCCTTGGTTGATGCAGCAAGGTCTGGAATTCAAGAATCGCTTCCCAGCTTCTAAGCAGTATCTTCTCAGCCCCTTCCTCCCAGAGACTTACCCCAGCCCTGGTGATTCCGTTTCTGGGTCCAGTGGAGGCCCAGTGCCCCTTGCAGAAATGTCAGACTGTCCCTGGGATCATAAATAGATGCTGCCCTGATCAAGGGGTTTACTTGGCCAAATGAAACAAGGCCATCATGAGCCCTTTGACGAGTTGAAGACAAAGGTACTAACTTTAGTCCAAGTGTTCTCTGAGCTGTATGATAAGCATGCAGCCCTTTCTTTGAGGAATGGTGCCAACGTTCTGTAGGAGACGGGTGCTGTATGGAACCCAGTGTGGGGATGCTGCTCTAGGATGTGCTGGTGTCTCATTTCCTGTCACACTGAGAACGGGCTGCTGTTCTGACTCAGGCTAAAGATCTGGGTGGGACAGACCACCCCCTGAGCACAGCCTGGCTATGGCGTACTAATCACTGAGACGCCGATAGGAGTGTGATCACCACAAGGGCATGTGCTCAGGGGCCCTGGAGGCAGCCTCCTGCTTGGTGCAAAGACACGTAAGACATCACCTCCTCCTGAGTCACATTCATCCTCATCACACGGCCAGAGAGCAACATCTCACCCCACCACACTGGCCATCCCAGACACACACAGAGCACTGTGCAAGGACAGAGACCAGTGTCCATCTCGGCCAGAGAGACTGGCATGGGAACACTCCCTGGAGGAGGTGACGCCACAAGCAAGCCTCAGAGGACACATGCTGAGACTCTTTCTGCCTCTGCAGTCCTGTGTAGGCAAGTCAGCTTTTCCCTGCCCTTCAACAATATTCCAAGCCTGCCCACCCTCCCTGTGGAGGAGTGCTCAGGTCTGTCTGAGGCTGACCTGGACTCTGCAGAGGGGCTATTTCTTCATTTTTCCATTTATCAGCAAATGCTTGAGAGCACACTCTTCTGGTTTTGCACCTGGTGAGCAGTACCTGCGGAGCTGCTGTCTGCAGATCATGGAGGTGGGAGGGGTGGAGCTAGGCAATCCAAATGCCCATCCGGGTCTGCACAGTCTCCAAGACAGTCCCAGCTGCAGTGCAGGCAGACGTCCCTGTGGACGAAGAGTGTGTACTGAATGAGTGACTGGGATTTTTTTCTTTGCTCATCTGGATTTCCTACTGTCCTCCAGTGAACAGGGATTCCCTACGCAATGCAGGGCCATAGGCACAAAGATATAGATCAAGGAGAAACTTGTCATTCCCTTCCACTATTTTCTTATTAAATTTTTAAAAAGCCTAATGGATCTTGGTCTCAGTTTGAGGGACTACAGGCCAAGCCTGGAGGATTTAATAGAAATCAAATGGAGGGCCAGGTGCGGTGGCTCACGCCTGTAATCCCAGCACTTTGGGAGGCCGAGGCGGGTGGATCACGAGGTCAGGAGATGGAGACCATCCTGGCTAACACGGTGAAACCCCGTCTCTACTAAAAAATACAAAAAATTAGCCAGGCGTGGTGGCTCACGCCTCTAATCCCAGCACTTTGGAAGGCCGAGGCTGGAGGATCATGAGGTCAGGAGATCAAGACAATCTTGGCTAACACAGTGAAACCCCGTCTCTACTAAAAATACAAAAAATTAGCCAGGCGTGGTGGCGGGCACCTGTAGTCCCAGCTACTAGGGAGGCTGAGGCAGGAGAGTGGCATGAACCCGGGAGGCGGAGTTTGCAGTGAACCGAGATCGCACCACTGCACTCCGGCCTGGGCAAAAGAGTGAGACTCCATCTCAAAAAAAAAAAAAAAAAAAGAAAAGAAAAATCAAATGGAAGCAAGAAGCTCAGTTACCAAGCACAGGTGGAGGCCACCACCTAGCCAGGCCTCTGATGCGGAGGTTTCCAGCTCTTGTCCTGGTGCTTCTCAACCTTGACTATACACAGGCTACTCAGGGGGCTTCAGAAAAGCCTCGCTCCTCCAACACCAGTGGGATGAGCCCAGGGAGATGGCTGGTGAGCAGGTGCACCTACTGTTTCTGAGCTCCCTTTCAGGTGGTCCTATTGCCCAGGGAGAGGCAAGGGCTCTGCTCTGGAGCCAGCTTTGGGCATCCAAGGTGTACTTCTATTTAGGAGGCAGAAAAGTCTCACAGCCTTGAGTTAGACAGCTGGGCTGGTTGACCCTGGACTTCACAGAGAGGAGTGAGTGGGGTAGAAAGATGAATAGGAAATAGAGCTCTAAACATGGCCTGTGACACGTAGCTCAGTTTCTATCACAAAAGAAGAAAATCCCTTTAGTTTGGGTCTGTAGTTCCTAGCACAGAAGTCTATGTTGTTAAGATTTATTTTTCTCTGTATTATATGAAAAAGGTCAAAGAAAATGCCTGACTCTTGCTCAATGCATAGCTCAGTGGTTACCATGGTTTGAATATTAATATAGGTAGAGAATTTGGTTAAGCGTTTTCACTTTTATTTTGCTGAGAATCTGTGGGTGGACGGAGCCCCCACCTCCCAGGAAACAAGCAAATATCCCCCAAGGATTTTGCAGCCTCTCTGTCTGTGCTTCTGTCTGCTTACTTCAAGGCAAGTCCACAAATATTATTGAGTCCTGCACTGTGTACAGGATGGAGCCTCGCTTTATTCTATGAAACAACATCTATTAGGTGGGCACTGCCTTTTAGCCATATGGCTATTGAGCAACTTTAAACGTGTTGCTAGCTTTATTTGTATGACTTTTGATAGGACCTGTCTGAGTCTGTGGAAAGAGGCATACCTGGCCAGCCGGAGGTCACAGCAGAGTAGACCAATTGACAGTTCAACCGGTGCCTCTACAATGTTCTTTGGCTAATGATTTTGGATTTTTCAAAACACACAAATATGGCTGTTATTCAAATTAATTTTAAATTTAGAAATACTAAATAAAAAAAATTTTAAATGTGATTCTAGTGTACCATATTGATTTTTCAAAACGTGTTTGAAACAATAGCAAAATTCTTCCTGAAAGCTAAAAACCATTTTCTCTGTGGAGTAATATAGAGTTTTCAACAGATTGGAGTTTTACTCAAGAAGGCTTGTCCAGCCTTGACTTTTTCTGTTCTTCCAGGTAGGAAATGGAGTCCTTTTCACTTACTACAGATCTGAATACAATCAAATACTTGCAAGGAAAAAAACACATATGCATCTATACTTATTAAAATAATTTTACTGAAGAGTTATCTTACTGTCCTTTCTTCTTTCCCAAACACACACACACACACACACACACACACACACACACACACACACAGTTTTCAAAGTGCTTGTGTTTCTTGCATTTATCCCTGGTTATCCCCATCTTTCCTATTCAAGGTCTCCTTGAAGGCTTATTCATTGTTTATCATTTTCTCATGTATCTTCTCCAGCAACTTATGTGATCAGAAGTGCACAGCACAGGGTTTGGTGTTTGTAGGCATGCAATACCCTTTCACAGACCTGAAGAATGATGCTGCAATTCATCGGAGAGAGGGGAACAGGGAATAGGGCACAGTGAGTCCCAGTGTGGCCTCTCTGAAATTAGATCACAAACTTGCTGACTTTTTATCCTGGCTGAGTTACTTGTCCTCTCAAAATCTTAGTAATCTTATCTGTTAAAAGGGGATAGTAATACTATCCAAGTTAGAGGCGGTTGAGAGGCTTAAGTAAAAAATGTGTATTAAACAGTTAACAAAGCATCTGGCAGCTTGTTAAAAGTCCCCTGCAGGGACTCACAGGACTGAGGAAATGAGACAAACTGTATCCCACAAAGTACAGTCACTCGTCTCTTCAAATCACGATGGGGACATGTCCTGAGAAATGCATGCTCAGGTGATTCCCTCCCCGTGTGAATGTCACAAGGTGTCCTTATACACACCTAGAGGGTCTAGTCTGCTACACGCCTGGGCTGTATGGCCTAGCCTATTGCTTCTAAGCTACAGACCTGCAATTGTGCTGCATAATGCAGGCAGTTGTTACACAATCGTCAGGATTTGTATCTAAACAGATCTACACATGAAATGCGACAGTAAAAATATGGTATTACAATCTTATGGGGCCACCATCCTACACACAGTCTATTCTTGACCAGACATCCTTAGGCAGCAGAAGACTGTATGAATTTTGTTTGGTTGCTTTTAGAGTATATAGTTCTGGCCACATTCTGGATCATTCTGGCATCCTCGTCACGGGAAGCAAGTCAAGCCAGATCACACCACACAGCCCAGAGCTTCCAGGCGGTGTGAGTCCAGGTCTGAGGTTCCCTGAGCACTGCCTGTGCCAAGTAGGGCTTGTCCATTCCCCGGGGCAGAATGGGCCACCGTATCCCATGGGGTCACGGTTCTCTCTTTAAAAGGAAGCAGCGCTTTGCTTCCATTCAGGATTCGTGCTTGCCCAGAGCTGTTTCCCGTATTCTCTCCATTCAGTGGGACTGCGAGATCATAGCCGGCTTATTAAATCTGAAGAGCTCTGCGACCTTGAGGTTTTTCTTCCTCGGAAGCTCTCTTCTGGCATTCTCGAGATGGGCCCGGCTCGTCTGCGAGGTTAATTGAAAGATGGTCCCAGATGAGGCAGCGCATTGGCTGCACCACAGGCATCCTCGCAGGAAGGAATTCAGGAAAATGGAAATAGCGTCGGATGGAACATAAAGGCTGGGATCATCGGCAGAATCACAAAAGCTGTGCAGCGCGGTCGCCAAGCCTGGGCTGCTGGGCAGACGGCGGCACAAAGAGCCGGGGGCTGGGCCGCGCCAGCGCTGGAATGAAAAGGCCTGTCTTGAAGTTGCAGCTTCGGAGGCTTGGCGTGAAAGGCAGCGGGGAGAGAAAACAGCACGTTGAATGAGAGGAGGGGAAGTGGGCACTTTATTCTTAAATCCCTGGCACTGACCGCAGGCTCTGAAGTGGGTGGGAACAGGCCTCGGTGGGCGCTCTGCGGCTCGGGTCCCAGGGTGCACATCCTGGGTGCAGCATGGTGTCTCTGCTGCTGGCTGGCACGTCTGGGCATTGGTGTGGCTATCAGCGCCTTAGTGTTCCCCGTGAGAAATGGGCATAGAATGGCTTTTTCACAGGAGTTAGGCTTTGAAAGGCACCTTTTCCCAGTGCACGTCATGAACATGGACAGAGCATTCACTGTCCCCATATGCAGAGGTCCCAGGCAGCCTCCAACTCCAGCGAGCTCTCCTCCTCCCCAACAGGGAGGGGTGGACAATGCGAAATCCTGTTTCCCAAAAAGCCAAATGAATCCCCCTTTAGACTCCAAAACTTCTTTTTTGTGTGTGTTGAAATCATTTTCCCTTCATCATTCCTAAAATTATTACATCACCTTATTCTTTTCTGAAACTGCCGACAGAATTTCTTTGGCTACGGACCTCAGGTATATTCAGCTGTCACTTTGCAGTCACAGCCTGCCCTGAACTGTGGGACAGCAGGGCCCCAAAGCCCAGTGACGCACCCAGGGAGCGTTGCCCTGAACTCTTCTTAAGAAAGCCTGTGTTGGAATCCTGTGGTTTGATGCCTCTTTTGCCGATAGACTGCCTGGTCTTACTCCTCCGGGTCTGAACGTCTCTAGGCTTATTGGTGTGGGACTCTACAGTTTTCTAAGTGTCCACTCCTGGTTTTGCCGGCCAGGTTGGAAGGATCCAGGTGAGGTTGGAAGCTCCTCCTCCCAGTGACATGCTTTGCCTCACGCCGCTTCCTCCCTGCAGAGAGCCCCATCCCTCACTCTGCTGGCCAAACCTCTCATTCTTCAATGTCCAGCTCCGGTTTGCCTCCCCTGTGAAATCCACAGCATCAGAATTAATTGTTCTGTCTTCTGAATCCCACAGTCTCCTGATTCGATGGCAGGTGGTACCTGTGGCTGACTTCTTGTGCTTTCTGATCCAATGTTCAGCGGGCAGGAGCTGCTCGGCCCTGGTGCCCGCCGCATTTACCACATTGCTGGGCACACAACAGGGAGTCCGTAACTTAGAAAAACACACCTGTGGTTATAGACTCCAGGGCACCTATTTTGCTGTCTCAGAATATTCTTTCTCATGTTCTAGTTTTTTTTTGGTGTGCTAGATGTGTGAGTGATCAGTCAAAAGTTTAGCCTGGAAATCAGAAATGACACTCACTATTTTAGCAGAAATATTTTGATGTAGGAAATTGATTAGACAGATACTGGAGAAAGAAAACATAATATGAGAATCCTGAAATGGAAAAATCTGCGCCCCTTGCACTGAGGCCCCAGGAAAGCGGGGAGGGGCTGTGAGGAGCAGGAGTCAGACCCCAGGCCCCTGAGGAGGAGCATGTGTTGGTGGCTGACTTGGGGTCTTCATGGCCGTGAGATGAGGCTGCATGGGGACTGCACAAGCTGGACACCATACCCAGCTAGAGGCCATTGCAGGGGAAATGCTGTCAGGAATGACAGCAACTTAGGAGGAGGAAGGGGCAACCCAGCCCCATGGTTTCCACGGGTGCCCAGGTTGGCGGAGTCCAACACGATGAAGTTGGCAGGGAAGAGACGTCCTGGCAGAGCCAACCCTCGTGCAGCAAGGCTGGGTTTACTGCAGGAGGGTGAGTTTGGAGTTAAGTGGCCACAGCTAGTAACAGACACAAGGAGCTCAGCCCAAACTGAATTACAGACAAGCAAGCTGTTGCTTCTCTCTTCAACCCAGAGAGGGCTGAGCACCATCCACGGTGCAAAGCTTCCAGCTTTAAGCTTCCATGGTGGATCATTTAAATCATGAGATGTGTTCTGCAGGGACTTGACAACTGTGCCCCGGCCACACTGGGCCTTTCTGGCTAGGAGACTGCCCGAGTTTGGGTGGATAACGTAACGTAGCTCTGTGTGGCTGCTGGCAGATGCTGCAGTTTTGCTGTCCCGTGTCCCTGGAGACTAAGTGGGAGACATAGATTTCCTTGCACCTCAAAGGACCCGAAACCCTAGGTGCCAGTTGGCAGTGAGGGCAGGGGCGTCCGAAGCCGATGTTTTCTTTTTACTAGTGTAAAGTGTTGAAAGGTGGATTATCTGAAAACAGAGTCTTAAAAATTAAAATCAAAGCTTGTTTTAATTTTAAAACCATCCACAGTGGACTTTCTCTTTTCCCACCTGCTCCTCTGACACTGTAGCCTGACGGCTTTATGCGGCTCTCAGTGCAGGTGGGGCAGCAGAAAGCCGGGCTTGTGAGGCACTGCGACGGGTTTTCCAACCATAACTCCAGGGCCACCTGGGTGCTTCTCCTGACTTTCTCAAAGGTCCATGGTGGAACGTGGCCATGGTGTCACTCGGCTTTGGGTGGTGCCAGCAGCAGTCTGTGTGGCTCCTGATCATGACGGTGACTCTTCCCATCCCTTATCCGGGGACACATATTTAATGGAACGTTTTGAAGGGTTTCAGCATAGACACACACCTACGACAGAGTCCCCACAATCCAGGTAGTCAACGTGTCCATCACCTCCAAAATTCCCTTGTGATCTTTTGTGGATTTTGTGTGTTTGTTAAGACACTTAGCACATTATCTCTTATTTTAACATATTTCAAAGTGCATTAAGAAGTCAAAACCAGATGTAAATCTTACCTCAAGGAACTTGAATTCTGCTTCATGTGTGTAAAGTCAGGCACTGTCCCAGCGTCTTAAAATCCAGAGTTAAAATGTACCTTTCCCAGGACCCCAAGGCCCTGTGTGTGACCTGAGGTGGCCCCGAGAAGAAGGCTGGGCCTCGTCAGGCCTGGCACAGCAGCAGACTCCCAGGCACCTCCTGAGAAGCTCCCGGAATTGGTGGCCCTCATTTATCCCACACACGAGGAAACAGATTTTTAGTCTATTGGCCTTTATCACCACACATCATTTAGATTCCAAAATGTGTACAAAAATCATCGCTCTCTAAAATTCACCACTGGATTTCCAATTGGTGGGGCAGTCAGCGTCTCGTTGGCTTTCCCCTTGTTATGTTTATGGACAACAGGCAGAAATACGCGTGCCTTCTCTGCTGTGGGCTGTTTAAATTTAGCTAATTTTACGGCTCTCATCTGTGAAATAAAAATGAGAAGAGCAGTCCTCTCCATGTAATGGTATGTAAATTAATTAACTGGGAGTTAAGCATATGGAAAAATAAAAATGTCAATAAATACATTAGTGGCATCATAAATCTCCATCCAATTAACAAAAACTCCATCTTTACTTTGGGGGTCTCACCTCTCTTACCAGTTTACAAATCTTCCTGTGAGTGTGTGTTTCTTTCCTGTGTTTAAAAAGAAAATCTCAAGTGAAAACACTGCCCGCTGGCATTAAGCATGGAAGAGGGCACATTTTCCACCCCCCAGCTCTGGTTCCATCCGCGGGCACTTGATCACTTCCCTACCTGGGCCCTAGTCGCGTTGCCCCCAGAAGTAAAGCCTCAGCCCTGGGTCCCTGGAATGGCTGCAGGGAGCAGAGCTGCCTGGGAGCCCCAGAGCTGGGGGCCGTCTCAGCCACACTGGCCTTCCTTCCAGGATGGCTGCCTGCTTATTTCTTCCTGTATCCCAGCTGCAACACGTGAAGACTTAGGTACAGTTGGGGCAGCAGAAAGCCCGGCCTGGGAGGCACCATGATGGGTTTTCAATCCATAACTCCAGGGCCGCCTGCTCAGTGGCTTCCTGCAGTCAGAAAGAGGGATTCAGGCAGCCTCAGGTCCTTCCTTCATGTTCCGCTGCTGGTTGCCCTCTGCCCTCCTCTCCTCCCTGGGGATGTGATGCCAGCTCCTCCTGTCCATGGGGGCTGCCCCCCATTCCTATGCACATCTCCCCTCCATTCCAGGTGACTTTTCCCTTCCCTGAAGCCCCTCACACACGTGGCTGTCATACCTCTGGGCTTTGATGGATCCTCTTAATGACGATATTCTGGCCCCCTAGCCTCCCTAACGGCCCAGAACCAGGCACACACCTCGCTCTTTCCCAATGCTCTCCCATTGCCAAGCATGGTGTGGCTCATGGGGCTGGAGCTCAGTGAATGCATTTGCACTTTAATTAAACCAGCCAGGTAACTGGCTGTTGGGTCTCATTTTGAAGACATTACCGCAACCCCTGTCTGAGACTTTTGGCGAAATACAACGCAGCCCCTCAGAAGGAAGATGTTGTGGATAAAAAGTCCATCACATAACAGCACATGATTTGTGGCCAATGGTTTGCAGTTATCCAAGTGCTTCTTTTGTTCATGGGGCCTGAGGGCATAGGACAACTAATGAGTGACATCCCAGGCCCAGAGTTGGGGGCAGAGCATCCTCAGAGCATGGAGATGGGACTCAGAGGACAAGCATGCAGCAGCTGCACACTCAGTCTTGAAGGTGGTGATGCTGAGAGTTCTGGTTCCTTCTTAGAAGCAAAGGAAAAAGGCACAGGCACCAGTGCAGTCCAACACGTGTTTGATTAGAAATGAAAATGACCATGTTTCACCCCTTCTTTTATTATTTTTTTTTGTTTTGAGACCGAGTCTCACTCTGTCACCCAGCCTGGAGTGCAGTGGTGCCATCTCAGCTCACTGCAACCTCTGCCCCCCAGGTTCAAGTGATTCTCCTGTCTCACCCTCCCAAGTAGCTGGGATTACAGGGGTTTGCCACCACGCCCAGCTAATTTTTGTATTTTTAGTAGAGATGGGGTTTCACCATGTTGGCCAGGCTAGTGTCAAACTCCTGACCTCAAGTAACCCGTCTTGGCCTCCCAAAGTGCTGGGATGACAGGCATGAGCCACTGCGCCTGGCCCCCTTCTCTTATTCTATTTTTCTATCCCAGTGTATACATTTGAAGGGAAAATTGCTGGTGACAATTTGCCCCATTCCCCATGCAGGACAAGGTAAGGACCCGGTCTTCCTGTGCAGCCTGATGGCTTTGTGTGTCTCTTGGTGGCAGAACTGGCATAGCCTGGCACTTTGCACAATGTCTAGCAACAGATCAACTTTAACACAAGAAGGCAAGAATATGTTCAGGGAAAAAGGAGTTGTCGCTCTACTCTTGTACTTCTCCCCAGACAACTTCAAAGGCACCAGCCCCTCTGCTCGCAGACTCTGTGCGTGGTTTTTTTTGCTGCACGAGGCATCCCCACAAAGGTGCTGGCAGCCTCCCCAGCCTCTGCCTCCTCTCTTTTGCAGCCTTCTGATGTCTTTCCAGGTTGGAGCTCCTGCTTAGATGAAACAGATGACTTTCTGGGCCTGCTTCTGCTCACAGCAGGCAGGAGCAACAGTGACTGATTGGTTGAAACATGAGGATTAATGGGTATTTATATTTCATTAAATTGTATGCTCACTGGAGAATAATGTATCACTCGCAGATATTGAAACATATGTCAACCCTATCCACTTACATATCATTCAATTTGACTTAAATGGATTGATCAAATTTTATTAAAGTCCAATATATCTTCCAAAAAAGGCTGCTAACACAGGACTGTCCCTGCAGAGTCACCCGATAAAAGGAGGAGCCTGTGCTATGACTCTATTTATACTATTTTTTGAGAAAAAAAATAGGTTATTGTGGATGAAGTACTCATTAGAAGGTGCACAGAAAAGTAAGATTCTTAAGCAGATTCTCAAGCACGGGCCCCACTATAGTGACCATAGAGAGGGTCGAGTCTGAATACCCAGCCGCCAAGGCTGTAGGACGCTGCTGTGCTTGTTCCCGGAAAGCAAGCTGCTCATCCCTGGGTCACAAAACCTGCCTTAGAAATCCTGATTCTGAATCTTCCTTTGCTGGCCTGGCTGCAGAGCTCCCTGTGGGCTGCCAGCCTGGCTGGGCGCTGGACTCGGAGCTCTGAGCTCTCTGCCTGTGTTTCTTCTCCCTTCCTGTCTTCCACTCCTGTGTTCCCACCAGGACAAATGTGATTTTTTTTTTTTTTTTTAGACAGAGTTTCACTCTTGTTGCCCAGGCCGGAGTGCAATGGTGTGATCTCAGCTCACCGAAACCTCTGCCTCCCGGGTTCAAGCGATTCTGCTGCCTCAGCCTCCCTAGTAGCAGGCATGTGCCACCATGCCCAGCTAATTTTGTATTTTTAGTAGAAACGGGGTTTCTCCATGTTGGTCAGGCTGGTCTCAAACTCCCGAACTCAGGTGATCTGCCCGCCTCGGCCTCCCAAAGTGCTGGGATTACAGGCGTGAGCCACCATGCCCAGCCGACAAGTGTGATTTTATTTGTTTAACACAGATCTGCTTACAAACAAAAATAAGTGTGAGTCACTTCAGACCAGACATCTCTAGCATTTCAGGCAGTTCCTAGTTCGTTGCTTATGTTAGACATTCCACAAGGTAAGTTGAATAGTGAACACCCACGACCGGTTGGACATTATTTCTACAATTAAATGCTCACTTTCTAATGAATACACACTATGCCTATGCTGGGATCATATGCACATATTTTGGATAGAATTTGAAAATAAACAGCAATTCTTAAAATATTGTTGCCCAGGTCTTTCAGATGTTATAAATATGATTCAAAAACATGGAGACTCCTGCACCTTCAACTTTATAAAGGAATCAATAATAAAAACTACTTTCCTTAAGCATATTGATATTGTTTGGCTCTGTGTCCCCACCCAAATCTTACCTCAGATTGTGGTCCCCAGTGTTGGGAGAGGGGCGGGCGGCAGGGGATTGACTCATGGGGGCGGGTTTCCCCCTTGCTGTTCTGGTGGTGGTGAGTGAGCGCTCAGGAGATGCGATGGTGTCACCGGGTGGCACTTCCCCCTTCACTCTCTCCTGCTCCGTTGTGGTAAAACCCGCTTGCTTCCGCTTTGCCGTCTGCCATGATTATGAGTTTCCCGAGGCCTCCCAGCCATGCTTCCTGTTAAGCCTGTGGAACTGTGAGTTAATTAAACCTCTTTTCTTCATAAATTACCCAGTCTCAGGTAGGTCATTATAGCAGTGTGAGAACAGACTAGTAAATATCTGTTCTAAAAGTCAAAATAGGGCCATAGTTTTCAAATCATAAAATTAACTTCTTGAAAGACAGCCTGGATATTTCTAGAGGAAATACCTCTCATCCTTTCAATGGAGAAGCTGGGGAAGTGGGAGGAGCCTTCATTCTTGAGGATAACACAAGGCCCTGTCTCCTTGTGAACTCAGAACTCACTCCTCGGGCACTACCCAGGCAAAGCCTCCTCTGCTAGCCAGATCAAGTCACATTATGTGCAAGTTTGCAATCATAAAATACGAATATCGCCATTCGTTAATAAACTGAGAGTCGCTCATCAGATTCCTCAGGCAAAGTTCAGAGTAACACTTCAACAAGTGCAGCAAACCGGGCACACAGTCTATAAGGGTAGGGTCCCAGAGGGGCCACCTTCTGCTCCCCGGAGCCTGAGATGACACCAGCCTTTCTGCACTACAGACAGTTCAGGAAGGCTGAGGACTGCAGTCCATGGAGGAGCCCTGAAAGTTTCAGGCTCAGGATACTCAGAGGCGCACGGCACAGAGAGATGGGAGCAGACTGAGCGACAAGTCAGGGCAGGGCAGACTCGGTCCAGACACTCCTGGAGCGGCAGCTGAGCCAGCAGCCTGCTCTCCTCTCAGGCCCAGCACAGGTGGGGCTCTCAGGCCCCTCTGCCTGCTGCAGATTCCTTGCCAGTGCTCCCAGGCGGCCACATGCGTGCCCGAAAGGGAAAGCATAGGCTGTCTCCGCGGCCTCACTTGTTTCTACTTCCCTGACCTGTTTGTCCCACTGACTTACCGCCTCTGGAATGAACACCCGACAGCATGGAAGGGAGATTCCTGTCCAGTGCCTGGGCTGTACTCTGCATGCCGCTCTCGGTTCCACTTTCAGCAGTTTTTTCTTAGGAAACTCAGTGGTCCATTGAGTGCCACGCAGTCTTGCCTTGTGCTATTTGAGTGAATAATCAGCTGTCATTCACCTCCTAACTTCACCGTAAGAGCCCAGATGAGCCATTTTTTTCTGCCTGAAGACATCCTCTGCCCCACGTTTGTGGCAAACTCGCTGGAGCTTGAACTACTTTGAGTCTCATCCTCAATACTTCTTTAGTCCCCGAGACATAGGTGAGGCTACAGAGGTGGCCGGAGAATTGCTGATTCCGTGGCTTCATGACCATTGTCTGGCTGGTTTGTCAACCAACAGTTTGAAGCCCTATCTGGCCACCGAGATTCAGTGCCTGGAGCAGAACCCACAGTACCTCGATCCTGGGGCAGTGAGGGTGTGCACTGGGATGGTGCAGTGACATGCAACACATATTACAAATCAACAAGACCTTTAATTCTCCCAGTGAACACAGGGGCAAGGGCTGTACGCAAGCTATTAATAACCCAAAAATGAACAGAAGAATCATAAGGACTTGTAGAACTGTTAAGGATGTAAAGAAAGCAAAGGAAATCAGTAAACAAATTCTAGTAGCCGGGATTTCCAAGGATCCAGAAGCAGTTTGAGGCCTTTTTGGCAGAAGGAAGTTTCCCTGTCTTCTCCTCGAAAAGGTAGAGGAGGTGATGATGCTGGCCCCGCATCCTCCTGAGACTCCTCACAGAAGAAGAGAACACACAGTGGGACCCTGTGCCAAAAAGACAATTCCAGAAGAACCACCACCACTCTAGGTGGGCTTCGTGTCTAATGGGAACATGATTTCTTTCCAGGGAAATTTCTCCAGCATGTAGGGGGAACAGGCAGGCTCCCTCCTCTGAGAGTTCAGGAAGGGGTGGGTGCTCTGCCCGCCCACCTGGCCCATCGCTGCCCACACTGAGCCAGCCCCTCTGTGCCCTCCCTACCCGGACGTCCCCCTGCACCCATCAATGGTGCCCACTCTGCAGGTCTCAGGCCTGGGAGACACTACGTTAACATTGTTAGAAGATAAACTGAGGCACATTCCGGTTTCAGAGAGCTGGTTTGAGCAGATGGGGTTGCAGGAACCCGGCAGCTCTGGACAAGCTGGTCCTGGCTTCACCGGCGTGGCAGGAGGAAGACTGCATGGTAAACACAGCCAGGCGAGGAAAATTGTTGCCATCTGAAGAGGGCCAGTAGCCCTGCCGGGATCATCCGGGTGGAAAGTCCTCAGTGAGAGTGCAGCGGGCAGCTCTCGATTGTTTAAGCCTGGTTTCCTCTCACTAGGATCCTGGAGATGGGCTTACCTAGAAACCCAGGCACTGGAGCCATGGCTCGCACTGTCCCGGTCTCACATTAGCGGCTTTAACCAAGTTCAGTATTTACTCTAGACTGGAGCCTTTATGAGCCTCACGGGCACTTAGGGCAGACGCTAGATCTGGGGAAGTGCCCTGGGAAGCCAGTTTTTCAAGAGATACCTAATATCAAGGAACACTGATACATCACAGGGCACTGTTTGCAAACACCATCCTGGAAGCCACATTCCTGAAGACAGAATTACTTCTGACTCATATTTTTGTCTCTAGTGATATTTAGGACATACAGAATATGATCAAGAAATAAAAGAAGGAAGGAAAGGAGTGATGGGGACAAAATGTGACTTAGGGCAAAAGCAAGTCTATTGATTCTTCTTCTCCACAAACCACCCCAACCCCTAGCAGAGAGACTAAGGGTGCCTTTGCCAATGTCTGAATGAACAAATGAATGAATAAATTTTTCATTGAATCAATCATACCATATATGAAGAAGCTGAAATTAATCTCATTTCACTTCATGAAATATGAGGGCAAAAATATGAGGCTGTCTCTGGAGATGAGCCAAGAGACTTGATAGGAAATTACCGTATGACGTTGACAGCTTTGTTCCCAAAGGCTGCTGCTCAGAGCTGACCTGGGCTGCAACGCACACAGACAACCTGGAGAAATGGGACCCGTCTTTAAGGCACTGTGTGTGTGAGTGTGTATTTGTGTGTATGTATGTGTGTATATGTATGTATGTGTGTATGTGTGTATTATGTATGTATGTGTGTATATGTGTGTTTGTGTGTATTATAAGTGTGAATGTGTATGTGTGTATTATATGTATGTGTACGTATGCATATGTGTACATGTGTGTGCATATATATGTGTGTATGCATGTATTATGAATGTGCATATCTGTGTATATGTATGTGTGTATGCATGTGTGTGTTGTATGTGCATGTGTGTGTCTGTGCATGTAAGCATGTATATATGTGTATTTTGTGTGTGCATGTCTGTGTGTTTGTATGTATGTAAGCATGTGTGTATTATATGTGTATTTGTGTGTGCCTGTTTGTAAATGTGTGTGTATATGTGTATGTGTGTGTGTCTGTGTGTATGTTTGTGTATTATATGTGTATTGTGTGCCTGTGTGTATATGTGTGCAGGTATTAATGTGTGTGTGCGCATGTGTGTATATGTATGTGTGTGCCTGTGTGTATATGTGTGTGTTAGTGTGTGTGCCTGTGTTATATATGTGTGTGTGTATTATATGTGTATGTGTGTGTGCCTGTGTGTATATGTGTGTGTGTATTATGTGTATGTTTGTGTGCCTGTGTATGTATGTGTGTGTATTATACATGTATGTGTGTGTGCCTGTGTGTGTGTGCACCCTCTTGTTTCAGCACTCATGCAGTACATAATTGTCCTTTCTGTAGCCTACTTAGTGCCACATGTTTGGGGTGGTTTTTTTTCTTTTTTTTTGCATTTTTGTGCTTTTTGTTTGTGGTTTTGCAGTTTAAAACACTCCCCATACATACTGCTACAGTGCTGTCCAGGGCAAGAAGGCTGTGATGTGCCTTATGGAGAAAACAGGTGTGTTAGATGAGCTTGCTTCAGGCATGAGTTATACAGCAGGTGGCTGCAAGTTCAATGTTAACAAATCAACTATAACCAGTCATGCATTGCTTAACAGTGGGGATACGTTCTGAGAAATGCATCTTTAGGCAATTTTGTTATTGTGTAGACATTGTAGAGTGTTCTTACACACACCTAGATGGTCTAGCCTACTACACACCTAGGTTGCGTGGTACACCCTATTGCTCCCAGGCTACAAACCTGCACACCATGCTACTGTACTGAATGCTGCAAGCAATGGTAACACAATGGTAGGGATTTGTGTATCTAAACATAGAAAAGCTACAGTAAAAATACAGTCTTATAATGTTATGGAACCAATATCATCTATGTGGTCCGTCATTGATTGAAATGTCTTTATGAGGCACATGATTGTGTATTTAATAAGTTGTCTTTACACAGAAACACATAAAAAAATGAAGTTATGTATTGAATGATTGATGAAAATATGACCAGAGGCTTGCAGGACCTGAACCCTGTGTTTCCCCAGGAGCAATGGCTCAGCATTCAATAATTCAAGATTTGAGGTGATTTTCTAGAACATGAGGACAGTGAAGAGCAAGAACCCACTGTACTTGTATGAGCCTGGCCTCTTAGTGAAAGCAGATTCCTCCAAATCAGTGATGAATGAGAACTTCATGTAAATTTGTTCTCAAACTTGGGTGCACGTTAAAATAACTGTGAATCTTTGAAAAAGGATCACTGACACCTGCTGGCACGGCTTTTCTCAGGAGTACGTACTAATCGGATTGGTAAGAAGACCAGGCATCAGCATTTTCAAACCACCAGGTGATTCTCACATGCAGCCAGGTTTAGAAATCTCCAGTGTATTAAGGAACTCAAACAACTCAATAGCAGAATAGCAAATAATTGATTTTAAAAATAAGCAAAAGACCAGAAGAAACATTTCTCAAAAGAAGACATAAAAATGGCCAACAGGTATTTACAAGAATGTTCAACATCACTAATTATCAGAAAAAGGCAAATCAAAACCACAATGAGATATCACCTCATACCTGTTATAATGACTACTATCAAAAAGACAAAAAATAAGAATTGTTGGTGGGGATGTGAAGAAAGGAGAATCATAACACACTGTTGGTGGGAATGTAAATTAGTAAAGCCATTAGGAAAACAGTATAAACAGTACAGAGGTTCCTCAAAAAGCTACAAATAGAACTACCATAAGATTCAGCCATCCAGCTACTGGGTATATATTGAGAGGAAGTAAAATCAGTACATCAAAGAGACACCTGCACTCCTACGTTTATTTCCGCTTTAGCCACGGTAGCCAACTTATGGAATCAACCCAAGAGTCTATCAGTGGATGAATGGATAAAGAAAATGTGGTATGTATAGGCCATGGAATAGTATTCAGCCATGAAAGGAAAATCCTGTCATTCTTGACAATGTGGATAAGCCCGAAGGACTTCATGTTAAGTAAAATAAACCAGACTCAGAGGCAAATGCTGCATGATCTCTCTCATATGTGGAATCTAAAAGGTTGATTTCGTAGGAGTAGAACAGTGGTTACCAGAGGTGAGGGAGGGAAGGGGCAGGAAGATGGAGAGAGTGTGGTCACTGGACACAAAGCTCGTTGGATGGAAGAAGCACATGCTGGGGTTCTGTTGCACAGGAGGTGACTGGAGTTAGCAATCATGCATGGCACATTTCAAAATTAGCTAGAAGAGAGGTTTTAAATGTTTTCACCAGAAAGAAATAACATGTGTTTGAGGTGATGAATATGCTAATTCCCCTGATTTGATCATTACACAATGTATGCATGCAACAAAACATCACATGGCACCCCATACATAGGTACAATTATTATCTCTCAATTTAAGAAAGAATGAAAATGCCCAGTGTAACCACAGCACCAACTGGAATCTTTTCCTAGAAACAAAACCAGAGTGTCCTAAAGGTGAACGAAAGCTGCCCCCATACTCATAGAAGCTCAAAGATATCTGCTGGTTTCTCCACATGCAGCTTCCCTCCCACCCCCTTTAAGCATCAAGGCTGGCTTCCAACCCCGTGATCCAGGGTCCCGTCTTGGACAAGATTCCCCATGTGCAACCTCCAGTGTGGCCCAGTGACCAGAAGTAGTCTCTGGGGTCTGGCTTTTTGGACTCAAATCTCACCACACACCTACTGTCCCATGACCTCGGAAAATCACAGACCATGGCCATAGCGTGGAGATGGTGACACTTCACCTTCCATGGAATTCTTTTGAGATTGAAAGAACACAAGCGTGTGAGCTGCTTGCACCTGGCCTGGCGTGTCTTCACTGAATTTGAGGAGCTGAGAATATTGCCTTCTTGTTTTCTTTGCCCGAGTTGGAGCTGGTGGGAAAAGACAGAGTGGACAGGTGCTGATCAGCCCATGGGGGCTGATAGAGCCGATTTTAAGAGGTGGACAAGGTGGGTGGCCAGGGCCTTTCTCCCTGTGAGTCCCAGGATAGAGGCAGCTCCTGCTCCATCATGGGCTGGAAAAGCACAGGATCTGTAGGTCGATCTAAGCAGCTCCTTGACCTTGTTGCATCTGGGTGGAACTCACTCCTAGTCTATCCTTAGTGCCTCGCATAGGGTATCAGAGATCCAATGCTGTATGAAGGCACTCAGATAACAAAATGCCAAAATAAATGATAAAATCCCAGGGAAGTATGGAAGTCTCTATGTTAAGTATGAAATGGGTTCTCTCCCAGCTTTTCCTCTGCTCTGCCTCAAGTGGAGGGGTGGCTGCAGTCGGAGAGGTGAGGTCTTTCTGCAGCTGTGTCTCATGCTGTCTTTGCTCAGAATGAATATATTAGTAGTTCCTGCAGGGCCTGTGGAATGATTTCAGATAAAGCGACATCCACGTGGACCTTGCTTTCTGAAGGGTTTCGATGACACCAAATAGCATCAGATCATAGACTCTACACCCCACAAATACAGAACACCCAGGCTCAGGGCAGTCACCTGCAGAAGTGTGTGCCACCCAAGGCCAGCCGGGGACTCCATGGTGTCAAGGTCAACTGTCCAGCATCTGTGACCTGCAGTCTGAAACTCAGCCACACCTCACAGACTGGCAAGAAGCCAAGAGTGGCACTTAATTTTCCGTATCTGGTGGGAAAAACCCATTGGCCCCTCTGATCGCCCTGCCTTCTAACAGTGTTTGGAGATTCACAGTGGCAGCTGCTCCAGCTTCCAGCTCCTCTCGGAGGTTACTTTCCATCTCATGCAGGCAACACAGACTCTCTCATCCTTGTTTTCCTTTCCAACCCTGAGTGTCTGGCCTCGAGATGCAGAGACAGCGTTCTCAGTGCTGGGTCGTGGGGCTGCAGGGGCAGTGTTCTCCGTCCTGGGCCATGGGGCTGCCCGACTGCCTCTCTCACTCACCCCACTAAACCCCCGCAATGGCTCCAGCAGGACAATCACCCTGCACTGCCTTTTGCTGGAACTCCTTGTAACATTTACTAGAATATAGTTTGCTAAGAAACCAAATGTCTTGTAAAGTGTGTTCATGTACCATGCCATCCAAAGAGTGTAGTAACTGATTTACCAAAGGAGACTTGGTCTAAAATAACTCATCTTAACACAGCCTCACACCGCGAACCTCTGGAAAAACATCCTAACAAGATTCCAACAGAAAGCACATGCTGTTTCGTGTCCCACACTGGCTTGTGATTCGTTTTCCTTTAAAATATGTCTTAAGTTTCTTTACTTGAAGGTGAACAGTAATTCAGCTCTGGAGTGTTGGTCAGCAAGGCAGAAACCAGGGACCCAGAAAGAGAGAAGCTCCTTCTCGGCCATGGGCCTCTCCTCCAGGCAGAGGCCCCCAGTCCCTCCCTGCCATCCACGGGTGGCTGCGGCATATGGCACAGCAGCTGGAGAGTAGGGTGCCATGCTGCTATAATGAGACCCCTTTGAATCATTAAATAGCATCACAAAGGAAAAAGGCCATCTACAAACAGAGCCCTATATTTAAGTTCATGAATCAATTAATCTTTAAAAGGCAGAGTTCACTTAATAAGCTGGCATCAGAGGGCAGCAGCTACACAAGACGTGGAAGTCAGGGCGACCACAATGTCAGGACCCCGCATCTGGCAGGATTTGTAGCCATGCTATCTCGAGAGACATCAAATCATGAGAAAGCAGCAAGGGTCCTGCAGCTCCATCCTCAAAGACTCTTTCCTCCCAACCCCGAAAATAGATCCACCACTGGCTCAGTCACAGCCACCAGAGGCATGGCGGGTGACAAAAAACAGCCCAGGGCCCCTGAAACTCTGGTCCGTCTTGGAACAGGACAGTGAGAGAATGCAGGGACACTTTCTTAGTAAGGGTGAGTGCACTGTCTGCTATGACTGCCACGCGTTTCAGCTCATGGAATGTTGATGCGTCCATGCTCTCGGCCAAGGTGACGTGGAAACTCACACAATTAAATGTTTATTTTTGTCAGGTTGGACAGAATTAAGGGCCACACCCAGCTTTTTCTAATTTTCCCCTCAACTTCACAGAACCCAGGAATCATGTCTAAAGTAAGAGCTTTGATTTTCTTTTCAGTGAACTTGCCTATGTTTCTTTAAATTTTCTTATGCAGTATACTTTTATTATAGTTTTATTGTCATTATTTGGCCTCTTCATTTTCAGACAAGTTTTTGTTTTGTTCTGTTCTGTTTTACATGCTCACTGTTTTGAGGAAAAGACAGTTGGAGTTCATGAATCTCTGTAATTATCTATGATTGGGTGGAATCCAGAGCAAACTGATCTTTGTCTTTCTGGTCTCCTTTATGCTTCTAGGAGTCCTCCTCCATAACACACATACAGACACAACACACACACAGACACACGCAGAAACACACACAGACACATACACAGAAACACACAAAAGCGCACACACACACACACACACATAGACATACACACAAACACACATGCAAACAGAGACATCCAGACACATACACACAGACACACACAGACACACACACAGAGGCAGACACAAAAACACAGAGACAAACACACATACAGACACACAAACAGACACACAAACACAGAGACACAAATAGACACACAGGCACATCCACAGACACACAGAGACACACACAAACACACACACAGATACACACAGAGACATACACACAAACACACACAGACACACATAAAGACAGACACAGACACATAAACACACACATGCAAACACACACAGACACACACACAGACACAGACACACAGACACACAGAAACACACACACACAGAAACACACAAAGGCACACACACAGACACGTAGACACACACACACGCAAACACAGAAACATCCAGACACACACACAGAGACACACAGACACAGACACACACACACACAGACACACAAACACACACAGAGACACACACATACAGACACACAAACAGGCACACAAAGACAGAGATACAAATAGGCACACAGACACACAGAGACACACACAAACACACACAGACACACATAAAGACACAGACATAAACACACACAGACACACAAACACACAGACACACAGAGACAGACACAGATACACAGACACACACAGACACAAATACACACAGACACACACAGAGATACACAGGCACACATGCAAACACAGAGACACACACAGAGGCACACACAGAGACACACAGACACACACACAGACACATGCAGTCACGCAGACACAGACACAGATACAGACACCCCCCCCACACACAAACGCACACATACACAAACACACATAGACACACGGAAACACATGCAGACACACACAAAAACACATGCATGTACAAACACAAACATACAAACACAAACATACACAAAGATAGACACACACCACAAACACACACATGCCCCATGGAAGAAAGAACACACCAGAATCCAGAGGAAATAATCCAATGAATTTCTAAGTACAGGCATCTTCATGGTTGCGATTGTTGGGTATACCTTCTTATTTTGCTTTGTTTTTAAGCATAAAGCAGAATCAGTTCTTGTGAAAGACAGAACGTTTTGGTTTTTAAGACCAGGATTTTTCCATAAAAGTGTTTTAGGAAGGGCAGACTATTGTTCTTTAAATTAGTTGAATATGCAGAGCCTAAGCCTTGAACTCAGAGTTCATCCAGGAGCAAGAGTCAGGAGAAATTTTTCCTAGCCAGGGAAACTCAATTCAAAACTGTTCTCCTGGACTCTGAAGAAAGTAACATCTGCAGAAATTAGGGAAGAACTGATATAGTCAAAGCACAGGTGGAATCCTCCTTCCCATCACCCTCTCTGCAGCCTGAAGTAGGAGGGAAGGAGTGGCCAGACCTCCACTAAGGACCCCCAAAAACGGGCCAGCCCTGCCTGTCCAGAGTGCAGGGCATCAGGAGAGGCCCCCACTAGTGCTATCTGCAGCTGGGGGGCTGCAGGGAGCCTGTGTCTGGCGAGGAAGCCCAGAAAGTGTGTGTGCCCTCAGAGGGGAGCCCACATTGCTGAGGGCAGGCAGGCCAGCTTCTTCCTCTGTGACCAGGTGTGTGTGTCCCAGGAGACACAGCCAGTGTCGGATGGAGGACACTGGAGATGACCTAGGAGAAGGTGGGTGACCACCGATGCCAGGAGCCATATCAGGGAAGCTGCCAGGATGGGCCCCCAGCACGCTCAGCATGCTCAGCCCCAGGGAAAGGATACAGATGCAGCTTTGAGGAGGAGGAGGAAGAGCCTGGGGCTGGAATGGGAAATCACTGAATTTGATGAAATACTCCTGTAAAATTAAAATCAGGTGATTTTTCATCAAGCAGAAATGGAAGTATGAAAACACCAGGTCAATTAATAAAAAATGTGGAAAGTTCTGTGGTCAAGGGTGGACTTCTTGCAAGTCTGCCATTCTATGCAGTAGACACTTCCAGTGGCCCCCCAGACACAGATTCTGAGGACGTGTAAAAGAGGCAGATTTTAGCAGCATTTCAGAAACCTGAACATGCCTCTCAACAGCTCCAGAGCAAGTGAAGCAAGAGCTAGCCTTAAAGGAAATTACATTTTCCAAACAGGTGTTGGAAAAATAAAGTACCTCCATTTCAAACAAAGTAATAAAGCCAATAGGAGCTGTCACTGTGGACAGGAAAGTGCGTCCTGCTGTGTTTTTCAAACTCTGGGCCATGACCCACAGCAGGTGCTGGAAGCAACTCACTTCCTTTTGCCAGCATTTTAATAACAAAATAAGAGTGAAACAGAAGAGAAAATACCAGACTGTAGTGCAGGTGATAAAGCCAAGCATTCCTGTGTGATACTGTGTGTGTACAATTTCTAACAGTGGTTTGTAATTTGGGATCTGAAAGCCACTGAAATAATATGCCACCTTTGAAATAAATTGTTAATACATTTATGTTATTTTAACCATAGAATCCTTCCCATTGTAATTTTGGATTATCCCAGTATTCCAGTTGTCTATTGTTGTGTAACAAACTACTCCAAACTCAGTGGCTTGAAAGAACCACCGTTGGCCAGGTGCGGTGGCTTGTGCCTGTAATCCCAGCACTTTGGGAGGCAGAGGTGGGCAGATCACCTGAAATCAGGAGTTCAAGACCAATCTGACCAACATGGTGAAACCTGTCTCTACTAAAATGCAAAAATTAGCCAGGTGTGATGGCAGGTACCTGTAATCCCAGCTACTAGGGAGGCTGAAGCAGGAGAATTGCTTGAACCCAGGAGGTGGAGTTTACAATGAGCCAAGATGGCGCCACTGCACTCCAGCCTGGGTGACAGAATAAGACTCTGTCAAAAAAAAAAAAGACAAACCACTATTTCATACTCCATGATTTGGTGAGGTGAGTCAGGAATTGTGCAGGGCTCAGCTGGGTGGTTCTTCTGTTCTCACGGGCATGGACAGAGACCCTCCAGTGATGCTCAGGCGGCAGATGGCTGCTGTGGGGGACTCAGGATGGCACACCTCACATGCCTGGTTTGTGGGGTGGCTGGAAGCCTGAGCTCAGCTGGCACTTTTGACCTGAGCATCCACATGTGGCCTGAGCATCCACATGTGGCCCTCTGGCACAGTGGCCTTGGGGCAGCTGTATTTCTGATGTGACAGCTCAGGATGGCAGTGGGTTTTTGAAGTTAGAGCCTGGGTTAGCTTTTATGACCTGGCCTCAGAAGTCACATAACATCACTCCTGCTCCACTCTGTTGGTTGAAGTGGCATCCAAGGGTGAGGATACGTGGGCCCCACCTTCCTAGGGAGGCATGCCAATGAATTTGCAGCCATGCCGATAAAGCAGCCACACCCAGCCAGACATCGTAGGGCTTTCCAGGATAGCTGAAATCTCACAGAGTGGGACGATCTAATGAGAACACCTGCGTTGCTGAGCTGTAATCCATAGCTAGGCACCAAAATTTGCTAGACTTAGCAGACTACATCATGTACTTTACAGTTCTTAATTCTCAGTTGCAAATTCAGGTTATATGAACTTGAGTTATTTTCAGTAGTTAGGAAAAGCCTACTTATGAACAAATAAACTCATCATCTACTCCTGATGAGTTTGGTGGCCTCCGTGCATCCTCAGTCACGCATCTCACAGAGTTGTTATACATAAATGGAAGTCTGCAGAGGAAGCATGATGTATAGCAACATCCTGAGACCTCATCTCATGTTGCAACAAGTGGTCAAAGTCACAGGGTCTGAATGTGGGCTTCAGAGACCCAGGGGCCCCTGGCATTCTGTGTGCCATGTGGGGTGCCATGGGTGTGTAGCTTGTTTCTATTTCCTAAAGGAGTAAACAGTCTCCAAAGGATTAGAAGCTATTGCCTGTGTAGTTGTTTCATGATTTCCTCGGTCTTAACCATAAAATAATTAGGAAAACTGGAATGCTGGCATGTTTTTTCTTTTCTTTTCTTTTTTTATTTGGTAAACCACTACTCCAAAAATATAGTTTAGTTAGAAGCTATACTTCTAAAAAAGATAATGAAAAACCATGAAGGCGCTGGTGAATAAATTCCATTTTGTTTGTTTTACATTTTTAAAACCATAGAGGGCAGGAGTTTCAAACTGATTTCAGAAGCCTCCTTGAATATTTTCCCCTAATGTAAGAATGTTTTTCTATCCATCATCTATTTCACAGTGACTTTCAAAAACAGGGTTTGCTGTGGCACTTCTGTTGTCATTTATAATATGATCTGCAATAGTTTACAGAGTTTTGCAGATCTTCACAATAGGGTTATTTAAAACCATACTTCTTATTCTCAGTTCTCACTACATTCTTTTTTGGCTGGGAATTAGAAAAGTTGTTGGAGCTGTTTTAACTCATCTCTTCAGATGTATAGATCGATAAACAAATGAAAGATAGATGGATAGATGGATAGATAATAGATGGTTATAGATAGATAGATGACAGACAGATGTAAAACAAAGTAGGTAGAGCTGAGATCTGCACAGAATTCTTGATGTGAAGGAGCTGAGCTGGAGTTTGTGCTCTTTAGTGAAACAATGGCCAGAATGTATACATTGATGAATTATCCTATATTCAATGCACACCCTGTGCCAGGCTCTGTGCCCTGTCTGAGACACTCTACACCACACTATGAGGTGGCATGGTTGTCCTCCCCATGTCACAGGGGAAGGGGCAGTGACCCAGAGGTTCAGAGACCACCTCATTTATTTCGGCTGGTTGGCTGGCCCTGGGCAGGTGGACAGCAGAGCTGGTCCCTGAGCAGGTGCTCACAGAGCTGGGAGACAGCACCCTTCAGGGGAGATGTCTGGGTCTCACTGGGAAGAAGGGGTGCTTTATTTATTTTCCTCTCTTTTGTTTCTATCTTCTAACTCAGGGTTCCACAGCCTGGGCACCCTCTGGGTCTGGGGCTGGAGGGTTCTCTGTTGATGGGGCCGGTCCTGGGTGTTGTAGCTTATGATGCCAGTGGCCTCCCTGGCCTCTCCTCACCCACAGCAGCAGCACCCATGCCGGTTGTGACATACCAAAATATCTCCAGACATTGTTCAATGTCCCCTCCGGGGGCAAAATCACCCCCCACCCAAGTTGAGAACCACTGTTCTAAATTAACCAAACTGCCTGTTACTGTGTCTGTAATTAAAATTATGTATTTTTAACATAGAATTTTCATAAATGTGGGAAATCAAATAGAATTTTCTCTTCTAAACGGTTCTTTTTAAAACTTCTTCTTAGGAAGCAAACATGTCTCCTACAACAGATGCCCACCCTGAGGAAACCTGACCGTTGAGTTATAATTGGGTCATCTTCAGCTGTGTCCCAGCAGAGTCCCCAGAGGCATGGCCTTGAGGGTGGCTGGAGTGAGTGTGGCCCCTGCTGTCCTCCTCCCCCCACCCCGGGATACTGCGTCCCTCCGCGTGGACGAGGGAGAACGCATTCACAGTGTTCACAGCACTTTGCCGGCTGTCACAGGTACAGACTACCTGGATATTTAGATACGAGAGCATCTAACAGGGAACCATCAATCTTTTATGGTAAGAGAATACATAAATTATAAACAAATATGTCCTTTGGTCTCGTAGAACAGCATAATGATCAAAGAGACACAATAGAAATGCATTTGCTTCTGCAGTCGGTGTATTCCCCCAGCTCGTGGGCTGTGCTGACGGACAGCCCGGGAGCTGGCAGCTTTTGTTCCATCTGTCAGAGTATACTTACCTCCTGTTGTTTTAAGTAATCAATATGGGGGCTGAAATCACCTACTGCTACCTCCGCTACCTCCTATTTTGTCCACTCATAAATTATGGATTGCCGCACAACATCAAGTCTACAATTTCGATTGCATTTGCTAATCATTGATCAATAATTCAGGAGCCTCTCCTCCTTCAAGGGCCCCTGGCTTCCTGCGGCATAAGGCACCGGGCTGACAGCAAGCAGCAGAGGCGTCCCTTATCACAAAGAGCAGCCGCAAAAACAACTTGTTTAGAGTTGTTTCTTCTCCTTCCCCTTCTTATTTTTCATGAGGGTGACTTTGTACTTCTGTTCGGCGCCTTCCTCCGCTTGTTAGCTCTAATGACGGCCGTGTGGCTGCCGCAGAATCCAGCCACAGCCCTGTTTGTTCGGTTTGCATAGACAGGGCGCTTTGCAAAACGGTGTCTTTCTGTTTTATTTTGTGGCTCAGTGTTCTTGTGTTTGTCACTGAACTGAATCCTGGGGGGCGATCGGGAGGAAGTGTCTCGTTCCCTGTTTGCACTGCACGATCCTGCGTCTGTGGGCATGCAGCTGGGACACAAACCCCTCATTGTGCCTCTTAAACTCACACACATGCCCGCTGCA
Source organism: Homo sapiens (assembly GCF_000001405.40). NCBI lineage: Eukaryota > Metazoa > Chordata > Mammalia > Primates > Hominidae > Homo > Homo sapiens. Next base: position 2,537,799 of record NC_000005.10, read on the forward strand.
AGTCCGGAAGGAGATACGCTACTCTTCAGAAAACTCATTGGCAGAACAAACCCGAAACTTGGAGCTATTTTAAAGGCTCGCTCTGATGCTTTTGTTGTGCTTTTAGGTCTGTTTTCTGTTTTAATCCAGTTCTCCATGTTTGTTTTTCTGTGCTTTCAATGAGATGGCGAAGTTAAAAATAACGAGGCTTTCACAAACCCTTTTGTAGTTTTATTAGAAAGTGTCATCTTCATCTAACCTCTTGGAGGACAGTGACGTTGGACCGTCTCCTTTGGAACCTGCAGCTCACAGGATGCCTCTTATTGATGGAGAAAGGAGAGGAACGGAAAGCAGAGTGCAGAGGAGAAGCGATTGGGTTTCCAGGAGCCATTCAGCAATGAATTTCTGGGAAACCTTTTCCACAAAAGGCAGCCACAGAGGGCCCTGGAGGTTGCCTGTGCACTGGGTACAGCCCACCCGCCCCCTCTGAAGGAGCAAAAGGGCATGAAGGGGCCTTTGTCGTCCCCCAGAGCCTCAGGCCTGCCTCCGCCTCCTCTGCAGCCTGCTCAAGGAAGCCGTGCCCTGCAGCCTGGCCTTCTATAGAAGCCGCTGGCCTCACCCATTGTCACCGGCCCAGCAGGGGAGCTGTGGCCACAGGAGGCTCTCAATAACTTAAAAATTGTAAAAAAAGAAACAGCAGGAAGGCCAGAGGGGAGGGCGAACGGAAAAGGTTTAAGACACTCTTGTGGCAAGAAGCGGACAGGGTGGGGGCGTGGGGTGATGGAGGGAAACAAAACTTTTTTAAGTGGAAAGAGAGAAAGAGGAAACAGGAAGTGGCTTTAAAATTTTAAGTGAAAGTGAAGACAATTAGAATAAGATTGGAAGCAAAGAAAATGATGAGAAAAGAAAAGGAGACCAGGAAAGAGCCTGCACACCTTCTTTGCAGGCCTCTCACCTGCCTCTCCTCATCCTCTCTCGCCTCCTCCTAATCCGCCCTGGGCACGGCGTCCACCCCACTGAGTCCCCCCGGGAGACCACAACTGTCGGTTGACTAGCACATGCATATAGCTGGTTTGGAGTTGAAAATAGAGAATAAAATACAATATCATTTCCCAAAGGAAAATCCTCGGCATTGCCCAAATGAGCAGGCGTAAGTTCCTCTCCCACCCAGTCCACCCCTACCGTAATTACAGCAGGTCCAGCTCCCGAACTTTCCTACCCACCCTCACACAGGAGAAGTGGTGGAGGTGCTAGCAGGTGCATGTTAACGTTTATGAGGCCAAAACGAGCCTCTCTGGCTCACCAGCAACTGGAGAACATGCCTCTGACTGGAGAGGGTCTACCCCACTCCTCCAAGGGATCCTCAACAACCCTGGTCATTCGGGTAATGCTGAAGAGTTTCCTTTGGGAAATGATATTGTATTTGATTCTCTATTTTCAACTCCAAACCCGTTACACATACATGCTAGTCAACCAGCAGCTGTGGTCGCCCCTGCTTTGATGAGAGGAGGGGACGGATTTGACACCACGACACCTTGAGAAACTCACTCAAGGACATTCCCCTTCTCACTTCCTGTGGCCTGCCAGCAGGAAATGATCATTTCCAAGGGTTCCCCTTGTTTCTGGGGTTTGGATTATGTTCCTTGACCTGGTTCAAGCCCCTCAGAAGGAACTGCTTAGAAATACACACACACACACACACACACACACACACACACACACATATCTGCTGGGGCCATCCTTCAGCAGCAGAAGCTTGGGGCCCTCACCCTGAACTCAGCGTCTACACCCAGAGAACTAATCTACTAACAATGGTGGGTGCAGCTCTGTTCTACATAGAGAAACTCAAAGTCCCTTCTGCTGTCAGACTGGGAGCCTCTCTCTATCAAACAAGAAGCATCCCCAGTGACCTCTGCCACCATGATGCCTCTGGTTTATCATACGAGAGACCTTTAAGACACTCAGGAGTTACATCTTATAATAAGTCCTAAGAATGATGTGGTTGTCAACACTTATTTTCCCCCAATTATCCATCCATTCCTCTATCTATCTATCTATCTATCTATCTATCTATCTATCTATCTATCTTTTATCTATCCATCCATTTATCCATCCATCTATGTATCCATCCATCCATCCATGCGACCATTTATCTATCTATTTACCTGCCTATTCATCCATCCATCCATCCATCCATCCATCCATCCATCCATCCACCATCGATCCTGTCATTCATCTGTCTATCTATCCATCCATCTACCCATCCATACATACATACATCCTCCAATTCATCTATCTATCTATCTATCTATCTATCTATCTATCTATCTATCTATCTATTTATCTATCTATCTATCCTTCATTCATGCATCCATCCATCTATTCGCCCATCCATCCATCATCTATCATCCATTCATCTGTCTATTCATCTATCATCTATCTATTCATTTATACATCCATCTATTCATCCATCCATCCATCCATCCACCCATTCATTCTTCCATCCATCCATCCATCCATCCATCCACCCGTCCATCCGTCCGTCCATCTGTCCATCTGTCCGTCCATTCATCCATCCATCCGTCTGTCTATCTGCCTATCTATCTATCTGCCTATCTATCTACCTATCCATCCATCCATCCATCTATCCATCCAGTCATCTATCTGTCTGTCTGTCTATCTATCTATTTATTATGATATTTCCCATTAGCAAATGCCTTTTTTTCTTTCAATATATAAATAATTCACAGTTTTCCAATAAACTAACTGTGGGGGCACTGCTCTTACCCTGTGTCTTCTAAGTTTTCACTTCTTTTTCAGTGATGGGTTCAGATTGTCCAAGCCCACTCTGTGTCCTTTTTGAGGAGCAGAAAGGTTTGGATTTGCTGGGTTCTGAGGATCTGTTACAGACGTTGACCTTCCTAGCAATGCTGGCTGGTGGTTGGGATAAGAGTGACAACTCTAATAATTCGTAGGAAAAATGCAGCGGTGTTTCCCTTTCTGGTTGTGCCCCTCAGAGAAGCTCAGAAAACACCAGGCCAAGCTTTGCATGGTTGTGGGAATGCACACCGCATCCTGGCCTCGTGCCTTCGCTGCTGCAAAGCCCTTTGCCCTTGTTCACTGGCTACCTCGGTCCTGGTGTCCCAGCCGTGAAGCTATCTGAGGCTTGACCTGCCTGTCACCTGCTGCTGGTGCCTTTTCCCTCCCATTCTTCTCATTTCACCTGGAGGCTCAAGCCCTGGGATTGGGGTGCACAACCATGGGGACAGGGACCAATGTATTCAGTGTCACATGCCACGCGGCCCCTGGACCCAGACAGCGGTCTGGTCTGCAGGCTTCACATATTTGTGCTGGGCTCCACTGACTTCATTAGCAACACAGAGGCCACGAGCAAAAAATCTCTTCCTGGAGCAGACAGAAGAGCCCCAGAGCCTCATTCCTGTTCCCACATACCTGGGAACCCTGGCTTACTGTGACCAGCAATTGATGAGTTTAACTTTGGCCTTTATAGTGTTTTTTCTCTTTTTCAAAAAGTATGTGTTTTCTCCTATTTTGTTAAAACCTCTGGGTCTTCCTCCTGGATCTCCTGTGTGTGCCTGTGTGCACGCATGCGTGTGCAGGCTCTGCTGTGTGTGTGTGGTGTGTGCCTGTGTGCACGCATGCATGTGCGGGCTCTGCTGTGCATGTCTGTGTATCGTGTGACTGCGTGCATGCTTGCATGTGCCGACTCTGATGTGCGTGTCTATGTATTGTATTGTGTGCCCTGTGTGCATACTCGCATGTGGAGACTCTGCTGTACATATCTGTGTAGTGTGTGCCCGTGTGCATGTTCACATGTGCAGACTCTGATGTGTGTGTCTATGTAGTGTGTGCCTGTGTGCATGCTCGCATATGCAGACTCTGCTTTGAGTGTTTATGTATTGTGTGCCCATGTGCATACTTGTGTGTCTGTGTAGTGTGTGCCTGTGTGCATGTTTGCGTGTGCAGACTCTGCTGTGCATGTCTATGTATTGTGTGCCTGTGTGCATGCTTGCATGTGCGGACTCTGTCTGTGTAGTGTGTGTCCCTGTGCATGCTTGTGTGTCTGTGTAGTATGTGCCTGTGTGCATGTTTGCATGTGCAGACTCTGCTGTGCATGTCTGTGTAGTGTGTGCCTGTGTGCATGCTCACTTGTGTGGACTCTGCTGTGCGTGTCTATGTAGTGTGTGCCTGTGTGCGTGCTTGCGTGTGTGGACTCTACTGTGTGTGTCTGTGTAGTGTGTGCCTGTGTGCATGTTTGCGTGTGCAGATCCTGCTGTGCGTGTCTGTGTGGTGGAGCAGCACCTCCTGATGGGACAAAAGCGAAAGCGCCCACAGGCAAGGTGGTGGTGTTGCCTCCAAGCCCTGGATGTGTCCCCCTTCCAGCCCAACACTTCCAAGATGTTTTCCTCCAGTTTGCGTCAGCGTGGCCTGCGGGGCACGAGGACCAGGAGAGGGTAGTGGCTGGGGTCTTCGGAGGCCTGAGCAAAGGCTTTTGTAAGCTCAGATGGAGTGGAACTCAATGGCTTTTTTCAGCCCAGTTTAAAATGATGGGTTTCAGCTCCCTCTGGCCCAAGCCCTTTCTGTTCCACCACGGACTTTATGACGACAAGAAAGCAGTTGTGGGTCCCTCCGAATCAGCCTTGCAGATGTTTTCTCAGAAAATTGAGGCGTATTTATAGGGTAACTTCCATCTCCCTTTCTCTTTAAACATCAGCACAAGTCATAGTGGAAGAGAGGTAGAGCTCGTTTCCATGTATCCCCCATACCCACCCTGGGTTCTGAAATGTCTGCGCATGAACAGAATTACAGCACAGCGTCCACTCCACTGCCATCCGAGAAGGCTCAGGGTTGAGTGCTGTCCACGTGCTCTGGGCTGACATTAGTGGGGACCAGCCCCAATCTTGGAGGGCTCTCAGTCTGGCTGGGGAAAAGAGCCCCTAAACAAAGAACCAGTAACCCCGCCGGGGGTGTTGGGGCCCAGCTACAGTGGGAAGATGCTGCAGGGGACACAGGGTGAGGAGCCCCGCTGTCCCAGAGCTGGGACAGAGGCTGTGGAGTTGGCCTTGTAGGAGGGGTGAGGATGGCACGTGTGGCTCCCTTCAGGGCAAGGAGCCAAGAGGCCCAGAGGCCTGCTCTCCCCATGGAACAGGAGCTCCCGAGAGCCCACAGTGCCTGTGACTCTCCCTTTACCCCAACCTCAGTAGCAGTTCCAGGCACAAGTCACACAGCCGAGCAGCACGCGACTGTCTATGAAGAAGTGTGAAGTTTCTCCAAACAGCTCCTTTGATGTGCTTCAAATACTTGATTCGTTGACCTTCCTGGGCTTGGATTAACTGCGGAGCCTGGGAAGAAACAAGTCAAGTTCAGATTCTTCATAGTCACAAGTCCTGTCTTCACATACCCATTATTTATGTCAAGGGGCGACGGCTGCGGGTGTACCTTCTCATCTGTAAAGTGCATGGTGATTGATGGGGCTGCCCTGGTGACTCCTTTCTGTCCTGCCACCGGGTATCCGCCTCAAGTCACTCCACAGTCCAGACCTGCACCCCTGCACGCTGTAGCCACACAGGCTGCTGGACATTCAAAAAGTGGCCAGCATGACGGAGGACCGGAACTTGAAATGTCAATCTTAATTAACTTATGCCGAGATTTTATGTCTGAAGCTGAGTCAACTGTTTTCCTATTAAACACAATTTGACTTTTTTTTTTTTTTGCTAAGACTGCATTTCACTTAAGCGATTAAAAATGTGGCACCTGATGTGAGATGCAATATAAATGTTAGATGGTCACAGATTTTAAAGACTTTGTCCAATTAAAAATGCAAAATATCTCAATAATTATTTATGTTAATTATGCATGGAAGTAATATTTTGTCTATACTGAGAGATTTTCTTTTTAAATTACATCTGCTTCTTTTTACTACTCAAAAATGGCTCCTAGATAACTGTAAATCACCTCGCTGGTCCCCATTTTATTTTCAGTGGCCAACAGGGATCCAGAGGGAAGGAGTTAGGTCTGAGAATAAACAACACATAAACTATAAGAGGGATAGGACCAGAGCTCCTCCTCTGAGTGTCTCGTGGAACTGAGAGTCCCTCTCACGCTCGCTCTCTCTTCCTTCAGAGGTGGCCGGTTATGAACTGGCAGAGGGCTGGTGCTTTCTTTAACTCTCTATTTCTTGTCTTGGTTTGTCATTTTATTCACTTTCTCATATGCCCAATAAGTTCACAGAAGACAGGAAATTCACTTTCTCTCTTCACCACCTAGCCCGACGCAATGCACAATTAAGTGCTTAATACATGTCTTTTGAGGGTAATAATGGCCGTGTGGATGATAATGGTGCTGAACTCCCTCCTGGGAGAAGTTTGCACACTTTGAGAACGGGCTCACTGGAATTGGATTATGAAATGGAAAAGTCGGCCTCTGTATATCTTTGGTGAACCACAAGGTTAGTGGCTTAATGAAGGGTGGGATAATGGATGCTGTACTGAATGAGGTGCTGCATTTCTGTGCTAAGTGTTCACCTCTGGCTCAGAAGTGTTTAATTCTGCCCAGACCATTTTAATTCCATGTGCTCCTACTTGTGAATTCAGAATAAAGCAGTTCATTTGTGAGATAAATTAGTATAGAAACACAATGTTCAAAATGGCAGGTGAGCTTTCTAGATTAACATTAAGTTGGTAACAAGAAAAGCTTAACTTCATCAATTTCAGACTTGGTTATTTTTCATTAAATATATATTTCTGATTATTGCATGACACGGCCTTTCCTTGTTACCATGCTCAGGGTGCCACATTCATTGCAGAGATCACAGTTCCTCCATGGGGGCATCACAGATTGGCTTCATGGAGAGGGGCAGAGAGGAAACCAGAGGGCTGGACCAGCCGTGATTCCAGAAGCCCATGGGAAGCTCTGCAGAACTGCGATCCATTTCAGGGAGTGCTGGCAGCAGGGTCCACTCCATGGGCAGATCTCAAGCCAGCTGGGAGCCCAGGGGCTGCTTAAGAGGGAAGGGGTAGGCTGGAAATGGTGGCTCATGCCTATAATCCCAGCACTTTGGAAGGCCAAGGGAACAGGATCCGTTGAGCCCAGGAATTTGAAAGCAGCCTGGGCAACATAGTGAGATCTCCATCTTTATAAATTAAATAGAAAATTAGCTGGGTGTGGTAGTGTGCATCTGTCATCCAGCTACTTGGGAAATTTAGCTGGGAAGACTGCCTGAGCCCAGGAGATCAAGGCTGCAGTGAGCCGTGTTCACACCACTGCACTCCAGCCTGGGGGACAGAGAAACCTTTTCTTAAAAAAAAAAAAAAAAAAAGAATAAAATGGCTCAGAGCAGGAGTGAGGGTTGGATACAGATGGAACCTTAGGGTGCATCCCCATGGTACAGTCTGAGTGTGCAGGGGGTGAGAGTCGGGTGAGGGCTCCCAGCGTGTGTATTCATTCGTCTGTCATTCCCTTCCCCAATGTTTGCTGCACAATTGCTGTGCAACTCTTCTGTTCAGGGCCGGGAGACACAGCCCAGCTATAAATGAGGCTCTCATGGCCCCAGTACTCTTGGGATTCCTTTCCAGGCGAGGGACCCAGGCACCAGGTTGAAGTAGACAAGAAGCCCTGACTCCACTGCTGGATGTGAGGGTCACGCAGGGATGAAGGGGCAGAGGCAGCCACCCAGCTGACCACGTGGGAGGCTGACCTTCCTGACCTGTGGTTGCCTCATCTGCAGGACAAAAGAAGAGAGTCACTCCCACACATAGTGGCCATGAAGAAGCCATGGTGTGCCCTAGCACAGTAATGGTACAGATGGACACAAAGATTAATCTCCCATTTTCTTTCAAGCAATGATACACCCACTCTCGTTCCACAGGGAGAAGAATCTTTGTAAAACTTTTGTCTTAAATCGGGATCCAGCCATTCCTTGGGATGGACATCATTATATGCGGCCACTATTTACCTTGCCTTTTTCTGTTGTACCATCAAGTCAGGGGCTGTATAGGGCCACCCACCTCCATTCAGCAGGGGAGAGAGGGGGCTTCCCAGAGAGGTGCCCCAGTTCTACAAAATGTCAAGATCAGTCTTCTCCATTTCTCTTCAATATGACTCCACAGAGAGCTTTCTCCAAAGCTGTATTAGTCCATTTTCACACTGCTATAAAGAACTACCTGACACTGGGGAATTCATAAAGAAAAGAGGTTTGACTCACAGTTCCACATGGCTGGGGAGGCCTTAGGAAACTTACAATCATGGCAGAAGTTGAAGGGGAAGCAGGCAGGAGAGAGAGAGCACAAAGAGGAAGCGCCAAACACCTTTCAACCACCAGATCTCGTGAGAACTCACTCACTATCAAGAGAACAGCATGGGGGAACCGCGACCGTGATCCAATCGCCTCCCACCAAGTCCTGCCCTCGACACATGGGAATCACAATTGAAGATGAGATATGGGTGGAGACCCAGAGCCAAATCATATCAAAGAGTGTCTTCAATTTTCCTGGATCAACTTCAGAGTAAAGAACTGAATTGAACCCTCCAAAACAACCTACTGTAGATCTGTTATGCAGTGGCAAAGAAGAATCAAAACGTCAGTGTCTAATTAAAGCCCATAAAGAAAAATTAAATTCCTTTAATGATGCCATTTATTGTCATGGATACTCAGGGTGGAAAACACAGATGAAAATGCATGAAGGAAATTTTGCACATAGTGAAAAATAGACGTTGGGAATCATAACTTGTGGTGTATTTATTCTACAACGGAATTATAATTGTCTCATTTTATTCTGAATATATGCCTCAATGATTTGTGTTAATACAGAGAATAAATGTTCCAGAATTTATTCTTTGAATTACATTTGTAGAGAATTTTTTCTTTCAATTCTGAAAGAACAGTATAGGAGTTTGCAGCACCATGCAAACAAAAACCACAATGTTTCTATCTAAAAACGTATACTGAAAATGGGTATTCTATATTTCAAAATGTAAGGGTTTTCAAAGATGGGGTTTTGTGGGTCCGGGGGATGGAATGAGAGAACACCAGGCAAGCCATGTTAGAGCCGAGCCCTGGAGTTAAGCATAAAGTATGAAGTGTGGATTAAATCTCCCAGTCTACCCAATTGGAAGAGCCTCACATGGATTCGTTAAGAATTAAGTTAATTGGGTTTGCTGTAAGGTTGGTGTCCTTCCTGCTGGAAAATTTCCCAGGTCTTCCTCGGTGTTAGTGCCCACCAGCCTCCCCGGTCACCCTGTTAGCCCAGACTTTAATTAGCTCTGGCGTCCTCTTCATAATGATAAATGCAGAGATGATGAATCGAAATGCAAATGACGGTGAAGTGCCTCAGCCATCAGCGCTGAATATCATTAATACCTTCCCACTGTTAAATCGATCACTGTCATCCCCGGATGCCGGCGTGCGGCGGGGCACATGGCTGCCAGCCAGAACGCCTTCCAGAGCCCCGGCAGGCCAGGCTTGGTAGGGTTTTCCTCCCATATGCTTTTATTCATCTTTTGCAGAATATTTGTTTGGCAACCAGAGTTCCAATATATTTCCAGCTGAGGTGATAACTATTTTGGGTCAATAAGCAAATAGCTAATTTAGAGCAAAATAAATACCAATAAGCAACTGTTCCTTGAGCATCAAGAACTGAAAGAAAGCATCAAGATCTTTCAGATTCTGACCCATTTCAAAACTGAAAGAGCTGCTTATAAGCTGTATATAATGTTGATCTTAAAGAGAAAATTCTATCTATAACCCCAATTTAAATGATTTTTTATTTCTTTCTCCCCAAGATCTTGGACCACCAAGTAGTGTTATGGCCACTGTGGTAGAATTGATTCTCCCTGAAACTCGTGTTTTCGTAAGAATGAGATGCCTCTTCTCTAGAGAGGAGCCCCGCAAAATGCCTCAAAAACTCATGCCACCGACAGCTCTGGTCCTCTCCCCTGGCAGCTGAAAAACATTACTTCCTCTTGCATGGAGCTGGGCCTTATCTATCAATTTAAGGGTTAAGGTGTTGCTTTGGCCCTTTTATTTTAATTAACTGAAAAGGCACACTGTAAAAAACAACAACAACAACGAAAAACTCAACCTGGGAAAAGCAATAGATAAATTCTACCTGTACCTCCATTTCTGATCCGCCCCCCATTTCTCCAGCCCCCTCTCCCTTCACTTCAGCCACACTTCTTTTTTCTCCACTCCTGACCGTCTGTGTGCTAAGTCGTGTGACATCCCCAAAAAGAGCCTGGAGGTCTTCATGGCGAACACCCTGGAGATGCTCCTGGTGAGGGTGATATCAGGCACCATGTTACTTGAAAATCTGCCCCCTTCCCAAGCCAAAAGGTGACCATTTTGATCCTGTTATCCAAGATTTGAGACACCAACCCTTAGAGAGGTTCACCTGAGCACACAAGCTCAAGACATGTGGAATAGTCTATTGTGGGTATGCTAACAATTTTGCTCAGTCTTCAGGGAAAACTCTCAGTAGAGTGAGGCAAGAAAGTCGACCAACGCACTCTTGGCTTTCTCCCCAAATCCGCTCCTTCCGCAGTGTTGGTTCCCTTCTCAGAAACAGATGCCACCATCAAGATGGCCTTCATTACAGAAATCTGAGGCCCTGGCGCACCTCCGTGCCACCTCCCTCCTGCACTGTGCCCATGCGGCCTCTCCATCCTGTGTCTTTCCAAACACATCGTTGCTTTGTTGCTGCTGCCTCTGCCTTCATCCTCCCTCAGTCTTCCCCATGAGCAGGTGCAGCAGCCTTGCCTGGATCCTGGCTTCTTTTCCTGATGTTCCATTTTCCCCGAAATTCATTTTCCAACAGCAAGCCACAGTGGCCTTGGGAGATGACTTATGTCACCGGGAAATTCTCATGCTTAAAATATTTCAGAGGTTTTCCTTCTCCCTGAGAAAATCTAAACTCCCAGACTTGCCTTCAGAGCCTCCTGCCATGTGCCCAGGACTCCCTTCTGGACCCCTCGTGCCAGCCCCCTGCCCTCATACCTGCCCCTTGCACTCCCTTTCTTCACCCCACCTGAGTCCTTCTCCACCTCAGGGCAGGTACATGCAACACGCCTGCGCTACTAAGCTGGGAAAAACCCTGCCTGGTATTTTATGTGACATCATGGAGGATAAATCTCATGAGTAATAGCAGACGGGTGGTTCTAGCCTCATAGCAGACATGACCTCAGCAGTTGCTCGAAGTCTTCTGCCTCAGATTCCTTATCTCTAACATGAAATATTAGCTATCCCTTAGGAAGGTTGTAAGGACTAAATGAGGGGGAATATGTGTGAAGGTGCTTGGACCCTTGACACATAAACATGATAAGTGTTTAATGGCTTTACCTCCTATTATCTTGATGGTCTCTGCATGAATATCACTAGGTCCCAGGAGCCTTCCTAGAACCAGCGATAAACTGTGTTTTCCAAAGCTGATGGCACCACTCTCTTCCATCCCACATGCCCTTCAGCAGTAGGATCTTGCCCAGCTCATGATGGGAAGAGGCTGTTTTTCTGACCCCTGTCCATCTGGGTGGGCTCTAGGATTGCTCTGATGGAGCAGCTCAGCCTGTGACACTGCGACAATCTGATGGAGATTTTGAGAGCCTTGGGCTCCTTCTTCTTGCCCTTGGGAATGCTCGCTCTTGGATGCTCCCTCTGGGATGCCACCCACTGTGTCCTGAGAAGCTCAAGCAACAGAGCGGTCACCTTTCAGGCTCTGGCTGATATCTGAGCAGGCAGGCTACAACCAGGATCCACCGCCAGCCGTGCCAGTGTGCCATCTTGGGTATCCAGCATGGCTGAGCCTCAGGCGAGTCCAGCCCCGGCAACATCTGACTGCAACAGAGTGAGAGGCCCCAAGCGCCAACTGCCCGGCTGAGCCCTGGCACCCCTTAGACTCCTGAGAGCTAAAGCTAAAGTGGCGTCCTAACCCACCAAGCTTCTCTTTCAACTACCAGAATAGGTCCCCTAACAGGGCCTTGTGATACTGAGGAGCTCAGCTCCACCCTTTTCATGGTCTCTCACGGCATTTCTCAATTCTTATGTCTCCCTCACTAGAATGAAATTCCCCTGAGGACAGGGACCACTTGTTTTTTTTTCAGCACTGGATGGAGCCCATTGCCTAGTGGGATCTCAGGAAACATTTGTAGAATAAGTGAATATGGATAAATGCTGCGTTCTGATCTTTGGTGACACTGCCTCATCTCCTGGCCAGCAGGCTGACTTCAGTGAGTGATGATAGGCGGAAGGCCAGAGAGCTGGCTCCAGGGACCTCACAGGCTGAGAGCCTCATCGATCACAAAAACCCAGCCTTCCAAACCCAGTCACGGGCTGCACTCGGCCCAGCCAGCTTCAGGCCTATCTATTCTTGGGATGAATTTAACAGTCACTTCAATTAATTGTAAACGTTTATATTAGGAATAAATGCAACTTCGCAAAGGAAAATCTTAAGTGGCAAGGCAAAAAATTATATTTTAGTTCCATTTTAAAAATTTCAGTACAGTTATTCTGCTTATCATGTTAATAATTTATAGACATGTCAGCTTAAAGACAATGAAGATAAACTGTTTCTCTTTCCCTTAAAGCATTATCTATAGCTGTAAGGTATCTTTTAGAATTACCATTTCATTAAAATTAACATCTTAATATTACATTTTATAACAATACCTCCTTTTTTAATGAGATAATGAGAGATTATAAAAGCACCTTTAAGGCAAAGTAATTTCTTCATAAAATAAATAAAGATAAATTAATTTGCATCTGACTATAGGTTAAATATTTTATTTTATTTGTATAATGAAAACCGAAAAATAAAAGGAGACAAATGTTTTGTTACCTTGGTACCGACGAAGGTTTTGGCATCCTTTCTAGAGAGTGCTAGCCAACTTCAATAACATCAGGAACATGAGGAAATAAATTAGACATTTTAATTGTGAGATGATAACGTGCTGATGGAAGAGCTGGGACTAAGCCAAAACAAATGTTAATGACAAAACAATAATCTAAGCAAAGTAGGAAACATTAGACTCTATGGGCTTCGAAAGAAAATAAAAAAAGCAAAATTGGTAGTGCTTCTAAGGTTATGAAGCTCATAAACTATAGATGATATAAATTGTGAATGAAGTTGACAAGTTTATTATAGATAACCCCGACTGCTTTAAGCAGTAAATAAGAAGCATAATTGGCTAAAATTTTAGATAGCATGAATGTTTGATGTTTTAAGTAACTACAAGAAAATTGTATCCCTAAGGAAAGCAAAGAAATTTCAAAGTAAGGAGTCCACAGTACCCACTCATTGGTGACCAACAATGAAAATTTGCTCCATTTTATACCATTTTCATTCGGAAACATGACTATGGATGAGCAGTCTTGGATGAAACAATTTTACTTGTCAGATTTTCCAAACAATAGGTCCATTCTCAATACAATTAGCAAGTTGGCAGAGGGGAGAGCCGGATGGAAGCTGCTGACGCCATGAGAATTGATTAGCCCTCGATCTCCACCTTCCCGAGATGCAACCACAGGCATTCAGATGTGACTATGCATGGGGTAGCCAGCAGAGGATCTTCTGTCCTGGTTTTGCTGCTTCCTTGGGGGTGCTGCATGCTTGACTATCCCTCCCACCCAAAGTCTGACACATGAGAATACCGATGGTTGCAGAGAACATGACATAGAGAGCTCAGATGGCTTTGTGAACTCTCACTTGAGCTAACTAGCTTTTAATCAGCTTTACTGGGGTGTAACTTACATACAAAAAATTTATACATTTTAAGTGTACAGTATGATGAGTTTTAATAAACACGCACATCTTAGTAACCACTTCCATCAAGATGCTGGACATTTCTCAAGCCCCAGAAAGTTTTCTCAGGTCTCTGCCCTGCCAAAAGACACCTCTTCAGGTCAACGCTGATCCAATTCTTAGTAGTCCAGATTGATTTTGCCTGTTCCAGAAATTCATATAAATGGGACTGCACAGTATTTACTTCCTGCATCTGGACTCTTTTGCTCAGCATAACGCCTGTGAAGTTCACCTATGCTGTGTGCTAGTAATTCATTGTTTTTGTTGCTGAACATTCTTCTGTTGCACCAATGCCCTGAAATTTATTTATCTATCCATCTACTGATAAACAAGGGTGTCGTTTCCAGTTTGGGGCTGTTATGGATACAGCTGCTTTGAACATTGTTTTACAAGATATTTGTATGGGCATAAGTTTTTCTTTCTTCTAGTTAAATATTTAGGAGCAGGTCATATAGTAAGCGTATAGTAAATATAGGCTTGACTTTACAATTGTTGGGCAAAATGGCTCTGACATTTTATACTCTTACCAGAAGGATATGAGACTTCCATTAGCTCTGTCCACTTCAACATTTCACACTACTAATCTTTTAAAGTGCGGTGGGATTTGGGATCATTGTGAATTTACTGTGAATATACGTGACAACTTATTATACTGAGCACCTTTCACATGCTTGTTGGTCACTTACGTGTTTTCTTTTGTGAAATGACTATTTAAATAGTTCACTCATTTTTATTAGGATATGTATCTTGTTACAACATTTTTTATTATTGTTCATTTGCATACATTTATGTATATCTATGTAGATACATATGTATTACACAAATTTGTACATTGCATAAATATATATGTATATGTCTATATGTAGTGTTATACAAATATATGTGTATATATATTAATAAATATGTATGTAGAAATTCTGGATACAACCCTTTGGTCATACATATGTGTTGTGACCATTTCTCCCAGGCTGTAGATTGATTTTTTTATGTCCTTAATAACATCTTTTGAAGATTTTCTTTTTGAGACAGGGCCTTGCTCTATCAGCAAATTTGGGGTGCAGTGGAGCCATTATAGCCCACTGTCACCCGGGCTCAAGCAATCCTCCCTCCTTCCTCCTCAGCCTCCCAAGTAGCTGGGACTACAGGCATGCGCCACCAGGCCTGGCTGTCTTTTGAAGACCTTAACATTTTAAAATTGAAGGCATCCAGTTTATTATTTTGTTGTATAGCTATATAACCAAACCAACTTTCCCATGTTAATTTTTGCATGCTATATCTATCTCATCCTTTTACTTTCAGTGATTGTCTTTATATTTAAAACACATCACTTGTAGACAGAATTTGGTCAGATCTGGCTTTTCCAATCAGTCTAAAATCTCTGTCTTGTATTTTTGCATAATGAGTCCATTTGATTTGAATGTACTTGATATGGTTGTGTCAAATCTACCATTTTACTCTTTGGTCCTCATTTATTCCTTCACTCCCTCTGCTATTCTATTGCTGTTTTGCTTGAAGTAATAAAATAGTTTAATATTCCTTTCGATTTCACCTTTTAGCTTCTAATCTACAATTATTTATTATCATTATTGGCAGTTATCTAAGGCTAATAATAAGCATCCTCAACTTATTAGTCTACTTAGGTTCAATATTTTATTTTCTCCCACTTGAAACTTCTTACTTTACGCCTGATATTGCCTGCATCTCACTTTAAATATGTAATAAGTTTGCTATATATAATCCTATATACCCCTCCCTCATTGTTTTTGAAATTGCCGTATTATGTGCATATGCATGTCTGTGTGTGTGTATATATAGGTGTGTGTGTATACATATATATATAAAATATATATACTTCTGCAGAGAGAAAATCTCCATCATACGGTGCTGTTGTTTTTTTCTCTGGCAAAAGTCAGTTGTGTTTTAAATAGATTATGAAAGAAAGAAAAGAAATTACTCAAATTATTTTATATTCATCTCTTCAGATTCCACTTTCGATATATTCTTCCCTATGCATTCAAGTCTCCATTGCATATAATGTCCCTTCAGCAATCCCAGATGTTTTAAATCTTAAAATGTCTTTATTTCACTCTTACTTTAAAAAATATTATATTTGAATATAGGATTTCTTTTTCTCTTCCTTTTAGCACCGTAAAGATGGTGTTCCATTGTCTGCTGGTCTCCATTGTTTCTGATAAAAAATCAGTAATATTCTTACCCTTGTTCCCTACACCCTTTCTGCTGTTGTGTTTTATTTCGTTTCTTGGCTGCCTTCAAGACTGTCATTTCATCTTTGTTTTGGGCTATTTGGCTATGATGTATCTAGTTGTTGTTCATTTTCTGTCTTTCTGTCTCTCTCTATCTCTCTCTGCATCTCTCCATCTTTCTCCCACACCCCTGCTACACACACACACAAACACAGGATTCACTGATATTCTTGGATCTGTTAGTCAGTGTCTTATAAATCAAAATCAAATTCAGGAAGGTTTAGTAATTTCTTCTCAAATATATTTTTTCCTACCCCCAAACTCGCTTTCTGTTCCTTCTGATGTTCCAACTCAGTGAATGTTAGACCATGTAATAATTTTATGCAAGTTCTGAGGCTCAGTTTAATTTTCTCCAAGTCATTTTCTGTCTCATTTTAAGACTGGGTAGTTTCTATTTTTCTGCCTTCAAGTACGAGTTTTTCTCCCCCATCATCTACAAGCTACCAAGAGCATGCATTGGATTTTATTTGTTATTTTTTCAAGTCTGAAATATTATTTTGATTTTTTATATCATTTATTCTCTACTCAGATCCCTTCACTATTTGATTATGACCATATTTTTCCTTTACTTCATGAGACTGTGTGTGTATGCATGTACACATATCTGTATCTGTAGCCATCAATTCTTTGGTGGCTAATGCCCTTTTCCTTTTTCTTTATACCTTAACTATTTTTGAAGGAATAATGAGTCAGAATGTGTAGTATGCTTTAGAAATTCTGGCCTTCATTTTCTTTCCCTGAAAGATTATGATTCTTATTTTTGCAGGCAGTAAATAGCTGCCTAATTTCATTTAACTTGTGCAGACTGGGTTTTGCACTTTGTCAGGGTAGATGTAGAACATGCGCTGCTCTGGTTGATTCTCCTTGCTGCCAAGCTCAGCCTTTCTGATGTGTCTGCTGGATGTCAGGGCTATAAGCAAGGTCTTCAGAGACCATCCCACTCTGGCAGGGCTGGAACTCCAAATGCAGCCTGGATCCTCTCTTGGCCATCACTGCCCCATCTCCAGCATCTCCTTTCTCTTCTCAGGTCCATAGCAGCTGCTGTGTGCCAAGCCTCAGAAGTTCTCACCCCACATATGTGCAGCCCAGCTTCTAGCCATGGACTTGCAGGGAGATCTCCTTACGGAATTCTGAGATCCCTCACCACAAAGCTCTCTTGTCTCAATGCCTCATCCCACAGATTCACACTGGTCTTGGTGTCTTAAACGCTGACCTCTGCCTCTTCAATTCAGTGGGATCATCTTACTTTGCAAAAACCAGCACATTGTTCTGCAATTGTGGATTGTCCCCACATGAGAGCTGGGTGAACATGGAGTTCACCTCCTGAGTTTACCTTGTTTTTCTACTCCCTGGACATTGGCTGAACACCACTGTCTCATCTCGTCTGTCCATTTTTACAGCTGTTCACAGGGAGAAGGTTGCTCCAGGATCAGTTACTCCATCATGGATGTGAAATTCTGACCTGAAAATTTTATGGTGACAAGTGAGCATTTTGGGGGTAAAGAGAAATGATTTACATGTTCCAGGAAGTAACAGATTTGTATTATCTCATCTAAAGCTGCAATAAGAGAAAATGAATTAAAAATGTAACAATTAGCTGCTTAATTTATTCAATGTAGATAACTGATTCAAGTAATTATGTTCTCAGAGTTAAATTGTTTGGCTTGAAATCAGTGAGGTGACTTTTCTTGATTAAACAATGTGATATTTACTAGGTCTGTGCTTTGCCTAGTGTCAGGTAGACATGGTTCGAGATACAATCTTTGGATGAGGAAATAATTAGTTCCTGCATTATTTTCTCCATTCTTCTCATTAATTTATTATCAGCCCCAGGTTTATATGTGCCATTAGGCAAATTATTTCTCTTGATTTAAGAACTTCTCTTTTGTTCACATGCAAACATAATTCAGATGGAACTTAATTGTTAATATACATATTTTCTCAAGTTTTAACTTTAAGTTTTTATTGTTTGCTGTATTCCATGTCTTCCAAATGATTCCCTGTGGAGAAAGTGACAAATTCACTGACACTGACAGGGTGATTCTCATGGAGAATTGCTGTCCAGTGGAAGTGCTTTGGGTCAGAACCGCAACTAGCTGTATGGAACTCAACACCAACACTTCAATGTGCCCATTCACACTTCCATTCTCATTCTGCTTTTTAAATTTTGTTGTAAGTTTCTGTACAAATATATAAACATCGAAAATGACAATTTCTGCTTTTGTGCAGAAGTTTCAAAATGCTTGTCATGACTGAAGTGTCTCCCTATTTGCTAGCTTTGGTGTTGAAGAAGTGTGGCTTCTACTGATACTCACCTGTTTAATGAGTCATTCATGCATCTCACATCTTGGCGACAAGAACTGTGCTAAGTGCACACTATGCTTTTGATCTTCTAGAAGGTTATAGAACAACAGGAGGGAAACACAAGATAGAATGAGGAAATAGGGGAAAACAGCACATGTTTGGGGCTAAAAAATGAGTGGTCTTATAGAGATACGTTGCATGTGTTGGGCAGGGTGGGGGTAAGCTTCAGGGCAGAATAGGAATCGGGCCCTCCCTTCCTCCTTTTCTGAGGGCATGTAGGAGTATGGGGTGGGACAGGCATGGCCAAGGATCCCATGGTGGTGAGAGTGAGCAGGGCCCTGGCTCCATGTTGAGGACTTGTGCTGGGATGCCCCATCTAGAGTGCAGACGGGCGCCCACCAGGATACACAGGCACCATCAGGTCACTGGGAGCGAGATGTCTGCACCTTCTCCAGAGTCCCCTCCTGACCGTTCACATTGCTCCCAAAGAACTGGCCTCTGTGGCATTGGGCCATTCCCTGTCCACCAGCTCTCCCTGCAACTCCACACCCTGGCAGGGGCCATCAGATCATGAGCAGGCACCACAGACATCGGAGAAGCTGTGCCCCTGATGCACCCATCCGGCTGTCCTGGTGCCCCAGCCACGGAGTGTGGCCATGAGATGGGCTTCTCCCGGAAGTCTTCTCCCCTTGCTGGACCAAGCCTAGGCCCCTGGACCCTCCTGTATGAGTCTTCCCGGGGTGCACCTCTTCCCTCACAGCTGCCTCTTTGCTTATTCCTGCAGACACTTCCCTCCCACACACACTTCTCTGAAAATATTTCCCTCATGCCAGGTGACCATTCTTCCTGGGTCTAGCTCTGAAAACACTCTGGGCCGCTCCTCTCCTGGTGGATGAAGGCCGTGAGCTGGGCCAGTCCAGTGTAGCGTCTATCGGCCTTAGACGACCTGGAGCCAGGGATTACTGAGGATGAAAACACTCTGCGGAAATATGCAAAACCTATCACCTGATGCGGAGGCCACCAGGCTGTGTACGGAGTGTGAGTAAAGGCCGTCATCCTCGAGCCGCTGATTGGAGCTCCATGGAGCTCCTCCTGCCAATACTCCACTCAGGTGAGCCACACCTGCAGCGTCTCATGGGCTGATGCTCGCCCTCTGCCCTGCTTCCTGTGTTATCAACACAGCTGATCTTGTCTGCCATTTAGGAACTAGGTTATTTGATGAGCCTAAATCACACAAACACGCAACTCTCTGAGTTCTGTTACCGAAAATAGTGTTATAAGTCAGAACAATAGGGTTCACGTTCTTATTGCAGAGTGTTTTCCACATTCCGATCTCAGACAGGCTCACCTCAATCCCCACGCTTCATATGGAGAAGCGGTGTGGGGGGCTCAGGGAGTAGGTGACTCAGGCAAAGTCACACACTGCATGAGTCAGGGGGCCAGGATGCAGGACGCTGTAGAGCTGAGGTGATTGACAGCCTGAGGTGTTCACTCTCAAGCATGTATTAGCACCGCACCTGCTGAGCCTTAACGGTGAGATGGCAGCAGAGCCTCTCCTGCGTGGTTCCATCCCATCACACTGTGAGCAGCATCCGGAGTGCAGCGTGGCTCTAGTAAGGCACACCTGCCTGTCCCTGCCACCTGCTGCAGGCCGAGCAGAACAGCTGCACTTGCGATGCTGGGCCTCCACATTGAGATCCACCCTGACCCACAATGCACTAGGCTACCAGAGAATCCATTTCTACATGCCAATTAAAGACAGCAGTATAGACGTGTCAAGGCTTGACATTCTTTGTTGAGGACTCAGAAAGCAATGATATCTCTTTGGGGAAGCCATTGACATTTTTGCTATACTGAAAACTGATTCTAAACAATATAAGCACATTTTTAGAATCCCACAGACCCTCAATTCTACATAAGTATTTACACAAACACATGCAGGCTGCCTCAGGGACTGTGCAGCCTCTGCTGTGTCCAGCTCTGGAGCCACAGAAGCAGATCATGGCATGACCAGCCTCCCCTGGAGCAGCCTAGGGCAGAAGCTGGGCCCAATGGTCCACACTATGTTAACAATTGTTTTATCTCTCAGAGGCAGAATTATGGGTGATTTTCTCTTTTTAAAAATGAGCATATAGTACTTTAAATTACTCATTACAATGAGCATATAGTATGCTAATTATCAGAAAAATAAAAATTCCATTTCATTTTAGAAAAAAAAAAAGAAGGAAATCAATTGCATAAGATCAATCTATGGCTTCTTCTGCAGTTTACACTGAGCCAGTGAAATTCTAAATTGCATTCACACAGGGCAAACATCGTAAGAATTATGAGAATTATGATGATCAAAAATGCATTTATAAGCACATTTTAAAATATATATATAGCATGCCTGTGTTTACATGTGAGTTTCCCAGGATGTCCAAACTTCAGAGTTAACTTTACTTAACATCAAAGAACAAGTGGCTTATTCAAAAGGGAGGAATGCAGCAATACTTTCATTTTTTTTTTTGCAAGATGTGGACCTCTGCTATTATAAAAAAAAAAGACAGCCAGCTCACCTAATAGGCCTTTTATTTGCTAATCAAACCTCTCATTAACAATTAATTGGATCAAAAGTTCATAGGCCATTATTGCTGTGTCAATTAGATGCGTAGGCCTCGGAGTCTGAAACGGAATGACCTGCTCGGGTGATAAATAATTTCCAACAGCGACTCGCCTTACTGCAGGCCGCCTGTGTGGAGGTCACCATCCCGGCCTCAGCGGCCAGCACAGGCTGTCCTGATGACAAGAAAAGATGCAGTCTCTCTTATCGCACATGCTAATTTAAGCTCCGTAATCTAAAACGTGTGAAACACCATCTCAGGGCAAACAGGAGATGCTGTCGTTGTGTCTTTACGAGAGCCCTACAAATGGTTGCGTGCTCTTCAAGAGAAGAAAAAGAAACAGGAGAACACAAAGAACTTGTCAAGCTTGAAGGGCTATGCAGGCTTGCAATCACGAGATATCGTGGGCTCCTGACCGTGGGCTGCCACGTGTAAACCCCGATAAGGTGGGATCTCCTGACAATGTCACCAACATAGAGACAGATGCATCTGCTTTACACCATCCTTAGTTCAAGTTTAACTCATTCATTTGATTTCCGCCCTTCAGTAAGGAAAAAACTTTACTGAGCATTGGAGTCTGAAATGTTTGTTACATTATCTCAGAGATTGTTATTCCACACCAAACTCATCAGATGCCCTCATGAGTCGTGTTGCAGTCATGTTGTTCCCTGGACAAAAATAAGATAGCATCTACAAAATTACAGGTTAATTGAAGCAGGAGAAAGCTTTTGCTATTAAAATTTCTAAAGGATAAATGTGAAATACAGTTGAGAGTTCATTTTCAGCACTGGGATTAACTTACAGCTCTTTCCTCTTTTTCTTTCTTTTTCTTTTCTTTTTTTTTTTTTTTTGAGGGCACAGCAGCCTCCAAGAGGTGGGAAGCACATTCTTTTAACTTTATATTCTCCAGGTTGTCCCTGTCTATGAGAAGATAGTCCATGAAAATGTGTTGGAATTAATGAAATCTGAATTGAATTCAATGCAGGTAGTAAGTCAAGCCAGGCTGGCAAAATTCCTTATGAAACTGTGGGGTCAGTCATCTTGATTCAAAATCCATTTTGTGTTTGATTGTGAGATGCTACAGTGGGCTGTGCTAAAGGACAATCATGTTCTTAATCGACTCCCCAGCCTATGAGCTGGAATGTGGATGCTTTCAGTACTGTGAGGTCACCTGCTCCCCCCGACAGGATCATACAGGTTCTCTCTTCCTGATTCTACTCAAACAGATGGGGGCATACTGGGCCTGAGGTCAGTGGAGGAGGGGTCTTTGAAAGAAGCTAGGGTGAAGGGGTCTAATTCCTTTCTCTGGAGACGATGGCAGAGGGTTTACGTCCCACTCCCTGAAAGCCTGTAAGGATCCCATCGCTCTTTCCCATCAGGGAGACACCCACGCCCTCCAGGGCCCACCTTCCTGCCCCCTCCCCACGCCACCAGCCCATAAGCCTTCTCCTTCTGACCCTGTCTCTTCCTGAAGGGAGCCTCTCCCAATCTCCTTGCTTATATTAGTGTAGAGTGTGAGCGTCAGTCATACATATTTGTTAACTGGAATTAAATTTCAGCAGAAGAAGAAGTTATCTAAGGGCCCACGCGTGCGGCATGATGAGATATCCCTGATTAAGAAATGTAGCCTGGCTGTAATGCCTCCTGGAAGACTAAGTCAATCGAAACGTTGGTTTTAGTTTACAGTTGTTGCAGATGCAAAGACCGCATGTACTCTGGCTCCTGTAGAAACTCCAGGAACATTAAGTAAGACCAAAGTCTCACACCTTAAATGCAGCAACGCTTGCAGTTTCAGACTCTCAGTGAAGTGTCTGCGTCCTGAGCAGTGACCCAGCACCTACACACCCCTCTGCAGCGATGTCCACCCACAGTTGAGGGGTTCATGTAGCACAGCTGTGCTACAAGCTTCTTCTGCAAGCTTCAGAGCAAACCTAAGTGTTTAGGGGCCTACAGGACCAAGACTCATTCCACAGAAACTGAGAAGGTGTGGGTGCAAGGTACTGAGTCATTTACAAAAGGTTTATTTTGCATGCAAGATGAGAACCAGAATGCGAAAACAGAATTGGAAACTGTCACACAAGAGAAAGAAGACAATTTGTGTCTAGGTGATGTATTTCTTGCTCCTAATGGCCATTGCCATAGTGAGGGCGGTGGATTCCTGACAGGGAGAAAAAAGGAAAAGATTGCAGAGCTGTGGGATAGCTGCACCTACCCAGAATGGAGCAGAAGAGGGGTGGGGTGAGCACGAAGCTTGGTGCGCACAAGAATGTGGTCCACTCTCCAAACATGTGCAGGCAGCTCCCCAAGCGCAATGCAGGCCCCACCACCGTGCGTTTCCTTGTACGATAGACACCAAACGTCAACCACGCCTACTTATGAGTATGAAGTGTTTTCGCCTGGGCACGGTGGCTCACGCCTGTAATCCCAGCACTTTGGGAGGCCGAGGCGGGTGGATCACGAGCTCAGGAGATCGAGACCATGGTGAAACCCCGTCTCTACTAAAAATACAAAAAATTAGCCGGGCGTGGTGGCGGGCGCCTGTAGTCCCAGCTACTCGGGAGGCTGAGGCAGGAGAATGGCGTGAACCTGGAAGGCGGAGCTTGAAGTGAGCTGAGATCGCGCCACTGCACTCCAGCCTGGGCGACAGAGCGAGACTCCGTCTCAAAAATAAATAAATAAATAAATAAAAAATAAAGTAAAATAAAATGTTTTCATGTTTCTTAGGAATTAGATTCATTTGAGAGTCATTATTTTAAGGTGAACCTGTCCATTTGGGCAGCTGATTTTTAATCAACATTTGTATGGTTGTATTCATGGATATACACCGAAGGAAAAGGGCATTGTCACTGATCATTTACATAGATCTACTGTTTTTTTATTATCAGCCCATTGGGACAATCTAAAATGTTGGCCAATTCCCAGGCACACAGGCATAGCCTTTGGTGCAGCAACTTACAAACTCACGCTGTGGGAGAACTTTTCCTGAAGGACTGGAAATGTCTTCTTTTCTTTTCATTAATCTTTTTAAGCTATTTTTATTAATAAAGCAAACATGGGATGTATAACATTAAATAAGTCCAGGATGAAGATTTTTT
Source organism: Homo sapiens (assembly GCF_000001405.40). Lineage (NCBI taxonomy): Eukaryota > Metazoa > Chordata > Mammalia > Primates > Hominidae > Homo > Homo sapiens. The sequence continues at coordinate 2,561,852 of NC_000005.10, forward strand.
TTTATTTCTTCCTTTGCCTAAACATCAAAGCATCTGCCTTGGTATATAATAAGACATCGATATTCCAGTGAAAAAGAAACTTTCGGGTACGTATTTCCTACTTGTCAAGACTCCAGCTTAAATATTCTGGGTAGAATCCTGGCTTGATCTCCAGTGTCAAAATGTGAGTATCCGAATTTCATTCATGCCAACACAGCTTCCTGATGCTCCGCTGGCAGCCACAGCCCAGACACCCGCTTGGGTCTGAGCCCAGCTGAAGGGCGCAGTGTAGTGGCTGATCCCGGAGCTTGGTGGTGTGTCATCAGCCTGTGTGTGTCCTCCTTCCTGTGCCTGTGCCGGCAACACACATCACACTCCACACCCTCTGTGTGTGCATCGGCACTTTCCCGGGCACGCGCTGTGAACACTGTCACAGGGGACGGCCCAGCCCATCTACACCCGCTGCAGAGTCAGCACTTCAGTTGGAGCCCTACTCAACTGTGCTTGTGAAATAAGTGGATTTTAGGTCTTTCTGCAAGGCGACAACTTTTTGATATGACCTTTGATGAAGAGATTTAAAAACAAAAACCAACTCGCAGCAGTGGCAGGAAGGAAATGACCTTCCGTTTTCCCTGGTTTAGCTGAACACCCTATGGGTATTTAGTCATTATGGATCCAAACCATAGACTCCCAGTTCAGCAGGTAGTGTAAAAGCTACATATTCATCTCAGCCCAGTCAAGAAAACAATCCAAGCCAGTTGATGGGACAGGGGTGTTACAAAGGTACCAGGAAAACTGAAAAGTCAAAGGATTCAGCAATCGGCAGGGTGATGGCAGCAATCCACTTAGTGCTTCCGGGAAGGAGAGGCTGAGGTGAGGTGTTGCCGGAACACAGGGCTGGTGGGACTGAGGAAGGCTAGACCCAGGGACCTCACAAAGGGGGACCATCTGCAGCTAGAGGAACCTTGGACTGTGGAATGCACTGACGGAGGTGCAGTCAAAGCAGAAAAGGAGGAGGAGGAACACCCTGGCTCCCCATCTCCCACTCTGCAGTCTCCTGCCAGCATCTGCCTGTGCCTGCCATTGTGTAGGCACCCAGAGCCACTGGACAGTGGGTAAGGGAGTTGGGGAAGACAGACAAGAGCAGGGAGGGCCCAGGCAGTGGACGTGAGCACGGCCAGACCAGCACCAGCTTGGTGACCGTGCAGAACCCACGTCTGTGCTGTGGGTGGGGCACTGTGGAGACTATTGAGGCCACAGCAACCGTAGAGAGCCGGCCCTGCTGAATCAGGGCCTCTGCTGCTGTGGGAGTCTGGGGGTCTCAGTTCTTACTGAACATGACAGGCTCTCCAGAGCTGTTGGTGCCACTCTCGATCCTGGGCAGGGCTGGATGAATCATTCCTGGCATCAGTTTCTGACAAGTAGCTACCGTAATTCCCACCACCTCCAGGGGTCAGACTTTCCAGTGGTCGGGACATTCTGACATCTGGCCACAGATTGGAGGTCAGCAGGAGATGCCAAGGTGTGGGGGACCTGGAGGCTGGAGCCTTTGTGTGCTCCCCTCTTTGGAAGTGTCAATGTCTAACTCTTGAGACACAACCGGAGGACTCTGTACCAGGAGGGAGACTGAGGCTGCTGATGGAACTGGAGGGCACATCTCTCCTGCAAGGCTGTGGCCTACGTGCAGGTCCTGATGTTGAGTTACCCTGAGCGGCAGGGTGGGAGACATAGGAGACATAGTGTCAGAGCACCTGCAGCAAAAGACAGCTGTCCATGAGGAGAGGAAGGAAAAGAAGATGGACCCCAAAGGAATAGCTACTGGGAGTAATTTGGCCAGACTAATAGTGCCTCAAGCCACCTCTTCAATATAACAAAATGGAATAATTATGGTTCACAATGATGACCTTGAGTCATCAAAAAACTATTTAATCATGTTCAAATAATTTTGTTTCCAGAGAGTTCATTTCAGTTCAACAAATATTTATCATCAGCTAATTACATGCTGGGGGCTGTGAGCACACTGGGGTAAGCTTTGGGGAGTGCGTGCTAATTTGAGCAGTGAGGCTGCAGCCCTGAAGTAACCTGTCGGTGAGGATGCATATGATGGCAAGAAAATGGCAGCTCTGCCTGGATGTGCTGGCCTCACAAGTGCAGACGCAGTGTCAGGCAAATTCAGGCTCGATTCTGGACTCAGGGACTCTGTGATCCCCCACCTGTCTCCACCTGGAGCTCAGCTCTGCCTTCCTTAGCAGTGTGGATCCCGGGGGTCATGGGATCACTGCTGTCTGCACCGGGCCTCCTTCTCCTCTCCTTTGAGTTAGGCGAGGACAGAGGGTGATGTTTATGGGATCTGTTTTAAAAAAGAAAGGTTTCCTAGTCATGTCAACAAAGGACTGGATCCAGAGGGGCCAGGGCAAGGCCCTGAAGCAGAGACAACTGGTGGGGATGGATTACAGGCTCTGCTGGTCGCCTGTGCCCAGGGCTGGAGGGTGCTGCAGGTGGAGGAAAAGTACCAAGGGAAGAAGTGGCAATTTCCCACCCTGCAGGGGAGCACGGCGGCTGGTGGTAACGCAGGGAGCACGGCGGCTGGCCGTAACGCAGGGAGCACTACAGCTGGCGGTAATGCAGGGAGCACGGCGGCTGGCGGTAACGCAGGGAGCACTACAGCTGGCGGTAATGCAGGGAGCACGGCGGCTGGCGGTAACGCAGGGAGCACGGCGGCTGGCGGTAACGCAGGGAGCACTACAGCTGGCGGTAACGCAGGGAGCACTACAGCTGGCGGTAATGCAGGGAGCACGGCGGCTGGCGGTAATGAGTGCTTGAGCCGGAATCAGAACTGCACCTGCAGAAAGCTCAGTGCTTGTTCACTTCATCACCACGACGAAGACACCTGTGAAACTTCTGGAAGCTATCTGTTAAACCAGATCCTTATAAGTTCAGAAATGTAAAGGGAAGGAGACCCTTACAGAGAACCAATGGGTTACTAAGTAACAGTAACAAATAACCAAAGCTGATTAAGCTGATTCTCACGGGCAAGGCTTCCCTGTCGCCGTAAATACACACCAATTAGCTTTTCCAGAGAGGCCCGGGATCCACTTGGGATGGCTTTCAGTGTCAAGAGAGGGTGGAGACACATCACAGAGAACAAGGCAATGCATTCCAAGAAACTGTTCAAATTGAAAGCCTTACACTTTGTCTACAACTGTAAACAACATATTACTTTGTTCATGTGCAGGCCCCCCCCGCTAAAGCTGAAACTGTCTCCCTAATAATACATAAAGAAATATTAATTAAAATAAGTAAATGCATAAATACATAGCTGAGTTAGAAAAAAAACAGGAAGTCCTTCCATGTCAGAAATGAACAGGGAGCTCCAAGCTTGCTCAGAGAACCCTTGCAATGGGGCCCCGGGCTTGGGGTTAGGTCAGCCTCCATGAGAGACCTGTCCCCTGGCTTTGGGGCCGTCATGAGAATGGGCCTCGCAGACTCCAGATGAAGCATGGGTGGGAGGTCTGGGGTTGCTGATGTTCTCAAAGACTCATGGCATATTTGTGTAGACACCAAGCTGCCCGGGGGCTGCCTCTGTTTGAGACCTGGGCCTCCCCGGACAGCCCACACTGGCTGGAAGACTCTCTGAAGCTTAACCAAGCCTCCCTTGTGTCCCTTTCCCCAGCTTCTCCTGGCTCCTCCCCTCAGAGGACCCTTCCGTCCTGGTTCCATGCTGGCCAGCCTGGCCGTGGTTCTCCTGACTTTTCCTCACACAGTGAGACACATGCTGGTGTCTGCTTCTTCAAGGGCCTGGAAGAACAGTTTCTGCACCGTGTGAAATGAGATGGTTTCTCACTATGGAGATGCTTGAGGGACAAAAGAAGACCCCATCTGCTATCCTGGAAAAGCAAAAAGGTAGCTGGTCATCTGCTGGAAGCTTAAAGAAAAATGTTTCAAAAAGATCCTGCATTCACTATTTACAATAGCAAAGACATGGAACCAACCCAAATGCCCATCAATGATAGAATGAATAAAGAAAATGTGGCACATATACACCATGGAATATTATGCAGCCATAAAAATAAATGAGATCATGTCCTTTGCGGTGACATGGATGAAGCTGGAAGCCAGAATTCTCAGCAAACTAACACAGGAACAGAAAACCAAACACTGCATGTTCTCATTCACAAGTGGGAGTTGAACAACGAGAACACATGGACACAGAGAGGGGAACATCACACACCAGGGCCTGTTGGTGGCGTGGGGGGCAAGGGGAGGGAGAGCATTAGGACAAATACCTAATGCATGCAGGGCTTAAAACCTAGGTGAAGGGTTTATAGATGCAGCAAACCACCATGGCACATGTATACCTATGTAACGAACCTGCACGTTTTGCACATATATCTCAGAATTTAAAGTTAAAAAAAAAAAAGACCCTGCATTTCAATCAAAGCTCCAGTGTGTGACTTGCAAGTAAGGTCCACATGCATATGACTGGGATCATACAAGAATTGCAAATTGATGAATTAAGACATAAAGTGTTCAGGGACTACAGACTTATCTATGCCCTGGCAAAAAGAAAAAATGAAAAAAAAAAAACACACACACACACAGACTGAAACTCTGTAGGGCCATCCATCCAGCACACGGTTTTCTCATAGAAAACACACAAATAATGAATCATCGAGATCATGAATCACTGTGAGGAAAACTCAGAAGACACAGAAAATGAAAGCATGAGCCCCTAACAGAGAGAACAAGTGTCACTATTTTTTTTTTGAGTTGGGTTTTCACTCTTTTTTCCTAGGCTGGAGTGCAATGGCGTGATCTTGGCTCACTGCAACCTCTGCCTCCTGGGTTCAAGTGATTCTCCTGCCTCAGCCTCCCGAGTAGCTGGGATTACAGGAATGCTCCACCATTCCTGGCTAATTTTGTATTTTTAGTAGAGACAGGATTTCATTATGTTGGCTAGGCTGGTTTTGAACTCCTGACCTCAAATGATGTGCCCCCCTCAGCCTCCCAAAGTGCTGGGATTACAGACATGAGCCACTGTGCCGGGCCAGTATCACTATTAAGGAGACTGTAGAGTATTGTGTTTCCATTACTTTAAGCTACCAAAGAAGAGCTAGGAATCCATTTTAAGTGAGATACACTTGAAAGAAATAAGTTATAATTTCTAAAAATGAGAACAACTCTAGTCACTCTGAGGTAAAGTTCAATGGACGGATTTCACAGTGAACTGAATATGTGTGAGAGAGATTTCATGAATGACGTACTGTGTGGCCCAGAGAGGTAGGAAGAAGGGAGGCCCAGGGAGGTGAGAAAGAGATAATAGAGTTCCTGAAGAAAGCATAAAAGCCACAATGAGGAGCTCTAGAAGATGGAATGAATCCACTGTCCAAGGCTTCATGAAAGAGACAGAGCTTTACTGAGGAATCCCAGAGTTCAAGTGACAGGGGTAGAAACACATTGACGCTAATATTCTGGTGGAACTGAAGAATCCCAAAGACAAGTCTTAGAAGCATCCAGGGAAAAGAGGGGCCTCTAAGGAGAGTGTCAGTGAGATAATCAGATCGACCTCATTAACACTAAGAGGGCCGGAAAGAAAGGAATATGATTGCCAATTACTGCCAGACGATAATCGTCCAGCAAGAATTCTGCACCCGGCAAGCAGTTATTAAAGGGTGAGGGTGGGGTAATGAGCAAAAAAAAATATACTAAGATGAATTGACCTTCACTGAAAAACTCACCAAAGGATGCACTTGAGTAAGGAGAAAATTAACCCAAATAAAAGGACTAGATGTAAGAAGCAATAGTGAACAAAGAAAGTGGCGAAACTCTTGGTTAATCTGAGCACACTGTGACTGTAGGAACAATAGTAATCAAGATGAATAATTTGGGGGTTAAAAGGAGGTGGAAAAATATTGAAAATAATATGAAATTTGAGATGTCCTTAGAGAGTTGGAGTAAAGAGTAGAGATATTGATTAACTTTAGACTTTTGTAGGTCAAGTATTCTTGTTGACATTTTAAGGGTAATCACCAAAAGAATATAAATAGAATACATAACTTACATAGAAACAGAGGAGAAAAAAGTAATAAAAAAGTAATCAATACAATACAAGATTGAAAAGGAGAAATAAAAAGAGCAAAGAACCGGCATGAAAAATCGTGAACACAAAATAATACAGTGGAAATGAATCCAACCGTAATACTAATTATATATCAATTGTTCAAAAATAAAGAGTTCTCAGAGTGCATATTTTTAGAAATCCAGTCATGTAGTGTTTAAGAGAAACATGCACAAAATAAAAATGACGTAGACAGATTGGAATAAAACAAATGGACAAAAGATATGCCGAATGTATCCATCAGAGTCCCACCCCCAAAATAGGCAGCAAGCACACAGAATAATTGAGGAGAGGCTGGGTGTGGTGGCACACACCTGTAATCCCAGCATTTTGGGAAGCCAAGGCAGGAGGACTGCTTGAACCCAGGAGTTTGAGACCAGCTTGGGCAACATAGTGAGACCGCGTCTCTACAAATAATAAAAAATTAGCTGGGCATGATGGTGTGCACCTGTAGTCCCATCTACTTGGGAGGCTGAGTTGGGAGGATCATTTGAGCCTGGGAGGTCAAGGCTGCAGTCAGCCATCATGGCACCACTGCACTCCAGCCTGAGCAACAGAGCAAGACCCTGTCCCAAAATAAAAAAAAGAATAAGTAGGATTGAGGAGAGTTAATGTACAAGCTATTTCCAGGGGTGGTGCAGCCGCAGGGCAGGTGAACATCAGCAGATGCTGCCTGCAGGTGTGAAGGGATGGGAAGGAGGGGACATTCCCTGGAGCCTGCAGGGCGAGTGCCCTGTAAAGTCGGCTGCCTTGAGAGGCACAGTGGGAACCCAAATGTGGGAGCAACCTGGCATCTTCCAGGAGTAGGGTGGGTAGGGAGAGGCAGACATCAATTCCCGACCCCTCCAACCTCTTCCTCTTGTCTCCTGTGGGCTCCTCAATGGCCAAAGCCATCTGGAAGCCAGACAACTTGGGAGCTGATGGTGTGGCCCATGCAGGTCCCCTCCTGGGGCGAGGATCAGGAAAGAGAGGATACTGAAGAGCCAGAAGGAAACACAGACATTCTGACACAAGGACTGATCCTAACCACGCTTCCCCTCCATCTCCAATGATCACAAAACAGTGCTTGATGTTAGCATTGGTTGAATGGACTCTAAGACAAACATATTAAGATTAAGGAAATATTTCACCATGAAAAAGATAGGTATCATCTCATCAGGGGTATAAAAATCCTGAATCTGTACACACACTTGTCAAGGTAGTGTCAAAGAGCACGATGAAGACATGGAGAGAATGGCAAAAGCAGCTTTTAAATCCACAATAGCCGTTGCAGGCTTTAGCAGGCTGCTCTCAGAGACTGATAGGTCAAGGAGATAATCTTGAGTAATGATCTGGAAGAGACGAGCAATATAATTAACAAGCGTCATCTTCCAGCCGAAGAGAAGCCGAGGCCTAGGCTGCAGGGGCCGTGGCGGGCAGCCGGGAGTGTCCTGCTGTTAAGTTCACAACTGAGAAAGCACCCACAGGCAGGAAACATACCCAGGGACTTCCTCCAGAGACCGTTGGACCTGCACTGAACACACTCCCCCAAGTGAACCACAGCAGAGAGGAAGCCGAATCACCAACTTAGGTATTAAGGCAGCTCTTCCAAAATCCAGACTAGGAGTCCTCCCTGAGCATGTCAGGCTGGCCATGTCACAGACTCCTAGCTCGGGACAATGCTCAGTGTCATTCTAGCCTACCAGCAGGGTTCCTGACTTGTCAAGTGAACCCTGGTGAATGTCACAGAGGTCAAATGAAATGATGAAATTCAGACCAGGCCGGAAAGACTTCTCTGCACAAGCTTCCAAGGAAGCTGAAAGCTGTCGCTGTGGGCTTGGATGTCTCAAGGGCTTGAGATGCCTGACAACAGTCTCAGGGAAGCTGAGGAGCAGAGATGAGGGCAAGGATCTGGGAGACAGAGAAGCAGGGATGCAGGACGAAGCAAGACAGTACAGCCCTGCAGGCAAGAACCTTCCAGAAGGTGGAATGCTGTGGGCCACTGTGATCCTCACGTCCCTAGGGTCAGGCTGCCCACTTCCTGCACCCCTGCAGGCTCCAGGGCGAGAAGAGAGGCCATTGGCAGGCCCCTCCTCTTCTGCAGACCCTTCTGAAGACTATGCCTTGAGGCCCAATTCTCATCTCCGCCTCGGCCCACACACATGGCTGAATACTCCTGATGCCGTCTCCAGCCGTGGCCTCTTCTCCGAGGTCACATGCTGGTGACCACCTCCTCTGAACATCACCGATATGCCTTCAGAACCTGCAACCCACGTCCTTCTTACTCTCTAACCAGCCTCTTTTACATTATTTTGAGGAAGAGCCGCCAACATGTGGCTGCTGAAAGGGAAACCCAGGCACTCTTGCTCTTTCACTCAACAGCCCGCACCTGCTGCAGAGGCAGATGCTGTGGCCTCCTCCGCCTCCTCTTCTCTGTCCTCCTCTCCATGCTCTCACAAGCGAGCCTGGCTTCCAGCTCATCCACCTGCCTGAGTGGACCTTGACACTCTTCTGCCCTCAGGTCCTCCCTTCCCAGGCCCCACCTCCACCCCGTCTGTCCCCTGATATAAGGGTCATCTAAACACAGGCACACCTGTCCCCAGTGTGGAAATTTGAATGGGACAAAATTCTGCACAACTGTTGGTCATGCTCACATCTTCAGGGGCGTGGGGAGTTTTGCTGTTGTTTTATTTGCTTTTTGGTTTTGTTTTGTGTTGCTCACGTTCTCACTTTTAGACATAGAATAAAATCCAAAGCTATCAGGGAGGCTGCCGTGTCAGTCCATGAGCCCTAAGTCAGTCCGGACCCCTGCTGTCCAAAGCAATGCATGAGAAATTAAAACACACCGGGAAGCCCAGACACATTTAAATCCACTCCCAATCACCGGTGCTTTATTCTGGGAAGCAAAACAGACAAATGAAGAGCACAGCACTAAGACTAACACCAGGCTCTTCATTCATAGATGTACTCCCTGCTTGTAACAGAGGCATTAAAATCAGTGGGTCAGTGTCAGGATACATGTGCCGCTGCTGCGCTCTCCGTTACCGCATTTAGTTCCTGAATGTTTGTAATCGTCCCCAGGCAGTGCCAGGTCTTAGAAGAAGTGACCTCAGAGGGAACAGAAGTTGGATAGAATATCTCAAGCTCATTTTGCAAGCATCAAATCTCTGAGCCTTTTCCAGACAATTCTTTCACCCTAATAGTCCCCCTTCCCTGTTAGAATTACGAGGCAAATATTTCAAGCATTTTAGAGAAACATTTTCAAGATAAGCACTTATAATTAAACAGTTATGATCGTAACAAATCATTCCTAACTATTCTAACAATGCAGTAATACACAGGGGTGAGAATGTGCTTTTGGTGTCAGAGAATCTCAGCTCATGTCCCAATTCGCCAACAACTCATTGTGAAATCTGCACAGATCATATATTCTCTCTAAGTGCATAGTATTGTTTTGTCTTGTTTTGTTTTATTTACAATAGGGATAAAAGACATACCTATCTCTTGGTAGTTTCATGTGTATAAAGGGTTAATAATGTGAAATACTTAGTACAGTGCTGAAGTATTAGAGGGATTCAACAGGGAGCTACTGTTCTTATGGGTTTATTAATATTGTTCATTAAAGCAAGTTTTCTAAAATAATTCTGCTACTCAAACTCTCAATAATTATGACTGTTTCTCCATGAATAATGAAGGTGAAGACATTAGCTACTAGTCCATCAATCCCATGTAGTCCTGCTTTTATTAGAGAAATACATTTTTGTTGAATAATCATTTTACGAGGATGTGAAAAAAAAAGCCACAGTGAGAATTGGGTTTGATTTGTTTGTTTTCCTTTGCTTTTAGCATGAAGACATTTTCCACTTCTGTCTAACAATGTTTATTCAACCCTTTGAGCAGCCTGTCATTGTTACACATGAACATACATTTCCCTTACTTTGAGCAGCCTAGAATGAGCAGTGCCATAAAAATACAAGAACCTAGGACACGCATGCTGAGAAACGAATGTTGATGAACACATTAGGTAGTACATAATGCCAGAGCATAGGATGTCTCTGCTCCTAACTTTCCACTTCCTCAGTGCCTTTCAGCTCACTCATTCGCTCACTCCCTCACTCTCATAGCATTATTAAGCACCTCCTATGCTTCGGATGCTAGGTTCAGAGATGGAGGTCTTACTGGTAGCACCAAACCCACCTACATGCAGTCAGTGTTGGAGAATGTGACGGGCAGTCAGAAACACAGAGGAAAGTATGAGGACTGTTGCCCAAAGTGTCCCAAGGCTCAAAGGAAGCTGGAAGGAAAAGATGTTTGAGATCCAGAGACACTGGGGATGGAAAGCCTGGGCGTGAGGTGAGGTACCCCCGTTGGGAGTGTTTTAGAGAATGAATATGTGAATGTACCCTGTCCCTCTTCTGCCGTGATTTCAGAGGCATTTACAAAAGGAAGTGAGGAAATGTAACAGACTCAAGCACCTTGATATCAATTCAGTTGAGCTCTGTGCACCTGAGGCTCAGGCCTGGGGCTTTCTAAGCATCCTGCCCTAAAATCAGGAATGAGAGATGAAACATCACTACAGCTACCACAGACAGTAACAGAAAAATAAGGGCATGTTATAAACAGCTTCACGCCAATAAATTCAAAAACTTAGGTGAAGTGGACAAAGTTCTTAAATGACACAAACTACCAAATTTCACTGAGGAAGAAATAGTTGATGTGCATAGCTCTGTTTCTGTCGAAGACATTGAAGCCGTACTTTGAAACCTTCTCACAAAGAAATTTGCCAGCCCCAGTGGCTTTAGTGGTGAGTTCTATCAAACATTTAAAGACGTGATGGTACCAATTCTATAGAAACTCTTAAAAACTGGAAAATGAAGGAACATTTAACACCTCGTTCTATGAAACCAACATATAACAAAACCAGGCAGAGAATTTGCAAGAAAACTACAGATCATAAATATATTAACAGTGATAAAATTTCTTATAAAATTGTTAGTTAATCAAACCCAGCAATTGAAAAAAGATAATATATTATGACCAAGGTTGATGCATTCCAGGAATGCAAAATTGGTTTAACATTTGAAAGCCAACCAATATATTTACCCAATATGGCTAAAATAATTAAAAGTTACATGATCCTATGAATAGATACAGAAAGCATTTGGTAAAGTCTGACACTTATTCATGACAACAACTCTCAGACTACTAGAAATAAAGAGAAAAAATCACAGAGGTTGGAAGGGAAGAAGAACCATCTCCAGCTTTAGTGACTTGATCATGTGTGTCAATAAATGTGAAGCAGTCTACACAAAAAGCTACTGAAACTAAGAAAAGTTTACTGGGTGGAGGAGAGTATATCAAAACCTATTGTGTTTTTATATGCAATCTACAATTATTTAGAAATTAATTTTAGTGCCTTTTACAATAGCATCAAAATACATGAAACATTCAATAATAAATTTAACAAAATACATTAAAAACATTAAAAGGAAAGTGCAATGGACCTATTATATCCAACTCAATTTTGAGTAAAAAATAATGAAGGACATCGATATTACTTAAGATTTATATAAAGTTACAGTAATCAAGAAAGTGTGATATTACCATAAAGAGAGACATGAAAATAATAGAACCTATTAGAGAACCCAGGAATAAACCTACATATAGGGAGTCAACTGAATTTCAACAAAGATGTCAAGGCAATTCAATGGAGAAACAAATCGTGCTGAAATAATTAGATATTTGTATGCAAAATTTAAAAAGCAAAGGAGATGTGTATCCTTACTTTACATCATATACAAAAATTAACTCAAATACTTCATAGACCTAAACATAAGAGCAAAAACTCTAAAACTTCTATAACATATTTGAGGAGAAAAGTCCTTGTGACCTTGGATTGGTCAGAGTTCTTAGATAGCATATCAAAAGTCTGAGCTATACCATTTCTAACATAAATACATAAATCGGACTTTTAAAATGTTTAAAATGTGCTGTTTCAAAGACGTTTTTAGGGAAAATGAAAAAGAAGCTTCAGACTGGGAAAAATAATTAAGTCATATATGTTATTTTAAAAAATCTTGTGTTTGCAAATAAAAAGTACTTTTACAACTTGATAATGAGACATAGAACAAGACAACCCAATAAAAATATAACGGGAAGAACATTTGAAGAAATGTGAAACAAAAGAGATATATATGGTAAATAAGTGCAATGAATAACCAGTGATTAATGCTCAACCTCATTAATCACCAGTTTATTCAAAATGAAATTAGTTATTTTAAGATCTGATAATAATACTAAGCATTGAGTATTGAAGTTGTGGAGCCATTGAAACTTTCATGCATTGTTTGCGGGAAAGCAAAACAGGAGTACAGCCACCTTGAAAAACAGGTGGCATTTTCTCATAAAGTTAAACATACACTTAACATGAGTCAAACATCCCACTCCTAAGCAGTTGCCTAAGGAAAATGAAAACACGTCTGCACAAAGAACTGTAACCGAATATGCACAGCTGCTTTATTCTTAATAGATGAAAATTGGAAACAGCCCAATGTTCATCATCTGATGGGTGCAAAGTCGGAGGGTGGCCTAGGCACACAATGGAATACTGCTCAGCACTAAACGAGGCAGACCAAGGACGCAGCCACCATGGGCAGATGGATCCCTGAGCGTGGGATCACGTGAAAGTCACCAGGCAGAAGCTAGTGAGCTGCAGGAGTGGTTCCGTTCACCTAAAATTCTAGAAAAGGCAAATCTGAGTCACAGGGGCAGGTCAGTGATTGCCAGGGTTGGGGGACGGATGGACTAGCATGAGGGACGAGGTGCCTTTTCGGTTGGGGAAATGCCCTAAGTCTTTATCATGGTGGCTGTCACACGGTATACACATATGCATGTCACACGGTATACGCATATGCATGTCACACGGTATACACATGTGCATGTCACACAGTATACACATATGCATGTCACATGGTATACATTCATCAAAATTCATCAGCTGTGCACTAAAGGAGGGTGAATTGGACTACATATAAACCTTACCTCAGTAAATATGTTATTTTAAAAAATCACTGCAGTGGTCAAATGAAGAAGGAATTAGAAAGATGGCCCAGGGTAAAAAGGATACCAGAAATGAGGCTACTGTGGAATCCCAGGATGAACATGGTAGCAGCAATGAGTGGTGGGAGTGGGAGGGTGGAAGAGAAAGATGCTGGTAATGTGAACTCAAAGTCAGTTTTCCCTTTAAGAAATTGAATACTTTTGGGGAAAATTCCATTCCTAACAGAAATGTTTAATGGTGACGTATGTTCCGTATTGAAAATATGATACATTGCATGCCAAACCAAAATGTCCCCAAAGTGCCCCTAACAATATCCTTTTGTTTTCCTCTAAGAGAAGTCACAACTTTTTTATGATGTGTTTCACCCCCTTGGCCCAATCTCTGCACAGGCAAACCTAGGCAGGACCCCTGAGCAGGAGCCCTGCTGTGTCCTGCCTCCGTCCTTCCTGCTAGAAGCCTCCCTAGGGGCCCAGCTTCACCTGAGCTTACAAAACATTCCCCCTCACCCAGCAGGAAGGCTTTCCAACCGCATCCCCTCCGAGAGGGGCAGGGGTCCCCTCTGTGCACTTTGCCTCCTGGGCAATTGTAGCTGCACATTAACCACTACATTCCAAGAGAAAATGAGACTCACTGAAATTTCAGATTGTTGAAAGTTCTTTGCCTTAAATGAAGTTAACCCTTCAACAGTCAGGATGTGCCTTTTTTATCTGCAGCCTCACTGGCTGTGAGTTCCATGGGAAGAGTAAAGAATGCTTATCAACTAACCCTCCAAAGAATGTATGGGCGTTTGGGTGGGAACTAAGAATCCACTCAGCTGCAGAGACTTCTCACATATGAATCCGTGTTCTTCCCAATATTTGGCTCTCATCCACTTAATTTTCAATACTCTAGACATTTTCCAATATACATTTGTGCACATGTCTCAATGATTTTTCTCTTTTTGCAACACTAAGCATTGATTTTTCTTCTCTGTGATTAAGTTATTCCAGATAGTCAGTAGATTGTGGGGGGAGAAGACATTTTATTAGTTAATAATTTCCTTACCAAACTATTTGACTCATGGCTGAATCATACATTTTTATGGGCTACTAGGCCATTGAATCAAAGGCAGAAGATCTGAAGCACATTTTCTGCTTTCTGCCATAATATTTTACCAACGAAGAAGCTTTGACCATTTCAAATATTTCAGTACCACTTTTTCTTATAAGCCTTCATTCAGCTGAAAATTCAGTGGACTATAAAATATTCACATCAATTATCACCAAAATAACCTGGAAAGGAAAATATTAGCTAACATATTTATAGTAGCTTGAATATATTTTTGGCTGCAATGTGTATTGCCTGCTCTTAAATCGGAATATGACCACGCAAAAAAGAATTTAGCAATAAAACATCAAAGAAAATGTAATGAGAGTTTAGTGATGCAAAAAATTATCTCTTTTTCTTATCCAGGTCCTTTACCTGAAGGAATAACCGAGAATCTCTGTCATACCCTGCTTTTCATAGGATAATAAAATCACAGCTGTCTTGCTTTTATTTATTCTTTCCCTGTGATGTTGCCATCCCCCAAATTCACTGTGTCCCTCCCAATATTTCTATGTTGATGTCCTCAACTCCACAAGTACAGAATAGGATTGTATTTCAAGATAGAGTCTTTAAAGGGGTAATGAAGGTAAAGTGTATTTCAAGATAGAGTAAACTGGAGACTGTATTTCAAGATAGAGTCTTGAAAGAGGTAATTAAGGTAAAGGGAGGTCATATCAGTGGGCCCTATTTAACATGACTGTGTCCTAACAGGAAGAGGAGATGAGGACATGGACACACAGAGGAAAGACCGTGTGAGGACATGGGAAGGAGACAGCCGGCTACAAGCCACGGAGAGAGGCCTCAGGAGAATCCAAGCCTGCAGATGCCTTGACCTTGGACTTGCAGCGTCCAAACTTGTGAGAATGTAACGCCTGTTTAAGCTCCTGGTCGGTGGTGTTGTGCCACGGCAGCCCCAGCAGACCGTCACAGGGCAATGGGTCTGGCCCTGGAGCCCCGGCCCCTCTGGGTAACAAAATGCAGCTCTGGAGTAGGAAGATGACGTGCTGGACTCTGAAGCCCGGTGGGCAGCCAAGCCCCTAGCAGGTTCTCATGCTTGTATTGTTGTGACTCTGAGACATGGGGTCCTCTTGCCTAAAGCCAAACCAGTGCCTGAGGGCTGACTCCAGCCCATCAAACTGAAGCTGTAAATGGGTTCCAGCTCTGACGATGGCGACCTCAAGCCCTCTGGCCACAGGGTGAGCTGGCTTGCTCAAAAGCAGCTCCAGTCATGTTTGAGAATCCCAGGTTGTGAATGTGGGTCTGCCTTGTCCCTGTGCCCCTGCTGTGGCCGCTGTGTGCCAGCATGAAGACCCAAATCCGCTTCCAGGAACAGCCCCTTCACCACTGCCCAGAAAGAGCCTTGGTGGACTCCTGGGAAGCCGGTGCAACAAGGCAGCCTGGGGGTCCTCTGCCAGCCCTGTGTGACCTGGGCCAGCACCAGGCTCCCCTAGCGCCCGAGATTCTCACAGGAAGGACCCTCTCCACTCCCTGCTTTCGGCTCCCTGTGTCCTGCCAACAGTCCTCCAGTTTCTCAGACACAATGGAGCCACAACCCACATTTAGAAGTTTAAAGAGATGTCTGCAGGCACTGTACAGTCACCCCTTCTCCCTTGAGGGGCCTCTGCTGATGCAGAGGGTCTCCACCTTCCAGGTCTGATTCTGACTGGCTGAGCTGTGTGCCTGCCCAGGCCGGTGTTGGGGATCTCCAGGCATCTAGGGTAGGAGAAGGAGAGCAGCTGTGCTGAGCTCAGAGGCTGGGGTGGAAGCTGGGCCGGGGGTGACCGCATCACTGGGGAGCAGGGAAGCTTGTGCACAGGGCAGAGGGGGGGCTGCCCCATTGTGTTCCCACCCAGTGGCCACTCGTGCATGGCCTGGATGGCTCTCATGTGGCCACTGATCAACCCTCCTAAACAAGAGTTCTCAACTCCCTTGAGCGTGTGTCTATTGTCGTCTACCCCTTGATTTCTAAGCAGAACTGTGGTCCCCTTGTGGAAGTACGGGCTGGCTCGGCCAGCTTCATCAATGCTGCTTCATGCTCTAGAGGCCAAGCTAGCCACTAAGAGTGACCAGTGCAGAGTGGAAGCTGGAGGAGAAATCTCCCCGCTGGAGGGTGAGCAGAGAAAGCGTCTTTAGAGCCCTGGTCACAGAGGCTGCAGGACCGGCTCTCAGCCCAGCACGCGTGGGCGCTTGGGGACCCAAATCTTCTAAAAATGCTTGAGGGCAGGAACGATGGCTCCTCCTTCATTTTCCTCTCTGAATTTGATGCTATTTCTCCAAATATTACATGTTCCATTTGGTCTAGGTTTCTCCATCCTTTTACCCCAATCCTAACCCCCAGAAAATAGAGGAGGCTTCTAATAGGATAGGCGACTTCTTCACCACCCTCTGCCCACGGACTTCAAGGCAGTCCAAGATCCAAACCCAAGGCAATGGAATGTGGCCATTCTCACTGCATGTGTCATGTAACCTTTGTATGAGACACAGCTGTTTCAAGTGTTATCATGTATCTGTACAAATTATACAAGATGGGTAGCTCGACAACATAGATGAAAGTGAAACAAATAGACTTCAAGCTCGCTTTAAGCTCTTTCGGAAACTCTATGTGGCAATTATCATAATAACGCTTAGCATCTTCAAAGCTACTTCAAAACAGTAGCGAATTAATCTCCACCACAGTGAAGTGAGGTAGGTGCACGGGTGCGCTATTATCACCTGTGATTTGCCTACAGGAAAACTAAGGAAAAGTGGTTATATGAATGCCCTGGACACCACACATACGCACATGCATGCACACACACACGCATGCACACACACACGCACACACACATGCACACACACACAGTGGAGTCAGAACCTCAGGCATCCAAGCGGTCCCTGTTCTTGGGGAAGGGGCGCCTAGCCCCATCAGCGGCTCTGTGATTTTAACGGGCTCTTCTTTCTTTCTAAGACGCACGCCTGGGCCACCTGACTCCACCCTCCACGCTTCTCCCTGGCAGGTCAAGCTCATGGCAGGCTCTCAACTGGGTGTCTGCACTCCTCTCTCCCAGGGGACTCTCGGTGACTTTGCATCTGCAAGTCTTCTCAGATCTGGTGCCATAATTATCTTTTGAACCAGCAAACAACAACCCATCTCCTTTCTCCTGTGAGCACTGATCTGGTATTGTGTCCTGTCCTCGGGCTGTTAGATGCCTGTGCCCTGTGTGCCTGACCCTCCCCCACATGCAGGTGGCCCGCTGGAGTCTTGGGTGGGCAATCTCCAAGGATCAGCCATGGGACTGCCGGAAGTGAGGTCTTAGATTCAGTAGATGGCACTCTTACCTCTGAATCAGCCGGCATCACTGTGGCTCTGCACAGGAACACCTGAGAAAGAGGAGACAACCTTGTTACATTCTGAATTTACAGTAGCAGAAATTTTGAAAGTGTGTCCTCTTATAGTGGAAATTATAAGCTCTTTGCAAGCTCCCTAAAGAGGCCTGCCCCTATATCCTTTGACTAACAACCTCTGAAAAATATGCAAAAGTACTGAAAGAAGTGGAAGTGGTTTGGGCTATGAAATAGTTCTTCTAGGAAAAGAACTTCCAGAAGGTTCTTTAAAGTGGCCCAGTCTTCAGCACCAGCATCATTAACTTAACTTCTGTTCACACATATCTCATCTCCCGTCAGCCCATGTTTTGGATAGACGCTTCCCTGTAGATAGTCTGTCTATTATCAGGTAATGCTATCTGTCCTGTGTACTATTCATTATTTTTGTCTCATTACCGGACAGAAAATAATTATGACAAAAATAATCAATGGTATAAGATACAAACTAGATAGCCAATTTATTAAGTAGCTTTGACATCTTTGCCATCTGTTTGTTTTTCTGATTTTTTACTTCTTGAAGTCTTAAGCTGCAAGAATAAGACAAATTAAAACTTCAAGAAGGCCTCTTGCCATGAGGATGCACAAAAATGAAAATCACCCCAATTCCATCAGGAAGCAGTACACTGTGAAGCTTGTGCTGGACTTCCTCCCGTGTTTTTAGTGAGGATTCCCATGGATGCAATGAGATAAATCAAATTTGATTAGGCTGAAAGCAATAGGTGACTTTACGAAGGCAAATTTTGGACTCCCTCAGAGTTCAGAATGAGCACCATTCAGGGGCCATCTGGAGCCAGGAGATGTGTGCTATCAGGACTTCCTCTCTCACCTGAGTGTCTGCAGATCTCTCTCTAGCGCATGTTGGAGAAGATGCCTAAGCCTCACAGAGCCCAAACTCAGAGCTCCCGATTTCCAAAGAACAGCCTCTCTGACTTGCATTTTCAATTCCCAGTGAAGGCTCTCCAGGGTCCAGGTGGGGTCATCTGACACACCAGAGGGCCAGTCATCTCTGCTGGGGCTCAGGACACACAGTGGCTCCCAAGCTACTAGAGAGAAGGGTTCAGTTCACAGAGGAAGCAGGTGTGTGTGTGCGTCTGTGTGTGTGTGTGTGTGTGTGTGTGTGTGTGTAAGATAGGGAGGAGTTGAAAAAAGCAGAGAGAGAGAATATGGGCATAGAAATAAATTGGCGCCACTACACAGGTTATTTTTATAATTACGTAAAGAAATTGTCTTTTTAATAAAAGTGACATCTTAGGACAGTGCTTAAATCTCCATCGCATTTCTTAAACTACGATTTGTTACATTTAGTAATTCCTAGATTTAATAGATTTAATGATGATGCATGCTTGAATTATTTCCATTTTTCTCTAAAAATCTGATGGAGTTGCCAGGAATGGCGTAGTTCTTCTTTCTTTTCCTTCCTTTCTTTCTTTCTTTCTTTCTTTCTTTCTTTCTTTCTTTCTTTCTTTCTTTCTTTCTTTCTTTCTTTCTTTCTTTCTTTCTTCCTTCCTTCCTTCCTTCCCTTTCTCCCTCCCTCCCTCCCTCCATCTCCCTTTCTCTCTCCCTTTCTCTCTTTTCTTTCTCTTTCTTTCTTTCTTTTCTTTCCCCCTTCCTTCCTTCCTTCCTTCCTTCCTTCCTTCCTTCCTTCCTTCCTTCCCTCCCTCCCTTCCTCCCTCCCTCCCTCCTGTCTTTTTCTTTCTTTCTTTCTTTCTTTCTCTTTCTTTCTTTCTTTCTTTCTTTCTTTCTTTCTTTCTTTCTTCCTTTTTTCTTCTTTTTCCTTCCTCTTCCTCTCTTTCTCTCTTTCTTTCTTCTTTCTTTCTTCTCTCTCTCTTTCTTTCATCTTTTTTTTTTTTTGACAGATTCTTGCTCTGTCGCCCAGGCTGGATTGCAGTGGTGTGATCTCGGCTCACTGCAACCTCCACCTCCCCGGTTCAAGCAATTCTCCTGCCTCAGCCTCCCATGTAGCTGGGATTACAGGCGCCCACCACCACGCCCAACTATTTTTTTTTTTTTTGTATTTTTAATAGAGACAGGGTTTCACCATGTTGGCCAAGCTGGTCTCAAACTCCACCGCACTCAGCCAGGGTTGGTTTTCGTGGCATTCCCTCAGCGGCCAGTAAATGAAATTTGGGCAAGAGGAACATGGGTCCCAGGGTGGCTGCCAGAGGTGCTGATCTGTCACCTGGCCAGGTCTGACTCTCACCTTTCCCCAGAATAGTGTGGAGAAACGTGGCAGGTCCTCTGCAAAAGCTCTTGGAATGAGTGGCTAAGGGAGCAGTGAGGTCTCCTCTTGCCTCTCCTCTAAGCTGAGCTGCACATTCTCTTGGGCCTTCCTTCCAGGAGGTGGTAAAGGAGAAGGGTCACTCCCATGGGATGGCTGGGAGCACTGGTCCCCGGAGAGGGCTTGGAGATGTGTGTGTGCTTCCTCTGTCTCTCTCTCTCTGTCTTCCTCTGTGACTCTCTCTGTCTCTCTTTGTCTCTCTGTTTCTCCATATCTCTCTGTTTCTCTCTGTCCCTCTCTCTCTTTCTCTTTGTTTCTATCTCCCTCTGTCTCTCTCTGTCTCTATGTGTCTCTCTGTCTCTGTCTCTCTTTATGTCTTTCTCTGTCTTTCTCACATTTTTCAGCCTTTGTTTTGCGCCCTGCCTGGCACGGTGTTCTTGTCCTCCCCAAGCGCTGCCACAGGCATGCGTGTGCATGACAGCGTTTGGGCCTGCTTCCTTCTTTTGAAGTCCTTCCTGGCTCTGATGTGCTAGAGAGTCATTGTGCTCTTGCACGTGCCCCTGCTGTGGGCGTCCAGGTCTCCATGAGTCCGTGACAGCTGCTGAACTGGGTTCTGCCCACAGTCCCTGGGCAGGGGTATGCTTGTCTCTAGGACTGAAGTCCAGAAGAGGGGCCGCTGGGCACAGGGCTGCACAGGTGGAAACTGGGAGGGTCCCAGCAGTGGAGCACAAAGAGCTGGATCAGCATAGGCACCCACTGATGCCACCTGGCTGTGTAATTCCCACTGAGCCCTCCCCAACAGGGATGTGATCAGATTTGGAAACCTTTATTTATATTGGTCTTGGTCCAACCCTTTCCTATTTCTTCTGGGTCTGGGACCTGTTCCCTGAGGCTGTCTTTGTCCACACACTGTTTTTCAACTCTCTCTTCTGTGCTGGCTTGTTTCTTTCACCATCTACACATGCTGACTTATTTTACTTGTCTCTCCTACACATGGGAAGTAAACTCGCAAATACATACTCATGCACACACTCATTTACACACTTTCATGCATGCCCACACACATGTACACACACAAGCTCATGCACACAAGCACGCACACACACACTCATGCACACACTAATTTACACATGTGCATGCATGCCCACACTCATGCACACACGCACACACATGCACTGTCGTTTGCCTGTGTGAAATGTTTTTCTTCTCTGTGAACTGCTTGTTCCTGAACATTCCATCTTCATGCAGGGTCCCCGCCCCTGCCAACCAGCTGACATGTTTTACAAAGGTCACCCCTGACTTCCTGATTGCCAAAGCTAATGGGAATTTTGGAAAATTCTACTTTCATTGTCAATGTTTGTCACTTACTGTGGAAACTCTTGCAGTTCTGTCTGTCTTTCTATTCTGCGGCTCCACCTGTTCCTGTTCCACTCTCTCTCTCCTCTCCTGGCCCTTCTCAAACTCTTCACAGTTGGGTTCCTCTGTGGAGACTGCACCCTCCCGTTTCCTCAGGGGCTCCCATGGCTGCTGTGGCCTCTGCTTCCACCTGCACAGCCCCGCAGTGTCACTGCCCAGCATCCCGCAGCAGCCTGGTGACATGAGGCATCCTTCCACTGTCCTTTCCATCTGTGGTGCTGCCTTGTTCTACCCACTGCCCGGTGGATGCCAGGGTCCATCTCGCCCATCCTGTCTCCCAGACTCTCCGTCTAGACAGGCTACTTTGTGTAACCCTGTCTTGTCTCCCCTAACTGAACTTCTTTCTCCCTGCAGTGCCTTCTCAGCCAGAAGGAGCTCCCGAACCCCAGCTCCGCTAATGTCCATCATGCCTCCACTAAAATGCACTTGGACTCCTCCCCAGGCATTTTCCATGACACACCCAGATCGGCCGCATCTCCCCCTCTGCTCCCTGGTCTGGCCTCCTCTGCACCCCATGGAGCCATGTTCGCTGCTCATGCCTCTTACTCTTCACTTACGCTTTGTTCACCTGTGTCTCCCTTCTCTGGGTGAGTTTCCTTATGCAGGTCTCTGTGCATGTTCATTCTCACATCTCACTTGCCAATGTGAATGGGCTGTCCCCATTCATTATTTGTTGAATGAGGGAATAAACCAAGAACTTGGTCAATTGATGAATCGAAAGATTCAGGCAGAGAGAGAGTGGAGATCCATTTCTAAGGGAGCTAAGCAGGAGAAGGTGAAAGCCAGTGCAAAGGGTCGATTTAAGGAAGAGATTCAGAACAAGCTGCCCTAAGTGTTAAAATATTGCAGAAACATTATCTAAATGCAATTCATTGGCTTTAAAAAAATGGAAGTTGTGTTCATTTTCTATTGCTGCAGTAACAAATCACCATACACTTAGTGACTGACAGAAGCAGACATTTATCACTGTACAGTAGACTGGGTCTTCTGATCCAGGAATCCTTGGATTCCTCCCTGAGCCTATCCCTGGGCCGTTATCCAAGTGAGACATTGATTTTGTCTCCTGGACATGGACTGGCACCTCTTCAGAGAAAGTGGTGAGGGGTAGGTGCTCTTATCTATTTTTACAGAGGAGAAAGCTTGAGGTTGAAAGATTAGGTGTTTTGTTCAAGGGCTTGCTTTATCCTGGGCCCAGAATAGTGTCTGATGTACATGAAATGTACACTATGATGGATGGATGGATGGATGGATGGATGGATGGATGGATGGATGGTTGAATATATGGGTGGAGGGTTGGGTGGACGGATAGGTGGAAGGATGAGTGGATGGACAGATAGATGAACAGGTAGATGAGTGGATGGATGGATGGATGATTAAGTGGATGGATGAATGAGTGGTTGGGTGGATGGGTGGTTGGGTAGACGGGTGCATGGATGACTGGGTGAGTGGGTGGATGGATGGATGGATAGATGGATAGACAGGTGAATGGGTGAGTGTGTCTATGTATGTATGGGTGGATGTGTGTATGAATGTATGGGTGGATGGGAGGTGGGTGTATAGAAGTTTGGGTGGATGGATGGGTTGATGGGTGGATAGATGGATGGATGGGTAGATGGGTGGATGGGTGGACGAGTGGATGGATGGAGGGATGGATGAATGGATGGATGGATAAAAATATGGATGGTTGGGTGAACAGATAAATGGATGGGTGAGTGGATTGACAGATGGATAGATGAACAGGTGGGTGAATGTGTGGATGGATGGACGGATGGGTGGTTGAGTGGATGGATGGCTGGGTGGATGGGTAGATAGATACTTGGGTAGATGGGTGAATGGGTGGATGGGTGGATGAACAGACAGACAGATGGATGGATGGATGGATGGATGGATGGATGGATGGATGAATGGATGGATGGTTTGGGTGGATGGATGGTTGGGTGGATGGGTGAATGGATGGGTGGTTGGGTGGATGGATACATGAACAGATGGACTGTTGGGTGGATGGCTGATTGGGTAGATGGTTGGTTAGACAGGTGGATGGATGTTTGGGTGAATGGGTGGATGGATGAATGTATGGGTGGAGGGATGGGTGGATGGATGGACGGATGGATGGATGGAGGGATAGATGGACAGATGAGTGGATAGATGGATGAATGGGTGGATAGGTAGATGGACAGACAGATAGGTAAATGGGTGGATGGATGGATAGATGGATGGATGGATGGATGGATGGATGGATGGATGGATGGTTGGATGGATGGATAGATGGATGGATGGATGGATGGATGGATGGATGGATGGATGGATGAGTGGATGGGTAGACGGGTGAATGCATGGATAGATGGGTGGGTGGAGAGATGGATAAATGAACAGGTTGGTGGATGGGTGGATGGATAGACAGGTGAATGGGTGGGTGGATAGGTGGTGGGGTGGATGGATGGTTGGGTGGATGGGCAGATATATTGGTGGTTGTATGGATAGGTGGATGGGCAGATATATTGGTGGGTGTATGGCTAGGTGGATGGGCAGATGGATAGATGACTGGATGGATGGATGGATGGATGGATGGATGGATGGGTGGATGGTTGGGTGGACGGGTTGATAGATGAGTGGGTGGGTGATTGGGTGGGTGGATGGGTGGATGAATGGATGAGTGAATGGGTTCTTGTGTGGATGGATGCATGAACCAATGGATAAGTGGGTGGATGAGTCAATGGATGGGTGGATGAGTGTTAGGTGGATTGGTAGATAGATGGATGGATGGATGAATGGCTCAAGTATTCTTAGTAAAAACTTAAAGTAACCCTAGATGTCCTGGTTTTCCCTTCCATACCACACCTCCTCATGGGTCCTAGAGGGAACTCAGGACTGGTCAGCATCCCTGTGCTGCTTTACTGAACAGGCGCTGGTTCTGGGTGCTGGAGATGCAGCTGGGAACCACAGTGTTTTCTCTCTGGGATCTCTTATTTTTGTCTCCTCTCAGTTCTTTCTACTCTAGGCTCTCCCTCTCCCCATGCACTGCCTTAAAGTGGAAATCACTTGTCGGCTCATGCACAACTCTGGTTTGAAGGAGTCTCTATCTGGGAACAGCTATCGCCCACCAGAAATGCTCTGGGCAGCCAAGGCAAGCCAGCCTCTCAAGGGCAAGAACCTTGTCCTCCTTTACTGGACGAGACCCGGCATGTCACCCCAGCGCACCTGGTGCCTTCCTGAGAGCCTGTGTTGGGGAAAACACAGAAGCCTTGTGTGGGTTGCTGGAAAGTAGCTTCTGTGCTTATTCTCATTCTCTGCACAAAATTTAACTTTCTTCCCAGTTGGTGGTTGGAGTCATCAGAGCCATTTGGCAGATAGTGTCTCCCACGTAGGGATGTAGGACCCACTTGGAGCAGTGGCCAGGAGCACATCCCGTGGACTCAGGTTGGGTCCTGGCTCTATTGGCCATGCAGCATGAGCAAGAAGCCTCAGTTTGCTCACCTGCAGATAGAGGAACAGGTGCCGGTACACGGTTACTGTGAAAGCAAAAGGAGACATGGATGAAGTCTTATTTCCTCTCCTTTCACTTCAGGTCACATGTGTATTTTTACTTTTGCTATTTGGGGAGTGGAGGAAGAGAGGTAACATGTGCATGCCTGAGTGAATGTAGGTGTGTTCCCTTGTGTGTGAGGTGAGGGTCAGGGCATGATGCCTGGACATGGGAACCCATCACAGCCATGCATAGGTGGTGGAGAGTGGAGGGCTTCGGAGTTAAGGCCTGGGCTGCAGGTGTGCTTCCTGCTCTCACTGCTGCCTGTCCCTGCCTCTGCTTTCCTCACCTTCTGAGAACAAACCAGGGCAAAGTGATGGCTGGAGTAAATGCTCTGGTCAATCCTGAGTGAACTGGGCCCTGGCATGTCCTCCGTGTAAACTTTCTCAAAGAGCCCTCTCCACCCACACACTCAGGAAAGGTGAATTTCTGTCGTGCCTGCATCCCCATCATTCGGGATCTGGTGTCACCCCCTCTGGCCCCCTGTGCCTCCTATGTGTGCCATTCTGGGCCATCTCCGTCCTTTCAGGGGCTGCTGGAGGGAGTGGTGGTCCCCGCTCATGTGGTGAAGAACTTCAGAAGCAGAAACCCAACTCCAGTCCTGCAGAACCAGAGAGGAAGTTTGGGACAATCAGGCCTTGACACCTCCTGAGACGTAGGGCTCATGCCTGGGCCACATTGGGCCCCTAAAGAAGAGCATGCGGTGGCCATCCCAGAAGGAGCAATCTGGGTTGGCTCCTGAGCACAGCATGGATTTCTCTTCCTCATCTGCACCCATCCTCCCAAGGGCAGAATTCTCAGGTGGCCCCAGTGCCCCAGGCTTTGTGCAGCTGCGGCCTTTGGAGGAAGGTGGAAGCTGTGACTGTGACCAGCGCCGTCCTCACGATTGTACTGGGCCACATGGAAAGGAAAGGCCCTGGGTGGGCCTGGCCTCATCAGGTGAGCCCTCGCAAAGCAGAGTTTTCCCCAGCTGGGGTATGAAAAGTAAGGAAGATAGACTAGGTAGGGCTGGCCTGACAGCGAGCACCTGCCCTATGGGCCACCTGTAGGGACCACAGGGAGGGGGCCTCAGAGGACTTCTAGGACCTAATTGTGGTTCCCAGGTGAAGCATGGCAAGAAAATGGAGACTTCAGTCCCACAACTTTAAAGAAGTGAACCTGCCAACAGCCAGTGAGCCTGAAAGAGCACCCCCCGCCACAGCTGTGAACGGCACCCCTGGCTGACACCTTGATCTAAACCCATAGAGAAGCTGAGCAGAAAATCGGGCCACACCGTGCCCAGACTTCTGACCCGCCGAACAGCCAGGTTATGAACACACGCTGTTTGAACCTGCTGTTTTTTATCACTTATTACTCAGCCATAGTGGATATTCTGGCTCTGAGTCTAGCCAGAATCCTAGAGATATCCCAAGGAACCTGGATTTAAGTATTTTGCAGATGGATGGGGTAATCCACCTGGCATTCTCTAACCTATGGCAGAGTAAGATTGGTCTTTTGGAAGCCTAATAATCCAAAATAATCAGCACACTGTTCCATTTAGTGTTCTCTTTTGGTGATTTGTTTTAAAACGTAATAAAAATCCTAAAAGGATGAATGAGTTCATATGAGTTTTTTGTTTTAAGATATCCAATAAGACGGCACAAAAATAATTAACATTAGAGGATACTGTGATTGCATGTAAGGCTTAGAACTACCTGTATTTTAACACTTTGAACACTGGACTTGCTGGATGGAATTCTGAAGGTATGTGGTACAACTAAATTCTCTAAATCTATTTACAGCTGGAACCCAGCAAGTGCACAGGGAAAGGACCCGGGTGGTGTGCCCCAGCCTTGGGGAGGCCATCCCGATGGCAGAGGACTCAGCGGTCTTCCCTTCGCCGCACCTGCCGTCTCTTCTGCTTGCTTTGCTATTTCACAAGAGCACTTATGAATGCACCTATTGAGAGAAAAGTGACCCTTTGATTTGCATTTATTATGTCTTTTACTAGGGACTTTTTCCTTTTGGTCACGGAAATAAAATATTAATTATTCCTCTGTGAGGATGTTCTGTGTGTGCCTGAGTTTTGGTGGCATCTTTCCTAGTTAACATTTGACCCACAGTCCATCAACATTAGCCCTGTCTGTCCAACACTTCTGTGAGCAGCCACAGCAGGTGACAGGAAGGGAAGAAAAGGCCTCCGCAAAGAGGAGTTCAGATACAGTGGCGTTCTCAGCGATGGTTCCAAGATGCCACTGCCAGAAAACAATGGACATGCCATTTGACCCAAACAGGACAAAGGGAGAACAAATGTGTTTTACTCAATGCAATGAAAAAATAGGATACAATTTGATGTCCTTAATTTGGTGGCGCCTGAAGATAGAGCGAGTTCTCTTTGGAAAACGTGGTGTAGGGTACTCATCACCAACCCGGGTGGAGTGATGAGCGTGCCTCTGTGTACACTTGGGTGGGGCTGTCTAATTCATGTAATGTGGCTCAATCGGGCTCCCTTGATTTGCTGCCAGCAATATTCTCATTTCCGTTCTGAGCTCACACTCAGCAGAGACTTACCTATTTTATTAAGCTGGTTCATAGGGATTTGACTGCACAAAAACATTTAAGTGCTTTCAACTCTTCAAGGTCCCTCTCTCCATCTGTCTTTGACATACATATTCTATTTAGAATATGGGGTGATAGCCAGTCTGTTTTGGCCAGGCATGTCTGAATAAGCCACACCTTTCCAAATTTACATTCTAATATTGTGCATTATCTCCATCTAGCTCTGATGACAGAAGCAGACGTGGTTTCCACAGCAAGCATGACTTCAAGTTCTTCCTGTTTCTTAATTGGGCTTCAATTTGTTCTCAGTGCCAAATTTCCAAAGCTCCTACATTCTTTACTCACCGTTTTTGTCTTTCTATCAATCAGCTATTTCCCAGACTTAATCGAATGCTGATAAAGGGTGCAGAGTTTTGTGTCATGCGCTGTTAGGAGACACAGGTGAGGGAGGGCAGAGACAGAGAGAGAGAGAGAGAGAGAGAGAGAGAGAGAGAGAGAGAGAGAATATTTGCTCCTGTTGAGATAGGATACAAGGCCTGCCCATGATCACAAAACTTTATTTTGTACAGCATAATGGTAAAAGAACTGACAAGGCACAACAGATGACAGTGTAAATGAATTAGCAATTGTAAGACACCAGAGAGCCACAGTGACTTTCTACGAGGCATTTCCAAAAGTCTAAACATTTCCTAAACAACGATAGGCAAAACTAGTGAATAGAAAACTCCCCCATCAAACTGCAGGGCAAACTCAGACACCTGATCTTGTCTTTTAACCAGTTGATGAACGCCAATTTATGAAGACGTTCACAGCCTCAGCCACTGATGGCACTGCAAGTCACCTAACTGGGTTTGGTGGAAACTCTGCCCTAGAGATGGTCCCAGTGTGTCCTGGCTGCCATGAAGCCCATGGCCTGTGACACCAAGATGCTTGGGCAATGGACTTGGGGGATGCGGCTGCTTTCCCCAGGGCTCCCCAGATTGCCTGGGACCAGGGCCATGGGGAAGGCACAGGGCCAACAGATCATTATAGCAATTCAAACCGTGCATTGTGACTTGCTTTTTGTAAATGGTGATACCTATTTCCAAAAGTTCCTTTGAGGAAAGCACAGATGCAGGTGTGTAATATGGGTGGTGCCTTCCATGGACAACGCAGGGAAATTCTGCAATCAGTGACTTAAGAATAACTATGCCAGCCAGGTGCGGTGGCTCACGCCTGTAATCCGAGCACCTCAGGAGGCCGAGGCGGGCGGATCACCTGAGGTCTGGAGTTCGAGACCAGCCTGGCCAACATGGTAAAACCCTGTCTCTGCTAAAAATACAAAAATTAGCCAGGCGTGGTGGTGCGCGCCTGTAATCCCAACTACTGGGGTGGCTGAGGCAAGAGAATTGGTTGAACCCAGGAGGCGGAGGTTGCAGTGAACCGAGATCACAACACTGCACTCCAGCCTGGGCGACAGGGTGAGACTCCGTCTCAAAAATGAAAAAAAAAAAGGAAAGCAAACCTGCTCACCCACTAAGCCAGTGATTCCCAACTTCAACAAGCAAGCCAGTCGGGAAGAAAGCCCAGGAAGGTTCTGACCCAGGAGGGGTGGTCTGGGAGCCAAGAACCCACCTTTCTCAGTCACCAGGCAGTGCTGCGGCAGCTTACCTGGGAAGCACTTTGAATGCCACCGTCCATAGAATGGGCCTAGTGCCCCGGTGTCCCCTTCACACATCCTGTGAAAATCCCGGGGGTCCCGGACATTCTGACTTTCTCCATTCCCCACACCTCCCTTTCCCCAGTGAAAAAATCCCTGCTGAGCTCTGGGCACTGGAACTGAGGCAGGGACGTGAGGTCTCTGTGGTTCCCGTGTCCTGGAGGCTGGGCGGCTCACATCAGACCAGCAAAGGAGCTGCAGCAGCACAGCACAGCTGAGGCTCTGCAGACAGGAGGGGGCCTCAGGGGAGTCACCGAGGGGGTTGCAGAGAAGGGTGCCAGGCCCTGACAGATGAGGCAGGGAGCACAGGCGAGGGAGGGCAGAAACCTTGGAAGGTAGAAGAAGGCGTCGACCCCTGAGAGACCCGTGCTGGGAGCTGAGGCCCCAGCAGAGCCCATGTGGGTGACCCAGTGAGAGCAGAGGGTGGCGATGGGGCCTGAGGGGTCCCAGGGAGGAGCGCAGGGCTTATCCTGAGGTCCAGGGAGGTTGCGATGAATTTGAAGCAGCCTCGTGACGTGAACGTTCTTCAAAGGTCCCTCCAGAGGATGGTAGCGAGTCGCTGGAGGGGCAGAGTGGACGTGGAAGGATGGTCCAGGGGCTGCCCCAGGTAGGAGATGGCAGCTTGGACAGAGGGGAGGCTGTGCAGGTGAGAGGAGCAGGTCATTTGAGAGGCTATTCCAGCTAAAACCTTGGGAATGCTGTTGGGTTGGATATTGGGAATGCGTCAGGGGAAAGGAGGAAAAGGAAGGAGCTTCAGGCTTGAGCACCAGGGTAAGCGGTTGCCCAGGACCCAGGCTGGGCCTGGGGGTGTGAGGGTAATCCCACCTGTGTCTTACAAAGAGGGGCTGGGATACTGCAGACTTCCCTCATGCAATCTCTCTACTTCCAGAGATGGCCTTTTCCCAGTGTAGATTGAGACCATCAAACTCTAAAATCTAGGAGGCGTCCGCACCATGACACCAGAGGAGTGTGGCTGGTACGATGGCCCTAGACCTTGGACTTGGGAGCCTCCACCCCAATGTGCACACTGGAATTTGCAGAACTGTCCCCAGCAAAATGCAGCCAGGTCCACAGCCTCTGAGCAGCTGCCGGCAGCCCGTCCGGTGCAGACGCTGTCTGACTCTGCTTGGAGAGCGGAGAGCGGGACGCTGCCTGCACATGCTGTGGGTTTTGTCTCTGGGCAGCTGCCCTGGGACCCAGCACCCAGGATGCAGTTTGTTTATGGGTACAGATGAGCACAGAGATAACTACAGCGGGGGAATTAGACATGTTTTCTGGACATGTCTTGTAACACAGAAGCCTCAGAGATGCTAACAGCACAGGGAGTTCTAGGAAGAGGTGTTGAGAGCCGCCTGGGGCTCCGCACCTGCACAGCCTCCTCCTGGGCGTGGCCAGCCCTGCCCGCCTCCATTCACTTCCCCACATCAGCACTGACTGTGGGAGTCCTGCTACTGGCCCCGGGCCATCAGTCTCAGCGCTTAGCTCTAAAACTTTGGTCAAATTGGCAAAGCAAAGGGGCCCCTCTAAGCAGCCGGTGGCAGATTCCATGTCCTGCCTGGCCCTGCAGAGCCCCCTCTCCCGCCTCTCAGCTCGGCAGGGCCAGGCTGTCTCAGCCCTGCAAGAGAATCTGAAACACTCGGGCAGCACCACCCTGCAAAGGTCCTGAGCATTGTGTCATTAGACAGGGAGAGCACTGCGCTTACCTGTAAATGAGGTGTGGCCAAGTTTGGGCTTTGGAGCAGGAAGCAAGCTCATTCTGTTCTTGAGTGATGCTGCTTATGATTTAATATAAACTACGATACAAACATCGGAAAGTAACCCAAAGAAC
This sequence comes from Homo sapiens, assembly GCF_000001405.40. Taxonomy (NCBI): domain Eukaryota; kingdom Metazoa; phylum Chordata; class Mammalia; order Primates; family Hominidae; genus Homo; species Homo sapiens. The sequence goes on from NC_000005.10 coordinate 2,592,659, forward strand.
CATTTCCTCTTCTGAGACTTACACATAAATTATATATGCACCGTATACAAATAATACTACTAAAATTGAGCCTAAGAATTGATCTTCCAAGTATCCTGGGGTGGGGGGAAACAGGGTAAAATGAACTGCCTTTTTAGAAACATCGTAGTCTTCATCGATGCTACTTTTTATAGAGTACGACACATTTTACCCTTGGAGAGAAGGGTGCTGGTAGGGTGTGGAGGCTGAACGTGTAAGATTTCTTTTAATTGCATGAAACACATAACCCTTTAATAAGTTAATATGACGATGCCTCCAGGCCCTCCGCCGTATTCCTGTGAGGACGCATTGACCCACTTCCAGCCCACTCATCCATTTCTCTATAATGATGTCACTTCTAATTCACTTAACACTTTAATTAAACCAAACAAGCAACCTTGCCAGAGACGGATATCTTGTAAGGGATTTCTAATGACAACGAGTTTTGGAAGTGATTAATGTATGGACAGGTGTAAACCTTTCAACTTAATCATTCATTGGAATGATTTTAATTCATGGAGAAAGATAAAATGATATAGGTTGAAAATTACAACTCCAATCATTCAAAGTCTATTTGCCTCAAAGAAAGCCTGTGTGTGTTTCTGTGTGTGTGTGTGTGAGAGAGAGAGTGGTGTGTGTGTGTGTGGTGTGTGTGGTACATGTGTGGTATGAGTGCAGGGCGTGTATGTGTGGTGTGTGCATGGTTGTATATATGTGCTCTGTGTATGTGTGTGGGCTGTGTGTGTGAAAGTGCGGTGTGTGTGATGTGTGTGTGGTGTGTGTCTAAGAACACAGATGGGGTATTTCTCATCTGTGCGAGCTGTCTACCGGCCACACTCACAGCAGTCGGCAGTGTGGGTTAAGGGGGATTTGACTTTGCCTGAGAGCAGCAGCAGTTAGAAAGTTCAGAGCCACCCACTCCTGTAAACCAGGTTCCTTTCTCTACCTACAGAGTGAGAACAACTCTTTGGGGTGGGGGCCATGTCCCTTTTTTGCTGGAGAATCTGAATTTTCCACAAAAAAAGACCCTGAGTAGCAGATGGAGGCCTCCCAGCTCCTCACTCAGCCCCGCTGCCAGAGAAGCGTGGCTCTCCCGTGTTAGGCGGGGCCAAGAGGGCGCGGCGATGCCCCGGGCAGTGGCACACGCAGCACAGGGCCCCTCCACTTGGGACCAGGTTCAGAAGCAAGGCCCAGCCATTTCTGTCCAGGGCGCTCAGCTGAGCATGCTCTGATTGAGAAGGCAAGAGGTGCCACTTTTAAAAATAATTGAGATGTCTTCATTTAAACAACAACAAAGCCTAAAAGATGGGTTTCACTTGAGTCCCCAGAGGCAGAGCCTGGGACAGGTCTGTGGGCAGGTGACGCAGGCAGCACTGAGGGGACCTGTGGATCCCAGGGATGGGGAGGAGAATGTGAGTGGGGGAGCTGCGCCTCTTCCCTGGGAGCTGCGGGGGCCAGGGCAGCACAGACGCACTCCCCTGGGGCCAGTGGACAAACAGACATACATAGACATATACAGACGCACAGAGATACACAGAGATACACAGACAGATGCACACAGACACACAGAGTCACACAGGCACAGACAAACACACGGATACACACAGACACACACAGACACATACAGATGCACAGAGATACACACAGACACACAGAGATACACAGGCACAGACAGACGCACAGAGATACACACAGACACACAGAGATACACAGACAGACGCACACAGACACACAGACTCACACAGGCACAGACAGGTGCACAGAGATACACACAGACACACAGAGATACACAGACAGACACACACAGATACACAGACTTACACAGGCACAGACACACACAGATACACAGACTTACACAGGCACAGACACACACAGACACACATGACACACAAACACACAAAGACACAGACACACTCAGACACACACAGACATACAGACAGACACACACACAGACACATATGGGCACGCAGACACACAGAGATGCATAGACAGACACATACAGACAGACAGACATGCAGAGATACACAGATAGAAACACACAGATATATAGACATGGACACATACAGACACAAAGACACACACAGACACATACAGACACACAGACACACATAGACACACACAAATAAACATACACATGCAGATACATAGACACATACAGATACATAGACACACAGACACACTCAGACACAGAGACACATACAGATACACAGACACACTCAGATATATAGGCACACAGACACATAGACAATATACACACAGATACATAGACACACACAGATACACAGACGCACACACACAGATAAACACAGATGCACACACACAAACAGAAACACAGATACACAGAGAAACAGACACAGACACACAGACACAGACACACCCACACACTTAATGCTCTGTGACCAGAATCAATAGGGGGCATGTTAGCAAAGAAAAGAAATGGTCTAGAAGTCTTTTTTCATATATGGTTCTAAAATTTAAACTTTGTATGCAAATTTGACAACTTAATATCTCAACACTTGGAGACTAAAATATAACTTCTAAGGAAGCCAAAATGTTTTTGAGTTTACACCTCAACAAAAGCCTTTATTGGCTTATTCTCAGCTGTAATGTGATGAACCTCAACGAAAGAAAGAACGTGGTGAAGATTACATCACTCTTAGTTATGGTACATGAATTAATTTTAATTAACTGGAAGGCGACCCTGTTAACAAAGTAGCCAATTATTTAAAAATGTAGTATGAGTGTACCGCATTTCTATGTTAATCAGTTATCACGGTCACAAATGACTGAATGTAGAAAGGTATTCTGATTTACAAATAAGCTTTTATTCTAAAAATTAGATTACAAATGCATTATTTCAATAGAAAGAATTGGCAAAGAAAAATCCAAAGAGAAAAAAATAGTAGCAGCAACAAGCTTTTCCTTTAGGTTATATTTTTCTTTAAAATTAGATAGATTATTCAAGTAAAATCAGTTATATATCCATAATTTAGAAAATTTTAAAAAGCATAGGAAGATAAAATGTCTCCTGTAGTCTCACACTTCAAATATCTTTGAACTATTCATATATATAAATATACACACACACATATATATATACGTATATACATATACGTATATATACATATATACACTCATATACATATATATATTCATATTACTATGGCTATTTTTGTTGGAAATTGATTCTATGTTATCTGTACAGTTTCTTAAAATACTTTTTCTTTTATAAATAAGGTAATTTATAATTTTCCCTCAATGCATAGGATAGCATTTCTTTATAAAATTAAACATGGTTCTGAAATATTATTTCAGTGTCTGTGTAATAGTCTATATTTTGTGTGTTCCAAACATTTTAAATAAATATTCTATGGTGGGGCATAATTATTTTTAATAAATATAAAATTAAAATTATCTTTACTCTTAACTTTTTGACATCTTTTGAAACAAAAATAAAAATCTGTTTTCACCTCTGATTATTTCTTTATAGTAAATTCCTAAAAGTAGATTCACAAGTTCCTAATATATGGTTCTTTAAATGGTTCTTCACGCATATTTTCTAAAAATTTTCTAGAAATGTTGCCAAATTCGACTTTCATCGGCACCGTGAATACGGCAGAAAACTGTACACCGTTCTTGGGAGACTCTCCCTGTTCCGCAGCCAGTCTTGCTACCACTTTCACTTCTGTTTTATGTACTTGTCGATTTGAAAAAAAGAAAAAAGTCGGCCAAATATTTTAATGATTAGTGTCTATATGTATATTTTGTTATCCTTACATTGATTTTAAAAATGGTTCAATTTAATATGTAAAACTTCATTATATATTTAGGATACTTATCACAATTAAGTTACGTATGTTGCAAGTACATTTTCCCAATGGGCTATTTTTTTTTTCATTTTCCTTTGGTAGTTTTAGATTTCAGAGACATTAATTTTAGTGTATTTTAAGACAAGTTAAAGAATTAAGAACCTGATAAAATATATGAATGGTAGAGAAAAAAAAACAACAACAACACAATCATAAAGGCTGAGATACAAGGTGATAGACCTTAAGAAAGATCAAGAAAACAAGGAAGGAATCATTTACAAGGAAGGAATCATTTTTAAAAAGACTAAGCTAGAAGTAACACAGGGTGAGTAAACACAACAGAGAGTAGCTTAAAAGAAATAGAAGGCGAAATGAAGGAAATATTAACAAGCGAAAAAGAAATGAAGAGAATGTTGAAGAGAATTTGAAAGAAAATGACACTAACAGAAAAAGATCAAGGAGGATCTGACCCAATTAGAAGAGGAGCCCAGAAGCCGGGGGCGCAACGGCTCAGGCTTGTAATCCCAGCACTTTGAGAGGCCAAGGCAAGCGGATCATGACATAAGGAGCTCGAGACCAGCCTGGCCATCATGGTGAAACCCCGTGTCTACTGAAGATACGGAAAAAAAAATTAGCCGGGCGTGGTGGTGTGCACCTGCAATCCCAGCTACTCAGGAGGCTGAGGCAGGAGAATCACTTGAACCCAGGAGGCAGAGGTTGCAGTGAGCCGAGATCACACCACTGCACTCCAGCCTGGGCAACAACAACAAAAAAGAAGCCCAGAAGAAGGAAGCAAAGCAAGGGGGCAGAAGAACAAGATATAGGACAACTTCTGAAAAACAGAAGTCTTACAGCTATGTATTTAAAAGTCCACTTAGTGGAAAAAGAAGAAAAAACATCATGATGACCAATATTGAAATATTTTAATGTCAAGCTACTGGGCTTTAAAGAAAACCACCAACAACAAAAACTCTTTTGAATTCAAAGTGAAAAATTAAGCCTCCTATGAAAAAATAGAAAATCAGATTGTCATACAAATTTTTGATAGCAAAACTTTATGCCAAAAATAATAGAAACTTTTAAAGTATTCAAAGATAGAAGTGAGTAATGGATTTGATATCCAGCTAAACTAGTGCTTAAATATAAAATACATTTTTAAAACTAGTTATCAATATGCAAAAACTTAGGATGTATTGCTCTACTGAGCACTGAAAATTCTCTTAGAAAATTAGTTTCAGACAGCCAATATTACTAAAACATTCTGTATAAGAACTGTTTGTGAGCATTAAATGTTTAATTGTAGAACAAAGAAAAGTAATAATGATAAGGTGTAGATTATAGTGTGTAATGGCTATATGCTTGGAAAATGTAGATAAATTACAACCATTAAAACTGAGCGATGATGAACAGATCCTATGAAAAATGACATTGCCTTAAAGCTATTAATGGGAAAACAAGGATATTACTTCTTATCAGAGGCCAGAGAGATAAACGAGAAAGAAAAGGATGAAGTTTATAGTTAATGTAACTATTGTTTCTCCTAGGATAAAGAGAAATAAAAGGGAAGATGATAGAAAGAAATTGATATAAAGATTGATATAAAGCTAACTAGAACACAAATATAAACTAAAGTTAAACCCAAAAATAAACTAAAAAGAGAGAGACGCGAAAAGAAAAAATTACAAACCATATAATGAATAAGTCTGTACAAGTCTCATGTGTCTATAATCATAGAAAAGAATGATTAACATAACAGTATAACACTGACTCTAGATAGAGTGCCTGTATCTATCAGCTTAAGTCACTCATTAAAGGATAAATATTGTTCAAATAACCCAGCAAAGCTAAATCCCAAATTATGCTTCGTAGTACAGACACATCTAAAACAGAAACCCAGAAAGACTGAAAAGGTAATGATAGACAAAGATACACCAGGCAAACACACATATAAAAGCAAGAGATGCAATTTTTGTATCTGACTAAGGAGCATTAAAGGGAAAGAAATCACTTTAAACTTCTGTAGGCTACAAGTCTCCATTAAGACATAACAGCGAGTAATATCCACAGCTTGTTAACAGCTCTGGCAAAGCATGAACTGGAGAAGATGTGAGGAGAAACAGACAAAATCACCCTAATAAAGTAGGTATTAGTACATTTCTATCTGTGCAGGTGAGATAGATGGACAGTGTATACATAAGAATGTAGATGACTTAAATAACAGACTCAGCAGAAAAATCTTACAGATTGAACTTGAATTCCCAATAATAAGAGAATGAAGCTTCTCTTCAAGACCACATGCAGGACTGATAATGTCTCAGTCCACTACAAAAAAACCCAATAAATTCCAAAATGTAGGAAAAAACATAACCAGAATTCTCCAATCATAACACAATGAAAATACAATGAATTCTTTTAAACAAAAAGTACTCTTCCACCTTTACATTTTGTAATTTATCACTAAATAAATTATAAATTAAAAGGAAAATTTTTAAAGAATACAGAATTTCTTGAAAGTACATGTTATTAGAATCTATGAGCTATAACTAAAATAGTTACTAGGTGATAAAGAAATGAATTAAATAACAATATCAACAAAAATTGCTAAAGTAAAAATAAGTAAATGAAAGACCCAATTCAAAAAGCAAGATCAGGCCGGGCACTGTGGCTCACGCCTGTAATCCCAGCACTTTGGGAGGCCGAGGTGGGTGGATCATGAGGTCAGGAGATCGAGACCATCCTGGCTAACAAGGTGAAACCCCGTCTCTACTAAAAATACAAAAAATTAGCCGGGCGCGGTGGCGGGCGCCTGTAGTCCCAGCTACTCGGGAGGCTGAGGCAGGAGAATGGCGTGAACCCGGGAGGCGGAGCTTGCAGTGAGCCGAGATTGTGCCACTGCAGTCCGCAGTCCGGCCTGGGCGACAGAGCGAGACTCCGTCTCAAAAAAAAAAAAAAAAGCAAGATCAAGAACATCACAGTAAACCAAGAGCAGGGGGTAGAGAGGATAAGGAAGCAGGCGTGAGCAAATGGGTTACCTATCTTTACCATCTGCAGGACTTACCAACTGAAAATTGATTTATTAAAACACCAAATTAGCTAACTTACTCAAAAAAGTGTAAGGGGGAAATGAGGAGAGCACTAATACAAAAAATTAAAAATGAGATAGAAGTAACATTCAAAGTGATATTTAAAAAAAATGCACAAGAAACTACTTTGCACAAATCTATAAAAACATTAAAACCAGTCACAAATTGATACAAGAATACTACTTACTGAAATCGACCCCAGTAGAGATAGAAAGTCTAATAAGGCAATAACTGGAAAAGATAACAACTAGAGAAGACACCCATACAAAAGAACCATAAACCACTTATATGGTTTCTCAGAGAAGATCTACCAAATCTTTAAAGATGATATCATTCCAACTACTTCAGAGCAGAGAAAAAGAAGGAAATCTTACAAATCCATTTTGTGATTTATAACACTGATGTAAAACTTAAGAACTACTTAATTCAAATAAAACCTGCTGAACACTCTATAAATATCAGTGCAAAAAGCCTTAAAAAGAAATGTAGGAAACAAAATACACAATACATTCTAAACATGACAACATAGCTGATTTAGAAAATTACAAATATATAAAGGTTGTTCAATATTAGAAAAGTCATCAAATAGAGATACGCAGAAAAATTATACAGTCATCTTCAGATATGTAAAAAAGATATTTAATAAAATTTATCACAATTGATATTGAAAACACTCAAAAGTAGGAAGATTAGTAATTATTAAATAGTATTAAATGTTGCCTATAAAAGTCAGAAGGAAAACCTTATGTCCACTGTCTCTACTACTATTTCATACTGTATTTTAAAGACAGCCAAAATTTGTGTGTATATTTTGCTTACATTTCTTGCTGATCCATTACCCACACATATGCACGCTATGATCCAAGCAGCCCTACTTAAGCTAAAAGAATTAAACTCATAGTTAAATCATTGTCCTCCCAGCAGAGATATAATGTGCATTTTGACTCTGTCAAGTTAATTGCATAGGTAAAAATAAAGCAAAAGTCTTCTGAGGCACTTCAAACAATTTAGTATTTCTACAACATATTCTTTACAACATTTGGGATGAAGAAACAGGAGGATATGTCAAGTTCTCTAGAGAGAAGGAAATGAATGAGGAACAACCTCATGATCCCAATGTTGCAATCAGCAGACATGAGTTTAAAAGAAGCAATTGTCACTGCTCAAGAATGTAAAGGAAAATATGTTTACAATGAACACAAAGATAGTAGGTATTAGCAGAAAAACATAAACTAAAACAAAATAGAAGACAAAGTTTTAAGTTGAAAATTACAATATCTGAAAATTTTTTAAAATCAGTGAATGGGCCTAACAGTGGAATGGACATGACAGAAAATTAGTGGATTTGTTTTTTAAAAAAATCAATAGAAATTTTTCAACTTAAGAATAGAGAGAAAAGAAAAAAGATTGATAGGATCTAAGGAGAATATCATCAACAGGACTTAAGATGCAGATATTGGAGTCACAAAAGAAAAATGAAGAGAGACTAAGGAAGAATACACACACACACACACACATATATAAAATCAAATAAATATATAATGAAATATATATATATATATAAAGAAAACAATGGCTAAAGTTTTCCCAAATGTGCACAAACACATAAATGTACAGATTTGTGAATCTTAGTGGACCCCAGCAAAACAAATACAAAGATACAAAGGCAAGCACATTACAGACATTACTTGGAAAACCAAAGTAAACAGAAAATCTTCAGAGCAGCTTGAGAAAAATGACACATTGCATGAGGAGGAACTATGATCCAGTGTTCACTAACTTCTAATATAAAGCAACGGAGACCAGGAGACAGTGGAATAACACTCATCAAACACTGGAAGGTTAAAATTACTCAGGTTCATCTAGAATTCTACATTCAGCTAAAAGTGCTCAAGAAGAAGGCAAAATAAAGATATCATCAAATAAAAAGAAAACTAGGAATATATGTTGTGAGCAGACCTGCCCTACTAGAAATGCTAAATGAAGTTCCTCACGCTAAAGAAAGCGATTCCAGATGGAAACTCAGCTCTTCAAGAAAAAGTAAAGGGATTGGAAATGTCAGGAGAATCCGCAGCAGCAGTGCAAAATGCGAAGAAGGGCTTGGACCACACTGACGCAGTTTCTCCTTCAGGGACCTGATTACTTTTTGAAAATCTGTTTTCTTCCCTTTTTCTCTCTGATGATGTTTCTCTCCTTGGCCTTTTCACCAGCTTTGGGGAAATATTTCCGGAGTTTCTCATCGATAAACCTGACTCAATGTTTGCCGATGGCTTGACCCTTCCTGTTCTGTCTGCTTCTTCATCACCCTCAGGTGCTATTTCTTTTCTCATTCTCCTCTGAACTCCCTCCTCTCTGCACCTTCATTTCTCTTCACTAATTTTTTAGTTCCTTGTTTGTATTTTCTTCATACTCAGAGAGAGCACAAAGAAAATTCTAATTGCACGTACCTTAGACTTCCTTTAGGAAACTTCTTTTTCAAAATATATTCTTTCCCTATCTTAGGTCTATGCATACACCCTCTTTGTAACAAAGCAGGATGTTTTTATAAGTTCCACCCTGGTTTCTCTCAATTTACCTGCTTTCATAGGAGCATGTCTTGGTGTGCCACTATGGTGGGTTCTCTACACAGGTGCACCGGAGCCACTGGAAGTGTCTTCATGGCAAAGGTGGAGGGCTGGGTGTTAAGCTCAGATTCCCTGCCCAGTGATGCCACAGCCTAGGAAAAATGGGGGAAATCTGGAGACTTGGATAGAACCAACCAGATTCGTCCTTCCAGGCACTTTCCTTATGTTTACTAAAACGGCTTTTCCAGGAACCAGTGTCCTCCAGGTAGAGCCTATGTAGAGAATCTTCTACTCTGGGTTTTTTTGTGTGATCAAGTTGACTTTTCTGTATGGCTTTGCTGTCTCTTGGGTTTGAGAACAGCTCCACTGGGTCAGGAAGGAGACCTCCAGGTTGACAGAAATCTGCACCCAGGAAAAACCAGTTACACTGATGTTTTCACTGGGAGTCACCCCTCTCGCCCCAGGAACTGCTAGCACAGCTGCTTCTGAATTCTATCAGTCTGTCCCTAAAGAGGATGTGGGCGTCCAGATGGTGCCCCTTCAATTTCTTCCAGGTCTAACTCATTCATTGGAGGAGTCTTAGGAGCCCTGCCAGGAGGCAGGAGTGTCTTCCACGGAGGCAACTTGTCAGTGCTCAGGGCTTCTTTTCATCCAGCCCCATCTGCATTTTATGTAGAAGAAATTCATTATCATTTCTGGCACTCTGACGAGGCCCTTTCCTGGATTCCAGCAGTAAGTCTATTTTTAACTTCCTTTGATTATCACTCTTAGTTTGAGGAGAGGCATATTGGACATCTGGGCTTACATAGCCATCTCTAGAAAAAGGGGTGGTTCGGCTTCTTAGAGACTTATTTCCTTCCTACACATCAAACAAAGAATTTCAGGAACTTAATATCAAACCAGTGATTTTTTTTATATAAATACATATTGTATTTTCAACTTACTGATGGAAATGTATGAATATTACCAAACAGAGCTTCCTTTTCATGCTCATAGTCATCGCTGATGTATAAATAATTCATTTTAAAACACACACATACACTGTCTCATACTTTGCTGGACACCTGGATTCTTCTACCGGATAGTCACTGACCCCACCAGACAACTCTGCAGCCCCCACCCTCCTATGCTTTAAAGACAGCATCATGCCCATGGACAAGAGCATGTCTGTGCTATTAGGAAATGTTTCCAAAAGTGAGATCTGGACCAACTGAGGGGACCCTTCAGATGAGACGCCTGAGCCTGACTCCCATTTGTCACAATCCCTTTCCCAGTAGGAAACCTGGCAGGGCTTCTTGGCCTAATACGGATCCCAGCTGAGTTGAGTCGGAGCCCAGCCCTTGACCCTGTAACCTGGTGTGGGCTTCTGCCTGCATCTTTCAACTTCCCTCGGCCAGCCCATTCCTAACTGTGCCTTCTCCAGTCCTACTCGGAATGGAGAGTTGAAAATCCCCTGGTCCTAAGAGAGGGATCAACATTAACTCTCACTTTCTCAAATACACAGGAACTTCTCTGACCTTTTAGCCCTTGAAGCTCTGTAAATACCCACCCCTCCAAGGGGCAAGAAAGCCAGTGAATCTGTGTTTTGGTTTCAGGCCCTCCATGCAAAACCAGATGCATTTGTTAGGACTCCTATGCAATAGTTTATTAGTTTCTATAAGAAGGACAATATATATTTATAGCTGTATAATATGTTTAGACCCACATGTATATACTTATATATATGTACACATACACAGACACACACACCCCCCTACATCACAGAGATATTCTGGGAATTAATGAAATAAATAATAGTTCTTAAAAGCACTTACTTATTGAGACAATATGTTATATAAATATTTGTAAAAGGCTCTATTTCTAGTTTATTAGATAGCTTAGGAGTTATCAGGCAATTATGGCAAGAGGAATATGTTGTATCCAATTCCAGAAAACATTTGTTAATTGCCACTGATGTTGCCTTAGGAACTCCATTAGTAAAATTGTCTATTCCTAAATCACTGGTAGAAAAGCAAATCAGAGTTAGGCTTGTAATGTTTTCAGATTGTCACATTCCCTTCTGGCCTGGATAAGCCAGGAAATTATTGTATTACGCACCGAAAGTATCAGCTCAAAACCCATATGGGAACACAGAGCATGAGAATAAATAACACGTGCAAATCCATATTGAGGAGAAACTTCACTCTAGAGTTAATGAAACCAAAACCTATAAAACCCATGTATCCAGTTTTATTAGAATCTAATGTGCCAAATATGTACTTTATATTTTGTTGATCACCTATTTATACCTACAAGGTTTTTCTATAGAGTCTTTTCGTTAAACCAATGACTTCCTTGATAACAGGCTGGACCTCCACCTTGTCCATTTGCACTCACTATTCCCGCAGAGGCTGTGAGTGTCATGGAGCTAGTGCAGTAGACAGACCATTCCGCGTCAGTTGGTGAATTACATTAATTGATTTTCAACTGTTAATCAACCTTGCTTTTCTGGGATTAAATATACCAAAGCATTATATATAAATTGCTGGATTCAATTTACTAGTTTTTTATAAAAGATTTGTGTGTCTAGTTTCATGAGGAATACTGTCTTTTCAATTTTTGTAAAAGAAAAGATTTTATAAAATAATTCTCAGCACTCTCAGCTTTACAAAATAAGTTGGGAAGCCGCTCTCTCTTCTGTATTTCCTGAAAGTGTTTGCAGAAGATTGCCATGGAAGAGAGGACACCACACATTCTAGAAATATTAAGAGGATATTTTATATCATTTAGAGTTAATTGTCTCCGGGACGTGTAGTTCTGTTACCACTTTCATTACTCTTTTTAGGAGATTTTTTAAAAATATTTTCAAATAACTAACTTTTGACTTTTTAATTTTTTGTATATTTTTCAATTTTCTATTTAATTGATGTCCACTTTAATTTTTTCTTTTGCTTACAGTAAATCTAATCTACATTTGTTTTTCTTGATGTCCACTTTAATCTTTTCTTTTGCTTACACTAAATTTAATCTATATTTCTTTTTCTAACTTAATTTGGTAACATAGATCAGTAATTTTAAATTTTCTTTCATTATTGGGCAAATATTTTATGATTAGAAAATGATTATTACTTATGTAAGATATTTTAATAAAATTATGCAGAAATTGTGCAGAAACACACACACACTCCTCTGTAGATCATTCCAGTTCTTGATGTAAGCAGTGTGCTAATCCCAGATGCCGATGTGTTTGACTTTCATGAAGTGTGCCGGCTCCAGTTGTTGGGCTGGGCATCTTTGCAGTTTCAGTGGTGCTGTGGGCTGCCTCTGTTTTTCTCTGTATTTCAATCATTCCTTTGAGTTCTTAGCATGCAACATTCTACGCCTCAAGTAGTGTTGGCTATTTATCAACATGCACACATTCAATTGCTAGACAGGTTTACTGACCTAAACTACAATGGATTCTATGTAAAAAATAATATTAGCCAGCAGTTTTGATGTTGGGTTTATGTTTTTGCTCAAATGTTCAGTACTTTGCCCAAGTGCTGAGGGCAATACTACATGGGGAGCTTTTATTCAAAGTTCTCACATTGTTCTTGATCAAAACACAGTCCTTTTTCTTATAAAGGGTTTGAAAACTAAATCATTTCAGACACTGATCTCTGTGTGGATCTAAATAAACTGAAAGGAAATTAGCAATAACATATTCATTACTTTAATGATTACCATGCAAATATAGATTATTTTATAAATACAGAGTCCACATCTTTCATGTGTGAAAAGATGATGAATCTCTGAGCATTGCAGAGGCTGCTTCCTCATAGGGGAAGAGCCACGCATTTCTGTGCCCTGCCAGTCCATGCCCAGGGTGTTGCTCATTGTCTTCGGTGCAAACGGTTCCTAGTTAGAGATTGTTAATTTCCACTCCATGGCTAATATGCAACCCTGTAGGCCATTTCATAATTCCTAAAAATACAGTTTCCGGGAGTTCAGAATTCATCCAACATACCTTACTAATAAGAAATCCTTCATTCAAGAATTGAATGTCTTGGACACAAATGGGCCTCAGTAAATAATTAGTGTACGTATGAATCCCTGGAGTCCCAGCCATTTATGTTCCTTATCATTGGTGAACCTTTATATTGCCCAGCAACAATGAACCTTTAAGATCTGTTATTTAAAGAAGAAGAGGTACAGATTTTCAGCAATCCACACATAAGGATCTTCCGTGGTCAATGCCAACCCCTTCCTCCACTGTCTGTTTGCATAGCACAACAATGCTTGCAGATGGAAAGGGGCCCTGACCCACCAAGGAGCCCTCCAAACAGAGGGTTGACCTGTGTGAAATGGTCAATGCAATTGACAAAAGGTGGGAAAAAGATGAGAGGGGTCAAAGATATGAACCTTTCTATTCCATTGGCCCAATCTGGTATCCCATGGAAGTGAAAGATTTTCAGCACAAGATTTAGCTTCTACCAAGATCACCAGACGCAAACTTACTCATTCGTAAAAATGATTCATTCATTCACTCAAAAAACACACACTGAGTCCTTGGGTGCCAGGTGCTCCTCCAGCGGCTGCAGACCTAGCCTGAAGCAGGGCACTGCCCCTGGTTTAAGCACCTCCTTTGCCTGTTATTCTGTTTTCCCTCCACTGTCAAAGAATCTGGGGGGACTTCCTCGGCGTCCTGGACTAAGGCTTCTTATGTTTACATTTCAGCTCGGTGTCACCTACAGCAGAGTTAGTGCCACACCTCATACATAGCACCCTCAGTAAACTCAAGCCATAATTTCTGCATCGACAGGTTGGGGTGCCCATCCTGAGGTCACCGAGGTGCACCGTCACTGACATCGCAGCACCAGGGACCCTGCAGGGTCCTTCAGCCCCCTGCTCCATCTGCCTGGTGTGGTCAGCACCTGGATCACAAACTCTGACCTCCTCATGGTGTGTTATATGCTGTATTCTCAAGCCATGGGGGACACTCTGCATTCACTGTAGGTGCACTGATGGCTCATTCTTTTGGGTGAAAACAAATGTGTAAACAGCCCAAGAAGCCCTGGGATGGAGTGGATTGAAGACCCCTCGCAGATGTAAAATGTGTGGTTGCAGAGCAAGGCAGAGGTGAGTGGGGTGCGATGCCTCCACCGCTTGATTCTTGAGTGGGTGGCCCAGTGAGGAGTCGGGCGGGGGCCGCTCGAGCTGGGCTTGGGGCTCTCCACAGAAGCTCCTTCATGCTAATGAGTCACTTGGCTAAAATGAAGAAATGAGAAGAGGAAATAACAGTCATGCCTTCACTTTTTCTAGATAGATAATCGCTAAAAATCAGCAATAAAATAAACTTCCCATGTGTTAGATGAAGCAAATATGCTCAGAAAACAGAAAGCAGAGGCAAGGTGGCTTTGCTGGAGGGCTTTTGGCAGAGAGACTCCGCCTCCCACAGAAACTCCCCCGGCTTCCCAAGCCCAGAGTGTTCTGGGAATGGCAGGGTCATAATTTTGTTTTTAATGGTGTTTAATGGCCTTGCCTTTGATATTCATTTGCTCTTGTTCTTCATGTAAATTCAGTTTCAACTCTGTATAAATGATGATACCTCACTTATGCCATTCTGGATAACACTGGAAAATCTTTTGTGCTGTAGCAGGAGCCTACGCTATGGGGAGGCTCAGCTAGGAAACAGTGACCACAGGAAGATAGTCACCGCGTGTTAGAGGGAGTGCAGAACCCACAGTGAGTGCTCGAGTTTTGCTCTTAAGAACCATGAGAAAGTAACTTCTTCTACGGGATATTAAGTACACACATTTAGTGTCGGCATCAAATAGAAATTACCACAAATTGGAAGCTTCTCAGGTCATTCATCCATTTTAAAGGCAAATTAAAGTTATATGACAGTAATAAAATGACAAATTTTAAAGGATCCATTAATCATGGAATATATTTCAGTGTAAAATTTATCATAATCATTTATTTGGGGTTTTCTCAATTATTCTTAATTTTTCTAATTTTAGAATATTTGGGGCACAGAGTTACTGCTTATTAACATGAAAACTGCTGAAATGTTCAGCCCTGGGTTCCGTGACATGTATGTCACTGAATAATAGACACTGTGTGACCTGCTTCTTGATGCTGGGTAGCAGTAAGTGAGCTCTCTTAGTGGGATTCAGCAAATGGTCAGACCATCTGTTTTTAACCTATTTGTATTGACTTACTGCCGCATTCCTCATGCTATATGTTTATTTCTTTATGAACCTGAATGTAGTCAATTCTCTCCTGTGGGTCAGATAAGAGGCCGGCAAATTCTTAGTATAAAAGACCAATTAATAAATATTTTTAGTGTTGCAGCCTTCACAAGACTCTACTCTGCCTTTGTAGCCTGAAATTAGTCACGGACAGTCCATGAATGAATGGGAGTCTCCAAAGAACTTGACCTCCAAAGGCAGATGCTGGCCGGCTTTAGCTTGTGGGAACCTCACTGACCCCTGTGCTGGAAGAATGTGATAATTTCCTGCCCAAGAGGAGCTTATGGTGTTGCGGGGAGGAGGGGTTGGGAGAATGAGTCCCAGGGGACCTTACAGGGGCCGGGAGAGGTCAGCCCACGGGAGTCACCAGCATGTGCAGGTACAGAGAACCAACAGGAGGACAGCCTCATGTTGAGTTTTAAAGATAAGTATTTTATTTAAAATACAATTACGGCTGGGTGCGGTGGCTCACACCTGTAATCCCAGCACTTTGGGAGGCCGAGGTGGGCGGATCACGAGGTCAAGAGATCGAGACCATCCTGGCCAACATGGTGAAAGCCTGCCTTTACTAAAACACGAAAAATTAGCCAGGCATGGTGGTGCACGGCTGTGGTCCCAGCTACTTGGGAGGCTGAAGTGGGAGAATCACTTGAACCCTGGGAGGCAGAGTTGAAGTGAGCCGAGATCACGCTACTGCACTCCATCCTGGGTGACAGCGAGACTCTGTCTCAAAAAAAAAAAAAAAAAAAGGAAAAAAATACAATTACATGTTATCATTATTCCAATTTTAATTACCAACCAGTGAAAACAAAATGAGCTAGGAAATTCACTGATGAAAATTAGACAGAAGCAGTAAACACTGGAGCTCAGCGTCTGGGGTATTTTCTGGACATGGATTGTCGCTACTTTCTTGCTAAGCACCAACTGAGGCTAGAATGTGTGCAGGTGCACAGCTAGGCATCAGGGAGGTAGCCATGCACCAGGTGGACTGGGTCATCATCTTCATGGTGCTGGCCTTCTGGTAGGAGAACGGGAATGGACAGACAAGTCAGGTACCTGGGTTTCAGATTGTGCGCTGTGGGAATTTAGAGCAAGCTAGGAGGACCTGGGGCAGCAAGAACAAAATCCCCAAACCAAGTGTATCTTTTGCTGTGTCAAAGAAGAGCAGAGGCCAGGACAGCAAGAGCAGAGAGTGGGGAGGAGAGCATGGGACGTGAGACCTGGGAGGGCAAGGTGGGCCTGCGAATTGCGTGTAAATGAGATGACAGCCAAGGAAGATTTTGCACCAAGGAGGAAACGGCCCAAACCTCATCAGCTTGATAAGAGCTCACTCCAGCTGATGTGTGGAGGGCCAGCTCCAGAAGGCATGCATGGACGCAGGACAGAGGTAAGGGTCTCTTATGGTGGCCCAGGTGGCCGGCAATGGTGGCCTGACCCCAGGGTGTGAATGATGTCTCATGGGTCCATCTCAGGAGCCTGGATGTTCCCACCCCAGGGGCCCCACCTTTCAGGATGCCTGAGACTCAGCTGCTGACAACAATCACAGATTCCCTGCCTCCTCTCTGTGATTTGCCTACCCCTGTGTAACAAATCAACCCAACACTGTGAAGCTGGAAAGAGCAAGTGTTCATCTCACACAGTTCCTTGGGGGCGGGGGGGGGGGGGGCGGGGGTTGGAATCCAGAATGGCTTAGCCACCTGATTGTGGCTTGGAGCTTTTTAGGAAGTCAGAGTCACCTTCAGGCGCCCTGAAGGGTCTGCTTCCAGAGTGGCCCCTCATGCAGCTGTGGTGGGAGCCTCAGTGGCTCAGCACGTGGCCTCTCCCCAGGGCTGCTTGAGCATCCTCCTGACATGGCGGCTGGCTTCCCCAAGTAAATGACCCACACCAGGCAGAGGTCATGATGTGGTTTGTGACCTGGGCTGGCAGGGCCACACGGTCACTCTGTGCCTACTGCTGTCACACAGACCAAGTCTAATACCCTGGGGCTGCCTGAGGGCATGACCCCCAGGCAGGAGGCTGTACAGGAGGCTGTACCTCCAGAGCCACCCCGAAGGCCAACAACTGCCCTCCCCATTCTCACTGGTTGGGTCTGAGTTGAGGCCCAGAGGTCTGCATTTTAAATAAGATGCTGTTTTATTTTGATTCAGAGAACATTTGGATCTTGCTTTGAGAAACTCCAGTGTGGATGAAGACATCCCATTAAAGAATTTGAACTGGAAAGAACCAGCATGTGAGACTTGAGTATCAGGAAGAAAATCGTCCTCCCACTACCACTTCCAGCAGCAACCATGCCACAGTTCCCACAGCCCACTCGGATGCTGCACAATTATCGTATGCCATCAGCTCAGGTCTATTTCAAATCAAGCCATCATGGGCTCCCCCAGTGGGAAAACTACTGTAGCTGTATCTTCTCTGGCTCTGGGTGTTGCAAGCAGGCCTAAGCCAGTTTAGAAGATATAGGTGCTTTGTGGTAGCTAACTATAGCTATGGAACGCTTTAGATGGGTGAGAGTCAACTCACCAATTCCCTAACCTCATAATGTAATTATATTGAAAAAACATTAGACTCAATTAGGCTACACCCGTGAAACCTATTAAATATGCCTTATTAACAAGCAGGTGTAAAAGTTCCTATAACCTGTTCTGTAGGCTTAATGAAGTCCCAGCCACTTCCTTGAAGTGAGATGAGTCTGGACCTTGCAAACAGCAACACTTTTCAAAAGCACCGGGAACTATTAACAATGACACCAAGACACTATGTGTAACCAGAAGGTCCTGGACAGAGTAGCAAACATACTCGCTGTGCTGGTGAATTGGATGGGTCAACGGGGCTCAGCGGTTGCATCAGGTACCAGCATAGATATTGCTGTAAAGGTATTTGTAGATGCCATTAGCATTAAATCAGAAGACTCTGAGTGTAGCCAAGTACCCTCCGTAGTGTGGGTGAGCCTCTTCCAATCAGTGGAAAGCCTTAAGAGCAAAGAGTCAGGTTTTCCAGGAAGAAGCAATTCTTTTATATATATGTATATTTTTATTATACTTTAAGTTCTAGGGTACATGTGCAGCTACCTGTGTTTCCAGCTAGAACTTTCCCTCAGCAAAGCAGAGACATCGACACTTGAGCTGTTAATCAAGAAAGCTTAATTTCCCTTAGTATTTTCTTCCAATAGAATCAGTTGGTATCGAGAAAGAAACTTCTCATTTTCAGTTTGTGGGTGCTTGTTTCCAGGAAAGGTCTTTGTAAGAGAATTGGACTTAACTGTCCAAAGTATTCAGAATTCAGAAATAAAAATTCCACACTTAAAAAGCAAAACTGACTGAAATGTGTCACCTCTTTCTGGCAACTCTGACGTGGAGAGAAATGTCAGGAGCTGCTGCTGATCTGTGGCTGCTGGGAAAGAGGAGGCTCTGAGTGAGCTCCAAAGCTTGCAGCAGCTGAGCTCCCGGCATCAGGGACCTGCAAGTATCTAGAACATGTGAATAACGGTGCATTTCAATTACCCTATGATCACAAGACACAGATTTGTAACCCAAAGAAATCCATAAATCACAGAGGGAGGAAAAATCCTGGGGTCACGCATCCTTAACTCCGCACCACGGAACCCCTGAGCCCAGCTCTGTGGCGTCTCACTGTGTGACCCTGGGCAGAGTATTTAGGCCTCTTCTCCCCCATAAATCAAGACACTTGTACCTAATTACAGACTTGTCTTGAGGATCAAATCAAGCAACCCACATAAAACACTTAGGACAGTGTCTAGTTTGCAGCGTGTGCTCAGAGAATATCTCTTGGTATTATTTGAAAGTCATCCAAAAACTTCAAGCCTGCATGATCAGAATAGACGCTGCACAATGACAGGACAAGTAACAAATGGATTTCAAATTTTAAAGACTCCCAAATTAAATCATGAAATTTCAGAAAACACTGACTTTTGGGTGGAAACGGATTACCGACTCGTTTGTAAAGGCCTTGTGGATCTTGTAGGATTCCTGAGCTACAACCGGAGAGATTAACTGGTGATTGTGGTCTACTCTCATTTTGCCAGTGATAAAAACCAAGAACAGAAAAAGTCCTTGGTTCCCCTGGTCTCCTAGCAAGCCAGTGGCAGAGATCGATTCCAAATGAGCCCCTAACGTTGGCTGAGGATGGTCTTCCGTCCCCACTGCTCAAACCACGGGTCCTGGTGATGTTTCTCCCCTTCATCGACTCCTTTTCTGAAGCTCTCACCCTCTCACGCTGCCCTCCCTGGGCCTTCATTTTACATGCCCTATTTCCTACTGAACGCTTACTGAACAAGAGTGTTATTTCCCCAACAAGGGAAAAAAAAAAAGTCAGGAGGGAAGGGACCATGGCAACTACTCATTTGATATGGCCTTGACCTTTCAACACTGGTCTCTAGAGAAGAGAGAGAGCAGTAAATTGATGAGACATAAAATGTCTGCTCCAAATCTTCTCCTTTGAACAGAACACAGAGGAGCTGGCTGGTGAGCAGTAAGTTCTCATCTTTTAAGGACTCTCTGTGTTGTCAACTAGCTCCACAAGAGAAGGAAGTGACATCTGCAGGCGGAAGACCGTCTATTGGGCTGGCTTTCTCAGGCATCAGCTGTTTGCAGATGGAGGGTCTGTGTGGCTCTGTCTTCAGGCTTGTTGAGAAGTTGAAGGCTCTTCCCCAGGTGGAGATTTCGGTGGGGTGTCAGGGTCGTGGACCCCGAGGTTGAGGTAGAATGGTACCACTTGCTAAAGAAACCCGGGGGTGCTGTGGCGGCTCTGAGGAGCTAACCCATCCCATTGGCCTCCTGCTGGGGACCTGCCCCTACTCCCTGTGGCCATGTCCCAGAAGCCCTGCCTCCTCTTGCGTCTCAGAGGCTAAGTCACCCCTACCACCTTGGAAAACAGGAAATCTCTAGCCCCCTCCTGCCTCGGCTCCCAGGGCCCTGCATTCCCGTCTTACCTGCCTCTGTGCCCACTGTTGCTTCTTCCTTTCTGTTGATGAGGCCTTTGGCAGGGAGGGGTTCCAGAGTCCTCTGTCTGGGCAGGATCTCCCCCCTTCCTACTCCACAGGGACCCCGTAACTCCTTCACCCTCCCTTCCCCTCACCCTCTGCCTTCCCTCCAGCCTTGTCCTTTGGACCAATAAACACACTGGAGCCTTTCTGTTCTTAAAAAACAAATGTCCCACAGTCCAGTCAAACCATCCTCGGCCCTCCCTCCCTGCACAGTCAAACCCCCGGAAGAAAAACACTCATTATTTCTCTCTATTTCCTCAGCATTTCTCTCTCCACTCAACATTGTCTGGCTTCTTTTCCTGGAAATATCAGACACTGCCCTGGCCAAGGTCTTTGTTTTAACTTTAAGTTCCGGGATGCATGTGCAGAAGGTGCAGGTTTGTTACATGGTTATACGTGTGCCATGGTGGTTTGCTGCACCTATTGACCCATCCTTTATGTTCCCTCCCCTTGCCTCCCACCCCCTAACAGGTCCTGGTGTGTGTTGTTCCCCTCCCTGTGTCCATGTGTTCTCATTGTTCAACTCCCACCTATGAGTGAGAACATGCTATGTTTGGTTTTCTGTTCCTGTGTTAGTTGGCTGAGAATTCTGGCTTCTAGCTCCATCCATGTCCCTGCAAAGGACCCGATCTCATTTCTTTTTATGGCTGCATAGTATTCCATGGTGTATATGTACCACATTTTCTTTATTCAGTCTATCATTGATGGGCATTTGGGTTGGTTCCATGTCTTTGCTATTGTAAATAGTGCTGTAATAAACATATGTGTGCATGTGTCTTTATAGTAGAATGATTTATATTCCTTTGGGTGTATACCCAATAATGGGATTGCTAGGTCAAATGGTATTTCTGGTTCTAGAATCTTGAGGAATTGCCATCTGTCTTCCACAATGGTTGAACTAATTTACACTCCCACCAACAGTGTAAAAGTGTTCCTATTTTTCCACAGCCTCGCCAGCATCTGTTGTTTCTTGACTTTTTAATAATTACCATTTTGACTGGCATGAGATGCTATCTCATTGTGGTTTTGATTTGCATTTCTCTAATGATTGGTGATGTTGAGCATTTTTTCATATGTTTGTGGGCTGCATAAGTGTCTTCTTTTGAGAAGTGTCTGCTCATATCCCCGGCCAAGGTGTTTGGAGAACTCCACCTACCTTAACCCACCAGGTCCTCCCAGCCTCACCTGCCATACTCACCAAGGCTGGCTGAATGCTGCTTCCTGAAACTTTCTTTTCTGTGGTCTCCAAGTCACAGCTTTTCATACTTCCTCCTTTGTCTTTCTTTCTGGAATCTTCTCCAGCCTCCTCTCCTCCCGCTATCTATAAACCTCGGTACGGCCCAGAGTTGCATTTAGGGAAACAGCTAATGCAGCTCCACAAGTGGACAGGTTCCGAGGGATGCGCTGGTGGCAGCAGGACCCTGCCTCCGGCCACGGCATGCTTCCACTGGGCCTCCCCTCCCGCACATGGGACAGCAGGTCTGAAGCCATCATGCCAAGTTCTGACCTTCTTTGTGTTATGTTTTGCTTCAATCACGTCTTAACACAAACGGGATGCGTGAAGAAAATTAGAGCCCATAAAAATCCTGACATTGAAGTATTTTTTCACTACTTTATAAGGCCTTTCAGGATTTTAGGATTATAGTTACAGTAATAGAATCTTCTGAATGATTGCATTGTCATATTTTTCACATGAAAATAAAGTTGAGCCAAATATTTTGAAACACCTAAATAATCTGGGCATTGAAAATTTTTCTTCTATAGATTATTATGTGATCCTCATTAAGTTTATTGTGAGTAATAACTATAATAAGAACTTGCTGAAGTCTTTGGAAAAGTCTTTGTATAAATGAGGAGTTGGGGGAAAATATATCATGTAGGAGCTTTAATATTAAGGAATTAAGTTATCCCTTATATATAGGCAGGGATATTATGGTGAAATCCTATCTCTATTGAAAATACAAAAATTAGCTGGGCATGGTGGCACACGTCTGTAGTTCCAGCTACTAGGGAGGCTTAGGCAGGAGAATCACTTGAAACTGGGAGGTGGAGGTTGCAGTGTGCCAAGATCTCGCCACTGCACTCCAACCTGGCAACAAAGCGAGAATCTGTCTCAAAAGAAAAAAAAATACTTCTGATAGTATTTGTTCTCAACATATTCAACTTTTTAATATGCCAGGCCTTTTGTAAACATTATCACATGTAATCCCTCAAGCAACTCTGAGGTTGAAATTATGCATTGCCCATTTACTGATGAATAAACTGAAAAGAGCTTAAATAATGTGCCCAAGATTACCAGGTCGATAGAATATCACAGAAACATCACTCTCTAATTTTCAGAATGACCTTTCATATCAACTATAAGCTGAGAAAGGAGTATTCAAATGATTCTAACTCATAATGTTTAAATTTATAGAACAGAGCCCAATAGACACTATGCTAAACCCAGAGAACCAGTTAAAATCCTGAAAGTGGACTATTGGTGGCTGTTCCAGTTATCTACCTCTTTGTAACAAATTATTACACAGTTAATAGGTTAAAACAACAGCCAGCTTATTATTTTGCACAACACTAGCACCAGGAATTTGGACAGGGCTCAGCTGGACCATTCTTCTGCTCCAGGCTGTGTTAACTGAGATGACTTGGTGGTTTTCGCCTGGCAAATTACTTGGTCATAAAGTTCAAGACAACTTCTCTCATACACTATGTATTTTGGTGGGGACAGATGGAAGGCTCGACTTGGCCAGGACTTTCATCCAGAGAGCCTACTCATGGTGTGTCTGGTCTCTGGCAAGATAGGCTCGAGCTATTTCAGTTTCTCTCATGGTGGCTCAAGAGTTCCGCAGAGTGTTTTCAGACACAGAAAGTGGAAGCTGCCAGTTTCTTAAGACTCAGGTCTGATAATTTCTGCCACATTATTTTGGTCAAAGCAGTCACTAAGGCAAGTCAATAATCAAGGAGAGAGAGGGGAATTAAATGCCACCTCCCCATGGGTAAAGACAAAAAAATCTGTGGCTATCTTGAATCCACCACAATGAGCACCAGAGCTCTTTTGATATTTGGGCAACCAAGTGCAAGCCTTTTGAGGTCATGTCTATGGAGAACGCATAGGTTACGATCACTGCCTCCATAACACATGCATACATCTTCTTCCTCACCATGCTTCGTTTCGCATATGTTTTTGTGCATTTGGTTTCCTCTCTAAAAACAAAATGCCTTTACATTGCATAATTAGGTAATTATACTCTCTCTCCCGAGGTAAGTTATTTGGAAAGCCTTCTGCCTTGGAAGAAGTACTTCTCCTTGGAACTCATGTTAAATTTCTACCTCAGTGAATTTAAGACCACCCACTCCTGTGAGTACATACCTACATATACATTTTTTTCATATATTAAGCAAAGCAAGGCAAAAATGCCTCCCAAGTCTACCTGAAATGAAGCATACAGTCCCACCTGCAGTTAAGGTATGTATCTTGGCCAATGCATCCTTCAGCCCTGGTTGTATTTGCATTCTGTAGATCAGGAAATTGCTGGAAGTAGTAGGTTTGGACTTGCATGGGCTGGCTTGTCTCAAACTGATATGCAGGGAGGAGCTCTCTTTCTCTCTTAAGCAATTGTGACTGCTTCATAAATTAGTTTTGTTAGTTTCTTTAGGACTCTCCTAGATAATTAATTTCATCGTCTTTTTTTCCTGCTCATTTTGCTTATCTCACATCACTGGTAGATATTCATCTCCCTGTAACTATATTACCAGACTGTAATTAAACTGTGCAACCGAATTCTGACTATCTTCTGATTCCTCCAACATATTATTCTTTAGAGAGGCTGCCCTCGGGATCCCTTGAAGGAATATGCTGGCTCCACAGTTATCCTGACTATGCAAACTCCTCCATGTGAGGTTAGCTTTACCCATCAGAACTGGCTCTCTTATTTGTCTTCCAAAACTAATTTTATTATCCAGCACCAGCAGTCCAACACACAGTTGTGGAGTCCAAGGAAACATGTATTCTTTCCAGGCGGCAGTTGTTATGGACACAAAGAGTCTGAATTTTCCCTCTGTATGGGTCCATCTTTTCATACACAAGGCCTCTCAAATGTCCCTAGATGCCCAGGAATTATAACTCAAGTCCACAAAAAAACTAACATTCACCCTTCAGAAGGGCGGATGCTGGAGAAAAAAAGGTCTAGCAAGTCCCAGATATGCTGTGGGAGGCAGGTCTCCCGTGGAGTTACAACCATGCTGTCGAGTCTCCTCTCTGCCAGGGAGAGAAGGCTGTGACCTCCAGGGCATGCGGCATCTGCAAAACCTGAGAACCAGGTACACTCCCAGGTATGTCTCTTGCATTTGAGAGCAAGGCTCCTCCCTCTGCACCCCAAACAGTCTGAGGGTGCCCCCCTAGAGTGCCTGTCATTATCCAAAGGGTTACCCACTGTCCCTCCAAAAGGCAACCACTAACTTTAATTCATTATGATTTGAAAGTACATGCCATGTGGATTTTGGCGGTTGGAACTGTCGTGATATTAAGTACGGATAAGTTATTGCAAACCTAGACAAGATGTAAGTCTTCCTAAATATGGAAACTCTGGCCTGCAGCCGTAGGAGTGGGCCACAGAGCGTGATCCTAATGATGACTGTCAATTGCCACATTTCAGGATTCGGGACAGGCTTGCCCGGGGCACATGTGATGTTCTCTCCATTTCCCTCCCAGCCTTAGTTTTAAATATGGAAAATGTAGCATTTCTCTCTATGTTTCTAGCACATTGATGTTCCTAACTCAAAATATGTCAAGACACCCCTGAAAAGTTTTGGGGATTCAATTTCTTCCTCTCCAAGACAGAGAATCCCCATTTTACTTGCATGTTACTGTGAGCACCTTCAGTTATTCTCGTGTGATTTTCAACGCTTCTTTCTTTATAATACAGTGAAATTATTTTAATACAATAAAGCAATTCTAAATGCTTGTCAAATATTTATAAAAGTCAATTTATGGCCAGGCGTGATGGCACACAACTGTAATCCCGGCACTTTGGGAGGCCGAGGCAGGCGAATCACTTGAGGCCAGGAATTCAAGACCAGCCTGACCAACGTGGTGAAACCAATTCTCTACTAAAAATGCAAAAATTAGCCGGGTGTGGTGGTGCATGCCTGTAATCCCAGCTACTCAGGAGGCTGAGGCATAAGAATCACTTGAACCTGGGAGGCAGAGGTTGCAGTGAGCAAAGATAGTGCCACTGCACTCCAGCCTGGGCGACAGAGTGACACTATGTCAAAAAAAAAAAAAAAAAGTCAATTTATTCTATGCAAAGACAATAAAATCTGTCTTAATTAAAAAAAAAAATGAACCAAAACATGGTTCAGTGCTAATGAACAGGAACCAGACCAGGTTAGATTAAGCTGGAATGTGCAGTGTGTTCCTAAGACCCACAGGGACTTTATGAACCCAATTGCAGTGCTGGAAGCAGGAAGAGGCACCTCACAATGAGGCAGCTCCGCTTGCAGCTCCCCCTGAAGAGACATGGCTCTCTTGGCCCCACTCCTGCCTGGCGCCTCCTCCGTGGCCTCTGCTCCTCTCCTGCTATGGCCTGGCCACCTCTGCACCATTCCTACAGGACAAAAGTTGCCCGCCAGAGTGCAGCTGTTCCCGGTTCCCATCCCTTTAGCAAGGGCAGCCTGCCGAAGTTCCCCAGAGTCTCCTCATGGCCAGCCCACAGCAGTGGGAAAGGGAACCTGAATGAGCTTGGGATCAGTGTCCACACAGGATCCAGGAGTTCTCCAGGAAGCCGGAATGCGGGTGTAGCAGAGCCTTCAGGTTGCCCATCCACACTCCTAACCTGTCTCATGCAGGCACTGGAGAGGCAAAGGCCAAGTTCAAAGCTCCTCTGCAGAAAAGCAGACAAGCAGCAGGGCTGAGGGAACAAAAGCAGAAGTCTGCAGGGGACAGAAGGATGGAGATGTCCTGGCACAGGCACTCCCCTTCCGCTCCCCCTTTGTCAGCCTGGACCACGGAGGGGATGCTTGAAGAGGCTGCCCCTGCCAGGCTGTGCCCATGAGACAACAGTGAACAGCAAAGAGTGCCAAGCAGCCTGCAGGCCCATCCTGTCACGTGCAGGCTGGAGCAACAGTCCCTGGCGGGCTGGTCATGTCCAACAAGCAGCTCCCTGAAGCAGGAGGAGAGGACACGATTTCCAGCACTTGCCCATGTCCGTGGCATATATGCTCCCAGCCAACTTCCAGCTGCTAAGGCCTTAACAACTGGATCACAAAATGCCTGACAAGAAACAATCAGTTCTTTCCAGCCAGCAGGACACATTTCTAGCAGGCTGTTTTTTTTTTTTTTTTTCGTTTTCAATGCTATATGTCTAAACAGGTAAGAGTTGTCAATCAAGCCAACACTCTTGATAACAACAAAAAGTGGGCTGTTCTAGCTTCCTGCCTTAACAACACAACTTCACAGGTAATGGAAAGTTTGGGCTTAGAGTTAGAATCCTATGAGTAGATGAGACCCCCACCCTCTGCTTCTCCCCCACCCATGGGCGGTCTGTGCCACCCATAGGTGGACATCTCAGCTGGCAATTCTGAGTTGAGATGCATCTCATCCAACAGCCACCCTCGGCTATGCTTTGGGCCAGGGTGGCCAGCCCTCCAGTAGCCAGGGCTGGAGATGCACACATGGCCAGGAAGTAGGCGCTGGGTTTTCTGAGCAGGGACGTGTGGGTCCCCAGTCCCTGCAGCTTCTCAGGCTTGGGGAAACACACACAGAGGAGGCAGCAGAGTGGGCCCCCAAATGCCAAGGCCCCTCTTGCCAGGGTGAAGGTCAGCATTGGAGGTAGGCTTCCTGCAGTATCCCTGAGCCTTCACCCTGATCTGCCTGGGGAAACACACAGAGCCCTGTTGATTTAAGCCACTTTTAGGTAAGTGATGTAAACAGCGAGCTCCACATAGGATCTCACTGAACCCACTACAGAAACAACCTGGGCAGCCCCCAAAGGGCTGGGGCAGCCCACACCCTGGGCAGCCCCCAAAGGCAGAGTGAGACACAGAAGCAAAGACCCATCTGTGCTGTGTCTGCCCATGACTCGGTGAGAGGCCCTCAGTGGCTCAGAGCCCAGGCTCCCCATTCAGAAAAATAGCAACGATTCCCCCGCCTCAAAGCTCATTGCAAAGGTCACAGGTGAAGTAAACAGGTAACTCTGCACTCATTTGAGACAGAAGACAGTTAACAATCGACCCCGAAAAGCCTTTGATTTCATTAAAATTTACTTTAGATCAGTATAAGAAGAAAAAATGAGAAAATGATCACCACAGAAAGTCCTTATAGAAAAATGCAGGATTCTTTGAAAAAGCCAATTCTGCAAAACAACAGAAATGCAGAAAAATGATGCCAGTGTTGTGGAGACTTTAAGGATGATTTTGACTCCCCAGCTGGACAAAGCACCTGCCTCTTACATTTTTTGTATCGAGTATGGACTGAGGGGGGCAGGTGGCAAATGAAAATGTGGGACCTCTTTAGCTTGGAGGAAGTTATCCAGAGTTCACAGCAGAAAGTTGTCAAGCTGGAGACCTATCAAGTAAAACAGAGATCCAACTGTCCTTTGTTATTATAGGAGAAGCCAAAGGGGGACTTCGGAGGGAGGAAGAATCCAACACAATTGTTAAATGTTTTAAAAAGCCCGCAGTCCCCACCAGTGGAAAGTTTGGACCTGAGATACACTGGAGATGATAGTCTAGTTTTGCCGTGCTGGATATAGTGCTGCTGACATTTCTGTCTATGCAGTGAAAAAAGCACGTTCCTCAGGCTTGGCATTTTTGTGTGTGTTTGTGGCATTGCTGTGCAGCCTTTGTGGGGATGGTTTAACACATAGCACACTCAGGACTCCAGATACATGCTGATGATGTGGCTCAGCTTATTAGTTATTACAGTTGCTGTTTGAAATTGAACCCTGTTACTTTGGTTTGGACAGAATTCTGTTTTTTGCCTTTCTAGGCTTCGTGACTATGGGTTGGTTACATGAAGTTGCCATTTAATAATTACCTGCTTCACAGCACAGAATAATGACTTGCTTCACACATGCAAAATAAAAGCAGCTTATTCTTTGTCGTATCTTATGTTAAAGAATGCACAGAAACCCTCGTCACTTAAGATGATTCTAAAATATAAAATTTCTTTTCTTAATGAAGACTGAAAACTGCATGCAAATTACATTTCGCTTATAAGTCGATTACGTATCATGATAATACATTTCAACGCCTCCACAGTATGTAAAGTATTCACAACCACTTCTGTCCCCTGCACTGATTTGTCAATAAAGTAAACTAAAATGTCAGCTTAGCTGAAATAATGTTTTTGATGCTGAGCAAGAGAGAGCCGTTCTTGAGTTCTAATAAATCTCAGCACGACGTAGAGCAAAGCTCAGACTGGGTTGAGTCTCAGAGGTTGCTGAGGCACTGAAGGACTGCATGGCCCCAGGCAAGCTCCTCTGCCGCTTGGTTCTCTCCTCTGTGACACTGACCCTTCCTGGGATTCACGCTTGCCCACCAGGCACAGCGAGGGGCAGACACCCCGTCCAGGTTCAGCTACTGCTCATCCCACCGGCTCCCCATCATTGCCTCAAATGGAATTCAGCTGGAAAGCCCACATCAGTTTGGAAATTGTTTTTCTTTATGCCTACACAGGTTTTCACATCAACAGCAGGTGTGGATGGTACCTCAACAGCACCATGAGGTTACTGAAACTGGTCATAATTTGGTTAGCTAGAATTCAGAAAAAAATTAAAACTTGCAAATTTTCAAAACGGAAAGAAATTCCTATGTAAATGCTTATAATGCTTGCTGAATCATTTTCTCTGTTAGTTAGGAACTTGCATTCACAGGAAATAAATGGTTGAAGAAGTATGGATAATTTGCTTTGGGTATGAAATTCCCAAAGCATCATATGTATGTTTCTCTACAACTTGTCGTGGAATGAAACAGGTCTCCAGCCAATTACAAAGTCCCAGAAATTCCAAATGCATGGGCTTGTCTCCGATGGTTCCAGAGCTTGGTGGGATTTTCTGGAGTCTTTAGGGTTTGTGCACATGTGGGTGCAGCAACACAGACTTCACTGGACACCATGCTTAGGGTAGTCAGCAAGGATCTTCAAGGATCTGCGATGTTAACTTCTCAGAATTGTGGAAG
Organism: Homo sapiens; assembly: GCF_000001405.40. Lineage (NCBI taxonomy): Eukaryota > Metazoa > Chordata > Mammalia > Primates > Hominidae > Homo > Homo sapiens. The sequence continues at coordinate 2,622,521 of NC_000005.10, forward strand.
AGCTGATACTGGGCATGTGTTACTCAGTGCTCATAAGGACATGTTGGAGTGGCAGGTCCCACATTGCCAGATGTTTGAGCAGAGATTTTTAGCACCCACCATTAGTTGGTGGAAGGTGACACTGTGGCCTCAATAAGGAAACAACAGGACGCATGCTGACCTGGGCTCTAGACTGAGCGCTGCCCCATTTGGCCTTGTAAGCGGGCCAGGACTCAGAATGGCTATTTTTCAATGGTTGCTTTGAGTCATTTTATTTACTCCACATTTATTAAGCACCTCCTCCACAGCAGGCATTGTTCTAAGCCTTGTGGGCTCATCAGAACAACATAGACAGAAATCCCTGCCCTGGTGCAGGGTCGAGCTCACTGGATCTGACACCCAGAGCATCAACAGTGGAAGATGTTTCACACTGACCACAGTCGATTCTCGGCCATGCAGCCTTTGACCGACAGTGTTTCTATCATTCTTTTCTGATTATAAAAGAGATGACCTCATTTTTTCCCAATTGTCAGTTTGAAGCATGATGGTGTGTAGTGTACACTCCTAAGTGGAATGACACAACCGACCTGCTGCTTTTGTTTATTCACACTTCCACCTCTGAGCTCTGGGAAGTGGACTTCAGAACCTGCTTGCATTACAGAATCATTGCAGTGTTAGTAAATATGTGCTTTATATATACATGTATTATGTTCCAAGACTGAGAGTGGATTTAGTATTTTATAAATAAAGACTGATTTATATATATATTTATATATGTAAGCTTATATAAATAATAGATATATTTAAATATAAAGATTGATTTTATATATAAAGGCTGATTTTGGATATCCTATTTTATATATAAAGATTGATTTTTATACGTATATTATTTATAGGTAAGTATATATAAATAAAAGCTTTATTTATATATAAACATCAATTTTATAAAGACTGATTTTGATATAGCATTTTTGTCTGATGTAAGAATTATTAGACCTTAATCAATTGCACCAGCTTTGCTACTAATCACCAGTCCTTTCTGTAACAGCTCCTCTACCTTTTTTTTTTTAAGTTACCACCACCGTTAAATTTGCTTCTACCTTGACTCAACCTCAAGAGCTTTCCTGCGGTGCACACATGCGTGGTGTGGGATCTGAAACCGAGCACCATCCCAGTGTGCGTGAGTGTGCGTGAGTGTGAGTGCAAGTGTATGTGTGACTGTGCATGTCTGCGTTTACCAGACATGGGAACGACTTTCTGAGGTATGAATAGAATCTTTGAGATAATCGTTTAAGCCCCCAAATAGGAAGCTTTGCTATTAAATGTTCTTCTTCATATTACAGATAAAAATTCTGTACCAAGATTATTTTTGTCCCTTTAGAAAAAAAAAAATCCAATATTTTGTTTTTCTTTCCTAAGAATGTGTAGCAGTTTCTTCTTATCCTCTTCATTGAAAAAGTTACCAGGAAATGACCACGTATTCGCCATTGCCCATAGACTGACTAGTAACTGCAATGTTCTTGCAATCTGCAAACTCTGGCCTCAAGCTCAGCGCGGTGTTTTTCTGTTGTGTCCTTCTTGGCTGTTTTTGCTTTGTCTGACCTCCTCTCCTCCTTCGGTGGACTCCTTGGGGATATATGAGCCACAGATAAATCCCTGGTCACAACCTGTGGGCAAGTGTCTTAACCCAGTCTGTCTGTTTAAGCTCAGGGCTGACCGGGAAAAGGAGACCCCTGAGAGTTTTTAATTTTTCTGTATTTACTTATTATTTTTATTTATACCTCAGTGTTTTCCATCAAATAATTTAAGGTAGCTAGTAAAAAAAAACTCTTTTTAAGTGTTAGCATTTGAATATTAGATTTCACCTTTACAAGTACAACTCACCATTTTTTTTGTACTTTCATGAATCTAACTTCAGAGAATATTATGTAAATCATTCCTAAAAGGCGAACATAATATGTATATGTTGTAGGCAAAAGCTGAAAAACAAAAGATTATAAAATAGAAGGCAGTTATGGGATTTTACACAAATTGTTTTCCTTTTTAGGTGCTGGAATAAATTTTAATTTCTTCAGAAATCAAAAGAAAAGATATTGAAAGGAGCCAGCCATGGGCAGGGAGGAGCGGGACTCCATGGGAACAGTGCTCCCGGCTGCAGCTCTTCCCAGACTCTGTGTCCAGCGGGTCCATATTCCTGTGGCTCCTTCTCCAGATTCTTTGCCCACCTGGATATGACCCAGCTCTCTCATACAAAGTATTCTGCTGTCAAAAGTATACCCTTTATTTGGAGAGAGGGCAAATTGCTCACCTATAATTGGCCTATTCTTTCCATTGCCATGCTCTTCTTTTTACTATAAAAACAATTGGCATGAACTCAGACAATTTGCTTTGAAGCAAATATTGCAGTAAAATTTCCCATTAATACTGAGTTGGGATGTACCAAGAATATCAGTGCAATGTATTGACATTTTAACACTTCCATATGTTTTTCTATATGCATTTTTATGATCAAAGGAATGCAAATTATGTATTAGTATTATATAGTCAAGCTCATTTTGAAAAGTTGTAAAGAAACATTTATCATCTTAGCAAAACAACAAAAACATTTTCCATAGCATGGGAAATGTCCATTTATCAACCAAGATTTATCAGCCACATAAATTAATAGCCTTCTTGGGCTGATACCTTAGTCTCTAGTGAAATGAGTTTTTAAAATTTAAAGCTGAAGAATACTTGCTGAACCTTCCCTGAATAAAATCATGGTTATCTCAAGCTGCTATTTGCTCATTCTTCATTTATTTCTTCCAAAATCTTTCTGCACGTGTGCCTGTTGCACCCTTCTGATGCAGTCTCCGCTTCAACCGCCTGCATCTGAGATTCTCTTTGGAGGACTCCACTTGGGCCACTGGGGCCACTCTGTTTAAATGATGAAAGCCCAAGTGCCTGCAGATGGACCCCCCTGTTCACTCCCTTCAGGGATGCCCAGCCCAGGGCTGCCTGAGGCAGAGGAGGGACCCAGATCCCTTGCCCGCGTTTGGAGAAGCTCAGAAGCAGGAATGCACTCCAGATCCCTCCTCATGGGACCAGGTTGAGGCTGGGACTCTGTCCGGACTCAGCTCTACCTGGTGTCCTCCCTTCCCTGTCCTGCTCCCTCCACACCTGGAAGTCTTTCCTTAATAATCAGCATATGCGTACACTGCCTGTCTCAGAGGACACTTCTGGGGAATGTGACCTAAAAATCATGCAAGATGGTAGACGTTAGAAATTCAAAGTACATATTTCTCATAATGTCAAAAATCATAATCTTGCATCTCACTGATATATTCTTAAGAATATAAGTGATAAAGTAAATTGAAAAAAAACTTTAGTGTTTTAAAACTTGCTCAACAATTTTATGTGTAATATTTACCTGTGGTTGGAGAAATGCATTTTCTAGGCAAGACAGGGAGCCACTGGGGAGGTGACCTAGTGGGGCACAGGGCTTAAGAGGCACCATAGTCTGCCTTTTGATGTACACCCTATTATGACCTGTGAGTCTTAGAGACAAAGGGAAATTATGGAGAGTAGGAAAAAATTGGCCCAGCCAACTGGAACATGCTCTTGCTATCATTGCTAAGGTAAAATGGAAAGATGTTAGCTAGGTTGATCCAGCGGTTCAGAATTTTTTTAAAAAGAAATTTTCCAAAATGGAAAAATTTCAACCTACTTAACTATGTGAGGTCAATGATCATAACTGCCTATTGCAGGCAAGCCCCATTGCTTCATTCTGGCTGCAAACCAGCACAATCCTGACCAGCACCTGGCACATCCCCATGGAATAAATTCATCAGGAATATGTTGTATGCCTTAAATAAATGCTATCTACAATCTAGTGCCAAAAGCAATTAAGAACTCCTGGGAAAATAACGGGCAAATGAAGCAACACAGTAGCTAGCCCTCAATCTGCATTGGCAATGCTAGGGAGAGGGATTGACGTTCTTGGTTGTTCTTCAACAGATACAATTATTGTTGTCAAAACCTGAGGGCTGAGCTTCTGCCCCCAACACCTGGGGAGCACATGTAGCAGGCCAGGGGCTGAGCCCGACGCTTTCTTCAAGTGTGATCAGACTTGGTTGGGAGAAGTCAGTTTTAGAGGGTAGGACAACTGTATTCCCTAGTCAGCTTCCTAAGTGGGTTGACACATAGCCAGGCATTATCAAACACCTACACAGAGGAGCAGTGAGCAGCAGATTTTCCTGTTCCTCCCACTTGTCAGGCACTGGAGTATCTGACACCATTTTATGTGGGTGGAATGCATGACAATTATGACTTCTTGGAAACACAGTTATTAATTAGTAAGCTACAATGTCTTATCAGATGCCCTCATTGTCTTCTGACATCACTTGACTTGTCATCAAACATTCCATACTTCTTGTCATAACAAGGTAAATTATTCCTCTAAAGACAGACATGAAGAAAGTCCAAAGTGAAGGCTGAGCAATTGTCCCTCTGGTTCACTCATGGCATGTACATGCTCTCCTTCCACTCGCTGGGGACCTCATCCACTGCTCCAGCCCCAGCTCCCCCAAATCAATTCCAGATGTGTATCCGTGGCCTTGCTCCCGCCCCGCCTGGGTGCCACACATGGACACTGGGACTGCCCTCAGAACTTCAAACTCCACACGCCCAAAACCAACCCACTGGCCTCCCTCAAAGCATGCCCTCACCTCTGAAAAAGGCCTTACTATCTACTCAGATCAGATCCCAAACCTGAGACCGGGAATCTCTATAGACTCCTGCCCTTCCCTCCCGTTGGCTGGGCCCACGCCATTTCCATGTGTGCCCAGGTGACCTGCAAAAGTAGACACAAGGCACCTCTTACCAGGGCCATCCAGGATGACCGAGATGTCTGGTCTTAGGTCTCTAGGTTCACACCAGATGTCTCCAGAGCCGGACATGATTTTCACAGCCAGGAGGGGAATGAGGCAGTTCTGATTTCTCCCTTGTGTGGACAGCCCCTCTGTGTGTGGTAAAGGATGCTTGTCTGCCTATGGCCCAACCCACTACCAGTGTGATCTGGTAGAACATTAACATGCAACCTCACAACAACTGATTTTGGCTTCCTGCCACATGTAGCATACACTGCTTGGGTGGGGAATTAAAAGATGAACAAACAGAGGGGTACCACCTCATGTCTGCCTTCAGGGGGCTTCTAACCGTCTGAAGAGCTTACAGATCCCTGTCATTTAGACCAGGCTTCTTGGTTTCCTTAAAGTTCCAGCATCTGAAGCTTTGGCAGAAGGCCTGACCATGAGCAATCAGGAACAGCAGAGCCGCGAGTAACCCCAGGTAAGGAAGCCACTCAGCGTGGAGGGGCAATGGAGAACTGCAAAATCCCAAGGAGGCAGAGCATCACGACTTCACTAGAGAGAAGGGGAGGCCACTCAGTAGGTCCCAGGGTTCCAGTTTGAGCAGCTGGATCAGCATTTAAGCCACCAAGAACAGCGGGAAAGCAAGAGGTTCAGGGGAAGGTGGTGGATCTGGCGGGGCTGTGGCTCGGGGGCACTGCAGGCGGTGAGAGACCCGCGTGTGGGCTCCAGCAGGAACGGGAGAGGGGATGACAGCCTGGGACGGGCATGGGGGTCCTCAAGGTGCAGAGGGCTGGGGAGGCAAGCCTGTCCGGGAGCCTGAGGAGAGGAGCAGGAGGTGAAGGCTCTCCCAGGTAATGCCAGCACGGGAAAACACTGTTTCTCTCCGGTTTTCGGGGTCCCAGGAAAATATTTGTCCTAAGTACCGCCCACCGAGAATCCAAGTATTCCCTTCTTTCTGGTTGGTATACACTGTACATGAAAATCAAATTTCCATAAGATGGAACCAGTCTAGAGATTCTCCACTTGGGGCTTCCAGGGGATCCAGAAATGCTCCAGTTCCAACACTGGGAACAGATCAGACCTCAGGTGCTGGGCTTCTCCCCAGCCAAGGGTCCTAATGGCACTGTAGGCCTTGCTGTGTTGGCTATGGGCTCACAGCACTGGCTTCCCAGGAGGACACAGCCCACAGACTCCTCCCCAGGTACTCGCTGGCTGGCGTGCCCTGCCCACTCAGCTCCTGCTCAGTGTCCTCCACCCCTACTGGCAGTGAGTTGCTCTGCTGGAAACACACAGCAAACCCAGCAGCCTGGTCCCATCCCTGGCACACCTTCTAGGGCTTCCTGAAGCTCTGGAGAGAAAGCCCTCCCTAATTATGGTCAGGAGGGCTTGCCTGCTCCTACCCCATCTTCCAGACGCCCCTTGCACTCCACGCCCTGCAGCTCACACTCCTGTCATCACCTCCTGCTACAGGGCCGTTGCACATGCTGCTTCCTCTCTCAGTGGCTCCTCCCTCCCCCTGCACAGGGAGCTCCATCATATGTCAACTCAAGCCCACTTTGTCAAAAAAGCTTCCCAACCTCCCAGACCTGCTGAGCTCCTTGCATCCCAGGGCTCCATGCTGGCTTGTGCCTCCTTTTCCTCACACTGTCCATAGCTGCAATTTCACGTGAGCTCGTGTGATGTCTAACTCATGCCTGTGTTGCCTCTCATCTATAAATTCCACGAGGGCAGAGACCGCATGCCTTCTAGCTCACCACGGGATCCTCAGTGCCTAGAACAGTGTGTGGCACACAGAAGGGTTGATGCAGGAACATGCTGGAAGGACTCTGAGACCCCAGGTCAGACCAGACCCATAGCAAGGGGATCTTGCAGACACAGGAATGCGAGGGCGGGGCTGTGTCTTGGGCTAAATGAGGTTTTTTGTTTCACTAGCAGTGCTTTCTTATAAACAAGCTATCCCCTGAGATCTTCACCTCACTGCTGTTTATCACGTAGAGAAAAGAATGGCCCCTCTTTCATCACAATGGTCTGACCGAGATTGTGACTACTGAGTAATGTGGAGTGATAACTTTGAGACCATTCTACTCCAGGACTTCCACTAATTATTCTGTTTGTTTTTGAGACAGAGTCTCTCTCTGCTGCCCAGGCTGGAGTGCAGTGGTGGGATCTTGGCTCATTGCAACCTCTGCCTCCTGAGTTCAAGCAATTCTCCTGTCTCAGCTTCTGGGGTAGCTGGGACGGCAAGTGCGCACCACCACACCAGGCTAATTTTTGTAATTTTAGTAAAGATGGGGTTTCACTATGTTGGGCAGGCTGGTCTCGAACTCCTGCCCTAACTGATCCACCCGCCTTGGACTCCCAAAGTGCTGGGATTACAGGTGTGAGCCACCGTGCCTGGCCCTTCCACCAATTATTTTAATGAGAGAATGGAAATGCTCTCATTATTTATGTTGATTATTTTAAATGAAATTGAATAACTGATAGAACAGCTTAAACACAGATGAAAATTTTAAACCATCTGAATAAAAAGGAGCAATAACAGTTAATCGCTCCCAGGTAATATGTAGTTTAACAAGGACAGATGTAAGATAACCTGTAAAAAGGAGAAAGGGCCAGGCGCGGTGGCTCATGCCTGTAATCTCAGCACTTTGGGAGGCCAAGAAGGGAGGATCATGAGGTCAGGAGATTAAGACCATCCTGGCTAACACGGTAAAACCCCATCTCTGTTAAAAATACAAAAAAAAAAGCTGGGCGTGGTGGTGGGTGCCTGTAGTCCCAGCTACTTGGGAGACTGAGGCAGGAGAATGGTGTGAACCTGGGAGGCGGAGTTTGCAGTGAGCCAAGATCATGCCACTGCACTCCAACCTGGGCAACAGAGCGAGACTCCGTCTCAAAAAAAAAAAACAGAATCAGGAAAAGGGAGAGAAAGCTAGAAAAAAAATAGAATATATCTAATCTACAACTAGATATGTGTCTTCAATATAGGATTCAAACCGGAGCGCATAAGGCCCTCAGCTTTCCTCTCCGTGAGTTCTTGACATTCAGAAGATATTCTCTATTTTATCACATTTTCCCCTCATTAAAAGTAGTCTGTGCCATTTGACAATTATTGAACAAGACCACTTAATAATTCAGTTTGGTTTGTTTATATCTATTAGCATGAGTTTTGAAAATGAATGTAATCACAATCTTACCTAATAGATACTTGTTATGTTTCAGAATGCTATGAACATCATCAATTTTTCTCACATGTGAAGAAATCTGCACATTAACTCAGGCAGTAACCAGAAGGCAGGCACCTGCCATTTTTGGGGAATATACTCAACGGCACAGACCCTGTTCTCCTTTATACATGTGACGTCTGCAACACCTCGAGAAAGCATTGGCACCCAGAAAACTCACTGACTGTTGGGGAACTAGCAGTGTTTGAGTGCTAAGTAGAAGAACTCAGGGACTCAAGAGGGACCCATCCCCTCACCTGGGACTGCAGGTGCACTGGTTCCCTGTGTGCCCCTTCTTTAGAATGAACTATGTCCTAAGCCCAAACGTACGAGTTTGATTATAGCTACTCATCCAGTATACTTTGAGTTTTGATCGTCACTTTTAGGAAGCTCTATCGTATTTTGTCATTTCATCCTTTACTCCTTAGAAACCGTCTAAATTTCAATTTGCTTCCATCACCCTTTTCGACTCGTAAAATACTATTGGTGACAACAGCGAAAGACACACACATTTCAGATCTCATTTCTTAATATTCACATGTTTTCAACGCACTTAATTCAATATATGATCTGGCTACATCCCATCTAGAGCTGGAGATTGTATTTGTCTGTGAGCCTAACTCTGTCTTCCTCTTCATGAAGTAGGGATTTCTGAATTGCACTGGGCTGTAGAGAAGAATGCAATAAAGAAGCGCTATTTCAAGTCTACACGACACAGTTGAAAGTTACAAATCCATCAAGATGGAAAGAATTGAGCTTATTAATGTCCTCAAATGCATTTATCTTAACATCTACATTACACTTTGCATGTTTAGAAAAATAATTCGGCTTGTAATTATCTTCTCATAAAATGTAATCATAAATGACACCATAACTCCGAAATAAACCAGAGAAAACCAGAATATTTTATGTGAAATTTAACATTCCACTGTGCTCTTTTTCACATTCCACAAGCTCAAATCATATGTCAGAGATTAACTCGGCCATTCTTTAATTTTGACTTTGTGCAGCAGATTTCACGTTATTTAAAAAGCTTTATATTAAAGTCATTCAAATGTGAATAATTGAAATTATTTTTAATGATTGTGCCATTAGAGACCAGACTTACACAGATCTCAAACTGACCTAGTTTTTTTCTTTCTTTCATCAGTTCGTTTTACCGGTGAGTGTAAACAGATTTTCTCTAATTAGATATGTACTTTTCAAGCAATATCAGAAAGTAGTTACCTTTAACATTTGTTCTTGACATCTGTCATCCCTGCGTTGTCTCAGAGCACAGGGACTTGCCTGTGATGTGTATACAAGGATCTTCTGCACACATCCCTGTCAGTTCTTCTGCCAGGAAGCCCTTGATGTCTTCTAACCTTTCATTGTGAGGAATGTACATTTAATTACCAGGAAAATGACTATGATGTAATAGGTCAAGACACGCGCAGCTTCTGCTAAGGAGGGGCTCTGCGTAGGAGCGGCAGTCGGGGGAGCGCTCCACAACCCGGCGCTCCAAGAGAGCCCAGGCGTCCGGAGCACAACACCAGCCTCCATTCCTTCCTGCTGGAGTGGGCAGTAGGTCCACCAGTAAAAATAAGTCAATTATAAAGGATATAAACATGCTTCAGACATTCAGAAATCTAGATACTCCTCAAATCACTAGTTTCGTTATAGGATCAACGACTTTTCTTTGGATTAGAATTTCCTCGTTAGAGGGATTTGGCATCTGTGATTTCTGATTTTGTGTGTGTGTTTGTAAAGTCCAGTAATTTATTCAGGTAACTGCAAAGTAACCTGAGTGTAGTGATGAAACAGGTTTTTAAAAAAATCTTGTAGAGTTGTATGACAGAATCTTTAAATGATATCCTCATAAAACACCTACAAAGCATGCAATTCAGGTCTCGTAGACAAAAATTTCTTCACACTTATATTATTATTTTGTATTGTTCTTATGTTGAGGCTTCAGTTACTCAGTATTTAATTAAACTGTATAATCTAGTAACAGGGACAATTGGCGTGAATGGGTCTAGGAAATTCACTGCTGACTCTTGGTGAATGTTGCAACTCAACCTCTGCAGCAGGGGTGAGGTCCCAGCGTGGCCCTGGGCTGACAGAGGTGCACGTGCAGAGGAGTGGAGAGAGCTGATGGAAAACATCGGGAAATGCCACAGTTAGGACTCAGCCTGGATTTGGAGGGTAAGCGGGTGCTTTCACTGAAGTTAATGTTGCAGAGCAGCAAAGCCAAGACCCTTCCATTCCTACCAGCGAAGCCCTCCCATGTGAGGATCAGAGAACAGACCCGAGTCTGTGGACACTTTCCTAGTAAGAATCCTGCTTCTCACAGGCCTGGGGTGAGCAGGTCACAGCCTTATCACAACATTGCCAGCAAAATGACAACGTGCGGGTCTGCAAACAGGCCCCTTGCTTGGACCCCGGCGCAGGTTCAGCCGACAGAACAAGGCTCTGGACAAGGTCCCCCCGTCTGGCCATCAGGGCTCTGCCCAGCACACTTTCCCCTTCAGTGGCTGCCCCACCAGCAGGACTAAAAATGGAGACACAGACAGCTAGCTTGGGAGCCTTTAAGCTATGCTGGACTTGGTGTATTTGATTTGTGCATCTCTAATCCTTTTTAGGCAGGAGGTAACGGAAATATTTGTACACTGTGAGGAACATCATAGCCCATGGTCTGAAAATAAGGAGGACACGTCTCATCGGAGCCACGACGTGACCTCAGCACTGACTTGTCGTCTCAGGAGAAGGAAGGGAAAGTGGAGTTCACATGTTGGGAATTGAGTGAACGCAGGCGGTCCTCACAGAAGCTGGAGAGACAATTTTCAGCTGTCTTAAAGAATTAAGAGCGGTGGTGTTTCCCTTCTGTTTCCTGCTCCTAAAAATTGGCTCCATTAGCAACCATCCATTTTGAGGGGGTGGAGCCACCATCGGCATTCAGGTGGTCGAGTCACCATCCGTGTTCAGTGGGTAGAGTCAACATCCGTGTTCTGGGGGTAGAGTCACCATCCATGTTCGGGGGGTAGAGCCACGATCCGTGTTCGGGGGGTAGAGCCACGATCCGTGTTCGGGGGGTAGAGTCACCATCTGTGTTCAGAGGGCAGAGGGGCCTCATGCCCAAACAGTTTGAGTGATTCACTCACAACACTAACATGGGTCAGAATTTTAAAACTAAACATCAAAGCACCGCAAATGTACATTGAGAATTCCCAAAGACTCCTTATAAAATACCCTTTGCAGGGGAGTGACAACATTTGCAGTTTGTAGTTTCTTTGGTGGCAAAGAAGGAATTGCACTTCCTCAGCTGTGGCGCCCCCTCCAACGGGAGTCTGCAGGCCGGATGCGAACCATGCCCGGGCTCCAGCCATAATCACAAACACTCGGCAAACAGGGTGTTTATGTGCTTGTTGAACAAGAATGTAAATCTTTTGGAAATCGGAGCTCACATAAGGTCTGGAAAGTTAGTCTTTTCCTCCTTCCCCGCGGTGCCCCTATCTGCTCGAGTCAGCTGTGTGCCAGCGAGAAGGAGACGCACTCGGAGAAGGCGTCCAAGCCTCTGTGAGCAGCGCCCACGCCTCTACTTGTGGAGCTGCAGAAGGCAGGCGGGAGGAGGCCGCTCTGACACCTGCTTCACCAGGTCTCTCAGAAAGCCTTGTGGAGGACTGAGTCCTGTGGAGCCTGTGACTCATTTGGAGCTTATTTGCTCAATCACTGCCACATCTTGCTGGGTTTTATTTTTTCCCCTCCACAAGTTGCACAAAATTCACCTTGAACATGAATCATGTGAAGTTTGTTTTTCTTCGAGGCCGCACCTGCTATTCCGTGCCATCAGGCTGGTGCTGCTTTGTCCCAAGCTTTCATTTCTTGGGTTAGGGGAAGCTGTCATATGGGACGAACTGAATACAGGAGTCCAGCCCAAAGACAGGGACTAATAATAAAAATGAAAGCAACTCCACGTGTATATTTACAAGCTTTCTTCCTGTGTTATCTCAGCTTTCACACTACCTGGGCAGAGTCAGTGCTATCCAGACACTCATTGCACGAAGAAGCTGAGTGGCATGTGGAGGAGGTAGTGTGTGGCTGCTGTCTAGGAAACAGAAGTGCTGAGTTGCAGTGTGTGCCCATTTCTATGGTGTAAATGTCCCTAGCCTGGCCAGTTTCAAGTTCCCAGGATGGCTTCACTGCATGGGAAGTTGGAAAGGGAGGGTATAGCTGGCTGCAGCCACCACTGGGAGAGATCCAGGAACTCACTAATAGAAGGGCTCTTCACTGAAAGACATGGAGTCAGGGGCCACGCCAGGCAGCTCTGCTCAGGGGGTGGAGCTCCTCACCGTTCTGACCTGCATGGCGCCCTCTTCCAGGATGAAGCGTAAACACGTGAAAGGCAGATGTGGGGAGCTGGGCTGTTGAAGCCCAGCACTCAGGCTGGGATGAGCTTCGGGTTGTGTTTTGCTCTGCAGATAGCCCCAGAGCTCACTGCTCAGGTTGCAGGAACCCAGCCCGTGGCAGAAGTCGGCAGCCACACCAGTGCTCTGCTTGCCTTCCAGGTGTTGTTCTATTTTTAGCTCCCAGATGTTAGAGCTTCTCCTCTCACCTCAGCCCACTCTCCGTTTATTGATTCCGATCCCTGGGTGGTCACTTTTGTCTCTTCTCAGTTAGGAAGGGGGGTAAGATCCAGAGCCACAGGTGAACTCGCCTGTATTGAAGTCTTTGGGCCAGGTCTGTAATGATCTGACTTCTCCCAGAACCCCCTCTTCTCTGGAAGTTCCAACTGTGCACTGAGCCCATTGTAGGGAGCATTTGAACCAAAACCCAGCGACACTGCTGACATTTGACTTTCAGCAAACCTTGATTGACGGTGACACACCATGCTTCGAGAAGGAATGAGCTGTCCCCCCACTGTGGATAATTGCTTTGTGCTAACAGTGGGATTGGCAGAGCTGCACATGTCAGACATGGGCCTGCCCAGGAACAAAAATGGCACCGGGAACCTGCCAGATCGCTCCCCGCTGCAGGGTCATTTCCCCAACCTTCTGAAGATGTGGGAACCTGCCAGACTGCTCCACGCTGCGGGGCCATTTCCCCAGCCTTCTGAAGAAAAGTCATCCGCTGCATCACACAAACTACTCTGGCCCTTGGCAGGAAGGGAGAGCAAGCCCGGGGTGGATCGTACAGGACCTGATTTATTTCCAGGGGACAGAGAGTCAGCAGCTGGTACTGCCGAGATGGTCAGAATCTATGTTGTCAAAGTTACTTTAAATTGTTTGTGTTCTCTGTTCCTCACATAAACAACTTCCAATGGAGAAATTAAAATGCAGCCACTTATTCCAACCAGGACAGACACCTTTACTGAGCCTGGACTTCTCGTTCTGGACACTGAGGTTGGCATGCTCTCTATTTCGTTCTGGAGGAACCCAATGGAATTGAGGCCAAAAAATGCCCACTGCATGGGGGCCACTAGTGCACCAAGAAGGCTGTTTCCTCCCCATGCCACTCCCCAGGCGAGTGAACGTAGAAGCACCTCACAGTGAGCCGACACTGTGAAGAGCCCTGAGCACCGAGGGCCCGGGAGAGCCTCGCGCTGTGGCCCAGGCAGGAAAATGGTGTGTGTTTCCCTGTGCAGGTCCCTGGGACCTGCAGCTGTGCGTTTTTTTTTATTATTCTTTTTCTTTCTTTCTTTCTTTCTTTTTTTTTTTTTTAGACAGAGTCTTGCTCTGTTGCCAGGCTGGAGTGCAGTGGCACGATTTGGCTCACTGCAATCTCCGCCTCCCAGGTTCAAGCAATCCTCTTGCCTCAGCCTCCCGAGTAGCTGGGATTACAGGCATGCACCACAATGCCCAGCTAATTTTTTGTATTTTTAGTAGAGATGGGGTTTCACTATGTTGGCCAGGATGGTATCCATCTCTTGGCCCTTGTGATCTGCCTTCCTTGGCCTCCCAAAGTGCTGGGATTACAGGCATGAGCCACGGCCCCCTTGTCGGAGCTGTGGACTTTTTAAGGACATGGGCAGCCAATTAGAAGCATGAGAAGTCCAGCTGGAAGGACGCAGGCAGCAGGCCGGATGCCTGGGAGCCAGCCCCAGACCTGCTGCTAACCCCCTGTGGAGTCTTGTGCAAAGGTTTAGCTTTTCTGAGGTTGAGTTTCGTCTTGGAGAAGGATGATCTCAGCTTTGACGATGAGAAGAGATGGCCCTATGTCTGGCACTATGTCAGATCCCCCACCTGGCTTCAGGGGAGGGAGGGCAGGCTAGGGGACAGTGTCTGAGGCTCAACAGAAGACCTCGGAAGCAGGAGCCTTGGTGAAGAGAAGTCTCGGGGCAATGACAGCTGTTGCCTTCCCATGGAGGTGGGGAGAAGGTGGGGTGGGCCTGGTCTCTGTCAAACGTCCTGGAATGGGGGTGGATCCATGGTAAAGAAAGAGATTTTCAGACATTGTCCTGGCTCACGTTGAAATGGGCAGCCCCGTGAGGCTGCGAGTTTGCCATCTCAGGAGAGGGGCAGTGGGATAACTTTCCCTCAAAGATCCTGCAGGGGTCGAGACAGGCACCCCAGGGTCCCGCTTAGGCTGTGACGATTACTAGGGTGGTGGCCTCGGAAGTCCGGTTATCTGATTCAGATCATGTGTCTTTTTTAAATTGTATGTACAATGAACAGAACCCATTCATTCATTTGTATCTCTATGTGCAATGGGTTATAATAGACTCTAGGATGTTGAGTCTCTGGAAGACACGACACTGTGTTTGGCAGATTTTACTGGAAAAAACATTCTGCATGAGTGATATTAGTTTTAAATTCCCACCCAGGGATGTTGGACATTGACTAATTCTCCCATCACCTTTTGTAAATGGGTAGGATCCCGCCCTACGTAATAAACAATCCGTATCCCACAACAGAGCCATCCAGAAACACCTTCGCTGAAATGATCCCAGCCTACATAAACCAAAGAGACGGTGTTCCCATCCACCTCAAATTTAAATTGATGCTTTGTTTAGCACCAAATAAAGTGCAGCTTTGTTAACTACCACCTTATCCTCCTGTCCAGGGAGACCAACTGATTGCTTCTTAAAGCCACGAATAGACAAAGTAAAAATCCATAGCTACATTAGTTGCAGGTTACTGGTCAATAAATGTTCATTAAACAGTGCACGGGTTCTATTCAGTCTACAATGTCATTTGTTTCCTATTTTTTATTAGCTTTGATCATACAATAAGGCTTTTTTTTTCTTTTCTTGGAGCAGTAAATCTGCATCAATACAAGTAAATCTCCACCTAACATGAGGCATTGCATCTTTATTAGTGAGAGAACAGTGCTGCATGCAAACTCCCTCCCCGGCCCTCCGTCCATCTCCACACTGCAGGGAGCGTCTTTGCAGAGGTGGGGAGAGCTGCTGGGCATCTGCGTGGAAAAGGAAGAAGGAACCGAACCATTAATGCTAATGGCCAGTTAGGGCTTGGAGCTTCCATGCGACATGGGCCTCTCCACTCAGGGACTCTCTCCCCTTTTCCATTCCTAACACTACCTGGGTCCAGTGTCTGGGGACTGCTGTGAGTCCACACATTTCTCCCACAGTCTCTGTTCAATGGCCCGACATAAGGAAACGGGGGACTCTTTCTGGCCCAGACTCAGACACGATCTCTCAGGGTCTGGGGCTCTGCGTGTATAAAATGAGTCTCCTGAAACTTGTACAACTCAGGAGTTAGCAAGACCGGGAGGAGTAAATGAAATCTTGAGTGTGAAGCCAGCATCAACCTGTCTCAGTTACTGTCCTGCCCACCTTGACTGTGCATACCTCAGTCACAGTTTCTAAACTGAGATACTTCATCTAAACTGAGTCACTTCATCGTACATTTGCATTTCAATAAAAAATATCTTATTTTTTTAAGGAAAAAAGTTCCCTACTATAACACTTGTAAATCAAACGGGGGGAAAATGGACATTTACTTTTTAACTTTTCATTCCAAAGAATGAACAACTCATCAGATATTGGGCAACCTAATCGTTGAAAATCTTCATTTGGAGGCGGGGGCCCTCCAGTGAGCAGGGAAACCACCGTGAATGGAGGCTGTGTGAACATTTGCATTTGAAAACAATTGATCTTTCATTTGCTCAAGAAATATATACAGGGTTATTTTTATTATTCTTTCACTGATTTAGTTCAAGTTCCTGATGCTCTTCTGGGAAAAAAAAAAAAGATTTTTACTCAGTAGGGGGGCCTGTTGCAGTCCACAAAAGGTCAGATTAGAGTGTCAACATTTGTCTTATTGTAGCACCCAGAGCCCTGCATGGGAAGTGCCCCTACCACCCTTGGAGAGCTCTGGGATCACCTGGAATTCACGAAACCACCTTCCCAGTGGGCACCCAAAATGCTCCTCCCTTAGGAAGAAATTTATAAAGCTCAAACTTTAAAAAGCTTGATTACGATACTCACCTAATATGCTTGAGTCTTAACCGTCACTTTTAGGAGGGTTCTGCTTTCACATTTCATCCTTGACACCTTTGAAATATGCTAAATTTCAATTTGCTTCCTTTATCCTTTTCCTTGGCAGTCTCTCAGGATTCTAAAGAAAAATGCAGCTCTGCTGTTTCCCAGCTTGCTGGGACAGGAGATGGGGTGAGTCCACCTACACAGCTCAACTGGGGAAGGGAATGAGCCCAGGGGCTTGGGCCCACAGCAGAAGGTGCCTGGCCCACCCCGTCTCTGTCCCGCAGCACGGCTCAGTGACCGGCTCCGGAGAATCACGTTCCTCGGCAATTGTGCCTTTGTGCTTAACTTCATTTTTTCCTATGATGCCAAATTACAAGCAATTTGGAAATTTCAGGAAAAGGAGACTGAGATCCATTTTTAAAAAATAACCTCTCTGACTTGAAAGTTTTGATCAAGTCCCGATTGTAGAGTTCAACTGTTTGTGTTCAGAAGGAAACATGGCACTCATTAGCTTGAATATCCTGGACACATGGCTAACAGTCAGTAGGAAAAAAAAATTCTGAGAAAATGGTGCAAGCCAGATGGGGTTATTGCACCGTTGTGTGAAACATGGGCTTATTTACCATAATGGGAGCGAATGCGGCCCCATTAGCACAGACGGCCTTTCCTGGGATGATGTCATAATTGGCCTTAGAAAGCATTCAGCCACATTTAGCCACTCTCTAAAAATTAAACTCTGGTTTTAAGTTGCCCCATGCATAGGCCTGGCAAAATACAGTTTTTAATTTTTAAAAGAAATGTATATATGTGTGTGTGTGTGTGTGTGTGTGTGTGTGTGTATGCTAGAAAATTCAAAACGCCCCTTGTAGAGAGCCTCCCCCTTGCATGAGCTCATGGAGACGATGGTTTATAATCCTGGTGACACCAAAGTGACCCTTTCAAACTGGAGAAAATGCAAGCAGGGGTTTGAAAAGAACAAAAGAGAAGCAGTAAATTAGGGGTAAATAACCAACTCCAGGCACTTCTATTTTCAGCCCTGAGAGAGGAAGCGATAGCAGTAAGGAGGGCTGTGTTTCTCCATCCGACCCCAATGCTGGCTGGAACCCACTCCCCGATGACCACTGCCCCCGGCCGAGCCCCTACAGTCACCTGGGGACAAACCTACCCACCAAAGACCCAACACGTCCCTTCGTTCCCCTTGGGCCGAGTGCTTAGACTTCTTCCCCAGGCGGCAGGAGGAAGCAAACAAAGGTGGAAGGCTTGCCTGGCATTCCTCCTTGTCCTCAAGCATTGGATCATTCTCCTGCATCGTCTCCTCAAATCACCCGAAAAGGTAAGGACTGCCCTGTTCTATCCAGAGGGAGTCTTCGCCACAAGGGCCATCACTGCCCTACATGTTTGGACAGCACATTTTTCTGCCATCTTCACAACCATCTGCACGTTTGGGGTCCCAGCCAGATGCCCAGGTGAGTGTGGCCGAGCTGCCCGCACGTCCTCACTGTGGGGCTCCAGGGAGTCATAGGTTCCCGTGGGGGCTGTGCCCTGGGTGTAGGGACTGAGTGGGTTTGAGAGGCAGCTGGGACCTCTGCTGTTCTGCAGCACTGCCCCTGCCCTCGCACCTAGGGCTTCCACCCTTGACTGTGGAAAGCCTAGATGTCTCCAGACCTGTCCTCAGGCTGCCACTCCACTCCCAGGCAGCTCAAGGTGGCATCTGTTTCCTGTTCTCAGTGCCAGTCCAGCCCAGTGAGCATGCACCACCTGCCCCAGGTTCAGGTTCACTGCAGAGTGCTCCTCTCCCATGGCCTCCCCATGCACCCTCACCCCTGACATCCAATGCCAGCCCGGGTCCCCAGGCCACTGGGGTTCTTCCCAGGACCTGGCCATGCACAACTCTGGACAGCAGCCAAGGCACAGAACCCGTGGCTCCCACGTGGCTCCTTCTACAGGAACATCCAGCACCCATCGCCACTTGCTGAGGGCTCCCTGAAGGCCCACTCAGAGGCTCCCCCTCCAGCCCTGATCCCTGTCAGCCTAGTCCCTTAGGCCAGTATAGCTCCTCCTGCAAGGAGACAATGCGCCACGCCTTGTTCAGTCCCTAGAGTCACTTTGCACATTGGCATTCAATGAAGATGTGGTTGTTTCTAATGCCTTCAATTAGGAGGCCAACCTTTTCCCAGTGTGGGCCAAGGCACACGGGCTTTGTGCTGCCCAGAGAATCGGGCCTTGCAAGGTGAATGCTGATTTCTGTGTGCTCCAAGTCCGGGAAGGGTTGCCATGAGAAAAATCGGACTGGCTTTTTAGCTGGTGGGCTTCTTAGCTGGTGGGCTTCTTAGTGCTGCTCACGTTTGACTATACTGAGAATCTCAGGTGACTGCAACCATAATGGACCATGAGCCCCTTTTCTGAGGAAAACCCGGTATGAGAAATCCCCTTGTGAAATTTACATTTCTAAAATACTTTCTCACATTATAGCTTCCTTAATTCACTTCACACCCCTGAATAGCCAAGGGTGACAGTGACCTGGATTACAGGCAAAGGCCCTCTGGTCCTGACTCATGGCAGGTGGCACCCCTCTGCCCCTTGAGCTGTCTTGGGTGGGTGACGGAATGGTGGCAGGAGCGTCCCACGGGTTGAAGTGGTGTTTGTGATGCATGGCAACAATGCTTTGTGAAATGCTGTGTCCCCGATTAGACAGCAGCATCTGTTTGGGTGATGTTGGCCTGCTCCGGTTGGAAGCCAGGAGTGGGGTCTGGTCCCAGAAGCAATGGGGCCTGGTGGCCCAGCGCCCACCACCCCTACCCCCTGGACCACCCACCTGGGCCAGCACCTGTTCCTCCCAGCAGACCACCTGGAGAGGTCACTTGCTATGAACAGAACTTGGCCCCCACCACCCCGTGCCTCCCCTTGATGGCTTCACCGTGGCGTCCATCGGACAGGCTCTGCTCAGTCACCAGCTGAACTGGCTGTGATTCTCTCGGAGAGAGCGGCGTGGCCAAAGGTGCGATCTCAGGTCGGTGAGGTCAGTGTCTGAGCCTCTTCTTCACCCTAAAGCCTGGAGGGGCAAGGCGGGGGCAGGGAGCAGTTGTCTTGCAAGGTCTCTAGGGCTTCTCCAACCTGGAGTTCACCCATGTTCTGCTGATACCGGGAGAGCAGCCTACAGGGTCCACCGGGAGCAGTTCTGGAAGGTGGCCTGGGCCAGAGGAGGAAGGTTACATCAACAGTACACAGGAGCCTGGGCTCCTGACATCCTACGGAGAATGCAGAATCACGTGCTGGGCCTGCAGGATGGGTGGAGCTTCCTCAGGACCCCAGTCCCTGCCTGCCATGGAGGGGCCAGAGTGGAAAGGCGTCCCTTGAACGAGAGCCAACACTCATGTGACTTGGTGCTGCAGTGGCTTCCGAGCCATGCAACCTGCGTGGTAGTGTTTAGGTGCCCCGAGGGTGAACTCCTCAGGACAGAGGTGATTCACCCATCAGTGCGTTTCTTCACTGGTGTCCCTCAGGGATGTGAACATTTCGGTCTACCATTGACTACATAAACGGATTCCATCTTGTAAATCTATTCTTTACAGTGATGTGAAAGTGTATATATAAACCAAGACCTCTCATTTGAAATATTACTTTCACTTCAGTAAAATTAGACTTCCCGAACTCTTAAAATCCAACAAATAGAATCACTTAGGCATTAAGTAGAGCTAAAATTAAGAAAGAAGAAAGAAGACCCCATTCCTCAAAGCCTTCCTTTCATTGAACTGCATGATTGCAATGTTTTCCGCAGCGTGTTTGATGTTGACCTCTGCCCAGAGTAGGGTGAGCCCGGCACCTCCCTTGTACTCAACTTGTGAAGCAAACACAGCCCTCGAGGGTGCTGGGTGCTGTCCTCCAGGACGAGGGGGAACGGGAGACTGCAGACTGCTCAGCTCTCCTGTGGAGGTAGAGAGCTAGGCCCTTGAGATGCGGCTCCAAGCACATCACCAGTAAAGAAATGGCCCTCACCACCGCCCTGGATGCCGGCGACGTTCCCAGGGCAAGTGTGTCTTGATGACCAGCTGGGAGTGTCTCTGTCGCTGCGCCCTGTGCCCGCTGCCTGGGGTCTCTGGAGACGCGGCTCCCGCCTCCGCCTCCTTCCCTGCCCAGGAGTCTCCGAGCTTAGGTCAAAGCAAAGGCAGCCGCGGCCACGCACCGCAGAGCGCGGGCTGACCGCTGGGAGAACCATAAACCTCGCAGTGTGATGATCAGCTGAGCAGTAAATTAATTAATCATCATTTTATGCCTCATCAAGCACTTTGCTGAAGCTCTCAACAGGGGCCCTGGGCTGAGCCAATGGGAAGCAGACTGTTTTGTTTAGCTGGGTGAGCCTTCCATAAACAGGGGAGGCTTTGACAAGCTAATAAATATGTCATTCGTTCTCTGCCACTGGCAGCAGCCGGCCCCACCTGCAACGTGGTGGGATTCTGCCCGGCCTGGTGGGCAGTGAGTGATGGCAGAAACGGGCCCAGGGAGGTGGCAATCGGAGGTGCAGGGAGCAGCAGGAAGCTCTCAAAACCTCCTTTCAGCTTTAGGGGAGAAATAGCACACTCTTCTCTCTCTGGCGCCTCACAGTTTACCCCCCAGAAGCGGAGTGATGTCCTGACAATTGTCCTTCAAGTTTGGCCTTTGTATTCATCACTCAGAGGTCTGCATGGGTCTCTTTTCTTCTCCTCGAGCTCCCTGCATTGAGAGTGGATTTATCATATTTTCAGGATGTCCAAGCAAAGCATCAATCCAGGGGTAGATGTCCAATTTCAGGAGGTGCTATGCACAGGTGTCACCTCCTCAGCTACTTGGAAACACATCCTAGCAGCTTCTAAGGAAAAAAGTTTCAAGCTAACCTCAACTCATCTCTCTTGAACAAAAGACGGTGGTGTGGACATCACCATTTTTTAGGAAACTAGGCTTTGCAAAGCTAAATAAAACTGGATATTTGGGTCATAATGCCGATGACTTTTTCATAGGTTTTGCTTTATTTCTTTAAAGCCAAATGCAAAATTCAATACTGTCGAGGCAGGATCTAGCGGCACCAAGAAAATACGAATGGGAGTTCCTCCCAAAGCTCTGATTCGCCGATGAATCTTAACCAGTCTCTTAAGTGAGTTAAAAATGCCCTCAGATATAATTTTTGAACAACAGCCGTATCAGGCATAGATTCAGTTTCTCAACTGCAAATGACACATAAATGGCAGGTCCCATGAGAAGCTGCATCATTCCAGTGCCATTTCCTTCTCAGATAATAAAGGAGACCCTGGAAAACCACAAAACCCTAGTGAAAATGGTATCTTATGTCCAGCTCTTCATCCCTGCACAGTGCTTTCCTCCACGAGTCTACAGAGAACTTCACAAAGGCATCAAACCCTCATCTCCAGTTCTGACTCGCAGTTTACACCACTGAAGATTCAGAACGCTCAAGAACAAAGGGACCTGGCCCTGGTGCTCCTGTAAAAGGTCTTTGGGCTCTGGTCCACAGCCCCCTTCCAGGACAGCAGGCAGAGGCTGACACTGTCCCTAATACAAGTCTGATAGAAACACCAGGACCTTCCCAGTTGCTCTCCTAACTTCCTGTGAGGGCTGTGCAGATGTTGACAGGCTCTGCTTACATGCCTCTGTGTCCAGAATCTCCTAGGCTTTTTGGGACTGACCACAGGAGCCAGATGAGGACCTGCAGTACACCTGACTTAACTTTGCTGTGCCCCTGGACACCGTCCATTCCAACTTCCTCGCAGCGCCTGGTGAAGGGCGGACACTGTGTTCACGGCGACATAAGGCAGGCCAGCATGAGCTCCACCCGCTCTCGTCCCAGCTCCAAATCACCGTCGAGTTATGGAGAGATGGCACCATTTTCCTCTAAAAGAAACCAGGATAGCAGGTCTTGGAACGAGCTCTATGGTTTTCACAGAACAGCTTTCTACTCCTCCACGTCGCATTTGGAACACATGCCCTTCTTTCCATTCTTTATGTGATTTTATTCTAAAGATGAAACCGTGAGACTGCTTTTAAGGGTAGGAATGAACTTGCTCTGTTCTGCACACCAGGCGTGGCCCTCCTGTAGCACTGACACCATATGTGTCATTACATGTGGAAAGTCAAGTTCCAGGATGGATTGTAAGGGCAGGGAGTGCAGACCACGTCTTGTCTCTGCTACCTGTGACCCTGTCCTCCCGGGGGATCAAATGAGGGCCTGGCACATGGCGGGGATGCCACAGAACTGGGTTCCAACAGAGACCCCAGAGGAGCAGGACAACAAGAGTGGGTTGCCTTGGAGTTGATCGCTCTTCTTTAAATGTTTCCTTCCTTTTATATTTTCAATTTTCTTAGTTTTGAAACGTAGTTCATGAGAAAGAAGGAAAAAAGAGAAAGGGAAAAAGGGAGGGAAAAAGCTCAAGTTCAAAGTCAGAGACATTGTCTAATCCTATTTCTATTCTCGCTCTGTCTAGTTTAGTTGCTGGAAGCAATGAGGAAGTCCATGCATGGAGGCAGCATTTCTCACACAAGATTCTCTAGGCTCTTCCATGGGGTGTTCCTAGAAGTCCCCAGCAACGGCCTCCATAGCGGGTCGAGTTTAGGACACTGCTTGCTGGTCTCCATGCTCGAGCCTCACAAGGGGCTGCAGCGCACTGAGCACTGGCATCCCCTTGGAGTGACCAGTGGCTTGGGTTGGACGTTGTTTCTCAAACCTGTTGTCCAGGGTGCCCTTATATTGAGGAACAGCTCAGGGACTGCGTCACCCATGGCACAAAACCTCCTCAGCCGAAGCCGGGGCTTCCGCATGTGCGGTTTCCTCCTCAGATGCGGGGGTCTTTGCATCTCAGGAACTCCCCTCCTCTGCGGCTTTGTCTGCTGCCCCTAGAGTTCTAGTCTCTATCGCTTCAGGGGCCCTGAGAAATTAACACGAAATGCTAAGCCCCACAGCAGCCAACGGAACAGACCCCTCCCGGCCAAAGGGACCCCAAAGAAACCTTGAAAACTGAATTCTGGCCGAGTGCTGTGGCTCACACCTGTAATCTCAGCACTTTGGGAGGCTGAGGCATGCAGATCACCTGAGGTCAAGAGTTCAAGTCCAGCCTGGCCAACATGGTGAAACCCCATCTCTACAAAAATACAAAAATTAGCTGGGCATGGTGGAGAGTGCCTGTAATCCCAGGTACTCGGGAGGCTGAGGAGGGAGAATCACTTGAACCTGGGAGGCAGAGGTGGCAGTGAGCCGAGATGGTGCCACTGCACTCCAGCCTAGGCAACAGAGTGAGACTTCGTCTCAAAAACAAAAACCAACCAAACAAACAAAAAAGAAAACTGAACTCTGGCCATGATGGGATGGGTGGTGGATACGCCTCGTTCTGACCCTCCCTCGCTAACCACCCAGGCTTGGCTTTCTTCCCTAAGGGCAAACAGAACCCAGCCCTGCCAAAATCCTCCACACCTGATATCAACCACCTGCCTGATGCTTCTTCCCCTCTTGGAGATATCAACAAAACAAGCAACCAGGTTCCTTCCTGATGGGAGACCACCGACCCCAGAGTGGTTCTGGCCAGTTTGGGGAGGGTGCTCAGGGAGGGTTTCCATGGCCTCTGCTTCATCTTTTGACTTCAGAGGCCCCAAAACTCCACCCTGGGCTCATGCTAATCCCACCGTGCTTTGAACATGGGTCCCATGGAGAGGCACAGAGCTCAGTTACACATGCACACGCTTCTCCTTCCATGAGTATCCACAACTCCTCCTGCAGCTTATGGAATACGAGTATTTGGCCACCCTGTTCCCACACAGATCCTGTCTGATTCTTCCCTCCCTCCGAGTGCCTGTTCCAGGCTTCTGGACAGAGCCAAGGCTTCCCAGCCTGTGGAATGGCCACCCTGCCAGATACAACCCTTGATGAAAAATAAAATTCTCCTTTCCAACTTAGGAACCTCGTCATTCTTCAGCTGACAGACTTATGGGTTGTGTTATTCACACTTCCTATACATTTTTTTCTAATTAATTTATTTCATGCATTCGAGACAGGAGTAATAGTGACTTGAAGGGACAAAAATTGGTTTATGGGGGCAAAACCCTTACTTTCTCACATATGAAGCATGATACTCAGTGCACATAATACATCGATAGATATATTATATGTCTATAACATCTGTGTGGGCAGCAAGTGAGGGGAAAAGTTTACAAAAGCTCATCGGATAGCAGTGATGAAAAATAAGTTTGAGAAACACTGACTTATTTGTCAAATTATGAACAAAGCATATTTGAACCTACCACTGTAATTGCATCATCTTTGCTTTCTATGGATATAAACGCACATGTTGTGTTTATATTCAGCTGCTTTTTATTTTTAAAAAATGAGAATGCCACAGCTTTTTTGTAGATGGCACCTTTTATCATGATGGAATGTTGCTGTAAGTGCTGTCTGGTGTGCTGGGCCTTTGCGTCCACTGTATTCAGTGGTAACATTTCTACTTCTGGTTTCATTTTGTTTGATTTCAGTGGAATATATTGGCCCATCCCTTCAATCTTCTCTTCAGTGGGATACATTGACCCATGCCTTCAATGTTCTCTTGTTACTTGATCTTGAGGAGTTTCTTGCAAACAACAGAGCTGTATTTTCTTTTATAATCCAATCCACCCCTGAACACTTCAATGTGAGTGTTCAGCCCACTCACCTTCAGCTCCATAACTTGATAACTGATGGGCTGGGCTCTACCCCACCATATTTCATGTTTCCTGTCTGTTGCACCATGTTTTTGCTGCTTCTTCCTCTTCTTAATTTGTAATCTTAGTAAAGTTTCTGTTTATTCTGCTGCTCTGCTGTGACAACCTTAAGTTATGGCCTAGTTAGGAGAGCTGTGCCCATTACCAGGTTAATCTGCCCACCCTGGCCCTTTACCACCTAAATTTATCATTTCTCCAAATTCCTGCATCTCCCACATACCTGGGTTTTGCTAAAGCATTCTTTAATACTTAATTTGCTTGTAAGTTCGAGGAATAAAATACTGTAAGTTTGACGGCTTGAAATTCTATCCTGACTTTTGTCTTTTCGTGTCTTGAGATTTCTGATTCCGTTGTCATTTGATAAGCTACTTCCTGATTATTTTCTTTACACAGAAAACAGGATGACATTCTCTCAAACTCCTCACATGTGCAGAATCATTTACATTTGTCCCGAAAGACGAACCACATCTTGGCTGGGGATGCAAAGTCTCATCTCACCATCGTCTTCTCTGATGCACTGCTACCTTCCAGTTTCTAGTTCTGCGAATGGGGAAACTATACTATAGAGAGTGGTCTGTATCAAATAAATGACACAAGACACTCAGGGATGAATTACCCAGTGAAGTGCCTGGGTAAAGAATTCTACAAGTTTTCTGAGGAAGCAGAAATCAGGCTAGTATGTTAGAATAGGTTTAAGGAGAGGGTAAGATTTAAGCAATTTTTGAGAGAGGGGAGGTGGAGAATTATGCCAGTTAAGTGGGGTCATGTGAGCAAAAGCGGGGATTGTACCTGGCAGGAGGACCCTGTGATGAGCTGCAGGGTGGGATTGGGACCAGGCTGTAGAAGACGAGGCTGGAGAGGCAGTTAGGATCCAGATGCAAGTGGTGTTGCCTGACACGCTTCGAACTTTCCAGCTGAATGCTGTGGCTGAGAGTCACCGATGGCTTTCAGATGGTGAATCACTTGATTAAAGTAGATTTTATTTGCTTTTAGATTTATTTCACTTTATTTTTAAAATTTCACAACTAGATATGGTTATTGTAACAACTGAAACTACTCCATGGTATGTAAAGAAAACATCCACGGTCACCCTTGAGCCTCCCACTGCCCGGTCAGTAACCCCTGCCTGCACCCCTTCCTGCTCTGTCCACACCGCTCAGTGTGGGGCAGACACTCCTGGGAACTGTTTTACTTCAGTAACACGCAAATATAAATGGAGGATTCTGAAATTCCCCCTTTTCCATAGAAAACGTGTTATGGCCACCCTACATACCAATATGTAGAGATTTAAGATACTCTTTTTAATAAAGTCGCATTATATCTTGTAGTATCTATATGCCATTATTATTCAACATCTGAATTAATTTTAAACAACAAACATGTTAATTTTAATAAATTAATATTAGACATGTTAATTTTAAACAAGATGTGTATTATTGCAGACTAGTGATCTTATTTATTTTATTTTATTTCATTTTATTTTATTTTATTTTTACTTTAAGTTCTGGGATACATTTGCAGAATGTGCAGGTTTGTTACATAGGTACACATGTGCCATGGTGGTTTGCTGCACCTATCAATCCATCACCTAGGTTTTAAGCCCCGTATGCATTAGGTATTTGTCCTAATGCTCTCCCTCCGTGTGCCCCCAACCCCCTGACGGGCCCTGGTATGTGATGTTCTCCTCCCTGTGACCACGTATTCTCATGGTTCAACTCCCACTTATGAGTGAGAACATACAGTGCTTGGTTTTCTGTTCCTGTGTTAATTTGCTGAGAATTATGGCTTCCAGCTTCATCCATGTCCCTGCAAAGGACATGATCTCATTCTTTTTGATGGCTGCATAGTATTTCATGGTATGTATGTGCCACATTTTTTTACCCAGTCTATCACTGATGGGCATTTGGGTTGGTTCCATGACTTTGCTATTGTAAATAGTGCTGCAATAAACATACATGTGCATGTGTCTTTATAGTAGAATGATTTACACTTCTTTGGGTGTATACCCAGTAATGGGAATGCTGCGTCAAATGGTATTTCCAGTCCTAGATCCTTGAGGAATCTCCACACTGTCTTCCACAACGGTTAAACTAATTTACACTTCCACCAACAGTGTAAAAGCTTTTCTATTTCTCCACAGCCTCACCAGCATCTATTGTTTCTTGACTTTTTAATAATTGCCATTCTGACTGGTGTGAGATGGTATCTCATTGTGGTTTTGATTTGCATTTCTCTAATGATCAGTGATGTTGAGCGTTTTTTCATATGTTTTTTGGCCACATAAATGTCTTCTTTTGAGAAGTGTCTGTTCATATCCTTCACCCACTTTTTGATGGGATTGTTTTTTTCTTGTATATTTGTTTAAGTTCCTTGTAGATTCTGGATATTAGACTTTTGTCAAATGGGTAGGTTGCAAAAATTTTCTCCCATTCTGTAGGTTGCCTGTTTGATGCTAGTTTGTCTTGCTGTGCAGAAGCTGTTTAGTTTGATTAGATCCCGTTTGTCAATTTTGGCTTTTGTTGCAATTGTTTTTGGTGTTTTAGTCATGAGTGATCTCATTTATATCAAGCAAACTTCTCCAACTGGGAATGCTAGATTATAGGGAGGATGAATTTTAAATTTTAATTACTATTGTTCAATTATATCCCTGAAAGATTGTAGCAATTTTGAGATAGAAACTGTAGGTCCCTGAAAGGGGAACATTGGAGGTGAATGACAATTTGTCTCCTGTACATTTTCATCTCCTGAATGCTTGCTTCTCCAACTATGTTACAAGATCATGATAGCGGAAACTATTTTTAAAATATCATAGCCATGATAATGTGCCACAGGTAATGGAGTCAAAAGATAGATTGAGTGATAGTTATTTGCAGATTTGCTGGAAAGCTAGACCAATCGGCAGGGTCTTAGAGTGCAAGGATTTTTGTCTGCAGGGCTTTCTTAGATCATTATAAATGTATTATTGCATGGATTCAAGAACAATATCGCCACCAATTACTCTTTCTCATATTTCCACTAAAAAATCCACTTAACAGCATGTCCAATAAGCACGGTCATGAAAATGAACAATTATCAGCATATTAAAAACATAGAAGGATATAGGGATAGGCAGACACATAGATGATAGATGATGATAGATAGATGATAGAGAGATAGATAGATAGATAGATAGATAGATAGATAGATGATAGATAGATGATAGAGATAGATGATAGATAGATAGATAGATAGATAGATAGATAGATAGATAGATAATAGATAGACAGATTCAGCTTTTAAGGTAATTTTTTATTGCACAGAGAAATAAAACTGCCATTCGTGTCAGCTGTCCCCAAATAACAATAAATATTTGGTCCACATTTCTTAGCCTATAGCCCAGGCACGAAATTTTTAAATGTCCTTTCCTTATTTGTAACTTAGAAAAGTTATGTTAACTTCCTGAAGTTAAAATCAAGAAAAGAAAACAAATCAGCAATATTTAAACAAACTGGCAAGAAACAAACCACAACGAACCAGAAGTGACCGCTGCTCTAGAATTCTTTGCAAGCTGCAATGGGAGCTGGTGTTTAGAGGCCAAGGAGCCACACCTCTCAGGGAGTCAGAGGACCTCCTGGCTCCAGGCCCACATGTGTGTCCTCAGTAGCGTGGGTGCCTCACACTGATTTTATGTAACTTCTGTCTCCAAAAGCTAGAGAGTGTACTTTCTTTTCAGGAAACATACACAGGTGGTCTATTTTCCAGGCTTTTTCCTCAGAACATTTTCACACATGAAAGATGACGTCTAAAAGACTGAAATCTTGGTGTAAGTCACCTGGGTCTTCACGTGTCAAGTTATTTTTTGACCTCCCGTCAGCTGGAAGCACAGAACCGAAAGCTGAGCTAACTTAACTTCTTATTTTTATTCTTCTAAATGCTTGCAGGTATACATATACATATATATATATATGGTATTTAGTTTTCTGTTTCTTCATTAATTTGCTTAGGATAATGGCCTCCAGCTCCATCCACTTTGCTGAAAAAGATATGATTTTATTCTTTTTTATGGCAGCATACTATTTCATAGTGTATATGTACCACATTTTTGAAAATTTAATTCACCGTTGATGAATACCTGGGTTGATTCCATGTCTTTGCTATTGTGAATAGTGCTGCCTGCAATAAACATATGAATGCAGTCGCCTTTTTGGTAGACAATCTATTTTCCTTTGTGTTTATACCCAATACTGGGATTGCTGGGTTGAACGGTAGTTCTATTTTTAGTTCTTTGAGAAATCTCCAAACTGCCTTCCACAGGGGCTGAACTAAGGTGCATTCCCACCAACAGTGTATATGTGTATATATTGCTGTATATGTATATACACATATACAAATACATATTATATATATGCTTTAAAAAATTGCCAGAGTCCATGTAGGTGTGAGTGTGTCTAGATGGGGACTTCTTTAGTCATTTTGCCTAGAACACTGAAAGCCATTTTAATCCATATAATCTCTTACCATCTGAAAAAGTTATTTTTTCCCCATTGTCTTTTCAGTTACTGCTGTTCTTCTACTTCTTGTAATTTCTTCCTTCGGAGAGCTATGGCTCTTAGGTTGAGCTTTCATTTCCTACTCTCCACATACATCATGCTCTCTTTTTAAATCAGTTTTTTCTCATCATCTATGTTCCCACTTTCTTAGAGACATGCTCCATCTGTACTTTGAAATCTGATTTAACTTTTTAAGGTGTAAATTCTGCTTCTGGTTTCCTCAAGTGCAGGAGATATCTTTTCTCTCAAAATTGTACTTTTTACCATTTCTGACTCATCTGTGTCTTTTAATGCCAGCCTGAAGGACGTTTCATGCCCTCAGTGTCTTCCCATGTCTCAATCTCTGCACTATCTTTCAGAATGCTGCCTCTGCTTCCCAGGGACCGTGCATTCTTACATTTCTTTAAGAATATTAAAAGATATGGGAACATTTTCTTTTAATTCCTGTAGCAGCTCATCTTCTGCTCTTTTTCCCTTGCATTTATCAACCAGCCTTCACTCCATCCACCTGCCCCCTATGCTCTCCTTGACATTGCATTGCATAAGCTGAGTGGGTGGAAAGAGTGACCAGCCCAGGATGTGGAAAACAGAATTTTACCCCACTCAGAAAGGGATGTCTAATCTGTTTTCTTCCAGGTATCCACCCTGGATCTCTTGGCCCTGAGTTAGACAATAGAGAAGGGACAAGCTATGTTCTCATTTTTCCTGGAGTGCTACATTTCCTATATATGGAGACAGATAGATATTGAACAGTTTAAACTGGTTTTGTGGTTGAAATTCACCCAAGAGTCTGTATGTTTTCTTCATCTTCTGTCTCTTCAATAATATTTTAATGTGATAAATCTAGGGAAAGCAAAAGAATAATAATAATATTTTAATGGAAAGTTGGAGAGGGTAAATCAATCTAGTTGAATCTTGGTTTCTTTCCCAGGCTGCCTTGTGATACTTCTTGGTCACTCATACTGAATTATTTTCCAAAATTAAAACCACGTCCAGAAGAGACCACAACTTGCTTTAGGCCATCTGCTTGTGGACATCTGTTTGATGCCCTCGATCCCTAGTCTGAAATTCTCCATGAGCGTCCTCCTACTGAGTTGCGCTTTTTCCTCCTGATAGCAATCAGCACGTTTCCGCTCCCCAGCCTCCCAATCTCTTCCCTCTCATCTAACAAGAGATAGGGGAATCAAAGGAACCACTCAATAGGCTTATCTTCTCTTGCTGTTCCATTTTCCTTCATCGCACATTCAAAGCTCTCCTTCTGGGGCCACTCTTTCTAATCCAGAGACCACTTGTGGCGTAACCAGAAGGGCTCCCATCCATGCTCCTTCTGTGTCTAACCCAATGAAGAGCTGGCTGAACAGACCTCTGGGGGCACTCAGCATCCATTCTCAGCTGCAGATTTTCCACTAGGACACAGAGAGTAATGGCCCCTAAGAAATAAAGACCAGCCCCGTCCCTAACTCTGACAGAGCTCAATAATTTTCCCTGAAGTTGCCTTAAACCAGTGGCTGTCAGCCAGGATGAAAGGATGTATTCACAAGAAAATCAGTGCTCAAATATCAACTCTCTTTGGGTTCTCCTTGAATTTACTACCACCCTACAACTGGACGTCTTCTGAATAACCGAAACATCTCCCTTTGTGTGTAAGGGTGAGTCCTGCTGAGTGATGCGTGGGCACGAGGACCCTACTGGATCCTGTCCCCACAGAGACCAGTCAAAATGCCATGTCTGGATGCAGGCTGAATCTGTCAGGCCAGCTGCCCACGGACTCCCGGGTCCCCCTCGTCTTCCAGGAAAACCTGCCCTCCTGAACTGTCACTCGTGAGACAGTTGCTAAGAAATGATACTGAAGCTAACCTATGAACCTTTCGTAGCAAGTGCTTTCAGCATGTTTTAAACAGAATGCAAAGGGCTTTTATCAGAGATTTATGCAGCTGGTTGATAAGCAGTTCTACCACAAAAACGCCCACCAGTAATTGCAGCCAGCAGAATAGTCTGGGGCACAATGCTATGGCAACTCCCAGCCTAAAACCTCAGTGGATTTAAACAACCGAGTTTTCTTTCTAAAGCATTGGTACTACTTGTACAAGGTGTGTAGGTGAGGGGTGAGGGGGATGGATACAACCTCTGCTCATCCTGGTCACCCAGGAGCCTGGGCTGACGGAGGCCCCACCTCTGCACATGCTCCCTGGGATGCAGGCAGGGAGGCTGTGGCCCCCACACACCAGCTCTTAGAATGTCCACGTGGAAGCAACGTACACCACCTCCACTGGAATCTCCCAACCAGCGCAAGTCCCCTGTACACCCCTGGCTTCCGAGAGACGGGAAGTGAAGTCCCACAGGAGTTCCCAAAGAGAGGAACTGGAATACTTACTGTGAACTGTTCGATGGCTCCAGAAGCAATCAAACCACAGTCCCTGGTAGAATGATTGCCATTGTCAGAATAGACACATGAGAGAAAAAGAGGTCACCAGTGAGAAAAGCTACAAAGAGTGTTAGAGCCCTCAGCAAAGGACAGTGAAAAAAAACCCCATTATCAGAAAAAGATGTCTATCTCACTCCATTATTATCAAAATTAAACTTCCCATAACTTTTGATTTGCTGCTGCTTGATAGTAACCTGTGGTTTCAGGCATCTAACCATGTTGTTGTTTTTGCCTTTTGATTTGTTTGGTGCGAAACATTTTTGCAAAATGTAACTTTCCAGAAGTTGAATAGGCGCCCTGTTCCCTGGCTCCACTCATCCAACTGCGCTGTCCTAAGTGGACCTTCAGAAACACTAACTAGCGTGTTTTAATTACAGGATTTAAGAGATAGGCACTGGAAATCTGTTACTCTGCTAGTTAGTGGGAGTATCAGATTAATGGAATGTGATAAGTAATTTGTATTCTATAAGGGTTTTATTTTAAGGACTTATTTAAGAAGCTATTGTGTTCACGTGATATGATCAGATCTAATATATATATTTTTTAATTTTTATAGAGATGAACAAATTATGGGCAAAAATATCGCATAGACTGTGTGTCCCACACACCAACCAAGAGAGCGTCTGAAATGAGAATGTGGGTGATCACTGCCTCTCACCCTGTTCCAGCCAGGGCATCCACAGCTTTAAACACTGGTCTTGATGGGATGCAGAGAGGAGGAAAGGGTATTTTCAGGCCAGGGTAACTGGGAAGGACTTAGATTTATAGGGACAAGATTACTGGCTTCAATGGTGAATTATACCACTGAGAACCTGGAAACTTTATGGAATTAATTTCTCTGTTGTTTTAGAGATGACTGCTTATATTTACCAAAGCCTGGAGGCACTTTCAGTTCTACTAGGTAATTCTTTAAAGAATAAAACTACTTTTTGTCATTCTGTAAATCTCAAGAGGAGTGTCTCCTCTTTTTTTATTGTTTAAGCCACTGGGTTGAAGAATTTTCCTTCAAAACCTGATTATTCTTTTCTTAAAAATGCTCCCTCTGTAAGTAGGTGAAAGGAGATGAGAGCAGGACTTTACTCCAATTTTCAGGACAAGGTGGGAAAATTTTGCCTTTAAACAAAGTTTAAAAACAGGAATTAAACAGATGATATGTCGGAGGACACGTTCGAGAAAGCTGCAAGTCTAAGGAAGAAATCAGAAGGTGATCCCTTGAACACTGCAGTTTGGAAGGAGAGATGATGGTCTTCAGGGAAGTCTGAAGTTTACCCTGCAATGGAGGCTCTCCTTGTGATCCAGCTGAAAGTGTGGTCTTAATGAGGGCAAAAGACTTAAAAGGAGACCCAGCCAAGAATTCTGAGCCAGCCAGGAAACGATAATGCTATAATTTCTGACAGTGTGACAAGTGGCAACCCTCCCTTTTTTGAGCAGCTACAAAAATAGAAATTGCGGTACTTGCCTTCCAAGACCTCAGAGGTGTTGGCTAATGGATTGCTGTTAACAGATGCCACGCAAAGACGTAGAGCCTCAATGGACTTGGTCTGATTTTTGGCCCGGGATGTTTTTACGTTGAAGCAGAACTCAGCTGGATGAGACTCTATGCAAACAAGACCTGTCGGAAGGCGTCGGCAAAGTCTGTGCCAAGTGCAGCCCACGGCTTTCCTGGCTTTCCCGAGGTCATTATCACCCCCGGCCAGCCTTCGGGAATTTTCCCAAACCCAGAGACTCTGACTCATTTCCTTTTTGAAGCTCATTCCTCCATTCATGTCAATACGAGATGAACTGCAAACTTCATGTCCTGTCCCCATGGAGAAATGTGGAAGAGCAGGGATCTGCAACCTTCAGTTCTCCCTCCACACCCAGGACTCATTTCACAGGCATTTCAGTTCATTTCTCAGAGGGCGAAGTGACTGATGCTAGTTCCTTAGGAAGACCACAGGGGAAAAACAGTGGGGGGGAAATAAGGAAAGAATGCCAATGCCTTGTACTATGGCATCCTTAAAAAATCTTAAATCCCAGTTCTACTCCAGATGAACATATCACCAAGCAGATAAGGTGAACAGACAATATGGGATGCTTATTTCATAGACGAGGAAACCGGGACATGAAAAGGTGATGAGGACACTTACATCTGTGCCCCACTCAAATACAAAGTCAGTTGAGGGAGATTAAATGTCCCTGTGTGGCATTGTTATTTATCCGTGCTGCTGATGCTGTGCAGACGTGATACTAGAAAAATGGGGACTGACTTCAGTTCATTGTTGTTGCCCTTGCCGTTGTTAATTTGCCTTAAAACAGGGACTGGAAATGCCGGGAAGCTCTCACGAGGCCACCAGGCTGGCTCACCCAGGCAGGGGGCTTTGGTCCTGGCGGCCAGGCAGCCCCTTCCTGTGGTGACTCCCGGGCGGCCCCTTCCCGTGGTGACTCCCAGGCGGTCCCTCCTATGGTGGCTCCCAGATGACCGTCCTGATGGCGTTTCTGTGCTTCATCCTCCTTGTCACCAGTAGAATCCACTCCATCCCCATCAGGGGCCCTCCCCAGGTAGATAGAAGGAGCGGAGGCAGGAGCCGGTGGGGAATGAACGCACTGGAAGAAGCAGGTCTACCCGCCATGAGGGGTAAAGGGTTGGCAGCAGGAGCCCCGTGCCCAACGAAGGGACGTGAGAAACAAGTGTGTCCAAGGACCACAAGAGATCCAGCACCTGGCGGGTGTGGCCCGGCTGCAGGTCTGTGAGGCCAAAGCCTAAGTTATGGCAGCCAGCGCAGCCCTCAAGTGGACAGGCTTGTGGTGTGCGTCTGAAGGGACAATGGGTGTGCTCGGGTGCCGCTGAGGGAGCAGAGGTGAAAACCAGGCCTGACCCCAAATGGAGTGTGTCTTCCCAGCTTTGCCATGGGAGCGAGAGGGAGCAGTGACTTTTCCTTAGAGCCTGTCCAGTGATTGCACAGCGTCTTCCTCCTGAAGGGCTGGCAGGGAAGGAGCACTTCTGGAGGATGGAGGAGGAGAAAGTTTTCCTCACCCACCCCCAGCAGGTAGCAGGGCCATTGAAAATCGTGGTTTTAAGTTCATCCTCCCATGCAAACAACATTATCTGATTGCCACGCTCTGTATTTCACCAAAGGTGGCTTCATGGCCTCTGGAATGTGGCTCTCTGCAAGGCACATGGGTCAAGTAAAAGTTGAATCTAAGTTTATTTGTTTCAGCTAACTTATGGCAGCCTTTGGCCACAGTCCATCACATTCCCAGTGGAAAGGAAGCAAAGACCACTTTTGAGACTTTGGTAGCATTCGTTTACGTTCGAGATGTTTCTCTCAGGGACGCCTTGTGCCATTCCCCATGGCCCTGGCGGGGACGTTATGTATCTCATTTTGGAGGTCAGTGAAACTGAGCAAGAGGGAGACCAGGGCCCCTCCAGGACCTCCCAGTGGAGCTGGGCCTTCCCGAAGCCTCAGCACACGGCCCCTGTCTCCCCACCCTGGCCTTGTCTGGGCTGCACTGTGGACACCAACCAAAGTTCCCCAATCATCCCAAGCTTAGCTGAGCCCCCCCAAAACCATGAGTGATCCCCATCTCTGAGGCACCCCCCGTCAGGGGCCTTGGCAAGCGGGATCCTTGTCATGAAACTCCTCACATGGAGGACAGATGCAAGAAAACAATGAACTGATTTATTGGGCTAAAATTCAATTTCCCTCTGCTTCATTGATTTTGTACTTGTTATAATTACGGAAAATTCTTTTAAACAGCCTATAAAAAGATGCTGTTTCATCTGAGTGGGTTCAGGGTCCTATTTGGAGCCACTGGCAATCAGCTATTCTGCTCCTAGCCCCATCCCACGGGCCGGTGGTAGGAAGAACACGTCATACCGCCCCCGCTCACACTGACGTGCAGCTCACATACCCTCCGCATGCCGTGTTAACTGACTTACCTTCCCTGGATCACCTCCAGACTTCCAAATTTAGCAATCCTCAACTTAAGCACAGCTTCTTAGAGTTGTAGCCATACCTTAATGATGCAAAAAAAAAAAAAAGGCAGCCCATTAAACATAATCAGATGCCTATCTGCAGCCTGAGCTATGTAGCTGACAGCTTAGAATGAAAGAAGATACATGACTCTCAACAAGATGTGCACACAAAGCACGCTTGTTACGGTTCCTTACAAACAGGGACAGCCGATTACATCTTTCCAATAAACCCGAGTTTCATCGCCGAACTGCCACACAACGCGAAACACCCGACCCTCTCTAATAACTGGGCTAATGAAGAGGCGTCCGGGTGGCAGGAGGGGCCAGGAACGGAATATCAGAGATGCGCAGGTCACAGCCGAGGTTGCAGGCAGAGCTGAGACAGCTGGTTTAATCTAATCTCTTATCCCTATGTGTTTTTTAGGAACACTAAATTGAACCCAGATTTTACAGGATGAAAATCACATTCACCACTTAACGGAGCGACTTGGAACTTGGGTGTGTCTTCCGTGGCTCCCCAGCCTCTTTCTTTTCTGAAAATATTACGACTGTTGGGAACTCAGTTCCATCTTCATCTTTCCCATCAGTATGGGTGGGGCGGGTGCAGCTGGGAAGCTTAGCTCCCAGGGTGGAAAGCTAGGCGCGCTTCTTACCAATGATCCAAGCAGCCGCCTGGGACTGGCTTGTCAGAATTAATTGTTGTCTAGAATGTTATTAGTCGAAACACTAAATTTGCTCTTAGGGTAAAGTTCCTTCTTAATGAACTGCAATTCTTGCTCAACTCCCCCTCCCCCGGGCATTTCTCATCAATGTGATAACATCAGCCCAGGTGCTGTAACAGTCTTTAAAAATCGTAAATCTTAACCTGTCACTGAAGAGAAGGGGAGAAGAAAGGTTAAACAAGTTTCTGGAAGACGCTTTCCCAGGTGTTATTTTGCAAGTAGAGGGCTAATTGATGGTTCTGCCATCATAGTTACAACTGATAACCATCATGTAAACACTCCCTACTCTCCAAGGGAACATTCTCAGGTTGTCCCAGGGGTGCACCCCACCCCACCCCCACCCCGCCGGATGTAGTGGTCTCCCTCACACGCAGACACACAGACAGCACCTCTGGATGTCCTGATGGCTTTGAAGTGTCCAGTGCTAGCATCTGATAGGATTCCAAGGTAAAGGAACATCCACACTATCAACAGAAATCTTTATTTATTTGTTAATATTTATTTATTATTTATTCATTTATTTGAGATGGAATCTCGCTCTGTCACTCAGACTGGAGGGCAGTGGAACAATCTCAGCTCACTGCAACCTCCACCTCCCAGGTTCAAGTGATTCTCTTGCCTCAGCCTCTGGAGTAGCTGGGATTACAGGTATGCGCCATCACACCCAACTAATTTTTGTATTTTTAGTAGAGATGGGGTTTCTCCATATTGGCCAGGCTGGTCTCGAACTCCTGACCCCAGGTGATCCACCCACTTCAGCCTCCCGAAGTGCTGGGATTACAGGCGTGAGTGGCCTCGCCTGGCCTATAAACAAATCTAAGTGGCCGAAATTAAGTAAAGCATTCATCTCCTGTGTGCAGTGCCAAGATCACACCTAGGGACGGCAGCTCTCTCAGAAACAACATGTCTATTAGGAAACAACCTGGAGGAACCCCAGTTTACTCTTAGGACATCTCATCTCTCCTCATCCCAAGTTAGCTTCTAAAAGGGCTTAAGATCTGTTTCTTTCTGGTTTTAAGGCTAATAAATCTTTTTGCAAGATGTAAAAGGAAAGGAAAGCTTTTCCATGGCCACGTCCTGGAAGCAGAGAAAAGAATTTAACTTGCAGCTTCTCATCTCGTTTTCCAGCCTTCCCCTCACACAGCCTGGGGCCGTGCACTCGGACCGTGGGTAATGTAATTGGATTCCGGGGCTGAGGGTGGGAGAGGAGCGATAAAGCTGGGTGAGAATCTTCACACAAAAGCACACAGCCCATTTACATTTTCATTGGTTTCACAAAACGAAAATATAGAGCCAGTAGAGTTTTTCTAATTTTTGCCATCATTGAAAAATTAGCATTTGCCTTCATTAAGACCACTGTGATTATATCCCTGTGATATGGTTCCTAACACAGGAGGCTGGAGCACCAAGAAAATAAAAATTAAAGATGGTAATAACATTTTCATTTTCTCCTTTATATTTTTGTAACCTGGTTTTAACTGCATTTAGCTGCATTTGCTTGGGGATTTTTTTCTTATAAAAATAGCATTATGTGTGACATTCAGACTTCCATAAAAAATGATTAAAACCACAGGGTCTTTGATGATATGTATTTGAAATCTATAAATAACACCAACATAAATAGCTCCTGAAGCAACAATGGGTAGACGTAAGTCATGTCAGATTTCACTCACCGTTCAGCTAAATTGTTTTTCTGTTTTACCATTTGTAAACTAAGGAGTAAATAATTGCCTATTTCAATAAGATGGGAATATCTGCAACCTTGATCTAAGTGTAGTGCAATGCTCGACCCAGAACAATCCACCATCTTTCCAAGAAGGCATAGGACTTGCTGTGACCAGGCCCGGCTCCCCCATGTAGGGAAACCAGGGTAATTCTTGAACTTTAGAGTGAGAAAGAAAAAAAAATACATTTGGATAATATGTATTCCTGTAGCCCTCACTGTCTCTCATTTTGTCTCTGGAATTCATTCTCCATTTATCACATGGATCTCCTCATTGTAAGCATAAGGCCTCCTCCTGAAAAGTCATGATTAAAAGTTTTAATTTTAAAAAAGTAGTTGACTCAGCCGGGCGTGGTGGCTCAAGCCTGTAATCCCAGCACTTTGGGAGGCCGAGGCAGGTGGATCACGAGGTCAGGAGATGGGACCATCCTGGCTAGCATGGTGAAACCCCGTCTCTACTAAAAATACAAAAAAAAAATTAGCCGGGCTTGGTAGTGGGCACCTGTAGTCCCAGCTACTCAGGAGGCTGAGGCAGGAGAATGGCATGAACCCTGGAGGCGGAGCTTGCAGTGAGCCAAGATCGTGCCACTGCACTCCAGCCTGGGCAACAGAGCAAGACTCCTTCTCAAACAAACAACAACACCACCAAAAAAAAGGTGACTCTTGTCTTGGTGTTCTCATCTTCTCAAGAGCAGAGTGCTGTGTACACACACCAACTATTTTTACGAAATCAACCTCCATGTGGAATGATTCGCTAACAGAGTGAGCTCAAAGGTAAGAACTGAAAACAATTACACGACCAGTCTCAGGAAATGTTGAGGTCAGTTCTCAGCAGATCTGCAAGGCGAGGCCACTGAAGTCCTTAGAAGCTTACAATTGGAAATGAACCCTGTGCAATCTTCGAGATTCTCTCCTTACAAAAGCACAATAAAAACCCACGGCCAAAGGGATTTGGCAAAATGTAAGCTTTCTCTAGTAAACAGTGTATATGATAAAGTGAACTGATGCTGAAGAGATGGCCAGATCTTTGGGGTGGAAGGAGGATCATGTCCTAAACGTGGAGGGACAATTTTCACTTGAATAAATGGTTTGTGAACAATCGTCTTCAGTGCATTAGGCCCAATGTGGTTTTGAGGCTTCTTACGCTTACTGCTTCAACCTTTTTAATAAACGTGTTTGTGTTTTGAAGAGTGTGTAAGTAATGAACCCATTTTACAAGCTCTCTGAAAGTGCCAGGGCCAAGCTCCCCTATTAGATGGCTCTGAGGCTTCCTGCTTTTTTCTCCCTAGGAAGATAAGGATCTGTGCACCTGCTTGCAATGTCAGCACCCAGGGAAGAACAAGCCGACGCTTGCTTCTCGCCTCTGCCACCTCCACTGGACTCGCGGGTTGACCTCACTGCAGACAGTAGCAAGGAGGGGAGGTTCAGCCATGACCCTGCCTGGTTCTGACCAGGCTCTGATGGACCCCTGCTTAGATGGAGTCCATACTGTTGGGCAGGACCCAGTTCTTTCCTGGAGGACGCCAGGTGCCTGCCCACTCCTCCCAGACCCTGCCCATGTTTGCCATTTGCTAGCTCATCAGATAGATTCACCTTTTTTAACTTAATAAAGTTAATGTAAGACAAAGCTTTATGTTCTTAGTGTAACCAGAATCATTTGCTGTATCTAAATACAAGTATATTTTTTTAAAAAGCAAGCTACTAAATTCTAAAATGAAAATTATCAGTAACTTACAAGGAATAATGAATTGAAACCATTGATAAAAACGTTCTTCATTGAGGAAAATCAGTTTTTCTAGGAAGAAAAACGTAAATGTTTATGGTATGTCATAACAGAATGATTTGGCCTAATGTCTAGTTTAAGAAGGTGCAGTCCTATGTCAATTGAAGCCTGATATTTCTGTCTTTTTCCTTTTTCTTTTTTTTTTTTTTTTTTTTTTTTTGATTTGAGACAATGTCTCACTCTGTCGCCCAGGCTGGAATGCAGTGGTGCAATAATGGCTCATTGCAGCCTCCGCCTTCCAGGCTCAGATGATCCTCCCACCCCAGCCTCCCAAGTAGTTGAGGCTACAGGCATGCACCACCACACCTGGCTAATTTTTCTATTTCTTTTGTAGAGACAGCGTCTCACTATGTTGCCCAAGCTGATCTCAAACTGTGGCTCAAGCGACCTGCCCACCTTGGCCTCGCAAAGTGTGGGATTACAGGCATGAGCCATGGCGCCTTACCTAATGTTTCTGTCTTGTTCGGGGCGTTTGTCTTTCTGTTCACTGTGGAGAGTAATGGCTGTCCCCAACACTGGGGCAGGGGGCTTTTTTCAGGCAGAATTGCACACCTCTCAGTTCACACCGGAACTCGGTCCTGCTGCAGATTCTGACTTCTTTCTCCTTCTCTTCATGGAAAGGTTGGTCTCAGCAGCCCAGCAGAGCTCTCTGCAGTTCACCCTCCATAAAGGTTCTCCCACCCTCATTGCTACACAGTTCCTGACCCTGAACCCTAAATTCGGGCATGTTTGAATCCTTGGAAGAACGCATAGCCACCCGCTTCAACACCCCCACACACTTCCTAAATCAGGGGAGCCCAGAAGTCTAAACATCTTTTTCTAACAATAAATCAATGTAATTGCACAATCTTCAGTGTAATGAGGCCCAGCAGCTGGGCAGTGATAACCCAGGTCCTAGGAGGTCTTCCTTACACCTTTCTGCTGCCTCTCTCCCTGTCCTCCTTCCTCCCCTCCTCTCTTTCTCTCCCTCCCTCTCTCTCCCCTTCTCAGATAAGAATGGATCTGATCATCTGGCCATGCCATCATGCAAAGCACAGGCTTCCCCTGGGCTGCTCATCTCTGCCTATAACCACATCTCAGCCTGCAAACCTCGGCAAGTCAAACGCCACGAATTCCCAAAAAGGGCCACATCACTTGAAGTTGTCTTACATAGCTTGTCTGGCATGCATCTGCCAAAGTATCATCCAAAAATATTTAGAACAAAAGAACAGCAGAATCTTTGATTTGATAACTTTAATGTAGCAAAATATTTACATTAAAAACAGATCATTTGGCCATGCTAACAAAGTCAGGCCCCCCGAACGTTTCTTTTCTTTTTTTTTAATGGTCTAGGCATGCATAAACTTCTTATAATTGGCTAGTGAACAGAAATTGTTGATAGGTGTGGCCAATCCCATCCCAATTGTAAGGAAAACCCAAGGCTCTAGCATTCCAGGGCTGAGCCACTAAATGCCAGGTGCTGCGCTACCTGCCTCTCCCTGTGGGCATCCTCCTGAGTCTCGGGGCCCTTAAGCTTTATTCCATTACTTAAATATTAAGGGTAGGCAGGGACATCTTTGATGTAACTTTTGAGTCAGAAGCTCAAAGGAAACACAACTTTGCAAACTATTATTCTGCCTCTTTTGGTACTTAAATTCATGTTTACCAAAAATCACTGTGAACCTAGGAAATTTCTTAATATGTTTGTGAGTTCAGAAGTTCTAAACTTGCCACAGGTACTAACGAGCTAGCTCACTTGGATTTGATCAAATCACCAGAAACGCTCCTCTGTGTGCACATGGATTGCCCAAACACCTCTCACTAGATAAAAAGGCATTTGTAACTAACTGACCACATCGTGCACACCCCAGAAATAGTGTGTTTCACTGGGTTTACAGAGATTTAAAACCCAAAGTCTCTAGTAACATTTTCACTATATTTGATCTCACTCTAATTTGAGATAGAGAGGGAGGAAGGAAAAGATGAGTCAAAGAAGATCCGCCACTTTTATCTGAGGAACTCCCATCACTCAGCATCACATCCCGTGTGCTAAACCGGGGTTAACTTAGGGACAGCCACACACCTGGGAAAATGCTGAGACGGCCATAAAAAGACAAGGATGGGAAGTTCCCTCAGAACAGAGAGGAGCAGAAGAAGGCTGGGCTGTGATGGGGGTGATGGGGGGCGCCCCAGGAGGACAAGAAGAGCTGTGTTTCATAATTTTTAAGTTTATCAGCATTGTAAAGTTTTTCTGTTTGTTTGTTTGTTTTGAGATGGAGTCTCGCTCTGTTGCCCAGGCTGGAGTGCAGTAGCTTGATCTTGCTTGGCTCACTGCAACCTCCATCTCCTGGGTTCAAGCGATTCTCCTGCCTCAGCCTCCCGAGTAGCTGGGACTACAGACACTCGCCACTATGCCTGGCTAATTTTTGTAGTTTTAGTAGAGATGGGTTTTACCATGTTGGCCAGGCTGGTCTTGAACTCCTGACCTCAGGTGATCCACCTGCCTCAACCTCCCAAAGTGTTGGGATTACAGGCATGAGCCACCGCGTCCGGCCAGCATTGTAAGGTTTTAAAACCCCTGTGCACAAAGAAAAGAAAGCAAAATTGTTGTCTTTTGAGGTTTATAAGATTGTCACTAGCACCGTATACAGATATATGCTCAGTATGTTTTCTTTAGAGAAAAAAATTATTAATTTTATTTCCTCCAAAGTTTGGTTTTGGTCTTTTTGTCCCCCATCGAGTTCAGGAAATCTTGAGAAGTGAGAAATTAGAGCAGTCAAAGGTGTTCGCTCAACATACAGCCTCATGCTTGGGAACTTTTTGCTTTAATAAAAGGAAATTCTGCTTTCAGATTGATGTCTGTGGGGGGTTAATTCTCTTTTTTTTCCAAAATTAAATGTATCTATTTTTGGCATAAGACAAGGGATTTAAGGAACAAATGAAATAAAATGTAATCACACAAATATACACCATGAAAAACTATCATTTTTAACTCAAAGTATGATATTTTCCTTTATTCTTCAGAAAGCAATGAGTTTGTTGCCAATAGTATTAAAAGAAGTCACAAAAAATGCACACTAAAGTTGATATTTTTTAGAAATTCAAATATTACCTCAGAGGAAAAGAACAACTTGGGGAAATGCCCTTCAACACTTCCTTAAATCAGCATTTGTGTTCTCCCTCTCACTGACATAAAAGTCTCTAAAAAAGCGAAAATCATATAATGTTAAACATATTTTCTTTTCAATGAAACCTGAATTGTTTTAAGTCATTTGGAAGCATGGGTTATGTTCTTTCAGGGACTGGAAGAAGAGATTTATTTCCCTAGAAACCACAGTAGGCCAAAATCTCACTGTGAGTGATGGACGGGCCTCCCCTGCCTGCCCTGGAGCCGGTCCCCTCTCACCAGGAGGAGATCAAGCCTGGGCTGCATGCGGGAACCTCCCAGCTGTGCTCTGGGGAGACGGAGCGCCCCTCCCGCGAGCCTGCACGCTGCATTGCTCAAACTGTTTCACTCTCGGCTGGAAAGCCGTGACCCTCTTCAACTTGGTACTGCTTTTGTCGAGGGAAAGCATCTCATTTTATTAATAGAAGAAGATAAACTATAGTCTGTGACTTCTGCTTAAAGTAATATTTCAACAGTTGTTCCCTTCTAATACATTGTCTTTATTTTTACAACTATTTCCCAATCTGAAATACCTTGCAGTGTCAGCAATGAATAAGAGTTAATAGAGGGAATGCCTTGTATGGAGGGAAGAAAAAATAATAATTCAGACATGAAAAGAAAATTCAACGTTTGTCTAATAAGCAAGAAATAGAGAATTCCACAATATTGGCTGAGCCAATGTGTAGTGGCTAAAATGTCTATCTCAAAGTCTGAGGAAATAATTTATTCCAAAAACTTCATGATTTTATGATTTTCTCCCCAGCATTAACCAAAGGATCCCTGTAATTTTGACAACACTTTACCTTTAATAATAGTTACCTAAGTTAAAAAGGCTTTGACTTTATAAATCATGAAAGGCGAGCTATGCACCGTTTCCATGAGAGGAGGCGACAGGCAGGCAGATTTGTATCTCTGCATCCCACGGTGTCAGACCCGCCATACAGACCAGACATGAGGTGAGAGTAGAAAGCCCAGGACCAAAGTAAAACACGCATTGAGTCATCGGTAAAGTTCGCTTCTCAAATCGCTATTGAGCCATTGGTAAACTTCGCTTCTCAGATCACTACCTTAAGCAATGGATTTTTCATAAATAACATTTAATTTACCATCTGGATGAAGACAAAAGTTGATTCCCATCTCACACTGTACGCCGGACAGAACTGCAAATTAGTCGGATCTGGTGGTGTGCAACTGTAGTCCCAGCTACTCAGGAGGCCGAGGTGGGAGGATCACTTGAGCCCAGGAGTTGAGGACGCACTGAGCCATGGTCGTGCCACCGCATTGCAGCCTAGGCAGCAGAGTGAGACCCTGTCTATAAAAACATAAAAATAGAAAGAACTGTAAATTTATGAGAGATCTTAATTTGCCAGAAGCATGTGATTGATTCCACCCTAACATAGGAGTGGAGATAAACTTTTATGATTGAAAATTCAAAAGCAATGAAATATTTAAAAATGCAATTACAATT
This sequence comes from Homo sapiens, assembly GCF_000001405.40. NCBI lineage: Eukaryota > Metazoa > Chordata > Mammalia > Primates > Hominidae > Homo > Homo sapiens. Next base: position 2,667,476 of record NC_000005.10, read on the forward strand.
TTTTTAATTTTTATGGTAAAAATAAATCACCATAATGAAATTCGAAAGATAAGTAGCAAACCGAGAGAAGAAATCATTTCTATGTATATTTCGACAAAGTGGGTAATATACTGAATGGAAAAAGAGTTTTCAAGAATGGAGAAGAAAAAGACCATAAACTTACAGGAAAGTAGGCCAAAGACCAGGTATGCTCAAGTTCATTCAATGTCATTTCAAACTCCCTCCCATGTATTTCTCATGTATCAGAGTGACAGCAATCGCAGACAATGTACCCTAGAAATGGACACTGTCTTCATCACTGGTCAGTAGGAAGGATTTACAAAGGCTCATGCTATAGAGATTGTATCCAGATAGCAAATGTGAAGTACACATTAAATATCTAAGATTCAGATCCTTCAGTGAGGAAAATAATTATTTCCTTTGGTTTTAATTCACAGAATATTTGAGAATTCTTGTGACTTGTCTTTCCTCTCAGTATATATTTGATTTCTGAGTTCTAAGTGAGAAAAAATAGAATCTTTCCTTTGTCTCAATCCTTCGCATTTTAATAGATCTGTCAATGTACAATTTCAGAAGCACTTGAAATCTTGGCGAAATTCTAAAACAGGTAGTCTTCTGCCAGGCCCAAAAACGTGCCCACCAGAGCAAAGAAAAGTAATCCTGCAGGAGTTCGTGGGCACAGGAGAGCGGCTGTGACCCTCCGCCTCCGCTGCCAGGCACCCCCTTCGAGGCTTCACCTGCATGGCCCGCAGACCTGCATGACCCAAGGGGTTCGTGGATCATGTGAGGCTGCCACGAATTAACAATGAACCAAATTCCAGCTTTCTTATTAGAAATTAGATTGCATTTTATCTTAACTTTGAAGCTGTTTGGAGGCATTAATGAGTCTAGTACCCCAAAGATTGGATTGCCCACTGTGGTCAGGAAATGGGTAGTTTACCGTGTTGTTTTTCCCAGTGACGGAGTCAGCTGACAGTTGTGCGTCCTCTTACGGGTCCGTGTGGCACCGTTAGGCTGCGACAGTGAGTGCACTACAGCTGCGTGGCCTTCCACATCTCACTACCAACATGCTCTGAAGGCAGCGCCCAAAACACAGGGAGAGCGCAGGCTCATCAGGACCCAGGCGCGTGTTTTAGAGCATGGCCTTGCCGTGCCACACATAACGCCCACTGTTAATGGCATTAACAGAGGGCAGGGGCGCCGGGGAGGAGGGGAAGGGTGAAGACGCAGAGAAGTGAGCGAGAGGTCTCAGCAGACGAAGCTGGAGCGCCCACTCATAATTTCCACATTGGCCATTGGTGCCTCGCACCTGCTGTTACTCCTCCTTCACCTCCCTGTCCCGGGTCCCCCAGGCTCCCAGAGGCCCTGCCTCTGCAGGGACCCTGCAGAGACCCTGACTGGGCCTCGGCCCCGCCTCTCCTCTGGATCCTGCTACAGCCTGCGGCCACTCTTGAGGGGCACACGTTCGCCCAGAGTGCTGCTGGCTTCCCTGGCAAGTACTCTCCTTCCCGGGAATGGGAGTCTCAGGAGACAACTGTGATGAGATGGTCACTATTCAGACCCAGTGCTTCCACCCAGATCTGAGACCTGGACTTCAGCCATCATGACAACGTCAGATGACTGCGGTTCTCCTCAGTTTCGCCTAAAATTCTCACGGAAGATAAACTCACATATGAACACACAAACTCACACACACTCACACTTACACACAGACACACACACTCACACTTGCACACAGGCACACACACACTTGCACAGTCTCAGATACACAATCAAATACATACTCTCACACGCTCACACACTCACAGACCACACACACACTCCTGCTCACTCATATACACATTCACAGACGCACTCACAGATACATACACACTCACACACATACACACATGCTCTCACAGACACATGCTCACAGACACACACTCATCCTCACACACACTTTCACAGACACACTCACAGATGCATACACACTCACATACATAAACACGTTCACACACATGCTCTCACAGACACAACACACTCTCACATACACACTCTCACAGACACGCACTCATGCTCACTCACACTCACACTTTCACAGACACACATACATACTCACATATGCTCACACACACTGTCACACACTCATACATACACTCTTACAGACATACACTCATAGACACACTCTCACACACAGACACACAGTCACACACAGTCTCACACACTCACAGACAGACACACACACTCTTGCACTCACACTCACATACACACACACACACTTGAGTGCCAGCCTGGCCGCTGCCCTGCATTAGGCCCACCCAACACACAGCCATACTTTTTCAGCCTCCTGGGATGAGCAGCCTTTCCTGAAATTTCCAGAAGACTCAGGAAGGGTTTCTTGGCAGTGAAGCGACCCCCCTTCCACCGCACATCCTTCCAAGTCATGCCTATGCTGCTTCATCCATCCAGGACAGCCGGAGCTCTTCAAGGCGTCTTCATTTAAATCAGAGAGCGCTTGAGTTTCCAGCAGAGGCCTGGGCTGCTCTGGCCTGGGGGACCACGAGTGGCACCGACCAGCCCCTGAGTCTCCACCCCGGGCCTGCGGGACCACGCTGGGCTCCAGTAGCTTCCCGCTGCTTCTAGGACAAAGACAAGAGGGGGATGTGCAGAGGTGAGAACGAGGTGGCCTTGGAGGGGCCCCTCCAGCCTCCCCTTCCACTGGACCCCGGCCTGCTCTGCACCTCACCCGGCCTCCAGCGCCCGCAGCACAAAGCTCCAGGCCTGCCCCGACCCCTGCCCAAGCCCCAACCTACGTCAGAGCTTCTGGACCAGCAGGGCCCTGCTTTCCAGCCTTCTCCGCAGATGCACTTAGAGGCTCCCAGGAAATACTCCCTGAACGGGGGTCGAACAAATGACGGAGCTGCTCTCACGGCTCCCAAACCAGCGAATTTTCAGATTCATTTCTGGAGACCTAAAGAACTTCATTAAATACTTTCACTATCAATAATATCTTAGCATTTGCAAAAAAATAAAATAAAATAAAATAAAAATAAAAAATAAAAAAAAGCATGGCTTATCTGGTAATAAAATACATAAGAAATGAAAATTCATATACTTTAAATGGAATTGCCTTTGTCCTTTTTGAATAAGTATTTTTCTGAAAATTGAAAAGAAAAGGAACACTGGGGTTCCTGTCTCCTGTGATCCACATGGTCACACTACAGTCAAGTGAGATGTAAAGCCAAAAGCTCTGCTTTAGAAATACAACCCCCACCTAGGGCCTGGGTGCTGCCATCTCAGGCTGCAGGGATCACAAGGCCCTCTGCGTCTGTGCTCATTCACCTAAGAACGTCAGGGCTGGTTTCATTAGCTTCATCTTGCCCACCCAAGAGTCCCTAGCTGGCCCGAGCAAGCCCTTTAGAGGCCCAGAGGGGACAGTCACTCTCACCAGGGGTGGTCCTTCCCCACCATTTGTGGGAACAGGGTTCCGGGCAGGGCTTGTGACATGTCGTGTCAGACTCTTTAGTGACTACTGGCTGCCCACCGCCGTCTAGGACTCCACTTGCAGTGGACACTCCAGGCTGGAGAGGGGCCCCTCCTAGGGCACCTCATCCTCATCTCTGCGCACCTCCCTCCTGTCTTCAGCCCACAGCCAGTGGGAAGCCGTCTGAGAGCCCCGCGTGGTCCCACAGGCCCAGGGTGGAGATGCAGAGGCTGCCGGCCACCCTCTGGGAGGGCCTTTGGTGGACACTCCCTTTCCTGTTGAGTGAGCACGCCCTGGGCTGAGGCAGGGCCACACCAGGGTGCGGCGGGGAGGCAACTGGAATTCCCCGGGGGCATCCAGCACGTGGGCATGTGATTGTGTTTTAAATATGTGTGGAAACCTGCATTTGTAAGGGTTCTTTGCAAACGTGGATACCTTCCCCTCCCTCACAGGTCATCTTTACTGCCTATGCTGATGGTTCCCATCAGCATGTGCCCATGTTTCCATTATTAATGGGAAACCTTCATGACTGCAGACTAAATGGAAAAAGATATGAGCTACTTCATAAAAATTCTCAATTGCAGATACTTTTAAAAGCAGGCAATTTTATTATTTTCAAGAATTTACAGTAATTACTATTAGGCTTAAGGCATATTAAGTAATCCCAATGTTCAGATGACTTAAATTAACAAATATGTAAATGTGATTCAAAAAGCCTATAATAAAACTAAAAATAGAATGAACAAGAACAAAGTAAGCAATGTATGCGCTAAGCCACCGGGTGCGGTGTTTTCTGCGTGTTGCTATTTCCCTGAAGAATCAACAAGGTTTATAGCTTTTAAGTTGCTTAATTGGTAAAGAAAGGCAGAAAGCTTGGTGACTCTGGAGAAAATGTGCTGCTTTTCTTTTCAAGGAGAGTTCTACAGCTTCATGAGTACAACCAATAATCTTCTTGTCGTCATTCTTAAGTTTTTCAAAATTAACTCATTAGCATAGATTACACAACACCAGAAATACCCCAGGAAAAGACACCCCAGCACATCTCCCTGAAGATTATCCTGCCCCAGCAGTTTCACTTTACAGATTTCACCAGGTGAGCCTGAAAATGAAAAAAGCCATTTCCCTTCCAAGGTGACATCTGTCCCTGAGCAGAGTGAATCATATGGGCAAAGAATTGTTCCTAAAATCCTGGAGTCCTTCCCATCACGGCTGGCAAGCCGGCTGCCCCTTTTGCCAGGAATATTTCCCAGGGTCTGGATCAAATAGAGAAGGGACACACTCAGACTTCCAGAGGTAAACGGCCAAGCATAGCTGGGGAGAAGACACTAACCCAGCCCCAAAAGCTAGAGGCCACAAAGACAGCGCTTCCCAGGCAGCACCAGGCAGTTGGAGCAGAATCCACCAGGAGAGCGTGAATCCCCGCTCCAGAGCCGCACTTTCAAGAAATTATCATCAAAACGGTAAATAGGTGAATGGGATGTGAAGGTAGCTTGGTCATTCAACAGCATCTATCAAAAGCCCGTAAGCCACTGGGACTCTACCCTTCAGGGGACTAGAATTTGGTGGTCCTAAGGGGCCCTACCAATCAACAGTCATAATCAACTCTCAGGCTGTCAGGCGTATGCAAACTGAGCAGACTGGGCAAAGCTGTGATGCCTTTCCAGGTGGGTTTCTTCCCCTGTTCATGGTAGATGATATAAGAAAACTTTCCTCATTCTTCCGGGTGCTGCTCAAAATCCTGTACAGACTCCATGGCCACAGTAAAAACTCAGGAACAATCCAAGTCTGCAAGACAGAAATGGTGGTGGAAACAGGTGCTTCATTCTGCAAAGCCCTGGACACTCGTGCCCTCTTGTCTCTCCCTACTGGCAGCATGGTATCCCCAGAAACTTCTCAGAAATGCACAGTCCCAGGCCTGCCCCAGATCTGCTGAGTAATCTGAACTCGCATGTTCACGAGCTTCCCAGAAGGTTCTTGTGCATGTTGAAGTTTGGGAAGTACAACTCCAGTCCATCAGGATAAAGCCTGCTCAGCACCAACAAAGCTTGCAAACAGAGCAATGGCTTCCCCACACATTCCCTTCATGGGATGTCATAACACAAACAAGACGAGGCAAAATCCTCCCTGCAACACATAGGGGACCACATTGCCACCTGGCAGCATTTCTGTGAGAGTGGGTGTCCACTCAGTGCTCCAGCATCGTGCCCTGACCACTTCCCGTGACCCTGCAGCCTGTGCATATCTGACTCGAATCCTGGCTCCCCTCACGCTGCATTTTCTGAGTTCTTGTTACTGCCCACATGGTGCCCAGAACATCATGTGTACAGATTGAAGCTTCCTGAGAAAACGTTCATGGGGAACCTGGTAAGGTGGTAGCAGGGGTAGGAAGGTTGTGCATGAAGCCACACACTCAAAAGATGCCACGGGTCCCAAGACTGCTGCCAGGGGCAACGATTCACCAGGAGGACACCCAGGACTCAGCGTAAAGTCTAACTCACAGTTCCAGTTTCTTACAGGGAAAAGACACAAAACAAAAGCAACAAAAGGGAAAGACACGTGGAATGAAGTCCAGGGTGAAACAGGTGTGAGCTTCCCAGGGTCCCTTCCCAGTGGAGTCACCCAGGACACGCATCCTCCCTCCAGCAATGAGTTGTGCCAGCATGTGTAAAATATTGTCAACCAGGGATGCTCATCAGGCACTTCACGCCCAGGATTTTCATTGGAGGCTGCCCACATAGGTACCCTCTGCCTAGCATGTACCAAAATTCCAGACTGTGAAAAGGTTACAGCATGAACACGTTGCTTGTACAAGCAGTTTGGGCACAGCAAGCCACTCTTATCAGTTAGCGTGACGAAGCCCATCAGAAATCCACGTTTCAAGACATCAGCCAAGGTCCACACTCGCAAGCTGGTCTTCTAGGATTAACTGCGTGCACAGGTGCCTTAATTTTTTCAAGACATTTTAGAATATGGTGATTATTATATATTCATCATTCAGTTTTACATTGAAATTGTAGGAAACTAAGTTACGTAATGCCAAAGAAATCCTTAATAATAATGGGTTTGCAAGTGAGCAAAAATATTTAGGGGTGGGTTTTCTACTCCATGTCTCTCTCCCTTCTATAGCCTCCACCTCATAATTTATAATAATACCACATCTGTAATTAAAGCGTAACTCTTGGAAACTAGACGGAAGCCCTAGTATCCAGAAATTCCCAACATGATAACTTGGTGGACCTGTTAACTATATGGACCTCTTCAAAGCTATTTATCTAAAGGAGAGAAATTCTTGGTCCCCTTAGTTGCAGTCACTAAGCCCTTGAACACCACCCTCCACGGTGGTGATCTACAACCCTAGCCTTCAGAGACAGTAATTACCACGTCAAAGGTGATTTTGCAAAGTTTGAAAGTAACTGCCATTGACCATACACTTTTTTAACGTCATTCATAATAAAAATCGATCTTGATTTCATTGCATGCTCAAAGCCAACTGTGAAGTCTTCACAGTGAAATCCTAGTTTTCATCCCATTATCAAGGACCCAAGACCATGGGTGGATACAGTGAAACTCACCGATACCCTGTACTCAATTAATGCAGAAGGCACAATGACATGAACCTATTTTAATATCTTCTGACCAGCCCAAAGATTGACATCATTAGACAAGACCCAAGCCAGAGAAAACGGGTATTGGTTAAGTAAGAATGTTAATCACCATGGAAACTAAACCACATTCTATGCTTCGGGTTCCCCCAGTGCTGCTCACATTTCAGTTAATGTGTGAGAAATATGGAGATTGCTGGTGAACTCATAAATGTTTCCAAGAACAGGCATGTTTCTATAGTTCATCTTCACATAAGGCTGCTTGGACATGCTGTCTCTAATTTCTTTCCAAATGTAAATGAAGTCTGCAGTCATCAAACCCAGGCAGGCACGATCTGATCAGATATTAACTTGAAACCCACCTGAGTGTCCTGTGCCTGGTGACCTGTATGAACAGGGGGCGAGGAGAAGACCCACATTTCTTTCTGTCTGAAATGTTGCCCCCTCAGTCAGAGGAGATGGCCAGAGCAGGGAGGGTAGGAGTGGCCATAGGGCACTAGCCCAGAGTGTAAGGAGCATTGCCTGTCCTGGCTGGAGAAGACCACCAAGCTGTAGGGCCTGAGCGCAGGTTGGACGTGCTCCAGGGAACCTCCACGCAGCCCAGCTTTGACCAATGCTCAGCATGATCTGTGTCATGTTATGGACCAGCCAGAGGTGAGGTCTGGCTCGTTGCAGACAAAAGCACCCCAAGGACTCACCTCTTCGCCTCATACTCTGCAACCTGTATTTACAGAGTCAACACTGGGTCAGGTTACTCAGCCAATGCTGTCACCTTAGGTGACATCTCTCCTCTACTAACCGATGAAAATGTATCTGTTATTTGGCCAAGGTTCTTTGCTTTTGAGATTAAAGGTTCAAAATGTTCTAAAGGGGCCTTTCCTCTTGAAAAAAATATGCCATGTTCCCTCCAGAGTATCAGAATGAACCTTTAGAAAAGATGCTAACCACCATGATATAGGATGTGGAATGCATCACTCTAATTTTCCCTTTGACCAGCCGTTTTTGCCATCTGAAACTTATATGGTTTAAAAATAAATACGTATTTTTTTTAGAAGTGAAAAAAAAAAAAGAGTGCTTCTAGGCAATTGTAAAGAGCTTCTTTATGGCACGACATAAGCGAGCCAATGCTAAGCAGACCCAAAGGCTGCTCTGGAGCTCAGAGGCAGTGGGCAGGTCGTGGCAGGTGTTTGCCTGCAAGTAGGTCACCAAAAGCCAGGGCAAATCAGGACACTTCTGTGAGCTGTACAAATGAACCCGATCAAACCTTGTAGGCAGAGATATCTATCAGGACGGCAGCACTCTGTGCACAGGGTAATTGCCGCTCCTGGAGCTGGAAGAAAAACCCAGTGGCTGATTCAAAAAGGGACAAAAATCTCATCTAGAGGAGACCCTGGTGGAGCTCTTGATTCAGTGTCGAGCCATGTCCTTGGGGAAAGCTGAAGGATCCTTCAAAATGCACAGAGCATGAGACTGTCACTCAAGGACTCCTCATAATCAGGAGATTTAAAATGACGTGTTCCCAGAGTTGCAGGATGCAGCGAGAGGAGGGGCTTCAAGCCTTTCCCTCTGAGGTCTCCCAGCAAGGGGCCATGCCATGGGGGAGGGTCCCAGAGCCCACCCTGGCCTCACCCAGAGGAATCCCTCTGTGTATGTACAGATTGAGTTTCCAGGTAAGATATGATTTGACCAAGGGGTTCAACAAAAATATATTACTCCATTTCCCAAATCAGGAAGGGAATTCCTGTCCTGCCTGGGCAAGAAGATCTGGAACTCAGCTCTTTCCACTCAAGCATGAAGTTCGTTTGAGGAGGACAACCTGTGCTTGAGGCAGGAGGCTGAGTCTGCCCAGGGGACAAGTCCAAGGAGAGGTTGGAGGACGTGTCCATCACAGCAGAGGCCAAGTGGGTATGAACAATCATTGTCTGACCTGGAGGTCGTTTTTGTTTTATGTATCCTTTGCTCTTTCTTCTTTCAGTCTATGATGATGTGGTAGGGCAAAATGAGAGCCCCGAGGATGTCCGTCCAGGCAGTCATTCTCAGGAACCTGGGCGTGTGTGGCGCTAAATGGCCAAAGGGAGTTTGCAGAGGTAATTACATTTACAGGCCTTAAGATAGGGAGATCCTTCTGCATTATCCTGGTGGGCCCAGTCTCACCAATCTCATCCCTGGATCCCTTAGAAACAGAGAACTTTCTCTGGCTGGAGGGAGAAAAGAAACATCAGAAGAGAAGGCTGGAGAGATTTAAAGCATGGGAGGAGAATCCTGCCTCTCGCCATTGCCAGAGAGGCCATGTGGAGGGCATGAAGGAGAATGTGGATGCCCTTTAGAAGCAATGACTTTCCCTTGTCTGGTAGACTGCAAGAAAATGGGGACCTTACGCCAGCAACTACAAGATCCTAAATGCAACTGACAACCCAAATGAACTTGGAAGTGGGTTCATTTCAAGAGCCTCCAGAAAGAAAAGTTGCCATCTGTGATTTCAAATTACTGACATTTATTATTGTTTGTTATCACAGAACAACTTTGCTTACCATGAATGATACCAGAATCAGTGCCAGAAGTGGGGTGCTAGCATAAGAGACAATCTAAAATATGTGGCATGGCTTAGGGGACAGGTATCAGCCGATGAGGAAATTGGTATTCAAGCCTGTGAGGCTGTTAACGCATCTTATGAATTTTACCACATCTCACGAAATAGCAAACTATTAGATGAATCCTTCACCTATGATAACTTGGGTGATACATAATATACCTACTAGATGTGCTGCTGTATGGGAAGAGATTGAATGTTGGTCATTTAGCAGCATGTGCTAATTATTGTTAATAAGATTCTACAGAAAAGATTTGAGCTCAGAAAATAAAGTAAGGAATAGAGAGTCTAGAAATTAGAGAGCTTTTAGAGTTGGAAGGTATAACTTCTTCTCATCAAAGACATGGTCATCACATCCTTTGTTAAATTTTCTGAATAGATTCGGATATCTCAGGGCAAGGATCATGCTTTCAACTAGTCAAAATGTCTTGGGGACAACACTAAAGGTCTTCCACCAATCTCAGTAGAATGGAGACATGAAGTGTTATCTCATTGTGATTTTGATTTGCATTTTCATGATGGTTGGTGATGTTGAGCATATTGGTGATGCTTTGTGGTCTTCATGACCTTTGTGATGTTCATGATGTTGGTGATGGCTGGTGATGTTGGGCATATTGGTGATCTTGGTAATTGTTGGTGATGTTGGGCATATTGGTGATGTTTGGTAATATCGGTGATGGTTGGTGATGTTGGGCATATTGGTGATGCTTGGTGATGTTGGAGATGGTTGGTGATGTTGAGCATATTAGTGATGCTTGGTGGTCTCGGTGATCTTGGTGATATTGGTGATGGTTGGTGATGCTTGGTGATGTTAGTGATGTTGGTGATGGTTGGTGATGTTGAGCATATTGGTGATGCTTGATGATCTTGGTGATCTTTGTGATGTTCATGATGTTGGTGATGGTTGGTGATGTTGGGCATATTGGTGATGCTTGGTGATCTTGGTGATGTTGGTGATAGTTGGTGATATTGAGCATCTACAAATGTTCTTGTTGGCCATTTTTATATCTTCTTTGGAGACACGTCTATTTAAGTTCTTTGGCTGTTTTTTAAAACCAAGTTGTTTGTTTCTTTTTGTAGGAATTCTTCATACATTCTAGATATTAATCTCTTATCAGATATATAAGTTGCAAATGATTTATCCTATTCCATGGTTGGTTGTCTTTTACTCTGTTGAATGTCCTTTTATGCATATAGAGATTTAGTGTGTATGTAAAAGAGTTGTCCTCACAAAGAAACTATAAACTGGGATTAAAAGACTCTGTATAAATAATATGAGATTATGCATGCATAACTCTTGGCACAGCACCTGACATACTGTTGTGTTCAATAGGTATTAGTTTTAGTGTATATATACATTTGAATAATTTGTATTAGTTTTAGTGTATATATACATTTGAATAATTCAACCACTGCTTTAAAAATTTTAGAACTTATAAAAAATTCCTTTTGGAATCATCTTTCAAAATATATTCTAAAAATCTTAAAAATAATTAGTCTCATTATTTATAAACACAATTTATTTTATGCCCTCAAATAGTATTTAATTATTGGGTATTTAAATTTAAATTTTCTTCACTTTTTAATGGTTAAGGGCTGGTTCTACATGTTAAATCTACCCCGAGCAAAAGAATATTTGTTGTTGAGGACGTATGTAAAGCTATAATGCAATGGGGATTTTAAGAATTCCAAATCATCACTACCGAGGCTTAAAATAGACCTGGAGTTAAAATGGGCCTCCCAACTGAAGAGGTTATCTTAAAGAGAGAAAAAATTAATTTAAAAATATGACCACTGCAAAAACAACCATCTTATCACTTGCCTTGTATAACTCAAAATTTCTACTGATCCTCAATATCATAACTGTGGTGTTGACACCCTCTGGTCCTCAGATGAGCCTGGACATGGGCCACATCCTTCCTTTGCCATCCTATCTGTCTCTGAGTCAGACAGCCAGCATCACCCACCATTACCATCTGCAGGATTACATGACCAGCCAGATATATGGATGGAAAAGCTCAGAAACCCAAAGGTGATTTTGAGGCTGTGCCATTGTTGAGCTGATGATTGGCATTCTTTGTCACAGACAAAGCTCTGTCCTAAGCTGACGAGGAGAAAAAGTCATTAATTTATTCAACCGATGACTCTGAACACTGGTAAATACCCCGTCCTAAAAATTAAGTGTGCCTAGGTAAACCGCAATGTGACCAACCTGAAAGCTGTGCATGTTTTGATGGACACCAAGAGGATCTGCACTCCTCTTGCCATTAAATCACTACAGAACAGGAGCAGCACGGTTTATATCTGTTATCTCAAGATGGATCCTTTTGACTAGAGGAGTTGATCCAGCCAATCACTCAATTATGTGCTTCCTAGTTGATGATTTGCATAACTCAATTTGAAACAAAAAATGAGTAAAGTTCTGACAAGCTGATTATTTGATCTGTGTTTTCTTGCAGAAGTATTGCTGCACAAGCTTCAGTGCCTCTATTTTTGTTTTGTCTTAAGCTACAATCCTTAAATAATGATATACTGTGAAAGGGCCCTTGGCATGATCTAAGCAATGACACAGGATTCCTAGCCAAAATAAATTCAGACAAAGAAATTAGAGTCTGCTTATTTGAAATGCTGTGTGTTGCACAAAGCCAGGGGTGTGAGTAAATTATAGAATCCGAAGCCAGTGGATTCCTCGGCCGACTCAACATCACAAAATTATCGAAAGCCAAAAGAAGAATTAGATGAATGCCAAAGAACATATCTCATATTACATGATTTTCTCAGGGTGGCAGGCAGAAGGAGATCAAAGCAGAACCTTTAGGAATAAAATTTAGTTTAATGTGGAAGTTGGCAAACAAAACTTGAGTAAAAAGTTGGTGAATGAAAAGATTCTTCTGGAAGCAACTCTGTTACCTGTTTAATTTTGATCCATTTCCAATGGACAGAGGCATATTTGAGGAGATTTTAAAATTATCCTTCCCTTGAGACTAAATAATAACTGGATTTTATTCCATTTAGAACTGAGGTAGAAATACGTCAGTAACGCAAGTAAGCATGCCTTGGAATATTAGAGTGGTGGCTTCCAAACACAACTGAGCCACAGAGTTTTCTAAAGTTTGAAGGTAAATACAAATTATAAAAAGAATGTAGTATGTGTGGGTTGAAGCTGACAACCAACCATGCTTGGAAAGAATTATTTCTTATTCTAGGACTACATATTCCTATGATTTGGAGATTAAAATGATCTTTTATAATCCAAAAGTTGGTGATAGTCATGGTGTTTTGTTTTTATTTTCTTTTTTTTTTTTTCAAAATAAAAATTGACTTCTCATGCAGCCTACAATTTATTTTAATTAATAGTTCACAGAAGTTTAAAAGTTTCAATCTACTCTTACAGAACACAAACTTAACCCTGACACAGGAGCTTGGCTTGAGTAGAAGCGGGGGAGAGAGAAGCAGGAGAGGCAGCAGTGCAGAGAGACAGAAGGGACAGCAGGAGCACGACTTCGTCAGCAGCAGGAGAGATGCTCCGGCCAAGTTCTCACTCTTGTCAACTCAGTCAGACTCTGTGAGTGGCACCCCTCTCCCCTCTCTCCTGGGCCATTTGCTCTTTACCCTGGGTGGGCTCATTCCTTGGTTCCAGACTCAGTAATGAAGCACCTCATTAGAGAGAAAGCCTGGGTTTGGGGAGAGTCAATGAAACCAGAGCAAATTTTGATGCATTGCTTAAAACAGATGAAGAGGACGAGCAAAGGGGAGACATGTCTCTTAATTCTATGTGAAAACAAGGATATTTATGTATAGACTTCGCTCTTCAGGCATTGTAGAACTGACAGCTAATTATGCAGCCTGGATAGCATCTTGCCGAAGATGAACAACTCTGGTGGACCAAGTGAAGGCCAAACTAGTGATGTCCCAGCAGCGACTTTGAAAAGCCAATCAACTCTACCACTAAAGAGGTGATGTTCCACACAAGATGTGGCTGTGCTGCTTGACTCAGAGGTTCCATTTAGCTCTGCAAACAATGTGGTCAGCTACCATAACCACAGCAGGCAGACCCAAGCAAAATGGGATGGCATCAGCAACTTCCACACTCCAGGGCCCAGCTACTTTGAAACATTCTATTCTTCAGCTTGGCTTCTCATAGGTGGAAGAGGAAATCTTCTGTGCTTCAGCTTGGCTGCTCATGGGTGGAAGTGGAGGGTGCATAGTATTGTCCATGCAGTAGCAAGCACTAAAGGCCAACAAGAGTTCACCAAGCTACAGCCACAGCATGGACCATAGACACTGCATTTTCTTACAGAGTCATACCCCTTAAACTTGCCCACATTCTGTGTGTGCAGCATCTCAGTGGTTAAGATTTTAAAAAAAGAAAAAAGAAAGAGAAAGAAGACAGAAGAAAAAGAAAGAAAGGAAGAAAGGAAGAAAGAGAAAGAAAGAAAGAGAGAAAGAAAGAAAGAAAGAAAGAAAGAGAGAAAGAAAGAAAGAAAGAGAGAGAAAGGAAGGAAGGAAGAAAAGGAAAGAAAGGAAGAAAGAAAAGGAAAGAAAGAAAGAAGGGAGGAAGGAAAGGAAAGAAAGAAAGGAAAAGAAAGAAAGAGAAAGAAAAGGTTAATCAGAAAAGGCTGAAGCTTGGACTTACATCTTTTACATCCAAGTCCTGTTAGCAAAGAAGTCACCCAGATCATTGAGCCAAGAGGAGGGACGCTGAGCTCCTCGTCATCCCAGTGTGGCTGTGGACACCGAGCCTAGAGATGGGTGGTGAGGGTACAGCATCTCACTCGGCTTGGAGAGCTGCAGGGGCCGTGTACACAGGCAGAGGTGCCCTGAGCCAACACCAAATGGTGGGAAGTGGCTGGAGGGAGAGCAGTGCTTCACACTGAAGAGTCCATGTCTTCACTAGCAGAAGTCCTCTTTCTCCATGGCTCATAGAAAAGCTGAGAATGTTCTTCCTCCATCACCGGAACCCTATTTATGGGAAGTGTTAAGAGGAGCCTGTGACGGTGCTCGACAAGGAGAACAGGGCTGCTTTCTTCCAGAGTTCCTTCGCTCATCGTCTCCTGGACATATGAATTATAGAACAAGTTTTCATGTCATTTTGTTTTGTGTTGGGATTTCAGATGAGCCACTGGGAAGCAGAAAGCAGAGTTGTGTGAAGTGTGTGCACTTCAGCCTCATTCTAGGCTGTGCTTTCTCCACGGCCCCCTTCTCTGTCTTTCTCAGCCCCTCCCTTCAATGATGCCAAATAGCATTTTATGTCGACATACAAGGTGCCTTAAATTATTTCAGGATCAAGATGGGGCATAACTAAAAAATAACTTTTATTTTGCAAATTTGATTTAAAATTTTGGGGGCCTAAAAATGTGTACCTGCAAGGAGGAATATTTAATCTTAAAATAACTGCCTTTCTTAACATAAAAGTGCTATGTGTTTATCAAAAAACAATCAAATAGTACAGATACCAACAAAGAAGAAAGGCAGATAGTGAGCATTTGAGGACTTTGTGCATTTTCAATATAAATACATTTTGTTCAACGTCCTCCAGAAAATCTGCAGCCTAGGATGTGGGTGCCCACCTCAGCAGCCTTCCCCAGCCCTGCACATCAGCCATAGTTCAGTATTTTCCAGTTTAAGATATAGGCCTTTTATTTAAATGAAGGTCATATTTTCCACTCTCAGCTGGATTAAAACTTTGGGTGGGTTACAGGTCCTGCGTGGTGTGTGGCTGCTGCTGCAGACAGTCTGTTCTTAAACCTTGTCGAATTTTCTGTTTAGATGTTCATGGCGTTCTTGGTTTGGAGAGCTCTTTTCTTTGTCAGAAATGTATTTTTTTTTCATTTTGTCATTTCATTTAACTTTATTTTTGTTTTTATGTTTCAATGAACGTTAAACTTTCATGAGCCAAATTTTTCATTCTTTTACGGGATAATTAAGATTTATATTCGGAGAACCCTTCTCACAATCAAACCATTATCACCAAAATTCTACTGAGTTTTCTTCCTGAATTTCTGCTGTTTTATCTTGCATCCTTGCACATTTAATCACCTTAATTTTATTTTTGTGTAAGATGTATGCTTGTATAAGATACATTTTTCACAATGTATGTATCTCTTGCCTATGTGCCTTTCTTCTGAATGGCTAGCCAAGATGCCCTTCGGTGGTGAGCGTCCCACCACGGCCTCACTGATGCAAGCCCATCCTTCCTGACATGTTAGATGCCACTCCGCAGATCATCTTCCCCGAGCGAGGAATTCAAGCCCATTTGTTGTTTTGCCTTTTCCTAGGCAAGTGCTCAATTATTGTAATTACTGGAACTGTTTTGTAGAGTAATGTGAATAACTCACAGAAGAATTTTTAAATAACTCATCTATGAATTAAAAAAAAGGTAATGAGTTATGTACAACTCACATTAAGCCAGGAATAGAAAAGTAAAAGAGAAACATTTGTATCAACAAGTTGGGAAAAGACACAGAAGGCAGGATTATCAAATACCGTGTTGACACAAAGTTGGGAGAGATGGCTAATGCCAAGGAACAGAATCCGACTTTAAAAAGAAAGTGGGGGATCAGAATTAACAAGGTAAAGTCAGCGGGTAACTGCAACACAGGGCTCTTAGGTTTAGCAGAATGATTCCCCTTGTACTGGGCGGTAAAGCCCCAGATTAACGTGGTCTCTTGTGAAACAGACGGAGGGTTTTCATTCACCACAAGGGCAGCAGCAGCCAACAGGGCGAGTTTGGGCGGCACCACCGTGAGTCTGGAAGCCCGTGGAGGGTGCCTGCAGCCCTCCCTGCTGCTGCCAGGCGTCTCAGCACTGATGTCCCCCAGAAACCCACGATGGCCTGCGGACGGCGGTCCACTCGGGACCCAGTACATCTGTGGGAAGTAATCACCTGTGTTTAAGGCTAGAACTCTCATGCAAGTGTTCGTGATTTTAACAAATGTTCTCTGGAAACTATGATTTTAGAAAAAATAACTCTTTACCAACCAAAATGATGATATTTAACAAGCAGACCACTAAATGCTTTTATAAAAGGACCTCTTGAGAATATTTGAATTTTACTGGTGTCAACTAAGTTGAACATAGGTGGAAGAGAAAAAGAAATCCTTAAGTTTTATGAAAGTTGAAGGCAGAAAGCTCATCATTCTAAAGTCATAGGTATCTCAGAAATGAAAATCTCATTGACGATGCAACATGCTAGAGTTGATAATGAAGTAAAGGTACTCCTGAAAAAAAAAGGAGAATGATAAGAATATAAATCTGAAAATATACCTGGATCTCATTCCAGAAAATAAAAGGTAGAGACTAAAGCAGTTTGGAAAAACTGATTTAGTTTGGGAAACAGAAAAAAGTGAGGCAAGAGAGAAAGGAGAAGAGAAGGAAGAGAAAAAGGAGGAGAAACCCCAGGGGAAGGGACAGTACTGATTCTCGAAAATATCAGATAAAGGGGTGATTTACCAGGGAAACACCAAATCAATATTAACCCAGCTCATAGTCACCCTAGGTAAGGCTCAGCCCCCCGAGCCTGGGTCCAAATCTAGACCCTCCTCCCCAAGGGATGAACCTGCCCTCCACTCCTAATTTAGACAACGCAGAATCTGGAGGAGGCTGCTCCCCAGTGCGACTTCTCCCCCATGGTGGGAAGAACCCCACAACTCATGGGTGCCGGGGGTTGTCAGCTTCCCCGCCCGGCCCCCACCATCTTCCCCAACACTCATGGGGGTGGGGCTTCCACTGGAGAAAGGCGTGTCACAGCCTCGTGTTGAGTTGAACCTCAGAAAGCGCTTTCTCCTGGAGTCAGCATTAGGGCCGTCAGCCGCATCTACAAGGTATACCTGAGCTTTTTTTATGAGGTGGCCTTGGAATCCCACCTCAATATATAGTTCAATATAAATGAACTTCTGAAGTTAAGCCCAATCATAAGCGACACACAACCCATCTTTGCCACAACTACATTTGCTAACTCCTGGGGTGATCACTTCAGTGCTATAAAAGCCACCTTTGATGGGAGCCGAATCAATTCCAAATATTTCCCTTGAGACCTCTGGCTCCAGGAACTCCTGCGTGGAAGTCCGTGGGTCTCCTCGGGCTGAACCTGCTCTTGCCTCTCCACCGTGTTGCCTAGGCTGTGGTGGCCTCAAGGCGTTTGAACTGACGCTACTGGGCAACGGGAAGGTGGTTTGTCCCAGGTAAAGTCACAGAATAGGCAGGGCAGGTGTCCTCAGCGTCATGTGCTCACTCGAGTCCAGGCTGGTCAAGATTTCAGCCACGTTCAGACTCCCCTCTGCTCTTACTCAATGATTTTAAATGACGGATAAAAGTCATACGGTTGTTTGTTTACTTGACTGAACACAGTTAGGAAAGTGTAGGGTTGTATTGTCATGTTTAATTGCTACCAAAATATTTGTATGTCGAGTAAACAGTTATAGATAAAGAAAGACATTGTTTGGAAATTGGATTAATTAGTATTTAATTGCTATAACTTGCAGTTAATCCATTAATATTAGGAATGTAAGCTTGCAACAAATTAGTCACAAACAAAAGAAACCAACAAGGAATGAAGGATCTTTTGCCAAATCCATAACCCAAGAGAACTTGGCCCTCCTGCAGCTTTGAATGAGTTGTTAGGAATCTCAATGTATTTACATGGGTGAAAACTGCATTTCTCTTTCTAACCTCAAAGGTCTTCTTAAATGGCTTAGGTACATTCAGCATGAGTTCTGATGACTCAGAGGTGATGCACGTACCTTGGCAGGAGTGGGTGCCTTCAACTTAGAGGACATCTGAAGATAAGGGCTTTCCAGGAGGAGGGAGGAACATTTCAGGTCTGTTTGGGAGGACAAGAACCCCCGACTATTCACTGCCTGCAAATCCAAACACTTCCTAGCAAATCTGAAAGCTTGGGTTCATGCCAGGAACAAGTTGTCTAATACAGAGTCTGTCCAGGAGGGAGTGGGGACCCTGGCTATGGAGTCTTGTTCTGGTTTATTCTGCCTTGGTCTGGTTGAGTGGATTATCTGTCCTGCCTTCTCTGACTGGGAGAGCTTGGAAGAACCTTCAGGGTGGATGCATTCCCAGAATCCACACTCAGCAGCACCCAGGAGACTCGAATGGGACCTCAACCCAAAGTCGAGGTGAACCCAGCCAGCTTTGCCTCACACTGGGACCCAGGACTGAGGCCTTCCTGGCCCCTGAGCACCGGGGAGCTGACTCCAGTTGCTAATCACACAATGAGGCCCCAAAGACAATGGGGTTTCACGGCAGCGCCACAGCTCCCTCCCATTCCCTTCCACCACCAGCAGCTCTTAAAGGCCTTCCTGAACGGCTCACTGTCAGCAAAGCCAGTGTGTGCCCCGCAATCCCACAGACAACAAAGCCGGCAGCAGCATTTCACGCGGGTGATGTCACCCAGGTAAAATTGCACTGACAAGCTTTTAATTAAAGTTTTCCCACACGTCTCTCCGCAGGTCCCCGGAGCGATTATTCATTATGTACGGACTGCCAGCCAATTGTGAGTTGGGAGGGAAGTGTTTTATTTTCAAAGCTCTTGCTGACAGCTAGAGAACACTTTGTTGTACAATCTGTTTATGTTTTTTCACATATGCACACACTCACCCCCGTCTTGCTAAAGGGGAAATGGCGGTGCAGGGTGGTGAACGTGTGTGGTAGTAATTACGTGCACCTGCTGCTGAGGTGACTGCATGGGGGGTAGCCAAGCGCCCTCCACGAGCGATTGCCCCCATCTTGACGAGACGCCCCCAGCTGGTCAAGGAGGTGTGACTCCAGGAAAGCACAGGTTCAAACTGGTGCAGAGGCTGCCGCTGGAGCAGGGAGGCTCCCTGGGAAACGTGGGCGCAGTCACCAGCAGGAAAAACAGGCGCCTGCAGGAGGAGCAGCTAGGGAAGTCTGGAGCAGGCTTTTGTCCACACGAAGATGCTGCCCACGTCTCTGTCTCTGAGAATCTGCTTCTGAAGAAAGAACCCAGATTCCAGGAGTGAGAGTGAGACCTATGAAGTGACCGGGGGCTTCTGTGGCCCCGGGTTCCGCCTTGTACAGTTTCTGGGGAGGAGCACGGCTGCTCTGCTGTCTCCCCATCACCACGACCACGACATGGGAGGGGTCGAAGGGGACCCACTGAGGATAGGCGGTGTGCAGACATACGTTTCCACGATGACCTTTGGGCCACTCCTGGCATCCCCTGCCAGGCTTCCATGGCACCTCCTGGGAGCCATGGGGGCTTCAGGACTGGGTTCTCATTCTGACTGTGACCTTGCTGGCTGTGGGGCTTCACATGCATAATGTATCCTCCCTGGCCTCAGTTTCCCCACATGTAAACTGGGAATAGGAATAGCTAACTCAGGGGGTGGGTCACGGCTGAATCAGAAACTGAATTCATGGTGAGGGATGCGGTTCTTCAATCCTGAAAAGCACGGCCAGTCACATGCATCCCCCCAGAAAATGCAACGATACCATGACACTCATGCAGGCCCTTCCTCTCTTCTGTGGTAGCTCCAAACTGGTGCAGACCAAGGATTCCAAAACCTCTGGCCCATCTCTTCACCTATCTTCCAGTCAAAATTATCTGTGATTTGGACAAAGAAAGCATATGCACATACATGCATTCAGCTGGACCATAGGGCTCTGCTCTTGTGCACATACAAGAAGCGCACACGCTGCAGCCTGTGGAGGTCTCCCAGGGTCCCCTGTGGCCCAGCAGCCATCTTCGAACTTTCACCCAGACAGGCTCATGCCCTGCCGGCAGCACTTCCTGCTCCTGCATCGCTTGGCCACAAATCCCTGGTGGGCTCTGAGCATCCCCATGGCAAGCTATGAGGGAGGAGCTTGTGCTCAGTACCCTCAACATGGCAGGGGCGTGCTCAGGATGCCTGGTGGCCACAGCTCAGCCACCCGCTCTCTCTCTGGCCTCCTACATCTCCCTCCAGCTCCACTGGTCAGCTCTTCTTCCCTCTGAGCCTGAAATCTTACACAATACATTTATTTACTTATTATTGTTGTTTGTGTTTTGAGACCGAGTCTCATTCTGTCACCCAGACTGGAGTGCAGTGGTGCAATCTCAGCTCACTGTGACCTCTACCTCGTGGGTTCAAGTGATTCTCATGCTTCAGTCTCCCAAGTAACTAAGATTACAGGCACTCGCAACCACGCTTGTCTAATTTTTGTATTTTTTACTAGAGACAAGGTTTCGACATGTTGGCCAGGCTGGTCTCAAACTCCTGACCCGAAGTGATCTGCCCACCATGGCCTCTGAAAATGCTGGAATTACAGGCGTGAGCCACCATGCCCGGCCATTAGATAGTAAATTTAAAAAGAGCCACTGCACCGTGCAGAGCACCATGAAGATCAAACCTGCATTCACACCCACCCTTAGTGGGACGTGGGAAATCCATTGGTTCTCTTTGCCACTGCCCCGCCTGGCCGTCACATTGCTAGGACCTTGTCCCACTAGGGGGGACCCCCCTCCCTCAGCTCAGGAGTCCCACCCAGGATTCAAGTGACCTCAATAGCACAGAAAAACAGTTCCTGAAACCACACTGGGTCTTTTATGAAGCTGTGTGCAGCTCAAGGCTTTCATTCCCTGCATGCTTCCTGCTCCCCTTCCAGGTGCAAGGTGCAGGGCAAGGGGCCAAAATCACAATTCTGAGCAAGAGAAGCAGCCCTGATCTCACTGAGCATACAGCCCAGCCACGGGCATGACACTGAACCCAGCGCAGCGAAGCGTCTGGGCGGAAGCCCACAGGAGCACAGCCAAGCCAACCCTAGGAGCCAGGAAAAGCTTCTCAGGGGCCTAGCATGACCCCTGACACTGGAAGGCAATATAGGAATTACTCTTATAAAGGGAAATGAAAAGAGGGAACCACATAACAGGAACACGGGTTACCAGGGCCCAGGGAAAGACAAGGAGAGAGGGAAAGAGGCAGGGAGGAAGGGAGGGGAGCCAGCAATGGCGCATTCGAGAACCTTGGAAGGGTGCCATGTTCAAGGCTTGGGCCTATCAGAAGAGCAGCACAGGAAGGAGGTGGCTGGAGGCACCAAATTGCTAAGCTGCAGATAACACTGCCGGGGCTATGGGCTGGTACATGGCCTGTTAGGAACATCTAACAGCAAGAGGTGAGTGGCAGGAGAGCAAGCGAAACTTCATCTGTATTTACAGCCACTCTGCCTTGCTGGCATTATCACCTGAGCTCCACCTCCTGTCAGATCAGCAGTGGCGTGAGAGTCTCATAGGAACACAAACCCTACTGTGAACTGCACGTGTGAGGAATCTGCACTGTGCTCCTCGTGAGAATCTAATGCCTGAAGATCTGTCACTGTCTCCCATCACCCCCAGATGGGACTATCTAGTTGCAGGAAAACAAGCTCGGGGCTCCCACGGATTCTACATTATGGTGAGTTGTGTAATTATTTCATTATATATTATAATGCAATGATCATAATAGAAATAAAGGAAACAATACATGTAATGGGCTTGAATCATTGTGAAACTATCCCCTTGCCCCATCTATGGAAAAATTGTCTTCTGTGAAACGAGTGCCTTGTGCCAAAAAGGTTGGGGACCACTGCTCTAGGGCACGTGGCTTTATCTTAGATGCAATAGAGCCCCTGAAAGTTGTGAGTGATAAAAAGCACCATCTAACTTGCCTTTTAGAGATAATTTTCCAGTTGCTGGGCAGACAGTGGTTGAGAGAGGAGGCAGGGGATTCTTGGGAGGACTTCATTGTCACCCAGGAGTGGGAGTGGTCTGCTGGGACAAGGCAGGGCAAGTAAGGATGGACAGGGACGGCTGGGGGCAGCAGGAGAAGGGATGCCACAGAGACAGGCCTGTGCAACATGTCCTGTGAGCTGCATGGAGGGCTCTGATGCCTGGTGAACATGTGTGTAAATGCATGAATCAAGGATGGATGGATGGATGGATGGATTCTATTGATGGATTAGTAGAAAAACATTGATTCTCAGTTATCTGACAGTTTCACTCTTTAGAACAGGTTTACATAATACATGAGGCAATTTTTATTAAGGCCACAAAATTGATGATCCTTTCCTGAATTGCAGGCTGTAAGTCCCCTCCTCTTGAATCTCTGATGGCTTGTGACTGCTCCAGTCCACCTGGTATGAGGGAAGTATATTATAGGATGCCGGAAACTCATCCAGAGAGGCATGCAGTGTCCACCCTGTTCTTCTGGATGGTCATGCTGGAGCCCAGGATCTCAGGAGCCTTCCAGGTTGGAGAAGCCTGGCCATGTGGAATCCTCGTGGCTGACAGTCCAAGCTGAGCTCAGCTTTTTAGCACCAGGTGGCTTTGTTTTGCTAAGCTATTCTTGAAATGAGTGTGTTCCCAAACCTTGAGAACAGCCCCAGGCCTCATGTATTTCCACTTAGGATCCCAGATATTGTGAGTCAGAGACACACCGTCTTCTCTGTGCCTGTTTAAATTCTTGAAATCTGAATACATGAGCCGAATGAAATAGTCGTTTATGCCGCTAACTTTTGTGTGATTTGTTTTTCATTAATAGGAACTGGAACAGAATTTGGCCGCTGGAAGTGGGATGCCACCACAATAAAAACCTAAAATACATGGCACTCATTTTAGGGTTGGAGAAAATTGGAGAGCCTTGAGGAGACCATCAGCAGAAGCTAGGCAGATTTCACAGGAGCTGCCAGGGAAAACGCAATGAAGAGAATAAAAAACGTTACCAGAGGAAAGAAGATTCCTGCTATATGTGGTAGAAATTTAGCAAAACTGTTGCCTGCAATAATGTAGAAAACACAGGCAATGAAATGATGGACTAGACTAAAGAGATTTTTTGGGCAGAATGTTGAAAGTGTCAACTGTTTTCTGTTAGCTGCACATCAAAAGGTAAGGATGAAGAGGGGTGAATTACCAGAGGGTTTATTCAGTTTTCAAGGAGAATTTAGAGAAAATATAAAGAAGCAAGACTTGTTAGCTCTGGGATTAAACTATTTTACATATTCAGGCTCTCCAGAGAAATATTGAAGGCAGTGCTTCACAGATTCTTTCAAACTAAAAAAAATCTCCTAAGAGTCTCAAGACTGTGCCTCGAAGACCTTGCCTGCCAACAGTAGAACTTTTAGGACCTTAGGGGTGTTTCCAACCTTATCCTCAAAGGAGTTTGAGTTAGAGAAGGGCTTACCTTGGAGAGATTTTTGGGTGTGGCTTTTACTAATAGAACGAGTTATAAATGGATACAAAGGAAACCCATAATGCTTTTGAAGAATTTATATCACCTTGGACTGAAGCAGTATAGAAGCAACATGAAATGAAAAGAGTATTTTGGAGTGATAACATCTGACATCATGAGGTAGGTTGAGAAGGGTATTCAGTTATAAATTCAGGTCCTTTCTTATTTTAAAAAATAATAATAATAAAGTGAGGGGGGAGAGGGGGCTTAGGGTGTAAGCCAGAACCCAGATGGCTGAGCCAAGAGCCACAGAGAACAACCCCAGCAAATGAGATGATGTCTTAATCAGGGATCAGAGAAAATGCACTTGGTCAGATTTCAGAATTGCTGTGGTCCAATGACTCACATGTGCTTTCTTCCCCCATCCCATGAATAGTGGTATCTTTAGATTTCAGAATTGCTGTGGTCTAATGGCTCACACGTGCCTTCTTCCCCCACCCCATGAATAGTGGTATCTTTAGATTTCAGAATTGCTGTGGTCCAATGGCTCACACATGCCTTCTTCCCCCATCCCATGAATACTGGTATCTTTAGTGGCCAACCTGTATTGTCCCATCATTGGAGATTGGGAGAGGGGCAAAGATAATTTTCACTTGTGTTCCCAGGTCAGATTGAGAGAAGCTGTACCAAGGAACCATGCACAGAAGCCTCAGCCTTACAAATTAAATGTAAGTAATGTGTGGCCAGAAAGCAGACTGTAATGTTCTTTTTAAGAAAGATGACCATGAATTTTTTCCACATGTCTCTTGTTGTGATATAGAGTCTATGTCCCCTCTTCTTAAATCTAGGAGGGCGTGCATTTGTTTTCATTTACATGCAGCAAAAGGCATTCTTCTGATTTGTGAGGTTACTCTACATGAAGTGATCCAGCTTTTCCCTCCCTGCTACATCCTGTCTGAACTCCTTACCTACAGAACCCGTGAGACCCCAAAATGGATATTTACTGGCACGCTCAATATGAGATCCTGTGCCGTCATGCAAGGGGCTTTGTTATCCTAAGGCCCATGACATGAGCAAGTCCACAACAGCAGAGGTCACATTGCCCAGGTCTACATTCCTAGCCAAGACACATGACCAAAGTAGCCTCAGGTGACTCCATTCCCCACTGCACCCATTGGAATTCACCAGAAAAACAGAACCAGCAGGAGAAAGAGATGCAGATGTAGACAGAGATATAATAAGAGATTTATGTCGTGTAAGAAAAATGAATCTCGGGACCCCAGACTCACTAAGCCAAAGGGAAAGTCAAGCTGGGAACTTGGTCATGCACACCTGCCTCCCATTTTGGTTCCTAAATGAGATGCCTACAAAGATGAAAAGCTCACACTGTGCCCACCAGGAAATCCCTTGTGAGTCTCAAGATCTTTACTCTACAGCGTTTCTGTTTAGGTGCACCATGGCAATGTAAATTGATAGCTTACTCCACAGGTGCGGGACCAAGGACAGAACTCAAAGTCATCTCTCTGCTCACCTGAAATAAATGCACATCTGACTGTTTCCTCTGCCCGATTGTCTATCTTATCTTATGTAAAAATGCAGATTCACTGAGCCAGACAAAGGCAGGAGTGACTATTCCCCCCAACCCCACATGAAAATTGTGCATTTCTCAGTATCCCATCCTTTCCCTTTTAAATATTGGAGCCTTCAAAATAATCTTCTGAGAAAGGCATAGACCTGTCTCCTGGGCACATGTCCTTAACTTTGACAGATAAACCTCCTAAAATGATTGGAGACTTGCTGAGGTCATTTTCCTTGATTAACAATCTCAAGGATTGGCTTTTGCCATTGTGGGGGCGGGTAAGTCTGAAATCCATAAGACAGTTGAGCAGGCTGGAAACTGTCAGGAAGGAGCTCATACTGAAGCCTTAAGGCAGAATTTCTTCCTCCTCAAGTAATCCTGTTTTGCTTTTACATCCTTTCGACTGATTGGATAAAGCTTACCTCATTATGCAGAATAATTCCTTTACTTAAAGTCAACTGATTTTAGGTGTTAACCACATCTACAAAATATCTAACAGCAACTTCTAGATTAGGGTGCAGTTGAATAGCTGGGTACTGTAGCCCAGTCAAGTTGATATGCAAAATTGACCATCCCACCTAACTTTTGAGTCACCCCAGCCTTCCAGCCTTCACAGCTGAAGTTCCGGACTTTGCGGAGCAGAAACAAGCCCTCCCTACTGTAACCTACCTGAATGCCTTACCCACAAAACCTGTGAGCCCATAAAATGGTTGTTGATACTACCACATTTCAGGGTGTGTTGTTGTGAAACAGTAACTGATACAAGGCATGAAAAGATGGTCCCTTCAACACAGGGGTTGTGCTAAAACAATCCACCCCCAGAAAAGCCACCTCTGGAAAGCTCTCTATAGTGCAAGAGTGTGCCCCAAAAGCTGTGGCATTATCTGGACTGCTTCTACCAGGAAAGCTAATCCCATAGTAGCAGTGATGAACAGATGGTTGTCGTTTTCAGACACCAAAGAATCCTAACGTTCAGATAATGTGTAGAGACAGGCAGGAACCCATAGGCAGGTACAGATGGGAGTTCCTGAAATGGTGACAGTTTCATGAGTTTGAGGCAGTGTTTGAAGAAGAGCATGGGGTCTCAGCTCTCTCTAAACTTTCTCTTGGCCAAAGTGATTGGGCTAAAATGAGAGAGGGGTAGGGGGCTATCTCCTACAGAGCCTCTCTGGGGTGCCGGGCCATGTACCAGACATTTACTACACTAGGACCAGGGATTTCGGTAACAGATCACATGTCAATTGAGTTCATAGTAGAGAAGGTGGGAAAGAGACAGAAAGTAGGGAGGCACGAGAGGGATGGGTGGAGGGAGAAAGGTGAGGAGAGTGGGAAGTAGGGTTATTAGTTAAGGAAGAGTCTCTGGAGAAACTGAGTTTGTTTGGGCAGTTTCAGGATGTAGAGTTCAGGGATGACATTCATAGCCATCTGGAGATGACTTAGGAGGGCTGAGTAATGACACACCCTGCCCCGTCATAAATATATTTACACCCTGATCCTTGGACCTGTGAATGCTACTTTATACAGCAAAAAAAAAAAACAAAACAAAAAACTTGGGGAGAATTTACTGAGGGAAATAAGTTAAGGATGTGGAGATGATGGGGTTTTCCTGGACTACCCTGGTGAGGCTTAAATGCATCATCCTGTCCTTGTGATAGGCAGAGGTTGACTTGACACAGAAGGGGCCACAGGTAGACAGAGGCAGGGGTAGGAGCAAGGTAGCCTCAAGCCAAAGAAAGTCTGAAGCCCCCAGAAGCTGGAAGAGGCAGGAAGGGTCCTCCTTGGAGTCCCTAGAGGGAAGTGAGGATCTGCCCATGCCTTGATTATGAGAGAATGAATTTCCATTGTTTAAGACATAAATTTTTTCATAATTTATTACAACACTCACAAGAAATGAACAAAATGACCCTCCCTCAAAAAACAGTGTGAAGACAAAGTGTCATGAAAGCAGCCCCAGCCTGGTACATGGTGATGTGGTTTGGCTTGTGTCCCCACCCGAATCTCATCTGGAATTGTATTTGGCTCTGTGTCCCCACCCAAATCTAATCTGGAATTGTAATCCTCATGTGTGAGGGGAGGGACCTGGTAGGTGACAGGATCATGGGAACAGTTTCCCCCATGCTGTTCTCCTGATAGTGAGGGAGTTCTCAGGCAACCTGGTTGTTTGATAAATGTCTGGCACTTCCCCCTTCTCTCTCTCTCTCTCTCTCTCTCCTGGCACCATGTAAGATGTGCCTTGCTTCCCCTTCACCTTCTGCCATGATTGTAAGCTTCCTGAGGTCTCTCCAGCCATGTGGAACTGTGAATCAATTAAACCTCTTTTCGTTATAGATTGCCCAGTCTCAGGTAGTTCTTTAGAGTGCAAAAATCCTTAGCTGTGGTGTCCTGGCTGAATTAGTCATCATGGGGGAAAAGAACAAGGAGAGACAACACTAGACAGAGTCTACAGTGTTACCCTGAAACACACGTGACACACAAGTCGGCACCAGATGAATGCACGATGACAGTGACAGAGACGAGAATGCCCAGGGTGAAAGGGAGGGATGCAAGGCAGCACCCCAGGGAGGCAGGGTGCATCTGGGGTTGGAGCTAGATCTCATTCTGTCTTTCCAGATCCTGGCCAGCCTCTGGCAGGACCAAGGCATGGGCCAGGCAGGGCCCACAAAGGCTTGTGTTCACCACCAACTCATTAAGAACCGCAGCACTGGAACAAGAGTGTTAAAGCCTCAGATGCAATTCCATTTGGGAGCGCCTACTGCCCAGGATGACTCACGCTGTATCCTGAAACCAAGGCCCTCCCTCCAGCCTTTCCCCGGTGCTTTAGACAAATATTAGAAATGTGGAGGCCATCACTTCCTGTAAATAGATTTAATCTCTTAGGCTTTCATCATCCAAACAGAAGCTCACTTACTGCTGGTGCTAAATCAATATGAAATAGTAGGGAGTTCTTAAAAGCAAACCACCTAGGCCTCAGATGTAAATAGCTCCCTCTAAGGACATCTCTGGGTGCCTTCTTTTCCTTTGGTTTACTTCCTCCCTCTCCTCTGCCTTTTTTCTTTCCTTCTGTCTTTCTTAAGATCATTTGGAAGCTCTTCAGGCAAACAAAAGGAGATTGAGAAATAAACTCTCCCCTCAATCCAGGGTGGGCAGCTCCCCCCGTTCCTGTCTGGGATTTTGTGTGAACTTCAGAGGTCCCTGGTGTTTTGTTTTGTTCTTTGCTTCATTCCTTCGGTTTTAAGGTAACCTTATGGAGTCCAGAGGCCTGATTTGCATGAACGTGAACAACACCGCTCTCTGTTATCCAAATAATTGGATCTGTCTTTCCTTTACTAAGACTGACTTAGTTGTGCCATTTGAGGACTGAAATATAAAATGGGAGTGCGTGCCATGAAATCCTGTTTGTAGGAAAGCAGTCACCCTAGGGGGAAGAAACCAGTGGGCTGCACGGTGGCTGGAACTGCAGGGAGAGGCTTCATCTCCAGCAAACACACGCGCGGCCAAGCGCCCGGGCCAGCACCCCTGGCTGTTTGCTAGCAGAATCACGAGGAAGAGTAAGTTGAAAAACAAGAAAGAAAATGCTTCTTTGTACCCACAAGATGAAGTGCACGCAAAGTTGGGGAGGGGCACCATCGTTCAAGACTCTGGGCCACTGAGTCCAAACCTTCTCTGGCTGTGGAAAAGCAGCCCAGAGCCACAGGTGACCTTGCAACTCACACCCCTGCTGCCCTGTGGCACCACACGCTTGCCCAGGCCTGAGTCTGCTCACCCTCCCCTGCAGGCCAGAGGGAGCTACATGGCTGCCCTGGCCATGGAGGGTTCGACCTCGGCATCCCCGCACCAGAGTGCCCTGACCTCATCCCCCACAGTCTCCTTAGGCATCCTAGCCAGCTGTCTCCTGGGTGTCCAGGCAAGAGAGAAGTCGCTGATGTCAATCGCAAAAGCCTAAGAGGCCCCTGGCCCAGTGGAGGAGACCCTGCCTGTTGGGATCCAGGGTCGCCAGGCCTGAGAGGAGGACACACAGCCCAGGCCATCACGTGACCTGAATTTCCACGGTTGGGCAGGTGGCTGCGGAGCAGGGTTTGTTTTCACCAGATGATTTTTTTTTTTGCTTTGTTTTTATTTGCTTGCTTGTTTTGTGAGAAGAATTGCTTTTTTCTTACTCTATTTTTTGCATGTTTGCATGAGCTCTGGAAACCAAAAAAAAAAAAAAAACAAATAAACCATTTTGGGTTAACATGTTTCTTTTTATTTAGACGCTTCCTTAAGTTTCGGCAGTTATGTAAACTGCACTCACAGGCCCTCAGGCTCTGGAACCGCCCTTTTACCTTTCTCACCAGCACCCGCGGGGGACAGAACGGTGACTACCACTGCATGGGGGCAGAGAGAAATTGATATATGTGGGCCAAAATCTCAAGGAGGATCAGACAGGCCAGGCAGGGTCCCACAAACAGAGGAGTGAGTGGAGGATGTCCAGGAACCTGGGAGGCAAAGGCTCAGCCGGAGGGTTCAGGCCGCAGCCACGCCTTAACAGGCCTGCTGTTAGAGGGACTCAGCTCTGAAGAGCACCTGGCAGTAAACCACACCTTCTTTCCTCGGGAGCCACACATGGATGATTCCATTGCATTGATGAAGACCGGCCTTAAGAAGAAGAAGGAAAAGTGAAGTCACAAAGAGGCTGCTTGTCACCCCTCTTCCGTGTGTGACTCTTTTCCATGGCCACGCCAGGTGGCGGACATGGGGCGTTCGGGGAAGGCCCAGTGCAGCATGTGCGTGCGGCCAGCAGGTGTGCTGGGGCTTTGATAACCCAAAAACCCCAAAACAGAGCATGGAGGGAAAATGATCTGCAGATGTGTCACCGGGAAGAGTCAACCTCCTGCCAGTAAATTAGTCAAAGTTGCGTTTCCCCAGATCAGCCTTACCTACTGAAGTATAAATTATGGCGCTAGGCACGTCATCCAAATTTTCCAAAGTCTTCAAAGACAAGACACCCAGATTGCGGGATGTTCTTGGCAAAGTTGTGTTCTTCTCGAAAATTACTCACAAGGGAGCTGGAGAGCATTCCAAGGGCTTGTGCTTTCCCAGAGGAGCTGGTTACACAGCAGCTCGAGGGGCCACAGGGCTGCCCTGGGAGCAGATGCCAGTGGTTTGCTGCTGGGCACACCAGGGCCAGAGAAAGCAGCTGTTCCTCCCCTGCCCTGTGAGTCACGTTTCTCACCTGACACTAGAGGTGTCGTGGCCGTGACTAGTCCCCGTCAGCGTGCTTCCTCCTAGGATCTTCGTGCTTGTCTCTTCTTGGGGAAGACTGGACTCTCAGGCACTCGTGGTACATTTGTCCTGACATCACTGTGGCAAAGCAAAAAGATTCTGTTTTCATTAATTCCCACTTTAAATAGGAAGAAACCAAAACACAGAAAAGGCATGGGTCAAACCCTCAGGCCTCCCCAGATAGCTGGAATGAAGCTGTGCAAGTTCTCCTCATGCCAGAAAGCTGTGTTCTGCCAGGGACTAGGATTTTTCAGAGCAGTATCTCTGAATCTAAGATGCTCCCATTCTCTCAAGGGATTCTCAGAAGGTCTCAAATTTCCAACACAAAATGCAACAGGAAGCCCAAAGAAAAATTTAAAGAAAATATACACATAAGTTTTTTTTTGCAATTCCATGGACGCTAGGTTTTCCATAGGTGGACTAAATTTTTGTCCTTACCTTAGAAACTACATTGACTGGTTTATTATAAAATAGTTAACATATTCACAAGATAAAATGCAATAAGTAAAACAAACATGCTTTTCTTCACTTGGCTCTCACTGGGTCTCTTTGGACATGACCTTGTCCATCAGAGGGCAAGACCCAGCCTGAAAGTCTGCCCGAACCTGGAGAGCGATGAGGACACCAGCCACGGAGCCGGAGGCCTGTGCGTCGTCCGAGCACCGCTGACCTTCCTGATATGCGAGTAAGATGCCACTTAGTGACCCTTCCTAGAGTGGGTGGAACAGGGCCTCCCGGAAAGGCATGTCCTGCTGGAAATTCAGTGTGTGACCTTGTTTGAAATCAGAGACTTTGCAAATGTAAATAAATTAAGAACTTCACGAGGAGGCTATTTTGGGTCGGGATGCGTCCTAAGTGTAATGGGAGTGTCCTTGAAAGACTCAGAACAGGAGAAAACATGGAGGCGCACGCCACGTGCTAATGGAGGCAGAGAGAGGGCTGTGTCTGGGTGACTGGCAACACAGAGCAAGGATGGAGCCTCCAGAAGGAACCGATCCTGCTGGAACTTTGATCTTGGACTTCTGGCCCCCAGCATGATGAGACAATAACTTTCTGTTGTTTTAAGCCAGTCCGTGTTAATGTGTACAGCGGCCCCAGGAACACATACATTTACTCATCCAGGAAAAGGGACAAGGTAGTCATGGAAGAAGGAGAAAGAGCATGAAGCCTGCTGCCCACAGGAGGCTGATCTCCTGGTGCAGTGGCCCGGTAGCAGCCTCCATTACCATTGGTGTCCAGCTGCCCTGACGGTGCCGGCCCCCAAGGGCCAGGAGGGGCTGTCAGGACTCATCTCTCCATGTCAGAGGATGCCTGGACACAGAGGATGGACTTGTCTGGGACCCCGAGGGAGCAGGGAAGACCAAGGCAGGGGTGGGGGCGCTGCAGGCCCTCCACACACCGGCCCAGCCCGGCTGAACTGAGCAGCCCTTCCCACCCTCCAGTAGGGAATACTGGAAAATATGGGCAGAAGGAGCTTCTTGAGAAAGGCAGAGCAGAGACGGGGAGGGGGTGCCCAGGGAGTGAGGACTCTGAAGACACTGAGGGCGACTCTGAGAGGAAGAGGCACAGTGCTCACCCTTGAGGAGCTGGATGGCCCGGCTCTCCTTTGGGCTCTGCCTGGAGCCCCCGACCTCAGAGCTCCAGCTGGGGTGAGGAAGGTGGCCTGGGGGCGGGGTGGCACCTGCTTTGGGCTCTGCCTGGAGCCCGGGACCTCAGAACTCCAGCCACGGTGAGGAAGGTGGCCTGGGGGCGGGGCGGCACCTGCTTGCTGAGCCAGCAGCCCACACACTGCAGCGCACCTGCCTTCCTCGAGAAAGCCACGGGACACCTGCTTGAGAGCGTGGGGTCAGACGCTTCTCCTTCACCTGCAACATGGACTCATCATGCGCTCCGTATTGCACGTGGACTTTGGCCGCAGAGAACCCTGTGCTGGCACAGCTAAGGGCTCAGACCCCCGGGGAAGATAGGTCTCTCAGAAGGCACCAGAATGGGAACCAGAGCCAGGTGAGGGGCTTGAGTGGCGAAGGCACCTGTAGAAGCCACCCAGCCCTGGGCCCAGCTACCTCTCTCAGGCTGAGGCCACGCGACAGAGACCCGAACTGTGTATCCAAGAAAAATGAAAACATAAAACCGCATGGACATCCTGCCGCTTGTCAACTTTCCATCCTGAATCAAGAGAACATGCAGCCTCCTTGCAAGAAAACCAATGAGTTCACCTCCAACTAGGACTTCCCACATGAGGACAAGGACAGACCCAATCCTGCCAGTGCCTCTTGCAGGCATCCAGGAGAGCCACCTG
The DNA here is from genome assembly GCF_000001405.40 of Homo sapiens. Taxonomy (NCBI): domain Eukaryota; kingdom Metazoa; phylum Chordata; class Mammalia; order Primates; family Hominidae; genus Homo; species Homo sapiens. The sequence goes on from NC_000005.10 coordinate 2,700,424, forward strand.
TGGCCACCGCCCTTCGGGCTCTCCCCCTGCCCCAGCAATCCTCCCACCAGGTCTGCATTTGAATACTCAGATCAATGGCTTCAGATGGAACCTAGCAAAGACTGATGGAGTCCATCCCATCCCATTTATCTCTCCCAGCCGGCGTTTCCTCTCAATTATACTCGTCTAGGGTACAAAATCAGGATGGGTGGTGGCACCCAACATTGCCACTCCTACATATTAAATGGAATGAAAACCAACTTAAGAATTACTTCAGGTGTCTGGCTCTCCAGGGGCAGAAGCAAATCCAGCAAAAATCCCCAATTCTCTCTTCTCTCTACAGCCAACCACAGCAAACCAGGGAGAGGGAAAGCCCGAGAGAATGAGAATAGACAGGCATTCATTCAGGCCTTAAACTGGCCTTGCTTTTCTGGGATCCTGCATTCGGGGTCCCTTATCTTTCTCTTCCGAGTGCCTTCCCAGCCCTCCACCTCACCCCTGGTCCCCATGCACACTTCACTCCTCTGATTGTTTCTAGATTGGCAGGAGGTCTGGGAACTGTGCCTGCAGCTGAAATGGAGAAAACCCATCCAGCACCTCCCCTTCCATCGGTAATTAAACCTCCAGCCCAGAGCCAGCCCTGCCTAGGATGCCAAGCAGCGCTTCTGCTTGTGAATCCACTTTGATCTCTGCAAGGACAACCTGTCCCCACCCTGCCCTGCTCGCCACTGGAAGGTGCCTGGTGGACACCGTGGTTCGTACCCAAGTTACAACGGATAAACGACCTCTCCCTGCAAGGCCTTTCACAATGTGCATTTGAGGCGAGGAAGGGGGATTCATGGAACACCACTCCATTCTCAAAGGCTGAAAGATCAATTTGCAAAATGGATAAGCTTAAATGCCTTTCGCATTTCACAAAAACCTCTGGGAAAAGTTCTGTACTTCTCTCAGATACAAATAACTGGGACTGTGAGAGATGCCACACTCTTGATGCTGGGTTATCTAAAATATTTATTAAGGTCTGACCTTGCTCTGTCTGCCTTCAGCCTCGCACTCCTCTGCAGAACTGATCTGACTGCTGTCACTACCGCAGACTTCCCAGCCAGATAAATCGTAAGGCCACATCTCCCCATTTCTCTTGTTTGACATCTTGGTGATATTTAGCCCTCTGGAAATTGGCTCCTCCCATGGCCACAGGACACTTCATGCTTCGGCTGCACCTCCTACCCTCTGAGGGCTCCATCTCATTGCTGGGTCCTCTGCCTCTGGTCCCTGGGGGTGTTGGGACTCTTAAAGTTTCTGTCCCCAGCCCTCTAGTTCTGTGGACCGAGGCCTTTCCCACCTGGCAGGACAGCCTGAAGAACACCGGTCGGAGCTTCTTTCTCTCACCGTGTGAGGCAAACTGTCATCATCCACCAGCAGAGGCAGAGGTGAGCAGCCCCACAGCCCACGGCCTCAGGGTGGGCAGCACTGGCCCCTGTGGGGTCATGTACCCATCGAGTGTGCACTCACGCCCTGCAAGATGACACCCTTCTGCACACAAATGCATAACCCGACAAGGCACGTTGCTGAATTCACTCCAGAATCATGTTTAAAAAGCAAAACATGCCCAGCTTCCAAACAGAGTCGAGCACTAACTGCAATCGCAAGAAAACCTGAGTTTCTAAAGTAGCGATCAGAGGGTCTACGGATGGAGCCCAGACAGCCTTCCGGGCAAACTCTTCGCTTCCTCAGCCCCAGTCTCTAATCCCCACAAACCCTCCAGGGACCTCCACTCTTCCAAATACCTGAACCCCCTGTTCCCCTACCCATCTCCTCTTTCGGTCTTTGTAAGGAGCCGTCTGTGTCCAGTGGCACCGCCTGGCAGCTCCACGGGGCCTGGCTTAAGAATGAGCAAAGCCCCGGACCCCCCCGCCGAGCCCCACCAGCCCGTGCATGGGGGCCCCACAGAGGGTTCATGCAGACAAGACATGCTAGAGGCCTGTGGGGACCTCGAGGGCCGTTCTGCCCCATTGCTGCACAGCGAAAAGAAAATAATAATAATTTCTAAGACTTTCAGGTTCAGTCTCCCAAAGTACTTTTCCAGGAACATACTTTGAAAGAACACCATAGAAAATACGATCCCAGTGACATGAAGCTTCAGACATCCTCGTGATTTAGGGGGCGAGACGGCGAAGGGATCTCGGGAAGAATTTGTTTTTGTTTCTGAAATGTCAGAAGAAAACACACCTTTGAGATGAGCCTGTACTGTTAGCGTTCAAACTCCCCCTTGTGCTTTGCTTGGGTCCCGCGTGTGCTGAGCAGGAGAGAAAGGCGTGCAGAGAGGTCTGCTCCTGGGCCTCCCTTCGTAAGGGCAGTCGGTTCCAAAGGCCACGTGTAAAGCACAAAGTCTCGAACACTTTCTTTTCTTCTCTTTTTTATTATACTTTAAGTTTTAGGGTACATGTGCACAACGTGCAGGTTTGTTACATATGTATACATGTGCCATGTTGGTGTGCTGCACCCATTAACTCGTCATTCAACATTAGGTATATTAAAGCACAGATGATATTCAAGAGCAACTCATTGGAAGAGTTGCCAAAGCGTGTCTTCAGGGTATACAAAGGTTGTTCCGGAAGGAGCGTGAAGGCTCCAGGTGCCGATGTGGATCATGGATTCAGCCAAGCAGGCGAATGTGCACTGAGCCTGCACTGACTGCCTACTGTATGCCTGGTACATGCAGAGATAGAGGAAAGGGCAGAGGCTCTGTCCTCAAACCTCGCACACGCTCAGCAGGAGGTGCACACACGTCAGCTGTGAGCACCGTGTACCCTGCAGGGACGGAGACACAGCCTCCCTACAACTCACCCAGCCCCAGAGGCACGTGCATGCACTCACACGTGCACGGCGAGGGGACCTCATGTTTGACACGCTCTGGACTTCACAAGCTCATCTCCTGGAATTCCACTGTGTCGGGATGAGTTTTGTGTTACTGAGAGAGGAACTAAAGCTGTCTTTTTCTCTTACTAAGCAGAATGCCCAATTCTCCTCCAGAAATGGACCACAAAACTGCAAAATGCAAGAGAAGGCACTAAAATCTCAGCATCCTCTGAACACAGAAACACTTTAGCAAATTCATGACTGGAAAAAAAGTTCCAGTAAGCTGGCGAGGTTTCAGAGAGCGGCTGCTCTGAGCTCGCCTTTTTATTCTGAAATTCTTATCAGCAAAATGCTAAAGTGGATTGATGCCATTAACATCTCCTCTCTGCTTTCCTTGGGAACTCAACATTCATTATTATCGAAAATATAATATTTATGTATTTCAAGAAAATAGAGAAAATAAACACACAGTCGTCACACCGCTCGAGAGTTACTGGAATTCTCCTGTGTCCGAAGGAGCGAGTTAGAACCTGGGACCTGGCGGCAAAGCTGGGTGTTTTCAAGGACGTGGGTCCAGCCTCTTCCTCCCCCACATCTGGGCCTGCTGAAGAGTATCTGGCCCAACGGTAATGGTCAGCCGCCAAGTTTCTGAGAAGGCTGCTCGGAGTACGTTGATATTTCATTGAAGACCTGCCACAACCTTATGACAGTTGTACTATCCTTTACAGGTAAGGAGACAGGATGCAGTGCTAGCCTAATACTTTACCTTTTTAATCTATTAATCTACCACCTTAGGGACATGATTTTAAATCCACTCCAGAGCAAAGTGACTGAAAATCATTCTGGTCTGACAGCTTTAAAAGATCAGAAGTGAAACGTGTTAGGAAGGTCTCAGCCTGTTGATACCGCACGAGTTCAGCTGTTTGGGATTCCCCCGCCCTGGTGAGGGTGTACCCTTCCTGTTCAGAGGGTCCGGATCGGGCCTCACGTACCAGCAGGAAAGTGTTCGTATTAGACGGGCGAAAGTGATCCAGGAGCATGGACATCGGTCTGGGCTGAGGATGGGGAGCGCTGATGGAGTTGGAAAATCCTCAGAGTTTGGGGGAAGGTTTGCTTACTGCGTATTGGGATGAGTGGCTGGCGTCACGAGAGCCAGTTAAAAGCGAGGGAATGAAAGCCAAGTGCTTGCTCCACGGAGCCACATGGCAGGACAAAACGGGACAAAACAGAATTATATGTGTGTGTATATATATATACACACACATATAATTTAAAGATCAAAAACTAAAATCATAATAATAGTAATAAAAGACTCACTTCTCACAGTGGTCATAGGTCCAACATGCACGTGTGGCCGTTTGCAGGCCAACCTTCCAACTATGTGAAGCGGCAACTACAGAAAAGTTTGCATTCTTGCCGAAAGAGACCTTTTCTTTTGTACTTTGGAAACCAGGAATTATGCTAAGATGTTTACTTCTTGTTGCAAAGCAGCCACCTCCTTTTCTCATATAGAGCTACTAAGCACCCATGCATACACGGACACCCGAGGTAAGAGGAAGGGGCCTTGGGGGGTGCTGCTGGCATCAGACAGTGCATTGAGAGCACCCCATGCAGGGTAGACAGTGCTGCTGAGAGAGAGGTTGCTGAGTGAGGAACAGGGTGACTTCTGCCTCCCTGTGCCACCCAGGGCCACATCCTCTGCCTGCTCAGACAGGCTGATATACATGGGGACCGCTGGTTCTGGGGTAGCAGCATGGTCAGTTTGAAAATGCCTAAGCAGCAAACCTCAGATGTTTATGCACCAGCAGGGGCGACGGATGCCAAGGTGGCTCCTCCTGGACATACAGGGTTCTCCCGAGTGAGGCTCCTGCGCAGAGGCCTCAAAGCCCAACTACCTCTTTAGAACAGGCATTGGGCAACTCCATTCCAAAATCAAGGCCTGGGCTCCCCTGGGCTCTGCAGGGCTCCCCTGGGCCAGGCTGGGGAGAGGCAAGCAGAGGGAGAGTGTGGTCTGCAGGGTCTGCGGCCTTCACTTCCAGGAGAGAGGGGCAGGGCTCAGAGGCCCTGTCTGCTGTGGAGCTGCTCCCCTCCTAGCGTGGGGAGTTGCACATGCGGAGGAGCATCCCCTCGGCAGGTGGATGTGGAATTAGCACCCAAGGCCTGCAGCTAACATGCAGTGGGCAGCCCTGCAGCCGGAAAGCTGGCCCAGCACAGCACGCTTCTGTGCAGGGATCTGAGACGTCCTGGGAAGGGGTGAGCAGGGGATGCTGGAACAGCCAAACCAGGCGCTCCTGGAACATCTCGGGCAAGAGTGCAACAATAGGAATGTGACCCAGAGATGAGGATGCGGCTCATTATGGGTTTCTGGGGAGGTGGGAGCTCTGACGGGTGTGAGGGAATGGGATGCAGGGTTACTGTTGGTGTCTGGTGAGGTGTGAGCTGTGCTGGGAGTGAGGGGAGGGTGGTGCAGGGTCATTGTGGGTATCTGGGGAGGTGTGAGTTGTTGGGTCTTAGGGGAAGGTGGTACAGGCTCAGTGTGTGTGTCTAGAGAGGTGTAAGCTGGGATAAGAGTGAGGGGATGGTGGTGCAGGTTCACTGTGTGTCTAAAGAGGTGTGAGCTGGAATGAGAGTGAGGGGATATGGTGGTGCAGGCTCACTGTGGGTGTCTAGAGAAGTGTGAGCTGTGACGGGAGGGAGGGGATGGTGGTGCAGGCTCACTGTGGGTGCCTGGGGAGGTGTGAGCTTGGAATGGGAACGTGGAAACCAGGAGCAAGGAAGAGTGGCTGGGAATCCCATGAGTTCAGAGCCGGCAGCTGCAGCTCAGGTGCCCCAGCCCACAGAGGGAGTCCGTCGGGCTGGCACTGGGAACTCAGAGCCGGCAGCTGCAGCTCAGGTGCCCCGGCCCACAGAGGGAGCCCATCGGGCTGGCACCAGGAACTCGGGTGTACAAGTGCACAGGTTTGTCTTGCTCCTGGCGGCATCCTGGGAGCAGCAAGCACAGGGATGATGGTGACAGCCTGGGGACTGTAAGGGGGACACTTTCTTTTTCCTGCACACTTTTCTCTCCAACTCTTGCCCCTTCCTGGCCTCTAGGATTGCCTCCCAAATAAACTCCTGTCCCCAAATTCTTTACTTAGAAACTGCTTTGGGGCAGTCCAAGTTAAGAGGTTTTAAGGCATGAATGAGGGATTTGGGAGGAAGTGTTATCAAAATACACCTTGGAAATATCATAAAAGAATGGCCAGTGCTGACCATGTGGACAAAGAAGGGAGGGGAAGACAGGAACACAGGGGTCTTGCCTGCAGGAGGGCAAGGCGTCCCAGAGGGGTGTGGAGACAGGGGAGTTCCGAGCATGAGTTGGGAGTCATCTGAGAAAATGCTCCCTCTTTGCCATTAAAAGAAATAATAATGATGATGAAAAAGAAAACATTATGAGAAAATGCTATTGCAGTAGTCAAGGTTACTAAAACATGACCTCGTTATTCATTTAAAAATGTTTGGATTAGACTACATTCAGGAAACACAGCGTTTTTATCTAACTCTGTACTGTAATTAGTGAGTTCATTTTGATGTACCCAGGTGAGTAATGCATCCCCTTTCTTCCATCAAATTGCCCTACCCATTAAGAAAAAACAGTCTCTGTTTTTTTATCTCTCACCCTGGACATATTCCTAATTAGTTTGCTTTTTTTAATTAGAAGAGAATTGCTCAGCCTTCGAATTGTCCCCCACTTAATGAGCTTCTCCAGATGTTGAATTAGAAACCAAAAAACTACAGAAAAAACAGCTGGACATTAAATAAAACAGGAATTACCAACAGGTCACCTGGGAAACAATTCTATATCCTCACATTAACGCTAAGTAACCCCTGGCGTGGCGTTTTTCCTGTAGAAATGATCAGGCCCTCAGCAGGAGATCCACACAGTCCACTCATCACTCCCAGAGGCTGCCTCCTTCTTCCCACCCGCTACCTCTCAGCCCGAACACCGTCCTGCAGCTGCCCCTGGCATTTATGACACCTGACTTGCAGTTTCTGGCTCTCCTGATGACATCTTAGGGCGGCTGGGTAAGACCCTTCTCATACGAATTTCTCACCTCCATCTCCCTGACAGTGACCTCCTCAGAGTGATCTGGCTCTGTTTTCCTTAGCAGCTAGCTCTCTCGGTGACTTAGGGTTTAATATACACCATGGAATACTGTGCAGCCATAAAAAATGATGAGCTCATGTCCTTTGTAGGGACATGGATGAAACTGGAAACCATCATTCTCAGCAAACTATCGCAAGGACAAAAAAACAAACACCGCATGTTCTCACTCTTAGGTGGGAATTGAACAATGAGAACACATGGACACAGGAAGGGGAACATCACACACCGGGGACTGTTGTGGGGTGGGGGGAGGGGGGAGGAATAGCATTAGGAGATATACCTAATGCTAAATGATGAGTTAATGGGTGCAGCAAACCAACATGGCACATGTATACGTATGTAACAAACCTACACGTTGTGCACATGTACCCTAAAACTTAAAGTATAATAATAATAAAATTAAAAAAATAAATAAAAGAAACTCAGGAGAGGCTCTAGGAATAAACGTATATGGACAGAAAATGCCCAAGCCTGACTATTTATAATGCCCAGCATTATAAATAAGGAATCACTACAATTAGAACTATTTAGATATTTAATGTCAGATACAGAAGAGTCAGAGAACATCTAATATATACAGAGGTGTTCAGTAAATGTTAGTTGACAGGGTAAATGAGTTTAAGCATTCCAGAACCATAGTTCAAATGTCACATGTACCCTAAAAATATGTACAACTATGTATCAATAAAAAACTAACAAACAAAAACTGAAAAAATAAATAAATAAATAAAATAAAGAGGAGTCTCACTTTGAGACAGGAGTCTGTGGCCTGCCAGGGCTACTGCGAAGGTGAGGGTGAGAAAGCCTTGCAGGGCAGGGCACCCCCACCCTGTCCCCAGCATTCACACCGCAGCCTCAGCCGTCTCAGGACGAGCCGTCTGAGTGCACCATGAGCAGCTTGCACCACGGCGATCTCTACACACTTGCAATGCCAGGTTGTCCTTCCCGGATACAGGACAGCTGCCATCCGGGGCAGTGTACCCACAGGTGTTTCCCGTAGAGACACCGGCCCCTCCCCAGGGCTTCATCCTCTCCACCTTATCCCCGGGTCTCAGGACTCGAGCATTGACACACCTTAACTCCTCGTCAAAAAGCGGAGTGGCTTTAACAGATGTTTGCATCCATAAACAGGCTTGCTTCAGGTGCTTCCCTTCACGAGAAATGAAATCTGTGTTCTCCCCCAAAGACCAGCCTCCGGTGGTAGCGACAGGATTGTCCCAGAGCCAAGGCCCCCAAGAGCCAGCTTCCTGGGAACGTGAATCCTCTCACTTAGGGTTGGGGACGGATGGCCTGAACCCTGTGCTCCTTCTGGAACTCCATGTTCTTCAGGACAGCCGCATCCAGGCCATTGGCCAATGTCCTCGTTCGGAAATGCCAGAATGTTCCCACCTTCCTATCCTGCGCTCTCCTCACCACTCTTTGCTTCCAGGGCACGGCTCTGGTCCATCGGGTCTCCACTCCTTGCTGCCACACCCTTGGAGACAGCGAGTGTCTCAGCAGGATCACTGCCATCCTTGACATCGGCCCTGCCCATCCCTCCCAGCAGCAGAGGTGGTCTCCGGTCCTGCGTCCCTCCAACCTGCTTCAAGCCCCACTCCCAGAGGCCTTCTCCAGGCCACATGGAACTTTCTCTGCCAGGGACTCACTCTTCCAAGAAGACGTGGAGGGCAGTGATTCTCCTCAATGCAGCAGGTGCTTGTTGGGCCCTGCAGGGTGGGGCAGGAGGTTGAGATGGTGGCAAGACAACGCTCTGCAGCATCTCACACCACTGCCCAGGGACACCAGCCCACCAGCCTAGGGCACCGGCACTGGGAAATTCCGTCAATCGTGAAATTATTAATGCAAAATGCATGACAAAAATAAAACCCCAAAGATCTGCCTATCGTTTTCATAACTGCACATTCGTATTTCAGATTTAGTTAAGTGCACGGTAAGTTTCTGGTTATAAATGCACTCGTGAACTATTAATAAAAATTTAAAGAATACAATGAATCACCTGTGTGATCTGACTAGCCCATCATTTTAATATGCAGAATTTCATTTTAGTCTTTATTCTGTGCACCTGCATTTCTAATGCAGTCAGGATTCTGGCGTCGATGATTTTGTGTCCTATTTCTTTTAATAAAAATGATCTGCTTGGCCTTCTGTCACTTATTTTTGCCTTTGAGAAAATGCCTTTGATGTTTTCTGTCTTTGCTACCTGAACTATATTTAGTTTACTTTATTTCTTCTAGGAAGAAATAAAGTGTATATTCATTCTGCCTTCAATTATTTGCATGATTACTTTACATTTAGAAATATTAATTCATATTTTTATTATTAAAAGCAAATATAAGATCACTTTCATTTCCTAACACAAGATGCAATTGTAGTGTATTTTTACCATCTTCCAACACCCTTGGTTTCCTGATAGATCTGAGGTTGGAGCCACAGCTCACCTTCCTCTCAATACTCAGACCCTCCATCACCTCCTCTCCAGCCTCTTTTGGGATTCCGTCCATGTTTCCTTCTAAGGCCCCAGGCCGTTCTCAGCCTCTCTGCCCCATGTGTGTTCGCTTCAACTCCCAGGCTTCTTTTGCATCTGAAGTTGTAGGTTTTATCTTTTAAAAAAGGTCCCTAAGCGTCCTGCTGGCTGAGGCTGTTTATCAGGGTGACATGTCTACATTGCCGGGAAGCTTTCAGCTGCAGCGACACAAGTGCTGCTGCAACAGGCCAGAACAAGGCGCCTGGACTTGCCTAGGGCAGAGGCGAGGGAGGCTGCGCAGGTGGCGGGTGGAGAAGTTAAAAGGCAGCATCAATGCTGCAGGCGTGTTCTGCCCCTGGCTCTGTGACATGGAGCAGTCATTTCATCCCAGGCCTGGAAGCCCTCATGGTCACAGCAGGGCTGCCAGCGCCCCTCCAGGCCACACACTTTCTCCCTCAGTCATGCCTCCTGGGTGAACATGGCTCTGTGTCACAATCAGATGGTTCTCCCAGCAGCCTCCACACATCTCTCTTTAGGTCTCCTTATCTGAATTGGGTCTATTCTCATTTCTGACCCAGTTGCAGGCAGAGTCTGGGATTAGTCTGGTCATGTCAGGCCTGTGGTGGACGGGGCGAGCGGCCGGCTTCCTCTGAGTCTCCTGGCCACCTGGGGAAGACATGGGAAGCCACCAGAAAGCAATCTCGAAAGAGGGAACGGTGAACACATGTGCTCTACAGGACACTAGCTTTCATTGCCTTCCTGCCTAAACAACCAGTCACCTGGGTGTAAAACGCTGAAATAAAAGTATAATTTCCTAAATCTTTATAGAGTTGGTCTTGCCAAGAAGTTGGGGTAAACCTCACTTTTGCTCCCCTTACAGAGCAATACCTTTTTACATCTCTGTGATTAAAAAATAATACATTTGCAAGCACTATTTTTCCTGGAATATGCTGAGCATTGAAAATTTTCTTTTTTAAGACAGGAAAATTTCCTTCCACGTTTTTTCTGATAGGCTTGTCTTTTAGGTGCCTTAGCTTGTTCTATAAGAACATATACAACTTAGTTGAGATTCTATTCTCTGCCGTCTGTACCAACTGATACCATCATTTTCAAAAAACAAAACAAAACAATTAGCTGCATTTTTTTCCTGATCACTAAAAAAGTATGTTCCTTGTTGAAATCACACAATACCAAAAGCTACACAGATGAGCACGAACATCATATATAAGTCCACCACCAGGGGGAAAGGCAGTATTCATTCACATTTTACCACGTATATTTCTGATCTTTTTTTTCCATGTGACATACTTCAATTCATGTGTTTAATATCCCTCAAATATTTCTCAGCAGCCTATTATGCTGTCCTTTGAATAGATCCCACTAACAGCACACAGAGTACAGGGCTTCAACATGTCAGTTGGTTATTTTTTCTCCTATACTTTTATCAGTTCGATATGGATTTGTTCCTGTTTGTGCTCAGTTTTAGGGTTGCCTTTTAACTTAAAAAAATTAATAATTGTATTTTTGACCACGTAAGAGGTTTTCATGTTGCAAAAATCAGCACTTCCACTCCCTCCTCAGCCTCTCCAGGAACTGTTTTCCTCGCCTGCTCTAGGCTGTCCTTTCTGGGTTTTCTTTTCCCTGAGTAAGGAAGGATGTCTGTTTGTGCTTCACCTTCTCTCCGACACGAGCCATCCCTGAGTGCACCCGCAGCAAACACGCCCTGCTAAACTTGCCTCCACGCCCGCCCCCTCCGCCTCCGTGTCCTGTGACCACGCAGCTCTGTGAGGGGCTGTCCCTGTCACCATCAACATCTCTATGACACAGTTCACTGTAGGAACGTCTTGGGGTGCCACGACAAAGGGGGCGGCCTAAAACAACAGAAGTTTAATCCCTCACAGTTCTGGAAGCCAGAAGTTTGACATGCAGGTGACACAGGGCCACGCTACCTTCAAGGCTGAAGAGAAGGAGCCTTCCTGCCTCTTCCGGGGTCTGTTGCCCCCACTTGTTCCTTGACTGGTGGCTGCATGGCCCCAGTCTCTGCCTCTGCCTCCTGGTGCCCTCCTCCCCGGGCCTGTGTCTGAGCTCCCTGTGCCTCACAGTCACAAAGACGCTTGCCATTCATTGGGTTTAGGGCCCACCCAGGTAATCCTAGATAAGCTCCTTTTCTCACATCCTCAACTAAAGTACTTCTGCAAAGACCTTTTTTCCAAATAAAGTCCCATTTACAGGTGCTGGGGGTTGGACGTGGATACCTTTTGGGGGCTACTGTTCAACCCACTCCAGGCAGGGATTGTCAATGTCCTGCCCCCATCTGTGTGATGCCCTCTGTGCGTGTCTGCCGTGTGTATGTGGCGAATCGTTGGCCCAATACCAAGAAGTAGGGCTCAGGGTCGAAGGCTCACTGCCTGGGCAGATTTGCTAGAAACTACCTGATTCCAAGCAACAGGGCTGTGGCTCTCTCAATACCAGCGACACTGAACATCTGTGCATGTGTTTAAAGGGAATCTTTATGTGTTTTTCAGTGAAATGTCTTATTTTTATTGTTTACCAATTTTCTACAAAGTGTTTTTGTCATTTTTCCCCCGATGGTTTGAAATATTCTTATGAATTAGCATTTTTAGTCCTTAGGGTAAGAGTTGGAAACATTTTTCCCAGCGGCCATTGCTTTTGATTACGACGGGTTCCCCCCCACCCCCAGTGGCAGGAGGCAGATGCAAACTTTTATACGTTGTTGGATTTTTATTTTTTTCCTGTATTTTATTTGTTATTTGAGCCATAACAAAGAATTTCACCACTCAAGTCAAAAACACATTTTTTTCTAGTAATTTGTGTTCTAGTACAAATGTAGTCTCATTCTATTTATCATGCAGGTTGCTGATGTCCTTGGGGTTTGTTCTGTTGTTTGGAGTGGGATGTGACTTCAATTGTATGTTATTGTTGCTTTTCCAAGTGGATACTCGGTTCCGTTGAGGGCGTTTACCTTTGTTCTGGTCATATATGATCACCTTTATTATCTACTGAAGTCTGATGTTCTCTGGGTCTATTTCTGTCCTTTCTGGTTTATTCCACTGGCCCATTTGTCAAACCCTGCACCAGAACTACAGCACTTTAGTGGCAGAGATTTTACAGCTGTTTTTTTTATGCCTGGTGTCCTGGTGCTTCTCCTTCCTCTTTGCTCATCTTTTTAAGGGATTTCCTAGCTATTGTTGCATGACTGTTTTTCCATGTAAACTTTATTACCAATGTATAGCTATAAAAAATGCTTGCTGGGCCAGGCGCGATGGCTCACACCTATAATCCCAGCACTTTGGGAGGCCGAGGCAGGTGGATCACGAGGTCAGGAGATGGAGACCATCCTGGCTAACACGGTGGAACCCCGTCTCTACTAAAAAAAATACAAAAAATTAGCCGGGCGTGGTGGCGGGCGCCTGTAGTCCCAGCTACTCGGGAGGCTGAGGCAGGAGAATGGTGTGAACCCAGGAGGCGGAGCTTGCAGTGAGCTGAGATTGCACCACTGCCCTCCAGCCTGGGCTACAGAGCAAGGAAAAAAAAATTCTTGCTGGCCTTAGAACTGGATTAGTGTTAAATTTGTCTGTTAGCTCTGCTAGAATTTGACAACTTTATGATAGCATGCTTCCTGCCGAAGATCAAGAACTGCTTTTCAGCTGGTCAAGTCCACCTGGGAGCCTTTGGAAAGCATTTGGAAGCTTTTCCCCTTAGGTTTTCCATCGTTTATCAAGATCATTCCTAAGAACTTTGTGGTTTTCACTGCTATTTTAAACCGAGATGTTTCTCTCTCCTTATGTCTTCTAAGAGGTAATGTGGATAGGTAAAAAGGTGACTGATTGTTGTGTGTTAGTTTTATATTCTCCTAAATGTTTCTAAAGGCAATTTTTCATGATTTAGACAACTTACTTAACCTCATGATCACGTTGATCAATACAGTCAGCACTGAATCTTCTCCTCCCCTCCAAACACATGGATAAGGTGGATAAGGAATATTTAATTTTTTTTTTAAAAGCACAGCCGCCCATGAAAGCAAGGAAGGAGAATCTCTGTGGTACAGAAATGGGGTTGGAGTCCCTGGGGTGATCAGTGCTGTGGCCACAGGACCACTGTGGACCCAGAAGACCAGCAGCAGGGCCAACACCTGTCCAGGGTGGGAAACCCTACCTCATCATGGGGTGACAGCCTCAGGGGCTCCGGGGTGACTGGACTCTGACTGTGAACTGAGAAGGGGTTGAAACTGCTTTCCCTTCTCCCACACAGGCAGGGCTTCTGCTGAAATGAGCTTCTGCCAGAAATACCCCAGACACATTCAATACTGAAATATGGACCTGCAAAGTACCCATAGGCAGGACCCCACCCTGGGCTATTGCGGACTGGAGCCCCGAGCAGGAGAGCCCACCCAGGCTTGGCTTTGGAGCTGGAGGAGACAGCGGTGAATGGAACTTCCGCTCAGGATGGGGTCTGGAACACTGGGTTTGGGAACAACTAAGAGTCTCATAAAGGGAAGACATAGCAAGGCAGGTACAGAAATAGCAAGGCGATTGTTCAGGGGCATTGAGCTAAGTAAGTATATATTACATTCTTAAGTAAATACATAAAAATCAAATGTGTAAAAAAAACAGATGAAAGAGAAATAGGCATTTTTTAAAATAGAAATGTTGGAAATGATTAATATTAGTGATGAAATGAATTCAAGCTCTTTCCCCCACGTAGCAGGCTGTGAGTTGGGTGATCAGGCAGGGGTGGGAGACCCATGGGGGAAGGGGCGGAAACAGAGCCAGTGGGGCTGGGCATGGAGCTGAGTCCAATAGCATCATAGGTCTGCTGTGGTACCCAACCGATGCTCTGTCACCGGCAAGGGGTGTCTGGTCTTGAGGCTCTTGCCTGCTGAGTGGAAAGATCTACGTCTTTCGGGAGACCTTGATGGGACCTTGGCTTCAGAAATGTCTCCCCCGCTCTCGGGGGAGCTGCTGCCCCAGCTGGGTCTTTGGTCTGACTGGGCTTTGAACACTCTCTCTGCCTGCTGCTCCTCTCTCTGCTCAGCCCTGCCTGGCGCAGAGAGCTGGGCACCTTCCACCCACCCCTGCTGGGATGCATCAAGCTGTCTCTCAGGAGGGCCCGGGCTCCTGGCTGCAGCTCTACCTGCCCAAGTCCCAAAAGTTCTCACACTGCAGGTGCTGCCTCAACCTCCACCCACTCAGCCTGCCAGCTACAAACCTCTGAACTGCAGGGTAGAAAAGGAGCTTGCCGAAGGTCCCTGCCTGCCTTGCCCCACAATGTAGCCTCTCCCGGAAAGGCAAGCTCAGCCTCCACTGGAACCCACATCTGACATCTGTGTCCTATAGTTGGCACCACTGCCTATGCACAGGCTGGTGTGTTCTGGCTCCCCCTCCCGCCAAGGATGGCGCACTCCTACCACTAGACCAGATCCCAGGAAAGGGTTTCCAGAGCCTCCTTCTCCACTGCCGCCCATCCTGGCCCCCTGAGCCTGCACCTCCCCAAGAGAAGGAACGGGAACTTCATGTCCACCCACACCCCAGACACTGACTGTGGTCCAGGCGTGGGCCCCAGCCTCCGAGAGCTCCCTTCCATGGTGTCTTTTGGAGAAAAATTAGACTCATCAAAAGGCATAAGGCATCTTATGTGTGATGCCTGCCACATGTAAGAATGGGTATTTGCGGCCGGGTATGGTGGCTCACGCCTGTAATCCCAGCATTTTGGGAGGTTGAGGTGGGTGGATTACAGGGTCAGGAGTTTGAGATTAGCCTGACCAACATGGCAAAACCCTGTCTCTACTAAAAATACAAAAATTAGCTGGGCGTAGCGGTGTGTGCCTGTAATCCCAGCCACCCAAGAGGCTGAGGCAGGAGAATAGCTTGAACCCAGGAGGCGGAGGCTGCCGTGAGCCGAGATCTCGCCACTGCCCTCCAGCCTGGGCAGCAGAGTGAGATTCCTTCTCAAACAACAACAACAACAACAAGAATGGGCATTTGCACAAATAGACTGCAGGCTTCTACTCATACTGAGGGGTAAAATTAACCAGAGCTGACTCATGGACTCCACACGTGCCTGCGTCCAGAACAGACTGTCCCTGGGGAGAGCCCGGAGGTCACTGGGCCAAGGCGTGATGGGAGGCTACCTTGTGCTAGGGCAGATTTCCCTCCCTCCTCCCTTGGGAGGACTCCACCCTGCCCAGGAGGCCCAGGGGCCCTGCGCTTCTCCTTGCAGTGGAACATCTGGGCTGCAGCCCTTCCCTGGCCAGGCAGGAATTCACAAGCCCTATAGAATAAATGGGACGCACAAGGGGTCTTTGCCTCAGGAGTCTGAGAGCACAACAACTGCATGAATGTCAGACCCAGTGAAAAGGGAGAAGGTATCATCAGACAGGCCGCTCCACCGCCCTCCACAAAGCGCATAGCAAGGGCATTCCCGCTCATTCTGGCATGTTGAGTATCTCCATGAAATCTGCAATCAGATGCTCTCCTAGGAGAAGCAAAACCACTATAGAATTATGAAGAAAACAGACTCTATGTTTTCAATCACATTCTTTTGAAGTTTTGCACCCTATACATTCGGTTTCAAATGTCAACACTTTTCTTTTGCCATCTGATAGGCAAACACAGGTCCTTAGAAAGGAAAATAAAAGAAAAAATAACCTAAACCTAAGAAAATATTGAGCTATCATCTACAACATTTAGTATGCCATTTTCTCGAAAATGAAGTTGGTTCTTGCACAGTCTAAGCAAACTACCTACAATTAAGCCTCCATCTGTGTGTTTAATTTGCAGTTTATAGATGAGTAGTCATCAGTTACTGAAATAGCTCATGCTTCATCAACAGTCTCAGGGATATGTACTTTCTGCCATGAGCACTGCTAAGCATCTTGACATACCATGCCACTCATCTGGTCGCCGGAAGCTTTCGTCCTATCTGAATGCCAAGAGCAGAACCGTCTTCCTTTCTTCAGGAGCCTTCAACTTTTTTCAATACAGAGACCAACACAAGGCACGATTCTACTCCTGCCCTACTGGCTTCCTGCTCATAAGTATCCCACACAGTTCAAGTTACAGACACTGACTGTCATAACCAAAGGCACTCTGGACTTCAAAACGGGTGTCCTCCCTTGGCCACCTCTCCTCTCGCCTCCTTCCGCTCATGACTAACCTTGTCAGAGACCCCAGGCTCATTTCTCTACCCTCCACTTTGCACTGCACCGTAACTAGCTACGACCTTGTTCTTCCTCGCACCACTCAAGAGAAATGGCCTGGGAATGTTCGGCAAAGTCCCCCGTAGTCAAATCTGGAAAACTGGCCTCCACAGCTTCTAAACCTGTCCCCTTTGTTCGATCCCTTGGCATGGGAGATATCAATGCATCTCATGTTTCCTTTAAGGGGTGGTGAGACTTTGCCATCTTCTCGCCCTATCTAACTCCCTCTCTTTGGGAGAAACCATATCCATTGTGTTTACTTACCAAACACACTTGGTAACCTTCTAGGAGTACCAGACAGACTTCTCTCCTAATCTGCAAACCAATATGTCAACTTTCTACTAAAGAACGCCCAGTCACTGCAGGTCCAAAGTTAATGTGTCGTCACCATCAAAACTGGTACCAGAACCTCCTCAGGCACCCAGAGCCCTGTCTTGGCAATGGCTCCCATACACCTGTCATCCTCACCAGTGCTGGCATCCTCCTGCCTCCCCTTTCCCTCTTTGAGCTGTGCCCGTTCCCACTCCCCATCCCCTCTCCTATCTGTCACCTCCCCTCTGTTCCCACTGGCACTGCTTTGGCTCAGTCCCTCATCATCTCTCATCCAGAACCATCTAGATTCCCTTGTCTGCCACTTCACGACATCCAAACTCTCATCAATACTGATACCCAACGGCTTTTTCTACTGTGAAAATCACCACTGCTCTGATTTAAAACCCTTTATACCTTCCCATTACCCTCAAGCTAAAGTCCAAATTCATACAAAATGCTACCTGGCCAGGTGTATTTCTGCCTTTGCAGTCTTGTTCTCATTCACACCTTTCATGGCACCCAGAGGGGGTCACTGCCCCAGTGGCTCACTGGCATTAGCAGCATGTCTGCTGGAGTCATCATCCTTCAGGACCCAGCTCTACCATCAGTGTGCATTATTCTCTTTGAAAGCAACACACACACACACACACACACACACACACCCCAAACACCAGAAATAATCTCTACAATTTACACTTTCATCTATTACTAGACCAATCCCCCAAGAAATTGACCACACCTACTTTTGAAAATTGTCAGTGTATTTTATCAGCCATTTTTGTAACAGCAAAACAGAGGAAGGAAAATGTTATGCAAAAAAAAAAAAAAAAAAAGAAGAGAGAGAATGATGATGCTCCCCCATTATGCAGGCATAAAATATTTAAAGAAGGCCGGTGCATAAGCTGGTGCCGTCAGCATATTTAAAATCAGTATTTTCAGAGGTGGCAACTCAGCCAGGGAGCCCTCCGTAGGCTGAAAAGAGGCACCACTGAAGGCGGAACTGCCCGACAATTGCTCACGGCACCTATTTAAGAGCATGATATTAATGTTGGGATTCCACCTCTGGCTTCAGTATTATTTGCACATTTAAAATAACAAAGTGTTTTAAAAAATATATTATAGCAAGTGACTTCCAACTGTAAACGCATCAAGGCAGCTGAAACTTACTACATTTAAGGTAGTAAAATTGAAGCTGATGGTGGCACCACATTATTCATTACATCAAATGGAGATGCCTTTAAATTTATATTAAATGCAATTTAAATGCCATCAAAACCATGGTTGACAAAGTACTGACAGATGAATATTTTAGTATGATTCAATAGCAGTAAACTTTATTTTCTTACCTTGAGGCAAGGTGATGGGGTTTTTATATGCAGTGGGTTGAACTGGGTTTGTAGTAACATGGCTCATGATTTCCATAAAGTAAAATTTTATCTTTAAAAAAATGATTTTGAAGGGTTTAACTCTTGAGCTCTGAAAACATTTCTTCAGGGTTTTTTTTTTCTTTACTCATTATTTCATAGTGTGAAATCCAATAGCTTTCTTATGCCACTCTCAAAACATCTTCTGGTTTGGAATTAACAATTAGACATTTTAAAGGTTTTATGCTTAATGTTGACATGCAGCAATATTTTATCTTGATTTTTCCACTTGCAGTTCTTGGTCATAGGTGGAAAAGTGCCTTACCTATAGTTCACTTGTAGGTGGTGTTGAATGAATAAATTGTTAACAGAATAAATGAAATGTTTAATTAATTGATTAGTCAACTTGTCTCTGTTGTCTCTAAGAAGTAATATGCAGGCTTTTGTCTGTCTACCAGAATAGCCCTTGGTGTCTGAGTTTAAAGACCGCATCACAAAACGACTCAACCAGTCTCCCCAAAGAGATTATTCATGAGATACATAGATGACAGACAGACAGACAGACAATAGATTACGTGTTGATAGAGAGAAATATAGACAATTGCCCAGGCCTCAAGCCCTCCAGCTTCTGGCTCTAGAGGCTTCCATCGAAGCTCTTAGAAATCAGGAAGAGTTTTTCCTTCTCTAGACTTTGTTTCTAGAATTGAGAAACCTGCTCTTCTAGTCTATTGTCTTTGTCGGAGATTTGCGAAAGTTCCTGTCCTGGGATCACGTGCTGTAAAATGTGTTTAAAGGTATTGTTATTTTCTTTTGCACAATATATTTTGACTTCCCCTTGACTCTTATCTGGCTAATGGCTCATTTTTTCCTGAGTCCAGGAAGCCACTGATTTTTGGTGGATAAAGCCGAAAGACAATAATCATGACTTACCTTTGACTTTCAAAATAGCATTTTTCCAAGAGGTGCCCCCAGCCTGGGCAACACAGGGAGACCTCGTCTCTAATAAAAAAAAAAAAAAAAAAAAAAAAATAGCCAGGCAGAGTGCTGCACACCTGTATTCTCAGCTACTCCAGCTACTCAGGAGGCTGGGGTGGGAGGATCACTTGAGTTTGGAAAGTCGAGGCTGCAGTAAGTCGTGGTCGTGCCACTGCACTCCAGCCTAGGTGACAGAGTGAGACTCTGTCTCAAAAAAACAAAGGAGCCTCTACATTTGGAAGCCAAGTTTTCAATTGCAAGAGCCATGTCCTTGAGGGAGAAAAGGATGTCCTGGCTTCTCAAGGCCTCCCTTGAGATGCTGAGAACCAGAGCCTATGAGCACAGGACGGAGAGGGTGCCCACAGAGCCAGACACAGGCAGAGTGTCTTTTCCACCAGGGGAGGGAAGGAAGGGCTGGAGTTAGGGGCCCCGAGACGGTCCTTGCACACCCGCCACCACCTACCCAAGGTCTCCCTGACTTGCAGATAGTGAAGAGGAATTTAGGTTCACATGCCCCAGAGTGCCACGCCAGGAGCTGGTCAGCTCACCAGTAGCCATGGGATGAGCTGCCAGCAGGAACTGACTGTGCCGGGACCCCAGCACAAACAGAGCCACCTGAGTTAGGGGTGGGATGGGAGCAGGGGAAGACATGTGGAGTCACAGGAGCTGGGTACATTCACCAACAGCAGAGAAAAAGAAGAAAACGAAGAGAAGACAGCAGAGGCAGACACTTTGCAAGACTCTTAGTTTCCTGAGAGAGGCTAAGTTAACCTGGAGATAACTAAAAGCAGCCAATGCCAAGAGGGCATTCTCCCTCCCACCCACACAGGCCCAGCACCAGCAGCAAAAGCAGTTTCTAAAGGGTTGATATCTATACAGAGAAACAAGGCTACTTACCTGCATGACTGAATAGACTGAACACTGACTGTAGATTTTAAACTAGAAAGCTGACACGTAGAAAGGAACGGCCTCTCGCCCTCTCTGCATCTTCCCTGTCCTGAAGGCAGGATGTCTTCGCTGCCAAATCGTCAAAGTAGAGGGGAAGATCAGAGTGGAAGAAAATGAACAGGTCATAACATATCCAGATGTGACACATATTTACACTGATGCTCAAAAGCCATCTTTTTGTGAAAAACTGGTGCTTGTGTGTGAAACAGAAGTCCTATGCCCTGGTGCCCTAATGTCTTTAGGGAAATGTTTTCTCCTCTGTGAGTCTCATCATAAACTTCAAATAGAGACATTGTCAAAGGTGGCATGCAAGAAAATGGAGAGCTGAGTTAATTTGTTTGCTCAAAAATACTTACTGAATGCCTACCCTGTGCAAAGGAGTTGGTTAAGGTGACAGACATGTCCACAAACCACATTTCAGTTCATCCCACACTGAATAGACAAAACTGACTTGCTTGTTGTGGAGAATACACTTGGGATATTGACACGGTATTCAAGGTCTCAGTAGCTTGAATTTGGGTCAATTACGACTGCCTTTGGCTGCAAGTAACAGATTCCTATTGGTATTGCTAGGACTATAAGCCAAAATTCCTATTTCAGCAGTTATTGCACCCAAAAGTAGTCCTAATTGACCATTATTAAACCGATGACCTAATTGACCATTAGTAAAGCTTGTTACTATGCAAGTTAACAGATTCCTGTGTTCTGATTTCTGCAGTCAGCCTTCACTATGAAGACAAGAAACACACACACTCTCTTTTAGGAGATCAGTCCTGGGGCCAAGGACCCAGATGCCCTGAATCTTTCCAAGTCTTCCACGTACGTACCTTGGAGGCTCTCTATCCTCAGACTCATCCTTGTAGATTGCAAACCAGCTACTGCCCTTCCAAGAAGCACTCACTCCCATAGCAGCTTACAGGAAGAAAGGGGCTGGGCAGGAAAATAAGGAAAGCGTGTTTTGTTTTGTTTTGATTGTAATCAGGGAAGAATATTTTTCTTGGAATCCCTCGTCTCCCACCCTCCACACACCCACAGTAATTTCCCATTTTGTCTCATGGACTTGAACTGGGACATGTGGCCAAGGCTTAGCTGCAGAAAATTCTTGGGAAGTGAATGTATAGCTTCTCCAGCCTCTAGAGAAAGAAAGAAGCAGGAGACAGAGAAAGGGCTGAGGGAGAGGGAGGAGGCGGCCACACCTGAGGTCAACCAAGGCCCTCTTGCAAGCTGCACTCAGCCCACTGGGCCCAGGAAGGATGCAGCAGTACGTTGTGGCCCCAGGTGCAAAACACAGAGTCAGACCCCAGCACAGGAGGCCCTCCACAACACACAGCCTTCCTCCCTGCACCTTGGGCACTGCCATTCTGGGAATAAAAAGCAGACTACCTCATGAAGATGGCACAGATGCTAACATGGTATAATTCTCCCTCTCAGATGGTTTATGAACGCCTTCTGCAAATCAACATCATCACCAGTAGAATTCATGTTGTCCATTATGTTATCTCCAGAATGGAATGAGTGGATGCTGAGGGTCTCTGAACAGGCTTTCAGTTCTAAAGTTTCATTCCACCTTAGTCGTGTTTCCCCAGCAAATCTACAGGGCTCCCCATTCGAAAGAACCACCATTGATCAACATGGTTTAAGGTGGTGATCACTTCAGGTGCTTAATTTTGATTGTCCTATTATTTTTATAAACATTTAGAAAATTCTGCTCCAAAATGTTTTAAATTAATCCAAAAATTCTTATTCTTAATTTGCAGTAGGAGGGAAGAATCAGTGGAGAAAGATGTTGATTTCTGCATTTGCACAAAGAAATAGAATGAATCATTTCTGGCTGAAAAACAAAGATCTGGGACTTTTAGCAGGAGAGAATTGGGAAAGTAATCCCAGAATGGGTTTTGTCTGCTTCTTGGCTTTGCAGAACACAACACAAATTCAGAAGTAAAAATAATTTTTTTAATATATGGCATGCCTAAAGTATTACATTTTGCTAACCCTTCCCATGATTAATTTAAAATAAAACTACTATGTAATTACATATTATTTGTCAGTGCAAAAAAAGACACATATATTTTTAAAGGAATATTTATTTTTTCTGCTTATCAGAATGCCAATATCCACATTTATAAATTACAAACTTCCCTTTATAGTGTTAAGTTGCCCCAATATCTGATGGCTATAGAAAGACACTAGAACTTCATAATTCGGAGTATCCCTGCCTGTACATTTAAAAATAGAAGGCATTATATTTTCTAACTTTTGCCAGATTGCAAGTGAGGAGGATGAACAGTGACTGTGACGGGTCAGACAGTGCATATCTGGCTCTTCAGATACCATCAAGCCCAGCGCACATCAGGGGCCTCCGTGGTGTCCTCGCCCTGAGTCATGGCCACAACACACAGGTGCATCCCCCAGACCTGCAGGGCGCTCCCAACCTCTGGTTAGGCACAAGGTGGTCACACCTCACTCAGGTCAGCAGGCAGCTTAGTCCTGGCACCCCAAAGCACACTCAGGTGTCTTTGAGAAAAGCAAAGAGTTTGCAGCTCCTGACGATGCCTGGTTAAAACTAACAAAAGCACAACCGTGATTTCATCCCATTTTCCCTCAAGTCCCCTCTGCTCTCGCCTGAAGGAGGCATCCTATATGTTACCAACACCCAGGAAGTTGCCTTACACGTACGTCTTCCTGAACTGAGAATGGACCCTTCAGTACTGGAATTTGAAGAAGGAGCACGAGGCTGAAGGCAGCATGTCCGCTAGCCAGGAGCTTAGCTGGCTCTAAAATGCCTGGGAAAGAAAATTCTGAGAGTATTTATTTATTTGTTTGTTTGTTTGTTTGCAATGGAATCTCACTCTGTTGCCCAGGCTGGAGTGCAGTGGCATGATCTCGGGTCACTACCACCTCTTCCTCCCAGGTTCAAGCAATTCTCCTTCCTCAGCCTCTCCAGTAGCTGGGACTATAGCCATGCCACCACGCCTGGCTAATTTTTTTTTTTTTTTGTATTTTTAGCAGAAATGGAGTTTCACCATGTTAGCCAGGCTGGTCTCGAACTCCTGACCTCAAGTGATCCACCCGCCTTGGCTTCCCAATGTGCTGGGATTACAGGAGTGAGTCACTGTGTCCGGCCCCATGAATTACTTTGATATTAAAAAACTCCTAAAGTGAGAAGACCTCATACTCACAATGGTGTGTATCATGCAGGAAAAAGATACAGCAATATGTCCATTACATTATTAATTACATTGTTTCTCCCCGCAAGTAGACCCATTGGCCACTTAGATTTCTAGTGGCCACAGTGGCAGAAGAGCTCCACTTAGCCGTTGGGAATGTGCTGGTGAGTAATTCTGTGCAACTCCACGCCTGTGGCTTTAGAATGATGGGCGGGTGGGTGCTGAGGACAAACATAGACGTGACATTCAAGGCGGGAGGCTGCATTGATTGCTTTTGCCTCCTGGACCCTGAATTGCCACCCCCTCCCCATCCCACACATAAGTGCAGTCAGTCCCTGGGGTTCAGCTGGGACTGTGCCCTGCTCCGAGAGAGACACACAGGACCAATCCTGGCCATCAACTCCACCAGAATCCTGCGTCCAAGGGTTGGCTCAGGGCCGAGTCACCAGAAGGACCAGATCCTTACACGATCCCATCTCCCAACAGCTGTAGCTATGGTGCAGAAATGAGCCACCGCCAGTGCCAGACCGGCCGTGGCCACAGCCCGGTATATGCTTCTTCCTCCCTCCTCCCTTCTCCCTCAGCCCAACTCTCTCCAAAACATCCATGTTGGTGACACTGGGTGGAAGGGAACCTGGAGCTTGGAAGAAAGGCATATGCAGAGTTGGGAGGACAGACTACTGCAGAAAAGGTCCCACACCTTCATGTTAATGGGAGAAACCCTGGAGGAGCCAGGAGCAGGCTGCTAAGGAACCGTGTGACCAGGTTAGGGTGCTAAAGGGGCCGTGTGACCAGGTTGGGGTGCTAGAGGGGCCGTGTGGCCAGGTTGGGGTGCTAAAGGGCCGTGTGAACAGGATGGGGTTTTAAGGGGCCATGTGAACAGGGTGGGATACTAAGGGGCTGTGTGACCAGCGTGGGGTACTAAAGGGGCTATGAGCCTGGGGCAAGGTTCTAAGTGACCGTGTGATGAGGACGGGGTACTATAGGGGCTATGACAGCAAGGCAGGGGTGGGTACTAAGAAGGGAGCTGTGTGACTAGGGCAGGGTACTAAGGGGCTATGTGGCCAGGAATTAGGTACTAAAGGGGCTGTGTGGCCCAGGCAGGTGCTGCTGCCTGAGGAGGGGAGGCTGGCATGGGACTGTCACCCCCTCAGAAACTTCCCTACTTCCTGACAGGGACATCAGGCCAGAGCCCCCACTGTCCTCCCTGGCCCAGATGCATTCCCAGCTCCTCACCCAGCAGGTGCTGAGAGAACCGGGAACCCCATCCAGTGATCACTGTTGACATTTATTGGATTTTTCAGTCGTAGAAAATTATCATACTTAATTTGGAAAATATATAAACATAAAAAGACGAGTTCGAGGTTTCCAGCCTGTTCTTGAACTCTGGGTCCAAGGACTGTCTGATGCTGCAGCCCTGCTCAGCACACTGCTGAGCCTCATCTCCTGGCTCATCGAGGAGCCCTCACTTTATTGGCCATGGAGCCTCCTGATTGAGAGGAATAGCCAGGTTTACCACCACAGAGCAAACTGCGTGGACTAACATGTCGTTAGAACATTATACAGGAGAAGATTCCTAACCGATTAAAACAGAAACACAAAGCCCCGGCCACATGCACTCACGCAGTTACTTCTTGCCGTGGTACAAAGTGACCATTAACCTGCCTAAGAATAAGAAACATCCAAAGGAATTTACCTGTGGAAAATGACGTGGGTGCTCATAGCGAAACCCAGAGTCCCATCAATCTGGGATGGTCCCTTCCCTGGTGGACAGCATCCCTCTCATGGGACAAGGTCACCTTCAGGTCCACACAGACACCTATGACACTGCCTTTGGCTCGCATGAACAGTCGAATTTACTAATTTAAATAAAGAAGAAAACTTCCTGTTCAGCCATTCTCTGGTGGTATCCAGGGAATTTTGGGTTTCAGAGTCACTTCCCCTAGAAAAGTGAGCACAGTGCCCTGGAGCAGCAGTTGTTCGGGAAAAGAATTCTTCATCTCCTAAAACAAAGCGGCAGGAAAAGTTTCTGCAGCCTGTGTTAGACACTAGGCATGCGAAGGAGCCATGAGTTGCAAATGAACACGGCGTACTAGCTACAGTTTCTTTCCCCAGCCATGCTGCTACATTACGTTCAGTGAATTTAAGGGGTGAAGGTGGTTGACAAAACAAAGACCTAGCTCGAAGTGACTTCTACAAGCTCCAGGACTGCACTGTGTGTACTATGCATTAAAGCATGCCAACTGTTAAACCCCTAAGCCCAGTCCCTCTCTTGGACTCCGATTCCGGTTTAGGAACAGAACGATGAAAGAACGGTCACGTGATGGGGGTCGAGCGCCGCAGAGAGTTCCCGGGGATTGGGCGGCTTGTCTTTCTCCACCTCGTCCTCAGCCAAGTGGCGGGAAACAGCTGGTCAGAATTTCTGAGTGCCTTTAATGAAGAGAACTCTTCGTTGTTCAGATTTGGTGATTAAATAGCATAAGACTAATATTCCTTGGTGGGTTTCCTGAAAGAAGATTGCACTGGAAGCAAATCAGGTTTAAGTATTGTGCTCTATGTTGGGAAGAAATGGGGCTTGGAAACTGGGCTTCTGGTCCCAGGGCTCAGAGCATTTTTCTTCCCGTGTTGTTTTTAGAACGTGTATGAGACCCAACTCAGGGAACGACGCAACGGCGTTCATCACATTTCTCCCCTCAGAACCCCCTGGAGGGAGAGGCTGCTCACACACTGTCCAAAGGGACCCGCCTTGAGCCTCCTTCCAGGTAGAGTAGGCAGAATCCCCATTACTCTGAGCCATCTTCGAATTCTTGGCCTCCCAGGCCTCCAAGTTGAGAGATAAAATGGGGCTTGTGGGTACAGAGAGTGATTTAATTTGTTTTAAACTCATCTAGATGTCAAACCCACAAAGGTCATCTCCTAAAGCACTACTTTTTGATGAGGTTGGATTGGAAAAAATAAATAAATAAAAATAAATAAACAGGAAGTGTTTTCTATGAATGCACACCCAAGAAATAGCCCAAGGGAAGTTAAAATAGACTTTGAAGTGAAGCTGCCTAGGAAGGCTATGGGTATAATGTCACAGTGCCAGGGCCCCGGCAGCCTCCTGCCTACCTCCCACCCCCGCGTGTGGTTGGGATAATTTTTCATTTGTAGAATCCAAGGTCATTTTAGTCACTAGTCACATGGTTGTGAGGAATTATTAACAGAAATTTTGAACAATACTGTTCAAACAGGATCATGATCTATATGCTTCAACAAGCAAGGTGTTAAGGATTCTGTGAGGTTGAGGATAACAATCACTGACTTTTCTCATATGAATGGGACACCCGACAGCTTTTCCAGTAAAGAGCCTCGCTCGGAGCACACTAGACGCTCCCTTCCCTGCTCTTCCGGAAAAGTTATTCTAAAATGTCCTTCAATATATTGTATTACTTCCAAGTGCAGCAGAAAGAGCTCATCCATGTACACAGCCCTTCCAACTCCAAAAGAGCTCAAACGAACTAGCATTTTAGAGAGGGCAAACCATCATCCTAATCGCGTTTGACCGTTTTCTTCACTACCACATCATGAAAATGCTGCAATCTGAAACAGGATTCTTCTCAAGGAGGGGAAAATAAAAAAGTCGGGCTTTTGGCTCAGGGTACGAAGTATATGCCGCCTCTCTATGCATAGACGGACTGCGGTTAGGGGAACAGCCTCAGAGTCCAGAGTTGGGGGTTTCTCCCCCAGCTTTGCAAAAGCCGTCTATGACCTCAGAGAAATCACACCGTCGCTGGGACTCAGTCTCGTGAACACGCGGATAATGTTTCATTCTACTTTCCTGCCTCCCCGGCTGTCAGTGCCTTCATGAATTACTATTTGTAAAGTATTTGGAACTATTTGGATAAGAGTCTCGGCGGTCAGGAATCGCATTCCTCTTCTCACCGACTGAAACACGTGGAGAAGAGACGGAGACATGCATCCTGCTCCACCTGGCAGCTCGCCCCAGCGTGGCGAGGCAGCTCCTTGCTGCCGGGTGACCTCCCTCGGCCCATGGCCCCCTTTAATTCCAGCATCCTGCCTCACTTAGGAACGCAAGTGCTCATGGACCCACCTTTGAAATAAAAGCAAACAATTCGCCACTACATCTTCACTGTTTCACCAACAAATCCTAAATCAATAGAGCTCATGCTGACTTCTTTCCACTGTTATAAAGCCATTCTCAAGTCAATCTCTTCCTTCCTTCCCACCATCGAATGAGCAGGCTGCTATTGGAGGGGTTTTTTTGCTCTTTCATTAAAATTTCCTTTTAGGTCTGGAAGCACATTTATGGACAGTACACACAACATCCATTTACACTCCAGAAGGTTTATGAGCCGTTCTAAGTTATCCCTCCAATAAAAAATTCTGAAAGTAGCACAATAGAGTTAATAATATTCAATGAATTGAAGAACGTGTTTCATAATTCTTAGCAGCATGATGAAATCTCCTGACCCCTGAGTGCTTGTTCTGAGCTCCATTTTCAACATCACCTTCATTAAGGAAGATAATCTGAAGTTTTTTAACCATGATACTCTATTTGAAGCTATGAAAGTCTACAATTAAAACTAACTTTACTTCCAGGTAATAAGCTAATTACTATACCGTATATTTGTAAACTTTTGTAGAATTGTCTAGCAGCCTGATCCAAACCAAGGAGCTGAATCCCAGCATTTCCATGTGGATGTGGCTACAGGAATGATCACGCACTGGCCTCTCCTTGCACGTGGGAGGCGACCATGACCAGGGAAGTCAGAGGCCTTGCTGGGTGCCCCGTGCTCTTCCCACATCTTCTCAGGTTACACAGTGCTTAATAAATGCACATTAAAATGCAGTTTTTGAAATATTGGATCTAACAATTGTTCCTTCAGAATGCACCATGTCCTGGCACCATACCAGGAGTGGGGCCACAGCCGAGTAAGGACAGTCCTTTCCTGGGTGCTGACGGTCCAGTAAGAAAGGCAAAGCTGTAGGAAGGTACACTGTGTGATCAGCTGGTTGCCGTCAGAGCCTGTGCAGAGCCCAGAGAATGCCAGCAAGGTGTCTCCTCTGTGTGGAGGGGCATCTCTGTGACCCGGACCCTGAGGCCGTACATCACGACATACATAGGGAAGTCCACACGCACCTCTCAGCATTCTGCCTGGAACCACCTGCTTGCCGATCCTTAAGCCATGCCTTTACAGTTCGCCCTTAATGTAAAATATGTATTTGTTTTCAAAAACTAGAAGCCTGTGTCTCCTGAAACCGGGAGATTTCTCACTGAGCTCCAGATACACTCGATAGAGACTGCTTAATGAAAAGGAGAGGGTGAGCACCATGTACCCCTGCAATTTTCTCCACACAACTGGTGTTGGAGAGAATGTGCCAAGCTGCTGATTGGTGATGACTGACAATCCTAAAATATTCCTGAAATGCACGGTCAACTTGATAAGTCTTGCTTAAGGGTTGTTAATCTATGTGCAGCAACACACACATAACCCCTGCGCCAAAATTAGATTGTGCCGGCGAGGCATGAATCGAAGGGGTTGAGCCTGGTTATGCAATTAGAAGAGACTTGTGGGCTTTTCCAGGAGTGTGTGTGTGTGTGTGTGTATGTGTGTGTGTGTGTGTGTGTCCTAAAGGCAAAGGAAGCCTGGCAGAAAAAGAGAAAGGAGCAGGACAGAAAGAGCTGAAGATGGAACGTGTGTACTGAGCCTGTTGCTTCCGTTCAGTGCCAATCCAGGACCTGCCACTGACCTGCCAAGGAGTCAGCTAGAAGGTGACAAGGAGAGAGTAATTTAAAGGAAATGTTTATGAAAGCCGCAGCTGTGTATTCCGTCTCCCTTTCAGACTTCTGCTTATTCTCGGAAATTTAAACTCCGTGGGACAGGGATATAAATTATAAATATAGATAGAGATACAGATAATATATAGATTAGATATAGATATAGATTAGATATACAGATAGTCATGGGTTTATAAACTAAAAAAGATAAGATCTCAGAAAGAAACCCAGGGCTTGGATTTTAGTTTCAGACTCAAAAAGAACAAGAGCTAGAGTTGCTTCCTGGTGCACATGTGCAGGCTCCAGGCTAAGCACAGGGGCAGTTTCCAGGGTGGCCCCACAACATTGTGCACCCTGAGGAACAGCAGAGGGTGTGGCCTGGGAGCCAAGACTGGAAGCTCAGCACCACAGTCATCATCACTACCTTTTCGTATGGCAATGGTTTGGGGCTGTATTATTTATTTTTGCAAATACTGATTCCCTTTTGCTTGTGAATTTGCCATGGAATCATTTAAGAAAAACAACTTATGCTAGCAGCAGCTCTACTTCAATCAGGAAGGACATGCTGCCATTCCAATTTGTGGAGAGAAAGTCCATATTGCTTGGAGAATTGAGCCTAGGTCCTTTGTGTTTTGCTATATGTTTGCACAAATCTTTAGCGTCCTGATGGGCACTTACTAAGGCAACTCCCTGCAGTGAGGAGGGAATCTGGGAAAGGCACCATCCAGAGCTGCTGGCTTGGGCCGCTGGTCATTGCCATGGCCTCCGTTTCCTGCATGGAATCGTTTGCGCAAAGCTGAATGAAAGCTGGCAGCAGAGGCCAGAGAGGGTGGGGGCTGCCCAGGGCATGCGGCAGAGACAAGAGGACCTCAGCCCAGGAGAGAAAACTGGGTGCAGGATGTCTGTGCCTCAGGGAGGTTGGGGGCTGTACCTCAACAGAAGAGCATCTAGAGCAAACTCCTGAACCTTGATTAACTTGGGCAAATGACAAGCCTCAGTTTCCTTGCCTGTCCTGTGGAATGTTGTGAAGACGAGATGCCTCAGGATACATACACAGAGCAGGCACTAACTAAACGCTGCAGTTGCCGTTATCATCAGCTGGCATCCTTACACAAGCCACTCAGGGCTTCTGCACCCTCCTGTGTCTCCTGAGAACAAAATAGCATCAACTCAGATGAGCTGAGGAATTTTTATGACCTTTAAATGAGATGTTAGGTGGGCACCATGGCCCATGCTTGTCATTCCAGTATTTTGGGAGGCAGAGGCAGGAGGATCACTTGATGCCAAGACCAGCCTGGGCAACATACCAAGATTCCATTTCTACAAAAATGAATAAATAGATAAATAAACCAGTCATGCTGTTGTGCACCTGCAGTCCCAGCTACTCAGGAGGCTGAGACAGGAGGATTGCTTAAGCCCAGAAGTTCAAGGTTGCAGTGAGAGTGCCTCTGCACTCCAGACTGGGCCACAAAGCAAGACTCTATCTCAAAAAATAATAAATAAATGAGAAGCTGTGTTTGAAGGTGTTATGTAAACAACATACAACTAAATCTTAGCTAGTCCCACAACAGCTTGTATCAACCACAGCTGTGAATAAAATCTGCTGTAAAACAACTCAAGCCAAAGGCCCTTCCCCAGGGCAGGCCACAGGAGATATCCAAGTTTTCGTCCAAAATGCTCAACAGCACCCGGACATCTCCAGCTTCCCCCATATCACTGTTATTAATGGGCCCTAGATATTAGCCATGAAAGACGTGTGTTTTTCAGTTAGTGGACCTATTTGGGGTCACATAAACTGTGACCTGAGGATGAATTGGCTGGGCCCAGCGCTATGTAACCCCCATGGCAGAATGAAAGCTCTCCAGGGTCCTTGGTGGCTATCATTCCATCCAGTCTGGGTCCTGGGAGGCTCCTCCTCCTGCACCAATAAGTCAAGGAGGCCTGGGGTCAGTTGTTGAGCAGAAGCACTTGTGAGTTTCATAATAATTATCCCAATTCATCTCTGCCTGCATTCTCACCTCCCAAACATAGTCATGCCCCTGCGACCCCTGAAAACGAAATCTCCCTGAAAACCAGAGTAAACACATGTGTAATTTATTTCTTTTCTAGGACCAGGGAGCATTCACTGAGTTGTCACGCAAATGCCGTCATCAGCCACTAATTAAAGAAATAACATGTTGACGGAGAGGACACTTTCACATGCATTTGCCTATTTAACTTCTCTCGTCGAGGCCATTTATTTAAACAAATAGTAGCTAATGTTAATAAACCCGGTTTTTTCAATTTCATGAATTTCTTTTTCATCTTTGAGTTTCCTGCCCTATCAAAATGTTTGCATGCTGCCTCTCCTGAGCTGGGGGTCCTGAGAGGGCCTGGAAGATAATACAGCCCTGCAGGGGAAGCATGTGTGTGCTGTCCCAAACAGAGGCATGCTCACACCTGCAAGGGCACACATTCAGACATGTGTGCATACATCCACACACGTGTGCACACACAGTTCTGTGCAGTTTTCGACCTTGGACAATAATATATCTGGTGTATTTGTAAGCAGAGTTGTGAACTTCACTGACGTCATTGCTAAAAGGCCATCATTTATTCTACAGCAGAAAAAAGCCCAGAGGTTCAGCTAAAGAGTACTTAAACTTGTTCTAGAAACTTGGGTTCCCTTTGTATTTGTACCTAACGGGGACTGTACTCCTCACAGAGAGCTTTCCTACAAGTTTTACTGAAAGCATGTTTGGTTAAGCAGGCATGAGCTTGCTCACATCCCTGCACAGTGGAGAGATGGGGCGCGTAAGTACCCACAGGGAGCTGCCAGTAGGACCTGAGCGGGGCATGGTGGTCCACCTGCGGCTTCTCCTCTCCTCCTTCTCTCAGTCACATCCCCTTCTGCTTCTCACGTTAAAAATCTTTCCATCAGCTTATGGCATTCCAAGACTTCAGGATCATTTAAATGTGTACCTTAATAAGGGCACATGTTGAAAATAAATTATAACTATCTGCATCTTAGATTGAGCTAAAAAGCATTCACAGGAAGAGGGTCTGAGAATGTGAAGAGGGTCATGTGAGTCTCCTGTGCAGGAGAGAGAGCAAAGGATGCTCACTGAGAGCCTGACTTTAGAGATTCTGAGATTGCATGAAACACCCCGAGAATCCCCTGTTCTACACATGAGCTGCTTCCCTGGCCCAAACACAAAGATCTTTCCTCCAGTCAGGAGGCCCAGGGACTCTGAGACAGGCAGCTGTCTGCATCGGGGCCCTGCAGCCAACACAACACCTGCTGTGACTGTCTGCACAGCCTCTTACACCTGACTGTCTATACAAGCCTCCTGCACCTGACTGTCTACACAAGGCTCTTACCCCTGTGTACACAAGCCTCCTGCAGCTGTCTACACAAGCCTCTTACACCTGTGTACACAAGCCTCCTGCACCTGACTGTCTACACAAGCTTCCTGCACCTGACTGTCTATACAAGCCTCCTGCACCTGACTGTCTACTCAAGCCTCCTGCACCTGACTGTCTACACAAGCCTCCAGCAGATGGTTTTCTACGAGGGGCCCATGCAGCTAGTAGTCTACGCAAAGCCCCAGAAGGAAGAGGTGTTTTCAGATGATAGCAATGCACCCACTGGAATCCCAGCAGGGATGAAGGAGGAGAGTGGAGCAGAAGGAAACTGGCAAAACTGGGGTTTTCCAGGGGGGTCCAGCAGCCTTGGGTTGCAGTCTTCAGGGTAGCAGTTCACCCAAAAGCCCTGGGATTTGGCAACGGTGCAGCTGTGCTGCGCTCTGGGAAGACATTCTGGTGGTGGGTGCGAGGCAGCATGGTAAAGGGAGGCTTTGGGGCAGGAGGCTGGTGTTGAGGATCCGTAAAGGGCAGAGAGTGAGCAGCAGCAGGGAATGGGAAAGGCAGGAGAAGAGGGTAAAATGAGGCCAGTGGGCAGATGAGCAGCGCTTTTTAAATTGCCATGTGTTTTCCTATCAAAACTGCTGAAAAGAAAATGCTCAATCTCATATGAGATTGTGGCTTATGACATCTGTTGTTTCTTCTTCTTCCTGTAAATTCTCTGGACCTGGAGCGTAAATTACTACTTGAACATTGCATCCTTTTTGAACAAATCCGGTGTCTTCTGCAGACATACAGGGTAGCCACAGTCAAGAAGAAGTGAGCTGATAGGGTGCCAGAGGAGGTGCTGCTCTGGGCCACATAACAGGCAAAAGACATCCAGGAGTTGTTCTAAATACACAACTCAAGATAGCAGTGGCTGCATTGCCCTGGAGCCAATGAGGACCCAGAAGAAAGCTGTCTTCCCTGTAGGTTTGAAGTGGGTTTTAATGGTCTCATTTCTAGTGCATTTAGATTCATAAGTTGGATTGCATTAGAAACACAGTGAAATCCAACAAGAAATTATTGGAAGCTCA
Source organism: Homo sapiens (assembly GCF_000001405.40). NCBI lineage: Eukaryota > Metazoa > Chordata > Mammalia > Primates > Hominidae > Homo > Homo sapiens. Next base: position 2,734,058 of record NC_000005.10, read on the forward strand.
AGTTACCATCTCATGATTCCAGTTACACTTGAGCTGAAAGTGAGAATTTTGAGGGAACTCTAATCCGTCAGCCACAAGCAATGTATCCAACATGTATGCATTTGAATGTAGCTTGCACAGGTGGCTCCAAGTGCCAAATCTCATTGAAAACCCTCATGCCCAGAGCTGTTCCTTTGATTGCATCAAATTGTCTCTCCCCTTTTCTATCTGTGAACACTTAAAAACATCCTCTCAGTTGGAGAGGCTGCTTGGAGTGAGTCCACAAATATATGCTGTGTTTATTTCAGGTCAGTGCAAACCTAGCAATTCTCCCTGGACTATGAATCTTGCATCCTCGTAAGTCAAGGAGACCTCAGGGTTATATGAAAAAGTCTGGAGTCCATTTCAAGAGTGAGTGAGGCATTGTATTCTAGATCTGCCTCCTGCCATGGGAAGAGACTGTTCCAAGGATGCTGGGAAGGACCAAGTTCCACCTCATTTTGCCTGGCTGCCAGAATGCTGCCTAAATTTTCACCTGGAGGATTTTATTTCTTATTTTCTCAGCCTTGGTTCGTCAACTTTTAGAAAAAAAAAAAAAGTACCAATTCCTGGGTCCACTCCAAGCCCACTGAGCTCCAATCTGCTTCCCGGTGGCCCAAATGTCCAACCAGGCTTAAGGACCCTGGCTTGAGACATGAAGGCACCGAATGTGAACGGTGAGTGGCACACATGCTGACTGTCAGTAAATCCATGCTGAGCTAAAATGATCATGTTTAAATGGTAGCATTTACTTATTCATTAGAAGAGTACATGATTCAAGAACAGGCTTTCTTAGAGAAAGGAAAGAACGGGAAGGCTTGGGAAGTCCACCAAGCGAAGAGAAATGTTGAAATCAATATTGGGATTCCTGTGCTGAAAGACAAAGTTTCTCTACTTTGTATGTTACCATAGGGTGATTCTGGATGAACAAAGGCTGTGTAACCCTTCATCTCCATCCATAAAAGATGTTCGGATGTGTGAGTTTAGTTATGTGAATTCTGACCCAGCTTCCCCCTACTGCACTCCAGAGCTCCAAGCTATGCATAAAGAAAAGTCTCACTTGGCAAATATTTTTCAATATGTTTCATCAATATTAAGTTTTCTAGATTTTGGTAAATGAAAATTAAGAATGCCTAGTCAAATTTGGATTTCAGATAACCAACAAAAGTTAAATGTGACTGGTTGTCTTGTATTTAGCAACTCCGTACTTTACATATACTTATATGTTCATGTTTGAGTATTTATATGTCATTTCTGGTTTTATTGCATTGTACTTCTATTGTACTTTTTATTTGTCTCAGATATCTAAGGTGTACTTCTGAAATTAGGAAGGGATCTGTTTTTGTGCTACACAAAATGAAAACCCATAGAAAGTACAACACAAAGAGTGAACCCTAATATAAACCATGGATATAGTTAATCATAATGTGTCAATATTGGTTTATCAATTGTAACAAGTGCACACTAATGCAAGATGTGAATAATGGGAAAACCTGAGTGTCAGGTTATCTGGGAACATGACATTTGCTATGCATTTTTCTCTAAACCCATAACTTCTCTAACAAAATATTTTTTAAAAAATCAAACATACAACATGTATAAACACATGCTAATATGTTTTATTTTCTATATGATGTAAGCAGAGTCTGGCATCCTGGGTGTGAAGTTAGAAGGAAACTGAGAATTGAGCTGAATGCCAGGCCCCATGATCCTGGTGAACTGCTGATAAGATGCTCACCAGCAACTAGTGGAGCTTGGTAAATTGTCTGAGATTTGAACTCAGAACTCAGAAGCCCAGACTGTAGCAAAAGCTACCTCTGAGTCTAGTTGTGCTGCACCGAGGTTAAAATGAAGTAGAAATTGGAACTATTAACCTCAAGGAAGAAAAAAATTCCACTCTGTGCCCTTCTCCACGTGGCCCTTTTCCCTGTGGGGCAGCTCTGAGGTCTTGCCATGCTCCTTGGCCTCCTCCCATCTGAACTGACCTTCTTACCCTATCAGCCCACGCCATGGGTTCCTAACATCTAGTGCAGTTGAAACCAACATCCCAGTCTTCCCCCAAGCCCCTGTGTCACACCTTGGCATTTACTCTTCCCAACAGCCCTCGGGTAGGTGATGTGTGCAGGTGGGAGGATGAGGTTCAGCAGGGATGCCTGCAGCCTTGCCCTCCACTGGGCCCTGGTGAAGCACTCCAGCCCTGAGTTCACACCTGGGATCTCCCAAATGTATGCCCTTCCCACTACCCTGGCCCCTTCTGATGCGATTTCTGAGACCTCTTTCATCTCAGGGATTAAATTTTTAGAATTAAAACAATTCAGCTTCATAATGAAACTTTTTAATGAAAACTTTTTATGGATAAGTTATAGTGTGCATTGTGTCTTTAAATTTTAATAGAAAGCTTTGAATATGCTAGAAGAAAAATTTTTTTGGAAAATCACAAATAATTTAGTTATTTTTATTTCTTACATTTGATTTGCTATCAATTTTTGATGAAGATATATTTAAATGTATGCTTTGAGAAGGATCACTTTTTAATTTTTGAACCACTATTGTCAAAACACAAATTATGTGAAAATCTTGATTGCTACAGGATATGGAGTGATTCTATTTTTTTAAAGGCAAAATATTTCATAGGATAAATATGTACTTTATGAATTATTCTGTCTGTATTTTTTTGCAAATCCTAACATTGCTACCCCCTCAGAATAGAATGCCAGACGTACATAAGAATCATTAAATCTGGTCCTCTTTTGATATGTTGATGACTTCCATGCAAATCATGCTTTGCACATATTTTGTGATTTCTCTCATTTGAAAACGTATTTTCCAAGGCAGGAGGATAAGCATGTTGTGTATAAGCACATTGTATCTAGCAGCTGATTTACAAGTGGTCAGTGTTCAGACACACAGGGCCTCATTTGTCCTCTTGTCCTGGTCCCCACTGCGGCCATCTCCGGTGGATAGATGGACAGCATGCGGTGGTGGTCTGTGGAAGTGGGCCGACCACAGCCATGCCAGAACCAGCCTGACCCATGGCCTGCTCATGCCTGTGGAACCCCAAAACCTGACACAGAAGTAGCTCCGTTCATTCACGAGAGGCCTCAGGTGTGGCTCCTGGTCACTTTAACATCCACGTGGGTAGCAAGTGACAAGTAAATACAGAAAAATACCTGCATTATTGAGCAGCCATTCTCCAGCTGAGTTAGAAGAATCTTCCAGGCAGACGGATCAGTCTGTTCAGGTCAGCTGAGAAAGGAAAGAGCTCAGTGTTCAGAGGTTCAGAGAAGTGACAGGACTGGCGAGGACAGAGGGCGGAGACAGGCAGACCCTGGACATGTTTCTGTGCCCGCTGGCCTTCCTTGGCTTCATCTAACTAACAAGAAGCCCTCTGCAGAGCCTGCTACGTGGGGCCCGGTGGCACATGGAAGAGATGGGCTTTCAGGGGCAGTCATTTGGCCCACTCAGATGAGCCCCACTAGCAGGTCTCGAGTGCTGTCCTCTCCACCAAGATCACAGGAGTCGATGGTGAGCACCCACTTCCCCAGCCCCATCTCCTGCCTGTCCTGTAGGGCAACTGTCCAAAGACAGGGCTGTGGACCATGCCTGGGTGTTCACCCATCGTACTCCATCTCATGTCTACCCGTAGTAGTCATTACCTGCCCTCAAACATTCCGCCTGAGGCTGCCAGTTCTTGTAGGAAGTGGCCCCGGTGCCAGGCCAACAGCTTTCCTAGGCTTCAGAACACCGAGATGATTTCGGGCCATCACTGATCTTCACCCACCAGAGAAGTTTTTCACCAGGGGCTTTTCCTGACGTCAAAGTAACAGCCAGGTTAAGGGAACCCCTGGCCTGGGGGTGTCCCCCTGCCCACCCCCTGCAGCCCACAGCCCACCTGTCCTGCCTGCTGACAGGTCTCCTCCCACTCCTCCCGGCCTTGTTTGCACTGGAAAGTTGGGGTGCATCGGCTGTGCACCTGAATGTGTTATTTGCTTCTGCTTAAAGATCATAAAGTCAGTAAATTGTTTAAAATATAACTCATTTGAGGGTCTAGCTCCTGCAAAGTCTGTTTGTCTTCTTTCAAAGCATGCCTTAACTCAGCCCCTTCCTTTATAAAACAGTCCAGCTCCATAGAAATTTTAAACAAACTGTCTCTCTCCTCTGGGCTTGGACTCAGCCCCCTCCCGGTCACAGGCCTGCCTGGAAGAAGCAGGTTGGGCCCTCTCAGCCGCTTCTGTTTATATCTGGGCCCATTATCATGAAGGGCACTTTTATTTGAGGAGTTGAGTATTACATTAGCATTATAAAACAAATTGTTTTTCCATTGCTTGAGAGCCAGGGAGAATAAACCTGGACGGGCCATGGCCTCCTATTTAAATAAACTAACGTCATCCTGGGTACCAAGGAGCCTGATTCGCCCCCCTGTTCCCCGCTTGGGCCGAGTTGTCCTCCCGGCCGCCTCTTTGGTCCCCTGGCCTCTGGGGCTCAGTGGGCTGTTCCCAGGGAAGCCTTCACCCTCTCTCCACCAGGGCTGTACAGTGACCCCGAGTCCAATGGCAGAAAGGATGGGGCTCATCACAGGGCCCAGGACCCCAAAGGTTACAAAGCACCCACCCCTCCCCATCTGACCCTCACCACCCCCAGCCGCACGCTTGGGCCTCCCTCCTCCTGTGCCTCCGGGACCGTCTCCCCACCTGCGGGAGGCCAGGTGTGTGGCTCCAGAGACCCTCCACCTGAACTACCCGCTCCCAGAGCCCCAGTCAGGGCCGCCAGAGGTCGCGGAGGGTGAAGCCAATGGGCCTGGACGCCGAGGCCGGGGAGAGGAAGGAGCGAGGTAATGGCTGTGGCTGGAGACCCTCTTCTGACTCCCCAGGCTGCCGGGTAGGCCTACTGTGGGATGGGACTCAGGCGACCAGACGTGCTCTCCGTCGCCTCCATCCCGGCCGCTGACTCCGCTGTGTCCCCTTGGATCCATCACCACCTCCAGGCAGCCCTCCAGCGGGTTCTGGTGGCGCCGAGAGCTTCGAGGGGACTCAACGCGCTTTGTAGGGCCTGTGAAATCCGGCTTGTCGCATAAGCTCCCTGAAGAAGAGAACAAACTTCCCAGACCAGGGGCCCGCGGGGAGCGGTGCAGACACCGCGGCAACCCACCCCGAGCCCGCCGGCCCTCGCTCCGTGCGCCCAAGGGGCGTCCCCCGAGGTGTCGCCTGCAAGGCAGCCGCGTACGTCGTTCTCAGTGCGGGTCCTGGGGGCGGCGGTGCCGGGGGTACGGCCTGGGGTCCCGTCGGTGTCCACTGCCCGCCTGGGCGCTGGGGCCGCAGATCGGGGCTACACGGCTCGCGCCGACCGAACGCTGCCGCCAGAGCGGTGGAAAAGCGCTGGGCAGGCCGGCCTGGGGCTTTCGAGCTCTGCCGCCGAGCGCAGCAGAAATACGGTGTGCAGGCAGGACCCGAAACAGGAGAGACCGGGGGGACCGGGGAGGAGAGGAAGGCTGGCTGTGGCAGGAACCCGGGCGCTCGGCACCTCCCCTGGTCCCGGGGGCCCTGAACCCCCGCCGCCGTCGCCGCCGGACCCCGCGATCGTCCTGAACCCGGGCCGGGCGCTTTCGGTTTCCCGGCGCTCTGCGGCGCTGCTTTGTTCACCCTGCGCGCGCGGTTCCCAGAGTCCAGAGCTGCGGGCCTGAGGCTGAGGGCCAGGGAGCGAGGCGAGCACCCGGGGCCAGCCACGGAGGAGTCCCGACCACCACGGGAGCAGGGGGACTGGGAGGCAAGAGGTCGGGGGAGGCCGGGGTCAGGGCGGGAGGAACCCGATGGGTCCCGCTGCGGCTTCAGGCGCGGGGTATAGGGTAGGACCAGGAAGGGGACTGAAGCCCGGGACCAGAGCTGGGGGTGCCAGGAGCGGGGCCTCCAGTGGGAGCTCGGGGGTCCTCGCGGGTTCTTCTGGGTCGGTTGGTGGCTACCCATCCCCAGAAGCCTGGCTGCATTCCCCTATAAGGAGGCTTCGGAGGGCCCGACTGGGTTTCCCCTCCAGGGCACCGGGTCGCAAAAGCGGCGTCGAAAACTCATGAACAGGCGGCCGGGTCTGGGGCCGCCGGGGCAGTCGTGGCGTGCGGGGGCGGGGGTCCTGCCCATCAGGCTGACTTCAGGGTCTCGGTCTGCGGCCTCCCTGGCCGTCGCTGCCTCCTTTTCCAGGTGCGCCTCGGCCCAGGGCTCCCAGCCACCACCTTGGGGCCGCAGAAGGCGAGCGGTCACACCGGGGCTGAGGTCAGGAGCCGGCTCACCCCCTCTCCTGCGACTGTTCCCTGACCTGCGACTGTTCGGTTCTCCCGACTGGCCTTGGTCGTTGCCTTTTAGGGTCTCGGTGTGACCAACTAAGCAGACACTCAGCGGCAGCGCCGCGCTTGGGGAGACTGCAGGGCAGAAATGGGCCTAGAGGTGAAGGAGCCCTTCCCAAATCGGACAGTCCCGGGGCTGGAGAGCCGGGAGCAACCCAGTTCCCTGAAGAAATGATTGCAGCTGCTCAGGCAAAACACGTAGGCCTGGAACCAACCCTGGGTGGGCGTTTAAGGGCTTGAGCCAGCTTCTGCCCCTCAAGACTCCCCAGGGAGCACGCGCCTGCGGGGAAGGACGTGGGCCGGGTGGAAGGTGGCCCGGAACCCCGGGAAGAACGCGGGCAGGGCACCAGGCAGGCAGCCGGGCCAGCGCCTCCAGCTCCCGCACCTTCGGCCCAGGGTCTCCAGCACTGGGAAGGCGACAGCGGCGACAGTGCACCGTCCCCCTTGCACGCACTGAGGAGCCTGTCTTGGAGCTGAGACCTCCTCGCCCCCTCCGAGCTTACTGAGCACCCGGCCGGCAGCCCCCCGACTCCCCAGGATGCTGCCTTGACCCCACCTAATCTGGTCACTCACCTCCTAACCTTTCAGGGTCCAAGAGGACCCGCGTCCTGCCCCACCTTGCTGGGTGCAGAGCCGGGTGCACGCGGGACCCGCACTCGCTCTGGGCGAACACGCAGCGCCCTTCCCGGCCTCAGGCCGAGCCGGACCGCAACGCCGCTATTAGTAAGGACTAAAAACAAAAGTTCTCCCCGAAGCCCACCTTTCCCCAGTAAGAAGGTGTCAAGGGTTAAACCGTTCGATTTGCCCTTTTTCTTGATCTTAGAGGGAAGAGGCAAGAACTCCTGGCACCTTTATGGGCCTCAGACCTGTGGCTGCTGCCAGCAGTCTCAGTCCCACTAACTTTGATCAGCCTTATTAATTCCAGCTGTGCTCTATTTGTTTGTCATTTTCCCCTTTTCCTCTGGAATCATTATTTATAGCAGGAAAAAAAAAAGCCCACTGTTAGAATGGAGGCAAGGAGGGAATTTCTGAGAACGACTGGGTGAATGTATTTTTCCTTAAAGGTCACCAAAAAGGAGGAGAGGTGTAGGGGTGAGTCTTGACTCTTATGAGCTCTTCTTTGAATTTATTACTCAAGAGCATTAACTAATTACCAGATCAGATAAATGAAAAAAAAATTCCCTAAAATAACCCAAGGTAATTATAACCGTGCTGTTGACACTAACGATTAATAATTGATCAGGAGTCACACACAATAAATTGTCAATTTATCTCCCCACAAAAATGCGAGTGCTTGTGTAGCATTGTGTTTTGTTTCTTCCCTCTGGGTATTTTCTGTGAATATCGAGTCCGTATTGGAGGCAGCCCCAAACCTCATAGTCAATTCTTTAAGAATATTACATTTCATTTATTTACAGCTCCATATAGAACAAAGTAACATTAGAACACCTTTTAAAAATACTTTTATTATCATGGGGCCAGAGTTAAACAAACAAAAAAAATTCTTCCTCTTTCCTTTTATCTGGGATTGCGCAAATACGGACAACAGATATTTCCTTTCTTCATTGTATTAGCAATACAGTCCTCTTAAATTGTGTCTTCAATTATTATCTTTCTTAGAAAGAGAGAGAACACTCTGCCTTCACGGTAGGAAACACAAGACTATTCTCTGTTCCAAGGGTGGAGGGGACAGAGGTGCCGGTTGAGGCCACATCCATCTGTTTCTAGGGATGCAGCTGAAGGGAGAGGCTGATGCATACAAGTGGGGTGTCTGCTTCCTAAAACTGGGGCTCAAAGTGTTTTCTCTTCCACCCATCAATGGCTGAGGTCCAAGTGCATATTGTTGAAAACCAGATTCGTAGCATTCTAGCCCAAGCAAAGGGGAGGGCTAGTGAGTGCTTTCATTATGGCCAATAGATAGTAATTTTCAGCAACTGGAAAATTATATTGTCATAGATTACTTCTCCTTATAATTAGCCTTTAAAATATCTGTAGGGATTTGTCACTTGCATAAAGGTTTGAAAATACATCAAAGGGACATGTCCCCCTTGCGATTTGTAGAAATTCAAATGATGTTAATCATAATATCCACATAGCACAGACGGTTGTGTATTGTTCCCAAGATAGCCTCTTCGGTTAACGCTTTCAAAAAAATAGTTAAAATGTTATGTTTGTAAAAGCAGTTTAAAACATATTTATTATATCTATTTATATTTTAATTTTGAGTCTAAATGAATGTTTTCCTTGGGATTCTCAAGGTACTGGGCAACTAAAGAAAAATTATATAGTGATAATTATTGTATATTGTTACTTGGATGAAACTTTCTCATAATTCACTTCAGAGTGTTATTGAAATTTGAAAATGCCTCTGAGTGGACCACAAATTTGTTTGGAACAATTTTTTTTTCCAAATTGATGTCTGTTTAATTAGGCTGTAACAGTGGTAGTTTAGTATGTACATTCACTCCGTAGTTAAAAAACAAAGGGTCCACTTTACTTTTAGCCTCCTTGATATGTACTTAAATGCAATTGTAAATGATCCGAAAACGCGCACGGGCTTCGGAGGTGGCTATTTCATCTTTGTGTTTCTTCGCAGTGGTTCTCGCCTCCCAGAATCCGCAGAGATCTAATAAACACATAAGTTAAAGAGAGCCTCAGGGGAACCCCGAGCCCTCTCCCACCACTCTCCCAACTCCAGAATGAGATCCGCGGCGGCCCGGCGAGGGGGTTCTGGGGAGGCGCACCCCAGGCTGGCTACCCTGAGCCCAGGCCCAAGGCTGCCCCTCTAGGCCCCAGCACCCAGCCCCCTTCCTCTCTCCGCTCCCCGCCCCTCCTTCCTCGCATCAGACAAAGGTGGATGAAGTTCTTTTCAAGTTTCAAAGGCAGTTGCTGGGCAGCTTTGCAGAAACAATAACTCTTTTATTGGGAACAAATGTTGACATTTGACGGGCGCGGGAGGCAGCGCCCGCGCCGGCCGCCGGGCAAGCGCCCCGGTGCTCTCGGCAGCCCCCGGCCCCCGGGGCCCACCTGAGATTAAAGCGCGAATTCCGATAAATCAGCTCTAAGGAAACCCTGGGCCGCGGAGAGCAGAAGGGCTGTCGCGGATCCACCACGCGGGCGCCGGGCCGCGGAGCCGGGAGCGCGCCCAGGCCTGCACCCGCAGCAAAGCCAAGGCCACCGCCCCAAAGCCCATCTGCTCCTGGTCGCCCCGTTTTGCCGACGTCTCCCCGGCCTCAGTCAACAACAGCAAACTTCTATCTTGGAGGGCTAGGTAATTTTTGACTATGAAAATTTTAAAGCAAAAATAAAATTCAGACCCCATTAACTTCCCTCTCCAGTGAAAGATATCTCTCTCTTTCTCTCTCCTTCCTTCCTCGTTCATCTTTTCCAATGACCAGCATGGAGAGGAGCTCATAAATCACTCTACATTTCTTTAAAAAGATCCTTCTAAACACCTGCAGGTTTTAGGTTCTTAGTGTATATTTTAGAAATCAAGTTCTCTAGAAGGAAATTCAGGTCAGGAGACAGAGTGGGTAAGTTATGGAAATCTTTAATAATTTGTTGGGCATATAAACATCAAAGAAGCTTCCTTAGCCTTGGCTAATCTCCTGAGCTGCTTTGAGTTTTCACCAATTGAAATATGCATGTCCTCCCAGAGAATGGAGTCGTGTGTGTGTGTGTGTGTGTGTGTGTGTGTGTGTGTGTGTGTGTGTTGAAAGGGAACAGGGATCGCATGTTCAGGTAAAACAATCTTCCTCATTCCAAAGGGAGGCGGCTTTTACCCCTGCTCCAATGCCTGAACATAAGCGCAAAGGTTAATTTTGGCTTAGCTTTTCTACTCTCACACTTAAGAAATGTACTGCCTTAAATGTTGTATCTTCATTAGAGTGCATGATCTTTCCGTGTTTATTTTGTTAAATATTGTTAACTTTCATACTTTTCACAGAAGTCTTCCAATTACTCTAGTTATAACATTACACATAGCAGAGACATTGCTGCCATGTGCAATTTATTTCCTGCTGATTTAGGAAATATGGGTAATATTAATAAAAGTAAGCTACGTAAGACCTTCAGACAACAATCTAAAACGCTTCCTGAAGGGGAAAATCATTATCTCTATGAAAAGTCTATGAAGGTTTTATTTCTAAAACCAAAACAAGCAAATATACTCAATCCCCCTTTTACCCTCCAGACCTCAGATGTGTTTGTTTCCAGATACACTGCCAGAGTGGCAAAGCTTACCATGTGAAAAATCTTTCCTCCTGCCAATAGATAGCTCAGCTCCACACACGCTCATATCTATTACTAGGAGAGGCAGAGAAGACAGAAAAACAGTTCTCCACCACAGAGATTTACTTTATGTCTGACCTCCAAATGCTTCAATATTTAAAACTAACAAAATACATAAGAAATAACAGAAAACAGAAACCTGGTTCTGCCCCCCTTCTCCACAGTCAAACCACAATCACTTCTCCCCATCGGTATGGCTCTGTGTCCAGTTAACAGTCCCCTGGCTTGGCCTCAAGTATCTAAGATTACTTTCAAATACCCTTTCTAACAAGACCCCAGCAAGAGGCCACTAATTTCTATGGCAAAAAAAGCCACTAGAGAGAGATCCGTTTGTCAATATCAACTGGTCCAGCAATTTCCCATCCTCAGACACATTGGCCTATCGGAGCTGGCAGATGTTTAGACAAGATTTTATAAATTGTTCAATATCAGCCCATAATGAACCCCAACTGACCATTCCAAAGCAGCTAAAAGCATCCCAGACCTCCCCCGCTGGGATCCAATAATGCTCTCATGCTGCAACATTATTAATCATGGAATAAAATAGATGAACCTCTTGAAAAATAAGTGTATGATTGATTAAAGGGCAATCTAAGAAGCTATTATTCTTGTTTTATAACCGTAAGTTATATTCACTCAATTTATCTTTCGAGAGGAAATAAATGATTGTTCATTTCTTCTCTGAAATTATATTATATGGATATCCATATAATTTTGCTGAAAATTAAAGTGACAGGCTTGCTACTTTTATGATACTAATCAAAGGGGATATGTTACTTGACTACAAATTTTAGACTTGTCCTATAATTAGAAAGTGAGTAACACAATAAAGAGGCAGTAGTCTAAGGTTGTTTAAAGGTTTCTTTTCCCCCAGGGTAAGAGTAAGAGCCACTGAAAGGAAAGTAAGTCCCTCCCCCAGATCCTCACCCGAGGTTTAATGTGCATTATAGGAAAAGGACAGTTAAGAAATCCTTCCATAAATTTGAATAATTAGGCCAATTTGGATAATTCAGCCTTTAAAAAAAACAATTATTTCCATCAGTAATTTATTGGTGGGGGGGTGTGGCTCTCCATTATCAATATTATTCTCCAGTTTGGTTTACTGAGGAGGTTCAAGAAGCCAGCATCAGAAATAAATATAAAATGCATAGGGTGTCAGATCATTTTATTTTGCCAAGTTTTAAAAATTTACACTAACAAGTAATTAGCACACTCAGGGCACAAAAATCTTATGTTTTTTGGTTTTTTTGCAATACCTGTATAGAAATCATCTACAGCACATGTTTCTCCCGATTATATACTTCTCTTCCATCTGCCTTTTTTTTTTTTTTTCAATGCTCAGGAGAGAAAGGAGAGTTTATTTCACACAGGTTTTCATTAAAAAGGTGAGGTCAGATCACCTGGAGGTTATTCACTAGCGCTCTACCCCAAATCATTCTTCTAGGAAAAATAAGCCCCAAACATCATATTATTGTAGACTAGTCTGTTTTTATTTACAATTTAAGATATAAATTAGTAAAGAATTCGTGTTAAACAACCAACAAAGATTGTATAACCAGCAATGTTCAAATAAAAACCAGGCAGAATTTATTTACAAAAAGTTTAGATTCCATTGCAATACAACTTGCATAAATTACTAGAAGCTTTATATCATTATAAAAATAAATATCAAATTTGTTTCCACTTCTGAAGTACTCAAGTTCTTCCATCACGTTTTATTTCTACTGTGTACATCTTTTACAAATAAACTTTACAGTAAATCCTATCACACCTATAGAATATATACCGTGGCAATGAAGTGATCAATTCAAGATATCCTGAGAAAAACAGATTGTTTTCAAAAGTCACACATACATCGGGGAAACTATACTATGCCAACAAATTCACATATGTCCAACAATAGTCTGTTCCAATTGTTAGAGTCTGTGGGCTGACAGTGCTGTGTGGATCCTTCTCTTTTACAGTGGCACAAGATGTGGTCTGGATTTAGACATCTGTTTGTTGTATCTGTAAATTTATGAGCTTGGGAAGAGAGAATGGCCTGCTGACTTTTTTTTTTTTTTTTTTTTCAAAGCAATTGTGACACCTACCTGTGGACCAAGGAAAAAACCAAATCATCCCCAATCTTTCAGTTCCACAACAACACCATTATAAAAACGAGTTGATCTGAAGTGGTTCCAAATCTTTCTTATCTTCAAGATCTATGATTAGTAATTCTGACTCGTTGCAAAGCAACATATTTTTTGAGATACTGTTGTGAGCCCCGGGAGAATGTCAGAGTCCTGTCCACTTGGACATGGGTGGAGGGGAGGTTGGACAGGGCTGATAAAAGACTAGTACGCCTCGTGTCTCTTCAGTCTTATTTTGCAAACATCATCTATAAAGGTTTTTGCTACTCCAAGTTTTGGTAGCCCAAGCTCATCAAAGCATGTGTCTATTATGTGTCTAGCATAGTAAAAATGGCTCTAAATTGCATATAAATGCCCAGATTTTAATAATCTATTGTTTCAAAAGAAAACAACAGTAGTGTGTAATATATATATACACATGTACTATATATATACATGTACTATATATATACATATATATATTACACACACACACACACACATATATATATATATTTTTTTTTTCCTTCCCTAGGTAAAGGAGTGATAGAACTTGTGCCAAAAAGAGGGAATCTATAAAACAGAAAATATAGTTTCCCCCTTAAGGAAAGAAAAGCTGGACAAGATTGAAATGCTCTGTCTTCTAACCCCATGACCAGAAGCAAGAAAAACACATTAAGCAAGTTGGTGCTGGGAGGCTCCACAGGGTCTGGGAAGCACCAGGGTGCCCACTTACTTGCATTGCTGTGCTCGGCCCTTCTATAGGTAGGGCTGGACGCCCCCGCCAACCACGGTGCAGCCCTCGCTGGCATCTGTCAGGGGAGTGGGCAGTTAGTCAGAACCGACCCCACAGCCTGCTGGCTGCGCAGACCACCGTGCACCCACCATCCTCCACTCCCAGGCAAACAGCAGTTTGGGAAACCGACTGTCTCCAGGGCCGCTATCTGAGACGACTTTTGGTGATGGTCCCTAGTTCTTAACTTCCCCCCTTGAACTCCTCTTTCGGGTAGCCTGACTTAGGAGCAACACAGGCAACATAGCACAGGGGAAAAAACGGTTTTCTTTCCGAACAACGACAACAACAAAAAGCGGAAAAAACATTTGATTTTATCTTTTGAAGACAAAACGCCTCTGAGAGTAACTGGAACGTTCTGTTTGCCTCTAGCCAACGGCAGAAAAGCGGATTCAACTCTGACTCCTTAACAAGACACCGAAACACACCCAGGCTCATTAGGGCGACACGCTGTAATTTGAATTTCGTGGCAATCTGGGTTTGCCGAAACTAAGACAGCCACGATAGTAATAGTCAAAATAACAGTAAATTAAGTAAAAATAAATAATAACAGGGCAAGTCTAAAAAGAGGGCCACACCTTCTTTGGCTTCCATCTCGCCCTCCGCCCTCACTCTGCTAATTCTGGGTCCCAGGAGTGGCCCCCTGGATCTTCTTCCCGGACCCTCCCTCGGGTCTCCCGGGCGCTCCGCCTCCCCGGGGCTGGCTCTCCCTCCCCTCCCGGGCGCCGCCGGCCGCGGGCCGCCTACCTTTCTTGGGCTCGTAGCCGCCGCCCGGGGACCGGTAGTGGGACTCGAGCGGGTGCGCGCCCGCCTTGCCCGCGTCGCTGGCCGCCTTTGGCGCGGTGTGCAGGGCCTCGCCGGGGGCCGCGGCCGCAGAGTTGTACCGCAGGAGACCCTGGCCCTGCAGCGCCGCGTTCAAGTTCCCGTAGTTTGTGTAGTTGCCGTAGAAGGGCGACGTGTAGTAGAGGGGGCGGCCCAGCAGCGGCGAGGCAGGGTAGGGCGAGCCTCCTGGCGGTGCCCCGGTTGAGGCCGGCGCGGCGGCCGCGGGCAGCCCCGGTGGCCCGCAGCCCGGGCCCAGGCTCGGCTGCTTGAGGTCCGACGTGGCGATCTCGGCCAGCGACCACAGCTTGGGCTTGCTGGCGGGGGGCGGCGCGCCCGGAGACGTCCGGCTGCCCTGGGGCGTCTTGCGGCCACCGCGGGGCGCGGCCTCGGGCGGGGGGCTCAGCAGCGGCGCCTCCAAGCCGGTAAGCGGCGACGAGGTCACGGGCTTGGGCGGCGCCAGGCCCCGCTCGCCCTCCTCGTCGTCGTCCTCGTCGTCCTCCAGGTCGTCATACTTGTCCTTGCACTCCGAGCCCGATTCGCACAGGGGGTCCCCGGCGCGGCACGGAAGCTTCTCCCCGTCCGACTCGGCCGAGCACGAGTGATCCGTGAGCGAGTCCACGTGCAGGCTGATCCCTGTGGGGGCGCGGGCACGGTGGGTGGCACGAGGGGACAGCGCAGGCACCTGGAGCCCCCTCCGCCCCCTGTCCTGCGGCACTGGGCCCTCCCCACGGGACCCCTCACCTCGCCCCCACCCGGCCACGTGACAGGCGGAGCCTGACCTCCCCGGGAAGGGCCCGAGGAATCGCTCGCTCAAATCCCGGCGACCCCAGGGCAATGTGGTGCGGCTGGGGCTCCGGCCCGGACCTGGGGTGTCCGGCGGGCAACGTCCTCCCCGCCTTAGCTCTGCGCCCCGCCTGGGAAGAAAGCGCCCCGAGACCTTGCGCCGGCCGCTGCCCGCTCACCTTCGTCCTCTGCCGAGGTCTCCGTGCCCTCCTGCGCCTTGTCGGGACTCTCGTCCTTGCTTCTGGTAGCGTCGCCCTCGTCCTCGTCCTCATCTTCGCTTTTGTTTCTCGGGGCCCAGGTCATCTTGTTCTCCTTCTTGAGGCGCCGGCGCGCGTTGGCGAACCAGGTGGAGACCTGGGTGAGGGTCATCTTGGTGATGATGGCTAGCATGATCTTCTCGCCCTTGGTGGGGTAGGGGTTCTTGCGGTGCTCGTTGAGCCAGGCCTTGAGAGTGGCCGTGGCGTCCCGCGTGGCGTTCTTGCGGTACGCGGGGTCGTTGAGCTGGTACGGGTAGGCCGCGCTGCCGTACGGGTGGTAGCTGATGGCGCCGGTCATGCCGGTGGTGTGCGCGTCGTAGGGTGCGCCCTGGAACCAACAAGAGCCTGTGAGTGGAGTATGCGGAGACCCCGCGGGCAACCAGCCAGAGGATGCCACCCCTCCGCCCGCCCACGGCCACCGTTCCCCCCGTGAGTCTGGCTCTGGGGCTGCGCTTCCCGCCGCAAAAGAGCAGGAAAAACGCAGTGTGATTCGGGACCAGCTGTTGATCACAAAAAGTACCGGAGTTTTATTCTCGAATTTCTGAACTATTTCACTTTCCTAAAATGACCCATCTTCCCCTAAGTGTTCCGGAGCCGCTCGTGGCAATGTACACAAACCCTTGCACGTGCGCGCACACAGGCCCACAGGTAGCTCTTTGATATCTAAATTTCTGCAGATGCTTGGAGTGCGGCTGCCTCCCCCTACTCCCTCTTCCCCTCCCTTATATGGTTAAAAAAACACCCCAGAGCCCCCAATTCACTATTCACTGCTCTAAAGCTGGGCAAATCCAATTTGCAACTCAGAAGCCAGTCACCGTTTCGAATTCTTCAAATACGCCGTAATTAGCATTTTAATTCATCCTTTAACGTTTAAATTCGAGGCATTTGCAGCCTTCGCCAAGGCCCCAGCGACTCGGTCGCTGCCCAGAAATTCCGCCGAGGGCCGGCAGTCGCGACAACCCCGTAATGGCCTCAATCGCCCGTAACGTGCTTCGCCGCGGCCCGGGCCTGGCCCAGCTCAGTAACCTCGAGACTCGCGAGCCGCCCCCAGGTCGCCGGAGCAGGAGCTGCGCTCGGGCCACGGAGGACTCAGGCGGCCCTTAGCGGGTCACGCGCCCGCAAGCACGATATTTGAAAGCATGGTCCGCTGGACAGAGTAAGGCCGAAACCTGGGCGCCTCGGGCCGGACTCCGGAGCCGCAGCTGAATGCTCGGCTCCTGGGCCTAACTCGGTGACCCCCACCGCCCTGAGCCCCGCGAGTGAATGCGAACCGCCCGGCCGTCGGCTCAGAGGCCGCAGTGACGCGGACCCTCGCGCCCCACGCCAATGCAGGCGAGCACACAGCCCGCTCCGAACGCCTCCCCAGGCTGCGGTGCGGAAACCAGGGACAAACGGCGCCAGACCCCGGCCCCGGCGGAGACGCACTTCCCAGGCTCTCAGAGAAAATCAGCCGGCGAGCCGAGGGGACGCGCGGGGGGCGCGCGGGTCCCGGCCGGGCTCAGGGACGTCCCCGCCTGCCGCGCTGCCCTCCCCACCCGGGGCCCGGCTCAGCCTGCGGGGCGGCCAACCGAGCCGGCGACTCCTGAGTCGCCAGCCGCGCCACATTCCCGGCGGCCCCCGCCCGCCGAACCCGAGCCCCGCTCCGCCTGAGCCCCGTCTGGGTCCCGGCGCCCAGGAGTCCCGCGTCCCGCCCGCGCCCGGTTACCATGTAGGACGGGAAGCCGGCGGCGGCGGCGGCGGCGTCGGCCGAGTACTGCAGCGGGCTCCCGAAGCCGGTGGCCGCCTGCGCCGTGAAGGCCGCCGAGCCCGGGTAGGGGCTGAACGCCGAGCCCGACGCCGAGCGCGCCAGCTCCTCGCTGCGCGGAGCCGCCAAAGCCGACGCGCCGTAGGCCGGGCACGAGTAGAGCGCCAGCGAGCCGGGCGCCTGGTACAGGTAGCCCTGCGGGTAGGACATGGTGGGCGCGGGGCGCGGGGCCCGCGTCACGCCGAGCAGCGGGCAGGGCGCGCGGCGCCCTCCATCCACGCCCGGCCGGGGCGCGGCGCGGCGGCGGGCACCCGGACGGCCGGCGGAGGCAGGCCGGCCCGGGTACTAGCCTGGGCGGCCCGCGGGCCGGGGCGGCGGCGGGGTGGCGGTGGCGGCGGCAGCAGCGCGGAGCCGGTGGGCGCAGCCGCGCGCCAGGCCGGCGGTCGGGGTTTGGGGGAGTCTGGAGTCGGGAGTGAGGAGTTGAGGAAGGAGCGCTCGAGTTTCCGAGGGACATTGGAACGCGCAGCTGTCCATCACGCGCTCATCTGCATATTCGGGGGCCCGCCCCTCCCCTGCTCCGCCCGCTGCAGCCTCCGGGCCGCGGCCGGGGGAGGGGCAGAGAGACGGGAGGGAGGCGGGGGAGGGCGGAGGCGACGGAGGCGGGCGGCGGGAGGGACCGGCAGGCTTTTGTGGCGCAGCCGCCTCTCTAGCAGCTCCGGCCCCAGCCCGCGGCTCGCGGACCTGCAGCCCAGCCCGGCCGCGCTGCGTGCCCCGGCGCGCACCCCTCCCACTCCCATCCACTCGGAGCCACGTCCCCTGCCCGGCTCCGGCCGGCTCCCACCGTCCCCGGCCACCGTCTTCGCCCCTGCCCGGCCCCCGCCCCTTCCAGCCACTACCCCGCCCCCACCCCCTTCTCCACCCTCACGGACTAGGCAGAGGCCGCCCGCGGTCAGGCCAGGCCGGGTCCAATTAGGGGACTCACAGCCTGCCCCGCTGTGCACCCCGAGGAGGCCCGGCCCCTGTGTCCAATCCGGAAGTCGCAGGGAAGTGGGGAGGTCAGGATGGTGGCGCCCGCGGCTCGGGTCTTCCTCCGGGCAGTGCGCGCGGCTCTCACTTCCACGGTCCCGGACCTGCTCTGCCTCCTGGCCCGAGGCTCCCCGCGTGGCCTCGCGTCTGGTCGCCTACCCCTCGCGGTCCACTCCGCCCAGCATGGACCTGGATCCGGGGCGCCTTGGTTGCGAATTGCCAGGAGGGCCCTGAGGTGAGCTTTCTGCCCCCAAATCCGCAGCGCAACCCCCGGGGCCCTGAACGTTACGACTTTCCACTGTTGGGAATGACGCCAGGGCTTCAGCTAAGAAGACGCCGTCCCCTAAAGAGTTTTATTTTATTTTGTTTTTCTAAGTTGACTCCTCTTTCAGATTTGTGTTGTCAAAACACTGGGGGGATGATTGTTACCTGACAAACCGCCTCTGGCAGGACCTGAAGCCTCCCAGTCACGTCGAGAACGGGCAGGAGCTCAGGTTGGCGCCGCCGGTGCAGTGGGCATTACAGGTAGCTCAGGTGACGCGCGGCTGGAGTAGGGGGGCGGTTGCCTTGCGGGGCTCAGAAGCGAGGCGGTTGGCGAGGGTTCCTAGGACCCCAGCTTCCTAGAACCCTCTCCCCATCACGCTTCTCCAACCCTTTTCCACTCGGGGATGGCCGAAGAGGGCGTCTGGCTGCCCACTCCGAAGGGTCACCTATGGGGGGCGCTCAGGGGGATGGAAGAGTGTCAGGTCTGTGCTGGCCTATTGGGAGCACCCACCCAGCAGGTGCCTCTATCCTCGGAAGCCGTCTCGGGTGGGTGCGGTGGAGAAGAGAGAGCGCAGTGGCCTGGGGCGGGCCTCAGCTCAGGCCTGCAGCCGACTCCTGCACCCCTGCTGGCCCTGCAGCCTGCGGAGCAGCCTTAGTGATCTCAGGACGCAGGGCATGTTGCGGCCTCCCTGTGGTGCGGCTGCAGCGGCGCGGAGGGAGCGGAGCCCGGGTTGCCAGTCTGGTCCAGGGCGCAAGAGAAACACTCACGGCATCAGGCTGTCTTTCCCCAGGTGCAAGGGAACCAGTTGCAAACTGCAGTGCTGTGCTTGAGGATGGCTCCTCCTGAGCCGGCAGGCTCCCGGTAGGCGCGGTCCAGGCACGTTACCCCTCCCGCCAGGAGCTCCCGAGCCGAGCCACTCGCCCCCTACCAGTTATCCCACCCACCCCTTCGCCCACACTGCTCCCCCACCACTCTTCCTACAAACCACACCCCCATCCTGCACACATCCTCTTCAGGCCATCTCAACACACGCACACGCACACACACCCACGACCACCTCTCCCTCCACCCACAGACACCCCGTTCCCACAGGCTGGGCCCCCTGCAACGACCCAGCGGGGGGTTTCAACCTTGTTGCGACTCCACATGGGACATCCTAATTCAGTCCAGGACAGATATTTTTAATCAATTACTATAGAGCTGAAAAACAGAGAGAGAGAGAAAGCAGCCGGGTTGGGCAAGCCGTCGACAGTCTGCGACATTTTTGCGCTTCCTGGGAGGGAATTCCTCCAAGAAGAGGGGTAAATGAGAGGCCCACACGCTGGATGGCAAACACAAACACTGTCAGATCAGATGGCAACCTTTAGGGTTCCTTTACGATCAGATCAGTTTAAATGAAAAAAAAATCGGGTGTAATTTTTATCACCAGGGAGCACTGGCCTGGAGTATTTCCATTTCTAAAGAGCGGTTCCCGCTGTGGTTTCATTAGCATTTGGGGCTCATCCTCCCTCCCCCTCCCTTGACCCACCCCCCTCCCCCCGCCGGACCTCTGCCAGGGGCAGAAGAGAAAACAGCCAGTTATTATACAAACATCCTCAGTTTGGAGCTGGAGTGTCTGCTCTGGATACAGTCGATTCTGACATCAATTAAATATATAACCAGACACGTGCAGTGGCGGGGAGGGTCCCCTCACCCAGGGTGCATCTCCAGAAACGCCGCCTGCCCTTCCCCCTCTTTAGCTCAGTGTTGGGAGTTTGAAGATGGCCTCTTCCCGTCCTGTGTGTATTTTCCCCTTAGCAATTATACTCCTCCACTGAAATCTATATGTTCCATACCGCTGCTGCCTGTTACTAATAAAAACCGTCTACCTTGCACTATTAAACAGTCGACTCTTACTACATGCCGTTTTTATTGGTAGTGACTGTAGCAAATTAAAATGCCTACGCAGGGACATTAAAAACTTAACACTCGTCATTGTTATTGAAATATATAAACTACGTTTTGCTTTAAAGCTCTCTGATATTAAAGAAAAAAATCACATTCCTTCTTCTTAAGTTAAAGTTGGCTTGGTCTTCTTCTTAAAAAAAAAAAAAATCAATCATGAGAAAACATGCTGCCAGCGTGGAGTCTTGGCGCGGCGGTCCCGGCGAGGCTGCCTGAGAGGGTGGCGGGCTCAGCCCAGACTCCGTCTCGGGGCCACGAGGGCTGCAAGGCCGCGGCTCCCGAAGAGGAGGGCCTGGGATGTTTTGCTCAAGGGCGAGGCGGGGTGCTCAGGCCTGTGGGGTCGCTGGGGAGAGCCCGGCACTTGGCTTCTGAGGCTTTTCAGTTGCCGTCCGAGCAGGAGGGAGGGAATGAGCAGGCACGCAGGGAAAACCCAGTAACTGCTTTGCAAACGCGACCCCTGGTCACAATAACCCAGGCGATGGGGGCAGTTTCAGGTTCCTGGTGGGCCCTGCCCCCTTTCCTAGGTGTGCCCTAGGAGGTGGGGAAAAAA
The DNA here is from genome assembly GCF_000001405.40 of Homo sapiens. Taxonomy (NCBI): domain Eukaryota; kingdom Metazoa; phylum Chordata; class Mammalia; order Primates; family Hominidae; genus Homo; species Homo sapiens. The sequence goes on from NC_000005.10 coordinate 2,754,989, forward strand.
TTAACACTGTTTCTATTTTTCTTTATTGTCCCTGCAACAGCCAAAGAATTTAGAACGAGTCTACGTGGACACGCAAGTTTCAGCGAGCGGGGATTTCCTGCGAGGCCGAGCGCGAGGAACAGCCGGCCCCGGAGGCTCGGGCTCGGGGTCTCCCCGGGGACGCGGCCGACTGAGAAGGCCGGGGCGCTCGCCGGGCGCGGCGCCGTCCTCCGTGTCGCGGGGACGGAAGGAGGCGACGCAGGCCAGGAGTCGTGCGCGCGGGCGGCGAGGGGGCGCTGTGGCCCGTGTCTGCCGGCCCGAGTCCCGGCAACGGTGGGCGCGACCCACCTCCTCCCCCGGCGGCTTAATTCGGGGAAGAAGAAAAAACGGCATCGAGGCATTTCAATAAAACCTAAGCGACTCCTGATCCTTTCTCATTGTGGTTCCTTATGAGCTTTCGGTGTCTGGCGGGGAAACAGTTACCGTTCGGGGGTGTGGCAAACTTTTTTGGCAATTAAGATGAAACAGACGCTTTTATGTGGGTTTCCTTTAATGAAGTAACATTGGAAATGTAAGTAGTTTCAGTGCATCAAATCACATCGCTACCGTATTCGCGGTCACCGGCCCTCCCGTTCCAGGGCTCCCCGCGTTTGTCGAGGGAGAGAGCGAGGCAGGAACAGGGGGCCGGGGACATGAGAAGTTTGGCTAAGAAATTTTTCTTTTCTTTGAAAACAAAAGCGTTGTTATAAATGGAACAAAATTTAAGTCAACATGGAACCCACATCTCTTTCAAACGTCGTTTCTAGGTCTAGTACTCTGTGAGTAGGTTGGACTGGATTTCACGCTCAACCGGCATTTCTAGGCTCTCAAAGACGCTTCCGAGGCCTAAATGTTTTCCTGGAAAACACGTGCAGAGGAGCATCCGTGGAAGACTGAAAGGTCCCCGCAGCTCCAGTCCTGGCAGGATGTGCAAGGCCTCTCGAGGTTTTCAAATGGGCCCCCGAGGCCTGGGAGATCCCCGAGTAGCCACGCGGGCGCCACTTCAGGGACGCGGGGCGGCGGCTACTGTGGGCCGGGAGGGCCCCCGCACGGGCTGCTCTGAGCGCCTGGACCCGGGACCCTGCGCGCGCTCTTTTCTTTTTCTTTCGTTTCTTTCTTTCTTATTTATAATTTACATTCTAGGGACCTCGTATTCAGCTAACCAGCTCTTGCTTACTTAACTGCCCTGTTTTCAGCTCCGGATTTCTGGGAGGTCTCCCCATGGCTAACTTGTCCCTCCCGGCATCCTTTAGCGCTCTGCAAAATTTGCCTTCCTCCCACAGATGCCCCGCCTCCGACGTGCTTCCTGAAGTTTCTCTCCCGCTCAGGGTGCCCACAATCCTGAATTCTCCAGCATCTCGCCGACTCCGTCTCTACCCTCCTCTCCTTCCTAATCTCGCGCTGGCTTCGCCCTTTTCTCTCTCCTCCTCCTTCCTACGCGCCCCGCCCCCTCCCCCCAGGTCGCACCTCTCCCCGCCCGGGTCGGGAGCCCCTCGTGGCCAGGCGTCCGCGCGGCTCAAGACCGAGGTCCGCCACGCTGGGCCGCTCGTGGGCGGCTCTCACCCGGCATACCGTGGAAACGGCGCGTCCCGCCAGCTGCGGCTCCAGCCTGGGAGGGAGCGCAGCGCGGGGAGCCTGCAGCGTCTGGAGAGTGAGGAAAAGGGACATTCCTTGGAAATGGACAGAGCCGAGTTCCTTAAAGGGATCGCAGTTGAAAGAGACCCTCTTCAAAATCAGCAACGACCTGGCAGCCTTAGTTCCTCAACAGGAGATGGTTCGAAGATGAAATGTTTGAAACTCCGCCGCCGTTTCACCTTTGCACACACGCGCACGGCAGGCCCAGATCCGCACAGAGACGCAGACACGCGCGCGCTCGCGCTTCCCGGAGAGGTCGGCGCGTCTCGCTGAAGCTGTTCTGGTCAAGTGGAGTTGTCAGGGCTTTGTTTTGTTTTTGTTTTGTCTTTTAAATGTGTTTTACAAGACAGTCTTCAGCAGAACTTAGCTCCCTCAACCCTCCGTCCCTCCAGCAGCTCCTCCGTGGCTCTGCAATCTTCTGTTTAAACACCAGAGCGCACCTCGGTGCTGGCCTCGGCGGGGGTGCGGGGTGCGGGTCGCGGGGTGTGCGGTCACCCAGGAGGCTGCGAAGAGTGCAGGGGTCAGCTCCATCCCGACGAAAGCAGATAGGACTCCTCGCTCGCAAGAAACACTGGAGAAAAGAAAATAATTCCTCGAGTGTTTTTACAATTATTTTAATCCAACCAGCGAGGCTCTAAAGAGCGTTTGTCTTGAGGCCGTGTTGAATACCCTTTGCCAACTGTAAATTCGGCGTGTGTGCCCGAAACTGCTAGCCCTGACCAGGGGCTCGGCAGCACATGGCCAGGCACACACCGAACTCCTCCTTCCCAAATCCTTCTGCAGGATCCTACACCCCTGGAGTATATAGGCAGCGGGAGGGGAGGGTTGGGTTTTGCTTTCTTTGCTTTTTATTTTTATTTTTTAATATGGCTGGGAATGCAGAAATTTTAAAAATGGATACATTTGAGTGTGTTAAAAGTAAAAACTTCTCTTGGACAAAACATAAACTGCTAACCGCAACGGGGGAGAAGATATTTGCCGCACATGTAAATAACAGAGACTGTTCTACAGCACCAGGAGGAATTCTGACTGCCAATGGGTGAAGACGAGGCACCCAGGGAAATAAAGGGGCAGGGATGGGGCAGCCCTCCACGCAGAGGAGACGCCTGAGAATGCGCACATTCACTGGTTGTCTATCTCTAGACAACAGCAGATGCCTCTTCACACCAATCGATGGCACCCAGAAAGGCCTAGGATGTGCCCTGTTCAAACTCTCCCTGCGGTGCAGCTTAAATTTCTATAGAGAAATTCGGGAGACATTTGGCCGCATCTGAAAGCGCAGAAGGTGCGTGCTCCCTGGCACCCAGCACACAGGTGTTGGGGAAGCGGGGACGAGGCAGCCCTGGAGCATGGTTTGCAGGAGTGCAAGACTGCAAGCCTCCTCCACGGCCACCACTCCAGGCCTGGATAAAGAATTCGTGGCATATTTCAGGGAACAGAATGTCCCCTGGGGCGAAAGGGGATGAAGTCATTCTACTTGTACCAACTTGAGTGCCTCCTAAAAGTGTAACCTTGGGGGCGGGGATACAGAAGGATGATGCTGACAATGGAATTTAAAAACAAACAGCAACATTTTGTGGTGTCTACAGGCGTGGGGGTGGAGGAGCTGCAGCGTCACCATGGGAACAAAAGTCTCCCACGCATCTCAGGCCCGAGGAATCTTTAAAGAGGGAGAGTGGGCATGGGAGGAGGACTTAAGCTATTAGTCATATTTTATTTCGAAAACTAGATCTTAAGTAACTGTAGCAAAATGTTAACAATTCTTACCTTGGAATACCGGTTACATGGGATTATGTTACTCTATTTTTTCATCATGTGAAATATTTTATATTTTGACAATTAAAACTAAATAGTAGCTTTTTATAAAAGTGGCATATGCACTGAAGTATAATGTGCTAATTTGGGATTCGTTTAAATAAAACAGCTTTCTTAGAATATTTTATTTTTAATGTCTCTTTTCTCGTCTCAATTCCCCCACCTCTAAAAAATCCAAGCATGTCTTGGAATTGCCATTTAGCCTTAAAGGGAATTCCACTTGCACGTATGTCTTTGTGCCCCTGTCCTGAGCATCCTGTGGAGGCTGTCCCAGCCCTGGCCCTCCCTCCACTTCCTCTCCAAGCCCAGGGCCTGGTTCCCACTTTGCTCATGGTGGTGCATGAGAGGAAGGGGTGCACTCTGGAGGCAAAGGACAAGCCTGGGTGTGCTGGGCACAGTGTGGCTGCATGCCATCACCCGCATGCGTCTACGGGAAAAGACATGCTTCTACATGCCATTTGACATTTTCTCATTCCAGAGTGTTTGTGGTATAAAGAATATAGCCTGGAAAGGAAAAGGGCAGTCGGAGGCAGAGGGGAAGGCTGGCCTTCAGTGCTCGGCTGGACTCCAGGTTCCTAGCAGGTCCTTTCCCCTTCCACATCCCCTCTCATTCTCAGCGTAGAACACAGGGCCTTTCTGGCCAGTATGCTCCTTCCAGAAACAACCAGTTCTGCCTAGTTCTCTTCACTGTGGCCAGAAGAAGCTGGATCTTTGCAAATACAAATCTGCTGAGAGCCCCAGCACAGTGGGAGGCCATCGGGGGTGGCCTTGGTCAGTAGTTAGAAGGTGATGTGTTTGGATGTGTGTTCCCTCCAAATCTCATGCTGACATGTGGCCTCCAGTATTAGAGACAGGCCTCATGGGAGGTGTCGAGGTCATGGATGCAGAGTGGCCTCCAGTATTAGAGGTGGACCTCATGGGAGGTGTCGAGGCCATGGATGCAAAGTCCTCATGAACTGCTTGGCACAGTAATGAGTGGTCATGAGTTCACAGGAGAACTGAGACTCCCTCTTCTCTCTCTTGTTCCCACTGTTGCCCTGTGACATGCCTGATCCCCCATTGCCTTCTGCTGTGATTGGAAACTTCTGGAGGCCTTGCCAGAAGCAGACGCCGGCACCACACTTCCTGTACAGCCTGAAAACCAAGAACCAAAATAAACATTTTTTCTTGTTAAATTACCAGTCTCAGGTATTCCTTTATAGCAATGCAAACGAACTGAGACACGAGGTCTGCATATTTGATTCTATTCCTCGCTGTGCTTGGAACTAGGCAGGGAGGAGGGTACTGCTTCCTGGAAAGTGACACAAATCCAGCCCTCCCTCTGCTGACATGCCTGACCACCCTGTGGAGCTGCTTCGGCCTGTGGACTCCAGCCCTGGTCAGTAGTTAGAAGGTGATGTGTTTGCAGCCCTTGTCTCTCTGCCTGCAGCCAGGCTCCCCGCCAGGCCGGGGCTCTCCAGGTGGCTTCCTCCTGTAAACTTCGCATTTATTTCTCCCTTTGGAGGTCAGCAGAGGCCCAGGAGGCTCCCAAAGCTCTGCGGCAGCAGCTGCCAGGGCTGCAGGTTCCTGTTGGGATGGTTCTCTGGCCTCAGCCCAACCCCTGACTCCATGCCTGGCATGTTGGGGGCACTAGACAAACATTGATTAAATGAACGTATATGAGAAAGAATGAATGACTCACTCTTGGTTTTTCATCTTTATTTCTAAAAGGCATGGCGGGGTGATGAAGGAGATAAACAAGAATGACAGGAACACTTGCTCACAGGCCCCCTGCCCCACCAAGAGCCGTCACTAGACCTGACCCGGGTGAACCACCCAGGCTCCACCCAGATCATTTGATGGCACTCTTCAGTGGCACAGGCTCCCAAGAACAAAGCAAGAACAGTTTTGCAAGTTAAATTTTAGGGTTCGGTAAATAGATATGTACATTTAAAATAATATTTAGTTAGTAAAATAAATTCTTACATTAACAATCAACCCAAAACCATGTGTTCCTTAAGAAAAGCAGACACGTATTTTTATCGTTCTATTCCAAAGGACCTCCACAGCTCCCAGCACACAGTGGGTGCTCAATATAGCTAGTTGAGGGAATGAATGAATGCATGTTGAAGTCTGGGGAAAAAGAAAGTTTAATAAAAGCAAACTAAACTTTAATGATATTTTCAGTAAAAAAACAAACAAAAAGAGTTATAGATATCTTATTTTAAAAGCAAATTAGATCCTAGCAAGGCTTTGTAGACATAGACAAGTTTATTCTAAAATATATATGGAAAGACATGAGCCTTAGAATAGCTAAAACAATTTGAAAAAGAAGAATAAAGTGGGAGAAATCAGCATACCCAATTTCAAGATATTTATATGGCTATAGTAATCAAAATAGAGTGATGTTGGTGGATGGATAGGCCTTGATCAATGGAACAGAACAGAAAACCCAGAAATAGACACAAACAAATATGCTCCATTTATTTTTGACAAAGGCACAAAACAATTCAATGTTTCAACTTTGTTGAAAAGTTCGCCTTTTCAACAAATGGAGCTGGAGCAATTAGACACCCATTAAGGAAAAAAAAAGTTCACTTTATGTAAAAATTAACCAAAAATGAATCACAGACTTAAATGGAAAATGGAAAATTATAAAATTTGAGAATAATAGGATAAGGTCTTCAAGACCTAGGGCTTGGCAGAGTTTTCAGATCAGATATCTAAAGCACAATACATAAAAGCAAAATCTTGATTAGCTGGACTTCACCAAATGTAAAACTTTTGTTTGTGAAAGACCCTTAAGATAACAAAAAGATGTATTAGAGACGGAGAGAAAATATTTGCAAACCACATATCTGATTAAGGACTCATATTTACAATATACATAGAAACACAATAGTAAAACAGAGACAAAAACAAAAACAAAAACAGAAACACAAACCAATTAGAATTTAGGGGGAAAAACACAAACACATTTTCTGTTTTTCAAAGAAAAAATACAGATGGTAAAAAACAAAAAGCACATACAATGATTTTAACCTCTTTAATCTTCAAGGAAATGCAAATTAAAACCACAGTGAGATCTATATATCTATCAGAGTAGCAAAAATCTAAAAATAGTAGCAATACCTACTACCGCAAAAAGGCAGAGAAACAGATCACTCATACATTGTTGGTGGGAATATAAAATCTTACATCCATTCTGGAAAACAGTCTGGAAGTTTTTTATAAAACTGGAGATGCATCTACCATACAATCCAGCAATTGCCTTCATGGGTGCTGGTCCCAGAGACTCATATGTTTCACACAGAAGCCTATATATCAACAGTCACAGCAGCTTTATTTGTAACAGGCAAAAACCAGAATCAGCCCAGATGTCCTGCGCAGGCTTTAGGCAGGGAGTAAAATAGTTTGATTTACTTTTTAAAAGAAGATTCGTTGAGATATAATTAACATACCGGAAAACTTATCTATTTTAAGTGTACAGTTCAATGATGTTTGGTATATTTAAAGAGTAGTGCAACCTTCACAGCAATCTAATTTTAGAAATTTCTGTCTTCCCAAAATGAAACCCTGTATGCTTTGGAAGTCTTGCATCTGGCCTCCTCTGCTGAGGATACTGTTTCTGAGTTTCGCTGCTAGTGGCTTTCTTCACAATAGCTGGAGAGTGAAGAGTGTCTGTCTGCTGAAGGATGACTAAGCAGAGTGTGGTTTATCCGCACAGGGGAACAGCCCTGAGCAACCACGGGGGAGGGCTTTGTTGTTTGTAGAAGGAGACTAGACCCTGTTATAGGCAGATGGAGGGGAGGCAGCAGGAGGCTGGGCCCATCCTCCCAGCTCTGAGCTGGAAAGAAGGGAAGGAAGGAGGAAGGGAGGAAGGAGAAAGGGAGGAGAGAGAAAAAAGAGGAAGAAGGAAAAAGGAAGGAATAAAAAAGAGAAAAATTGAAGGAAGAAAGAGGGAAGGAAGGAAGGGAGGGAGGAAAGGAAGAAAAGGAGGAAAAGGAAGGCGAGAAAGGAAGAAAGGAAAAGGAAGAAAAAAAAGAGGGAGACACAGCAGCTACCACAGTGTTTAGAAAGCTCTTTATATGCCTACGTAAGAAATTACGTGTATACAAATATATATTTTTCTAAGTAATATATACATTTAGAAAAATGTTAAAATGGATAAGTAGTTCTAAGATGCTTAGTACAATGTGTAATTTCCTGCCCTGCCATCTGCAGCTTCAAGTCCTGCTTTTTAGAGGCAGCGTTTGCAGTTATTCTGACGTTATTTTTTAGCATTCACTCTCATATTATAAAGTAATAATCTTACACTTCTTTGTTGACCTTATCTATGCCTGAAATTAATTAATTAATTAATTATTGGCTTCCCATTTTGGAAGGTGAGGGCTAAGGGGAGTGACTCAAGGCTGAAGTGGCATTGTCACCATGAGGACCCTCAGCCCCAGGATGTACCCTGTCGCTTCTCAGAGTTCCCCAGTGGCCCCTGGAGAGCAGTTGCACCTGTAGCCCTGGGTGGCAATCCGGCCAGCACACGTGGACGGCGGCGGGTGGTTATGCCTCCGTTCACCCAGAGCAGTCCCTCCACTTTTGTTTTTCAAATTCTCCCAAGTACATCGAGAGGCATCCAGCCCAGTGTTCTGGCTTTGTCTTGCTTCCTCTTTCAGGAGTGTTATGGTCAATGAGAAGTCGAGGCCCCTCAGCCTCTGGGGGAGCACAGCAAGCCAGGCGGCCACCCCAGGAGGCCCTGACACAGGTGCTGCATTTGCCACCCCATTGCCACCCGTGGCTCCACTGCATACCTGTGGGTGACTTTGCTCCCCACAACCACCCTGCCCTGCATCCTTTGCTGGACATTCTTTGCGGTGTTTAGGAACATTCTAAATCTCTTTATGGAATGCATCATCAAGAGCAGTGAAACTTTAGAGAACTGTTTTTGCTCCAGCCACTGCAGTGCCCACATCCCACTGCTAACACTGGACTGTACTTGCAGAAGAGTGCTCTCTGAAATTGCCAACAACCTCTCCTAGTCTTTTGCTGAATGGTCCCAGCATCTGCTCAGGAGACACAGGACTGATCTGCTCAGGATCCTTAGGCAGTGTCCCCTCTCCTGGCCTCCTCTCCAGAGACGGCAACACCAGGCCGGAGGCAAGGGACAACCTCAGCCTCCTGTTAACACCAGCTGGGGCTTGCTCCTGTACATGCATGGGTCCCAGGCTAAAGGGGAGCTCCGGGAGACCTCTGTCCTCCTGGCGTGCAGTGAGGCCTCCAGTGTTTCTATTAGAGTATATTGTTTTTACTTTAGTTGGAACATATACTTGAGTTTTGTTTAATTTGTGTCCAAATTGTTACTCTGTTGACACAGAGACCTCACCGAAAGTTCTCTTTGATAGTATCCTCTTTGCTGTGTACAGTCTTTAGGCCTGCCTGTGAGTCTACATGCACTTGTGTGTGTGTACACGAGTACATGCTGGTGTGCAGGGCAGGCTGTGTGTGACTGCACACATGTGTGTATGTGTGGGGTACATGTGCGCTTGACTTTTCTAGAATGTCCAGATGTGCGGGTCTCTGGGGACAGGCCTCAGAGAGGTTGCCCACAGCTATCACGGCTACTAATAGGTGGTATAATATCGTCATTTCCATTTGATTGCAGGACCTGTTTTTATTTTGTTTTTTGGGGGCTGAGCAACAATCTGACTCATTCATTTTCCTTTGAGTGAGAATCTGACAATGTAAGAAAGCATGTTTTTTAAAAACAAGTTCTATCATAAGTGTATCCGTAAAATGGTCTTAATTGATCCAAATCATAATAAGGAATTTTAAAACTTGCCTATAACCAGCACCAGAGTATCTCTGACTTAGATCTTCTCTAATTCTAACATTCTTCTTTCTGGGTCTGCGATTCTCCTTTAGAGCCTCATTTCATGTCAGGTCTGATCTTTGTTGGAACGGGATACTGTTGTGAGGGTCACACTCGGGTCGGCAGCAGCTCCCTGTGGTCAATGAGTTCCAAGCTTGTTTCGAAGTGAAAGAAGCAGGAGGAGTGTTTGGGACCAGGGCTCTGGAAGGGCCACCAAGCCAGCCAGAAACAGAGGAAGCTGCGCAGCCCCATGGGGAATGTCGCCATTTTCTTTTCCAGCCAGGCCAGGACAGAAGTCCAGTACAAGCTCATGGTCATAGCTGCGAGTTTGGGGGCAGCACGGAAAGGCACGCTTTCTGCTGCTTCTCTCGGTAGCACATCCGTCATAGCCACTTGCACTCACCAGGGACCATGGAAGCCGCCCCTCTCCCTGCCAGCCACGCTTCTCCCATCTTCCATGGACAGTCACATCCTGCTTCCCTGCCCGGGGTCCCAGGGTGAGTGCTTGGGCAAGTGGGGTCCTTCCTGCCCGCCCGCCACCACACCCAAGGCCCTCAGCTCTGCACCAGCCTTCGCTTGAGCATGCAGGGACATTCTGGCGATGCCTCTGTCAAAAGCACAGGCTCCTGTTCCTCCTGCAGTCTAGCACGCGTCACTAACGTAACAGGTATTTGATGTGTTTCATGAAGAAATGGACAAGAACTTAATGCGACGGACTTTACAATGTTGTTTTTAGAGGTCTTCAAGGGATCGATATGGCACGAGAGCAGAAGATGTGGAGTGTGCTGACAGGGTTACTCCTCTGAGGGTGCAAAGGTAGGGCAAGTGATGAGGGCAGGGAACAGGCTGTGCTTCTGAAGGTGCAGAGCTGGGAACCACATCAGCACCTGCACTCTGGGGAGCTTCTGTGCAAACAGGGGTTTCAGAAGTGTCAGCTGGACAAGTGGGTCATGGCCATCTCATAGGCAGTGTCCTCATGGCTCTTCTACTTTAAGGAAGGCATAGCAGAGAAGGCACGGAACATTTCACGAGGATGAACGTCAGTTCTAGGTACAATATGGGACTGTGGCATGGTTTTTCTTTGTTTCTAAAAACAGAGTTCTTATCTACAGGAAGATTTGTAAGGATACAAACAGAATTTCCATTGCTTTTATCATAAGGAATGAAATCTATGGCATGAAAGGAGAAATATTCACATTTTATCACTCCTATACTTTTTGACCATTTTACAATAAGCATGTATTTGCTGATTAAAAAAATTTGCATACAAAAGTGTTGAATTGGAGGTATATCTCAATGAAATGAGAACAAAATGTTTTTATATATGTTATCTTTTGCAATCTCTGAGTTTTCCACAGATTTATATGACTGAGAGAAATGTTACTTTCATACACAGATATTTGGATTAAGGTAGACTATTACACAACTAAGATAACAGTCTATCTTAATTCAATTCTGCCCACACACATGTATTTCCAATTCATATTTAAAACTGAAGTGTTTTTATTAATATATCTTCTCATAGATTAGAAGCCTTGTTTTTTTCAACATTGGCATGTTTATTTACTGAATTTATCTTAAAATAGATGTAAAAGTTTCAAAATCATAATACTGACATGACTACTAACAATAAATGTACTGAGAACAGTTTTAAAAAAATCTTTGCACATCTTTTTGCATCTATGAAATATCACACTTGGGATCTATACTGAAAGCATCATGTTCAAACTTCCTTGAAACTATTGTTTTATCTGTTATCTACAAAAAGGCTTATTTATTTCTGTATTCAATTTTAGTGTGTTTCCCTTTTCTGACTTGCTTGCAGTTTTGCAAAATAGCTTACCTGGTTTAAAAGTCGGCCGGGTGCGGTGGCTTATGCCTGTAATCCCAACACTTTGGGAGGCTGAGGCAGGCGGATCACCTAAAGTCGGGAGTTCGAGACCAGCCTGACCAACATGGAGAAATGCCATCTCTACTAAAAATACAACATTAGCCAGGCCTGGTGCGCACCTGTAATCCCAGCTACTCGGCAGGCTGAGGCAGAAGAATCACTTGAAACCAGGAAGTGGAGGTTGTGGTGAGCTGAGATCTCGCGATTGTACTCTAGCCTGGACAACAAGAGCAGAAAATAAATAAATCGATAAATAAGTAAATAAATAAATAAAAAGACAAGTTGTAAGAAGTGTGGTTGGTAGTTTCTGGTGCCTTTCCTTCTCTCCAGCTCACTGCCCCTGCCCTCTCTTCTTCCCTTTCATTAGCTTCCAGGCAGTCTTTCCTGCATTTATTTTTGCATCTGTAAACACATACATGTATGCATGCGTAAGCATAAGTAAACAAACCCTTTTTCTTTTTATCTTAGGTAAAAGATAACCTATCATATACACTCTTCTGCAACTTGGTACCTTTCTTAATAATAATGGAGATCACAGTAGTGAGTAGAGATTTTCCTTGTTTAAAAAAACATGTAAATAGCATTTACTTTAGAAATTCACAGTAGTTATTCAACCAGATCCAACTGCAGGTAATTTGTGCTGTTTATAATCTTTTGCTCTTATAAACAGTGTGACTACACATGGCCTTCTACACCTGTTTTTCTGTGTTAGTGAAGACAGTTTCAGAATGGATTCTCAGGAATGGGATTGTGGGCTCCTATAGTGAGTGAGTGTATAATTTTACCAAGAATTGCCAGGTTTCTGCTGTGTTTTGCACTCCTAACATCGGTGTAAGAGATTGCACGTTCCTTTTGCAGCCTAACCAATTTAGACTGCCTGAAGGAAATTGGGGTCTTTCTAATATAATATGTGAAAAATAATATCTAACTGGAGTATTTTAGCAGGGCAAAGTTGTACTCATTAAGCCAAAGTTTCCACTGCCCTAAATCATCCCAGGGACAGGTACCAGGCAGCTGGAGATCACACCTGCACCCCAGAGCCCCGGAATCGTACCCAATCAGCCCATGCTAAACTGTCATGTCTGCCCAGACTCATCTTTTCCCTGGAAACCCCGGTGAAGGCTCTGGCCTTGGTGTCCCCTGGATCCTGCGTCTGCTCCTGGCCACACCTGATGCTCCTCACATGACCCTGCCTGATGAACTACGCTCTCTTTTCTTAGGAAAGTGGGTAATAAATTCTTCTTTCAATAGCATCAGCCTCTCTGCCTGGGCACCTCCGTGAATTAAAATCCTGTTAGGTACATTTCAGGATGAAGTGGCATCCCACTGTGGTTTAATTCAAATTTTCTAAATGACAAACGATGTTGATCGTCTTTCCATGTACTTTCTTGCCACCCAGGTGTCTTCTTCTTTGAAGCATCTTCTCAACTCTTTTGGCAATTTTTAAATTGTCTTACTTTTCTTCTAATTATTTCCTTATAAAGAGCTTTTACATATTATGGTCACAGCCCTTTTTTAGATAAATGTTTTGTAAATACTTTCTCCCAATCTGCAGTTTGCCTTTTTCATCTTTTAACTTTATTAATCAAGTTTTTCAATTAGCAAAACTTTCAATTTTGATAAAGCTCCAATTTACAACATCTCCTTTCTTTTGCTTTGCCTTGTGTATATATGTGACCATGTCTTCCCTTTAAGAAGTATTTGCTTAATCCAAGGTCATAAAGATTTTCTCTTATTTAATTTTTAGAACTTTTTATGGTTTAATTCTTTGGTTTAAGTCTTTTACAATTTATTTTGGAATATTTTGTTTATGGTGTGTCATGAACATAAGGGTCAATATTTATTTTTCCCCATACAGTATCAATTATTAAAGACTATTTTTCCATGGAATTATCTTGGTGCCTTTGACAAAAATCATTTGACTATTCGAGCATGGGTCAATTTCTAGCTTTTTAACTCTTCCATTAGTATTTATGTCTATCCTTAGATCAATACCCTACTGTTTTGTTTATTATCTCTTTAGAGTAAGTGTTAAATCATGTAGTGTGTGTTTTCCACCTTTTCTTTTATAAAATTGTTTTGGAAGTTCTAATTTATTTACATTACATACTAATTTTGAATTAGCTTCTCAATTTCTACAAAACACCTGCTATAATTTGATTGGAATTAAATTGACAATACAGATCAATTTGTGAATTCCTCTCTTAAAGATATGGACTCATTCAGTTCATATATATGGTATATGTTTCTTTTCACTTAGGTTTTAAAAGATTTTTCTCAGCAATGTTTTATGGTTTTTAGTGTGCAGATATTGAACACATTTAATAAAATTATGCCTAAGCATTTTATCTATTTATGTATTATTTATGCTTTTGGAAATGTATTTTTGTAGCATATTTTTAATTACTTATTGTGAATATATAGAAGTACAACTGATTTTTTTTGTACAGTAACTCCATGTTCTACAACCTTGCTAACTTCCGTAATTAGTTATATTAGCTTTTTAGAAGATTTTAAAAAAATCTACATCAATTATTGTGTCTTCTGTAAATAAAGAGTTTTATTTCTTATTTTCTAATTTGTTTGAAAATTTCATGTCCTATATTGATTGCAGTGGCTCTGACCTCCAGTGTTCCCTGCCTTGTCTTATCCTAGTTAGGAAGCTCAATCTTTCTTCACTAAATAGAATGCTACCTGTAAGAGTTTTTTTGTTTTGTTTTGTTTTTGTTTGTTTTTTTTTGTTTGTTTTCTTTTTAGATGGACTTTCACTCTTGTTGCCCAGGAAGGAGTGCAATGGAGTGATCTCGGCTTACCGCAACCTCCACCTTCCAAATTCAAGCGATTCTCCTGCCTCAACCTCCTGAGTAGCTGGGATTACAGGCATGGGTCACCACACCCGGCTAATTGTTTTTTGTATTTTTGGTAGAGACAGGGTTTCTCTATGTGGGTCAGGCTGGTCTTCAACTCCGGACTTCAGGTGATCCGCTCGCCTTGGCCTCCCAAAGTGCTGGGATTACAGACATGAGCCACCAAACCCGGCTGACCAATTTTTTTGTTTGTTTGTTTTGTTTTTCGACGTCCTTCATCAGGTTGAGAAAGTTTCCCTCTATCTAGTTTTCTAAGAATTTGTATCATGAGTGGAGGGCTGCACTTTTTCTGGAAATTATTTTTCCACACCTATTAAGATAAACATTTTTTTTTATTTACTTCTATTATTATAATATGGTGTGCTACATTAATTGATCTTCAAATGTTAAGCCAACCTTGAATTTGAGATGAATACCACTTAGGGTTAAATTATCATTTACCAGACATTAATATCTCTCATGAACATAGAAAGAAAAATCATCAAATACATGAGTGAATCATGGTCAGTAGCATACCACAGGCTAACACACTATGCACAAATTGGGTTCATCCCAAGAATTTAAGATTAACACCATTTTGGAAAATCAATCCATGTAAGTCACCATCTGAATAGAATAAAGAAGAAAAACCATATAACCATTTCAATAGATGCAAAAAGAGCTGTTGACAAAATTTACAACTCCTTCATTAAGAACACACAGAAAACTGGGTAGAGTCAAATTTCTCATTCTGACAAAAGACATCAGCAAAACATCTAGAGCTGACATCATTGTTCATTATGAAATATTGAGTGCTTTTAAAGATTGGGAGCAGGGTAAAAACGTCTACTTCTATTCAACAATGTACTAGAGGTCTTAGCCAGTATAATAAGTCAAGAAGCACAGGCATACATTTGCATGTAAACAAACAAATGAATCAGTAAGACAAAGTGCAGAAAGTTTTTCTAGACAACCTAGTTTTCTATGAAAAATCCCAAGGCATCTACAAAACATCTCTTAAAATTAACGTGAGAAGTTAACAAAGTCACAAGTTATAAAGTCCTTGCTTTAAAAAAAAAACACCTATATTTCTACAAAGAGACAACAAATTACAGAAAAATGTCATTTACAAATACCATTTACAATATCATCAATAATATTAAACAAATAGGAATGAAATAATCAAATATGATGCACAAAACCTCTACCTGGAAAATTACAACATAGTGTCCAGCATTATTAAAGAGTTACACATAAGAAAGTTTATAAATAAGATGAGATACAACACAGTCATGGGTTGAAGCCTCTGCATCGCTAATATTTCCATTCTTCCAAGTTGATACATAGATTTAATGTAATGCCAATCAAAATCCCAACTGTACCTTTTTGTAGAAACTGATAAATTAATCATAAAGTTTATGTGGAATTAGAAAGGACTAAAATGGTAAAATAATTTGGAAATACACATGCCCACCCAGGGAACTTATGCTACTGGATTCCTGGCCTTACCGTAAAGTTACAGTAGTTAAGACGCTTCCATATTAGTGAAAAGTTGGACACATAGATCAATGGAACAGAATGCAGAGACCAGATACAGGAGCTGTGATTGTGGCATTGCACTCTACCCTGGGTGACAGAGTGAGACCCTGTCTCAAAAACAAATATATAAATAAATAAACAAATAACCAGCAAAAGATCTATGGATATAGGATCAGTTAATTATTGATATCAATGTCCTGGTGCTAGAACAACTCAATGTCCATATGAACAAGATGAATTAATCATGTCTCCTACCTCTCATCATATAGAAAATTATTTTAAAATGGATCATAGACCTAAATGTAAAAGGAAAAGCACCTAGAAAAAACATTGGAGTAAAGCCGGGCGCGGTGGCTCATGCCTGTAATCCCAGCACTTTGGGAGGCCGAGGCGGGTGGATCACGAGGTCAGGAGATCGAGATCATCCTGGCTAACACGGTGAAACCCTGTCTCTACTAAAAATACAAAAAATTAGCCAGGCGTGGTGGCGGGCGCCTGTAGTCCCAGCTACTCGGGAGGCTGAGGCAGGAGAAAGGCGTGAACCTGGGAGGTGGAGCTTGCAGTGAGCTGAGATAGTGCCACTGCCCTCCAGCCTGGGTGATAGAGGGAGACTCTGTCTCAAAAAACAAAAACAAAAACAAACAAACAAACAAACAAAAACATAGGACTGAAACTCTACAACTTTGAGCTATGCAAATATTTATTAGCACAAAAACAAGACTAACGATTTTTTAAAAAAGAAATAAAATTCTCTTTAGGTGACAAGGATTATAAAATGAGAAAGCAAGATACAACATACATGTATATAAACATAAACATATTAACTATTACAATAATATAGTGTATGCTGTAATTTGTATATAATATTAATTTAATATCATATTATTGTATAATAATATTATAGTCTATTGACAAGAGACTTGTATATATAGCATATCTTATATCACAAAAAAATGAGCTTAATACAAAATTCGCAAATGTCTTGATTTGACACTTCTCAAAAGAAGTTATATAAAAGGTCAATAAGTGTTTTTGGAATGATTCACATCAGTCTTGAGAGAAACATAAATCTAAACCATAATAAGATACTGCAACACATTGGTGAGAATGTTTAAAGTTAAAAAGGCAAACAATATCAGCATTGGAGCAACTGAGATTCTCAAGCAGCATTGGTAGAAGTGTAAAATTATACTAGAACTTTGGAGAACTGTTTGGCAGTTTAACATAACCTTAAACGTACACTTACCACTTGTTCGGGAAGTTCTACTTCTAGTTATTTACCCAAGATAAATAAAAACGTGGGTCTCCTGAAAGATTTGGCTCAAATGCTTGTGATAGCCTTATTACAATTGCCTCAAACTGGCAACAACCAAAATATTCATCAACATTTGGCCATTCCGAGTGGTTTAGTGTTCTAATTATAGGATGTAATATATACAAGCATAGAATGGAAGGAACCACACACCCAGCACAGGTGAATCTCAATATCATCATGCTGAATGGGAGAAAACAGATACAAAAAAGCACATCCTGTGATTTGATTTATGTGGCAGTCTATACCGTCTCCAGAGCAATACTGATTAATGCTAATCAATGGTGATAGAAGTCTCCTGGGACTGAGAGAAGGGAAGACTGAGAAGGGACGGGAGAGCATTGTATGGGATGATGGAAGTGTTTTATATGCTAGTTGGGGTTGTGATTACATGGGTGTCATATGTGTAAAAACTACCAAATTTTACACTTTATATCTGGGCTTTTTAATGTACATAATTTATACCTCAATTAATAAAACATATACTTGCATTTTTACTGAAATTATAATGTTTAAAATACTCACTGAAGAGTTTGTACTTATGTTACAACGCCTATTTATAAACTCTTGGCAGACTGGATGTTATCATTTTTATCTTTCTGATCTGATATGTGATAAGTAATATTTTACTTGTTCTAACTCTCCTTTGTTTTTATTGTATTTGAGGCTGGACATTGTTTCACGTATTTATTTATCAATTATCTTTCTGTTTCTGTAAACTGTCTCTTCAGGTCCTTTTCTGTCTACTCGATTGTTAATCTTCTGTTGTTAAAAGATATCTTTATATTTTTATGATATTAAGCCTTTTACAGCCATAGAAATTAAGATTATTTTCCTCATGGTTTTGGTCTTTCAAGTTAGTTTAATTTTTTTTCTTTTTACTTTCACTCCAGCTGGTGTAAACCTGTGAAATGTTTTTTAGCTTACATACATTCTTGATTTTTAACAGTATAATATATTAATAATTTATGGGTTGTAATCTTTTGGTTGATTAAAATCATTTTTTCTAAGTCATGAAATAAAAATATGCATTTTTTTCTTATATCTGTTGGACTTTCACATTAACATTTTAAATTTATTTGGAATTTACTTTTTAATCATGTAAGGTAACATTTATTAAATCAATAGCAAATTTTCTCAAGCCTCTAATTCATCTCCTCTACTGATTACATATCTGAAATGATCCCCCTTTTCCATATTAAAATTCTCCAAATCTGTGTTTCTTATCTAGTCCGTATGTTTCTTTTTCTAATGTTGTTTTTATTTTTATCAGAGTTCTATCCCCTCATATTTTAAGGACTCAGAGAGCCCCACAGAAGCCCCCTGGCTTCCTCTCCCTGGGTTTCTGCTGCCAGGCACCATGTGTCCTCTCCCCCGTCTGTTGGGCTCCATGATCCAGGTGCTCCATGGAGTTCTTCACTTTAGGAAGATGCAGCGTGGATCCTCTCACCCCTGGCCCTTCTTATCCACCCACTCTCCCAATATACTTATACATGTCCTTGGTAAGCTTGGTAGAGTTATATTCCAGTGATATAAACGTCATTCACAGATGTGCAGTACATCCTGAGTTAATAGTGGTTTTGTTTTTCTTTTGCTTGACTAATTCAAACCCAGACCTATCCCCTATGTATCGCCTCTCTTCTCAGCCATTGGACGCATCAGGCATTCCAACAATTCCATCTCCTCTCCTGCTCTGGTCAGGACTGGGAGTCACCGCACCTGCGACATCTCTATCACCCCACACTGTCTGTTCACCCCTGGGTCTCCTTGCACATCTCTCCAAACCCACACATTCCCACCCAGGGGCTCTTTTCTCTCTCCCCTCCCCGCTTCCCTCTCTCATTTTACTGGAGCACATTTTCCCCAACTTCCTGAAGTAGAGGTTACCGGATAGGTATTTTGAGTTTTTAAAGTCTGATGATGTATTTCTATTTACCCTAGAATTTTACTGACACTTCAAAAGGTTTAGAATTCAAGACTGAAAATAATTTTCCTTCTGAATTTTTTAAGTGACTTTTTAATTTTGGAATAATTTAAGACTTGCAGAAAAGTTGCAAAGATTGTACAGAGTTCCGTATCCCCCTTACCCAGGTTCCATCAGTGTCAAAGTAAAACTTTATGGAACAACTGTCACAAGGAAGAAACAAACATTGGTGTGGTACCAGTAGCCACACTCTAGA
Source organism: Homo sapiens (assembly GCF_000001405.40). Classification (NCBI taxonomy): domain Eukaryota; kingdom Metazoa; phylum Chordata; class Mammalia; order Primates; family Hominidae; genus Homo; species Homo sapiens. Next base: position 2,774,067 of record NC_000005.10, read on the forward strand.
CACGATCTGGATTCCACCCATCCTGTTTCCACATTTGTTGAAATAATTAGAGGCTTTTCTTCTTTTATCCGTAAATGGGTGCATTATGTGAATATATTATTTAATATTAAACTACCTCCCGGGCATGGTGGCTCACGCCTGTAATCTCAGCACTTTGGGGGACCGAGGCGGTTGGATCACCTAAGGTCAGGAGTTTGAGACCAGCCTGGCCAACATGGTGAAACTCCATCTCTACTAAAAATACAAAAAGTAACCGGATGCGGTGGCATGCGCCTGTAGTCCCAGCTACTCGGGAGGCTGAGGCTGGAGAATTGCTTGAACCCGGGAGGCGAAGGTTGCAGTGAGCGGAGATCGTGCCACTGTACTCCAGCCTGGACAACAGAGCGAGACTCCATCTCAAAAATAAATAAATAAATAAATAAATAAATAACTACCCTTATATTACAGAATCAAGTCAATTTGGTCATAATAATTTACCTTTTTGAGAGTACATTTCTAGATTTGATTTGTTAACTTTTATTTAGAAATTTTGCATATATGTTCTTTAGGGAGACTAACCTATGTATTCCTTTCCTCAAATAAATTAAAACGGTTCTCTTAACTTGTTTTCTAGAAGAATTCCTGGACAACCAACATTTTGTGTTCCTTGAATATTTGATAGAACTAGTTTAAAAACCATCTGTTTTTGATGTTTCCTTTTTGGAAATGTTTCCAATTACTGATGTAATTTATTTATTTTTCTTATCTTAACATGATTTTTCTAACCTACCCTTAGCACTTAAAATCTTTTCTCATATTTTATTTTTAATCTTTTTATGTCATTATACTTCAGTTGTATTTACTGCAAACTGCTTTTACTGGATTTTAAAAAATAATTATACTTGAAAAACTTTCACTTTTAACTGGAACGTTTAGGCTGTACACATGTGTTGATTATCTTTGTAGTTTGATTTTTTACTATACATTTGAAAAGCTATTTATATCCGTTGTTTCTATATGTTTTCTCTTTTCTTATCATATTTAGAAACAATTTGATTACCATTTCTCTTTTTCACTAATTGCTTGGAATTTCCATAGTTGATTTTAATTTTTATAATGGTTGACAGATGCATATTTAATTTCAAGCAGTATGAATTAATTAATCCTTTTTAGAAGGATTTTAGAAGCTGGAAACAGTGATAAAACTCTTCTGATTTATATATTTTATAAATATATAAACCTATATAATATTAAATGTATAACAGATTACATTTTAGGTTTTTTAACTGCACAAAATATGTTATTCATGGTGCTTTACACAGTCAGTGTTGGACAAGAGTTACTTACATGTTACTCTTTTTAATTTTATCATCATTCTTTCATCTTTAATACTCTTTGTGGGATCACTTCCTTCCTCTCTGGAGAACATTTTGTAGGAGTTATTGAGGAATGCTTTTCTAGTCTATCAATGCTTTGGTCTTTTTCTAGAAAGATAATTTCACTGGGCATATCATCTAGGTTGACTGTTGTTATTTTTTTTTCCACAGCCCTTTCAAAAGCGATTCTATTGTTTTTCATCTTCATGATCACTTGTGAGAAATCAGTGATCAATCTAACTGTTGTTCATTTGTAGATAAGTTAACTTTTCTCTCTGGCTGCTTTGAAGATCCTCTCTTAGGCTGCTATGTTTTTGCTGATGTTTCAGGTGTAAGTTTTTAAAATGTTTTTCCTGAATCCATTAACCTTCCTGATTCTGAGAAATTATGTCTGTATTCATTTAGGGATCATTTTAACCACTATCTCCTCAATATTGCCCCTCCTCTCATTTTGTGCCCTATGTTTTTGGAAGTTCAAGGAGATGTTCTTTGGAACTGTTCACTTTACCTTACATGCCTCCACCTCTCTGTCATACTTCCTGCCTCTCCCTCCTCAGTGCTCGATTAGCAGTCATTTCTTTTAGGTTTATCTTGCAGGTGATTTTTTATTTGTGTCATATGTACTGTGTAAGCCACTCATTGAGTTTTTTTAGTGTTTTAATTGATGCATGTAATTGTGCATATTTTGGGGGTACACCCAATATTTGATACATGAATATAATGTGTAATTATCCAGTGAGGGCATTTAGGATATCTATCAACTCGAACATTGATCATTTCTTTGTGTTAAGAACATTTCAACTTTTCTCTTCTAGCTATTTTGAAAGACACAATGTATCCTTGTTCCCTATAGCCACGGATGGAGTCCTAAATTGCAGTCATGGACACTATTTGGCTCTGTTTCGAGTCCAGCTGTTCATTTTTTATAGTCTCCTACTCCTTGATTATATTTTGTATTTCCTCTCTTATATATTTAATATATTTGTCTTCCATCTCCTATAATTGTTGTCTCGTGTCTGAATCCATCGAGTTATTTAAATTGAGGGCCTCCTCTTTTAAAAGTGTCTACTTAGCATTTTCCGTGGACTCAAACTAACCTCTTCAAAGAGCAAGGATGAGGTTTCAGAAACTTGACTTTTTAGCACCTGTTACCAAAGTGTGACTTCTGGTTAAATATGGCATCGGGCTTGGGGTCTTTAGAAAACAACGGAAGTGAGAATGAGCGCTCAGAAACATTCTGAGAAAACATTTTTTCCCCAAAGAAAGGAAGTTTGAGGCCATTCGGAACTGAGGAGGACTCTGGCTGTGGCGTTCATAAGAACAGTCTCAGCGCAGAGAAGGCGGAAGACGGAAAACACACAAAACAGCCAGCTGGGAAAGCAGAGGGGAAAAGAAGTCACAAGCCTCTCCAGGAAAGAAAGAGCTTTGGGGATTGCAGGGCTATACTTGGAGAAGGCTCAGTTACAAGCTGGCTGCCTGGAGTGGGGGATTCAGTGGGAGTTTAGGACACAGGAAAGTCAGCACCAGGGCTTTGATGCGGTGATTTCAGAGGAAATTGGAGATTGTTAAGAAACATATCTTTGCAGTGAAGCTTCAGTTTATTAACTTCTGAGAGGAAGACAACGAAACTGTCTGGGCTAACGTTGAGGTGCTGCCTCCTCATGAAGCTGTGTGGGAAGTACCCTGCACCTCGGCCCGGGCGGCTCTGAACCACGGGAGCAGAGCTGGCCTCCTGGGACACTGGCCACTGTGTTGTGACCAACCCTGGGCAACTCGGCAACTCTTATTTTTGGGGTGTTCAATATCCTGTTTGGTCTTCACCACCTGACCAGATCACTGGACCAAGGTAGGCAGCTCTCTGCCCGGGACTGGAGGTATTGAGAGAATCTGACCTCATTTGAAATTTGCCTTATTTTATTTTATTTTATTTTATTTTATTTTATTTTATTTTATTTTATTTTATTTATTTATTTATTTTTGAGACAGAGTTTCACTCTGCCGCCCAGGCCAGAGTGCAGTAGCATGATCTCGGCTCACTGCAATCTCTGCCTCCTGGGTTCAAGTGATTCTCCTTTCTCAGCCTCCCGAGTAGTTGGGATTACAGGCACTCGCCACCATGCCTGGCTAATTTTTTGTATCTTTAGTAGAGACGGGGTTTCACTATGTTGACCAGGCTGGTCTCGAACTCCTGACCTCGTGATCCGCCTGCCTCAGCCTCCCAAAGTGCTGGGATTACAGGCATGAGCAACTGCGCCAGGCCTATTTATTAATTTTTTTGTCTGGTAGTTACCTCGTTTGTTAAATGCATCAAAAGCACTTTCTGAGCACGGTCATGGTCTGAACTGTGATCTACCCAAATTCATATGTGGCAGCCTTAACCCCCAGTACTTTAGAATGGGACTGTATTTGGAAATGGGGCCTTTAAATGGGTGATTAAGTTAAAATGAGGTCCGTAGGGTGGGCTCAGTCCAGCATGACTGTTGTCCTTAGAAGGAGATGATGCCACCAACATGCACAGAAGAACCACCCTGTGAGGACCTTGGAGGACAGAGACACACCTGGAGGGATGACACCTGAGGACACAGGGAGACGAGGGCCGCCCGCAAATCAAGGAGAGAGGCCTCAGGAGGAACCAACCCTGCCGAGTCCTGATCTCAGACTTTTGGACTCCAGGACTGCGAGACAATAAACTACAGATGAAGCCCCAGGCTTTTGTTTTCCTGGGGTTTATTCTCAAGTGGGAATGAGGATGGAAATCACAAATTGAGAAATCACACCAGCATCAGGAACCTCTTATGGCCTCTCCTGAGGGTGACACCAACTTCCGTGGTGTTTGCAATAGTCCCCTGCCCACTAAACTGTATGCCATAACCTAGTGAAGAAAGAATGGTCCACCACACTTCCCAAGTGATTTCTCTCTGGAGGGGTGCTCAGAATATAGATTGGGGTTTTGAAATAGATGAAATTGTTGGCAGAATTCTTGAGAGCAGGGAAGTGGTGGGATGCCAGCCTGCCTGAAAGCACGTGCCCTCGACCACTCCAAGCACGCGGGACGCAGGCTGAGGAAGTCATGGAGAGCCAGGGACTCCCCCACATTTTGTGAAAATTGGGTAAGAAGACAAGGAGATCTAATTTTATTTTTCGGGGAATCTGTCCTTGCGTTCGCAAAAGGAAATTGAAGCCAGAATGAGCAGGGGCACCAGAATGTTCTGTTTATATATTCAGATGTTTACTGCATGCTCACTACGTACAAGGACACTTAGCAGTGTGGAGCAGAAAGAGTTGATGAAACAGTTTCCACCCGCACCCACTGGAAGATTTGGAGAGATCACACTTAGCTAAAGATGCTAATCTTCACCTATCTGTGTAATACAGAGAACGGTGCAGCAGGGAGGGCACAATTTCAGAAGAGGAGCTCCAAGTCCATTACCCACCTCTGAAGGGACGGGGCGCTTGATGCTGAATGGTGAGATTCAGCCAACCCTCCCTGGCTGCATGTACACACATTTGAAGCAGGAGCCTGCATTCACAGCCAGCTCTCATCACCAGTGGTTCTTCTTGGTCTCCTCTCTTTGTCTCCTGAGAATCTGCTGAGGAATGATAACCTTTCCAGGGCTTAGAGTGTGTTTTACACTTTTTATTTCTAAAAGTATGACCCACGTCGAAGAACCTTTGTTTGGCCTGTATCCATTTCCTGTGTGGTTTTTAACAAGCAGTTTCTCACCTATAGCTTGACCACCTTTGCTGTTGGGTGGAGTAACATGGCCTGTGTCTCAATGGCTCATCATCTTCCTCAGTGTGGACTTTCAGGAGGGTGCTCTGGTAGTGGGATGAGCCCCATCACTCCGAGCTCTGCCCCTGCCTTCACACAGCTTTCTCCTCTGGTCTGTGTTTCTCCTCTTCTTAGAATGACACCTGTTACTGGATTTAGGCCCATTCTAACCTGGGCTGATCTTTACCTTATTCACAACTGCAAAGAACCTATTTCCAAATAAGGTTGGATTCACAGGTTCTGGTGATGGTGTCTTTTTTGGGGGTAAAGGAGACCATCCAATCCACTATGCGTGTAGAAAATATAGATGTTGGGAGGAATTCAGCATGAGTGCCGCACCCTAGAAAGGGTATTTGTTGTCGGCGCCCAGCACGGTATAGGAAGAGGCTGAGAGAGTGGCTGCCCTCAGGCTGGTGACTCAGATACAATCTCAGATGGACAAGATGTTCACAGGGCCAAGGAGCAGTGGTGACTTGCTCAACTCAACGGACAGAGCAAGGGAAGGCCCCAGGGGAACTGGTGCTGAGGGAAGCAGCCTCGCAGGTGGGGACCTTGGCAGGTCAGCCTCGTGGGTCTTTTGGACACACAGTCCCCTCGTCTGTTTTCTCTTTGCCTTCCTTTGACTTCAGGTGGTCATTCCTCCCACCTATGGTTTCCAGGGCCCCGTGGTGCCCTGTGGCTACTCAAACTCAAATCTCATCTGTTTCCCTCTCTCCCTCCTCACAGGCCCTTGATGGCAGGGCCATGGCCCCAGCTGTGGAGGGCAAAACTCACCATTTCACTGTTTTTAAGAGTGTGTTGGTCCTGAAAGCATCTGAATCCATTAGCTAGGGCTGCCATAACCAAGGACCACAAAGGAGGCTGTTAAAGGACAGAGGCTTGCTTATCTTCCTCAGTTCTGGATGCTGGAGGCCTGAGATCCAGGTGTGGGCAGGGTCGGTTCCCTGGGAGGCTGTGGGGAGAACCCGCTCCTCCTATGGCCTCTGTGCTCGCCTGTGAACTAATTTCTTCTTACAAAGACAGCAGTCCCATGGGATTAGAGCCCACCCTAAGGACCTCATCTACCCTAATTACCTCTTTAAAGGCTTATCTCCAAATACAGTCCCATTTTAGGTACATTTTAACCATAGGACGTCAACATATGAATTGTAAAAGAGCACAATTCAAGCCAGGGCTGCACCCGTCCAGATGCGCCAGGACCTCGGCAAGCTCACTCTTGTACTTTAGGTCCTTCTCCGCTTGTGCAATGGCCCCAGCTGCCCACTCACTTGGCCTCTCCCTGCTCCCCCGCCCCCAGCCCTCTGCCTCCAACACTGTTGGAATGTGCCCTCGGGTCCCACACACCTCAAATGCAGGTGAGAGGCCTCTAAGCATAACTGGTTCAACCTGTTTCCACTCCAGCCTCTCCACCAGGGGACCAGGGGATGGAATCCCAGCCATTCCAGAGACCAGCTCCAGAAGCCCTGAGTCCTCCTTTGCCCCAGACAGTGGTTGACCAAAGGGGCTCCAGGCCCTGCATCGCAGCCCTGCAGTGGGCACAGGCGCATTGCTGGGGAGCAGGCAGCTTTGGGGGCACAGGTGCAGAGGATGGCCACGCTCTCCCACCCACCAGCTCCCTCTGCTCCTTCCTCGTCTGGAGTCTCCTGGGCTTCAGTGGCTTTGAGGAAGAGCCAGGAAGGGCGTGAGGCAGGTTTACTGTAAGACAAAGGCAAATGGCAGATTAAATACTGGTCACTGCTTTTCCCTGGCCGCCTTCCTCACCCTCCTAGTCCCTGCCTCACCTTTCTGCTCCACCCTCCCTGACTCCTCTCACATCTTAGGAAGACCAGCAAAACCACAATTTTGTGCTAGTTTCTGCCAACAGCCAAACCATCAATCTTGAATTTCTTAAGAAGATTTTATGCTGACGAAGACAGATTCCTCTCTAAGAAAGCCGCTTATGCCAGCTGTTAACTAATACATTTTATGTGACTGAAAAATGCACATATATAAACATTTTCCAAAATAATGAATATTTATAAAATACATAGAGATCCATAAAAAGAGAAGCTTAACTTGCAAAATTATTTCATTATTTTTTAAGTAAAAATTTTGGAGGCTGCAATAATATCATAAATTAACAACAAGGCAGCCCAAAATAGACTACTTGAAAATTAAACGACATTAGCAAAAATAGAAACAGAGCTCAAACTATCTGAAGAATGAATGTGCACGTGTTCATGAACATGGGGAGGAAAAGGAAATTATGTGTTTCTGCTGCCCAGGTAAATTGGTTAAGTATTTCTGCAGGCCATTTTAAAACATGTATCACAATTCAAAAATTTCAAATTTCATAATCTCCGATATAACAATTTACGTTTCCAGAAATTTAAACTATGGAAATACACTGAAATATGTGCTTGAGGGTATTTATTCTTGCATATTTTCAATAGCTTAAAATCAGAAGCTACTTACACACCCACTAGCAGAAAGATTTCCAATAAGTAACAACACATTGATGAATGGAACAGTTAGTAGCTCTTACAAACAGTTGTTCATCCAGATTACATGAACATTAAAATATTTGTTAAGATTTACACTATATGGTTAAGTGTTTAATTTCTGAGCAACAGAATAATGGGAACTAAAATATGCTTATTTTTTCCATAAGATTTTATTATTTTAATTTCCACTATAAGTATGTATCAGTTTATAATTTTAGAAAAAGAGAAGATAGGATAAGTATGCATTCTTATTTTCTCCATGTGATTTTATTATTTCAATTTTCACCATAAGTATGTGTCAGTTTATAAGCTTAGAAAAAGAGAAGTTAGGCCAGGTGCAGTGGCTCAGGCTTGTAATCCCAGCACTTTGGGAGGCCGAGGCAGGTGAATCACCTGAGGTTAGGAGTTCAAGACCAGCCTGGGAAACATGGTGAAACCCCATCTCTACTAAAAATACAAAAATTAGCCGGGTGTGGTGGTGCACGCCTGTAGTCCCAGCTACTCAGGAGGCTGAGGCTGGAGAATCCCTTGAACCTGGGAGGCGGAGGTTACAGTGAGCCAAAATCGTTCCATTGCTCTGCAGCTTGGGTGACAGAGTGAGATTTAGTCTCAAAGAGAAAAAAAAGAAAGAAAAAGAGAAGGTAGAAAATAGATCCTTGGTTAAATATGTTATAATATGGCTAAAATGAATGAAGTAGTGGTGTCTGCAATTAAGTGGAAGGACAGCCGCTAGAATTTGTTAGAATATCTACATGTGTGGCAAAGCTACGGTGACCCACATAACCATGTGTGCACATGTATGCATTAATAAAGACATGTAAAGCAAAACGACAACTGCTTCCTTGACCTAGTCCGTGGTCACAGAGGACAATCCTCCTGAATAGAGGTGGTGTGGATGGCATCAGTGATGTATTGCTTTAGGCCGATCCAGCAAGCACTTCCAATTAATTGTACCTCGGCAGCAGTCCTCTGCTTCATACAGGGCAATGGTCCTCAACAGGAGATGATTTTGAATTGTCATATGACTGGGGAACTGGATAACTTAGTACCCTACTGCACAACAGACTACCCTGCCCTGAATACCAACATCATCCTCATCACCCTCATCCCAGAAATACTGCTGTATGCTAATGGAACGCCTGGCTTTCACCTGAGTACATGGTTGCCTTGACTACAGTTCCCAGATTCCTAACAGCAAGGTGTGGCCATATGGCCAAGTGCTGGCCGATAGGGTATGAGCAAAGAGATCAAGTCAGCTCCCTGGCAGTGTCCTTGTTGGTGGATGGCTCACAATTCTTCCCTGCATCCTTGATCCTGGCTGGAATGCAATGTGGCCACACAACGCAGATAGGGGGCAAGACCCTGTGTCCACAGGGCAGAAGCAGCAAGGGGCACGGACAGGTTCCCAGGATGGTGTCAGGGTCCTGAGATGCCCGCGCCTGTTTCCCAGGACCAAGCCACACCCCCAGGGAGAGTCCTTCAGCCACCGTTGTTCTGGCTTTGTGTCTTTCATGGGTGAACCACATCCAAACAAATCTGGAGCCTGATATTTTATCTACATAAATTATACAAGATTCTACTGTTCCTATAAATAATTTCAACATTATTGATAAAAATAAGATTGCCGTGACTGCTGTAACATATGATCACAAATTTGGTGGCTTAAGGTGACTGACATATTTTCTCTCACAGTTCTGGAGGCCTGAAGTCCTAAGTCAGGGTGCTGGCCAGGCTGGCTCCCTCTGGAGGCTCACGGGAGAATCCGTCTTCTCCCCTTCTCTTCTGTGTACCAGGCTGGCAGGCAATCCTGGGGGTCCTTGGCTTGTGGCCACAGCACTCCAGTCTCTGCCTCTGTCTTCACATGGCTTTCCCTCTGCTCCTGTCTTCTCTTTTGTCTCTTGTAAGGATGACTGCCATTGGATTTAGGACTCACACAGATAATGCAGGATGACTTCTTCTCAAGCTCTTTAACTTAATTACATCTGCAAAGACCCTTTTTTGAAATAAGATCACATTCACCAGTTCTGGGGTTTAGGACATGGACGTACTTTTTTGGGGGCCACCATCCAACTCACTATCGACTACTAACCCAATCTCATTTCCCCCCCCAGGGAAATCCCCAGAGCTCTCTCTAAGGATTTATATGCATGTTTATACACTTACAGACATGTATACATGTTTCTGCACCTATAAATAAATTAGACCTAGGTACACATGCATGCACACCTGTAGGTATGCATGGCTTGTGTGCATGCATGAGCACCTGTAGACATGCGAGGCCTGTATGAATGCATGGGCACCTGTAGACATACAAGGTCTGTGTGCATATGTGCATGCACCTGTAGACATATAATGTATGTAGATATACATTGCTTCAATAGACTTGTTTGATGCAGGGTTGCCACAAATCCTCAATTTATTAAAAACAACAACAAAAAAACACATTCTCTGTGAAGTGTGATAAAGTGAATACCAGGTGCACCTATAGGTATAGGTGCCCATGCATGTGCATACAGGCCATGTATGTCTGCAGGTGCACGCACATATCCACACAGGCTTTGAATGTCTACAGGTGCACATGCATGCACACAGGCCTTGTATGTCTACAGGTGCACACATATGTGCACACAGGCCTTGTATGTCTACAGGTGCACACACATATGCACATAGGCCTTGTATGTCTACAGGTGCACACATATGTGCGCACAGGCCTTGTATGTCTACAGGTGCACAAACGTATGCACACAGGCCTTGTATGTCTACAGGTGCACAAACATATGCACATAGGCCTTTTATGTCTACAGGTGCACACATATGTGCACACAGGCCTTGTATGTCTACAGGTGCACATGCACACAGGCCTTGTATGTCTACACGTGCACACACATATGCACACAAGCCTTGTATGTCTACAGGTGCACACATATGTGCACACAGGCCTTGTATGTCTACAGGTGCACATGCACACAGGCCTTGTATGTCTACAGGTGCACACACATATGCACACAGGCCTTGTATGTCTACAGGTGCACATGCATTTAGGCCTTGAATGTTTACAGGTGCACATGCACATCCTCACTTCCTGTCTCTGTCACATTTTGGAAATTCTCACAATATTTTAAACTTTTATGTTATTATATCAGTTTTGGTGATCTGTGATCAGTGATCTTTGACGTTACTCTTGTAATTGTTTTGGGGCACCAGGAATCACACCCATATAGGACAGAGAACTTAAGCAATAACCATTGTTTGTGTTCTGGCTGCTCCATTACCTAGTTGTTCCCCAACTCTCTTCCTCTTCTCAGGCCTCCCTATTCTCTGAATCACAGCAATATCGAAATTAGGCCAGTTAATAGCCCTACAATGGCCTTTAAGTGTTCAAGTGAAAGGAAAAGTTGCACGTCTCTCACTTTAAAGCAAAATCTAAGAATGATTAAGCTGAGCAAGGAAGGAATATCAAAAGCTGAGTTAGGCCAAAAGCTAGGTCTCTTGTACCAAAGAGTCAACCAAATTGTGAATGTAAAGAAAACAGTTTTGAGGGCAATTAAAAGTGCTACCTTAGTGAAAACAAGAATTTTGAGTGAAACAGGCATATTGTTGATAGGGAGGAAGTTTAAATGCTCTAGATAGAAGATCAAACCATACACAACATTCCCTTAAGCCAAAACCCAATGCAGAGAAAGGCCTTAACTCTCTTCAATTCTATGAAGCTTGAGAGAGGGGAGGAAACTGCAAAAAAAAAAAAAAATAGTTAGGAGCTAGCAGAGGTGGTTTCATGAGGTTTAAGGAAAAAAGACATCTTCATAACATGAAAGTATCAAGGTGAAGCAGAAAGTGCTGATGGAGAAGCTGCAGCAAGTTATCTGGAAGATCTACCTAAGATTGTTCATGAAGGTCACTACACTAAACAACAGATTTTCAGTGTAGATGAAACAGCCTTCTATTGGAAGAAGATGCCATCTAGGGCTTTCATACCTTGAGAGGAGAAGTCAGTGCCTGGCTTCCAAGCTTCAAAGGGCAGGCTGACTCTCTTGTTAGGAGCTGGTGCAGCTGGTGACTTTCAGTTGAAACCAATGCTCATTTAACATTCTGAAAGTCGTAGAGCCATTAAGAATGATGCTAAATCTACTCTGCCTACGTTTTATAGATGAAACAACAAAGCCTGGATGATAGCACATCTGTTTACAGCATGGTTTCCTGAATATTTTAAGCCCATTGTTGAGACCTACTTCTCAGAAAAAAATATCTCTTCCAAAATACTACTGCTCATTGACAACTCACCTGGTTTTTATGCAAGAGCTCTGATGCAGATGTACAATGAGATGAATGTTTTCATGTCTATTAGCAGACCTATTCTGCAGCCCAAGGATCAAGGAGTCATTTTGACTTTCAAGTCTTAATATTTGAGAATACATTCTGTAGGGCCCTAGCTGCCACAGACAGTGATTCCACTTGAAGAATCTGGGCAAAATAAATTGAAAATCTTCTGGAAACAATTCACCATATTAGATGCCACTAAGAACATTCATGATTTGTAGGAGGAGGTCAAAATATCAGCATTAACAGGAGCTTAGCAAGAAGTTTATTACCACTTTCATGGATGACTTTGAAGGCATCAAGACTTCAGTGGAGGAAGTAACTGCAGATGTGGTGGAAACAGCAAGATAACTAGAATTAGAAGTGGAGTCTGAAGATGGAACTGGATTGATGCAATCTCATGAGAGAACACATGAGGAATTCCTTCTTATGGATGAGCAACGAAAGTGGTTTCTTGAGATGCAATATCTTCCTGGTGAAGATGCTGTGTGTTCATTGTTGAAATAACAAAGGATTTAGAAATTACCTAAACTTAGTTGATAAAGCAGCAGAGAGGAAACACTCCAATTTTGAAGGAAGTTCTACTGTGGGTAAAATGCTATCAAATGGCATTACATACTACATAGAAATCTTTCATGAAAGGAAGATATAATCAAAGGGGTAAACTCAATTCTTGTATTATTTTAAGAAATTGCTACAGTGACCTCAACTTTCAGCAACCACCACTCTGATCAATCAGCTGCCACTGACATTGAGGCAAGACAATCCACCAGCAAAAAGATGAGGACTCCTTGAGGGCTCAGATCATCCTTAGCTTTTTTTACCAATAAAATATTTTAAATTAAGTTATGCTCACCGCTTTTTAGACATAATGCTATTGCACACTTAATAGACTACAGTAAAGGATAAATATAACTTTTTTTTTTTTGAGACGGAGTCTTGCTTTTTTGCCCAGGCTGGAGGGCAGTGGCACAATCTCGGCTTACATGAAGCTCCACTTCCTAGGTTCATGCCATTCTCCTGCCTCAGCCTCCTCAGTAGCTGGGATTACAGACACCTGCCACCACACCTGGCTAATTTTTTTTGTATTTTTAGTTGAGACGAGGTTTCACTGTGTTAGCCAGTAGGGTCTCGATCTCCTGACCTCGTGATCCACCCGCCTCGGCCTCCCAAAGTGCTGGGATTACAGGCATGAGCCACCGCACCTGGCCAGGATTAATATAACTTTTTTATAACTAGTTCCAATAAAGCTTTATTTGTGAACTCTGATACTTCATATAATTTTTACTTCATTAAATATTAGTCTTTGATTTCTTTTCCCAACCATTTAAAAATGCAGAAACCATTCTTAGCTTGTAGTGCATATAAAAGTAGGCAGCAGGCTGGATTTGGCCTGCGTGCTGCAGATTGCCAACCCATGCTACAGAATATACCCTGAAAGCCTGTCACCTCAAAATTTCAAATCATTGCTTCCCAAAGACTTAAAGTGATTATTCAAATCTTCATCAGTAACTTCTTTTAGATCAGCTGGTTTCCATTTTGGACTCTGGTCTTTATTAATTAAAACAGCTCTGACACCTTCATAAAAGTCATGACCCTCCATACAAGCTTGACTTAGCTGATACTCCATAGTTAGTACTTCTTGCAAGGTCTTTCAAGACCCCTCCAGGAGTTACCTTAGTGTGATCTTTAGAGATGTTGGAGACATGTTATTAATTACCTTCAATTGCTCTAGGGCAAAAGATGAACAATCTTGCTGTAAGTTTTCAATAATTTGTCCCACAGTATTGGCTGAAAAGCAACTGTTTATTTTGCCCATGTGTTCCTCAAGTATAAAAGACTTGTCTTCATCAATCTTAGACTCCATATGGTAATTTTCTAAGACAGCTGCAATATTTTCTTTTGAAGGAGATTTCAAGGCTAACAAATCTTCCTCTAACATGCCCAACTTTTCAGAATCTACAAAGTGTGTAGCAATTCCTGCTCTGTACATATCATTTCATTTTAGTCTGAATCCTGTTAATGCAAGGATGTAACCAAGTTTTCCTTGAAGTCATGGCAAGAAATAACCTCCACCCACATCAGGGAACAGCCCTACTGCGGTTTCTGGCATGGCAAAAAGACACTTTTCTGTAGCCACTTGAAGCTGCCCATGGACTGACGACCAACTCTCCCACCCATTGTAATTCCATGAATAAGTGCAACATAAGGTTTCTGGCAAGAACCAAAAGCATTGTTCAGCATATATTCTTCTCTGAAGAAAACTGGCGCTATCTTCCGTTTTGCCTTTTCAGCCTCCGAGATGACTCTAATATCACTCCCATCACAGAAAGCCTTTCCTCCGGCTCCCTTTATAATGATCAGGAGAGTTTCAGGATCTTCTTCCCACTTCTCTAGCCATGGATACATCTGCACACGTTTCTTTCCCCCCCCCCAATAGCACGTCTTCTGCTGCATCTGTGTGCTTGGACATTCTCAAATGGTGCAGTATGGTATTAATCCTTTTGAATGCATTAAACCTCGACATGAGCCTCCCCACCTCCTGCTGCCCCATCGCCAAACACTCCGGAGCTAAAGCAGCAGAGCAAGAGGCACCCGGATGGTTCCAGCACCTCCAAATACAGCTTTTTATATGCATTGGGAAAACAAAAAATTTGTGTGACTCGATTTATTACAGTGGTCTGGAACCCAGCCCTCATCTCTGAAGTATGCCTGTATATACACGCATGTGTATCTATAAACATGTAAATCCTATGTAAACATACGTGTGCACCTATAGATGTGTAAGTCCTGCATCCGCAGGTATGTGCACCTGTAGACATGTAAGGCATATATATACATATATACATGTCAGCTGTGAGAGCAGACTTCACTAATTGCTAATGAACAGAACATGTCAGAAATGATGGAATGTCACTTCCAACATTAAGTATTAAAAGATTCTGACTTTCCATTTTGAGTCTCCTTTCTTTCTCATTATCCTCCAATCACTGATCTGGGGAAAACCAGCTGCCAAGGTTTCCCTGAGACCAGCGACCTGGAGATCGTGAGGCCGCCTTGTGCACAAGCTCATGTGGGGAGAGTGAGGCTGGTCAACAGCCAGGTGAGTGGGCTTGGAAGCCAGTCACTGCCCCTGTTGAACACTTAAAACAAATCCTCTAATTGTGCAAGTTCAATATTGAAAGGCAAATTAGACCTAGCTTATTACATATAGGTATTCAACTTTTCTACTTTCTTTCTATTTAATCTGTTAGTTTCTGAATTTTAAGTTACTGTCTCTTACAATGACTGAGAATTTTCTACTTTTTGTACATTGTGTGTTTTAAGCTGTTATGTGCAAAAAAGTTTATGACTGACATGTCTTCTTAATGCATTATTCCCTTTATTATATAAATAACCAATTTAATCCCCCTTGTTATTTTCACCCCGACTTCTAATTTATTTTCTGTCAATGCCTCCAGTTGCTAGCTTTTTATTAGCATTTGATTGGCATCCATTTCCCATCCAATTCTTTTCAACTTCCATATGAAAGTTGTGCCTTGGTGCGTCTCTTCTGTTGGTGCAGAATTGGATTTTTTTAACCCAATTTGTAAGGTTCTCTCTTTTGCTACATGAACAGAACTCATATTTATTACAAGTACTGATCTGTTTCACTTTTCTTTTCTGCCAAATAATTTATTTCTAGATATTATATTTGCCATTTTATTTTTTCCTCATAAATGCCATTGTTTTTAATTGATCATGTTTTCTCAGTTACTTTCCAACCTCTCTCTAATGATATTCAAAAACACAATTTTTTTTCAAGCATCATTATTAAGGCATAATTTTCAATGTGGTGATTTAGTGGGGCTGTTGAGTAAAATTGCTATGAACATTCATGTGCAAGCGTTTGTTGGATTATGTTTTCATTTATCTTACGCAAATACCTAGGCACACAAGCACCATGCCATATGCTAAGTGAATGTTCGACTTTGTAAGAAACTTCCAAACTGCTTGCCAAAGGCCTGTCTCACTTGACATTTCCACCAGTGAGGTGTAACATTCATACCAACACTTGCTACTTGCTATTTTTCAGCTTTTTAACTTTTGCTAATCTAGTGGTTTTGTGCTTATATCTTCTTGAGATTTTAATTTGCTTTTCTCTGATAACATGGCAAACATTTTTCTCATGTGCTTACTGATCATTTATATATCTTTTGTTTATAAATGACATTTTGAAATACTTGCCAACATTTTGAAAAAACCTGGTTTTTCAATATATTCTTATTATTAAGTTGTAAGAGTTCTTTATATATTTTGGGTACAGAACCTTGGTCTGAAACATGTATTATGAATATTTCCCCCAATATATGGCTTACCTTTTCATTTAAAAAAAAAGTCTAAGAACAGAAGCTTTCTAATTTAAGTTTAAATGATCAGTTTTTTCAAAAAATATGGGGTTTAGCTTTTTGCATGATATGCAGGAAATTTGTGCTAGCCTCTATGTCACAAAAATAAGATTTTCTCCTTATTTCTTCCAGGAGTTTTGTAGTTTATAATTTTAGATTTAGGACTATGACCCATTTCAAGTTTTTTTGCATGTGTTTGACAGGTGCTGTTTTGTTTGTTTTGCTTTTGTTGTTTTTGTACTTTAGCTGATATCCAGTTGTCCTAGTACTATTTGTTAAAAAGATTATCTTTTCCCCATTAACTTGACTGGAAAATCAACTGAACCTTTAAGAGCACATGGATTTGTAGGCTATTAACTTTATTCCATGGATCTGCATGTGTCTTTCAAAGTGGATACCACATTGACTTTGTTACTGGGGCAGACGTGGAAGTCAGCTGGTGCAAGTTCTTCAGCTTTTCCCTAGCTGTGCTGGCTCTTCCAGATTATCTGCATTTTCATAGAAGTTTTAGAAAAATCTGGTCATTTTCTACTAAAATGTCTGTTGGGATTTTGATTTCAATGACTCTATTGATTAACTGGGGGAAAATTGATATCACAATATTGAGTCTTCCCATCAATGAATATTATATTTCTTCCCATTTATTTAGATTTATTTAATTTCTCCCAGAAATATTCTGTAGTTTAGCATATAATATGGCACATATTTATTCCTACATAGTTAAGGTTTCGATGCTATTGATAATGGATATTTTAAAAAATTCATTTTCCAATTGCTCATTGCTAGCATAGAGAAATATAATTATTATATATTGACCTTTTATTATCTGACCTTGCTAAATTAGTCAATTAATTCTAGCAGCTTTCGTAGATTTTTTAGAATTTCCTACATCCAGATATTATGTTATTTACAAATAAAGGCAATTTTATTTCTTTCTTTGCAATGTGTATGACTTTTGCTTCTTTTTCTTGCCTTATTGCACTGGGTAGAAGCCCCAGGACAATGCTTAGTAGAAGTGGTGGGAGCAGACGTTGCCTTGCTCCTGATTATAGGGAGGGAAGTATTGTTTTTCATCATTAAATGTTGTTAATTGTGGACTGAGTGTATATGTTCTTTATGGATTGAGGATGTCCGTTTCTCCCCTGATTTTGTTGAGAGCTTGATTTTTGATGAATGCTTTTCTTTTATTTCTTCCATAAATTCAGGTAATCGTGTAGTTTTCCTTCTTTATTTTGTTAACATGGTGAATCATGTTAATGAATTTTTTAATGTTAATGAATCCCGAATTTTTGGGATGAGCTCCACTTGGTCACAATATATTTTATTTTTATTGCTAGGTTTAATTTGCTAATATTTTATAAAAGAATTTGTATATTCAATGATAGATATTGTTCTGTATGTTTCTTGAGATATTTTTGTCTGGTTTTGGTAATTTGGTATCAAGGTAGTTTGGCCTCATAAAATAAATTAGGAAACTTCTCTATTTTCTAAAAAGAGAATGTGTATTATTATTTATTCCTTAAATGATGGATAGAATTTACTACTGAAGTCATATGAGCCTGGAGTTTTCTTTGTAGGAAGGTTTAAAAAAATTTTTTTTTAGATAGATACAGAGCTATTCAGATTTTCTATTTTTTTCTTATGTGTGGTATCTTTAAAAAATTTCTCCACTTTATCTAAGTAGTTGAATATATTTGTGTAAGTCTATTTCTTTATAATCCTTCCTTATAACCTTTTTATGACTCTAGGGTCTGTAGTGGTATGTATTAATTGACTCTTGATACTGGCAATTTATATCTGTTCTTCTCTTTTTCTTGTTCAGTCAACTGAAAGTATATAAATTTTGTTGATCCTTTCAAAGAATGACCTTTTGATTTTATTGTTTTTCCATTTTTATTTTATTAATGTCAGATCTGATCTTTATTATTTTCTCCTCTTATTTTGAGTTTGCTTTGATATTCATTTTATCAGTATCTTAAGGTAGAGGTTTAGACTACCGAATTTAGACTTTTCCCATTTTTCAAAAAAAGCATGTAATGCTATACATTTTGTTGTAAGAACTGCTTTAGCTGAAGCCTGCAAAGTTTTACATGTTGCATTTTTAGTTTTCATTTCATTCAGTTTAAAATATTGCTGTCATCTTCAATTCATTGGGTTATTTAAACATATTTTATGCTGGGCACAGTGGTTCATTCCTATAATCCCAGCACTTTGGGAGACAAAGGTGGGCAGATTGCTTGAGCCCAGGAGTTTGAGACCAGCCTGGGCAACATGGCAAAATCTTGTCTCTACAAAACATACAAAAATTAGCCAGGTGTGATGGCATGTACATGTAGTCCCAGCTACTCAGGAAGCTGAGGCAGGAGGATCCCTTGAACCCAGGAGGGTGAGGTTTCAGTAAGCCAAGATTGTGCCACTTGCCTGGGGACAGAGCAAGACCCTGTCTCAAAAATACAAAACGAAACATATTTTGCTTAATTTCCAAATACTTAGGAATTTCAAAAATATCTTCTTATTATTTATTTCTAATTTAATGCCATCATGTCAGATAATGTATTCTGTATAATTTCAGTCCTCTTAAACTTATTGAAACTTATGTAATGCCCTATTATTTGGTTTACATTGGAGAAGGCTCCAGGTTCACTTGAGAAGGTATGAATTCTGCCATTGTATGGTGGAGATTCTATAAAGGTCAACTTATTTGAGTTGGTCGATGGTGTTGTTTAGGTCTTCTATGTACTTGCTGATTTTCTCTCCACTTGTTATATTAGTTGCTAAGAGAGGAGTGCTAATATTACCAACTCTACTCATGAAAGTATCTATTTCTTTTTTCACTCTAGAAATTGTATGCCTCATGATTTTAACACACATATTATTAAGTACATACAAACTTAGGATGAGTATATCTTCTTGTTAAATTGACTTTTTTGTTATAATAAAATATATTCTGTATGTCTTTCTATATATTGTAGTATTTCTTGTCCTAAAGCCTACTTCGTCTGATACTGAGATAGTCACTTCAGCTTTCTTATGATTAGTTTTTGCATTTTATCCTCCTTTCTGTCATTTTATTTTAACCTGGTTCTGTCTTTATATTTAAAGCTTATTTCTTACAGATAGGATATATTGGAGTATTGCTTTTTTATCATCTAATAATCTCTTCTGTTCAATTAATGTTTTTACATCATTTATATTTAGTGTAACTATTATTATGATTTGATTTAAATCAGCCTGTTACTATTTGTCCCATCTGTTTTTTACTACTTTGTCTTTATTTTTTTTGCCTTTTTCTATATTGAGATTATAAAATTATTCCAATTTATCAGAATTATCATCTTACTAGTTGTACCTCTTTATAATTATATATAATTTTAGTGCTGTCTAGTGTTTACAACATGAAACTTTAACTGAGTGAAGTACACCTTTAAATGTTATATCTCTATGTATATAATGCAAGACCTTTATAAGGGTGTGATTCCATTTCCCATTGTCGTATATCTTATTTATACATATAAACCTCATAATATAGTATTACTTTTTGCTTTAAATGATCAGTTATTTCTAAAAATTTCAAAAATGGAAAAAATAACCTTAATACTTATTTGCGCATTTACCATTTTGGAGGCTCTTTATTTATTTTTATAGATCCAAATTCTGAGCTGGTTTTGCTTAATTTCAGCATAAAGTTGTGGGTTTTTTTTTTCCTACTAACGTTGTTGTTCATATCTATGGTGATAATTGGATTTCTTTACTCAAAAAAAATGTTTGCCTTATGTTTGACAAATATATCCCTGGACATAGAACTACAGGTTGACTTTTTTTTTTCTTTGCTGCACTTTATAGATTGTTTTCATTGTCTTCTGGCTTTCATTGTTTCTCTTAGGCAATGTGTAATTATTATTATCTTAGTCTCCCCTGTTCATGTTTTCTCACCCTCTAATCCCTGGCTGCTTGCAGGGTTTTCTTTGTACTTATTTGACTGGGCTTTAGTGAGTTTATTCTACCTGTGTGTTCATAGTTTTCATCAGTTTGGAAAAATACTAACCATTATTTATTCAAGTGTATTTCTGACCTCTTTTCTGTTTCAGGGACTCCAGATATACTTCTATTAGATTGTTTAATGTTTTCCCATAGGTCCCTGAGGCTCTAGTGTTTTTCCTCCATCTCTGTGCTTTTTTTTGAGGGGATATGATGCGTTTTTTATATATTTAAGTTCTCTGATTTGTCTTCTGCAATGTATAGCTCTATTTATTTTTGATGGTTGCATTGTATTCTATTTCATGAAAATAGAATATCATAATTTACTCATCCATTTTTCTAATTAAGGGCACTACATTATTTCCAGTTTCTTGCCATTTGCAATAGTCCTGCAACAAATATCATTGTACATATGTTTTTACTTAATTTATTTCTATGAGATAGAGTTCTAGGTCTGGGATCTTTGGGCGAAAGGAATATTTATTTAATTTTAAACTTATTTACCCTTCCAAACTTCTTCACTTTTCAAATCTTCTGACTCAAACATTTCTAGTTGCTCATATACATATAATTTACACAAAATAATTAATGTGATAATTTTATATATTTTATTTTAGTGCAGTCATTTCTTTCCTTTTTCATCTTTGCTTTGCTATCATCTCCCCTTTTCTCTGCCCTCCAAGTGACACTTTTCTGAGGTTTTTAATCTGCTAAATCCATCTAGTGAGTTCTCATTTCAGATATTGACTTTTTTACCTCTAGAAGATCTATTTGGTTCTTGAGTAGATTTCTATTAGGTATTGAATGAGAGAAGCACAACATAGAAAATTGGATATAGTATGCATCAATGACCTAAACCAAACAAATAACAAAACCTGCATGTATTTGTATTTAATAATAGCTGCATAGTATTTTGTAAAATATATACCAGATGGCCTAGAGGTAGAAGATATAATGCTATCATAAATAATGCCCAAAACAGTTTGTGTGCCAGTATATATGTGCATGAATTTCTCTATGATTGGCAGTTAAGTGGAAAAGCGGGGTTATAAGACATGGCTTACGATCTCTACTAATACCATCTGAATCTTGTGGTGATGGTGATGATGATGATGAAGACACTGGTATTCGACTACTGAGTCAATTTTTAAAACTGTGTAGATTTATTTATATGTGTTATTTCTTCTGGCCTCTGTTTTAGAAATAAATATTAATCTTGTAATTTGACCATTTCATCTAAGTTTTCAAATCTGGTTTAGGAAACCACTTAGTCTAACCTAAGCAGGAAAGGAATTCTTGCAACGACAGTCTTGTAGAACTCAAGGGCAGAAATGTAGTCAAAGCTCAGGAAGGGCCTGGGACTAGGAGCTGAAAAGCTTTCAGTGTGGTTTTCCATCTCTTTCCTCTGCCCCTTGGTTTTGTTTCTCTTCTTTTGCAAGATGGCTGGCTTTCTCTACTTTTTAATCCATGACTTCTTCTAAGCAACCAAATCACATGTTACAGTTCCACCCAAACACTGAGAATAGACTGGTATTTCCCTGTCCAAATCAACATTCCCAGGAAGGATAATCTGGCTCACGGTGGCCACGAATTAACTTCCTCTTAGACAGGAGCATGAACAACAGACACTGGTGCCGCCCTTTGTGGACGTGTTTCCCATAGCAAAGGCGGGAGTCTTCTATACCTGCTTCTCAGTCAAATAGATTGCATGAGTCACTGGAACTAAGCAATTTGGTACATTTAGCATTTCTCCACTCTCCAGAATTATTAAGCTGAAAATGTTTTTTAATCAAATTTTATAGGAAAATAAAGTTTTAATTCAGTAACATCTCAACAAATAAAAACTTGGATGTTTATTACATGACATTCAATATTACCTTTAGCATAAATAGAAAAATGTTACCCAGTACATAAATATTTTCCTCATTGAATATTCAATTAGTAAATGCAAGTAAATAATCTTCATTAGCCAGAATAACTATGCTTTATTTGCTGTGCTAAACATTCCTTAATAAATCAGACATGACACTGCATTATTTCTCTTTATAAAAGTCCTATTTTGTTCCTTTTAGCAGATCTCCGAGTTCTGTCTGCAATGGAAACAAATAATATATCTGATATAGATGAAAATTTTCAAACATTAAATATCAGTTTCTTAGCAACCATAGAAATTTAAAGAGTTCACTTTCTCAGTACCCATTGAGAAGTGTGTCAATAATTAAATGTTTCCTAAAAGAAAGAGATTCAGCACATCTGCTTGGGAGAGTGTTGTGGGAGGCTCACATGATGGATGGCCTCAGCCCACATCATGACACTTGGCCATGGAACTGCGATGTGTGTCCCGCCTTCATAGCTGTCTTGGCGACAAGCTGTGGGTCAGGATTTAGGATGGTGTCTACCGGACTCTTAGGTACCTTCCTCCGAGAGAGCCCCATTTGTAATCTATTTTACCCTTCAGTGTAGTATTACGTGCCTGCAAAAGTGATATTTCTGAGGATTGATACTCCAATACATCATAATCTGAAGGTTTTTAGGTTTATACTTTGTGTTCTGAACTAAGCAGATAACAAGAGCTCACTTAGTCATTTCTCCGATAAAAAGTTATCTTCAAAGAAGAGGACAATTTTGCAAATATTATTCTACTACCAGCATTTAGTATTAAAAAGTGTCTAATTTGAAGGAAAATTTTCAAATGAGAATTAAGAGTGCTGATGCTTTGTGGAAGACGCCAAGTGACCTGAAACATCACCCTCTGATTATTTCTATCAAAAGCACATTGTTTTAGCTTCTTGGAATGATTTGTAATTGGTTTCTAATTTGGGTTGACCCTGGAATATAAAAGAACCTCTCTGCTATTTTCTGACATCATGAAAAGCAATGCAGTCTTACATTGCTCAGACTATCTCTGAGCACTTGCCCAGGAAGCTGCAGGTGTGTGGGAGTGTGGCAGGTGCACAGCCGGCAGGTGCAGGAGGCCCTGCTCTCTTGGGGTTTCTGTTTCTAGGGAAGCAGAAAGCTCTGTGCCACTCAGGCCCCGTGGCCCTGTGAATTCTGAGTGTGTCTTCCTCCACTCTCTGGCATGACAATTGATCTGGGGATAGCAGCAGATGTGCCGCTACCTGAGAATCAAGATCCACATGGAACTTTCATTGAGCTAGCTGGGGGAGCACTCATGAGATCACATTTGCTATGGAACAATGAAGGGCAGCTACCTAGGTTAAAACAAAACCCAAAATAAAAACTTCAAAATGACAGACAGGAGAGGAATCATGAATCTCTAAACAGATATATATGTAGAAATGATTTAGGGTTTTTGGTTAAATAGAAATTCCCAGTAAGTCAGACATGGTGAAGATTCTATTGTAATCTGATGTGTTCTTAGCCCTTGTTCATGAATACCTGGTGTCTATCCCTGGACTAGGAGGGCAGGAGTGCTTGTCAGGCAGTACCTGAACAAGATGTTGGATTTGGGGCTGCACATTTAAAGATGAGAATGCCTGGGGCCAGGGGTGCTCCACTGATAGAGATAGGATAGAATGACACTATTATTAAAAATAAAATATGAGATAAACTGACACAGGTAGGATTTACCCTATGAGAGATTTATTTTTGGGCTTCTTCAAGGCATTAATTACTCAGGAATAGAAGAAGCCTCTTTGTGAAAAGATCTTATGCATAAGGCTATTGCATTTGGGAAGTTTGGAGGAAGACCTTGTATTGAGCTTAAAGTACAGAAAACTGTAAGGAGGGTATGAGACAGAAGTGGTTTATCAGAATGATGATGACGTGTAACTAAATTCCAAAGACTTGAGTCAACCATTCCTGAGAAGTAATTGTAGCTATAGGATTTTGTGTGTTTCAAGTACCTAATACACTGTGCGTGTTTAGGTGTGTTTGTGAATGTGTGTGCCTGTGTGTACAGACATTCTGATAACTTTTACAAAAGGTAAATCTAAGAGCTTCAGTGAGAACAACAATCACATCATATTTTCCAGAAATAATAAGAGTTAGACTAGGTGTTAAGGCAAGCAGATCGTCAGAATCCAAGGCTTTTTTTTTTTTTTTTTTTTTTGGAGTATTGCTCTGTCACGCAGGCTCGAATGCAATGGTGTGATCTCGGCTCACTGCAACCTCTGCCTCCTGGGTTCAAGTGATTCTACTGTCCCGGCTCGTGAGTAGCTGGGATTACAGGCATGCGCCATCACGCCCGGCTAATTTTTGTATCTTTAGTAGAGACAGGGTTTCACCATGTTGGCCAGGCTGGTCTCGAACTCCAGACCTCAAATGATCTGCCTGCCTAGGCCTCCCAAACTGCTGGGATTACAGGCATGAGCCTCTGCGCCCAGCCGGCTCTCTGTTTTATGGATGGGTTTGTCCAACAGTTTGTTCCTGCAGCAGGAGACGTGAAGTCCCAGCAGCCTTCTCCTTCAGCACTGGGTGGATGTAGCTTCTGGTTCCTGCTCACGTGTCCGGGGTGTCCAGCGTCTGAATCTGTCACCATGGAAGCCACATCTAAGATCAGGCACGCTCTCTTCCCTCCCCCAGGAACAAACCCCTCCGTGATGTTGCATCACAGCCATTCCTATGTGGGCAGTTGTGATCACATGAGGGAGAGTCCAGCCATTTCCTAGGCATCCTGGGACGGGGGTGCGGGGAGGGAATATGATATGTGACAATGTGACAGATTCTCCAGTTGGAGGGGTTGGGGTCTGAATTTCATGGCAGGAAATCATCACGCTACATAAATAAGTGAATGAATGAACAAATGACCAATTAAATAAATCAAATACCTGGAATGACTTGCAGTTACTATCAAAAGCTGCTGTTTGTATTTTTATTTTACAACACCGGTAATTGCTTTTTTTATACCCTATGGCTATGATAGATTTTTCCCCCATAATTATAATTTCAGTAAATTTTTGCAATTGTAAAATAGTGCATTTTTAAAGAAATCCAGCTGTCTTTCCCCATTGAGCAGATCTTGGTTTTCTGTTGTTAATTCGATTGTGTTTTTCACTCTGGGTGCCCAACTCCAAGAACTCTTTACAGGGGTGGGTTTATGATGGATGCCAGCTGGTCTGATAGAAGGAAACAGATATTGATTTTTAATATTTTCTCCCAACTTGTTTACTCTAGGATAATACAGCAGCTGTGTGGCAGCTTGTCTCAGAGTGGAAAGGATTATTACCTCTGCCTTTTGATGAGATAAATTACCTAGGATGACTTGAATGGCTAAAGGGGATACTTTGATGTTATGTTGCTTCATTTACCCTTATGACTAAATGGTTATTGATTTTATATTTTTAAGCTCTTGAAACGTGAAAATAAGTTGGTGGAGAAGGCCGGCTGTGTTAGTTTTATTAATTTATTTCTTCAGGGCATAATTCACTTTGGACCAGGTTGTGAAGGTTTTGGGTTCATGACCGGCTGCAGATACAGTTGCAAAGAAATGGCTTATTTATATAGTCATTGCAAGTAGTCCCAAAATCAATACAGTCTGGGATTGGATGATTAAACTCAGTCCCTTTGTGGGATTCATTCCCGTAGCTGCTGCTGAAATCATGTTGACTGCAGCAGATTCATGTGATCAAGTCTACAAATAGCAAGTTTGTTCAAGTTGAAATATTATTTTTTTGCTCATCATTTTTTTTTATCTGCTGTGTTCACTCAATGACATTTTAACAGCCAAGGGGGGAAAACAGTTGATTGACTACTTCAATGAAATCAGTAATCTGCATTAAAAGAGTCGCCTCCAAGGACTTCTAGAATGTCTGTGGGTGGATTCACGCAGACTTTGATCAGAGGTCCCAGACTGCGCTGGGTTTAGTTGTGGGCGCGACTGCCAGCAGCAGGAGTCCAAGGTGTAGGCTAAACCTTTAGCTGCTCCATGCGGCTTAGAACGGCTTGGTCCCTCTCTGCGCGTGGGGCTCACTCTGCACATTTCTGTGAAATGCTGCTTTTTCTATCACCGTTTGACACGTTGGCACTATTCTACGTTATCTGAAACACACTCATATCACTCCATTTCATTGATAACTCCTGATACAAGTGCAGAAATGCTGTCTATAGAGAATCAGGTTCTGCTTTGATCTTTTGTAATTTTCCTTCAATTTATTTTCATACATTTTAAACATAATTTCCTATGTCATAGTTATTCCTTGTTGGTAAAATTTTGTTTGGTTACTGAGACTCGGGCATGTTTTAATTGAATTTAACGTTTGAAATTAGGAGTTTTGCTTTATATAATCTTCCCTGTTTGCCCTCTACTCAGCCACGAGAATACCTAATGCAGTGGGGAAACGGAAGCAGGAAGGACTGATTTTCTGAGAAGATTTTTCATTTATTTACTCAGCCTGTCAAAGACCAGAGTTAGCCAAAGCCAGAGATTCATGGTCTTGATGAAAGCTAAGGCTTTATTTTTAGTTTAGCAAAGTTTTCAATATGGCAGTTTTCCTTCCCTGTCCTTCCTCCACATCCCAATTGCTGGGCTTTGAGAGTTTGAAGAGATGGATGAGCAATGGTCACTAGTCTTTTAAGAGTCAAAAATTTATGTATCAGCCTGGCATGGTGGCTCACACCTATAATCCCAGCACTTTGGGAGGCTGAGGCGGGTGGATCACCTGAGGTCAGGAGTTAGAGACCAGCTGATCAATATGGCGAAACCCTGTCTCTATAAAAATAGAAAAATTAGCCAAACATGGTGGTGGGCACCTGTAATCCCAGCTACTCAGGAGGCTGAGGCACGAAAATCGCTTGAACCCTGGAGGTTGCCTTAAGCCAAGATCATGCCACTGCACTCCAACCTGAAGGACAGAGAAAAACTCCATCTCAAAAAAAAAGAAAATTATATATCAGTGGAATTTAATATATTACTTTTAGTCTTGGCAATTTATTTCAGATAAAGCTACGTGCTTGCAGAACTTAATACCTATTACCTGAGAAATCTGTGCTATATACATTCAGGAAACAATTGTGAGACATTTCACATTCAAGATGGGACTTCTCAATGTTATAAGTAATGGTAGCATGTTCGTATGGAGTTAAAAAAAGGTGTAAAACATTTTTTTGAACTTTATTCAGTCGGCATGTATAATTAATATGCAGTAAATTATATGGTTCCAGTTTAAAGCTTGTTTAAATGCATAGAATTTGAAGTAGAATGAAGAAATAAAATAACTTTTGGAGTGCTGTAATGTAATATGTTGATCAATTTTATAGGGGAGTGGTGAATATTTAATTAATCACCTTTTGACAATTATTCACACTGTTCGGAATCAAGGTCTTCATTAAAGCCGAAGAATAGCTTCATTACAAATGACCCATAAAAGTGTCAAGTGCTGGCTGCGAGGACAAGTAATTTCCTTTCCCTTTAAAACCATTAGATGGAATGATGAGGGCGGAGAGGGTGACGGAGTGCATATTCGTGTGATTACAAAGAGAAGCTCAAACAGTAAATTTGACAGCTACGTTGGAGGGGAAGAGGATAAGAGTTATAAAGTGACAGCTGTATTCCTTCAAAGTGCTTTTAATTTTATAAGAGGACAAGAATGGCAGCATTCTGGTTTTCACTGGATATTTCTCTTTGCCTCATCGTATGTGTTTAGGATTTAGTCGTGCCAGGATTTTGGCACTGGTGGATGTAAATAGAGGGATAATGCTGACGTTTTTCACAGTACCTCTCTAGATGGCTCTCAGCAGACGGAAAATGCATCCACTGCCCCCTTGATTGATGGCTGGGAAGCTGGCCCTCCTGGAACTGCGTCTGGACAGCAGAGAGGGACCCATATGTCAACAGAATCTGTACATGCGTTTCCAGGCTTGGCTTCGAGGACTCAGAAAAGATTCATCATCGAGGCTCCTGTTCAGCCTGAGAACAATCTCAAAAGTTGATAACTGCTTACCTTTCACTGAATCCATTTCTTAACTTTTCAATATTGGCCAAGAACTCTGACGCTGATCAACTTTCAGATGTCAAGATAGGTCTCTGGGTTTCAGAAATTCTTGCAGATTTTTTTACTGAGTGAAAAATATTTTCCTTCCCAAATGACTCAGTGATGAAAAATCATTTATGAGAATGTCAAGATTCCATGGCCTTGAAGAAAATGATACAAAAGAGACTCGTTTGGATGACTCCCCTCCTCCCCACCGGGCTGACAGTAGGCACATTTGCTGTGAGGACCAAAACAGCTTCAAGGGGTCCTGTTAGGCATTGTAGCTGCAAGGTTGAATTCTCTGTGTTGTGAAAAGTGTTTTAGATCCTTGTCATTGTAAGTGGCCTCCTTAGCTTAAGTCTGGCAAAATGCGAAGGACTAGGACTGATTTGAAAACAAACATGCCTGAAGATACTTATGTTTTCAAAAGTTCAGGGCATCTTGACCACCACTAAGGTGTGTTCCTTAAACCTCCTCTTTATTTCTTTGAACCTCGTTTATTTGAAGATCCTACACCCATGGGCAACCTGGCTGTAGTGCACACACCTACACACACAAGTTCAAGTGGCCACTTTTAAGACTAATGGCTATTGACTCTCGGGAATTCTGTGATGTTATCTCGCCTGTAAAGACTTCGTGGTATGCCGTTTACATTGTATCTGGTGATTGTATAATCATTATTGATTTTCCCTGTGTGTAGTACCTATGTCAAACAACCTCATATATTTAAAAGGTGATTATTCCAGTTATATATCTACTATTAGATAAGATCAAAGGTAGTTAAATGTGCGGTAGATGGGGCAAAGATGGCATAATGTACTTGTGCCTCTACCTTTGCTATTATACAACTCAACAACAATTGACAGCATTTAATAATTAACTTTCTAAAACATGTTGAGATTTTGGGCCTGCGGAAGAACGGACCTTGGCAGATGGAGGGAAAGCGTCGAGACCCACAGCTCAAGGCCTCATGGCTCCAGGAATGCAGGCAGCAGGATGAATGGCTTTTCAAAGGCCCTGGGAAATCATTCTGGGTGCTTAATTTGTGCCTTGTTTTTGTACAAATACTTTTGAAGAAACGAGAAACAAACTTAGACCGATGCGTAATTTCCCCCAGGATGTAATCACGGTTAATCCTAAGAGCAGGATTCCCTGGGAGCCACACCTCAGGGGAGGAAACGGGCCTTTTCAACTCCATCTCCGGGGCAGTGTGGTTATTTTATTAATGATCAAATGGTATTCTGTACATGCTGGGGGAGGAGAACCTCTGCTCCAGCACATTTATTTGAAGGCACACCAAGCTGGTTTTGTTGTTGTTTTTTGTTGCTGCAGAATTTTCTTAACAACATTTTCATTTTCCAAAATACATTTTGAGTTACAGATTTTGGAATTCATTATAACACAAACACATAAATATTTATTATTTTGAAAGCTATTAAGACTACATGTAAGACAATCCAATGGGAGTTTGTGGCAACTGGGAAAGAGAGCTCCACAAAAACCAAATTCTACTATGAGGCTTCACACACATGCAGCCCATGGAGACTTGTTGGAAAGTCTTGGTTGCCATTGTCTCCCTGTGCCCAGCTTGTGCCGTCATGGTCATCCCTCCTTTCCTCCCTGGTTCTCCTCCTCTGAGAGGCTGGGAGGGCTGGGCTGACTGCAGAGTGGGCTTGGTGGGCCGGATTGGGGGCTTGCCTGCTGGGTGGTGGCCTGAGTGGAGGATAGATGGTTTGTGGCTTCACTGGCTTCATTAGAAGTATTATGCAGAGTATCTCCTAGGGCCACATAATTTTTTTTCTTTTACATAATGTTAATTAGGAGTTATCCTTTTAGTTAAGGCAGCTAATGGAACACCACTACAACAACAATAACAAAAACCAGAACAATGCAAGTTTATTTCAGGAAACAGCAAATTCAACTTTTTTTTTTTTAAATGTGATCTCACTTGTCACCCCGGCTGGAGTGCACTGGTGCAATCATAGCTCATTGCAGCCTCAAATTCTTGGGCTCAAGCTTCTTGAGTAGCTGGGACTACAGGCCTGAGCCACCATGCCTGGCTGATTATTTTTATTTTTTGGTAGAGACAGGGTCTCATTATGTTGCCTAGGCTGGTCTCGAACATCTGGCCTCAAGTGATCCTTCCACCTTGGCCTCCCAAAGTGCTGGGATTGTAGGAGTGAGCCACTGCACATCTCACAAATTTAATTTTAATGTCAGATTTATCAGCTTGACTGATTTGTTTTAAGGCAACAGTTCACATTTTCAGATGAAAAGTGCTTTGTGAGAAATGTACCAAGATATCTTCTTTTAAGTTTTCTAAAATGTTCCTTCGATTTAGTTTTTTTTTTTTTTTTGAGACGGACTCTTGCTCTGTTGCCAAGGCTGGAGTGCAGTGGCGTGGTCTCAGCTCACTGCAACCTCCGCTTCCTAGGTTCAAGCAATTCTCCTTCCTCAGCCTCCCGAGTAGCTGGGACTACAGGCTTCCACCACTTTGCCCGGCTAATTTTTTGTATTTTTAGTAGAGATGGGGTTTCACCATATTGGCCAGGCTGGTCTTGAACTCCTGACCTTGTGATCCACCCTCCTCGGCCTCCCAAAGTGCTGGGATTACAGGCATGAGCCACCGTGCCCAGCCTGGATTTAGTTGTACATAAAATTGAACAAGACCTGATGAAGAAGAGGAAATCAACAGTGATATTTCCCCGTGTCTTGTGGAATCCATTGTGTTGAAGGCAGCCCAGGGAGCTTGCACTGAGCTTTTCCTGCATTTAGTGAATATTCTTCCCTGCTACAGGCTGAATGTCTGTGTACCCCCAAAATCCACATGTAGAAACCCTCACTCCCAAGGTGACAGTATGAGGAGGTGGGGCTTTTGGGAGGTGATTAGGTCAGGGGGGTGGAGCCCTTATGAATGGGATTCAGGGTTCACGGCCTTATCCAAGCAACCCCAAGGAGCTCCCTCATCTCTTCCACCATGTGAAGGCACAGAGAGAGGGCGCCCTCTGTGGACCAGGAAACCACAGGGAAGCTGCAGGTGCCTTGACCTTGGATTTCCAGGGTCCAGAACTGTGGGAAATACATTTTTGCTATTTATAAACCCCCTAGTCTATGATATTTTGTTAGAATAGCACAAACAGACGAAGACACTCTCCTATAGCTCCAACAAATACCTCCCGCAAAAACCCGCTGTGGTTTGACTGGAAGGGTCACATCTGACACGTTTTTTTGAATTTTCCATGATCTCCTCAAAGACCACACTCTACCTTTGACGTGAAAACTGAGCTTCACCAAATCATTACCCACTTTTTACCTTGACAGTAGTGGAATAAAATATGATTTGGGTCATATTCTTGTCAAATTCAAAACCATTCTCAGAAGAGTTGATTACATTTTTAATTAATTTGGTGATTTTAACTGATTTCATGTTTAGTTTTGGAGTCAAATTCATAACTTTTACCCCTTAAACTAATCTTATATAATGTTCAATGGCTTAATATATTGCTTGTCAATGAGATGTCATTTTCTTTTAGTTGAGGTCAAGGTTGCCATATTGTAAAAAAATCTTCTAAGTTTTAGGAAAATATAAACTTTTCTCTGGGGCAATCTGATCGTGAAATATAAAATTTGCTGTGCTATGCGACATGGCAGCAGCTTCTTGCCCACAGAAAGACAGAAAGCCCAGTGGTCTTGTTAATGACAGTGGATGTGGTCCTGGAGTTCACGTTCTGCTCCCTACGCTGGAGGAACCCTCTGTGGGAGTAACAGGAGGCCCTCAGCCCAGCGCCCACTAAGTATCTGCCACATAGGGTGCCACTGAGAGTCAAGGCAGGAGGTGGATACAACTCTTAGCTATCAGAGAGTAGACTCCACCAATCACTGGGATGTGATTTGTGCACCGTCAGTGGGATGCCAGGGTTGGGAAGCACAGGCCCCATAGGGGGCTGGAGGTCTTCCTGGGGTTCGCTGGGCTGCTGGCACTGGGGCCTTCTCTGGAAGAGTCAGTGGCTGGTCTTGCAGCTTCAGCTTGTCCTGACCAGCTCCTCGCAGAGGCCTGTGCAGCAGTAACGCCATCAGAGGCGACTTGCATGTTGCCCCAGGCCGGGTTTGTCCCAGACCTGCCGGATGAGGAAGCATTTCCAGGAGAACCTGCTTGGGCAGGGGAAGGACCGAAAACCAGAGGGGCCGACAGGGCAAAGCACCCCAGCAGACCTTACGGAGGGAACCAGGTCAGTGCCCCCGGGAGCTCAAGTGCGCCCAGACTTATCTGCATGGTGAGTAATGGGGGTTGAGGCAGTCAGGACATTCACATCCCCACTGCTCAACAGCTGCTTCCCCAGAGCATGTTGTCAATTCCCAGGCACTGTCAGCTCAAGCACAGCTGGCTCTGGAGGCCCACAGGCAGCCTCTGAGAGTGACACAGGGGTTGGCTGCTGGGCGTGAAGAGAAGCCTGGGGCTGGAGCAGTACGTTGGTGATGAGGTGTGGAGGACCATGGGTGAGCAGCAGACGGTCCTCCTCACCTGATGGAGGGGAGAGATGCATTTCTCAGTAGCTTGGCTGATTGAATTCTCATTCTGATAGCAAACATACACCCTATCTATATTTCCAAAATGCTCATGGCATTAGCCATTCAAACATTTTTGGTGATGTCAAACCAAATAACAAACACAGAAGAATTTTCTAGTGCTGATGAGTTTGATGAGGAATGAGCATTGCACTGTGGAATACAGGAGCCATGGTAAGCGATGGGTGAACTCATGGAGGCAGAGGAAGACACAGGTTTTTATTTTATTTATTTATTTATTTACTTATTTATTATACTTTAAGTTCTAGGGTACATGTGCAGAACGTGCAGATTTGTTACATAGGTATACACGTGCCCTGGTGGTTTGCTGCACCCAATCAATCCATCACCTACATTAGGTATTTTTCCTAATGTTATCCCTCCCCTATCCCTCCACCCCCTGAAAGGCCCCAGTGTGTGATGTTCCCCTCCCTGCGTCCATGTGTTCTCACTGTTCAGCTCCCACTTATGAGTGAGAACATGCGGTGTTTGGTTTTCTGATCTTGTGATAGTTTGCTGAGAATAATGGATTCCAGCTTCATCCATGTCCCTGCGAAGGACATGAACTCATCCTTTTTTATGGCTGCATAGTATTCCGTGGTGTATATATGCCACCTTTTCTTAATCCAGTCTATCATTGATGGGCATTTGGGTTGGTTCCAAGTCTTTGCTGTTGTGAATAGTGCCACAATAAACATACGTGTGAATGTGTCTCTATCATAGAATGATTTATAATCCTTTGGGTATATGCCCAGTAATGGGATTGCTGGGTCAAGTGGTGTTTCCAGTTCTAGATCCTTGAGGAATTGCCACACTGTCTTCCCCAATGGTTGAACTAATTTACACTCCCACCAACAGTGTAAAAGTGTTCCTATTTTTCCACAACCTCTCCAGCATCTGTTGTTTCCTGACTTTTTAATTATCACCATTCTAAATGGCATGAGATAGTATCTCATTTTTGTTTTGATTTGCATATCTCTAATGACCAGTGATGATGAGCATTTTTTCATATGTCTGTTGGCTGCATCAGTATCTTCTTTTGAGAAGAGACACGAGTTTTTAAAGCGAAACTGACAAGGTCCATACAAGTTGTTTTGAAAGTTATCCTTGGCTACAAGGATTGATAACAAGAGTGGTGTCAGTCTGAGGCTGGATGGGCAGTGGGTGGGCAGACGTCCTCCCAGAAGAATTGACTGTGTGAGGTTGCAATGGCTTTTGTGCAGGGCTATGGTTTTTTGCAGTCTTTTGCCGTGGTTATTATTAGGCAGTCTTATGTGAGAACTGCCCCCTTCATGGCCTTCCCCAGATCCATCATGTCAGGGTTTGACACAAGTGCCTCCATTTTTATTCTGACAGCTTTCACAGATACCATTTTCAACGTGTAGATTTTTATCCACAGTGCGATTTTACTGACAGCAGCTCCGAGAGCAGTGGAGTTGTGTGGACGGCCAGCTCCAGACAATGTGCCCAGATCGGGACACATTTAGACAGCAGATGGAACCAAGTTAAGGAGATAGGGAGATAGATTAGGGCAGGATACCTTGCTAGGAAGAGGAGCTGGGCACAGTGATAGTCAGGAGCAGGTGACCACATGAAGACCAGGCAGAGACTCAGGGGTGCATCCAGGAGCGAGGGAACCACCCCAGGGACTGCCAGAAGCACCAGGGCTGGAAGAAGCAAGAACCGATGCTTCCCAGCAGATGTCAGAAGGAAAATTCCCTACCGGGAATGCCTGGCTAACACCTTGACCACGGACTTCTGGTTTCTGGAACTGAGAGAGTAAGTTTCTGTTTTAGGGCACTCAGTATGTAGGGCTTTGTTTTGGGAGCCTCAGGAAACTGGTACAAACCCAGTTAATAAATGATAGTCATGCATGCGTGGACAGAAAGAACATGTGCTTTCAATCTGTGAACTCTTCCCGGAGATCCCGCATTGTCTTGGAAGGAAGCGGGATCCATCTACATTCCTGGACTGGAAGCAAAAGGAAGGAGGGAGAGTTGTAGGGCTGACTTCTGGGGACTCCGTGTGGTAGGGAGCATCCTTCTCACTCTTCTCAGACCAGAGCCTGCGGTATGAGGGCGTGACGGTGCTAGCTGCCACCACGTATTCTGTTACCAGAATGCCGCCTTTGCGGGAGGAAAGCCATTTTGGTTGGCGGCAGACATGCACCTGCAATTCTATTAGCGTGTGCTCCTTGGTTGGCTGTCTTTCCATGATGTGTGGGGCTGGTGCCTGTGGAACAGACTCTGACTGGTTCCCCAAAGGGGCTGGGCTTTCCTTGTGTTCCAAAGTCCAATTGATGGTTCCAGTTTGTGATACTTAAAGCTGCTTAGAGGAACCAGCTGCTGTTCTTTTACATCAGTTCGACCTCCAGTCATGGAGCTTATCTGGAGCCAAATAGTCTGTTTTTGCCAGAAATGTCCATCGCTTTTGTGAGCTCTTGGGGAGTCTCAGACACTACATGCTGCCCAGGGCTGTCTTTTCTGCAGGAACCTGGGAAATTATATCAATAGCAATAACTAACATTGGGGTGCTTGCTGTATGCAAATTATTCAATTTGCATGTGTTAAATAATTTAATTATGCACATGAATCCTCTGAGGTAAATGACAGGATTATCTCCATTTTACACATGAGGAAACTGAGGCCCAGAATGATTGAGTAACTCACCCAAGAATCCCCAGGCAATCAGTGGTGGGAAGTGATCCAGGCCCCACCCCTGTGACCCAGAGCGGCCCTGTCCAGGTCCATGCTGCCATACGTATTCAATTTTGAACATTATTTCCTGGAAAAACTCCGAGTTGTAGAATTAGTATATTGCAAAATCCTAATTTAAATAATCAATTTTTTTTAAGTGTCTTGAATTATTTTTACTGCAGCTTTTTTTTTTTTTTTCCAAGACAGAATTTCGCTCTTGTTGCCCAGGCTGGAGTACAATGGCGTGGTCTTGGCTTACTGCAATCTCTGCCTCCAGGGTTCAAGCAATTCTCCTTTCTCAGCCTCCCATGTAGCTGGGATTACAGGTGTTCACCACTACACCTGGCTAATTTTTGTATCTTTAGTAGAGACGGTGTTTCACCATTTTGACCAGGCTAGTCTCGAACTCCTGACCTCAGGTGATCCACCCACCTTGGCCTCCCAAAGTGCTGGGATTACAAGTGTAAGCCACAGCACCCAGCCAAACATTTCTTACTACGTTGGCCTAAATTATTAAAAATCAAAATCTTAATCATAATACAGTAGCAAATATTTTTGTTTCTATTCTAATTTTAAATCTGACCTAGTGTTTCCCTGTAATTATAACTTGGTTGATTTAAAATACTCATAGCATGTTAAGAAAAAATTTTTATTTGGATGCTCACATTTGCTAGAAATTTGGATTTTATCAAATGTGACCTCCCTACCTCTCAACTCATGGAGTTTTAATCTTAAATGCCTTGTGCCTTAAATGCTACAACTATAGCATTTTCTTGAATTGATCTTTAAACCATCATGCAGAATTGACCAAGGAATTTCTGATCAATGAAGCCAGCAAGCATAGAACATAGTTTGATATAGGAATGGCGTTTGGATGTCTCTCTGCCGTAGGGTGGGTTCACTGGGAAAGCGTACACACTAAGGAGACAGGGCTGAAACAATTGCTCTCTACCCTGTCACCCTCAGTGGTGACATCCTTGCCCCCACCCTCCCACACCCCTTCATCTCCAGATCTCTATGCAAGGCTGCTTCCTCCAAGGCTGGCACGATCACCGCCACCATGGCCAGCCCTTGCCTCTGTCTCTGCCCATCATCCCAGCTGTGGAGTCGAGGAACAGCCTGTCTCTCCAGAAGGAAAATTTCCTTCTACTACAGTAGGACAATTAAATGACAGTCTAGAGCATGAGCATTTATTTTTCTGCAATTAAGTGGCAGCTGCATCTCAACCAGATTGCTAAGGTGTTTGCTGTAGTAAGACCAGTTTCCCCTGGAGGCGTGACTCTAGAGTGAGCAGGGTAACCTGGAGTAGGCTTCTGACATTCCGACTTTCTTGAGTGCCTCAGTACCATCAGTTAAGGAATTCTAAAGATCCCTTCAGGTATATCCCTCACACTTCCCTTGCTTATTATTTGGATATATTTTTACCAAAATTGCCAGCTTGTTTCCAAATTGTCCCAAAAAGCTAATTTGATTGTTGGACTAAGCAAAACTAGCTTGCAGATTATATCCCTTTGCAGTATTGATGGTCCACAGTGGAGTCACGAGTGCTAATTGAAACAGTAGCAGAGAATATTTCAGGTGTAAGTAGCCAGTGCTGAGGAATGTTCAATCTTTTCATTTTTCTATCTCAGATTCAAAGAATTTTTATATTTTTATAATTTACTACTTAGTCTTTATCAGCATGAGAAAAAAAATTAGGCCAGGCTCGGTGGCTCACGCCTGTAATCCCAGCACTTTGGGAGGACAAGGCAGGTAGATCGCCTGAGGTCAGGAGTTCCAGACCAGCCTGGCCAACATGGTAAAACTCCATCTCTACTAAAAGTACAAAAAATTAGGCATTGTGGCAGACACCTGTAATTCCAGGTACTCGGGATCCCGGCTGAGGCAGGGGAATCGCTTGAACCCGGGAGGCGGAGAGGTTGCAGTGAGCCGAGATCGCGCCATTGCACTCCAGCCTGGGAAAAGAGTGAAACTCCATCACAAAAAAAAAAAAAAAAAAAAAAAAAAAGGATGAACCAACAATTTCACTGTTTGAAAACTCGCCACAAGAGACAAGCCTAAAGCAATCACTGCAGCTTCTGTTCCCCACACTGGCTTGCAGCCCCCCAGACCAGGTTCTTTCTCTCATTTGATGCTGCTGAATTATCTGGTTACATGTTTCTAATTCCAGCATCATGGGAAAGTAGTTTTACAACGATGCATTTACTGGGCACTTTCTTGACTGGAAAGCTCTGTTTATTCTAAGAGAAGGTATTTACAGAAACTACATAAGCTGGCAAGAGCAAGATAGACCCTACAGAGTTTCATACAACATTTAAGAACATTTTATTGTTTCCTTGTGGGGAGTAACTTTTCAGGCCATTGAAACATTGTTTCATGTAAAATTGTGTTTCACTCGTTGTGACCATTACTTCACCTTGTTTGAGCCAATTGTAAACAACCTGAGAAGCAATAGGGGAAAAATAGATGATCACTTTAACCTGTTCCCGGTGATTTCTGCCAAAGGACTGCAGTGCTGATTTTCCAACTGGAAATATTGAATAATGTTGAGATACCGTGGCTTTCAGAGATGTTTCAGTTGTTTGAAAGTGTGAAGCATAAACACACGTTAAAATTTAATTAAAAAATTGCAAGCTAGGCTAGGTGCGGTGGCTCATGCCTGTAATCCCAGCACTTTGGAAGGCCGAGGTGGGCGGATCACGAGGTCGGGAGTTCAAGACCAGCCTGACCAACATGGTGAAACCCCATCTCTACTAAAAATACAAAAATTAGCTGGGCATGGTGGTGTGCACCTGTAATCCCAGCTACTCAGGAGGCTGAGGCAGGAGAATTGCTTGAACCCGGGAGGCAGTGGTTGCAGTGAGCTGAGATCATGCCACTGCACTCCAGCCTGGGTGACAGAGGGAGACTCTGTCTCAAAAAAAAAAAAAAATTCAAGTTGATGAAATACTTGATGCACTCCTATTGCCTGGAATTATGAAGCTGGATAACTTGGAAGATCTTTGACATTTCTTGAGGTATTTCTTGTGATTCTTTCTAAACTGCCTCGTGCAGAGGCTTCTGTGGTTTTTGTAGACCCGCAGCAGCTCTGGTGAGTGCTCATCTGGATGCACCAGCCTCTGTGAAGTGGAGCCCACTCTGCTTGCTTCTTCATGAGCTGGCCGAGCTTCTCTGGTGTTCATGGAGTTTATTTTAGGAATTTCCTGTGTCCCAGCAGGAATTTTCTAATGCCAAAACTTTGGTTTACATCAACAAATCAATCAGTCCCTATCATGTGCAAGCTATGCTTGTTCACTAAAGAAAAACTTTTGGATCTATGCCACTTCTTACCCCTTGTAGCCCTACATTTGATTTTAGTTGTCTTAGTTAAGGAGAGCCCACAACAGATAAGCTCAGCGGCAGGGATGGAATTGAGACATGTGTCTCAGTGTGAACATGGTTCTGCATCTGGTTAGCTGGGAGTTTTTTGGAGCTGCCCTCCTCCGCGTGCTGCTGTCACACAGACCCATTTTTTTCTTTTCGCGGTGGTGAATGGAAGCAGGACCTAAGCAATCACCTTCACCCCCACAGTCTCCAGAGGATGGGGATGCAGTCCTGAGCAAGTGTTTTCTCCAGGTTCGTCGGCCTGAGCACAGCCACAGGCTCCATTGCCCCAGAAACCAGCCCAGGGTCTTGCGTTGTGCTCCTTAAGTTCCCCTGACTACATAGCTCTCCCCAGGGCCCACTATTGTCAGCTTCTCCCAGAGAAGACGGGGTGGCAGGGTGGGGTGGTTATTCTTTGCACACTTCAATGCATGAAGAATAATTCACTGTTATTGATCACCCTGATTCAGGCTTCAAGTGCTGATCATGGTGATGGAGAAATCTCTAAAAAGAGAATCAGGAGAACCTGCCTGCTCTTCCCTTGGATTGAAGGGACCAACGTCCCAGCTCCCAGCACATCGGCCAGGCCTCAGGGGGCCGTGTGCACCGGGCAGTGAGAACCTGAAGAGGAGCTCTCCAGGCCCTCCCTGCCACCGCCTGCGCCTGCCGGGCCCCTCTTCTCTGTTTCTTTCACTTCATGACTCTGAACTCTTGGCCCTTCACCCTGACCTCAGCCCAGCCTGTTTCATGGCCCAGCCTTGGGAGCTCAGTTCCCTCCCGCTGTGCTGAATGGATCCCCTCCCCAGGCCCTGATCCACTAGGGGCTTGCAGAGAGACCCCCACATTGGCCCTGGCCTCAGAGGCTGACCCTGCTTGGGGTCCCTCTGTACCTGGAGTGCTGCCAGGGGAGGTAGGAGCAGGCTGGGATCCTCTGTCCAAGGTGCCTCCAGATAGAGGGAGCCTTTTCACAGCACTGAGCTCTCCAGCCCTAGGTGCTCAGCGTGGCCGCAGCAGTTCCTGGGGCTCCCGCTCACAGTCACCCGACACCCAGCCACGAGGACAACAGCAGCCAGGGGCCACGCATCCCTCAGAGGCACACAACAGCAAATCGGCTAGGTAGGTAGGACAGTATTTAAGACTAAGCTCTTCCTCGGGTGTTTCACCTTTTATTTTTCTTTTCTCAGAGACAGGCAATATCTGCAGTTTATTGTAAATCAGCTTTTTTGGAGAAAGCACATATTTCCATTTAAAAGATGCTACAGGACTTCGCAACATCCTTGATGCTTTCACAAAGTCATTGCTACTTGAGGGTAAAAGCAAGTAACCCAGAGACCTGGGGACTCTGCAGGGAAAGGAGGTGGGCAGAGCATCCTGCTGGGGCAGGGTCCGCAGGGCCCAAGGGCAGGGGAGGTGTTTGGGCTGGAAGGAGGGCACTGCTGGTAGACAGGAGTGGGTGCAGAATGTCCAGGCCCCCGGATGCCTCAAGGTGGGCACTTGGTCTGTGGATCAGGAGCCAGCAGACATTTGTCCGGATGGGATGGTGGCTCCGCTTACTCAGCCAGAGATGGGGAAAGAATAACTTTGGAAGAGCAGGGTCATGAGGTGTGGGACACCATGGCACCCACAGGGTCATGCAGCAGGGGCTGGGGACATCAGCCTGAAAAGGAGGAGCTGCCTCTGAGGGAGGAGGAGTGAAGGGAGAGTGCAGTCCATCCTCAGGCAGCTTCCCTGTCCCCCAGGAGCCTCTATTATACTTGGGCAGCTCCCAAGACCACTCAGACACAGTCTGTCTCCTCTGTGCTCTCTGAGGTCACTGAAGCCTGAGTATGGAGCCACTTGAACTCTGGACAATGAAGGAAGCCTTTGGAACCAAGAATTGGTTTAAACAAATTCTGAAGGATCCGTAGGGCTTGGTCAGTGGACGTGCAGGACAGGGCTTGCCTGCAGATGGAGCACCCTGATGCGGGAGAAACACAGGCAGGTTTTGAGCCCCTCCAGGAGTCCATCTGCGTGCAGAAGTTCTGGGTGGAGGAAGAACAAAGTGGGGAGGTCAGCCCAAGGTGGAGGATGGTCTCCTCTTGCTTTTACAAATGAAAGTGCTCATTGGAAAATGACAGAGTCTGCAGCCACAGTGGGATCCTCTGGCCCCGTGAGTCAGCTCAGGGAGAGGAGCCGGTAGGAGACCCACATCTCCAGAATTCAAGGTTGTCACTGACCACGAGAGTGTTCTTCTGCATCTCAGCTTTGTTTCTGTCTCACTCGATTGGAATTCCATCTGTTCAGCAGAATTCAGCCCACCCCATTAGGTGGATGAGATGCTGTGATGTAAAAAGAAACAAGACAATTTCCGAAAGTTTGGGGTTATGAGAATGATCTGGGCCTAGGTGCGGATGGTCCCCATCAGAAGCAACAAAAACGTGTGCTATTATCTCTCACAAGGTTTTTAGCCTTCCTTGCCAAAAGTTACTTAGCGAGTTGCTGGGTCACAGGGGGTAGCACTGATCCGGAGAAGATCCGTGAGCCTTTTGACCACTGCCAC
Organism: Homo sapiens; assembly: GCF_000001405.40. Lineage (NCBI taxonomy): Eukaryota > Metazoa > Chordata > Mammalia > Primates > Hominidae > Homo > Homo sapiens. Next base: position 2,815,455 of record NC_000005.10, read on the forward strand.
TTTGCAGGTATACATACTGACCCTCAGGCTGCGGGTCCAGACAAACCCCAACTCAGCCAAGACAAACCCCTCCCACCTCCAGTGCTGATAACGACCTTTCAATAGTCTCATGCTGGAGATGCTTTGGGTCTAGATTTATTATTATTGTTAATAATAATCAAAATAAAGATTGTTTGTTTCCCCCCACAGTCCTCCACAAAGATTGATTTTCCTGAGGTCCGCATGGGTGCGCAAAGCCTTCCTTTTCTTGAGTCTGCAAGGTGGATGGATATTTTATTGCATCTATTTCTTAGATTCTGAATGAATGATTGGTATCTTATTGATACACTCACAAGAGGATGGTTTTAAAATCACATATCTTTATCTAATACCTTTATGAGTCCATCAATTACATTTATTGGGCAGGCCCTTTGATTTTTATGAAGAAATTCCTTTTAAGTAAGGAGAATGGCCATATATGGAAATGCCTTTCCTTTCAGTCCATCAAAGTCCTGCCTTTTCCAAGCAAGTTTCCTACCTAGCTCTAAGTCACTCGTTGTGGAGGTTGCTCTGGGTGGCAGAGTTGGTGACAGTGGCTTTTCCCAGCCATGGTTTTCCTGCAGAGGGCTTCTGTCGGGAAGTGTAGCCTCCCATTATTAAACAATAATTAAGTTCTCCAGGCTCAGTTCCTTACGCTTGCTAATCTTGGTGACTGTTTACATGCTACTATTTGTTAAATGGCAAAGTTTATTGATTTGGCAAATTCAGTCCCACATTGTGGATTTTCTCTCAGTCTGTGTTCCTACATGTGGTTCAGCATTTTTAAATGTCAACTGCAAAGTATTATTGATTGGTAATTAAAAGTGTAGAGAAAAATTAGCATAGTAGAAGTTTGCGGTCATTAGTACAAGTACCGTTGGGCAATTATTTAGCGTGTTTTAACATGTATTTTCCTTCCTGGTATTGACACAGAGTATCATGCTCATCAAACAGTTCCTGTTTTGCTAAAAAGGAAAGTTTTAGCATCAATAAGAATTGAAGACACGTATTTCTGTTGGAAAATTTGCTTGTCGGTTTCCCTGATGCATAAACAAGCTGATCCAAAGGGCTACCTGGGCTCTGGCAGGAGTGAAGGGGCAGAATCTGAGCTCCATGGGCCATCCTGAGGGGGCTTCCCTGGCTTCCTTCCCAGGACCCAGCAATGAGGGTCCCATGTTGAAACTGAACAAGGAAAGTACAAACCTGGCTTAGGCAGGGAAAAAATAAATTGTTTGTATTAAGCAGTTATTTTGTGTTTGGGAAATGTTTATCCCAGATTTTCTCAGACATAGGACAGATTTCAATATTTTGCACAATTTATTTGAAAGTTACCTATAGTAATCAAGTCATATGAACAGATTTTTGTTCTGAAAGCACGATCAGAACATTATTATTATTGCTTTTGGCATAGACTGAGCAGGACAGTGACACATTCAAGATGGAAGGAAACTTCGTAGGTGTCTGCTCTGTACAATTGTTGGTTTTATTGCTTTACTCACTAGCACTCACTCCCTTACTTGTACCTGTTATCTTTTTTAGCATATGGTTGGTGTTCTGGGACTATTATTTGAATTTTTGGATTCCTGAATGCTGAAGAGAGAGCCCACAGGTGGATGGCATGAGGTGATGGAAGTGGGCGTATCAAATTTACACTTGGACCAAGCCCTGCAGGCAGTGTGGTGTAATAGTCAAGAATGGGATCCTTGATTCCCTGAGACGGCATCCTCCCCACATCCCTTATCAGTTGGTGACTATTGACCAATTACAGTTATTGTAGCCTCCCTTGGCCTCAACGTGCTCATATTGAAATGTGATACTAATACCCAGCTGGTAAAGCTTGTGGTGAGGACTCAATGAGATAAGAAGCTCAAGGTGACTGTAAGATGACTGGATGGCACCTGGCATTTGGTAAACACATAACACATGTCAGCTGTTTCATCCCATTGTTGCTGGGAGCGTTAAGCCCCTGGGGGCTGTCAAGGATCTGCAGCACATCAAAAAAGAAAGATGAAATTCATAGAAGTCAGCATGCATCCACTAAGGGAAATCCCGTGCCTAACAAAGCATGTTTCCTCTTTATTGATAGAATTTTCTGTTAGGATGATAACATAAATTTGATCTCTTTTGGTTTGAGCAGGCATTGGACAGAGTATCTTATGAACAAGAGAGGAAAACGCAGACTGGGCAAGGATTAAGTTAGGTGAGTTAAACAAATGATGAAGGGGAGGGTTACCGATGATCACCGCTTACCCAGAAGACATACTCTAGGGATCAAATAAGGCCAGGCTGGGGCTGGTGGTGATTAGTATTAATACATCCACAGGACTGTCAAGATTCCCGTAGCAATCAGACCAGCACGATGGGCCAGAAATTTACACAATGAAACTAAGATGGGTGGATGTACTGTGAGGTATTTTCAGTAAGATTTTGAAACTATTAGAGTTGGCCCTCATATCCACAGGTTCGGCATCCTTGGAGTCAAAAATATTCAGAAAGAAAACAATAAAAAGCAGTTATATACAGTAAAAAGTAATACGAACAAAACAATCCCAATACAGTATAACAACTATCTACCTAGCATTTGCATTGCACTAAGTTTTATATGTAATCTAGAGATGATTTCAGGTATCCGGGAAGATGTGAACAGGTTGTATGCCAATACTATGTCATTTTGTATCAGGGACTTCAGCATTTGCAGATTTTGGCATCCGTGATGGATCCTGGAGCCAGTTCCCCATGGAGGCTAAGAAACAATTGTACTTTAATTTCTGCCTTTTTTCCCCCTGGAAAACACACCTCGGATACATTCTGTCCAATGGCCATCTGGGGAAGATTTCCACTGCAGCCTCAAGTATCCTGTTGAGTGTTGACAGGTGGAGGCTGGTGGTGAAGGCCACATTACGTTTCCAATTGGAACATTCTGGCTATGGTTTTAGAACACCCAGGAAAGGGGGGACTCCACACTACAGACTGGAGAAAACCAACAGACATCGATTCTGGGATTTTAGGAATTCACGTGAGGATGCAGTGTCAAGGAATCAGGGCTCTGTGCTCCCCCGAAGCCAGCAGCTTTGGTGGCCTAGGGTCAGTAGAGAGAGGTGTTGATGGTGGCAGCCAGGCCTCTTTGGGCATATTTTGAGCCAGTGGACTTTTACAGTAAGCAGCTTAGGGACAGGCCCTGAAAGTCAGAGAGGAGGGTCAGAGTCAAAAATGAGTGAATTAGGGCCATGAGTCAAAGCCAGCCCAGGGGCAGGTGGTGGCATGGAGTGCTAGTTCCTGAGAGCCTGGGGTCATCCATGGGCCATTCCTTCATCCTTTCACATATTGGTTCATTCCATCAGCTGTGCCTCCTTTGCTCCTCCTGTGAAAACTGAACCCTGGGGACTCTGCCAAGGAGGCAGGCAGGGCCGTCCTCTGGGAGTCTGGAGCCTGTGCTTAGTGTGGCAGGACTGGGATGAAGTATGTGGTCTAACCAGGGGCTGTCAACCTTGGGGTACACAAAGCATCTACCTGTGGACCACGGTCCTGAGCAGAAGACCTCTGCTGGGCACTTCCCAAGCTCTGGCAGTGGGCCTGGTTCAGGTGGGTGCATGCAGGAAGCTGTGCTGCCCGTGGCCTGGGACAGTGGAGTCAGCATGTCCTGCAGGGGAGGGAAGTTGAGGCTCAACGAGCACCCCCCTGGTGATAGAGGAGCATGTGAAGTGGAAACACAGAGGCGGAGTCAACAAGGAGTTTCCCTACGAGTTAACTCCTGCCAGCTTTGGGGAGGTGAGGCAGAGCCTGCAGCTGTGGGCATTTCGGCTTCTCCCCGTCTCTGTCCTTAGGTCTCCCTTCCATGTTTTCCAAGACTGGAAATGGCCCCCTGATGTCCAGAAGTAGAAGCGCTTTATGGAGGTGGAACAGGAGCGGGAGGCAACGGGCTCTTGAGGGATCAGTCTGGAATGCCCCTGCTGCTGGCCAGGGGACCGTGAGGCCCCAGCAGTGCCCTTCACTGCGGGCCGCTAGTTCTGCTCTCTATCTGCTGAGGCAAAGAATGCTGATGTGTGAGCAAGGTCCAAAGAGAGCGTTCAACTAAAATTAATAAAAGTAATAAACAGAAGCACTGCTCCAATGAGGATGAGCGCTGTGACCTTGCAATCTGCAATCAGCTTCACAAACCAGAGAGGAAGGTGAATCCGACGAGGACCAGGCTGGAGATGAACACCAAGGAACGTGGATGCTTCAAGGACGGTGTTGCAGTTTAATAATTCAAGGAAGTATGCTTTAAAAGAAATGAAATCTATTAAAAGTTGTATTATCATTTGACTAATAAATGCTATATAGGCACAACAAATAACCAAATAATTAAAGCAAATCCAATCTCTGAATGCAAACATCCTTTCAACAGTCCTTAATCGCTTTTTTTTTTCTGCTGCTCAGGCTGGAGTACAGGGGCATGAACTTGGCTCAGTGCAACCTCCTGCCTCCTGAGTTCAAGAGATTCTCATGCCTCAGCTTCCCAAGTAGCTGGGATTACAGGCCCACACCACAACGCCCAGTTAATTTTTGTATTTTTAGTAAAGACAGGGTTTCACCATGTTGGCCAGGCTGGTCTCGCACTCCTGACCTCAGGTGATTGCCCGCTTCTGCCTCCAAAAGTGCTGGGATTATAGGTGTGAGCCACTGTGACTGGCCCTTAATTTGCTTTTAAATATAAATATTAAATAATATCTAAGGCTGGGCGCGGTGGCTCACGCCTGTAATCCCAGCACTTTGGGAGGCTGAGGCAGGTGGATCACGACCATCCTGGCTAACACGGTGAAACCCCGTCTCTACTAAAAATACAAAAAAATTAGCCAGGCGTGGTGGCAAGCACCTGTAGTCCCAACTACTCGGGAGGCTGAGGCAGGAGATTGGCGTAAACCCAGGAGGTGGAGCTTGCAGTGAGCCGAGATCGCGCCACTGCACTCCAGCCTGGGCGGCAGAGCGAGACTCCATCTCAAATAATAATAATAATAATAATACTGAATACTTCACATGCTCCTTTCACTAGCTCTGCTTTCCTGGCAAGTTTCAACCCCTAGTTTGAACTGTGAGTGTGAACTCTCACCCAGCAGCATCATTGTCCACCTCTCTGCTCCTAAGGGTGCTTTAGCACCATTTTTCTTTGCTAGTCATTGATTTGATGCAGCATTGATTTGATGAAGCATTTTGTACTATTATATTTTGGAAGGAAGTAAAGCTTTGCAAGTAAGGCTGGCCATAAAGCATCATAAAACATTTTCATTTGATCTATTCAAGTTATTGTACACTTCTATTTTTTCTTCTTTTAATTGTACCGTTATCTGCATATATTTAGAAATGTTTCCAGTGTTAGATATTATATACTAGTTGTTTACTTCTGAAAAAAGAAAAAAACTGAGAATAAATACAAATGTCTTTATTATTATTAATATTTAAATTTGTATTTGTGCTTCGAAGACTCTCAGGAAGAATACTGAGGTTTTCTAAGACAACTTGGATTTGCACTTGCCTTCTAGGAAGGGCAATAAGGCTATGTTCACCTTACAGAGGGTAAAGATGAGGCCCAACGCGAGCTGAGAGCCCACGGCAGATGAGAAGGGCTGGAGCTTCCTGGGATTCCAGCTGCTCCCTGCACGGTTCCCGTTGTTCCATGGAAAAAATACCCTGGACCAGCAGAATCACCCCCTGAGTGGCACCCACAATGTGAACATCGCTTCATGGATAAGCACATCCCATCCCAGTAGAGAAAAAATGTGTGTGTGTGTGTGTGTGTGTGTGTGTGTGTTTGCCTACAAAATACGATACGAATCCAAAAAGTATTTCTCAGACACTGTTCTGACATAAATAAAACAGAAACTCACACTTTTTGCCTAGAAAGAACATTCCCGCATTTGCTTTATTAGAGAGTAATTCCTATTTAGTTTTACATCTTCATAACTTTGAAGTTTTTTTTTGTTTTGTTTTTTCTTTTAATATTCACAAAGGAGGACCTGGAACCCTTTTAAGATTTGGGAGCTGCATCTAATGGTGCTGCTGGAAACTTGGGAGGAAGAAGCTATCTATTGGATAATTCTTTTTTTTTTTTTCCTTCTTTTTTTTTGAGACAGAGTCTCGCTCTGTCACCCAGGCTGAAGTGCAGTGGCGCTATCTCAGCTCACTGCAAGCTCTGCCTCCCGGGTTCAAGCGATTCTCGTGCCTCAGCCTCCCAAGTAGCTGGGATTACAGGCATGTGCCACCATGCCTGGCTAATTTTTGTATTTTTAGTAGAGATGGGGTTTCACCATGTTGGCCAGGCTGGTCTCAAACTCCTGGCCTCAAGCGATCCTCTCACCTCGGCCTCCCAAAGTGCTATTGGACAACTCTTTAAAATAGAAGGTCTTTCTCAAAATGCCAAAGTATTAACGACTTTTATATTGTGGGTATGTGAATAGTGGGAAGGCTTTTCTTACATAGTCATGCACTGTACAATGTCATTTCCGTCAATAATGGATCACGTATATGACACCAGTCCCACGAGATTTTAATACTGTATTTTCGCTCTACCTTTTCTATGTTCAGGTGTGTTTAGAGACACAAATATTAACCATTGCATTACAATTACCTCCAGCTCTCAGTACAGTGACATGCTGTGCATGTTTGTAGCCTAGGAGCAGTAGGATCTACCATACAGTGTAGGTGTGTAGTAGGCGATACTATCAAGGTTTGTATAATGACACTATATGATGTTTGTACAACGACAAAATCACCCAACAATTCATTTCTCAGAATGGAATCCTGTTGTTAAGTGATGCGTGACTACATAACATCTGAGGATACCTAAAAGTGTAAGACTGATTCCTACAGCCTGCTAGTCATCCTGTAAATGGAATATTGGGCAAAATATTCTCCTATCCAATACACAACACCGTATATATTTCCTGAAGGAAAAGGCATTGGTGTGGGGGCATTTATAGAACGTGAAGATTGAACGCAAGCCATGTCTCTATTCCCAAGCCTTTGACAGAGTCGAAATCAATCTGTTGACTGAGGTGGTCTTGCACAACACCACAGATCGTGTATTAGCACAGTCCTCCAGTTCCAGTTCTTTCAGGAATGTTCCTGCTGAGATGTCATTGTGCCATTCTGTTGCTGCAGCTGTGGTGGGCACAAGTGAAGGATGCACTGGTAACGGGGCCCAAAATGAGCTGATGGCTCTTCCCCTGGGGACGACAGGGCAGGCCAGTGCCCTGTGAGGCGGGAAGAGGCTGGATCCCACGCATCCCTCCTGACTCTGTGCCCCTCCTGGGTCATGGAACTTTTCACCACCCACCCGGCCACCCCCATCTGGTACCTGCTCTCCTCATGTCCTTTTCTAAATCCCCCCACCCTTAATCAGGAGATGATTCTGCATCCCTGGCTGGCTACTGTCTTTTGTTTTGCTGCAGTTTTGAGAAGCTGGAGTTGCTCTGTACAGACGGATTCAGGCTAACTGCTTCTCCCAGGGAATCTGACGTGGAGCCATCACAGGGGCCCAAAGGCAGCGGGAAGAGCAGAGATCCTGGCTTCAGTCACCCAGGAATGCCCAAGCTGTCAGTGCCTTGGCTCAGCACGGGGGCCGGGAAATAAGAGCTTCTCTGAGGAAGAAGGAAAACGGGCTGCCCGAAGAGGGCTCGGGTCTGAAGCAGGAAGCCCTGGGAGATGTTCCCCATGACCACGGTGCTAATGTCAGCCAGGGAAGGGAGGATCGAGGCAAGCCAGGGGCCTGCTGGGGGCAGGGGCCTTCCATGATACAGCTGGAGGCTGCACACCTTAAAATTTGCCGACTTTGAAAGCATCGCGCCTGGGCTTGCAGGGCCTCTGACAAGAAGAAGAACTTCTCTGGGGGCTTTCAAGGTGAGCTGTGCCCAGACAGGACACTCAGGAAAGCAACCCCTCCCTCCGGGGTGATCAAGAAGAGAAGGCGGTTGATGGGGTGGGGTCTGTCGGACGAGCAGCTTTGACAGAGAGCATGGGCTGTGTATTGGCTGAGAAGCTCTATGCACAGGGGTAGGAGCCCCGGCCTGGGGGGATTTTCTCCCGGGTGAGGCTTGCCTGCAGGGAGGAGCAAGAGCTATGGTTGCAAATCCACAGCCTGGCTGCTCGCTTATTTTACATCAGTGGGACTGATGGCAGGTTCCATTCTGGGACTTGGTTGTCGCTTGGCAATGGGCCTCGGGAGCATGTTCTCTGCCAGAGGCGGTGCTGCCTGGTGCTGGTCAGTGGCTGTGTGGTATTCCACAGCAGCCCCGTGCAGTGGCTCTGCTGACCCTGCCTTTCTAGTCTTCCGCCACGAAAACAAGCAATAGTGAACATTCTTGTGCACGTGTCTTTGAGCACATGTGCATGTAGGATGGATATCTGGGTGCCTATGCACCGATTTTTAAATGATGAGAGGTCACTAAAATCTAAGGAGCGTCCCACGCCAAGCATTCGCGTAGCTATGATGCAAGCTTAGGGTATGCACAGCACAGGCCACTGGCTACTGAGTACATGTCAGCAAAATGGAAAGAACAGAGAAAAATGGGAAAAATCAGGAGCTCAGAATAGCCAAGACTGCAGGGCCCTGGTTGAGAGAGGTGGAGGTGGACTCTGAAAGAGAGCAGGTAAGTAAGCCATTTCTTCCTGCAGGTGTCAATAACCTCGTCAGGGGCAGAGCAGAAATGCCGCCCAGTCCATAAGGTAGGATGCCCATGCTGGAGACTGCAGGAGGATATGTAAGTTCTGGGAAGAGCAGAGCCCTTTCCTTAGGGCAAGGGAGTACGTTCAGACTGCCCACTCCTACATGCCCTGTCTCAATATCAAGCTAAGGAAAAGTTAGAGCAATGTGGCTTGACATGCCTCGGGCCAGCCGGTCTGGCTAGAAGTAAAGGCAGAATGAGAAGTCATCATTATATAGATTAATTGGCTCTGAATTTTAACTGTAAAATTATAATGATATTTCACCTTTTATTTTCAATGCACCCCCTTTCAGAAAGTCTTTCCTGATCCTCCAAGTTTAGGGTGACAGCTTTTTCTTTCAACTCTCCTGAGCACTGTCTTTTTCTTAAGGCCCTTGTGTGTAGCTGATATCCTCCTTCCAGATGGAAGAGGGCTTTGTGTTTATTTTTAGCCCGGGTAGCAACATACTAGAATTTCTTATACTCAGTTATAAGAAAATAATACATATTTATTACGCTAAATCATAGAATGAACGAGAATGCTATTTGCTCTGTTGAATGTTCTTGCTCATTGAGTTTTTATTTTTATTCTTCTTGTGTTTCACCTTAAGCTTCTACTAACTCAATTATTTTTGTAAATGAGAGGGTAGAAATAATACACAAAACCCAAATGGTCTTTTGATTGTCAGAGAGATTAGAGACACATAAAAGTGAAAATACCACGGGGGATGGTGAAGAAACACAGAAGTCATGCTTACTTATGAATGAGACAAATAACTGACTATGTATGTGTTACAAAGTATCTTTCCAGGTGTCTGTGATGAAAATTTATTGAAAAAAGTTCCTTCTATGGGTCTATTTGCTTGGCACCCTCTGTCCTGCCCCACCTTGTTGGAACCCACCTGAATGACTCCATGCTTGCCATGGCTCCTGGGTGTACACAGGGGAGGTGTTTGGGGACTTAGACCCCAGCCACCCTCCTTCGCAGATCTTGACACATAAAAATTGCACCTTCAATGAAGACAAAAAGGAACAAAAATGGGAGAAGAGATGCAAAACAAAAATTTGAGAGCTTTGCTGTTGCATCTGAGATGCATTGTTTTATTGGTGAAATAGGAGAGATTCTGAGAACCTTTGAGCCACAAGGTTATTCCCTCTTGAATATTGACAAACCTGGAATTAATGCCTGCCCAGCAGCCTGAGTGAGCTGGGCGACAATTTACCTCGCCAAACTTTCGTTTCCTGACTTGAAAATAGGAAAAAAAGCTACCCCCATTCATGAGGGGATTTAAATGACACAACACCCGGCTACGAAGGTGGGTGGTCTGTACATTTCTCACTGAGGCTCACTGCACCTCTGCCCCAACCTTATTGCCTCCCATCCTCCCCAAAATGCCCAGTGACTGACAGTTCGCTGCTGTTTCTACAGAATAAATTCCATCAAATCTACTTCATAAGGACCCAACACATATTCTATGTATTGACCACTATTCTAACATGTCCTGAAGAATATTTGGAGAATGTTCCTTTAATATTAAGACTTTTGTTTCCTTTACTGTGCAGAAGCTTTTTAATCAGATGCAATCCCATTGATCTATCTTTGCTTTTATTGTCTGTGCTTTTGGGGTCATATTTAAGAAATCACTTCTCAGACCAATGTTCTGGGGCTTTTCTCCTGTTTTCTGTAAGTAGTTTTAACGTTTCTGGTCTTATGGTTAAGTCATTTATCCATTTCAACTTGATTCTTGTATAAGGAGTGAACTAATTATTTATATTCTTCTGCATGTGAATATCCAATTTTCCCAACATCAGTTATTGATAATACTGTCCTTTCTCCTTTGTGTGTTGTTGGCAACTTTGTTGCAAGTAAATTGACCATAAATATGTGGGTTTATTTCTGGGCTCTCTGTCTTATTCTATTGAATGACATGTCTGGTTTTACACCAGTACCATGCTGTTTTGATCACTGTTGTTTGGTAATGTATTTTGAAGTTCAGTACATGATGTCTCTAGCTCTGTCCATTTTGCTCAGGATTGCTTTACCTATTTGAGGTCTTTGGTGGTCCTTTACAAATTTTACAATTTTTTTCTTTCTATTTCTGTGAAGAATATCATTGGAATTTTGATAGGGATTGCATTGAATCTGTAGATTGCTTTGGGTAGTACAGACATCTTAACACTATTAATTCTTCCAGTCCATGTACACAGCATATCTTTCCATATATTTGTGTCATCTTAGATTTTTCCATCAATGTTTTATAGTTTTCAGTGTACAGATCTTTCACGTCCTTGGTTAAATTTACTACTAAGTATTTTATCTTTTGATGTAAATGGAATTGTTTTCTTGAATTTGTTTTGGATAGTTCATTGTTAGTGTATAGAAACACTACTGATTTTTGTTAGTTGATTTTGTATCCTAAAATTTTACTGAATTCCTTTATCTAGTTCTAACAGTTTTTTGGTAGAATCATTAGAATTTTTTATATATAAAATTATGTCATCAGCAAACAGAGGGAAGAGAAAACCCACAGATTAGGATAAAATATTTGCAAATCCTATGTTGAATAAGGGGCTAGTATCTAAAATATACAAGGAACTCAAACTAGCAATAAAAAGGAAGCCAATAACCCATTTAAACATGGGCAAATGACTTAAATAGACATTTCTCAAAAGAAGACACACAAATGGCCAACAGGGATATGAAAAAAAAGCTCAGCATCACTAATCATCAGGAAAATGTACATTAATGTACCCCTCACAGCCGTTGGATTGGCTATTAGCAAAAAGATGAACAATAACAAGTGTTGGTGAGAATGTGGGGAAAAGAGGACTCTTATACACTGTTGTGGGAATATAAATTAGGACAGTCATTTTGCAAAACAGTATGGAGATTCCTTAAAAAACTAAAAATAGAACCACCATGCAATCTAGCAATTCCACCTCTAGGTATTTATCCAAAGGAATTGAAATCAGTGTGTTGAAGAGCGGTCTGCACTCTCACGTTCACTGCAGTGTTACTCCCAATAGCCAAGATATGGACATAACTGAAGGCTCCATCAATGGAAAAATGGATCAAAAAATGGGGTACATTTACACAATGAAATACTACTCAGCCTTTAAAAAGCAGGAAACTCTGTCATTCGTGACAACATGGATTATCCTAGAGGAAATTATGCAAAGGGAAATAAGCCAGGCACAGAGACAATTATGGTGTGATCTCACTTACATGCGGAATCTAAAAAAAAAGTCAAACTTCTTTAAGTAAAGGGTAGAATGGTGGTTACTGAAGGCAGAAGGTTGGTGGGGTTGGGATGTGGGGGAGATGGGGGAAGGAGAGACATTGGCCCAAGGATACGAAGTTTCAGTTAGACAGGAGGAATAAATTCTGGTGGTCTATGGCACAGCATGGTGACTGTGGTTAATAATCATGTACTGTGTATTCCAAAGTAGTAAAAAGAGAGGATTTTAAATGTTCTCATCACAAAGAAATGATAAATATTTGAGGTGATGGATATAATAGCCTTATTTGATCATTTCACAATGTGTACATGTATCAAAACATCACATTGCACCCCAAAAATAGAGAGAATTATTATTTGTCAATTAAAAATAAAACAAAAAGACTATGATTTTCATATATGATTTTCTTATTGCAATTTAGTGCCTAGAACCAGAAATTATAAATACTGATTACCATGTAAGCTGAAAGGAAAGGAAGGGGAGGAAGGAAGGAAGGAAGCAAAGAAGGAAGGAGGGAAGGAAGCAAAGAAGGAAGGAAGGAAGGAAGGATGGAAGGCAGGGAGGGAGGGAGGGAGGGAGGAAAAAGGGAAGGAAGGAAGGAAAGACTTTGAGCATCTACACGTTGCAATATTGTAATAATTTCATTATTATGAACATTTTGAGTTTTGGGTCACTTTAAAAATGACACATAATCATTTTCCACATTCCTGTTCAATGTAAACATTTATTGCCACTTTTAACTAAACATGTAGGAGTCCCATTATTTTCAGTGCATTTGGTCTTAGGGAATGCAAATGATGATCACTGAAGCCCCCTTCAATTCACTCTTTCACGGTTGTCTTAGTTTCACGTTCCCTCCATCCAAAATTATTTCATTTTGAAAATAATTGATTTTAGAAGGCAATGGGGAAATGAGATGTGCTTTTCAAAAACCTTTGAGTCAAAGATATGACTGACTGTGGATTCTTATTTTTAAAATAAAATATGAGCCATAGAATAAAAATTTCGGTACAGAATGGCACAACACGGTGGAAAGTTAAAAGCATGGAAGCAGGTGGCCGTCAGGGAAGCACCTCTCTCTATTTACAAGGCCACGATGAATTAGTGTCTGAGTGTACATGAAGCTTAAATAAACTAAGTAACAAATCCCCTGCTTACTACACATCTCTGTCCTACAATCCAGCCAAACCATTCAGACGTGAGCATCCCACATACAAGGAACAGATTGCACAGGGTCAATATTGGAATTTACTTCATTTTTGGGAAAACGACTTTACGGCCTCATGGCAAAATGTCTCTGTTGACCTTCAGAATAAAAATGTTAACTCACATAAACTGAAACAGAATATTTTTCTCTTGCTTTTGCAGAAGGATCTGCAACCTGAAGAGAACGGTCACAGTATTCTGCACGTAATGCAGTGTGAATGCAGATTCTACGAGGAACTATGCCTTACAATTGGATTTTAATTCAATTTCTCTAGGATTAAACAGAATGAAAAAGGGTCATAAGGTTTTGAAGATGTCTGTTTATTTTCACTTATATGTGATCTTGATCAACTTGTCTATGAGTATTACTGAGTGAGCAAGAACTCTCTGAGCTCAACTTACTTCTCCACTATAATTTTACGCATTCTTTGCTTGCCAGTTTATATGAAGTGTGCTACACCAACTAATCCAAAATAGATGACAATGAGTCCTGGCATCTAAAGCTTTTAACTTTGAATGCCTCTTACTATTTCAATTCACAGTGATAAAAATATTACTGTTATGTACATGTGTTAAGCACTATTGTATATCGCTTTGAAGCCTATCCTGCTGCTTTCGTGAAAAATGGATGTGCGTGTGTTTCTGTGTATACAGGCAAATATCATCAGAAGCACTTTCACTGTGATGGTAACCTTTCTATACACTTTCTAACTTGTCTGGATTTTCTTGAAGGTCGATTGGGTTTTCAACTGTGTTATCTGCTAGGTGTTTGATGGAGTGGTCCAGATAACAGAAGAGAGAGCAAAGGAAAAAGAATTTTTTGAAGATCAAAAGTGGCTGTTCATTTTGTTATCTGACCCTATCTGTTGTCATAGTAACAGGTTTCTTTTAACCTATGTCATGGGATGATTTGTCTCTATCTGCTCTGAATTCTCCTTTGACTGAAGAGCTGCTCCTCCAGCACCTAGCCGTTTTCCAGGCTGTCTGTGAAGCTCTGCAGAGGGGCCAGAGAACGGTTCCCAGGTCGGAAGGGATTTAAATTACATTTTCAATTTAAACCGCTATCTTAATTTAGGAGGAGATAAAGCCAACACAGTTGCTTTCTCCCCTGGTTTTACAACATATGAGTAAATGTCATTTAGGAATGAAATGAATGACGGTGTTGACTCTTTAACACTCAGGACAGGTTTCATCCTGCACCGAACCAATGACAGGAGATAAAGTGACTACGTGGAAGGTGGTGTTTGAAGCAAACTTTTAATGAAAGGAATAAAATAAAAGCTGATCTAATTTCCCCTGTTGCTCTGGGAGGAGGCTGTGGGGAGGTTGGAACTTTCTCTTCATGCTGACAACTGCAAAAATCCAGTCCACTTACATCAGGGCGACCAGAAGTGACTGGAAACAGGTCCGTTTATTCTTAAACAAAGCTTTCAGAAAACTGAGTTTCAGAAGGTGAAATTTGTTCTGTGGGTCATTTTAAGTGACTTGATGCAACTACGACATTCCTTTGGGTTTTGCAGGTAAAACATCTTAGAAATGGACTCTCAGCATTTGATTGAGTCCTAGGCACCCCCTCCTCCAGCAGTGGCCTCCCCTACCCCCAACCAGGCCCATGTAGCACCTGGCCCTCACCACTCCAGCCCCCACATGGGATCAGGGGAAGTTCTGGAACTGACCTCCCTCCATGCAACAATGCAGGTGAGCCAGGGTCCCCAGGCAGTGGATTCCTGCTCAGTGTGCAGTCAGCTCTTCACTCTGTTCCATGGCAAAGGCAGAGGAAAGTTTCTCCTGTCTCCCAGGAGGTTCTTGGCTGTCACCTGTCACCAGACAGGCTTCATCTCCACTTACCCAGGACTTGCAGAATGAATAAGCTTCGTGATGCAGAACACGTGTCCTTATCATTTTCCTCTAGTTTTAAAAACCTGTGCGCATAACAGATGCCTTTAGGTGAATCTCTGAGAGAGAGCTCAATAAACAAGGTGCATCACTTAGGAGGGATTCCAGTGGTGACTTCTCACTTCCTGGGACTGGACAAAGCCCCCTTCTGTGGAAGACCCTCCCTAAGAAGGCCCAGAGTCTCCCCAAGGCGCCTGATGGAAGGAGACGGCCCCTACCTAAAGCATCCTTGATTGCACAGAGACTCCTACAGAGGGGACTCCGAGGGTGGGTGATGGAGTCGTACCCCTGCTCATTCCCATCAGGCCTGCTCACTGATGCACAGCACGCTGTCCTGCGGAAACCTCCGTCTTTTCATCTGTAAAATGGAGATGATAGTAGCATCCACCCCATAGGACTGAGATATTTTTTCTAGAGTGCTTGCAAAGATCCCGCACATGGTAAGCCCACAGTGACTGTGAGCTTCTAGGTGGTCCCTGCTCCCAGAGCTGAGGGCTGCAGCTGTCCAAGACGTCGTCTTCACCTCTTCTCTTCCCAGGATCTGTGACGTGGCATTTGCCTGCACCACTGGAGACCAAACACATGCCTTAGAACACTTACAGTTAACCTCCTTAGACAAACTCACAAACAGTGACAGACAACAGAGGAATAATGACCTGCAAAAGGTTCAAAACTGTAACTGGACTGGCGAGAGTTTTCTTCATGAGGCATCAGTGTGCTAGCCTAACAATTCTCTGCCTCTGGCAACCATATTTTTTGCCTGTCCTATGAAACGTCTGATCTGATGAGCAAACATCAGTGGTACTTTGCTGTCAGAACTCTCTCTCTGACCATCTCACCCAAGCATCACGCAGGTGAGCATGGGGTGGTGAGCACACGCAGGACAGCTCTGCACGGCTGCAACAGGTGCCCCCTATACCAGGCTCCCAGGATTGTGCATCTTACCCACCACGGCCCATGGAACCCTCACTCAGTGCAGACACCATCTGCCCCGGCCTGCCATACACTGCCTAAGTGTGCGGTGGGTGGGAGGGAGGAGGGATAGATGGCCGAGGCCTGAGGAGGCCCGCGGGAGGAGAGGCCCAAACTCAGGGGCTGCAGGTGCAGACGTGGCAGGGGAGGCACCCCCAAAAATAATTGCCAGCAATCACTGTAATGAAGAGCCGAGAAAAGAAAAGTTGAATTGGGAGTTTTACCGGCAGAGCAACGTTTAATACCTTTAATAATAAAATTGTTGAAACAAACATTTTAATAATCTATAAAGACTGTTACTTAAAATGTGTTTGTGTGTGTTTCCTCCTCTACTACTATCTGAAATGAAGAGCTGAAGGATACCAGAGAATGAACAGGGTGCATTTGGATCACTGAAATATTCAGTCATAAACTTCTGACACAACTACAAATTATTTAATTTCTACTCTTAACTCCTTAATGTTAATATGGGAACTTCCAATGTATAGCTACAAGGAGTTAGAAAGTACAATACATTGAATTTATTTTCCCAGAATCTTTAATATTAACTTCAAATGTAGTTAGTTTGATACATTTTAAAATCTAATTTTCAAAGGGAAATTTTAGGAGAGAATAAATTCTGCTCTCTAAAGAGCTATTCAAATTTAAAAAACAAATTTCTAGACCTTCCGAATTTATGGTCTTAAAAAATATCAAATGCTCAGTTTTTTAAAAAATGAAGTTAATTTCAATGAACTTAATTAGCATTTTGGCTCCTACATACATATTTTAGCAACTCCTTATTGCCTGAGACATAGTTAAACTAAAACAAGCAGCGTGTGTTTTTAAAAATTTTATTTTGGAAATCCATAGTTCCCCTGGGCTTAAAATTGAAAATGCAGGTGCGTTGGGTAACGCAAACTGCTTCACCCTATCAGAGGTCAGCTTGGGCATCAAAGAAACTCCTAGAGAAAACAGAAATGGGGTTTTATTAATTTCCAAGGGTGAAAGGAAAAAAGTGATGTTTCAGGGTTCCGGAAGCAGAAATCCTTCCTGAAGCAGGTTATTCAGAGGGATAACCAAGCACAGAGAACCCCTGGCTCCCCACCGGGAGATCAGCCCTGTTCTCACAGCGGAAGCTGTTGTGCTGGAGGAGGTATCTTCTTAGAGACCTCAGTGTCCATCCCGGCTCCTCCCCATGAATGCCACATGGATGCAGTGCTACTCCCAACATTGGGAGCTGGCTGTGTCCTGTCTTATGTGGTAGCTGAGCTAAGGGATTCACAAACATGTTACTTTTCTCATGAATGCTGAACACATTGAATTTAAGCAGTCTTTATTCTCCTCTGAGATTAGAGCTTCAGCAGTGTGTTATCAAACCCATAATTTTCCCTCTTGCTTCACTCCTCAAAGCTACTTAAATTTAAATACTAATAGCAAACCAAAAAGGTTTTATGTTAAAACTAAGAATTGAGTGTCACATTGAATTATTATGTTTTTCTCTAAACCATTAGGAAAGTCTTAATTGAATGAGATTACAATTAATAACTCTGGAAAAACAGCACACGTTAGTAACATTTAAAAAGAAAAGCATACAAACTCCAACTATATAAATTTTTTTTGGAGAATCTATTTTCTTTGGGTTTTTCAAATTTTTTTAAGAGCTTTGCTATTCCTTCAAGATTGTATCCTTTATAATCAGCAGACAATTACTGTACAATGTGTGAGCTACTGGGTAGAAATGATATAATTACACTATACATCTATACATCTACATACAATATATAATTTTATTCCATGCTTGGCTTTAGGTACTTATTAAAAATGAGTAAAAAGATCAAGAAAAAAATTAAAATTAATTTATGGAAAAGGTAGAAAATAAAACCTAGTTATTTTCCTGGATTCTTTATAGATTCTCAAGTCTGTGGAAAGAAGGCTTTCAGGTCTTATGATGAGGCTGTTGCTATTTTACATTGATTGAATAAATAGAAACATTATAAATAAACAATATCTGATAAATATATCAAAGGAGTGAGCAGATACCAACAGAAATGAACTTTATTTCACAAGATTTCCTATCATTCCCAGGTTGTTTTTAATTCTAAAAATCCATTTAAAGAAGAGTCTGTTTGAACATTGTTATGTATCTGGTTCCTTTTGCATTGAGACTTTTCCCCCTACAGAAAGCATTTTAAAGTCCTTTTCAAAGCTCCTTTGCCAGACTCTTCCCGGAGGAGCAGGCAGGGAAAGGCCCGGGCCTCAGATCTGCAGACTGGGCGCTCCGGGCAGGTCAGACCCCGGGAGAGGACTTTGTCATATGGAAATGTTTAACGGTCCGGCTCACAGCCTGTGGAGGCTGCTTTTTATCTTTGCAGGGTTTGAACATGATCCTTTCAAAGCCAGATAACCCAGGAAAGGCCTCAGAGGGACTTCTGGCTGCTCCCTCCCGATCCCCCTCATCCTCGTCCCCGAGGGGTCAGTTATTAGAATTCGATCAGGAGGCTTTCTTGTGGTTATCTATTTGGGTTTCAGTCTTTATGTGCCTGCAAAGTAATATGCTCTCATTGCTTTCCTTCGAATGAGCAGAAGAAATTGTAAGATAGAAAAAAGTTAGCTTATAAGTGCACAGTTGTGCATCTTTTGAGTATATTGAAAACTGGGCCACTGAAATTGTACTAAAGACTCAGCCTTATCAGCTCCAGTAATGACCCCTTGCCTCTATCTAATACCCAAATCTGGCTTCCTAGCCAACTGGAGAAAGATGTGTTACTCTCTAATGTTCCTCTAAAAGGGTGCATTAAACAGTAGACTCTTCATTTAATACAGATAAGATAAAATAGAAATATTTCTTGGCCAGGCTGAATCAGCCTAGATTTTTTCCACTCATTAAATCAACTTGTTTTCCTGAGAACCCACCAGGTCCTACCCAGAAGAGGGCCCTCCCTGTCCTTACTTCACCCACACAGAGATTCTGAAGATCAGGGCTTCTCCCACTATCTGGCAGGAAGGACTAGGGTTTCTTTTTCCCTAACCCACAGCAGACCAATATTTTTATTTTTGTAAAATAAAATCCCAATTAATACATGATAAAATAAAAATATAGAAACCTTTAAATCCTTAGATACAACGGATGTAAAATTGCTGTCATGTGCTGAAATGACTTCTAAATACTTACTTTCAACTTCTGTTCTTAGGTGGTTGTGGACTTGTACACCATAACTGCTAAACTGGAGTGTAGTAACTGCGATGGTTTCAATGTGACTCCTCAGGAATTCATGCGTTGAAACCGAATGGCTAATATCATAATGTTAACAGGTGGGGTCTTTAAGAGACGATAGGTCAGGAGACCTCCACTCTTGTGAATGAGGTTAGGTGCCCTTTTAAAGGACTTGGCAGAGAGAGTCTGTTCCTTTTGCCCTTCTGCCTTCTGCCACGTGAGGTACACGGTGTTCCTCCCGTCTGGAAGACACAGCATACAAGCCACCATCTTGGAAGCGTAGGCTGACCTCACCAGACGACAAAACCTGTTGGTATCTTAATCTTGGCCTTCTCAGACTCCAGAACTGTAAAAAATAAACGTGTGTTCTTTATAAATTACTCAGTCTGTGGTATTCTGTTAGAGTAGCACCAATTGACACAGGCGAAGGCACAACTCAAAGGGAAGTTCTCCATCACAGCACCCCATTTGGTTAGAATGCAAGGGGTTCTAATCCTCCGACTTGATTGCAAGCTTTGAAGGTTAGGTCTCTTTATTTCCACAAATTTATCCCAAGAAATGCATCACCAGTACCCCCTTAAAGTCCAAAAATTGCTTTGTTCATATCATAGTGTTAGCATATTGACAACTGTTTGTGAAATTGTTGAATTCCAGCAGTCTTTCAGAATCTTTTATTACAGATACACTATTCTACAGAGGTCAATAGGAATGCAAGATGAATTTCAGTGCCCTCTGGGTGGGCTCCATCCATGATGAGGCCGAGGCAGCATTGGGACTCCCCTCCATTCAGGCAAATCACCCAACTCAAGGAACACTTGCCGCTTGCTCTGTAAAGTCGGCTGATAGTAAGTGCATGGCTTGTTTGACAACTCGCTAAGAAGCTAATAAGATATATGAGAATCATCAATTCTAAATCCAACGCGTGCTGCAGATGGAAGGTGGTGTCAATTTTCTAGCCACACCAAATTAAGCAAAGCTTATTTCTACCTAAAATTTGTCATTGGCATGCACACACACACACAGACACACACTTCATTTCTTTATTCCACAATTTCACTGGCTACTTACTGTACAGAGAGATACAGGAGAAGAAATGCAAATCCATTAGATCTGGTTCTTTCTGAAGTACTTTGCAATCAAATAGAAGAGATGAGGCCAGTCTACAGTAGGAGTATAGGATATAAATTATTCTGTGACATAAACATTATATAGAGGAGCTAAACTTAGCCAAGATTACCTCCAGCCTAAAAGATCTAAGGAGATTCCGTAAAGGGCAAATCAGTCAAGCCTTAGAGAATTGGTAGAATGTTGTTAGATTAAGGAGTGCAAGAAAGGCACTGGGAAGCAATAAACTGTTGAAGCTCAATTAAAGCACAGGTCTTACCTGGGCGTGTTGGGAGCAGGCAGCCTGGAAAACTACTTGGAGTTAGGTTGTGAGAACTCAAAGGGTGGGTGGAAATGTTTAGAATTCATGTGGTCAGCAGAGGATTCACATGCAATGTTTTCACTCTGGTGAGTGCACTGTGATCATGCCACCGCTCCTGAGATTCTCCTCTGCCATTGTACTTAAGTAAGACTCATAAATGGCAGTGAATGCAATAAAAACGTTGCAAGAAGTCACATGCTTGCCATACTTAGTGATGAAAGACAGAGTGCTTTTCCCCGGAGATGAGGAACAAGACCGGGGTGCCTGTTCTCACCATGTCTATGCAACCTTGTTTTGGAGGCTCTAGACAGGAAAGTTGTGCAGGAAATAGAAATAACGGACATCCTCATTAGGAACAAAGAAGTGAAACTATCTCTATTTGCAGACACATGATTATGTATGTAAACAATTCTAAGAAATTCAGAATTTAAAAAACCACCACCACCAACAAAAAAACCCAACAACCATTGTTATAGTAATTCAGCAAGTTGCAGAATACAATTCTTTTTTTTTTTTTTTTTTGAGACGGAGTCTCGCTCTGTCTCCCTGGCTGGAGTGCAGTGGCACGATCTCGGCTCACTGCAAGCTCCGCCTCCCAGGTTCATGCCATTCTCCCTCCTCTGCCTCCCGAGTAGCTGAGACTACAGGCGCCTGCCACCACACCTGGCTAATTTTTTGTATTTTTAGTAGAGACGGGGTTTCACCGTGTTAGCCAGACTGGTCTCGATCTCCTGACCTCGTGATCCACCCGCCTTGGCCTCCCAAAGTGCTGGGATTACAGGCGTGAGCCACTGTGCCTGGCCCGATACAATTCTAATATACAAAAATCAATTGTATTTCTATAGCTTTTCATTGAACAATCCAAAAATGAAGAAAACAATTCTATTTAAAACAGCATCAAAAAATAAAATAATAAGGAATAAACAACAAATAAAACATAAAATTTTCACTTTGAAAACTATAAAGCATTGCTGAAATAAATTCAAGGTCTAAGTAATTGTAAAAACATTCAATGTTCATGGATTGAAAGGCTTAATATTGTTAAAATGATAATACTGCCAAAACCAACCTGCAGATACAGTGCAAGCCCTGTCAGTATCCCAGATGACTTTTTTGTAGAAATTGACAAGTTGATCCTAAAATTCATATGGAATTCATAAGAGACCTAGAATAGCCAAAACAACTTTGGAAAGGGAAAACAAATAGATAACTATATTTTCTGATGTTAAAACTTATTATAAAGCGGCCGGGTGCAGTGGCTCACGCCTGTATTGCCAGCACCTTGGGAGGCGGAGGTGGGCGGATCACAAGGTCAGGAGATTGAGACCATCCTGGCTAACGAGGTGAAACCCCGTCTCTACTAAAAATACAAAAAAATTCAGCCGGGCATGGTGGCAGGCGCCTCTAGTCCCAGCTACTCGGGAGGCTGAGGCAGGAGAATGGCGTGAGCCCAGGAGGAGGAGCTTGCAGTGAGCCGAGATCACGCCACTGCACTCCAGCCTGGGTGACAGAGCAAGACTCCATCTCAAAAAAAAAAAAAAAAAAAAAAAAAAACTTACTATAAAGCAATTTAGCAAGACAGGGTGGTAGTGGCCTAACATAGAGCTATAGAGCGACAGAAGAGAATTGACATTTCAGAAGCAAACCTCTGTGTCAACTTACTTTGGAAAAGGGTGCCCAGGGCAATTGAATGGAGCCTAAATATTTTCTTTCAACAAATGGTGCTGGGACAATTGGATAGCTATGTGCAAATGAATGAAGTTGGACACCTACCTCACATCATTTACAAACTTAACTCAAAATGGATCAATGATCTAAAGGGGAATTGATACAAGACAATTTTTAGGAGAAAACATAGAGGCAAATCTTTATGACCTTGAATTTGGCAATCCATTGTTATATGACACCGAAAGCATAAGCAGTTAGAATAAAAGAAAACAGATGCATTGACCCTCATCAAAATCTAAAACTTCTGTGCTTCAAAATACACTATTAAGAAAGTAAAAAGACAACCAATAGAATGAGAAAAAATATTTGCAAATCATATATGTGATGAGGGACTCATATTTAGTATATATAAGGGACTCTTTGTGTTAGTCCATTTTGTGTTGCTATAAAGGAATACCTGAGACCAGCTAAATTATAAAGAAAGGCATCCATTTGGCTCACAGCTCTGCAGGTTGTACAGGCATGGCACACACATCTGCTCGGATTCTGGTGAAGAAGCTCTTACTCTGGGGAAAAAATGAAGGCAGAGCAGACGTGTCATATGGCTGGGGGAGCAAGAGAGATGCCAGGTCTTTTAAACAACCATGTCTTGTGTGAACTAGTAGGAAAACCTCACTCATTACCATGGAGAGGACACCAAGTCATTCTTGAGGGCTCTACACCCATGACCAAAATACCTCTGACTAGGCCCACCTCCAACATTGCGGACCACATTTCAACATGAGATTTGGAGAGGACAAACACTCAAACTATATCACTCTCATACTCAATAACATAAAGGCAAATAATTCAATGAAAAATGGGCAAAGCATCTACATATACATATCTCCAAGAAATATATACAAATGGCCAATAGGCACAAGAAAAGACACTGGATATCATCAGGGAGATGCAAACAAAACCACAAGGAGATGTCACTTCACAGCCACTAAGCTGGCTGGGATCAAAAGGTCAAATAATGGCCTGTTGGTGAGGATGTGCAGGAACGCCAACACCCATGCACTGCTTCTAGGGGTGTAAAATGATGCAGCCGCTTTGAAAAACAGCCTGGTGGTTCCCTAAATGCCTAAACATAGACTTACCAACAATTCCACCCCTAAATATATATTTAAGGGAAACAAAAGCATTGTTCATGCACACGTTTGTACACAAATGTTTCTAGCAATAATATTGTTAGCAATAACCAAAAGGTAGAGACAACTTGAATCCCCACCAACTGATAAATGAATAAAGAAAATGTGATATATTTGTACCATGGAATATTACTCAGCCACAAAAAGGAATGAAGCAAGGCACATACTACAAGATGGTTGGACCTGCCCGGGCGCTGTGGCTCATGCCTGTAACCCCAGCACTTTGGGAGGCTGAGGTGGGCGGATCGCCTGAGGTCAGGAGTTCGAGACCAGCCTGACCAACATGGTGAAACCCCGTCTCTACTACAAATACAAAAATTATCTGGGCATGGTGGTGGGCACCTGTAATCCCAGCTGCTCCAGAGGCTGAGACGAGAGAATCGCTTCAACCCGGGAGGCAAAGACTGCAGTGAGCCAAGATCGCACCACTGCACTCCAGCCTGGGTGACAGAGAGACTCCGTCTCAAAAAATAAAAATAAAAAAATAAAAAAATAAAAGATGATTGGACCTTGAAAACATTATGCTTGGTGAAGAGGACCAGACGCAAAGACTATCTATGATTCCATTTATATGAAGTGTCCAGAGCAGGTGCATCTACAGAGGCAGAAAGTGGTCAGTAGTTGCTTAGGGGTGTGGGAGAGATTGAAGATTCGTGGCTAAAGGATTTGTGGCTTATTTTTGAGGTGATCAAACAGTTCTAACATTGACTGTGATTTTATGTATCTGAAAATGTACTAGAACTATTGAACTGTACACTTCCAATTAATGGATTGTGTGACATGTGAATTGTATTTCAATAAAGTTGTATTTTTAGAAGTCCCATGTAAACATCTCCCCCTGTGTGTACAAATGATGTTCTCTCCATCGTTGCAGGAAGCCTGCGTTTCCACTCCTCGAGTGCTGTCCCTGAGATGGGAAATGCACACCGCACGGCTGCTGGAAGGCAGCTCTTCCAGTCCAGGATAAGCGTCACTACTGCAGTGAATCCAAAGGAACACTCGGAGGTCACGATGGCTGGTCCTCTTTTTTTCTTTTTTACGGAGTCTTGCTCTGTCACCCAGGCTGGAGCGCAGTGGTACAATCTCGGCTCACTGCAACCTCCGCCTCCTGGGTTCAAGTTATTTTCCTGCCTCAGCCTCCCGAGTAGCTGGGATTATAGGTGCATGCCATCACAGGCTAATTTTTGTATTTTTAATAGAGACGAGGTTTCACCATATTGGCCAGACTGGTCTCAAACTCCTGACCTTGTGATCTGCCTTCCTCAGCCTCCCAAAGTGCTGGGATTACAAGCATCAGCTAGTCCTCTTTTGTCCCGATGTCATGATCTTCCTAAGCACTGGCCTGGTTCCATGTAGACTTAGGAGTGTGATGAGAATCTTCTGCTTTCCCATGGGAAGCGCTGTGACTTGGCCCTTGCGCTGCATTCCATAAGGGGTCTGCTTCCAGGACACTTAGCAAGGCCACCTCTTCATGAAGTAACATAAAGAGGGGTTGAGACAGCCCCGCAGTGCTTTGGAAGAGCATCTCCACAGCCAATGGTCCTGATAATGTTTTCGGTGGTGGAGGGGAAGCCGGATGTGAGCCTTGAGAGACGACTGCTCTCATTCCTGGCCTCGTTCATGACGTCATCATCTCTTCACTTACACAAAGACAGCAGATCTTTCTTATCCCGCCAGAAAACCAAGATTTTGGCTGTCCTGTCAAACCTTTAGAAAGAAAAACGAGCAAGACCCAACCACTGTGACCTGCTGTTGATCAGGAACTTCAGGTCTGTAGAACAAATACTGTTGATCTGTTGGGCTATTTGCCACTTCTCCTAAGTCTTTTTTATTTCCTGAATTATGCAACATGATTTCCTGCCATTTATTTAAAGAGGCCAGGACCTGAGTGGATGTAACATCATATTGGAGCAACCCCAGCACCCGTGGGGATACAGTTCTGTTCCTCTGAGCTTTTCTTCACGTTTGACCTCTCTCGAGGGAGGCTCATTCAGGAACTTGACGAGTTTTGCTGGAAATCTGTTTCTGATTTTTCCTACCCCAAATTTACAATTTTAAAGAATGTAGACTATGCAATGAAAATTATAATGACCTATTAAAATAGACCCTTTTGTGGCTAATAAAAATGAAACCTCTCAGCCTGACATAGAGACAAAAAGATTACAATTGTCTGCCCAAAAACTTTAAGAACTTTTGAGAAGGAAAAAAGAAACAAAACAATAGAAGTAGTATTTTGGGGTTGTGTTAAGCTGCTCACAATGTAGGTGGCTTTGGTCCATTTAGACACCAAAGTCTCTTCCTGGTGTCTGGGCTGGATTCTGACAGTCTAGACGTCTTACCATGGGGGTGCTTGGCCACAGTGGATGTGCAAACTCAGCTCCAGGAAAGTCCCTCAATGGCTTTCTATCAAGGACAATGTTGGTTGCGCAAGTACGACGGTGATGAATCCACCACAAGAGAGTTCCTTCCTCCCCAGATGTGTGTTGCTTCTCCTCTAGACGGCTGGCCAGCTGCCTCCACCCCTCCCCACATTGCCCTTGCCATCTATCACAATGCATGCTTGTGGATGCAAGGTGGAAGATTGTGTGGGGAAAGTCAAGGGGCTTTTCAAAATGAAAGGTCAGGAAACATTCTTCTTGGCCAGTGAGAGTTACTCCTTGCACTGGTTTTATATCAGGTAGTGCTGGGAGCACTGGGCTTGCTAGCCTGCACCTTAAAACATGCGTCACCTGGGAAAGAAGAAAAGCAGTGCAAGGTGAAAAAGGAAATGAATTTCTGCACACTCCTCTTTGGCTCCAGGCACTCTATAGATCCTACCACTCTTAGTTTCTTATAATGATCCCCTGGGATCGATCGTGTTATTATTGTGATTTAAAAAATGGGCAACCTGAAGCTAAAGATGATTAAGGAACTTGTCAATGATCACAACAAATGTTGGTAAAATGAGACCAACAGACACCTTGCCATTACCACTTTGTGGTCACTGCGCAGTCCTCTGCAGTGGCTGGGAGCTCTTGCAAGGTGTCTGTCAGTTCCTTTTGGTGAGTCTAAGGGGCTGTGCCAGGCGGTAGGGGCTCCCTGTCTGTGTCTCCCACTCTCCATCATTCCCACTTCTCTGCCAAGTTGTGCAATGCAAGAAGCTGGCTTGATCTGGAATTTAGGATAACTCAGGTTTACAATGTCGCTGTGATAGTTGATAGTTGATCTGTTAGCAGCACTGACAGTATGGCAGCTCTTGGGAGGGTCAACTCTGGCATAGCCTGTAGACACCTGAGTGCCTGTCAAGTTGATTTTGCAGCAAGTAAAAGGTGTTTATCTAACACATCCCCCTTGGCAGTGCAGGCTGACTTCCTCAGATGGTGTCCAACTACTTCCAGTGGGTTTCCTGAGGAGCCTTTCTCTGTCACATGAGGCATGGAACACCTGCCCTTGGGGATGGCCTAGGCAAGCACAAGGACACCCTCAGGTTGGCTTGTCTGAATGAGCACTTATTTAAGCACTTATTTTTACCAAAGTTTATGTCATTGGGAGAGATTTTCAACCATCTGGTAAGATACAAAGCCTCCTGAATTTTCCCATCTGCTTCTGGTATTTCACTCCCCATGATGTCATGTGTGTATGTGTCAGACAGTTAGAGATGGGGCAGGCTGTTGGTGAACTATAGGAGACCCTACCCGATGGGGAATCTCCCAGGTGTCTGAGGTCATGAACCCCATCTGTGTCACTAAGGTGGCAGATGAACACATGCGTGTCTTGCCTATTGAATAATTACATTTAGAACACATGTTCCTTTGTTGGTTAAATACTTGAGATAAGTACCAGTTCAATGCTTTACATTTTTCTACTGCATAAGGCAGGCTGACTTTTTTTAAAAAATCAACACTTACGGAGCTCCTCCTGTGTACAGAACCTGCGGTCAGTGTTTTCTAAGGTTATGGCATTGCAGTCGCACAACAACCTTGTAAAACTTATACTGCTGTATTTCAGATGAGATGGCTGGGGTGCAGCAGTGGCTGACCATTGGCCTGGCTTGCACGGCTGATAGGCGGTGGAGCTCAGGATTCTGCTCTGAACTGCTTGCTCCAGGGCTCATGCGCCTTCTCCATCATGCTCCCCCATGGAGATGCCCCAAATCCAGATGAAAGGATTGTTTGCTGAGCCTGACCATATGCCACGAGCAAGCATTGGCTATTTCCCATTGGTAGACGAAAGTGGGACCGTCAGGAGCATAGCGGTACCCCCTGTCAAAGGTAAAGAAAGGGGTTCAGGAGAACATCTGGTGAATTGCCCAGGGATCTCCACCAGAGCTTAATGCCCCTCTCCTGTCTGTTGGCTTCATGCATCCTAGCTACCCTCTTGCAATGAAAGAGTATGTGGGAAAAGGCCTCATGTATCTCTTTCAAAGATTAGTGCTTAATAAACATTTGTTAAAACATAAATTAACAGGCATTATCCTTTTTAAACACAATTTTTTTGAGGTAAAATTTACATACCATAAAATTCATCCATTTTAAGTGTATAATTTGATGACTTTTAGTAACTTTACGGAGTTGTCCAACCACCATCAAAGTCTAATTTTAGGATGTTTTAGGATGTTTCCATCACCCCAAAAAGAAATCGGGTGTCTACTTTCAGTGACTCTTCATTCTCACCCCCAGCCCCTGACAACCACTCATCTTCTTTCTGAGCACTCCAAGCAAATGGGATGAAAATGTGTTTGTGTGACATTTTTGACTGGCTTCTTTCACTTAGCATAATATTTTCAGACTTATCCATGTTGCAGGTTGATGTTCACTCCTTCTTATTGCTGAATACTACTGCTCTGTGTGGATATACCACATTTGTTATCCATTTGCCAGGTGAAAAACATTTAGAGTGTTGCCACCTTTGCACGCTAGGAAGAATGTTCTGTGAACGTTCACACACAAGTCTTTGTGTTGAAATATGTTTTGTTTTATCTTGGGTAGATTCCTAGTAGTTAGGATCTCCTTAACACGCATATAGTATTCAAACTTAAGAAAGTCTAAATGCTCCTTTTCTCAATGTTTAAATAAAGCATTCTTTTTTTCAGAGAGTAAGCACATGCATGTATGCTCTTTTCTAAATATGGCTGGGGTAATGAACTTAATTTTGAGAACAGATGAAGGTTCTGCAAACTCCCCATGTATATCAGTTACATATCTTGTTTCCTCTTTAGGACATTTGGAGAGTGTAGACTAAGCCTGAGATCTGTGTGAAGGACACAGATGATGAATATATCTTGCAGGAGAGAGCAGAAAGGAAGTTTTGCTCCTCAATTAATAGGATCGACGAAACCAATTGTTGTTGAGTGAGAGGAAATCCTCCTATCACCAAATGTCCCATTATTTCTCCAGCTAGAACAGTGATTGTCACATGCATCCGTCAGGATCACAGAGATGAAACACCTGAGACCGGATCTAAAGGGAGGAAAATGCCCGGAAATCTGCTAGTCCTGTTCTTTTGGTTGACTGCAGATGAAACTAAAATGTTGCACTTACAAAACTCATGTGTTAAAACTCCTGCAATTACAAAGGAAAAATCATATCTGAGGCGTTCAGTTTCCACGTGTAACATTTGAGTATGTAGATGAGAAGTAAGATTTGGGTCAGCTAGATCATACACATGAGTGGAGATTTCTGGACTATTAACTTTTCTTTGTGAGAATAGTTCAAAAATTAGCCTGCATACACCATCGGCACCAACTTTATAAATCTGTAATGCATATTTCCTCATCTTTCAGAATAAAAATAACTACAAGTAATGCTGATATTAAAATGTTATTTGATGAATTCTACAAAGCCGCCTGGTAATTTCTGGGGATGTTGCCCATTGGACGCCACTTCTAGATTTATTTGGCCAGCACTGTTATTCTCACATGACACCTCCAAGATGAAAAACTGGGTGGGAAAGAGCCTTTTTCTCTCCCCTAGCATATACCAACCTCCAGGCTCCCAGGAGGAAATTAAAAAAAAAAAAGATTATTGTCCAATAAAGCCCCTCGATGAGGATTTGGATCCAACTGTCAGGCTGTTGTTTAGAACTTTACCCTGGAAATTCTAGTTATGAATACGCAAGCTAAAATATTTGAAAGCAAGAGACAAGATCAACATAATTTTCAGAAAATGGCTCTTCACCTAGAAAACTCAAGAAAGGCAATAAAAACCATTTACACTGTAAGACAGTTTAGCAAAATATCTAGTTACAGAACAACGAAGTGAATGAGTTCATTTGATTCAATGATTACATTTGAACAATAACCTGGGCCTCTGCTAACCATGAACGGGATAGAAAGTATTATGGAAACAAACTTCATTTTCTATAATGACAAAACCTTAAAAATGCTAAGAAACAATGTAATAAAAGTATACAGGAAGTTGAAGAATAAAATTACATAACAAGAAAGAAGCCTAGTAAAGAGAAAAATGCAAGATTCTTGGGCAAAATTTAGTATTATAACCAACCCTCCATGAGTTAACTTACAAACAGTATATGATTCCAATCAGAATGCTAGGGTTTATCTAAAAGGCTGCATGAATATTACATTCCACATATTTTAAAAGAAGACTAAGAGATTATCAACTTCCAGATATTACATCACAAAGTAAGGCTACAATCACTGTAGAGAACTGAAGAGAAGAGACAAAACTAGAGACAAAAACATCCAGAAATTCCAGAAGCAGTCTAAATTCTGAAGAAGCGGTTAATAGCTGATGTGTGAAGCATTTCAAATGATCCAGAAAAGGATCAAGTGTTAAATAAACAGTACTGAGAAAAAAATAAAATAAGATCCCCACTGCTCACCTTAGCTAAAGCAAGTTCCCATGGGGTTGGCATGAAATGTAAAAAGGGAAATTGGGAGAGCGTCCACATAAAGGTGCGGTGGGTGTCATCTTCCTAAGAATAACATCAGAGATAGAAACCACAAAAGACTAATAGAGCAGATTAAAGAAAACCAACAGAAAATGGTCCTCCAGTATTTGTAGCGGTCAATAAGAAATACTGGAGAGAGAGAGAAAGGGGGATGGGGATGGATTAGGAGGCATTGGCTCATATGATTATGGAGGCTGCGGAGTCCCATGACCTGCCTCTGCAAGCTGGAGGCCCTGGGAAGCTGGGGGTGTAATTCAGTTCAAATCCAAAGGCCTGTGAGCAAGGGGGACCATGGTGTGAGTCCCAGTTCAAGGGCCAGAGCAGATGAGATGAGATGAGCTGTCTCTGCTGAGAAGTAAGACAGAAAAAAGGGGCCAAATCCCTCTTCCTCTGCCTTTTGCTCCACTCAGGCCCTCAATGGATAGGATGAGGCCACCCACATTGGGAGGGCACCTGCTTCACTGAGTCTAAGGACTCCAAGGCTGATCTCATCTGAAAACACCCTCCCAGACACACCTGGAAATAATATTTATTCTGAGCACTCTGTGGTCAGTCAAGGTGACACGTTAAAATTAAAGGTCACAGCATTGAATCAAAAGCACCATAATCAAATGAAAAGGCAAAGAGAAAAACTGGGGACAACTTGCAGAGCTGTCCTAGGCTGGCCAGGGGCTTCTACTGTGCATGTGGAATAATGAGAAACTAAACAATAATGGGAAAATCAGAATAAAACATAGAAATGACATTAATAGCTTTCTGTAGAAGATAAATGCGTAAACATTAAAACTATTTGGCTTCATTGGAAATAAAAAGTTCCTAAAAATTTAGATTAAAAAGCTTGAGATTATTTTTTTTTTAATTTTTGAGATTAAAAATTTTATAATTGACTAAGATTAAAAAAACACTAATGCTCACTGCTGGTGATGCTGTAGGGGAGGAGAGAGAGGCAGAACCTGCCGGGATGACCTTGTGTCAACAGCATCTTTCTGGAAGACATCTTTCTGTGTGTGTATCATACATAAAACCACACTTTGTTATATGTATATAATATATGTATATAAGTATAAAAATTGTGTTAGGGCTGGGTGCAGTGGCTCACTCCTGCAATCCCAGCACTTTGGGAGGCCGAGGCGGGTGGATCATGAGGTCAGGAGTTTGAGACCAGCCTGATCAACATGGTGAAACCCCGTCTCTACTAAAAATACAAAATTTAGGCGAGCGTGGTGGCACACGTCTGTAATCCCAGCTACTCAGGAGGCTGAGGGAGGAGAATCACTTGAACCAGGGAGGCGGAACTTGTAGTGAGCCGAGACTGCGCTACTGCACTCCAGCCTGGGCAACAGAGTGAGACCTTGTCTCAAAACAAAACAAAACAAAACATATATATATATATATATATATATATATATATATATATATATATATATATATATACATGCACACACAAAGAATAAATGAATGTAATGTTTTTATAGTAAGAATTGTAGGTTAGTTTAAAAATATTTTCTGAGTGCTTTTTGCATTGAGCATACTTTGATAATATAAGAAATATGAAATATTTTTTGAAAGTAGGATGCTTTAGTTGTTGAAAGTGTAATTAAAGAAGTAGAGTAGTAAATAAATTAGAGTAATATATAAATAATTGAGCTTTTTAAAAAATAATCCTTATATTTCTGAAAAGGGAAAATACTGATCCAATTACGGATACTAAATACAAGAATCAATCTTAGTACATCAGGCTCAGGGAATATGAGAAAGACACAGGTGAAGCTGAGTTTATGTTTTCTCATCTGCCGGTCCATGGCAGGACATGAAGAGTTGGGTAATTTATGGTTTGGAACGCATGCTCACTTTTGCAGGACTTTGGAAAGCCAAGTCTAATTACACCCAAATCATAGTTACTCCTGGAGGCGTTGCCTGTGTACGAATCCAACACCAACCGGATGTTCCTCAGGAGACCGTTTCATAGACCATGGGCTGCTGCACTGCAGTGTGGACGGGCATGAAATAACTTGCACTCCCATCATTTATGTGGGGGTTTGAATGCAAACAGCGAGTATGCATCTTATTAAGAAATGCGTGTCACCCAGCTCCATAGCCTCGCTGGAAATTCCAGCTACCCGAAGCAGGAATGAGGATGCCAACATTAATACACACACACAAAGACATTTTTCAGCTCAGGGACAAGACTTTCATAGCCAACTTTCTGCTGAGCGACCCAGTGAAATGAATTCACGATTATTTTGAATGAGCATAGTTTTAAAAACCTTACTAAAATATTCTCTGATTTTACAACATTTGATAAAGTCAGGGAGCTTTTTGATGTGTTTTCTTTCAAAGTGAATGGATGCTGTTTTGGCAACTTTGATATTTCATTTGAAAGGAGCATAATAAACTGTTTTCTTTGTATTGATTGAAGAAATATAGTGCTTATTTTTTTGCTTGGTTTTCTAGTAGTTATTCGATAGGTTAAAGGGCAATGCCATCTGTTTCCTAACAGGACATTTTGTGTAAGATTTGCAAGTCCTACAGGCACCTTTAAGCATGGATAAATATGCACTCTTGGTTTCAGATGGGTAGTTTTTTACTACCAAGGGATGATTATGTTGTGTGCCTTGAGACATTGGCTATAATATATTTCCTGTCCCTTTATTGCATTTTGGAATCATAAACAATGACTGTTTGGCTCAAAGCCATTTATTCAGCCCAAAAAGACATTATTTGCACAACAAAAATCAATAAAAATGTTACCAGGTCTGGCTGGATACTTTGCTTAACTGTGATATTTGTCTATCACTGATGGCATGCCATCTCTCGCAGGAGACTGGGGCCAAAACACAGCTATTGATCCAGTCAGCGGTGATGGATACTGGCATTTGGAAAGGGCTGCTGTAGAGAATCTCGATTAAAAAAATATTTCTAGGTTTTGCCTGCAGCAGAGTCAAGATAACCCGAGTGAGGAGATTTTCTCTGTTCTGTTGGGTTTCTCCCTCTTGTGGTGGAGAAGTGCTCCGGACCAAAGTCATTATTGAAAGAATTAAGTCAATCTGTGTTTCGCCAAAGGCTTTGGCATCGCATCAAGCTTAGCTGATTTAGACACGACCCCCCGTCATTTTCGTCACCTTAAAGCATCAGGAAGGCATTTTATATACACCAAGGGTAGGGAAGAGCTGCGAGGATGATCTTGCTTGCCTTTTTCCTCTTTTTACATTATCTGTTTATGTCTAGAAAAAACAGGGCAAACTGCTTCCCCCAAACAATTAACTCTGTGGCAGAGCACTTCCAAAATGTACAATTTAGTCAAGACTGAAGGCATTAACGCAAATGGAACCAATGTGATAGGCAAGACATACCAAATAGGTTAAAGACAATTTACTGCACTGAGCTTGAGGAAAAAAAATGATGTATTATCCTCTGGTCCCATAAATTTAAAATATAAAACTGTTTTTCATGTTTCACTTGATATCTCCCCACTTCCAGCATGAATCTGAGTCTCAGAGCCACAGTGGAAGGTGGCAGAAGGTTGAAAATACTTTTACTTTATTTTACTTCATTTCATTTTATTTATTCATGTACTTATGCCAGACCTTTTCCAAAAACAATTCATGGGAAAGGTGAGCTATTTGAATAGAGGTCCAGCATTCACGGGACGACAAGGTACACTCTCTGAGCTGTAACCCAGTGGTGGCGGGCTGGATTTCCAAACTCCATGACGTTCCTCAGGTTCACAGCAACATTTAGCAGCCAGACTCTGTGCAGTGTGTGTGTGCTTTGGGGTGGGGAAGGGGGCACTCCCAACAGCAGCTCTTCACTGGATCCCAAATTTCATCCTAAAAGTAGTTCATTTAGTTCTCCAACTGGCCCGAGGGGCTGCTCTTTCTTTACGTGGGTCAGACATGGCTGTGCAAGTCCAGCACAGGGAAGTCACTCTGCCCTATTTTTGTTTTACTGATTGTCTTGGATATTGTCCTTTCATTTTTAAACTAGAGACTGATCATAAAGTCTGTCCATGTCACTATGATTAAGTATTATTTTTAATCTCTAGAATACTCTGCTTGGGGTGGAAATAATTAGAAGTAGCAATGAAAAAAATCAACTGTTGTTGCTATTGTTGACTATTTTCAGGTGAGAAATTGGGTCTGGAGGATTAGATTTCATCGTGAACAATGTAGAGGCGCCTCAGCTATTTCTTTCTGTGAATTGTTTTGCAGCTGAGATCCTGTCTACTAGAGGTATGTTTTGCACTAATGATAAATGAATTTTTTTAGTGTTTCACTTTGTGTATGATTTTTCTAAGCTTGTATTATGGTCCCATTTGTAAGTAGACAAAAAGTGCCATATCACGATAACTGAAAGCTTCGTTTATAGAGATTAAATGTCTAATAAACACTTAGAGCATTGTAATTACATTTCTGATTGCAAATACACATATAGTATATATACACCTGATATACATAAAACTATATAAAGTATATGCATACATCCACATACTGTATACATTTGTATGTGTGTGGCCATTTCCTGGGCTAGGTAATAGTTAATGCACTTACTACACCATATTCTTTAAAAGTATATTTTCTATGACGCTAGATTTTTTCATTCTGAAGTACTCACATGAACGGACCTCTTGAAGCTGCCGCTTCAGATGATTGCTTAGCTACTGCTTGTATCCCCTTTAGAAAAACTGTCTTCTAACGGTCTTCCTGGAACGAGGAATGTGTGACGCCTCTCACTGCTCCTGAGAGCACCAACTCCCAGTCGCCATTCACGTTAACTTTCCTAAACCTGCATGTTCACCAATAATTAAAACTTACTTCCCTTTTATCCTGCAGCACAGAAAAATCAAGCAAGCTCTCTGAGCCTACAGCGGATGCCCTTTGAACACTGAGAGACACACACAAACCCGTGGCACGTTCCTCATGCAACAGCTCCCTCCAATTTCAGAAGAGTCGATGCTAGGAAGCACCTTGTAAGTGTCAGTGAATGAGCAGCTCTGCCCTCAGTAGATTTTTGTCTTATCCTGTCCTGCTGGTTTTCCTAAAAATTTACATCGGCTTCAAATAATATCTATTTTGCAAGTTGAAGAATAGAACGGTGGATGTTTTTCTTTGATTACCGTCACTTCATTTACAGTGATTCCATTTTTAAAATTCATTCCAAACTAGATTTGTCTTACTGCTGTTAGTTCTCTTTAGTAGCTGGTTTTATATAAATGGCTTCAGTGTGAGATCTTGAATTTTCAATCTTGATAAAGTGGGTAATAGTCTCTTCCTTGTAGAGTGTGATTGTGAGCTGCAATATTGGACGGAAAAGTGTTTGTGCTTGGGAGAAACTCCAAGAACAATACATTGTTGATGTTGTTTTTAATCAACTGAAAAATGGCCTAATTAGAGGACTTTAACAAAGATTTGTTGAAAGATTGTTGAGGGGAAGGTGCATTTAGTTTAAGTTTAATACTACATCTAGTTACATTAATTGGAGTTAAATTGTCTTTTCAATAAGTAATCCAGCAGAGTGTGAGTGGTGAATTATCTTCATTTGAACAATAAAAGGCCACCAGCCTGGAGTTGTTTTTGAAGAAGCATAGGCCAAGGATAATGTCTGTTTCACAAGTAAATCCAAGTCGGCCATGGAGATGACGTCTTGGTTTTCTCACAATGCCATCCGTCGGTGCCCTGCGGCAGTACCATTCTAGGTTGTTATTAGGAGCAAGCAGTATGTAATGGTATCCAAACCATATGTGTTGGCTGGGGAGTCCGGTGGGGGATGAAAAATTTACTTAGCATGTAATTCATTAGCAAACCTAGGACTGTGCAGAAATATTGTATTCAGATGATGCTTGTGAGATCTAAATAGAAACTGTAACACACGGTAGAGATTGAGTAAATACTTTTCTACTCCCAGATCGATTCTATTGATTGTCATTAAAGCGGCAAGCTCAAAACAATGAAGTGGTTTCTAATTTCTAGGCTCCAGGTGGAACCTGCCCTGTTTCTTCCTCTTTCCAGTTAAGAGCATCATTAAATGTATGAGCAAACAGCACATTGAGAGGCCAAGTGTTTTATTAATTCATCATCAGAATTATCTCAGTGCATTAATATTAATAGCTTCAAATTGGATTTCATTGAAGAGGTGAAATAAATATGCAGATAGTAAAAGCCTGCACAGCCAAGAGCTTTCCTTCCAATGGGACGTTCACCTCCGGCTTTGCCTCAGGAGGGTTGCGGGCCCTGCTTTTCTCCCTGGGCTGGAGCTGCCTAGAGGGAGACCTGGCACACAGAAATGTTCATTTCAGAGCAGGGAGCATGCCTGGCCCGGCCCACCCAGCCTCTGCCTCTCTGTAGGAATGAAGTCTGTGAGCTCTCTCTAACATTCTGTGTATGAAAGAGGCAGATACAACACAAGGAGAGTCATTTCTGTAGTCATGTTTCATTTCAAAATGGAGACGGGAAGAAGAGAAATTGAGTCATCTTGAGTTATACAAGGGCAAGAGATTCCAGGAGGAGCGTGAAAATGATTTGCTTTTTTGTTCAGAAAAGTCTTTGATATAATTGAAGATAAGTAGAACTTCCTTGGTGTATTTTTTTAAAAACCCTGTCTGCAATTTTCTACCTAGCCACATTTGCTTGCTAGGGCTGCCATAACAAAACACACTGTGGTATAACACAGTGGGAGTTTGTGCTCCCACAGCTCTGGATGCAAGGAGTCTGAAACCAAAGCACTGGCAGGACCAGGCTCCCTCTGGAACTCTGGGTGGCCTCGCCTTGCTCTTTCTGCCTCTGCTCATGGCCAACAACCCTTGGCCTTCCTTGGTTTGCAGCTACATTTCCCCAGCCTCAGCCTGGGTGTCAGTCAGGTGGCTGTCTCCCTGTGTGTCTCTTTATAAGAATAGCTGAAGGCACTAATGACATTACCTTAACTTCATTGCACCTGCAAGCACCCTCAGTCCAAATAAGGTCAGTCACAAGTGTCTGAGGTTAGGATTTTAACATGTTATTTTAATCCTAATTCAACTGGTAACACCAAGATAATTTTGAAAATGGAAAAAAATGTGTTTGTAAACCAGCGTACCTAAAGTCTTCAGAGACTGCCAGTAACACCTGAGGAAAGCCCCGGCGATGCGGAGCAGGGGAGGATGAGGGCTGCGAAAGGCGGCGTGACTGGCAGATGCTGAGGCCAGTCCTAGAAGGCTGTGTCCTTGTGGCTCCATGTGAAAGGTGCAGATGTCCCCCACCCCCAAACTGCTTGCACTTATGCTCTGTGACCAACTCCTCCCTGAGACCCCTGGGCAAGATTCTCTCAGGATAAACCATGTGGCTCCCAGGGCACCGCATCCAACTCTACATTGAATGGGGAGCGGGGAGTCTGGTCCAGAGGACAGACAGAGTGGGCCCCCTGGGTGGAAGGATGCCCGGCAGGATGACTGCAATGTGTGGAAGGTTCTGGGCCTTCAGGGGACCTGTGGGGTAAGAATAAACTGAGCAGCTGCACTGGATCTTTCCCACCATTCTGCATCTGCTTTGTCCTCCTGCTCAATGTAACTGGCTCTGTTTAAAATCCTGCGCTTCTTTGGGAAGACTTGGGCCCTTCTCAGGTATGCTGGGACTTTTGACAATCCCCTTCCTAGAACATTTGCACCCTTTGTGCAAGATGAAAGAGGAAGAGAGTTGCGAATTGAGGCTCTTACAAGCATATGGGCTTTAAGGTAAATATGCCATGTGTATTAGTCCATTTTCACACAGCCATAAAGAAATACCCAAGACTGGGTAATTTATAGAGGAGACAAGTTTAATTGTTTAGTTGACTCACAGTGAACCCTGTGTGTCTCTTTATAAGAATACCAGCTATCCTGGATGAAGAGCAAGGTGAGGCCACCCAGAGTTCCAGAGGGAGGACTCAGGAAACTTATAATCATAACGGAAGGCAAAAAAGCAGCAAGTGCTTTCTTCACAAGGCAGCAGGAACAGAGGAGAGCAGGGGAGACCACCACTTATCAAATCTCGATAGAACTCATTCACTATCACGAGAACAGCATAGGGGAAACCACTTCTGTGACCCAGTCACTTCCCACCAGGTCTCGCCCTGAACATGTGGGGATTATGGGGATTACAATTCGAGATGAGATTTGGGTGGGGACACAGAGCCGAACCTTATTGTGTCCTTTCAGTGGGTTCTTGTTCTCGCTGACTTCAAGAATGAAGCCGTGGACCTTCGAGGTGAGTGTTACAGCTCTTAAAGATGGTGTGTCCGGAGTTTATTCCTTCAGATGTTCAAATGTGTCCAGAGTTTCTTCCTTCCAGTGTGTTCCTGGTCTCGCTGACTTCAGGAGTGAAGCCGCAGACCTTCGCAGTGGGTGCTACAGCTCTTAAAGGTGGCGCGTCTGGAGTTGTTTGTTCCTCCTGGCGGGTTCGTGGTCTTGCTGACTTCAGGAATGAAGCCACAGCCCCTCGCAGTGAGTGTTACAGTTCATAAAGTTAGCGCAGACCCAAAGAGTGAGCAGCAGCAAGATTTGTTGTGAAGAGCGAAAGAACAAAGCTCCACAGCATGGAAGGGGACCCCAGTGGATAGCTGCTGCTGGCTGGTGTGGCCAGCTTTTATTCCCTTATTTCTCCCTGCCCACATCCTGCTGATTGGTCCATTTTACAGAGTGCTGATTGATGCATTTACAAACCTTTAGCTAGACAGGCTGCTGATTGGTGTGTTTTTACAGAGTGCCGATTGGTACGTTTACAATCCTTTAGCTAGACACAGAGTGTTGATTGGTGCGTTTACAATCCTGTAGCTAGACACAGAGCACTGATTGGTGCATTTACAATCCTTTAGCTAGACACATAGCACGCAATCCTTTAGCTAGACAGAAAAGTTCTCCAAGTCCCTACTCGACCCAGGAGCCCAGCTGGCTTCACCTCTCAATATCAGCACCACCTCCCTACCAGCCCTGAGAACACCTGGCTCCAGCTCCTCCCTGCAGGACCAGGTGCCCAACAGAGTGGTCTCTCGCTGCCCAGGGCACTCAACTCAGGGTGAGTGTCAGCTTTCCCCAGCTGCGTGACTTTAGGTAACTGGAATAATGTTCTGTCATTTAAATTCTTATTTACCCACCTCAGCACTTAGAGATTGAGTTATTATATTATAATGTATTCCCTTAAAACATTTTGGAAGAGACATGCATAATCCCACATAATGGATAATTTCTATTTCTCAAATTGTATTTCAAATGAGCAGTTAATGATTTCTGAGACTAGAAACTTAAACAGAAAGGAAATGAACAGAATCCTGTAATTAACCACGTGCTAAAATGAACTTTTGGGGAGGAGAAATTCATTGAACATGCAAATATATTTTTATACATTGCTTCTTTCCTAAATAATGCAAAATAGTATGCAATGGGGGTAGGAGCGCCTTTCTAGGAAGACTGTCCCTAATCAATTTTTCTATACAAATACTGCTGAGACTGGAAGCTCAGTACTACTGTTATTCTGTTCAAGAATCCTGATCTCAAGTAAAGCGATCTCTCTCCAGTGTCTATATGGGATTTTTGTTGTTGTTGTTGTTGCTTAACCATTGCTTGAAGGATCAAGTTGTGGTCTTTAGGACTTTTTGCAGTTAAGAAGTGTATGCCTATAAATTATACTCATACTAGGTAGACACAGAGGAACCGAAGAACCAAGACCCACCCCCAGATGTCAATGTGCCAGGGTCCTGGGCATATTCAGGGCCTTGGTGGAGTTTTTTGGAAAACTTGAGGTACTCGGGGCACAGGCTCCATTTACTCCAGGATGGGGGCCCCGTGGGTGAGCACACACCTGGACTTGGCGCCTTTTTCCCAGGGCTCTGAGCCTGTCTGGACAGGAGCTGTAGCACCGGTCAATTAGGAATGGCATGGCCAAATCTCTTCAAGGCTCTGTCATCAGACATGCAAACCCAACAGCTGCCTTTTTGTAATTTGGGGCCATTCCCTCACCCTTGATCATTTTGTCACTGTTGTTCTTGAGCTATGCTTGAGGTAGCTTCCCTCCTAGATGCAAACATTCCGTTTCTAATGTAATTTTGGTTAATTTTAAGTTTACAAGAAAGAAGAAATCAGTTCAGTCTAATTGTAACAAAGTTAAAAATATACAAGTAGGTAGCTCCAATGGAGAGAACCAGGGTTCAACAGGGGAGAGTAAACACATTGTTCCATTCCCTTCCAGGATCCCAGAGAACAAAAGGAAAAAGAAATCAACAGTGCTGGGAAAGAAGGAAGGAAAGAAAGAGAGAGAAAGGAGGAAAACAGTAAAACTTGAAAGATCATGTGGTGAAATGAATGTGAAATCCTGGATCCAATTTGTTCTCTGTTTCCTCTTCTCCACGGTTTTAGGATTTTCTCAAGCTTCCTAGTACATTGCTGCATTAATTTTCAGATAAACATTCCAAGAGAAGCCTCATTCTTCCCAAAGAAGCCCTCATTTACATTGACATTTTCCCTGAATATTCCCTAAGCGAGAATTCCAAGGCCTCCCCTCCTCTGTGGACTGTCCATGTGGACAATGGCACGTGTATCTATGTATCCATGTGGGTGCACACAGGGTAGGGTCGTTCCTGTTGTAGGGATGGCACTGTTTTCTCCACCCCGCTCCAAATCTTGTCTTGCTCACTGCACACGGCCTGTGTTGGCCCCTCTGGTGTGTCCCGTCAACCCCCGTGCACCCTGCGTTGGGCTGCTTTACCTCGTGTGGTCAGACGGAACTGTGATCCGTTCTTCAGTTCCTCTTGGACGTCCGCCTCGTTGCTCATGTTTTGCTACTTCGAATAATGGGAATATATATATTCTTCAGAAACTTTCTTAGATATTGGTGATTTTAATTAGTTGCAATCGATTCCCAGGAGTCAGGTTTTGGGGCCACACAGTATGTCATTTTAATTTTAACAGTTGCTCCTAGATTGCTGGTCCAAAATCGAGCAATTCACAGCCCCACCAGGAATGTCTGGGAGTAACTTTTTTCTTAGCATCCCTATACTGGATGAATTCCATTTTTAAAAGCTTTCTTCTTATTTTAAGCTATGAGTTAGTAGATTAAAATAGTCAATAGGGCCGGGCACGGTGGCTCACACTTGTCATCCCAGCACTTTGGGAGGCCAAGATGGGTGGATCACCGGAGGTCGGGAGTTAGAGACCAGCCTGACGAACATGATGAAACCCCATCTCTACTAAAAATACAAAAATTAGCTGGGCATGGTGGCGGGTGCCTGTAATCCCAGCTACTTAGGAGGCTGAGGCAGGAGAATGGCGTAAACCTGGGAGGCGGAGGTTGCACTGAGCCAAGATCGTGCCACTGCACTCCAGCCTGGGTGACAGAGTGAGGCTCCATCTCAAAAAATAAAGATAAAAATAAATAAATAAAAATAAAATAGTCAGTAGAGTGTTTTCAAATTTCCAAGTTTTGAGTTTTCCTTGAAATGTTCACCGGGTTCTCTTTTATTGTTCTTGGAGAATTCAGTGTGCTGATTTCTACTGGGGAGAGATATTACTTGCATAATATTAAGGACCTCTTAAATTCATATCAGTTTTTGTACTTTTTTCATGTTTCAAAATAACATATACACTCTGCTTGTTGTACACCAGCAGCAGCAA
This sequence comes from Homo sapiens, assembly GCF_000001405.40. NCBI lineage: Eukaryota > Metazoa > Chordata > Mammalia > Primates > Hominidae > Homo > Homo sapiens. The sequence goes on from NC_000005.10 coordinate 2,857,453, forward strand.
TTGTTTTTAGTTCAGGCTTGTCTTTCAAATCAAACATGTATTCATACTTCTCTGGGGATACTTTATCTGAGCGAAGAATGAATGTTCAAACTCTTCTCTATATTTCTACAAACTTTTACTTTATCTGTCTCTAAATTTATTGTTAGATAAAAAGGTTATTTATTTGTAACTTCTTGCTAGATTCTTATTTTTATTCATATAACACGCAACATAATAATAAAACTTATTTGTTCCTTTTAATCACTCTTTTCTTGGGTGCTATTTTCTTTGATAATTCCTTATCACTTTCATGCTGGGGCATTTTCTTTTTTTGCATAATGTTTGTGTGTTACTTGCTGTGGGAATCCCTTCCTATGTTTAGAAACAGTCTCCACCTCCTAGCATCCAAGTCCTTGAGTGTGGGCTGGAGCCAGTGATTTGCTCCTCTGGGCTGAATCTTGCAAGCAGGTGGATTACCATTCCCTCAACTAGGTGATAAAGGGACAGCAGCTACTCAGAGATCGTGCTCACCCTCCTGGGCTCCTCTTGTGTGCTCTGCCTGATGAAACATGCTGCCCTGTTGTGAGCCACCTGATGGAGAGGCCAGCTTTGTGTGGCAGAACACTGAGGGGGCTTCCTGCCAACAGCCAGACAGGAAGTGAGACCCCCCAGTCCAAAGACGCATGAAGAGCTAGGTCCTGCCAACAACCATTGAGTGAGTCTGAAAGTGGATCCTTCCCCAGTCAAGCCTGGAGCTGAGACTGCAGCACCAGCCAGCACACAGACTGCAGCAGTGACTGAACTGGAGGACTCAGCTCAGCCATGCCCAGATTCCTGACTCCAGGGAACTGTGAGATAATACCTGTATGTTGGTTTCAAGCCACTAAGTTTTGGGGTGGTTTATTACACCGTGATATGTAACTAACTTACTCTTCAGTGGAATATAGGCAGGAAGTCTATTTACTCTTAGACACTTTCTTCAAACAGTTGAGTTTAACCAACTCACCATGATTATTGTTCTTAAATATCTTTAGATTTATTTTGTTGCCTTATGTTGGTAGTTCTCTTAATATTTTAGCATATTTAATTAACTTAGACAAATTTTAAATTGTATTGTTTAAACATACTTTTTCTATGACTACCCAAATTCAATAAATTTTATCTTCCTGTATGAGATAAAAATCTTATATCCTCTCACTAAGCTTCCACACTAAGCTTTCATGTTAAAACCATCTCAGATACCATTTATAGATTTCTATCAGCATTGTCTTGTTAGGACTCAATTATTTTATATATGTAAAGATGAGTCTTACTTATTTCTTTCTTCATCATAATTTCATAAATCCCACACTGTTTTCTGAAGACTTGCTTTTGGTTTTTGCTTAAGAACATCCTTCAGTCATTTTTTTCCCTAGTGGCAACTTTCTGAGTTTGCTTTTCTACATATTTGACAATTTTTGTTTTGTCTTCAAATTTAAAGACATCTTATTTGAGACAGTGTTCTAGGTTTAAAATATCTTTCATTGTGAACCATTCTGTTTTCTCCGATGTTAGTTCTCCTGTTATTAAGATTGATACTTCTTTTTCCTAGTGTTTATTTTTCTAAGTTTAGGTTTGGGGTTGTTTCTATCTACCTGTATCTGTGGCAGTTCCCCCCGCCCGCCCCACAGTCTCAGGGAGAATCTCTACAATTATTGATGCTTCTGAAACATGGGGTGAGGCTTGTCTGTGCATTGATGTCTGGGGAGGTGTGTCTTTTGATCCTCTGCAGGGTGATGCCTGCTGGCATGTTGTTCTGCCTTCACCCGGCATTGCCCCTGGGAGCTCTTGGTTGCATCTGCCCCTGTGATTGTGGGCCTGGGTGAGTGAGCTGCATTCCACCATCATGAAGGAAGTTCTGAAGGCTCTGACTTCCGGTCAGTGCCCCCTCAGTGAGGGACTGCACCCTGCTGGCCCCACTCTCCAGAAGGCAACTGGTATCTTAGACAGCTGTCTGCAGCAAATAATAATCTTCTATTTAATGGAGTTTATTTCTCCTTTTGTTTTCAGTGGAGAACCTCTGGAATCACTTTCATCTATGAAGGAATTTTGTCTGTATTTTGGACTGTGATTTCTCAGTTTTGTTTTCTCTAAAGCTGATTGGTCTCTAAGAATTTCTCAATTTTTTTTTTCTGATGGGGAGGACATTCTGTTACCTGTTGTGTATTCTTCCCTTTGTCTAATCATCTCCAGGATTTATTCTTGCATGATATATTTTACTTATTATTTTATGACATTTGGGGTAGAAAGGGAACATATCTTGACATTCCATCCTAAGTTTCTTCTTCATGAAGGAGATACTATTGTTATGATGCAGTATGTTATTGAAAAAATTATTATCATTACTATTACCAAGAGCTATTGCACCAACACAGAACTTTCCAGAAGACTTGAAATCAAACAAAATTAATTTAGCTATAATCAATTATTTGCTGCAGGTAACCTTTCTAACCCTGTCAAAAAGACTGATAACAAATTCCACTTTCTTGTTATCAAGAGTTTAAATATTATTTTTAGTTTCATTTAATAATATATACTATATTATTTTGTGTTATATTTAGTATTTATACATAACTAGAAAGCATTCTTTCCTATCTATTAGTGGTTATTTATTAAAAAATCGTGCTAACTTGTGATGAGAACAGATTGTTGACACCATTCTAGCAAGCTCTCTGGCCTCGCCTGTTCTCCAGATCCGCTGGCTATGGGAGTGCAGGCTCCTGCAGGAACAGGAATGAGCCAACCACCCCGGCCCTCCTTCAGGGGCATCTGGACTGGGCAAACTCCAGTGTCCAAAGACAGGTGAGATGCAGGACCCACCCTGGCCCAAGTTTCTTTCCCTTTGTTTCTCACCGAATCAACCATAGCCATGCAGGAAATGGTGAGAGAGTGGACGGCCCTCCTGGTGTCCTCCTCGGTCGTCCGGGAAACAGATATAAAGGTCAGCCCCCACGCCACCCATGTGGAGGTCAGAGCCCTAGACCTCACATTATCAGCCTATACAGCAGAGCTGTGCAGAATCGTAATTTGAGATTATTTACTTTCCTAGTCAGGTTAATTAAAACCCTCAAGTCTGTGCCTATTCAAGCTAAATAATGTAATTTAAAGGACATTTTTCACCTGTTCATTATAGCCTTTACAGTAACCAACATTTTCCCTGAAATTACAAAATGGTTTTCATTTGTAATCTCTTGCGTCAAGATTTTCTGCTCCTGTCTGATAAATTTCCTTCAGGTTGAAAGTTAATCTAACATTCAGCTTAAGAGGTAGTAGTCGCCTTGTTTAAGGACTATGAGGCCCGGCGCAGTGGCTCACACCTGTAATCCCAGCACTTTAGGAGGCAGAGGCAGGTGAAACACTTGAGGTCAGGAGTTCGAGACCAGCCTCACCAACATGGTGAACTCTGGTCTCCACTAAAAGTACAAAAATTACCTGGTCATGGTGGCAGATGCCTGTAATCCCAGCTACTCAGGAGGCTGAGGCATGAGAATTGCTTAAACCTGGGAGGCAGAGGTCGCAGTGAGCCAAGATCATGCCACTGCACTCCAGCCTGGGCCACAGAGTAAGGCTGTCTAAAAACAAACAAACAAACAAAGAAAAAGTGGACTATGGTCAAAATTAATAGGCAGCATGGCGAGAAACCCAGTTAACTTAGCCAAGAGTTCAAGGCATGAGTCTCCCTAGCCTCAAGATTGCTGGCTCCAGTTTTCGCTGCCTAAAAAAGTATTGAAAATTTAGAAAGACAAAACAAACACAAAACAGAGAAAACCAATATTAGAAATATAAATAATGGCTTGTTGTCTATTTTTGAAAGTATTTTTTTAGGATCAGTGAGGTAATGCAGACGTGGTTAGTACTGGCAGCTGGTGTCATCCCACATATTGACTTGAAGAGGATTTTCTGGTGCAACTGGTCATCCAGACCTCTACGTGGGCCCAGCAGGCCATATCTCCTGCACCACCCATAGTTTTATGGAGAATGTGAATCTATAACCATTCAAGAACTCTCTGTATATTAAATTTAAAAACAAGTTCATACAAAGTTCATAGAAAAGGTAGATTTGTCATTTTGAACGGCAACCTTAAGTAAAAAGACAACGGAAAAAAGCAAGTAACTGTAAGTTTCCTGTAAGGCTTTAAAGGGACAGAAGTAAATTGCCAGGACATTTTTATGGAGTTTTTTAACCTCTGGCCTTTGGAGCGGGGGAATCAATAAGATATTAAGAAAATCATGAATTAATGCTTCATAGAGTGCAGACAACCTTAACTGCTCTGTGGTTTAGATGAATGGCTGGTCCGGAAACCCGGCCCCTCCCATCTGAAGTTGAAACACCAGTCGCTCTGCTGGGAACAGTGTTAGTCATTCTGCTCCTGTCTCCGTGGGACACTTCATAGAGTTACGGGAGTATTACAAACTTAGAATGTTATCTGGGCTATTAGGATGAAATCTCCCCAGGAAATGAAATACAAATAATCCTTTTCAAGTTAAGTGGAATCGCTTCTGTGACAATATTTCATAAGGATTTTCTAATTGACTCACATTATATTTAAGCGACTCTAGGCTACGGAGTTTGAATTTTGTAGAAATGATTCTGGGATAATTTTGGGATTCTGACTCCAAATTACTTATGTAAACATGGGCTTCTTTGGTGATCCCAGATTAGTAGCCTGGGCCCTGTCTCTCAGACTCTCTGCCCCTCCCTCCAGCTGGACCTGCCATCCAACTCCTGTCCCAGTGCCCCTCCCTCCCTTCCTTCACATGGCTCCTTAAGGAAGTTACTCCAGAGCCACTGTTCCTAAAATACCATTTCCAACTCCATTTCTTCCTACTCCAGTCCTTGCCTTCCCCTGACAGCGATCACACCAGCACCAGCCACAGCCACGGCCACGGTGCCAGTCATAGCCACAGCCACAGGGCCAGTCAGAGCCACAGCACCAGCCACAGCCACAGTCACAGCACCAGCTACAGCCACAGTGCCAGCTACATCCACAGCAGCAGCCACAGCCACAGGGCCAGTCAGAGCCACAGCCACAGCCACAGTGCCAGCTACAGCCATAGCACCAGCCAAGACACAGTACCAGTCATAGCCACAGCCACAGTGCCACTCACAGCCACAGCCACAGTGCCAGCTACAGCCATAGCACCAGCCAAGACACAGTACCAGTCATAGCCACAGCCACAGTGCCACTCACAGCCACAGCCACAGGGCCAGTCAGAGCCACAGTGCCAGCCACAGCCACAGTCACAGTGCCAGCCATAGCCACAGAGCCAGCTACATCCACAGCAGCAGCCACAGCCACAGTCACAGCACCAGCTACAGCCACAGTGCCAGCTACATCCACAGCAGCAGCCACAGCCACAGTCACAGTCACAGCCACAGTGCCAGCTACAGCCACAGCCACAGAGCCAGTCAGAGCCACAGAGCCAGCCACAGCCACAGCCACAGGGCCAGTCAGAGCCACAGCACCAGCCACAGCCACAGTCACAGCCACAGTGCCAGCCACAGCCACAGAGCCAGTCAGAGCCACAGAGCCAGCCACAGCCACAGTCACAGTGCCAGCCACAGCCACAGTGCCAGCTACAGCCATAGCACCAGCCAAGACACAGTACCAGTCATAGCCACAGCCACAGTGCCAGCTACAGCCACAGCCACAGAACCAGTCAGAGCCACAGAGCCAGCCACAGCCACAGTCACAGTGCCAGCCATAGCCACAGTGCCAGCCACAGCCACAATGCCAGCCACAGCACCAGCCACAGCCACAGTGCCAGCCACAAAACCAGCCACAGCCATAGTCACAGCACCAGCCACAGTGCCAGCCACAGCCACAGCCACAGTGCCAGCAGGCTTCAATAGGTATCTGTGCATAGGGGGCCAGTGGATTGCTCCCACCTTATCCAGGAATGTGGGCCCTGGGGGCCAGGCTCCTTGCACCCTGTTGGCAACTGTATTTGCAGCTCTCAGCATGGAGCCTGGTGTCCTGGCACTGGAGAGACAGAAGATGGAGCACCTGACTCTGGGGATGCTTTACATGAATGGACTGGCTCCAACTTCCCAGCAGCTCTGAGGCCTCCCCCTCCGTGTGCAGTAGTGGAGAGGAAATGTCCACGTCTCATGGCTGGTAGGGTTCAGATCTGGGACTCGGCTCTGGGTGTTTTGACCTCCAGATCCACATCTGCCCTGCGCAGAACAGACTAATGCATGTGTGGCCCTTCTGGGGGCCACGGCTTTAAAATGCATTTTCTCCTGTCATTCTCATGATGGGCATTAGAATCCCCATTGCACAGCTGAGCAATGGAGGCACAGAGAGCTGTGGGCTGCAGAGATCCAAGCCCAGGAGAGCTGGGGTCCCACCGGGTCCTTGCCTACATCTTCCCCAAGAAGGGCAGTCCCCTGGGCACGGGTTCCCTTCGAGGAGGGGCCGGAGTGACTGGAGGCAGAACTGGGATGGGGCAGGAGCTGCCTCTGCCCCGACATCATCCAGGCCTCCCTCTGGGTCATTGTCTGAGCTGAAATGGCCAACGGATAAGAAGATGCTTTCTTCAGAGGGCAGTTAGAGTGGTCTTTCTTCTTCATGCTGGGGGGAGGGGGAGGGGGAGGCAGGGGCAGGCCCTCTTACAGCCCCCTCAAGGGCACAAAGAAGCCCATGTTTCTTAGGATGATACAACCCAGTGCGATGGCCCAGGGACCTAAGAGGTCGACTCAGACTCAGACTCCGCGAGGCCCCATGCACGCCTCCTTTCCAGCCGCTTGGTGGGATGAGGGTGGGTGCAGGGGCTGCCGGCCAGAGCTGTCTCTGGTGAGGGGACTGAGGGGCAGAGGCAGGGGGAGGGTGACTTTTTACTTCAACCCCTTTTGTGCCGTGATCACATGTTGTCTTGTACCGGGGACACATGTTACCTACTCAGAACTACTCTTTTGCTCAGTTAAAAGAATCTCCACAAGAAGGGCCCCAGACTTGTAAGTGTGTAAGTTCTTCTAAGAATCAATATTTAAATTTTTTTCCAGCTAACTTTGCTGTTGAAGTAGCAGTGGAAGGGGACTGGGGCATGCCCAAATATAGAGAGACACTCAAACGGCCTCCCGCTCGAGACACAGGGCTTGGGAAATCCCCACCCAAACAGGCCTCATCCTACTCCAAAAACAGAGCCAACGAGACCTGAGCAACTGTCCAAAAAGAGACAAGCTGTCTGTAGGAGGAACGTGCAGGACCCTGTGTGCCCAGGGTCGTGGATGCCCACCGTGGAAGCCCAGGCTGGACAGTGCTGATGCTCCCAGACAGGACATGGCAAACCAGCACTGCAGCTAGCAATGCCCCCTGAATCAGGGAGCTGCCATTCCTATGAGCTAAGAAGCAGGTGATTGGGTATGTCTGTGATCAGCTCAGGAAGACAAGCTGCAGGCAAAACGGGGCTTTCTTAAACTAAGCGGTAGGCGTGGACTTTGGAACCAGCTGGGCTCGCCAATCAGCAGCAGCCAGGGATGCTCATTGGTGCCAGTTTTTCACAGGGAGAGGAGGCGGCAGTGGCAATGGTGCTCTCATTCAAAACTCCGGGAAGAGAGCCTCTCCTTTTAAACAGGAGTGGCTGGTATGAACGACTCTCAAAATGCAAGCTGTCCTGTAAGTGCTGACTCACAGGTGGTCACCAATATCACCTGGCTGGCTTCAGGGATCTCCAGTCACAGTCGTAGTGCTTAGATTCCGTGAGTCCAGTGGTTTGGGAATAATGCTTCATTTCCCGCCTGTCACTGGAGAGGGCTCTAAGACCTTAGCCCCCTGTTTTCTCTCTACAAACAACACTCAGTAAGCCAAGATGACGAAACCAGAGGATCCCCTCTTCCCAGTCTAACTAGGCTCTGTCTGCACAGCACGAATCGCCCAACTAGCCTTTCTATCTCCTGCAGGTTATTCAGGGCTTACATTTGCGACGACAATTTTCAGACTATTCATCTCTGTTGCTAGGTACACTATCACTAGCACGCATCCAGCCTTTGACATAGTCCTACTTTTTGATGCAAGCACACAGTTGAGGAAATATCATAGTTGCTATTGGTGTACGCCATTTTGTTTGTTTGTTTGTTTGAGGCAGAGTCTGGCTCTGTCACCCAGCCTGGAGTGCGGTGGCACTATCTTGGCTCACTGCAAGCTCCGCCTTCTGGGTTCACGCCATTCTCCTGCCTGAGCCTCCTGAGTAGCTGGGACTACAGGCGTCTGCCACCGCGCCCAGCTATTTTTTTTGTATTTTTTTAGTAGAGATGGGGTTTCACCGTGGTCTTGATCTCCTGACCTCGTGATCCGCCTGCCTCGGCCTCCCAAAGTACTGGGATTACAGGCGTGAGCCACAGCGCCCAGTCCTGGTGTATGCCTTTTATGGGATTGACACTGTCCTTCGAGATCTGCATGGATTATTTCATTCAGTACCAACAGCAACCTGAAGAGGAAGTCTCTGTCGTCATCCCCATGATGAAATTGCGAGAAAAAGCCGGAGTTGGTCGAGAAGAAAGAAGAGGAGGAGAGTGGTGCCAGGGGTGACCACACCAACCTCAAAACTGAGACCCTGCAAACAAACCCCCAGGCGTGAGGACATGCATGCATGGATCACGGTCCTCCAGCCTCTCCTCTTGTTCATCACCTGCTGTCTTTGGAAACACAAAACGGAGGAGGCGTCTCCGGCAGGTAAATCCTGTGGAGCAGAGGGATGGAGCCGCCTCTGATGATGATCGAGCTGTGGTGATCCTATCAGCCAAGCAGCCATCATCTGGTCTGGAGGCTGGGGACAGGGCTCATCTCCCAGCAGCCATCAGCGCCCGCCTGACACCAGGCAGGTAATGCTATCTCCTGCGCTGAGAGGGCCGATGAACCGTGATGAGCGATGCAGGGCCGTCACTAGGCATCTGCTTCCCAGTTTGGCCATAAACGTCAGCCTCCTCTGACCTCACTTTGTCAGCACTCTGTGCAAGGGGAAAGGCCAGGCATGGCTCCATCAGCTAGTCCTGGCGGGCGTCACTCCTTACCTCTGAGCTTGCTTCCTTCCCACGTCAGCCCCGGCAGGTGTAGCCGCCACACCCAGCCCCTGGCTCCAGTGCCAGGCATTGGCCAGGGTGGGTCAGGGCACACGGCGTTCATCCAACCGCAGAAGACGCTCCTTGGCAACCGCACCGTAGGGTAATGATGCAGGAGGAACGTTGTCCAAAACGTCAGATTTTGAACAAAATGACCGTGAATAATGTATTCCCAGGCACTGCTTCCTGGGCAGCACTGCCAAGGCGTTCTGTGGCGGCTGCATCTGTCATCGGGGAACACAAAACACACAGGGAAGTCACCCCCACGCACGGCCCACACGTGTTTGCAAACAGAAGCTGCGCTGTTTTGAGGTTCAAACGCGAGAGGCGGCCTCCGACGTGACTCGCCTGCCAGCTCCGGGAGGAAAGGGTGTGTGGTATTAAAAATTCATAGAGAACACTGCCTTTTATTTCAAGAGCAACAGGAGCAAAAGGCTTTTCTGCAGTGCCCAGGGAAACATAAAGTTCAAATACTGTGAGGTTGCAGGAACAGATCAGAGCCTGCTCTTCCCAGCCAAAGCCTACAAGGCGATTCTTTATAGTGTCTTGGCCGAGACAGCTCGAGGATAACTGAGCCTAAGAAGCCAATTTGCTGAGTTTTGTTCGGACTGTGAAATAAGTCACTTTTGTTTTGGAGTCAGAATCAGGGAGCACCATGGTGGAGCCCGGAAAGCGATGAAGACACAACAGCTCTCCTGAGAGTTCCCGACATTCCTACGAATGCGGTTTCCCCACCTGCCACCTCTCCACGGACCCTCTGCCTGCCTTCCTGAAGGCAAAACTGCAACAGCCGGACTTGACATTTGAGAGGAGGGGCATGGGGAGAGCATGCAGTCTGTATTTCTCTGGAAAGAAATTGGTCTTCCTGGAAAACCCAACGTCTTTTAGCAGGTGGAAGAGATAAATTGTCGTCACTTTTATTTGCAGAATCTAAGAGAAACAATTGGATGGCGTTAGCTTTGCAAGCCAGTCTCAGAGGAAAGCCAGCGTGTGCTTCAGCAGCTGCACATTTGTGGGCAGAAAATGCCCAACGTGTTTTGCAGAACCAGCCATCGTTCTTAAATGTACAGAAGAGTCAAGGTGTCAGTGAGCCTCCAAGGGCAGTGTTGTAAGCCCACCTTCTGTGCCTTCCCTCTCAGCCTAGGACAAGGCAGGTCCCTGCCTTCTGTCTGCCTTTCTGGCTTTGATGGGATCAACCAGGAAGAGCGGAAAGGCTTGGTGCCCCGGAGCCTCCGAGGACAGGCTCCAACCAGCGAAGCTTCCAGAAGCACAGCTGAGGAAAGGTGTGAGAGCTGTGGAACCTCCGAGTCCTTAAAACCTGTCACCCAATGCGGAATCCGTGTTTCCCAAGGGGATGTGTAGGCAGAACGAGTGTCCTGCTCTCTCCTGCCTCTGTCCTGCTTTTCAGAAGTCAGAGTTTTCAGTCCAATATTCCTGCCTTTGACAGTTTGGGTGATATAAACACATAATGAGAATTGTTTAGGGCAGCAAACAAACAATAAAAACAACAAAAAACAAACTCCAAAGCGTCTTGGGAGGCTGTGCCTGGCAATGCCCGTGCAGGGAAGTTACAGGCATGATGGGGGATGGGACTGACCCAAAAATCCCTTCCATGAGTCCTGCACTTTCCTTTGCCTTTTCTCAGCCAGGTGCTTTTATAATGATTTTTAACAGTCAAAAACCACTTAATATCCTTCACACTGTGATTTTCTTCCTCCTGGAAACAAATACTGAGAGGTGCCAGTTCGGAACTGATTGAGTGGCACAGTGTCTCCGTCTCTATGCATACACTCCACTATGCAATGATGAGGTGCGGGTTTCTCCAGCTTTCAAAGAGCAAATGTTAAGAATTTGTGAGCCTGGCCTGGCATGGTGGCTCATGCCTGTAATCCCAGAATTTTGGGAGGCCAAGGCGGGTGGATCACCTGAGGTCAGGAGTTTAAGACCAGCCTGGCCTACATCGTGAAATCCCATTTCTACTAAAAACACAAAAAACTTAGCTGGGCATGGTGGCGGGCACCTGTAATCCTGGCTACTCAGGAGGCTGAGGCAGGAGAATCGCTTGAACATGGGAGGCAGAGGTTGTAGTGAGCTGAGATCATGCCACTGCACTCCAGCCTGGGCAACAAGAGCAAAACTCCATCGAAAAAAAACAAAAAAAAAGATTTTCTGGGCCACTGAATCCATGGAAATATGCTTTTTGGCTCAGTCCACAAAAGAAATTTGAGTTGTTGCTTCAAGGATTCCTAGTTTGAACTCACAGGGAAAATCAGAAATGATTGTATTTTTAATACATATAAAGCCCTTCCTACATGTTTCATTGAATACCAGAAGCACCCCTATTTGGTGGAGACCAATGGACTTTTATAACTTGTTTACAGTTTCACTGATACCCAGTAGCAAAATCAACACATCACCCGGGCTTCACAGACTCCAGATCCCTGGCTGGCGTGGAAAATCCATACCACGTAGAGTCTCTTCCTTTCACCCTTTTATGGTTTTCAAGGACCTTTGAGTAAATGTGTGTATGTGGCGGGGTTGTAGAGGGGGAGTGGGGGGCGCGCTCTGACTGTAACTGCTGCAGATCTGGCTGTAGCTGCCCCAGGTCTGAGTGTAACTGCGCTGATTCCTGAGCATCTGGATAAAGGAAGTAGGAGGCAGCGAGAATGGCCGGGAGGACCACAGTCTGGCCTGAGTGATTCTGGGTGCCAGGCTGTCTTTTGTGCTCCTACCCATCATGTGAGGTTTGCCTATGGCCTTCCACCAGACCACAGTGCAGCAGGGCAAACCCTCACCTCCAATCCACGATGGAACCTCCAGGTTTCTCAGGGGATGCGTGTCTCTGGATGAAGGAAACCATAGAATGCTCCACTCTGTCTTATTTCAGGACCCTGAGCTCCCTGGTAACATGCCTATATTGTATGCCAGTTTAAGGGTCACATTTTAAAAGGAGCACAGCTAGATTAGGATGTGTGCTGAGGGAAGATGGGCTTGAGCTGATGGCTACATGCATTCTATGACATAGCAAAGGAGTGAGACTTTCAGAGGACCGCCCAGCGGTAATATGGTGAACTGGAGTGTAGCCAGGGAGGCTGAGGCACCTCAGCTTCCTCGGGGGAGAGACGGTGAGGAACTAAAGATGGTGGGGTTGGGTTGGAGAAGTGTGACAAGATAGGAACCTTCTTACATCAGAAGAATACTTAGGCACAGCCATTGTGCACTAGTGTCACACTGTGTCTCTAAGCCACGCTCCACCCTGGGGGAAGGTGATAGCACCTGCCTCTCAGGCTCGTCATCAAGACTAATCCAGGTGTGTGGTGGGCACTGAAGGAACAAGGAGGTTTTCATCTCCAGTACCACCCATGAGGGAGGCATAGCAGATGGCCACAACTGCTTTAGTTTTGGTGTTGGTGAGACAGACAGGAAAGCTAGAAAGGTCACTATTTGCAGATGACATAATTGCCTACCCAGAAAAAAATAACAGAATTATCAAATTACTACAACCTCTATTCCAGAAATGTTGTCAGACACAAAAATCAATAGCATCTCTTTGAACCAGCAATGGCCAATCAGAAAATTCAAATCATTCATAAGCTACAAAGACTATAAAGTATCCAGGATTAATTTTTACCAGGAACACACAGTACTGCTATGGGAAAACATTTAAAGTTCTGATACGGGACATAGAAATGAATGTGAATAAATGGGGTAATTTCTTATGTTCTTACCTGAGACTGCTTTACATTTACAGATGTGAGTTCCCCAAAAATAAATCTATAAAATTAATGAAATCCCAATCAACATTCCAATTGGATATAAACTTAAAATTTAATGGAAGAATAAAATCTTGTGAAGATCTAAGTTAACCTTAAAAAACACGAGGCAACAGGCTGGCCCTCCTACTTATTAAGATGTCCATAATTATCCCAATAGAAACAGTGCAGGATTGACATAAGACCATTGCAAAGAGAGCTGTGGAAGAGAGTGGAGGGCACAGAGGCAGACCTTTACATGTGCAAATGTAAGTTCTAAGTACGTGAGCACCGTGGTGCTAATATCAGTAGAGAATGAATCTGTCGTTCAGCAGATGGTTCTGGGAAAAGAGACTCACTATATGGAGAAAACTAGAGCTCCTTCCTTCCTTACACCATATTCAATGGCAGATCCAAGCTAGAATAAAGACCTAATGTGGAAGGTAAAACCATACAGTTGACAGAAGATTTGGGAGCTGTGCAGCCTGAGAGTGGAAGCGAATACTGAATGAATGCTACCGGCACAGATCCTAGGAGGTGCAGGGCAGTGGCGTGCACATGGTGGCTGGATAGCAATGATGGTGCAGGCCATGGAGGGTTGGAGGGCGAGGGTCAGGGGGCAAGATCGAACAGCCCAGGGAAGAGCAGAACAGAAGCATTACCTGTTCACACTTCCAGGGAGTCCTTGACGCAAGCACCCAGGAAGTGGGTCAACCTGAATGATCAATTATATGGAGAAAGTGCTTTGGTAAGAGCCTATTATAAGGTCATAAATTTATTAGATAAAGTAATTGTGCAGTGTCTGACCATGCCAGCTTTAAATTCCCATTCACATAGCTAAGAATGGATCTTTCTTATAATTTACTGGAATCATAATTGACAGAGATTCAATTATTCTTAAACACATGAACTGTAATATGGTAAAATGGTAGGTTCCTTTTTTATTCATGGGAGTATATATTTTTAATTGTCTTTTAGAAAATCATTAGAAAGGGACAATTGAGTAACAATTACATTTTATTTTAAAGATGTAATTAAACATACGCTCTTGTGTTTGATTCCAGGTTTCTTTTGCATATTATGCACAGTGTCTACATTAATAAAAGCCAGCACTCGGGCTGCCAGCCACCTACCTCCAGCACTCAGGGATTTTCTCAATGAGCAGCAGTGCCATTATGGGAGGCAGGCACTCAGGAGACCTCTTCTGACCTTTCCACATATGTTTATGGGAGTGATTCAAGGGCATGCATCATAAAATAAATGAGTTCTCCTCCAAGGGTGGAGGGAGAAGTAAAGTCTAGTAAGCAAATAAGGAAATCAGAGGTTCCCAAAGAAAGCCAGTGTTTGAGCTGTAGCTGATGTGAAAATCTACTGCTCATCAATTGGTCCAACCAGTGACATCAGATAAACTCTGCCTCAGAGTTCAGCTCTTGGTCTTGGGATTTAGCAGAACCAGGCTGAAACCCTGGCTCCATGGCTCACCCACTGCGTGACTGGAGCACAGCACTGCACCTTCACCAACGTCTCCATGCCCTTTTGTGTAGGAAGCGCTTCCTCCGGGTGGAAGGTAAATGAGAGGAATGGAAGGTGTTGGGGCAGGGTTAACTCACAGTGCTGAGTTATTATTATTATTGCTATTTGTGTGCAAATCAATGTAAACGTAAGTCATTTACAATCAATTTGTAGAGACAAGATAAATATAAAGCCAAACTGAAGAGTTGGCTGGGATTACTTAAGGAAGAGTAACAGGTTTTAAGAAATCCACTCAACAGACAAATCACAACACAGCATATAAGTAGGTGTTGCTGGCCCAGTGGGGTGGTCTGTAATCCCAGCACTTTGGGAGGCCCAGGCGGGCAGATCACTTCAGGTCAAGAGTTCAAGACCAGCCTGGCTAACATGGTGAAACCCCGTCTCTACTAAAAATACAAAAATTAGCTGGGCGTGGTGGCACACGCCTGTAATCCCAACTACTTGGGAAGCTGAGGCAGGAGAATGTCTTGAACTTTGGAGGAGGTTGCAGTGAGCTGAGATCATGCCACTGCACTCCAGCCTGGGCAACAGAGCAAGACCCTGTCCCCATTTAAAAAAAAAAAAAAAAAAAGGCCGGCACGGTGGCTCTGTCTGTAATGCCAGCACTTTGGGAGGCCAAGGCCGGCAGATCACCTGAGGTCGGGAGTTTGAGACCAGCCTGACCAACAGGGAGAAACCTCATCTCTACTAAAAATACAAAATTAACTGGGCATGGTGGCACATGTCTGTAATCCCAGCTACTTGGGAGGCTGAGGCAGGAGAATCTCTTGAACCCTGCGGGCGGAGGTTGCAGTGAGCCGAGATCGCGCCATTGCACTCCAGCCTGGGCCACGAAAGCAAAACTCCGTCTTAAAACAAAACAAAAGGTGTTGCTGCTCCTTCTTCAGTGCCAGCGGAAGCTCTCATTCCTATAGCAGTGGAGGGAGCCAGCTTCATTGCCACTCTGCCTCTGGAGGTGTTTTAACAGTGCTTTGCAGGCCGTATTGGCCGAACAGTCTCCTTCATTACACATCCCGCTGAGTTCAGGGCTAAATCCATATCCGATCTACCCACTGGTTCCGCAGGCGCACACTGAGCACTTCCATGTGCCATTAGCAGATGAAGGAGCAAGGATCCCACACCAGCTCAGCCCCAGTCCCAGTGCTGGCTTGAGCAAGGAAGTTATGCTTCCCTCTCTCACAGAGGAATCCATCATGGCAGCAGCACCGGCACAGCTAGAATTGGCTCTGCCTCCTCACCCAAGTAAGAAACAGTGTGTGTTCCTACTTATGGCCATGTTTGTGCATAATTCTTGTTCACTCCTACACAAGGACCTTGTGCTGTGTCTCTCTCTCTACACCCAAGAGCAATGTCACCTAAGCCTTGCCAGCTTCCAATGCTATGTTAGCGATGCTTGTGTTCTCTTGTGCTACAAGACTTGAGGGGTGAGTTCTTAGCAATTGTCCTTCAGTATAAGTAATGGGGTTTCTTCCCCCAGGCCATAGATGCTTGATCACTGGCTGCCAGTTAGTGTTAGAAATGAGCTATTAGTAGCTAAATGTTGGTATTAGATATGTAGATATTTTAGTAATAAAATCTCCACTCCCATTATGCATATTCAGAAGCGCTGATTGCAATTATTGTTAGCAATGCATGGAAACGTGCTTACAGTATTTAACGTGGTTTTAAAATACTCTGCACCCCATTTTATCATGTGCCATCTGTGTATCGAGCTGCCTGTGTGAGCACAGACACAGCCCACCGTTAATTACCTGCATTGTTGCTCCAGCAGAAACCTCTAGTCCAAACTTTGAATGCCCATGACTGCCAGCAGAGAAGTGGTTGTGTTTAGAGTCTGTGTATTAGTTTGTTTACACACTGCTACAAATAACTACCTGAGACTGGGTAATTTATGAAGGAAAGAGGTTTCATGGACTCATAGCTCCACAGGGTGTACAGGAAGCGTGGCTGGGAGATCTCAGGAAACTTACAATCATGGTGGAAGGTGAAGGGGAAGCAAGCACATCTTACTATGGCGGAGCAGGAGACAGAGAGTGAAGGGGAGAAGGCTACACACTTTTCAACACCAGATCTTGTGGGAACTCAGTCACAATCATGAGAACAGCAAGGGGGAAATCTGCCTGCAAGATCCAGTACCCCCCACCAAGCCCCTTCTCCAACACTGAAGATCATAATCAACATGAGATTTGGGTGGGGACACAGAGCCAAACCTTATTAGTCTGTCACTGGGACACCTGCTCTTCCAGATTGTGCTGTTGTTCCCCATGACTTACTGCCTGTCCTTTAAGGGGATTATACTTCAACTGCTCATCTTTTCTACCCCATCCCCGTGACCACACACACAGCAGGCATGGCCAGGTGACTCGCTTTGATCAATGAAATGTCAGTGAAAATGATGCATGACATTAATGAGCAGAAGCTTTCAAAGCCAAGGCATAGTGTTTCTGTCCTCCACCCCAAGGGTAGCACATCGGGAACAGGGCTGCTCCTTCAGCCTGGAGCCCAGAAGACAAGAAAGATGTGGGGCGAGCTGCAGTCAATCTATGACTGGCATGTAATGAGTGATAAGCCTGGACATTTTCCAGCATGGAGCTGTTAGGATTGGCCCTTACTGCAGTAGAACCTCGCCAAAGCTGACAGAAGCGTCTGCTTGTGAGCAAATGCAGGAGAGGGTGTTCATCCTTGGCAATGTATCCCTTTCTTGGAAATCATTCCTGCTCATCTTTGAATGTAAAAGTTACCTCCATATACAGGCCATGCAGGTGAAGGTTTTTGTGCTGTCAAAATAATCATTAATACTTGTTTGAGTATTTACAATATGATTCTTGCATTGATTTAAGACAAACCCTGTGAGGGTGGTACTATGATCACGGCCAGCCAACATACGAGCAGGCAGCCTGAAAGTGGCCTGGTTGGAATACATACCCCGCATTGGGTCCTGGAATTCAGACTTGCACCTCTGTGCTCTGTTTCCTCTGATGGTACCGGCATTGCACTGCAAAAAAACCAAATGCAAGTAAAGTGTAGAAATTGGTCACCTTGCCCCAACTAACTTCTCCCTGCAACAGGTTCTGGGAAGCAGTTGGAGACTGTGCCACAGCAAGACAGAGAAGAACACGTGCAATGTGTACACAGATGCACTTGAGCCTCAACGCAGTGCTGGTAATGAATTGTGTTGCTGCATTTTCATACCACCTCTTTGTTCTACGCTTTTGGAAGATATCTAGGAAGGAAACCTCGGACAAGAGGAAAAAAGGGGTGTTCTCCCTATACGGCCCTGTGGGAGGCTCTGCTGCTTTCTGAGGGCCACCTTCTGGATTGTTCCTTCATACCCTCACCAACAACCTGGATTTATGGAATCGCCCAGGGCAGGAGGAGAGCAGAGACTTGACCATGGGCACCATGAGGGGCCACACAGAATACATGATGTCATTTTTTAAAAATTAAGAATAATTAATATATAAAATTTTTCTTGATGAAATTGTTTTTACATTTTATTGTTACAGCAAAAAGGTAGTCAAGAGTATTTTGGTAATTCAAATGAATGATGGCATTCTTCACCTTGTATGTTTTTATTCAAGGCAGTAAGTCCTTTTTGCAGTTAATGCTGCAGAAGCATTTAAGTGTGCTATCTTTGTGTTTTTCAATATACACTCAGTGTAAAAAATGCACTCAACACTTACTATTTTCAACTAATAACAGATTTATTGTGTTTGTGTTTTAACCAATAGCAATAAAATCGACGCTATAAAATATTACTGTATTTTTGTCTTTAAAGCTTACCACAAATGATAATTTTAAAAACACAATGTCATTACATATATAAATTTGGGGTTTTTTGGGCAAGAATGTGAATTTCTGTTTTTACTGTAGGAGAATCTAAGTTCTTTGGTACACTGAATGTGGGGCTTCAGAAGACAAGAGAAGCTGAGCACACCTGTTTCAGCAGGTGGTGACTGTTTCGTTGTCTTTCCTCAAGCTTGCACAGTTGCTGTACATGAAACAAAGACCCCCATCTCTCCACGACTGCCCACGTGAAGTCCACTGTTGGCGGCTTGTCACCGCAGTGCAGGGAGGCAACTGTACTGGTATGATGGGTGCTCATGATCTGTCTTTCCACCAAAGCCTTTGAGTGACAAATCAATGACTACAAAGGTAAACAAACCAGCTGGATGAGGGAAGCTTCTTCAGGTGTCCGGCCTTCAGAGACCCAGTTCTCGTAGCTTGTCTAGGCCAATACTGGCTCTGTTACCACTGATCAGCTGAAATGGGGCTAATGGGGTAAGCCAGGTACATTTACACTTGTTTGGCGGCTTTGGAAAACAAAAAAATGGAACCATGATTCCATGCTCTATGGTTCGTCTCGGTTTGAACCCGTTGAAGAGAAGCACATAGCCTGGGCACATCGCAACAAGCCATAGTAAAAGAGGTTCCATTGCAGCAAGCACCGCCACAGCAACAGTCTGGGTTGCAGAGGTCTGCTCAGACATCACAGGATTTCCTGTTCTCACCCACCAGCCCTGGAAGCAGGTGGATTAGGAAGCGCAAGACTCAGAACTTACAGATGAGGAAAGTGCTGTGCACGGCTGCTGCTGTGCTTGTCCCAGGTACCCAGCAAGAATCAGGGGCAGAACCACCAGCTTCCTGTTTGTTCCTCATCCACCCTGCAGTGTGTGTATGTGTGTGTGTGTGTGCTTGAGTACGGCTGTGTGAAAAGACTTGTGTTAAGCCATGTAGGACTATGAAACAAAAATACAAGTTGAGAGATTTAGAATCTAATAGTAAGCACAACAATTACATACCCTAGATCAGGACCCAAAGGCAAACAAAAACATTAGTAAAATGTGCCTGTTATCTTGCTTCTCTTTCCCAACCCTTTCTCAATTTACACTAAGGTTTAGAACCAGAAACCTGTGTGTCTCTCTCAGAATCAAAATTGGGTATGGAGATGACATCATTTTTTTCTGTTAAAGTGCCATGGACTTTAGAAGATCACTGACCCCCAAAATACTATAAACTCCAACCAAACTCATTTAAAATTACTCTTGATGCTGGTAAGAACCATCTGAGAAACAGAATAAAACCCATACTGCTTCATATCTTCTGCTCACACCAAAATGTAATGATGCTTTCAGATTTTAGCCAGAAAATGACTTAAAAATAAATATTTCTATTTTATGCTCAAGGAATTATTCCCAGCAGTGAGCAAAATTTTCAAAGAATGAACCTCTGGAATGTACTTATCCAATCAAAATTATTGAAAAAATATTTGTTGGAATTAGATAGCTCACTGATTTTCTGCACAATTCCTGGGCCAGGTGGAAGACATGGCTACTGTAAATATAAAAGGTAAGTAAAAGATCAGGTAGATAATTTTAAATGGTTTGAGGTTTCACATAATCATGGGAAAGACTTGTGTCTCCATTTTTTTAATATGAGAAAAAGTGTGTAGCCCATTTATTTCGAAAACAAGTTTTGAAGCTGGAAAATAGGTTTCCATCTGATAGGCACATCCTTCTTGATAGTATCATTAGTGTATAAACAGATGCAAATTCTGATTCTGTGGGAGCACTGATGAGGCTCACTGCCTGCACCTGTGCAGGGTTCAACCACACTCTCGTTTTACAAATGTATTTTACTTTCAGAGGACAACGTTTATTTGCCCTTGTTTTATCTAAATAACCTGATATTGAGAATTGGAATGCAGGGAGGATTGCTGCTGCAACTTTATTTTAGAGATGACTGAAACGCTAATTCGCTAATTCTGTTTTGTGGTTTCCGTCCCAAGCTGAGTCTTGGGAAAATAACCTTGTGTTCCATTGAGAGTGCTTAGTGCTGACATACAGAGATTGTTCCCAAGGCACTGGGCCAGTCAGCGCTCCTCCTCCTCCATCTCTGCCCTTTCACTGGTTGGTCTCCATGCCCTTGTTGCCTGGTTTCTCTGCTGACTGCCAGAGCTGCCTGCAGAGATTTTAGCATTTGTGAGGAACATTCAGAACACAGCAACTCAGATCTGGCATGGATATAGAAGCCTGCTCCCTGCAAAGCTCCAGGCATGTTCCAAGGAAGCCCGTGGGCTGGGTGGATAACCAGGCCACTTTCTGATACCATCTTTTAATTCAGACAGTCCATAATACCCATTTACTGTGCATCTTTTCTGTGGCAGGCAATGTATTAATATTTTAAACACGTAAGTGTTATGATCACCTTTGCGGTTTTGAGATCTCTCTCACAAAGCAGTAAAGAGAATAGAGTAGCCTGAGTACATGAACTTCGCTGGACTTATTTCTGTGGAGGGTTAAAAATGGGTGTTGAAGGAAGTTTATTGAAGATGATATAAGCAAAAATAAAAGTATGAGCTTTGGGGCAATACTTCTCCCCTCCATCAAAACCTGAAAGAAGAAAAACAAAGGGATAATAATTTGTTAACAAGAGAAATGCCATCCTTAATAAAACCAAGGAAATTTCATAACAAACAAGTATATGCCAGGAAAAAAAATGCATTAAATTCTATGAAAATGTGTCAAATCCTCATAAAAAAAAACTTATACCATAGTGAATATTACAGGACATTTTTCAGAGTAAATAGCAATTATACTAATTGAGATATACGTAACAATCACAGCCAAAGAAGTTTTTTTAAGTGCAATGAGATCTAGGGTTGTGGTTGGACCACAGAGGAGCAAACCCATTTTAATACCAAATAGTGTCAGGGGGTGGCAAGCTGAAGAAAAAATCACGTTTATAAGCCATTTCCAGCACCTTGAATTGGGTTCCTTGCCAAGTACTGACTTCTGGCAGGGATGGGGAGTGAGGCCACCAGAGGAGGAAGCCAGGGCTGGTGACAATGCAGAGAGCTTAGAGCTTAGGACCCTGGATCTCTGTGAGGAGCCTCTGGGAATTAGAGGGGATGTTGTCCCTCAGATTAAGTAGTTATCCGATTTGTGAAGAATTGTTGGAGACCTTAACTCTTATTAAGAGTTAAATATTTTTCCAGATAACTTCCACTTGTCCCTCCCTACTTTTTCCTTAGCAGATACCTGGCACCATAAAAATAAGTAATAATCCAAAGGAAACAAAAAGGAAATTGGCTCAAAGATTGGGAAAATAAAGAAGAAAAGCAACAAAAGCAAAAAAGTAAATAAATAACATACACAAAAAGAGTACCAAAAGAGTTTAGACACTTAGTTCACCGTAATCTCAAAGAAATTACAGAGAATATTAGCAATCTAAAAATAAGCTCAAGTAATACATATAAATATTGAAAATGGAGGCTATATGATCCCAGAAGAAAGAAATAAGTGATTTGGCAGGTTCTAGAGATAAATTTAAGAGAGAAATATACACATTTATAGGAATTAAAGGCATATTATAAATAAACCGAGAAAAAACTAAAACAAATACAACTAAAAATAAAAGGATATGGCAAATAAGCTTTAGAAAGGCATATCGTATTAACTGTGTGGTGAACGTCTGTCATTAGGTTTAGCTCCCCCAACATATGAACCTCTTTCTGTGTTTGGACAATATACTTCACCATATGCTAGATTGCTTGCCCACATTCCATTCAAAGAAGAAAAAGAGTATATGACTTGCCAATAGGCACACACTGAGAATGAATTTGGTTTCAGGAAAAGAAAGGATTAGTGCATTCAAATGCAGGTCAGTATAAAGTTTTCAAACCAACAGAGAGGGAGAGAGAGAGAAAGAAAGGGAAAGGGAGAGAGAGAGAAAGAAAGGGAAAGAGAGGGAGAGAGAAACAGAGAGGAAAGAAATGCATATATAGGCTATGGTCAAATAATACCATATGAGTAAAGTTGTGTCCAGAAGAAAAGGAAAGAAAGAATGGAGAGGAGCAATATTTGAAGAGATAATAATTGAGCATTTTCCAAAACTGATAAAAGAAGATGTCCACCTACTGATTCTAGAAGCTCAGTGAACTCAAAACAACTAAAACACAACACCACAAAACAAACACACCTAGGCACATTGCCATCAAATTCCTGAAAAACAAAGATAAAGAAAATATCCTAAAGGATTCTGAAGAAAAGATAAGATTGCACACAAAGGAGCAAAAATTAGACTTACAGCTGACTTTTGAGCAGAAATTATGGAAGCCAAAAGACAATCATTGCTGAAAGAGTTGCATGGAAAGGTCTGCCAATCTGGAATTATTTTCAGCAAAGTTATACCATAGCAAGTATTACAGGATGTTTTCCAGAGTAAATAGCAATTATACTAAATAGAAGCACATAACTTCAGAAAGGACGAAAGAGCACTGGAAAAGGTAAATATGTGTGTAAATGTGTATAATAATATTAACTGCATAAAGGAAAAACAGATTACTGTAACTGGAAGAGGTTAGCCTGTAGCTCTAAAATATATGACAAAAATACCACAAAGACAGGAGACAGTAAGTAAACTTAAACTGTTGTGAGTTTTTCTCCAAAGGTCAAGAAATAATAATTACATTTATTTAATGTAAACAGCAATTATTAAAAAATGCATATAGTAATTTCTGGGGTAAGAATGAAAAGAATGCTTAAAAGCTATAACTGAAGTATTAATAAAATATATATAATTCACATAAAAAATGAAGCCAAAAGAAGGCAAAGACAAAGGAGTGACAAACAAAACTGAAAAGAAATATTCAGATTGTTGACTTAAATCAAAATATATAAGTAATTATGCCAAATCAATGGATTACAAAATCCATTTAAATTACAAAGATAGTTATGCTGGGTAAAAAATATAAGATCCAAATATCTGCTGTTTGCAAGAGGTATACTTTAGATATAAAGACAATGTGTCATTACAGATCGTACAAACATCAAAAAGACAATAAGTATATTATAAACAACTTTGTGTTAATACATGTGAAATGCACATTCTTTGAAATTGACAAATTCCTGGAAAAATATGTCATATCAAAACTGACACAAGAATAAATACAAAATCAGATAAATCCAATATCTGGTTACAATATTGAATCCATAATTAAAGAGCTGACCAGTCATAACATTTCAGACCCGTCAAGTTTCATGAGTTAATTCTTTGGAATATTTAAATAAGAGACAGAACTGATCATACCCAGACTTTTTCTGAAAACCTATGTGTAGAAATAATTCCAAACTCATTTTATGAGATGGGTATTGCCCTGAAATCAAAATCTCTCAAGAACATTAAAACAACAACAACACAATTACAGACCAATATCTTTTATAAACATAGAAACAAAAACCCTGAACAAAATAGTAGTAAACAGAATAGTAATATACAAAATGGATAATGGATTCTAACCAAGATTATTGAAGAAATGTATGTTTACTTCAACACTTGAAAATTAATCAGTGCGATTCATCATATTAACAGAAAAAAAAGAAAAACTGCATGATCATTTTTAAATGACTATAAAGCAAGCATCTGATAAAATTCTATATCTGATCATAAGAAAAACTTTCAGAAATTTAGGAATGGAAGGAACAATGGGCACTGTGTAGTACTAGAGAGTGGAGGGAGGAGAGTGGGTTAAAAAACTACCTATCAGATACTAAGCTCACTACCTGCGTGACAAGATCCATACTCCAAACCTCAGCAGCACACAATAGTCTCATGTAACAAATCTGCACTGCACTCTAGCCTGGGCAAGAGAATGAGAGTCTGTCTCAAAAATAAATAAATAAATAAAATAAAAGTTGAAATTAGAAAAAAGATGTTAAAACAAAGAATCCTGTAGATAGCATTGTGCTTAATGATGTAACAAGCTCCCTAAGACTGGGAATCCTCTGAAATGTGTGCTCCCCTCCCAGCCATTCAACAGTGTCCTAGAGATTCAAGCAAATTCAATAAGGCAAGATAAAAAGGTGTAACATTGGAAAGAAGATTACTCCCCTTATTTACCAAGACTGTGTTTGTAGTAAACGCAAAATAAATTATAAGCTATTAAAATTAATAAGTGAATTTAACAAAGTCAATGAATTAAAGTCAATATGAAAATGAACTGTGTTTTGTATCCAAGTGATAAAAATTGGGAAACACATTTTTATAAAATATCAGGGATCAGCTAACTTTTCTGTGTAAAGGGCCAGGTAGATAATGTATGCTTTGCAGGCTACATAGGATGTCTGTTGCATATTCTCACTCTCTTTCTTCTGTCATTCCATAACATTTTTCATGTAAAAAATTATTCTTAGCTCATAAGCCATATAAAAATAGGTGCAAGGCTCAATTTGGTTCATGGGTCTTATGCTGAGCCTTGATCTTAGCATCAAAGAACGTGAAATACCTATGAATTCATCTGAGAGAAGTTATACATGATTCTTACACTGAAAACCGGAAAGCATAGCTGAGAGAAATTTTAAAGGACACAAATAAATGAAGAGTAGACCATAATTCAACAGCATGGCCCTTTCTAATCACTGTTCTGTGTGAATTTGATATGTGTATGAAAAAAGTTGAGAATTTCTGTTTATCATAAGACAGTAATAAGAGAATAAATTTTTAAGCCACCAACTGGGAGGAAATATTTGCAATAAATATGTCTGACAGAGGACTCATATGCAGGATGTTTAAAAACTCAGTTACAAAAGAGAGAGAGACTTAAATGAGATCTGCATAAAATAAAGATATCAAAGAGCTAATACATATATGAAGATGTCCTCAGTATCATTAATCACCAAGGACATGCAAATTAAACCAATCATAAGATATTACTGCAAATGCACCATTATGGATAAAATGAAAAAGAGAGATAATACCCAGTGTTGGCCGGGATGTAGAGGAAATGAAATTTCCCCACCCTAATTTTAGTGGGTAAGTTTATTCAGTCATTTTGGAGTTGTTTGACCATATGTAACTACACTACCTAAATAGAATTCTACTCCATGTACCAGCCATTCCATTTCTAAGCATAGACTCAAGAGAAATAACATATATGTCCATGAAAACATGCATAAAAGGATGTTCATAGAAACTTTATTCATAACACTAAAAAAAAAAAACCGCCAGGAAAATGTGCAAAAATCGTGGCATAGTCACAAAATATAACACTACACAACAACAAAAATGAGTAAAGTACCAATTCCGATGGCTTCATCCATGACTTCTACAAAGCTGATGCTGAGCAATAAAAGCCAGACACAAAAACTCATCTGCTGCAAACGGCTGTTTATAGGGAGCTTGATAAAAGGCAAAATTCATCTATTGTGATAAAAGTTAAAATAGTGGCTCTCCTTGGTCAGGGAAGGGACAACCGGGACTGAACATTTTTTATCTCTTATTGATCTGGGTAGTGAGTACACAGCACATTCAAAGATGCAAATTCCTCAACTTGTTCAACACACATTCACAATTGGCACACTTCCTAGGAGTGTTTATTCATCCTACATTTCAAATTAAAAAGTGAATGAGAGGAGAGGAAATGAAAACTAAGCAATATGCTATTTTAAGGAACTTAGCTGTAAAGACGAAAGAAAATGAGAGTTGAAGCTGAGGAAAACATGAGTTTGTTTGATTTGCAGTTGTGTTTCTAAGATAATACATAATTGAGTTTGTGTAAAGAATGAAAACATCAAGCACCTTCTCATACATAGACACAAAGCTGTGGAGACGTGATAGTTCCAAGATGACTTAAAAAGCCTGAAAGAGAATAGCCAG
Source organism: Homo sapiens (assembly GCF_000001405.40). Classification (NCBI taxonomy): domain Eukaryota; kingdom Metazoa; phylum Chordata; class Mammalia; order Primates; family Hominidae; genus Homo; species Homo sapiens. The sequence goes on from NC_000005.10 coordinate 2,883,472, forward strand.
TGTCCAGAGTGAGCAATGGGATTCCAACACCTAAATGAAAGAAGGGAAGAGTGAGAAGACACATTTTTTGATGAATGCATATTTAGATAAAGCATCCTCTCCTGGTAGCTGAGTTTTCTCAAGTCTAGGGCATAGCACACATCTCGCAAGGGCTGGGACGATAGGTGAGGATTGCAGGGATGGTCTGCAGCAGCCCTTGTGAGGAAGGGCAGCCCACATGGGGTGAACTTTTTTTTTTTTTTTGAGACGGAGTCTCCCTCTGTCCCCCAGGCTGGAGAGCAGTGGCACGATCTCGGCTCACTGCAAGCTCTGCCTCCTGGGTTCATGCCATTCTCCTGCCTCAGCCTCCCGGGTAGCTGGGACTACAAGTGCCCACCACCACTACTGGCTAATTTTTTGTATTTTTAGAGAGGCAGGGTTTCACTGTGTTAGCTAGGATGGGCTCGATCTCCTGACCTCATGATTCGCCCATCTCGGCCTCCCAAAGTTCTGGGATTACAGGCGTGAGCCACTGAGCCCGACCGGGGTGGACTTCTTAAGCAAGTGGGGAAGAATAGGATGAAAATTACTAAACGGATTGTAGTTCAGAGACTTCTAATATGGAGACAGGATAAAGAGTAAGAAGAGGTTAAAGATACTGGAAATGGGATGGTTAAAGTGATGGCATAGATTCAACAGGGAAAGAAAATAAGCCATCAGGGCCAGCTAGGTCCAGAGTGAGAGCTACAGCAGGGGCTTGCATCTGTATTGGTATGGGGAGTATTCCAGGGGATAATAAGGTCTCTGGGGTGATGGTAGAGGCTTGTGGAGTAAGAATCAACAAACTAGGTTGTGGGTCTGCAAGTCACCCTCAATGACGGCAGGATACAGAATGGAGAGGAAGGCTATGAACTGCGTGGCAGAGTCATTAGGAGTGGACTCCTAGTGATTGCCAAGGGAAGATCATGACATCGCAGAGGTGACCTACAGAACTACCTTTACTTATTTCAAGTACAGGAAGATGTAAAAGGGAAGTTGTGGTAGATTGTTGTAATAAGGCTCCCAATGACCTATGCCCCTCTGTATCCGCACACTTAGGTGGTCCTTCCCACAATCATTCTGACTTGGGACTTGCTTTGACCAATGGGATAACACAAACATGCTTCAAGCAGAAGCTTAAAAAGAGCTTGCACATTGGGGCTCACATTCTCTGTCTGCTTTTGAGAGCTCTGTGACCACTCTGCGAAGAAACCTGGGATACTTCCCCAGAGAATAAGATGCCATGTGGAGTGGGGCTCAGTCAACAGAGCTTAGGCTCTGTGGAGCAACCAGCTATGTGACAGCAGTCATCACAGAACATCCAGATAGCTTGGCCAGAGTGCTGCTGACCATAGAGACTAGCCAAGCCAGGCCAGAAGAAAGAGCTGCCCAGAGGCCCAAAGAGAAATCGTAAGTTGTTATTTATGTTTGTCTGTTAGTAGTCACTGAGTTTGTTGAGTCATTTGTTACACAGCAACAACTTACACCCCTGACAGAAAATGAGAATCCTTGCCTTCTTGGAACATTAGAAAACCATCTGTGCAATAATAGCTTGTTGTTGTTTTTGTTTCTCTCTTTTTTTTTTTTTTTTTTTTTTTTTTTTTTTGCTCTGTCCCCCAGGATGGAGTGCAGTGGCGCAATCTCAGTTCACTGCGAGCTCTGCCTCCCGGGTTCACGCCTTTCATTCTCCTGCCTCAGCCTCCCGAGTAGCTGGGACTACAGGCGCCCGCCACTGCGCCCGGCGGCTAATTTTTTGTATTTTTAGTAGAGACGGGGTTTCACCGTGCTAGCCAGGATGGCCTTGATCTCCTGACCTCACGATCCGCCCATCTCAGCCTCCCAAAGTGCTGGGATCACAGGCGTGATGTTGTTTTTCTTTAACGGGTAAAATTCAGAAGAGACTATTTATTGTACTTGAAACTGAAAGGGGGATCGGAATACAAACCCAAAGTATGCCACTTTGGCATGAGGATTCTGCGGATCTGAAGGCACCTGAGACTCAATAGATGCAGGCAGAGTTCTCTTCTCTGCCCTTTTCTGCTTAAAAGAGGAGCATAAATCTCCCTCTGTGAGGTTGTCCCTGTCTCATCCCAGCGAGAGGAGAGCAACCCTTAGTACTGGAGACCCACTGAGAGGAGTCTCACAGCTGTCTTTAGCTTCCACCACACATTTCCTAGTCACCTTCTCACCATTTCCATCCCTTGAAGCCCGAGCCGCCTTTCCTTTGTAAAATGGTATATAAGCCCCCAAGCCTAACTGCTTCTTTGAGCTTCACTTCCTTTCTGTGAACTCTTTTGCACCTAAAACATTAAAACTTTGTATTTCTTTTCTACTAATCTGTCTTTTGTCAGTTAAATTTTCAGGACTCTAGTCACTGAACCCAAGAGGGAAGAGGAAAAGTTTTCCCTCTCTGACAATTTGATGAGTATCTTTTACCTTCTTCCTATACGTTTCAACACTGTGACTTTTTACAATAAATCTGAGTTACTTTTACCATTAGAAGAAGCTATGTTAAAATTTGAGAAACACCATTTATTCATCAAATATACAATATTACATTATGCCAAGGGTATTTAATGGTTATTCTCCTCCTGATATACAGTTCTTAATTATTATTTACATATATTTTGATGATACAAAATGGTGATAGAAAGATGAATTGATAAACGAGACAGGTTTCTCCAAAGACAATCAGACTGGCTTCATGAAATAGTAGTTGATAGACCAATTTTGCCAACAGGGTACGCTTTCTCACAAAAAAAAAAAAAAAAAGTCTTATTCTCATTAAAACATTCAATCATTGCATACTGGCTTTGAAGATTTTTCTCTTTTTAAATTTGCTTCACTACTATGCAGAAAATAAGATAAAGTGCCTTCTTTGCTTCCTAGCATTGATGTCTCTGCTGTGTTTCAAATCTGAAGTATTTTTTTTTTACTTTAGAACAAAAATCAAAAAATCATTAAATGATGTTAGAGACAGCAGGAAGTATGTAAGAATCATAGAACATCTTGCTGCAGTTTATATTATTTCATTATCTAAATCAGTGGGTAATAATTTCTTATATATCAAAGCTCATAATTATTTTCAGGGATATGAACCACAGAAGGGAAGTGGGAGTTTGAGAATGATGTCAATAAAAGAGCCAGGGTTTCTGCAGAAAAGTGGAGGAATTTGCCCAAAGAACAATTATGTAAATAAAATGTGCCCTGGGCTAGGATAATTTCGCTGTCACCCATTGACAGAAATGGCCCCAGGCATAGGCACATAAGTATTCACTTAGGGAGGTGGATCCATTGCAGGGGGGTTGGGGGAAGAAAGAAAAAAATGTTTTTAATTTATTTTGCTCCTGATTATATACGTTGGAAGGTGGGTCTTTTCTGCATCCTTGCTTATTTGCAAGGACAGGCTACAGAGCGTGTTCTAGAGGGAAGGTTTCATCAATAATCCCCCCTTTTTCTTGTCCCAGATCTCCCCGACTGGCTCAGCCCTTCCACCTAATCCACACTCGGACTCCTCCCACCTTAGAAAACAATATCCACAGACGCTCTTGACCCCTCTAGTTCTCTGTTCACTCTCAAACATTTTGCAAGAAGAATTTCCGTAAGAAGAAATGTATAGATTTTATGATACATCACATTAAAAACAATAATAATCTAGGAGTCCAAATGGTATTGACATGTTTTTATTTTGTCCAGCAAAAACATTGTTTTAAAAGAACATTTGTTATCTGTAAAAAGAAAGGGCACATTGTAATTCCAAAAACTACGGGAAGGAGATGCTCTCCAACAATACTTAGCTTTCTGAAAAAGTCATGAGAGTGCCATTGTTGGGAGGTTTCTCCTTTGTTCCTGGCGGGCAGAACACTGCCTTGAACACCCTGTCTGGGCCTGGGTGTGGGCGGAGGCTCCCCTCGGTCCGCTTCCCGTCCCTCCTGGTGGTAGCCTGGAGTGTGTCTTTCCCCCTCTACCTGAGCTGCCCCTGCTCTTCCTCCCAGACTGGGACCCTTCGTCTGTCCAGGGTGAGTCCTGAGTTTGCCTGGTGGTCAGTCTGCTCTGTACCCCATTCTATTAGCTCTCACAGCTGGCCCAAACCTTACCTTCAATGGCCCCCAAGCGCTGGGTGCCAGCTCTCAGAGGACAGGAAGCTGTGTTTCCAAGGTGGGACTTGGTGTCTGCCCTGTCCAGGTGCCCATGGATGGTGGATGCTCCCTCTTCTCTTATGTAAATGGCCAGTGGGCTCTCCCCTGCCCCACGACCTTGTCTCTGCTCTCCCCCCAGCAGCAGGTGAGAAGAAAAAGAGGCTCCTGGATGTGGCCTTGCCACCATGTGGGTTTCCAGCATGAGCCTGGCCATCACCTCTCCAGCGTCTCCCCAGGGCTTCTGACTCCACGTGGATATGGCCAGCTTTGCAGTCTATACTCCCTTTTCAACAGGCAGCTGTCCAGCACACAGCTGCCCAGCACTCACCTGCCCACCACACACCTGTCCAGCACCCACCTGCCCAGCACTCTCTCACCTGCCCAGCACCCAAGTGCTCAGCACTCTCACCTGCCTAGCACTCACTCATGTGCCCAGCACTCACCTGCTGAGCACTCACTCACTTGTCCAGCACTCACTCACCTGCCCAGCACCCAAGTGCTCAGCATTCACTCAACTGCCCAGCACCCACTCACCAGCCCAGCACCCACCTGCCCAGCACTCACCAGCCCAGCACTTACCAGCCCAGCATCCACCTGCCCAGCACTCACCAGCCCAGCATCCACCCGCCCAGCACTCACCAGCCCAGCACTCACCTGCTTGTCTCCTAACGCAGGCCTTTCAGGTCACTAGCTGGTGGTCTCATCCTCACCAAACTGCAATCCTGGGTAGCTCTGGTGTGTGATGTGTGTGGTGTGTATGATGTGTGCATTTGTGTGGTTTGTGATGTGTGTGTCATGTGTGTGGTGTGTATGTGTGTTTATCTGTGTATATGGATGTGTCTATGTGTTTGTGTCTCTGTGTGTGTGCCTGTGTGTCTGTGTCTGTGTGTGTCTGTGTATGCCTGCATGTGTCTGTGTCTATGTTTGTGTCTGTGTATGTATCTGTGTGCATGTGTGTGTATGTGTATGTGTGTGTGCCTGTATGCTGTGTATGTGCCTGTGTATGTGTCTGTGTGTGTCTGTGTGTCTGCGTGCATGCCTGTATGGTATATATGTATGTGCCCGTGTGTGTGTGTGTGCATGCCTGTGTGATGTGTGTCTGTGTGTGTGAGTGTCTGCATGAGTGTCTCTGTGTGTGTGCATGCCTGTATGGTGTGTGTCTGTTTATGTGTGAGTGTCTGCGTGTGTGTCTGTGTGTGTGTGTGCATGCTTGTATGGTGTGTGTCTGTGTATGTGTGAGTGTCTGTGTGTGCGCACCTGTACGGTGTGTGTGTCTGTGTGTGTGCATGTATGGTGTGTGTCTGTGCATGTGAGAGTGTGTGTGTCTGTGTGTGTGTGCATGCCTGTATGGTATGTGTCTGTGTATGTGTGTCTGTGTATATGTGTGTATGTGCATGCCTTATGGTGTGTGTCTGTGTGTGTGTGTGTCTGTGTGAGTGTGTGTGTCTGTGTGTGCATGCCTGTATGGTGTGTGTCTGTGTGTGTGTGTCTGTGTGTATGTGTGTGTGCATCCCTTTGGTGTGTGTTTGTGTATGTGTGTCTGTGTGTGTGTGATACGTTTGTCTTCCTTTAATGTTGTCCTTGGTCCCTGATGCTGCAGGAATAATGAAGCACACAAATCTTGGAAATGACTTAAGAGCGGATTTGAAGCCATGAGTAATACGGAAATGGAAATCAAAGGCCACTTAACGGTTGTTTCAGCTAAAGAAATTAAATATGGTTTTTAGGGGAGAAAACAATTGTTTGGTGGTTAAAGTCATGAGCTCTGGAGTGAGTCCATGGCCTTGAACCCCAGCCCCATTCATTATAGGTTGTAAATCACCGTGCCTCAGTTTCCTCGCCTGTCAAATGCTGCGCCGGGAATTCACGGAGCATTTCGTCCTTGATTGATGGCAGTGGTTGATGATGTTTTCTATTTTAAAACGGACACGCCAAAGGACAGTGGAGTTAGATAAGCAAAGCAGAAGCCCCAGAGTGGAAAGACTCTGAGCGGGCAGGGAAGAGCTTCCAGGAAAAAGTGAGGAGACCTCAGCTGAAACAAGATTTGAAAGCCTCTGTTCCTTTTGCCATCCTGCGGACTCCGAGACGCCTCTTACTCCGGTGACGCCGTATCCAGGAGTACTGAGCAGGCTGCTGAGGTTCCGTCAGGTAAGTCACGATTCTTTATTGAAATTCCTGCTTTCCTTTGATGCCATTTCTTTCACACCTGTTTAATTTATTTAGACCTCGGGCTCATGGATTAGGGCTAATTTTCTCCGTTGACCCTAAACGTTAAAGCGCGATCATGTTACCCTTTTTGCAGAAATCAAGTTTCTTTTTCTTTCTTTTTTTAATTTTGAGAATCTCAGATCCTTTGTGCTCTATTATTCCTGGCCTCCACAAGCTTCTTAGAGTGCAACGAAGAAATATGCTTATGAAGAATCACTTTACCATCCCCTGAAATCAAGCCATTTTGAGGGTGGGGGGAGGCTGTTCAAGAGACTTACTAGCGCATGAGACACAATGTACCATTGACGCTGCAATCGCGGCTCCACGGCGGCTGGAATGCAATTAACTGAGCTGGAAGGCGTCCAGCATGCGCTCTCCTCTCGTGAAGAAAAGCTCTGTGCAACCTTCATGACCACGTCAGATTGGACCCTTGGTTTCACATCTCAGGAGAAAGAGACCCTCCTCTCCTCGGGCACTGGCTCAGAACTGGGAAGAGTGAAGAGGGAAGAGGCTGCGTACAGGACCTGATGTGGCTGAGCCTCTTCTGGGGCAGAAGGCTCCTACCACGTCCCTGTCTGGAGATGGACTCAAGGAACCTATAGAATGGTGGAATCTCGGTGTCTTTGCTCAGGCTCCTGTCCCATCATTGTGTTGTCTTCAGTGTTTATTCCATCTCTGTGTCTGTGTGGAAATCTATAGAGATGGCTGTGGCTGACCTCATACATTAGAAGACAGGAAAATGGAAGTGGCACAGCAAGTAACTTAGAGCCGATAAACAGCCGGCAGCGCATTATGGAACATAAAATTTAAAACGCTTTCTGGGCCTCAGCTTCCTAAAGCTTCTTTGATTGTCAAACGTCGTTACTAAGTCCAAGTTTAAGACATCTGCCGCTCTACCTTACACACCACGCACAGGCCGCAAGGCCACCGGGAAATGATGAAAACATGAATGCGGGCAGCATTGCTGTGGTGTTAACCCTACCTTTGAAAATACTTACGTTTGTGATCTGTAATTGATTATTGCTCTGGTCTGTCTGTATCCAGGTGAAGCTGTGTTTCAGGGAGCATGCATGTACACACACACAAGCATACATATGTACACACAAGCACACACATACACTCTGGTGCACACATGTATCCACACAAACACACATGCACATATATGTGCGCACATGAGCATACACACCCACGTAAAACCACACAAGTGCACACACTGATGCATATATATGTACACATGCACATACTCTGGAGCACACGTACATGCATGCACAAACACACATGAGCACATACACACACTCACAGGCACATACAGTATACTTGCTAAGAGTTGAAGCTGGGCTATGCCGCCCATGTTCGACTATCTCCAGAGAAGATAGTCCCAGTTCTCCAGAGCGGGTGGCCCCAGCCCTTTAGAGTATGTAGTCACAGTTTTCTCAAGTGGGTAATCCTAGTACGCTAGAGTGGGTAAGCCTTGCTCTCTAGAGTGGGTAATCTTAGTTCTCTGGAGTGGGTAATCCCAGTTCTCTAGAGCAAGCAGTCCTAGTTCTTTAGAGTGGGCAATCCCAGTTCTCTAGAGTGGGTAATCTTAGTTCTCTAGAGTGGGTAATCTTAGTTGTCTAGAGTGGGAATCCTATTTCTCTAGAGTGGGTAATCCTATTTCTCTAGAGTGGGTAATCCTAGTTCTCTAGAGTGGGAATCCTATTTCTCTAGAGTGGGTTATCCTAGTTCTCTAGAGTGGTAATCCTAATTTTGTAGAGTGAGCAGTCCTAGTTCTCTACAGTGAGCAATCCCAGTTCTCTAGAGTGGGTAATTTTATTTCTCTAGAGTTGGTCATCCTAGTTCTCTAGAGTAGGTATTTCTAGTTCACTAGGGTAATTCTAGTTCTCTAGATTGGGTGGTCCCAGTTCTCTTGAGTAGATAGTCTCTGTCCCCCAAATGCTCCATGTTTGAAATTCTCTATGATTCTGGTTCTGCTGCCTGCACCACCACAGATAACAGAGCAATTGTAACATTCACATTGGCCTTGTCAACAATTGGTTAGGGGATGAGGAAGCCAGACTTCTGCGGACAGCTGAGAGGCAGACGCAAGCTTGCTTTGGGGAGAAATAAGGGAGTCTCTGGCCCCACAAGTGTGGATGAAGACACACTGAGGACCCCCACCCCACACTCAGACTTTCAGGACTCACAGGGGTGGAGCCCAGGCAACCAGCATCTGTGCTTCTTATGATCTGAGTCAGATTTTCTAGAGGCTTATTCTAGTTAGGGTTGAGATTTTTTCCCTTGCTGAGATTATTTTAACTGACCAAGTTAGCGCTTTATAGAGAGCCATTCATTCAAATAGGCCATGAGAATTATTGAAGGTATGAGCTCTTCACCAATGATTTTAAGACTTCCCACTAATATAGTGACCAGGAAAGATTCCTGTCCTAAATTCTTAGCTTTTGAAAATGACACCCTGCTTTCACTTTGGGACGGCCAGATGTGCATAGACATTGGATCTGGCATCACACTTCACAAGTGGGCTGAGGTGATGCGGACTCACAGGGAGCAGAAGAATGGAGATGCTGCTCTTAATCGCCTGCACCAGCTGCCTTCTGTGCCCATTCCTGGGCAAGTCTCAACCTCTCTTCACACTCAGAGATGTCCTCCTGCCTCTGGGCCTTTCTGAGTCAGAGTTTTGGGAAAAAACAGGTCCCTTCCTTTCTCATGGTGGTTGAAGGACTTGGAAAGGGGTTTAACTCTCTCCACCCTACAGCATCCTTGGGCCCCACCCAGCTGGTGAGCTCCTCTTCTGCCTGCCTGGACATCCAGCCACGTGTTTGTTTATGGAGGGTGATGGAGCAACAGAGCGTGGCTTGGGAGTCAGGGCACCAGGTCCCAAGCCTGGAACATTCCCAGGCTGATGGCCTTGGGTAAATGGCTAAGTCTCTCTTTCTCATTTGGGATTCTGTTTCCCAGATGGATCTGTCTGGCCCTGGGGACAGTGGGAGCAGGAGGTGGGCCAGTGGGGGCAGGGTGACCTGGGTGCATTGGACGGTAGAGTGGGTTTAGGACCGAGTACGAGACTGGCTTCCCTTGGAATGGAAGTACTCCGAATGAGACCTCAGACCACGGCCTGGAAGGAATCCTCTAATACCCGGGCTTTCTAGCCAGCAAATGGGGACACAGGAGCCAGAGGGAAGAGAGGCTTCAGAGACGAGAGTCTGAAACGTCCACTGAGAGGCCCTCCTTGGGATTGATCCAGATTCACAGAACCAGGGATGTATTGTGTTGTTATTCTTTCTTTCTTTTTTTTTTTTTTTTGAGACAAAGTGTCACTCTGTCGCCCAGGTTGGAGTGCAGTGGCACGATCTCGGCTCACTGCAACCCCCATCTCCCAGCGGGTTCAAGCAATTCTCTTGCCTCAGCCTCCCAAGTTGCTAGAATTACAGGCGCCTGCCACCACGCCCAGCTAATTTTTGTAGTTTTAGTAGAGACGGGGTTTCACCATGTTGGTCAGGCTGGTCTCAAACTCCTGACCTCAGGTGATCCACCAGCCTTGGCCACCCAAAGTGCTCAGATTACAGGCGTAAGCCACCGCGCCCAGCCGTTATTATTATTTCTGAAAGTAAACAGATGGGGGGAGTGGGTTATAATGAAGAAGCCTGCATGGGTTCACTCGGGCGACCACAGCAAAGGCAAAGGCAAACATACGCAGTGGCTTAAGCAACACAAATGCATTCTCTCCCATTTATGGAGCCTGGACACCCAAGGTCATGGGTTGATTCCTCCAGAGACCTCTCTCTCTGGCTCACAGATGGTGTCTCCTCTCTGTGTCCTCCTGTGCTTGTCCGTCTGTGCCTTCCTGTGTCTCCATTTCTTTTTCTTTTAAGGACACCAGTCATAATGGATTAAGACCCACCCAAACAACCTCATTGAACTTAATCATTTCTTTAAAGGCCCCACCTCCAAACACCACCACAAGCTAAGGTACTGGGGGTTAGGGCTTCCACACATGAACTTGGCATGACACAATTCAGCCCAGAACAGAGCCTTATGTGTACGTGCGACAGTGTGCTCACGTCTTCTGGAGGACCCTGGGTGCCTGGCAACTGATGGGCATTCAACCAATGTTTGGATGAATTTGTAGAAGACACTTTGCTGCAGTCCTAATTGTTATAATAGTATTTGACCCAAATCTGATGTGATTTGCTTGCTTTTTTTAGTTATTTTTTAATGCTGTGGTCACAATGGTTTAATCTTCCCCGAGATCCTTTTCTGCCCTCTTTTAGAGTTTTTTCATGTCAAAACCTAAGAACAAAAGTTCAGTAAAGTGCCTCTGGTATTTACCAAAGGTAGAGGGCCCGTTGGCACGTTTCTGATTCTTTGAACCCTCTCATACCGGGCCCCCAGTACCTTGTTAAATATTTTCCCCAGTTTTAATCAAGTGGAGCATTTGCACACAGATTTTGTCCTGGCTGCTTATGTTAACTTCTCTATTTCCAGCTTCGTTTAAAGCGCAGTGCCACTAACTCATAAAATTAATTCCCATTTCATGGGGCTGTCAGAAATGAGGATTGTTCTGACCCCTACTTGAACTCATCAGCTGAAATGAAGTTGTTCACTGAGCTGGGGAAGACAAAGCTTGGCTCCAAGAAATTAATCAGCTCCATCAGCCCTCAGAAGAGGCCTGGAGACCGCCCCCGCCACTCCGACCCTGGATAGCTCCGGATCCCGTGCGTAAATGAAAGCCATCACTCCTGGCAAGGAAGATACTAAATTATAGGCTTTTAAATTTAATTTTCTGTTTACTTGTGTTTTCGATTAGCGTGCCATGTCTCATAACGGTGGCAGTACCTTTCAGTAGTAAACACCTCCATCCTGTAGCTTGCGCTGCCCTTGTCATGAAAAGGCAAATTTGAACCAAGATCTGTTAGCAAATGAAACATGGAGTGTTTTTTTTTTAATTCCTCTGACACCTTAAGCAACAATAGCGAATTATTTTCTTCACAACAAAATCGATAACAGGCTTGGAAATAAAAAGTCGCCATGGGCCTGGGGCCACAGAATTTCCTGACAGGCTCCTGAAACTATCTTCTGACCGCCGGGAGGCCGGCTGGACAGCCACTCACTCGTCTTTCCTGATTTACTCGCGGGACAGCTCCCCAGGCTAGCGAAACTCACAGGCTGGATGACAGATGGTGGCTGGAGACCCAGTGTCCCCACGCACCTTTCTCTCCATGGGACTTCTGTCATGCACACTCAGAAGGGGAAGTTTCTTCTGTTCTTGAGAGCAGAATTTAGAATTGCCCCTTCTTGGAGCATTCTGACGTTGGTGACAGCCCTCTTTGTTCCCTGCTGATGACCCCAGGTGTAGGTTTACACTTAAGCAACATTAACCGCTTTAAGAAAGAAAAGCTCCCGAGAAAGTCTTATTGATGCCTCAGACTTGAAGCGGACTGCATAAAGAGATCCCAGGGCTGACTGAGCCACGGTCCCATGGCCCCCACAGCAAGGGTTCTTCAGCACCCCAGCGGGGAGTTGGACAGGGAACCAGAGGGGTTGGAGGTCTGCAAGGCATAGAAACAACCCCCTCCAACACTTATCACCCAACAGACCAAGTGGATTCAGGAAAGCATTGGCGGGGCCACGTGCCTGGAGGTCTCAGGATGGTTGTGGAGGGAGTGAGGGTCCCAGCTCAGGATGGAGGTGGAAGGAGTGAGGGTCCCAGCTCGGGATGGAGGTGGAGGGAGTGAGTGTCCCAGCTCGGGATGGAGGTGGAGGGAGTGTGGGTCCCAGCTCGGGATGGAGGTGGAGGGAGTGTGGGTCCCAGCTCGGGATGGAGGTGGAGGGAGTGTGGGTCCCAGCTCGGGATGGAGGTGGAGGGAGTGAGGGTCCCAGCTTGGGATGGATGTGGAGGGAGTGAGGGTCCCAGCTTGGGATGGATGTGGAGTGGAGGGAGTGAGGGTCCCAGCTCGGGATGGAGGTGGAGGGAGTGAGGGTCCCAGCTCGGGATGGAGGTGGAGGGAGTGAAGTTCCCAGAGTGCCTGCAGGTGTGGGCTGGGCTCCGCAGTGGGTGCTGCCTGTGCTGCCATCTGCTCCTCTGCCCACCTCACTGCCTCCTCTTGACCAGCCTTCTCTTTTCCCACCAGGTCCCCTCTTCTTCCCTGGAAATCCTAGCAGTGGCATAAGGGTGAGAGCAGGCTCTTAGGGAAGGGGACCCTGGCCTCAGTGAAGGCTGGAAGGTGCCCATGCCGCAAACCCAGAGGGGCTGGGGAGGAACTGGAGATCACAAGCTCAGAAAGCACGGGGACCTCAGGGGCTGGACCTACCCTCCTCAGCGGGACAGCAGGGCCCCTTGGCGCAGCCTCTCCCCTCACCTGTCCCTCACTCTCTCTCTCTCTGCTGAGTGGGGCTGGCCCATGCCCCGCACCCTTACCCCCCAGGAGGGTCCCACAGGAGTAATTTGATCCACACCTGAAGGCCCTAGAGGAGCCATGGGCAGAGGAGCAGGGGAGAGGCCGGAGGGTCTGGAAAATTATTTCCCATTTACTGGAAAATCTTCACCCTTCTTATCCTCGCTCTTCTTTCTGCCTTGGCTCCCATAGGTGAAGAAGGTGAGGACAGTGGTGCTGGACCGTGTCCCCCGGCCCTAGGAGCTGCCACTCCTGCCACCCGCAGCCTAGGTCTTCATCTCAGAGAACTCCGCAGCCAGGGCTCTCACCACGCAGGCTCCGGCCTCTGCCCTGTTCTCTGCCCACCTTCTTCTTGTAGGCAAGCGAGGTCCCCTCTCCAGGGTTCAGTTTCAGCATCTGAAAATGGGCACAATAACACTCACGGCTTCCCTGGATTGCCAGGGGGTGGGCAGGTCACTGAGGTCAAGCACTCAGCAATGTCCCACAGCGAGCACTGGCCACTGCGGCTGGGAGATCAGCTTCCTTTCCCGATTCTCAGGGTGCATGGGCGTTTGCTGAAGCTACACGTCCAGGGACTCCTTCCCACTGAGGGGTCGCGGGTGCTGTCTTGTGGGGGCAATGTTCGCTCAGACTCCATGGATGCGTGGCCAGACCCTTGTGGACCCCAGCTCTGCTGGCTTCTGATAGCAGGGCATCGGGGAGTTAGACTGGAGCTTCATTTCCTCTTCTTTAACATGGCATCTCACGGGTGTCGTAAGCATGAGATTAGGCGAAGTTATTCCTGTGGAGTTGCTGACTCCACCCCTGGTGTGTAGTCACCGGTGCCCCTTCCTTCTCTGGGCTCAGACAGCAGCCTCAGGTGGGCTCTGACTCCTCCCAGAAGAAAACTGTCAAGGATGCCGCGCCCCCGGCTCTGGGCCCCGTGAGCCAAATTCCTGTATGGATGCTCAGGCCCTTCTATCAGTCCGCCAGACCTGGCCAGCCACTCAGGGGCCCATCTTTCCTTCGTAGAGGCAGCTGGGGATTGGGAGAAGCTGGCCAATGTGCAGCATCCTCGGGGAGGACTTCCTGGCCTCCAGTGACAAGATCCCAGAGATGGGGAAGGCATTGAACACATGTGTGCTGCTGGGGAGACTGCCGCCCTGAAGCACACCTGTGTCCCTGGGGTGGGGCCATCTGGGTACTTGCTCCCCCCAGCACCATGTCTCACTCTTTTAGAATCTTTGTTCTCATTGCACTGAGATGCTTATCGGCCCTCCTCCCAGTGCCTCCAGCAACAGTGGGATTTTCCTGGCCCTGCGCTGTGGCTGCTGAGTACACGGACCCTTAGGTCCTGCCTGACCAACTCCCCTCTGCCCACCCACCCTTCGATGTCCCCAGACAGTGGCTGCTCCAGCGTCTCCCTGACCTGTCACCTTCTCTTCTTCCTCCGCCCCCAGGAGGGGCCCGGGTGGGCACCAGAGGCCTCCCCCACCAGCTTTTCAGACTGCTTCTGCGGCTGTGCTGGCTTCTGCGCAGCCTTCCCCATGCTGGAATGCCCCTCACTCTGTTGAGTGTTGAGTGCCGTGGCTGCTGCAGCAGGACCCACAGTCTGGGTGGCTCAGACAGCAGGGAGGCATGCATCCTGTCTGTGCGGGAGGCCACGGGTGCACAGGCCGGCAGGACTGGCTCCTTCTGGAGGCTCCGGGAGAGGAGCTGCCACACCTCTCCCACCTGCTGGCTCTGCCCGTGACCCTTGGGACCCTTGATTTGCAGACAGCCATTCTTATCTAGCCTCTGCCATCAGGTGGCCAGCTTCCGGTGTGTCCCTGCATCCCTGCCAATCCACAGGGCCTTCTTTTTTTTTTTTTTTTTTGAGACGGATTCTCGCTCTTTCGCCCAGGCTGGACTTCAGTGGTGCTATCTCGGCTCACTGCAAGCTCCGCCTCTCGGGTTCACTCCATTCTCCTGCCTCAGCCTCCCAAGTAGCTGGGACCACAGGCACCTGCCACCGTGCCTGGCTAATTTTTTGTATTTTTAGTAGAGATGGGATTTCACCGTGTTAGCCAGGATGGTCTCGATCTCCAGACCTTGTGATCCGCCTGCCTCGGCCTCCCAAAGTGCTGGGATTACAGGCATAAGCCACCGCGCCCGGGCCACAGGGCCTTCTTATAAGGACATCATCCCTTGGATTTAGGGCTCACCTGAATCCAGGATGACTTCATCTTACCTTGATCACATCTGCCACAAATCCATTTCCAATGAAGTCATGTTCATAGGTACCTGGAGTTAGAACTGGAGTGTGTCTATTTTCCCTGAATTGGACAATTGGATCTTTTCTGGCTGTCCATCACTGCACCTCCTTCTGTTTATGTTTGTGCATCATTGTGGGAGCTGCCAAGAGAAAGCCCCCATCTCCACATTGCCCGGGAAACCCAGCCTGTGGGACATCCTCCCAGGACTTGGGTCCAAGGAGCTAAAGAGAAGTGGGCAGGAGGCCCTTGCGGAGGTGCTCAGCGAGTCCATGGTCTGCACGTGCAGCCAGCGTGGCTCTGGGGCCTTCAGGCTGCTCCAGCAAGTCTGTGGCAATGCCCAGTGACCCTTTCTCCATGTCAGACAGTCCCAGCCCCCAGCCATGAGTAGGTGCTGGTAGCCCAGAGCCTGTCTTCCCTGTCAGCTCCCCTTCCTCAGCCTTTAGGGCCCTGCTCAGGACAGATGGGTCCAGGAGCCTTCCCTGGGAGCCGGGGGTAGACCAGAATCTTCTGTTTTGCTCCCTGAATGCACATTCCTCTGTAACTGCATTTACTGCCTTCCCTGTTGTTATCAGCACATGGCTGTGTCTCCCAGGCTGGAGGACAAGAGCCAAGCCCTCCCTATCTTTGTGCACGCATTTCCAGGGACACGAGGACCTCACTAGGCACTTGTGAAATGAATGAATGAATGATTGAACCTCTCACAGTGTCCACGAGCGTCTGACTATCGCCATTTTCCCACCGTGGACCCAGATGGGCCTCCTGGGTAATTTTGCTGCTAAACAGTGGGAGGCAGATGCTCTCAGGCCTCCCTGGATTGCAGAAGCCCTCAATCCTTTCACCCCAGGAATGGAAGCGCTGAGAACCTGCCCTGGGTCAGAGCAGGGTAACCTCTGAGTGCAAGCGTGGCTTCCATTATTTTCATTGCTACAACTCTTCTAGAAAGGCGTCCTCATCTTTGCTTTCCACGGTCTTGGAGAGCTGGTCACCTGCATCGGTCACTGAGCTAGCGGACCTCAGAGCCGGGAGGAGCTAGGCCTGTTCAGTACAAGACACCTGCACTCTTTCACTCTCTAGAGGCTGTGCCCTGTTCAGAACGTGGGGAAAACCCAGAGCACACATGGTGCAGGTGTCTATTCCACATATGCCTGCCATTGCAGCCTGTCCACAGACACCTGGGCCAGCTCCCCAGCTGACACCTCCACCCTGATGTTTGCCCTACGCCTGGTACAGGGGGCTTCATTCTCCCCCAGCCCAGGGCATCTGCACCTTTCTGCAGGATTCGGAAGCAGCACGCCATCAAGACTGCATTTTTCACAACTACCGACAAAATGCGAGGTGGCAAAACTGTTAACCATGGTGATATCTTTCCAGTAGATTAAAAGGAAAAATGAGATTTTTATTATATAACAAAAATTAAAACACTTAATCTATGTATATTTCATTTCTGTGGAGCAGGTGCAATTCAATTGAACAGCATTCTCTTTTCTCACTCCCTATAACTTGCCCACCAGCTGTGGCTATTACTACTTTGTGCAAAAAATAAGGAATTGTAAATAATGTATTTTCCCATAACAAAACCCAATGCAATTGACTTATGTATTTATTCTATTTTCATAACTTATACATTCTATGATATAATTATATGCAATTAACCTTGTCATGTTATATTTAATTAAATTGATTACATATTCAAAATAACATAAATATTAATATAGCAAATATATTAATATTTAGAAAATAATACATTACATATAGTTAAACATATTGTATTATAATTAATTATGTATTAGATGTTATATTTCTAAAATGCTTTATAAAATGTGATATACAAGAATGTATACTATGTGATTATATGATTTATGAATTATTACTTACTTTGCAATTCCAATCCCCTGTGTACAGATGCTACACTTCCTGTTCCTGTTGACATAAAGATCTGGTGTTTGCCCTCAGCAGAGGAGGGGCAGAATCTGCCTGGTATTGTCTGTTCCTGTGTTTCCCACTCTCCTCTCTTCCCAGCTTCTTCTCTGCAGCTCCTCACTCCCAGCTTCTCCCTTCAGCTTCTTCCCCTCCACTTTCTCCCTCCCCAGCTTCTCCCCACTCCAGCTTCTCCCCAACCTTCTCCCTTCCACCTTCCCCTTCTCCACCTTCTCCCTCTCCTGCTTCTTGCTCCCAGCTTCTCCCCTCAGCTTCTTTACCTCCACCTTCTCCCTCCCCAGCTTCTCCCCACCCCAACCTTCTCCCTTTCCACCTTCTCCCTCTCCAGCTGCTCACTCCCAGATTCTCCCCTCAGCTTCTTTCCCTCCACCTTCATCCTCTCCAGCTTCTCACTCCCAGCTCCATGATTCTTTCTGAGTTGAGATAAATGTGGCTTCTCCCTGCCATGGTTGTACTTTGGGGAAAATGTCCATGCTCATCTGGCTGCCTTGATCTTCTGTCTACAGAATCAAATAAGCCACCACTGGGCCCATCTGTCCCTTTGTAGGGAAGGAGTGTGACTGTTCCACTTTGCCCCACTTGGGCCTTTCTCCTCTGATGAAGCTACAGCCTCTGGTCTGGAGGTCAGGACATGTGTCCAGTGTTTAGTTCATACTAGCATCAGGGTATTAAAGAACCACTTTTGTGTTAACATGGCTATCCAGGAGTCTCCCCAGATGGCATCGTGTTAAAAGGCACACCTTGTGTTTGGGCCTGTTCATCTTTTTACATCCAGGTCATGAAGAGCTGTCTCTGCTGCTGGTAAGAAGGAGCTCTGCTGGCAGCGGAGCTCCTTCCAGAGCCTCGTGAAGCCAGCATCCCCTCAGGCCCTCCTGCGTGGGTGTGTGCAGACCTGGGAGGCTCCAGGGTGGGTGTCCTTTGAGTCCCCTTCCCTGGCTGTGCCTAACTCCTGTCCTGTGTTGCTGGCCCCACCCTGCTCTGGAGAGTCAAGTCCGTGCTCTCTTTTGTGAGAACATCTGGGTCTGTATTAGGCATATTCAATGCTTTTCTCTCCGAATTTAAAAAGGAAAAAAAAAACAAACAAACAGCAGATCTCGTAAGATTTAACCAGTACCAACGAAAAGCATGTTCCACTGACTTTCGGTTTTATTGAGTAAATAATTCACTCAAAGTTCCAGATACTTTTCTAATGGACTTAGTAGAAAGTCTCCCAGTTCCCACCCTGCCTGCCTTCCCCTTGAAATGGGTCATCCGTGGTGTTGGCTTCCTGTGCAGGCAACCAGAATCTCCACACGGTGGCAAAGACACCCCTGCAAACACGCCTTTGACACAAAGCCTGCACGCTGTCTGCACTGTGCTCGGATTTATCTGCATCTTGGGTGTCATTCCTCAAGAGATGTTGGAGAATGTCTTCATTGTTTCTTTGTTGTTGTTGTTGTTGCCGTCGTTGTCCTGAGCTGTCAATTGCTCAATTGCTCACCTCTCCCCGGATTTAGTCAGAGCACTGAACATAACTGTCACACATCTCCATCATCTGCCCTGCATCTCCAGATGGTGGGTCTAAACCATTCAGTTCTCCTCTTCGCTCCTGGGTTCTGCTTATTTTCGGAAGATCACCTTTGTGTTTATGCCCTGAACCGATTCCTGATTATTTGGGGATAGGAACAGTGGGCCATTGTTTCACATATCTCTGGGCCTGCCCCAGGAACCCCCACTCTTTGGCACTGAAGGGTGACCCTGCTCTGCCCAACCTGAAGCCCCATCCTGAGAGAGAGAAGGGTGAGGATGCTGCTGGAGGTGTGTGGCTGGGCCAGGAGCTGCCCATGGGAAACCCTACAGTTTCCAGGCCTGCTGCTCAAACCATAAAAAAGACAGGTGACCAAAATGCTTCTGAAATGTGGTATTGGAGCCTAACAGAAGGCCCTGCCCCACCAGGACATTCGAAGCAGCCAGGCAGAAAGTGCCCAGTCCACTAGAGCCAGTGTAAGAGGGAGTCCCCTCTGCCTAAACCCAGGCCAGGAAAGTAACCGGAAGACAGCCGATGTACTGTCTGCATGCTGCTATTTCCTGGTTTTTGGCCGCGGCTGCCCTGTAAAAGCCCATTGTCCTGCCCTGCTCAGGGGGTCTTCCTCTATTTTGTAGGCAAGCTGCTGTTCCACTCATCACTAATAGAAGCCACTTAGATCTTTAAAACTCAAATCTTTGACATTTTATATATTTTTTTAACAAAATGAATACAAGAAAGAACATATTTATGTACTATCCAGTTCAACGTTCCTGCAGCTCTGAGCAAAGCACCTACGCATTGAGAGAACATTCTAGACCAGGGCTAGCACACATTGACCATAAAGAGCCAGGCGGCATTGTAGGCTGCTGGTCCTCTGGTCTATGTCACTGGGACTGCCCTCTGCCCTGTTACCCGGAGGCCACCAGCCACACGGAGGCAAGAGCACCCCGGACCGTGTGCCAGCTGAGCTTCAGAAACTCTGACGTTTGGACTCCACGTAGCTTTCACATGCCACAAAACATGACTTGTGTTTTGATTTTCTTCTGAACCACCTGAAAACGCAAAACCATTCCTTGGAGCTTGGAGCTATACAAAAATAGGTTAGAGGCGACATCTGGCCCCAGAACTGCTGTTTGCGCACCTTGGTTCTAGTGTGGGCTCCACACTGTGAGTGAGGGTCCTGACAGAGGTTCAGGGTGTCGCCACCCCTACACCCCACTCCTGCCATCTGCTTTCTGCCCTGCTGGCCACAGCAGGGAATCAGGAAAAAGATAAGGCCCTGGTCCTAGCCTCAGCAACCAAGCTGCCTCTTTGGCCCGTCTGGGGCCACCATAACTCTTGCTTTCCAACAGGCTCCTGGGGAAAATGGGTTCTAGGGTCCCCGGGCTGCCCCTTAGGGATGAATTGGGATTCCTGGCATCATGGCCTGGGGTCAGATTTGTCCCTCTTGGGACAAAATTGGGCTTTTGTAAGTGAAAAGAGGCCACCCAGGACTATTTATCGAATGAGTGAATGAAAGGCAAATTCTCTCTCCCATCCAGTGGGTACTGGATGCCTGCAGCCCTGCCTGAGTTGCTCTTCTGAGCATTCCTTTAGTCTCAAGGCAAAATGAGCCCAAGCTGGAGGTGTCAGCAGACATCTCACCCGACATGAGCCGCTCTGCTCTTGCTTTCATGCTTGAGGTGAGGCAGGGCAGGGCCCTCCACTGGCCTGTCTCCCCGATATATGTACAGTGGCACCAGAGCACTGGTACGTTTCAGCATCAATCTCCAATATCACCCCAGTTTCAGCGATGCTGGAGATCCCATACCGGTTATCCATTCCTCTCTCCTGGCCACACTACCCTCAAAGCATCGTCTTGTACTGCACTCCCAGGTCCTGCCAGGGTGAATTCCCCGGAAATCCATGCCGACAAGACAAGCAGAAGCCATGGGCAGATGATGGGAGACGAGAAGAGACAGGAGGCTGCGAGGCAGAGGGCAGCATGCGCTGTAGGGAGGGAGCCAGGTGTGGAGGCAAAGGAAATGGGCGAAGGACGGGCATCTGCTGCCAGCCTGCATAGACAGTGGGGCTCCGGGTCCAGGAGGAGGCTGTGGCTGTGGCGGGTGCCTCCTGGCCCCCTGTTGAGCAGGGGGGTGCTGTCTGCAGGGCCTGCCTTAGTCCATGATTTGGATTCCGTTCTCCTCCGCGCAATGGAGAGGACCAGGTTCTTGGCCTCGCTGTGTCGTGGAAAGCCGACCTTCTGCCGGCTCCCGAGCTCCCAAGGTCCTGCCGACCAGCCGCCCTGCAGCCCATGCATGATGAGGCCGGCCGGCTGGCAGGGCTACTGCGTGTGTGTTCCAGGTGACAGTCAAGCAGGGGACCAGAAATAAACCTTTTCTGGAAGTAGTTTGATATTCGATAATTTTTGAAAAGCATGCTTGAGTAGTCCTGGAAACACAATGCAGTGGGGTGCTCTTCCCATTTTCTGGTTAGTTATTTTCATTGTCTGGGGAGGGTGGGGGACACCAGCACCCTCCAGGGCTGAAGCCCTCCCAGGGGCTATCTGAGCACAGCTCCCAGAGGCCACCGAGGGCCTCTGCTGTGTGCAAGTGCAGGGCTCCCAAACCCCCAGGCCATGGGTCAGTACCCGACCATGGTCTGTAACAAACCAGGCCTCACAGCAGGAGGTGAGCTCCGCGGAGTGTGAGCATTACCACCTGAGCTCCGCAAAGAGTGAGCATTACCACCTGAGCTCCGCAAAGAGTGAGCATTACCACCTGACGCCGCAGAGAGTGAGCATTACTACCTGAGCTCTGCAGCGAGTGAGCATTGCTGCCTGAGCTCCACAGAGAGTGAGCATCACCACCTGACGCCGCAGAGAGTGAGCATTACTACCTGACGCCGCAGAGAGTGAGCATTCCCACCTGACACTGTAGAGAGTGAGCATCACTACCTGAGCTCTGCAGTGAGTGAGCATCACCACCTGACGCCGCAGAGAGTGAGCATTACTACCTGACGCCGCAGAGAGTGAGCATTACCACCTGACACTGCAGAGAGTGAGCATCACCACCTGACACTGCAGAGAGTGAGCATCACCACCTGACGCTGTAGAGAGTGAGCATCACTACCTGAGCTCTGCAGCGAGTGACCATAAGCACCTGAGCTCTGCCTCAGTTCAGATCAGCACAGTATTAGATTTTCATAGGAGCACTGGCAGATTCTGAGCCCCGGCAGGCTGTACATACTGCAAGCAGCTCACTAAGATTTCAATGGGCTTATAGGACACACGGAAGATAACTGGCACTGGCCACCTCCTCAGTCACAAGGACGGGCCCCTGTGAGAGCGATGTCATGTGCGCAGCCTGTCGGTCCAGCCAGGGAGTGTCCTCACACTTCCATGTGTCCATGTGAACTGGTGACCTCGGAAACAGAGTGATCCTCAGTGGAAGTGAATGCAGCTTCTGGAAGTAAGGGAAATATTTGTCCAGCAAAAAGTGGGCACTCCATGGGTAACTTCCCACTTTCTATAAAAGTGCTGAGTCGTGCCCACCTCCCCACTTCATAGGTGGAAGTCCTGACACCCAGTCCTTCAGAATGTTACCTTATCTGGAGACAGCGCTTTCCAAGAGATACTGAAGTTAAAATGAGGTTGTTAGGGTGGTGTCTCATCCCATCTGACTGATGTCCCCATAAACAGAGAGATCAGGACACAGAGCAGCACAGAGGGATCCACTGTGAGGACACAGGGAAAAGTCACCATCTCCATGCCCTAGAGAGGCTCAGGACTTGCCAAAACCTGATCCCGGACTTCTGGCCTTGATAACTATGAGAGAGGAAGTTCTGCTTCTTAAGCCCCAGTGTATGGTGACAATACATTCCCATTGTTTAGGCCACCCAATATACGGTACTTGTTATGGCAAACTGAACAGACTAATACGAGGGTCAACTGTTTACCGTCAGAACAACATACTTTTATTCAAATCCACCTTCTCCTCATCCTGTGCCTTCGGTAAGGAGCTGGGTCACTGTGGGCGTCTGTGTGGTCGGTGGCTGAGACGTGATGTGGCACTGAGTCTGTGGACATCTCCCCGACACAAACAAGGCCCAGAAAACTTATAGGCACGTGGACAGCAGGGTCCACACTGAACATCAGAATCAATAATGAGGAATTTTAATTAGCTGGAATGTGGCCTATGGAATGTGTTTAACTGGCAGCAGTCATAGCTTTGTTTTTGCTCCTTTTCCTCTCTGTCCTACCTCCAACTGCTGAGAGGCTGGCAACTGCTCTCAGGGTGCCCTTTGCTCTTCCCCATCAGGCCCACTTCCAAAGGTTTATTTGCCTGTTTTGACACAGGAAATACAAGTGTGCATTTCCATGTTGCTTCTGCTTTTAAACAAATTACAACCCTGATAGAAGATTTGCATGAAACAGAAATACTGTGAAATAAGACTCATCATCCAGGGAATGGAATGCGAGGGCTGGGGCCAGGGGTTGGCCACAGCAAGGATGCCCCTTCCCACTCCTGTGATGAACTCTACATCACGAAATGCAAGGCAAAGATCCCACATGCAGCTTCCTGCAGGAGCCTGGGCATCATTTTTGTGTCTGAAACACTGGACTGACAGGCATGTGCTCCCAAAGCTGCACCGGTGGCCCCTCCCACAGGTCTGCAGTCACCTTGTCCTCGTACTGCACCTGCAGCTGGGTGGGGTCCAGCCTGTCCCCACCTGCCCCCACTTGCCCACAGGTGTACGAGGAATTCCCTTCACAGTCAACCATGAGGACACGCTAGGCCTCCTTTCAAGTTCTTTAGTCAGGGTCAGTGTCAAACATGGTGAAGAAGGTTTACAGCCTGCAAGTTCTGTGCCCACTTCCAGAGTGTGTTCCTAGAAAGAAGTTACAGGATTAAAGTCTCAGGGTGGGGCCAGCAGAGGCCAGGGATGAGGTTGGCAGGAGAGTGGGAAGATGCACAGGGTGAGTGTCTTGCAGCGAGACCAGAGTCGAGGCACCTGAGGGTATGCAGTGGGGGCAAGACCCCATCATCTTTCTGCAGAGACAGGTCAGCCAGGGACCTGTGGATGGTACCATGTGTTTGGTGTAGCTACAGGTCAAGACTGGCTAGTGAGTGTGATCCCCACCTATAGGTCAAGGCTGGAGAGAGGGATCACCATCTATAGATCAAGGTTGGACAGTGGGATTCCCCACCTGGAATTCAAGGCTGGAGAGTGTGATCCCCACCTGGAGATCAAGGCTGGAGAGTGGGATTTCCATCTATAGATCAAGGCTGAAGAGTGGGATCACCACCTAAAGGTCAAGGCTGGAGAGTGGAATCACCACCTAAAGGTCAAGGTTGGACAGTGGGATCCCCACCTGGAATTCAAGGCTGGAGAGTGGGATCCCCTCCTGGAGATCAAGGCTGGAGAGTGGGATTTCCATCTATAGATCAAGGCTGAAGAGTGGGATCACCACCTAAAGGTCAAGGCTGGAGAGTGGAATCACCACCTAAAGGTCAAGGTTGGACAGTGGGATCCCCACCTAAAGGTCAAGGCTGGAGAGTGGAATCACCACCTAAAGTTCAAGGTTGGACAGTGGGATCCCCACCTGGAATTCAAGGCTGGAGAGTGGGATCCCCACCTGGAGATCAAGGCTGGAGAATGGGATTTCCATCTATAGATCAAGGCTGAAGAGTGGGATCACCACCTAAAGGTCAAGGCTGGAGAGTGGGATCCCCACCTGGAGGTCAAGGCTGGAGAGTGGGATCCCCACCTGGATGTCAAGGCTGGAGAGTGGGATCCCCACCTGGAGGTCAAGGCTGGAGAGTGGGATCCCCACCTGGAGGTCAAGGCTGGAGAGTGGGATCCCCACCTGGATGTCAAGGCTGGAGAGTGGGATCCCCACCTGGAGGTCAAGGCTGGAGAGTGGGATCCCCACCTGGAGGTCAAGGCTGGAGAGTGGGATCCCCACCTGGATGTCAAGGCTGGAGAGTGGGATCCCCACCTGGATGTCAAGGCTGGAGAGTGGGATCCCCACCTGGATGTCAAGGCTGGAGAATGCGATCCCCATATACAGTTTTTTCCACCTGTGACCTTGAAATGCAGCTACTCCACAGCAACCTCAGAGTCAGGATGAACCAACGTTCGGAGTCTGGGAGCTTCTTAGAGGAAGCTGTGCTGACTTCAATCAACAACATTATCCTGGCAGGTCTGGGTCCTCAGAGACCTGATGCGCCCTGCTCTGCCTTCTGGGCTGTGTCCTCTTCATTCCCCCATCCCATGTTCTTCCCTGTGGATCCCTGACCTCTGAGGTTTCTCTGATCTTTTATTCAAATTCCCAGGGAGTAGAGGGTGGTATCAGGGAAAAGAGCAGCATGCAGTCTGCCTGCAGCCAAGGCCCCCTGGGCAACATGTTCTGTGTGGAGAAACAGAAGGCCAGTCTGTGACCACACTGACGCAGGCTGATAGGGGACTGCTGCTTGACAGTCAGTGGTTGTCACAGGTTACCGTGCACTTTGAAACAGTAGCTAAATTCCACTGTGTAAAGCCTATGAATTCGGTTTAGCCAATTAGCTCTTTCTATTGACTTTGTGAGTAAGGTTGATGCTTGCACCCGTTCACCTTTCCTAGGTTATCAATCATGACTACAGCTGGTACAGATGAGGCAATAACTTCCCAACCTTAATGAGGCTTTGAATTAATTACAAGTCAGGTCCTACACCACGTAACTCGACATGCAAAACCTCTCAAATTCAATATATCAGCACGTATGTAATATTTCAACACTGGTTATTTGAACCTCACTGAATACACTTTTATTTATTCATCTGTTTTATTAGTTGAATGCTTAGGAAGAATAGTAATAAAGACATTCAATGTACTAGCTATTTACAAGGTATCAATTGTTGTTTAGGAGCCTTTTTCTAAATCATTAAATGAAATGGAATCTGTGCTCCCCACTAAGTGGATGGGAGACTTGCAGGAAAGGCCCCTGGCATTTACTGTGCACAGCCAGGCATAGCCATCCTCCGGCCGTGGGCTGTGAGCTGCCTCTGTCACCCCACTGCGGGAACCATTTCAGTGTCCCTACTGTGATTTGCTGAGAGTCAAGATGATTTTCAGAGTATAACATCACTCTACCATGCATCGTGTATTATTTATGAGAAAAAATACACTGTCAGAGTGAAGAAACAGTGCTTTTTGTTTTGGGCAACACATTGCTTTTATCATACACATAATGTCTTGGTTCCTCCCCTAGTCCGTCCAAGGACTGACTTTTCAGATATGCCGACCATGGCTGCACACCTCTTGTTGGGAAGCGTGTAGACCACGGCCATCGTGCACACTGCCACAACCTTCGCGGCCCACAGTAAGCCTGTTGTGCTCAATCTTCAACTGAGCTCTCTGCTCAGCCCAGAACTTAAGCAGAGACTTTTGAATCCTCATGCTGCTGTGGTTCCAAATCCATTAGAAGCTGACGTTCTGCAGTTGAAAATGAATATTCCCTCTCGATGCTGAGCGAAATGCTTGCTATATACTGGGTGCTTAGGTGGAAAGATGTATTATGCCGAGGAGCGAGACGAAGCTGTGGTTAAACAGATTGAAAGTCTGTGAAGCCGGCAAAGCTCTCAAGAAATAAATTGCAGTTTCATTGTGAAGGTAAATTTTCTTTTCATTCTTGATTTACTCTAAACACAGATTGTGAGTCGAATGGAAACAGAAGAGAGACCCATCTCAAAAGCAACATGGGGACGGGGGTATACACTCCAGAAAGCGATTAAGCAGCTCCTTTGTTAAAAAAAAAAAAAAAAAAAAGGCTTGCAGTAGCTTTTCCGAAAAATACTAAAGTAGCACATCCTCCATGTCAGTTTCATGACTCATAATGTGAGTAATTGCTTCAAAATTATAATTCTCAGCTTTGTAAGTCTTATTTGCATTGCAAATCCGAAATATTCATTAAATAATAAACGTGTGAGTAAGAGCAATGCTGCTGGAGCTTTCCAGGGTCACGGTTCTGAGGCCATGTTTGGAGACCCCTTCTCAACTTCACAGACACCTTGGGATAAACACGTATGGACCACAGACTTGTGTTTTCTCTTTTAATTCCAGTAAACTCAGGACGGCTTTATAGTCTCCTGCTTTATTAGTGGGAGGCTAGCAAAAATATGGCTTTAGGTAACATGATGGATAAATATTTTTTTAAATTTTTTATGTTAATTAGTGCCTCACCTCCTCCATTCCAGAACAGGTTAGATTATTAACTAAAAAGGAAAGCCTTTTAATAATTGAAAGTATAAACTGAATCTGCAGTTTGAATTTAAAATGTGATATTATAAGTTGATTAGAATGAGAATACTAAAATACTAGGTATTTGGGGAAGATTTTTGTGATTGAATGAGTACATTTGAAATATTTTAATTTTCAGGCAGTTTTGGAAACTTAAGCTTTATTTGAATTTAAAAAATAGGCTTTTGAAAACTATGACATTATTTTAGAAAAAATAAATAACACTTTAACAGCATGCTGGTGAGTTAACTGCTCCTACAATTTGCCTTTTAGGAAATAAAAATGAGGACCACAGCCTGGGCTGTGTTTCCTGGGGGATTGCAGTATTCTAGAGCAGCACCTGGGAGAAAGCCCCAGGGCCCCGGCAGTTGTCAAGATGTCTTTGGGTCTGGGCCATCAGGGGTAGGCTGCAGCGGCACATTGGAGGAGCTCCGGATCCTGCAGTTTGGGGAGCAATCCCACTGAGTCCCAAGAAGGTGCCATGTCCTGGTGGCTGAAGATGGCAAGCCCTGGGATTGAACCTTTGACCTGGGGCATGGTGGAGTGGAGTGGTGGGCAGGAGGTGTAGAAAACATTCTTGGCATTGCAGACCACTCACCTTAACAACACACTGCTACTGCTTGTCCTCAAGTCTGAGGCTTAGCCCCTCTGCCTCAGGAAGAGCCTTTGTAGTACTGGACAAAGAAACCTTTGGGACCCTGGATCCCTCACAGGCAGACCCATTCCCCTGGCCAACAGTCCATGGAGGTAGCAAGAATGCATGTCTCGGAGCCTCATGAGGATGCGACTCTGCTCCCAGACACCTGATCTTGCCCATACAGCACCTGTGCAGGGGGTGCAGGTGGCAGCAAGACCGGCCACATTGTCCTGTTCACATCCCAATGGCACCTGCCCAGTCCATCACACAGTGGGTGTAGGTCTATTACATAAAGTGCAAGGAAACCTCTAGAGATGCGCAGGTCCATACCAGTGTGGTGAATTTTTATTCCATCGGTGGATTGCATAAAGTTTAACATAAATCTAGATACAGTATCTACATAATGCATAGTAATGTAATATAGTCAGTATCCACTTAATGCATCCAAATGCATAGGACCATGACAGTCAGAGACAGAAAAGTGAAAGTGAATTTTCCCAATAAACTGTCAGTTTATCTCATTGATCATTTCTCTAAAATACCATGAATTTGGTCCTGAATTTCTCATGTCTACAGCCCTACTGTCTATTACTAGGGGCTACAGCCACAATTCTCTTCCCATTTATTTCCAAAATTTCATAGAATCTGCAGCAAAGGAGGAGCCACACTCTGTCCTGCCTAATATTTTGCGCAGGTGAGACCCAGGGAACTCCAGGCCTGCATTATGGACCATTCAAGTAGCTTGCTAGTTCCACATGCTTGACATACACACACACAATGCGTCATGTTGTCATACATGTTACATACACGCATACTTATATGCAAATATCTGCAGAAGTATCTGTACCAAATCTTTGCTGTACCTATATGGATAGACATGTATGTATACCTTTTTTTTTAATAGGTAGTTTCGTTTAGAAACCAAAAAGTTAAAAAAAGATGCCCGATGAAGAATCTCCCGGTCCACTTTGCTTCATCCTTCATCCACCCAGGAAATGTTCATTTCTTCTGTTGTTTCCAAACATCTTTTACACAAATATAAGCAAATACAAATATTTTCCTCCCACTGCCTTTCCATTTTGTGAATAGAAGCTCACTGCACAATGTCTTGCCTCTTGCCTCTGTTACTATCAGCATGTCTGAGAGCTCTTTCCACATCGGTACAGAAACAGCCTTCTTGTTCATTTGTCCATCCACGTAGTATTCCTCTATATAGCCTTAATAAAATCATTTTTAACCCAGTCATTGTTGATGGACACTTGGGTAATGGTAATCTAATATACAATTTCTAATATCAGAAAAAATGCTAGAAACAATTTTTTTAAGTATCAGAAACAAAAAAACTATATTTTTAATATTAAAATGAATGATGACATTTTCCATATGCATGATTTCTATTATTTAAATAAAATTGTTCGACCAAATGCACATGCATTTATAATTTCAATGGACATTGCCAAGTTGCCCACAAGAGAAGTCCTCACTTGCAACTGACAAGTTGCACTCATGTCAGTCTTACCTGGGGGTGTTAGAATGCCTTCCTGCAGGTTAGCCTGCACAGTGCTTTCCGGAGTTCAGAGCTCGTCCATCCACAGGTGACAATGATATCACTGAGGTGGCACTGCCATTCCTTCTTTATGTGAAAAATCAGTGAGCCTACGGTCTTGCCATATTTCTAAGAGATGTTCGTATTGACTTTTCTGGGAATTCTCTGTTCATCTTCTTTGTCCAATTATTATTGCCTGCTGACCTTTTCTAAATAAATGGGTGGGGATTCTTTACTTCTCAGGAAAATAAGCTGTTTGTCAGTAATCTCAGTGGAATGCATTTTTTTCCTTCTGATATTTTTTCCATGAAGAAGTTTTTTTAATTTTACATATCACATTTATTAATTTCTTAATTGACTTTTGGATATAAGTTGGAATTGGAAAGGATTGTTTTCTCATGTTTTCTTCTCCTAGTTTTATAATTATTAATAATCAACTTTCCACTCACCTAGATTTTACCCTTTTTACGTGGCTGCTTGCAGAGCTCTCGCCACGGGGCCGGCCGCCCGATTCTCCCTCATGCCTTGCTGGTGTGGGAGGCCCTCTCTGTCTTATTCGCTGGTGTGGGAGGCCCTCGCTGTCTTTTTCGCTGTTGTGGGAGGCCCTCTCTGTCTTATTGACTGGTGTTGATGCCCTCTCTGTCTTATTCGCTGGTGTGGGAGGCCCTCTCTGTCTTAGGCTAAGCCTCCTTTTGATGGGTCCTGCTGATGGACTTCCACTGTTTCTCTGGACACTGTGCCGAGGCTCTGTGATGCACGTGCTATCCGGTGGGTCCAGTCCTCCTCATCGCCTCCTTGTTTTTCAGACTTCTCATCCATTTACATCTGACAGTTATGCTATGTTTTCCAATGGCTACATTTTTTTCTGTGGATTTTGTGGTACATGCTGTTCTTCTCTCTTCTCATCACCCCAGGTTTACAAATTGTGTCCCCAGAAGGTGACCACCCTCTTGGGAACCCAGGAAGACTCTGATCCCAGTGAGTGTGGAGTTCTGTGTGCGCAGACACAGATCAGAGGCTGTGAGACTCGGAGCACTCTGCCTCCACCAAGCCTGTGAGGGCCACGCTGTTCACACGGGCACATAGGGGCCCAGAGCCTTCAGAGTTTGGATCCGGGTGTGTGGCCAGCACCTGTCAGGAAAGCGAACTGCCCCATGACAGTCTGCTCCTGAGCTGCCCTGAGTCCTCAGCCCCCACAGCTCTCAGGCTTTTATATCCCCTCCCAGTGTGCGGGCATGCAAGTACATGTGTGTGCACACACATGCATGCAATACACACAACACACAATCCACACACTGTCTACACAGAACATACATACCAGACATGCAACACACTCCATACATACCACGCATACTTCACAAACAACCACAACAGTGCACACACAAAATACTCCACAATACCACACCACATCGTACACACACCTCTACACACAATACATTTATCACACAGGCCACATACCTAGCATACACCACTTACACAACATATGTAAGTTATACCACCCATACCACTAACACATCACACAGATGCACACATCATACAGCTCACAACATAGCACACACCATGCACTCATTACAGAGCACACAGCACTACACACAGATAAAAATGAGTAAAACAAATAGAAAGTTTGTAAAGCCTGAGTTTGCTAAGTGTGATGGCTTCTGCTATTTTCTATTTCGTTCTAGTCTATTCTTTTCTATGTATTCTATACATTTTCTAAAAAGCTGCACCTGGCACTCTGACTTGATTTCTACGCAGGGTGCAGGATGCTGGCCAGTGGATACGTGCCTGTGGGATAACCACTCAGCCCTGTGCCTGGCCCCTGCTCACCCTAGGTCCCTTGCGGGGTTGACTTCTAGAGGCAGATGTGCCTTCTCTTCTTATACTAATGGGCAAGAATGGGCCACAGGCAGGTTGTTTTTGTTTTTGAATCTTTTCTCTTGATTATAGACCCCTGAAAGCAGGCTACAAAGCACAGGCGGCCATGTCCCTCATCTGGCCAAATGCCCTTCTTCCCAACTTCCCACTTGCCAAAAGCCAGACAGGGCCTCTAACGCGCGCGCCCACTGTCTTGTTTCCTGGGGTACACGGGCACACGCTACTTGTGGGGGCTTGCTCCTTTGGGACGATATACATGACCTGGTTTGAAAGTGAATGGAAACACCACTGTCCTCTTTAGCGAATAGCTGGATGGCCCGGAATCTGCCATGCCTCTCCAGTCAGGAGCTGGGGCCACGCCATGGGACCATAGAGGCAAACAACTTCCGTAGAGCAAACAAAAAGACGATGTCATCTGTGGCTTCGTGTGTTTGCAGAGGAAGGTTTACTTTTCAACGACTGCCATTTTTATTTATTTATTTATTTCTAAGAATCTCCACTTTTGCATTCTTTCATGGAGCTAGGACAAAAGGCTTTTCTAAGATTTTTTGTTGTCGTTTTTTGTTTCTAATTTCAGAGCCAATAACAGCAGCTGCTTTTCAGTGTCTCTGTGGGAAGCCACCTTTTAATCATTCTATTTGGGCTTGGATACGTGGTCGTCAAATGTTTACATTAAGAAGTATACAGTGAGCCTTCCCTTTAGAAGCAAATGAGTAGTCGGGCGGCGTGAGAATCCGACTCGATCTGAATATTGATGATCTCGCTCTCCGAGTCTCTCCGGGGCTGGGGGTGTGAGGTGTTGATCATTGCTTCTTACTGATAAGCAGAATATTTCCAGAGCGTGAAGACTTCTGTGGTGTGTGGAGAGGATAACTGTAATCTGCACCCGCACGCCAAGCGCTCGCTGCCATTTGCATGGCCAAGCAGCCCACGTTATGCTAAGCTCTCCATTAGAGCCGCGTGAAAGGTCTCCCCTCATTTGAATAAGGCCTCTTCTGCATGTGA
The DNA here is from genome assembly GCF_000001405.40 of Homo sapiens. Lineage (NCBI taxonomy): Eukaryota > Metazoa > Chordata > Mammalia > Primates > Hominidae > Homo > Homo sapiens. The sequence goes on from NC_000005.10 coordinate 2,915,236, forward strand.
AAAAAGAGCACTGAAAGGGAACGCTCCTTTAATTAGGGTGGCATTTGGAAGCAGAGGCCTTCAGTGTTCACTTATTGTGATGCTAAATTGTCGAGCATTTTCAAATGTGTTGTAATTGTCGTTTCCATTAAACATTTTTATTTCTATTTATTTTTCAAAGCGCGAGTGGCAGGCGTATCACAGAGAGTGAGGGAGTTGATGACTTTGGCTATCTAGATTATGGTAAATTTAAATCAAACTGTTCAATGCAATGTAGAAATATGTTTAAATATAGGATTAGAGTGTCGGAAGCTGTCAGAAGATCAAAAGGGCTGGTTCACAAAGTCATGCTGGAAAGGAGTAGAGAGTTACTGGGGAATCCTACAGCAAAATGATTATGAAGTGTTTTGAGTAGATTTCATCCAATCTGACTCTTAAGATAGAAGTCAGCATCGCTGAGAGTGCTGGGAGCCATGGTGGTCACTGTCTTCAGCACACACAAGAAATGACATGTTCGGCTTAAAAGCTGTGTCCTGAACAATGACGCAGAAGCTCCCAGGAGGCACCCAGCAACCCTAGAGGCTGATGGACACCAATATGAATATGGATTTCTAAACCCATGTTGGATTCCTCTCTGTTTCTATTTTTCATTTTTGTTTTTTAAACAAAAGCAAATTTAAACCTGCCAAGTTTCAAGTAGGCCTGGGAAGGTCAGATTTGACTTCTTGGAAGGTAGTCCAGCAGTACTATAAGAAACGAGCCTGGGGCTGGGTGCAGTGGCTCATGCCTGTAATCCCAGCACTTTGGGAAGCAGAGGCAGGCAGATCACTTGAGGTCAGGGGTTCGAGACCAGCCTGACCAACATGATGAAACCCCATCTTTACTAAAAATACAAAAAATTAGCCGGGGGTGGTAGTGGGTGCCTGTAATCCCAGCTACTCTGGAGGCTAAGGCAGGAGAATCACTTGAACCTGGGAGGTGGAGGTTGCAGTGAGCCAAGTTTTTGCCACTGCACTCCAGCCTGGGAAAAAGAGCGAGACTCCATCTCACAAAAAAAAAAAAGAAAGAAAGAAAAGAAAAGCAAAAAAGAAAAAAAGAAAGGAAAAGAGAAAAAGAAAAGGAAAAGAAAAAAGAAAAAAAGGAAAAAAGAAAAGAAAAGAAAAGGAAAAGAGAAAAGAAAAGGAAAGGAAAGAAAAGAAAAGAAAAAAGAAAAAAAAAAAAAGAAAAAAGAAAAGAAAAGGAGCCTGATACCCAAACCAGAGACACTGGAGAAGACCTGTCTGGCGAAAACTTCTTAGCAGGCACACCTGTCTTAAGAAGCTGAACCTGCCCTAATTTTTTGGCTTTTAATAAGATCCTTTTAATATTTTCAATATACCTGTGAAGGTGTTCGTGTCTGAAACACTTCATTTGTGCAGTAATTGCAGTTTTAGAGTAAGATGGTTCAAAATAAGTCAGCAATCAATCCAGGGTTAAGAAATGTCTTATTTTTATTCCTAGACGAATCTGCCAGACTTTCCTATTGTATTTGTTGATTCATGGATCCTTTCTCTGTCTCCCTGTGTCTTTCTCTGTCACTTGCCTTAACTTCTATTCAAATACAGATTCTAAGAATTGGGTTTTTTAATCAAGACGGATCATTTATCACGATTTAATATGAATTTGTATGACTGTTTTTTACAAGTATGATTTTATGAATTACTCTTCATTTAAATAAGCATACCACCAATCATTAAGCTTTTTCTCTTATAAACAGTTTTATGTCTCTGACTCGTGCAGGTTTGCAAAATGTCATGTTACAGTATTTGTCTCACTGTGCCCCTTAAAGACACTTAATTAAATTTAAGTGCTTGTAAGTATATCTTTGCTTCCATTTTAGACATTTTAAAGTGTGTTTTGAAAATACAAAATACACAGTTGACAGCTCATTGCAACAACAAGAAGCCATTTCTGGGCACAGGACTGGAGGGAAAGGGAGGAGTGTCACAAGAGGAGCCGTGGAGCCCGGAACTTCTCATGGCCACGGCATGACGTGGATCAGCCCAGTCCACGGAAGCCACCGTGGCACCAGCAGGGGAGAGGCACAGGGGCGGCCAGCACAGGCGTCTGAGTCAAACAGAGCTGTATGTAAATTATGGCCTCTCCATCCCCTCACTGTTACTCCATTCGAAACTATGTCCCTCCCAGTCTCCATCTGTGAAGTGGGGATAAGGCAGCGACCTCCCGTGCACGCATTCATGGAGACCGCGTGTGCCCAGTTTGGTTTTGTTAGCGGCGGCGCATTCTCACAGGTCTGCAGCAACCTTAGTTCTTGCCTCCTCCAAAGAAATAATTTGACCAAGGAGGCGTAAGGTAGAAGGAGATACCGAGGCAAGTTTCAGAGCAGGAGTGAATGTTTATTAAAAGGTTTTAAAGCAGGAACCAAAGGAAGTAAAATACACTTGGAAGGGAGCCAGGAAGGTGACTCGAGAGATCAAGTGCGCAGTTTGACCTTTGACTTGGGGTTTTATATGTTGGCGTACTTCCGGGGTCCTGCGTCCCTTCTCGCGATTTTTCGCGTGGGTGGGGCTGTCTGCGTGCGCTGGGGCCTGCCAGCCTTTGGGAGGGGAGCATGCGCAGTGTGTTCACTGGAGTTGTGCGCATACTCACTTCGAGGCGTTCTTCCACTACCGGTCCAATGTTCCTAGAAGGTCGTTTACCAGTTAAAAGCTGCTATTTTGTCTCTTAATATGCATGCTTGAGCCCACTCACCCAGAACCTGAGATCTTACTGGGAAGTGCTGATTACGTTTCAGTTTTTTTTGTATCTATTGGGAGACTGCCTTTCCCTAGCGCTGGCTGCGACCAATTATTATTTTAGAGAGACAGTGTAACAGCTGCCTGACCATCACCTGATGGCCGCCTGACATTCCTGGGGGTGGTGGGGGCCCCTGTCCTGCCCTGCTCATGTCTGACTAGCTACCTACAGTAACAGCTTGGTGTTGGAACGTGGCCACCCTCAGTCCCTGGGAACCGTCCAGATCACGTTTCCCTGGAGCGGGTTCCCTAACATAAACCACAGGGTGCACATTCCGAAAACCCTCGGGTATCCCATAAAGTTTCTAAAGGCTGCTGAGAGGATGTTTTTTGTGTATTTCGAATAATTCTGAGGGATGTAGATACATGAAAACTATTAGGAAATATTTTATTCATTTTATTGATTATTTAATGAGTCTAATTCAAAGACCCATTAATCTTTCTATAGACTTAGAGAATCTGTAGCTGAAGCCCCAGAAGGACTGTTGCTGTGATGGGGTGGGTGAAGCCAGACGTGAGAGATGTTGTAGACTCTGCCTCTGACATCTCAGGGCATGTCTCAGAGAGTCGGGAAATAGTTTGTGTGCTCTGATTTAATATGTGATCCAAAATCATTGCTTATTTTTGCCAGAGATTTGATTTTGACTTTTCGATAATTCTACAGGCAATGCAATTTGTGGACAAGCCCATGAAACCCAAAGGTGAAAAAGGGAAACAGGTTTACACAGACAGCCCTTCCTGCCACGTCTCCAGACATTCCTGCTGGAATCTAATCACCTTTGTCTTTAACCAGGCTTCCTGCCCACATCTTACCAGGTGATCACAGGTGTCAGTTGGTGTCTCGCCACTCCCTGAGGGTGGATATACTTGTCTAATATACCCAGACTCTTGAATTGTCTAGATTGCTACCCCTGTGGATTTAAAAAGAAGGTGACTTTTTAAAAATACTCTTGACTTTTGTTGATAATGATGAGAATTGACCATAGATTCCTATTTTCCACATGCAGTTCTGTTCTAGCAGCAAAGTTTGCTTTACTTTCCTGAGGATACGCACGTGCACCCTGGATCTCATCTCCACATGCAGGGTGGTGGGTCCCTTCCATTTCTATTTCCTGGCTCATCACCTGTCTTCATGCTTGGGACTACCTTTCTGTTGAAGGTGAGCATGTACTCACATACAATCTGCAGAGCTGAAAGTGTGTTAATCATCATGGTATGAAGAGTTGAGGCTACACTGGTGTTCCGTGCCATTTCTCTTCTTTTGCACCCCGTTGTGTGGTTGCTTTTTACCCCTTGTCTGTGCAGTCCTCATTGTTGGTAAATGACAATGTGGAGACCCGTGGCCCCTTCACTTCCTGCGACCCACAGGACTGTTTCATTAAGATTCCCTTAAGAATCATAAAGTGTCCAAAATGGAGCACTGGACAAAGGCAGCCCCATGTCTGTGGTCGGGAGCTGCAGGACGTTAGAAATCGATGTTGGTCCTGGTCGGCCCGGCTGCCCAGCTGCTGGCACTAAAGGGGCCCCTCAGCTCAGTCCAGCAGCCCTTGCAGGATGCCTGCTTCATGCTGGGAAGAGCATCCAAGGCCAGTGTGAGCCCCCAGAGACACCCAAGTGAACCCCAGTTCCTGCCAACTCACCCTCATAGCTGCACTGCTCCTCCTGCTCCTAGTGCTTCCTTCCCGCTGGGACAGCCGAGCCCATCCCAGTGGTGATGGTGGTGGCAGCCCATCTGGAACAGCCACTGTGGAGATGCCAGCTGAGTGGGGGAGGCATGGCCAGGGCTGCATACTCTGTGGAGCTGGTGGGGGCCGAGAGCAGGTGGGAGCCCCTCCCCCTACTGAGTTAGCAGTGCAGGAGCCCCACACTCCTGGGCACAGCTGCAGCCACCCAGCTGTGGCTCTAGACCTGGGCATCCCTGCACTCTCAGGAGCCTGGGAAGCCCCTGCTCCCACAGGCTTGGAAGTGCCTGCTCCCGCTCCCTGGCCTCTCCCCACTCCTAGCACCTGCATGAAGACAGGTGATGAGCCAGTGCAGAGCAAAGTTGTGGCCAAGTCTGAGTGCTGTTGCAACCCAGCCAGGTGTGTGCCTGTTTAGGGCAGTGCTGACATGCCAGCCCCCTTCTGCCTTGGCCTCCTCTGAAGACTTTGGGTGCCAGCGAGCTCAGGGAGAGAGGATGGGATGGCTCAAGGTGGCTCAGCAGTGGCCTGCAGGCACCCCACAGCACGGACAGCCTGGACACTGCAGAAGGCATGTTGATGGTTGTGGGAGGCAGAGATGTTCCTAGGCAGGAAAGGGCAGATCCCTGGTGAAACCCCACCTTTAAGGCAGGAACCACCTGGAGCCTGGAGGCTAGGCTTCCGGTTCTGGGTAGAGTCTGCGTCCTGGAGTGAGAACTTATGGTGCTTTTTCCAGGCCCACCTATGGCTTCCCATGGACCAATCAGCACGTACTTCCTCACTTCTGAATCCATAAAAATCCCTGACTCAGCTAGACTCCATGCTCTTTGGGACGACCTGACTGCAGATAGGAGCCACCCACTTCAGGATTCCTCTACTTTGTTTGAGATGACCTGCCTGTGGATAGGAGCTACCCATTTCTGGTCTCCTCTACACTCTTCAGGACAACCTGTCCACACATAGCAGCTACCCACATCGGGACTTCTCTATATTCTTCAGGAAAACCTGCACATGGATTGGAGCTACCCACATTGGGAGTCCTCTACATTCTTCAGGATGACCTGCCTGTGGAGAGGAGTTACCCATTTCAAGTCTCTACACTCTTAGGGATGACTGCCCACAGATGGGAGCTATCCACTTCAAGTCTCCTCTATACTCTTCAGGACAACCTGCCTGTGGATAGGAGCTACCCACTTCAGGATGCCTCTAAACTCTCTGGATGATCTGCCTGTAGATAGCAGCTACCCACTTCAAGACTTTTCTAAACTCTTCAGGACAACCCACCCATAGATTGGAGCTACCCAAATTTGGACTCCACTACACTCTTTGGGATGACCTGCCTGTGGATAGGAGTTAGCCACTTTGAGTCTCTATACTCTTAGGGGTGACCTGTCTACAGATAGGAGCTACACACTTCAGGTCCCCTCTCTGCTGAGACCTGTTCTGTCACTCAGTAAAGCTCCTCCTCACATTGCTCAACCTCCAGTTGTCCATGTAGCTTCATTCTTCCTGGACATGGGACAAGAACTTGGGACCTACTGAACAACAGGAGCGAAAAGAGCTGTTACCCATTCCTGGATGGCTGGCTGAGCTGTGGGCAATGACAAGCTCCTGGACTGTGGGAGTGAAGAGTGGCACCCCTTCTGGGGGCCCAGACCTCAGGATTCCCTGAGCCAGAGCTGCTGTAACACTATAGTCCTCACACCCTCCAACAGTGCCGGGTGGCTGCCCCACACGACAGGAAGCAGTAGCAGGGCCAGGTCAGCCCAGCGGCTGCAGGCTGGGGAGGCATAGCAGGACTGAAGGAGCTGTAACACAAACAGACTGAAACACACAAACACTGGAAACACCTCCCTGCTCACCACGCTTCAGGTGGCAAAAAGGAGAGAAGAGCTGAAGCCCTTCTGGGATCCCAGACCTTGGGGCTCCACAAGCCTGAGCTGTGACATGCTGTAACACCCTCTCTGGGGTTCTGTGGTTTTTGGCATCTTCAAGCTTTTGGGCACTACCATGTTCCCTGGCGCCTTCAGTAGAAACTGTTTGCGATACGCCTGGTCCAGTTGCAGCGTCACACAGAGCTGGCATCTGTGCTGGTACCAGGAGCTGCCCACCCACTGGCACTGCGCAGTGGCTGGACCTGTGCTTGCTCGGTCTTACACCCCCTTGCTGCTCCATGCCTGGCTCACCCTTGGCAGGTGTGGGATCTGGGCTGGTAGCGAGAGCCAAGCACAGCCTGCCAGGCCGAGTGGGTGGAATGAGCCCAGTGGGAGCAAACAAAACCAAAGCAGAGGGACCGCCAGCCATCATGGAGGTTTCCTGCTGGAGAAGTGACATCCTAAGGACCCTGTGACAGCCATATCCTCGCAGCCTCACGTCCTCACTGCATCTCAGGGGGAAGATACCCACCTGGGCGTCAGTAACAGCTGCTTTCCACCTTGGGAGAGTTTGCAAGAGAAAGAGAAAGAGAAAGAACAAGAAAAAGATAATGAAAGCCAGAAAAAATGAAAAAGTAAGAGGGAATTTTACTGATTAGAAATAGAAAACAAGCCTGCAGCTCAGGTCTCTGGCTGCCCTGAGGACACACAGAGCAGAGGAGGTGGCGGTTCACCATGAGCTCCTGCACCGGCTGCACTCAGACCCATGGTGACCACACAGGTCTGAACAAAGGGATCCAAAGTGCCTGGCCAGTTTCTCCTTTCTTCTGTAAAATAATTGATTCTTAAATCTCTCAAATGGATATATATATATTTATTTTCCTGAACATACTACATATATGCACATACTATGTATATTCACATAATGCTATCTTGCATATACTATATAGACACACATATACAATATATTCACATTCACACACTGTGTCCATCTATGCTACATGTAAAACATATGCACACTCAATACACACACACGATGTGCCAAGCCCTGATCCAGGTCCTTGCATACTTTGACCTGTTCTTCACCTTCACTCTACATAGTTGGTTTCATTTTCTCTCCAATCCTATAGTTGGAGAGAGTCAAAATCAAAAGATTAGGCACTGGGGCTGAGGTCCTCCAGCTAGAGACAGTCTGGCCAGGAGTTATACCTTGTTCTGGCTCCAGGTCTGGGCTCCAAGGTACCCTCCAGCACTGCTTATTGCAGTGATACCTCTGGGAAAGATGCTGCCAAATCAGCCAGAAAAACAGATCAGAACTATAGCTGGCCTTTGGGATAAAGTTTTCAACAATTTCAAAGGCAGAATTCTGCTCCTAGGCCTTTCAGTGAATACAGCCACCAGGCCGCTTACCTTAGGCTGCCCATGACTCTGCAGTCTCCATTCCTGAGAAGTCCTCATGAAGCCTGAGACAACAGCATGATCCCCACACCTCTATCATGTTCTACCATTGTAGAAATGCTTGCCCATGCAATCAAACAAGACAAACAAACAATAAACACTGAGAGGAGAATAAAATGATACTTATTTGATAAACAAGTCTACAGGTCAGAAAAAATAAACATTCTAGATTTTTGTAGATTCTGAATTTTAGAATCTTGCAAACACTTAAAAACTTTTTGCACTATCTTAACTTTGACACTAAATATCAAGATCAATTTTATGGATGACAAAAATGCATAAGGCTTTGGGATGATAGTGAACCAATGGGGCAGGTAAATCTGCTCTAATAAAGGTTTCATTCTGCCTATGTATTAAGTTAAATATATACTGCAGTATATTTTAAGTGCTAAGTAAATTATATAAATAATGAAGTTTGGGGAAAAAAAGAAGAAATGAGATTTATTTGAGGCAATCTAGTTTTTAATTAATTTTAATTAAAATAATATATGACCTCATCCAACTTAAGGGAAATAACTTAAAATTATTACAAATAATATGAGAGTTCAGGAAGATACTCCGTTATAGAGTAGATCTTCAAAAAGTAATAAAGTAGTAGACGTTTAATAACGTGACTGAGAATGTAATGAAAAAATCATACAATTTCAGCAATTAATTAATAGCTATAGGAAAACAACTGAAAATGTAGAAACTATAAGTGCAATGCTAAAACTTTTTGGATATGTTTTCTTCTTAATTTTGTATTATGTCTCATGATTCTGGATAGAAGAAATCGTTAAATTACTCCACATTTAGTGTAACATCATCTTACATTTCGACAGGTTTTTTAACTTCACAAAATGATTCTGAAGTTTACCTGCAGGTATACACTTGAGAATTACTAGGAATATTTTTGAAAAGATGACTAATGAGGATGAGGGGGAATTTGTATTAGCAGACCAAAGAATATGAGGTAAGGTTAAAATAATCAAAACAGTATATGTACTAGGATTAACAGACATGTCCACCAAACAAAATTAAAAATGCAGGGACAGCATAAAGAATTTGATAAACTTGACATTACAAATTGGTACAGAAAGGATATTTGTTGATATTTGTTGAAAATATTATATTTATATGACTAGCTTTGTGTGTGTGTGTGTGTGCGTGTGTGTGTGTGTGATGGAGTCTCACTCTTATCATCCAGCCTGGAAATACAATGGCACAATCTCGGCTCACTGCAACCTCCACCTCCTGAGTTGGTGATTCTCCTGCCTCAGCCTCCCCAGTAGCTGGGATTACAGGTACCCACCACCATGCCCAGCTAACTTTTGTGTTTTTCATAGAGATGGGGTTTCGCCATGTTGGCCAGGCTGGTCTCGAACTCCTGACCTCAGGTGATCCGTCCACCTCAGCTTCCCAAAGTGCTGGGATTACAGGCGTGAGCCACCCTGTCTGGCCTGACTGGCTAATTTTTTGAAAAAGATAAATATAGATGGCAATTACACTACTGATTTAAAAAAAGAACTAAATCAAAATATTAAATAAAAAATACCCAGTAATGTTCTGAGACGAATTTTAAGTATTTATTTCATCTTTGGATGAATTCAAGATTACTAAGCATGTCACCAGGGGCAGAAACAAGGAGTTTCCTTGATTTTACTATGTAAAAATTGTTAAAATCCCATAGAAAATTAATATGATAATTGATGTTAAAACATAAACACTAATTTGGCAAAGTAACAAGTGTGGCACCTACGAGTTAGTACCTCAGTGTAAAAAGTGTTAATATAAATAAAGAGACCACAGTGATTTTTAAAAAATGGGCAAAGGCTATGAACAGATCATGCACAAAAGCGAAAACGTAAGCAGATGAAAATTAAATAAAAATCCTGCAGGCTAATTAGTAATCAAAGAAATAGTACTGCTATCACAAATTACCATACATTTATTTAGTGGCTTAAAACAGCACAGATTTATCACCTTATATTTCTGTTGGTTATAATCTTACACAGGTCTCACTGGCTAAAATCAAGATGTTGGCAGGACCACGTTCCTTTCTGGAGGTCTAAAAGAGACTCTGTTGCCCTGACTTTTCACCTTCTAGGACCCTTCCACATTTCTTGCCTCATGACCACTTCCACGCAGCCGTGTCTCTGGTTCTCTGGCCATCCTCCCACAACCTGGAGAGTTTCCACTTCGAAGGTAAGGCTCTCCAGGGTAATCCAGGATATTCCATCTCAAGGTTCCCACCTTAAGCATGCCTGCAAAGTGGCTTTTCCCAGGTAGGGCAACATTCAGTTTCCAGGGATTAGGATGTGAACAACTTTGTGAGGTGATCATTGTATCTACTATAGGCATATAAAAAAATTCAATATACCTTAATAGAATATGAGGATATTATAATTTTATATATAACATATAATTATTATAAAATATGTATATAATAAAGGGATAATCAATTTCCTAATGAATTATTTGACATCTGCTGAGATGACATAATGTTTTCCAAGAATCTGTTAATCTGGTGAATTATCATGGACTAATTTTTTCAATATTAAACAAACATTTTATTCCTGGGAAAAACAACTTGTTATGATGTATTATGATTTTTGTATTTCCTGTATTTAGTTTGATAATATTTTATTATGATTTCGGCATCTATGTCCATAAGTGAGATGCACTTACAGCTTTTTTCTTTCAGACCAACCCTGTTATGTTTGATATCAAGATTTGTCAGACTTGTAAAGCAAATTGAAGAAAACTTCTTTTCTTCTCCTCCTCCTCCTCATCTCCCCCTTTCCTCTTCTTCTTCCTCTGAGAGAGTCTGTATAAAATAGAGATTATTTTTTCTTGCCTGTTTCATAGAACTCGCTGTTCAAACCATTGTGCTAGAATTTTTCTTTGTGAGAAGATATTTATTTACTAATTCCTTTTCTTTTATGTGTGTATGACTAATCAGATAGTTTATTTATTTCTGTCATTTTGAGCTGTTGTACAGTTTTCAAAGATTTTCTACTTTGTCTTTTTTTTTTTTTTTTTTTTTTGAGACGGAGTCTCGCTCTGTTGCCCAGGCTGGAGTGCGGTGGCGCAATCTCGGCTCACTGCAAGCTCTGCCTCCCGGGTTCACGCCTTTCTCCTGCCTCAGCCTCCCGAGTACCTGGGACTACAGGTGCCCGCTACCACGCCCGGCTAATTTTTTTGTATTTTTAGTAGAGACGGGGTTTCACCGTGTTAGCCAGGATGGTCTCGATCTCCTGACCTCGTGATCCGCCCGCCTCGGCCTCCCAAAGTGCTGGGATTACAGGCTTGAGCCACCGCGCCCGGCCTCTACTTTGTCTAAGAGTTTTAATTAATGGGAGTGCATTTATTTATATATAATTATCTCTTCTAATTACTGTATTGCTGCTTTTCATACAAAATCTTTAATCACTTTATGTCTCAGTAAAATGGATTTTACCTACTTTATAATTATCATTAAAGTTTAATAATTTAATATATATACAAATCATAGAGCACTGCTTGCACATGGTAAATGCTATATAAGTGATTGTTATTGACATAATTCAACTTTCAATATTTTTAAAATTTCACAGCAATTTTTTTCTCTGACCTGTGAGGTACTTAGAAGTGTTATTCCTAATTTCCAAAAACATATTTCTCTAGCTAGCTGTTCCTCAACTTATCATGGGGGCTACATCCCACAATAAACACATGATAAAGTTGAAAAATTGTAAGCTGAACCATCATAAGTCAGAGACTGTCTGTATATGTTTTCAATAGTACCTATTTATTCACTATTAATTTTTGATTTTACTTCATGGTGGCCAAAAACATGTATTTTCTAAAATACAACCTGAAGAGATTTGTCAAAGTTTGCATAATGGGCTAATATGTGGATGAACTATCTTACTGTTGCATCTTAAAACCCATGTGTGCTTGGTGCTACATGTATGTATTCTTTTGTTGTTAAAAGCACTGTTCTATGGATTTCTTTTAAATTAGTCTTACTAATTATGCTGTTCAAATATTCTAATTTTTGAAATATACTTTTCTATCAATTATTATAGAGTATGGGTAAAAATCTACTATGATTGTGGATTTTGTGGATTTGTGCATTGATCCTTTAAATTAAATGAATGTTGGCATTATATATTTAAGTCTGTGTTATTAAGTTTATACAAGTTTAAATTTGTTATATCATCTTTCTGAATGGCAGTTTATCAATATCTCATTACTTTGTCAGGTCTATACTCTTTCAATACAATTAAAACAGCTTTTTAAGTTTTCACAAATATTTTTCTGGTATAGATTTTTTCATCCTTTTGTTTTCTACCTTTTGTATTTTTATGGTTTTAATTGTCTCTTCAAAATGGCTTATAGCTTTCATTTTTTCTTAATCCAGTTTGATAATTTCAGACTTTTATTAGAGTATTTAGTCTATTTGCACTAATTGTATTTAAGGATTTATTTAGATTTATTCCTATCATTATTTTTTATATTTTCTTCTTTTGTATATTGCTTTTTCTCTTCTCTTTTGCTTTATTTGGATTGATTGAGCACTTTTCATTCATTTGATCATTTCCTCTAGTAGTAGGGAAGTGGTTTTTGTCATGATAGACTCAGGTATACTCGGGGTGGTGGTTCAAACCAAGATACTTTTGTGAATGGGAGGATCCACTGTTCATAATTATGCTAGGAACAAACCCTGACTGTTCTGTGCACACCACAAAATATATCAGCTTTAAATACACAGCAGTAATAAACAACCTTAAAGTATCGGTAACTGAGCAACAACAAAAAGTGTATTTCTCATTCCGGCTACATGCCCATTGAGAGTCAGCAGGACAGGCTCTCCAGGTCATTGTTTTTGAGGGACCCGGCCTGATGTACGCTCTACCTTACCCCGTGATTTTATGACCTCGCAGTAGTGGGAAGTCAAAATCACACGGTGATTTTGGCAGTGCTCTCCCATGATGTAAAATATGCATGGGGTATCCAAATGCAGGAGCTGAGGAGATTTAAATAACAAAAGACTTCTAAAAGGAGTCCTGAAAATAAAATTTAGAGTGAAACATTTTTTGTTTGAGAGTAGGTAAAATGAGAGTAGGTTATTTGATTTAATAGTGGTCTCTTTGGATCTCTAAAAATCTTTGCATGTGCATTCAAAAAGTAAATAGAAATAGTAAATGCCAGTTGATTGAAAATCATGATACTTTTGAGATGATACTAAATTTTTACAATATGATATAAATCAGAATAGTGTAGACAGCCAATTTACATAATTCAACCCCAGAAAATTAACTACATACATTCACTATGTAATGACTTAATTCACTTAAGTTGAGCCAAGTGTCATAAATTTGCAATGAACATTTTTACTTTTTAAAAAATGAGCTAATTTTAGATTTGTCACAGAAAACTACTATTCATTGACATCGCAAATTGGAATTATTAACAGAAAAGCTCATTTCAAATATGGAGAACATAAGAGAGTGTAGTGATTGGGATGTGTTCTCAACATCAAACTGTAAGAAGAAAATTTAATAGCCAGAACTTGAGAAAAATATAATGGGCTACCCGATGAATCACTTGGCAGGAATATTATCAATGGAATTAAATAATGGCCTACTGTCAGTTTAATTCAATCATCTCTTTAGTTAGTATATCAAATTTCATTCGTATATTATGAGAGGTGATGCCATCATTTTATCTGCCTGTCTCATTCTGACTATAGAATTTGAGCAACTTCACCATTCTTCGTTCTTGTTTTGATGGTCAAAGTTGCTGAATAATTGCTTCTTTCCTCCTTTGTGTGTCTTAGGACAAATACAGCACAATCTCAGAGTTAACTTAACATCCAAACTGTTATTACATTCTCTGTCCTCAGTTAGTTGGTAGAATTATAATCAGTTAAAAACAGATTTAAAAAAAAACAGCTTTTACTGAACATGGATATATAGCAGTGCTACTTTATAAAATAATAGTGTGGCTAATATAATGGCATTTATTTAAACAATTATTGAGATTATTTTTCTCATCTCTCCTCATTTTCTGACCTGAGAAATACAGTTCCAAGTTCACGAGTGAATGTAAATGAAGAAACAGGGAAAGCATTTTAGAATTTCTTGAAATCTGGCACCAGGACTGATTGTACATATGTATATATACACTCATGCATGTGTGTGCCTATGTATGTGTGCATATGTGTATACGTATGTGTGTATGAATATATGTATTTAATCATCATGGGCTGGTATATCTGGTTAGAACAAAGTACAAGTAAACCCCAAGTAATGAGTAAGATTCCCTCCAGATCCAGCTAATTATTTGAACATACCCTTTTCATCACAGCACGTCACTGCTGCAAACATTGGAATGCTTTCCCATGGTTTACTAAACAAAGTACAAAGCTGTCTGACAATGCAGATCACAGCAAAGATCCAAGTGATGCATGCCCTTCGGCAGGATCTTCCCCACCCTGGGTCTCAGTTTTATCTTCTAGAAAATACACGTTCAAGAGTGAGATTTGCAGCTTCCTCCCTGCTCAGACCTCATGATTTTGACTGTGAAACCCATTCATATAACTTCATTATTCTTATTCCCATGTGAGAAGGTAAGTCTAGTATGAATGTCATTTTTGCCCAAACACTCCTGAGCATTACATAGACTTAATTAACGTTTTGCTTCTTCAGATGTTTTTTCTCATGTGCAGGCTGTTTACTAAAGGGCCACACAGCATGTTACCTTCAATCCGTAGACATTTCTGGGAGTCAGCTGCGTGCACTGCAGTTGAAGATGAGAACTATTGAATGCTTACCCAGTGCCAGGCCTGTGTCTCCACGCCTCTCGCCTGTCCCCCCTTAGCACCCTATGAGGTCGACACTGTGGTCACCCTCCCTTGGCAGGTGCAGAGCAGAGGTGAGGAGGGTAATGACTTGGTTGGCCTGTCTGACTCGGAAGCGCTGTCTTGCTCACCTCCAGTGTGCTGGGACAGCAGCACAGGAACCACCTCAGAGGTGCTCTGGAGAGAGTGACCAGCACCCACCCTTCCATGCTGCCAGGGGTTCTTCGATGTGTCCAGTCTTCTCCTCCCAGCTGCGGGCCTCGAGCATTTATCTAAATGTTTCGCCTCCTTCAGACCCTACCTTGCTTTCTCCTCTCCCACTGTGGGTGGGCTGGCCTCCTACCCCCTGAGAAAATCAAGGACAGTGAGGAGGAGTGCTGTGGACTTCCCCTCTTTATCTTCATCAGCTGCACGGGCAGCTGTGCCTTCCTGCTTTGCCCTGGTCTCCTGGTTATGAAAGCCAAATCCCCCACGCAGCTGAGTCCCTTTCCCTCCTGCCTTCTTATGCTCCTGCACTGTCCTCAACTCCTATCTCTCTTTATGTTCAGCTGACCCCCCTCATCCCTACCCTTCGCTTCACACGCCATTGACATAGTTGAGCTCACTCCACCTCGAAAAGCCTCTCCCTGAACTCTGAATATTCTCTAGCACATGTGTGTCCACCTCCATTTGCAGACAGTCCTGTTCTGTGCAGTTTCTTGTTCCTGGCCTTTAGCCCTAGTGAGCCCCTCCTTCAGATTTTCCTCTCTTATTTGTCTATCAAAACATTCTTCCCCTCATAACAGGTGCCCCTCCCTCAATGAGTTCACCAGTGTCAAAACACCTCCCACACCTTGGAGTAACCATAAGATTACTTGCTTCTCTCTCCTACTGAACTTTTAGTGTTTTGAGGATGGAGACCTTGCCATAGCACGGTTCTACCTTCCAGCAGTACCAGGCACCTGGAGTCCTGGGCCATATTCATTTCATGCCCCTATAGATGCTGATTAAAGGCCTTTCCCTTCCCAATCCCCTGCTAAACTCCAACACATTCTTGCAGACCCAGGTCAAGTCTCTTCTATGTACCTTCTGAAAACCTACTCAGTGGAAATCCTTACTATTATTACTAACATCACTTTTTGCACTATTTGTCCTCTTGATCTTTCTCTTAGTGGTTTGTGAAGTTTTTATATATTGCTGTTTTTATGTCTCCAGGACCTGAAACTGTACTAGGTACATGGTAGGCACTCAACAAATATTTATTGAATGAATGGATCAATCAACCAATCAAACTATGCAAAATAAAGAGCATAAGACTGTGAGAGAGGAGACGAAAGCCTGGCTGGGAGGGAAAGGCCATAAGGAGTAATAAGATAGGAAAGTGTTAGGGTGTGTGGGAGATCACAAAACAGTATTTTCAGCGGTCTCCGTTGAGAGTTGACATCTGCTTTTCCACCCCTCGAATCTAGGTTTGGCCTTGCAACAGATGGACCAACAGAACACTAGGAAACACGATTCAAGTAGCATCTTGAAATGTGATCCTGCATTGGGGGTCCCCTCTCTTCACTGCACCCGGAACTGTGAGTACCTGATGTAAGTGAGCTCGAGCTAGCCTGTTGCAAAGACACCCTAGAGAAGGATGGAGGAGCCCAGTGAGCAGCCTGGTGAGTGAGGCCATTCTGGACCTTCCCCTCCAGCTGTGCCACCATCTGATCACAGTTCACTCCAAGTGAGATGAGTAGGAAAATCGCTCCCTTGAGTCCAGTCCAAATTGTCCACCTACCGAGCTGTAAACTAGTGAATACTTTTCTAAGTTTTCTAATAACAGCTACTAAGTTTTGAGGTTGTTTCATAGCAAAAACAAACTGATATGAGTTACAAAATATGAAGACAACCCTTGCATTTTAGAGGAGTAGGTTTAAATTTAACTTAGCCAGCAACCAAAACTTTAGCTTAAGTTACTGTTCTCTGAGAAAATCTGTGTTAACCTAAGGAAAGGTTAATTGGGTTAATATTATTTTTCTTCAATTATCTCACCATCTGCAATGAGTTAATTCTCTCTAAGATTTTGTGATTTTAGAAGAAATGGACTTATGGAAGTAATTAGCCATCAATTCCTTCAATGGGCTGTGTAGAACAAAGGGATTTCACTAAATGACAGTATTTGTATTTGCCCATCATTTCCATTCAAATGAAGTAGTGTTCAATATATGCTTACTTTGGGTTTACTTCTGCAGTCCTCCAAGAAACAGTGGTCTGTGTGGGCACAAATGAGCTACAGCACGTATAAGTCAATGGGAAGAAAGGAAATGCTCACTATGCTAGAAGTGACAGTAGAAACTTCCATTGTGTGTGACTGGAGAGGCACAAATGAAGGGCATCTCCCAAAGTGAGTGAGAAGAGTTCAGACTGAATATCTCAAAACCTAAGCTCATGTAAGGGAACAGGCAGGGCAGCCCACTGGATTGCTGTCTCTCCTATGAAAAGGAATCACTGGAGCTGGTGGCACATGGGTGAGCTGGAGAAATTGCTCGTGGAATTGAGAAGGTCTCAACCTCTAGGTTGAATTATCATATTTCATCATTTTTGTGTCCAAGGTGGACATTTTCTAGCCATGTACTTATATACAAAATATAAGAAGCCATTTGGGCTGGGTGTGGTGGCTCACTCACTCCTGTAATCCCAGTACTTTGGGAGGTCGAGGCAGGCAGATCATGAGGTCAGGAGTTTGAGACCAGCCTGGCCAACATGGTGAAACCACATCTCTACTAAAATACAAAAATTAGCTGGGCGTGGTGGTGTGTGCCAGTAATCTCAGCTACTCAGGAGGCTGAGGCAGGAGAATCACTTGAACCTGGGAGGCGGAGGTTGCAGTTAGCTGAGATCACACCATTGCACGCTATCCTAGTGACAGAGCAAGACTCTGTCTAAAAAAAAATAAAATAAGAAGCCATTTGGACCCAAACAGGCAGATCTCCTTGGTTCTTGGAGAGATAAGAGAGAAAGAGCAGCTTTGCCTTCCCCTGTGTTTGAAGATTGTATCATGGATCAGCATGGGCCTCTGTACCACAACTTGTTTTCCTGGGGTGTCCGTCCCAGGCAGTGCTTACTTTCTAAATTTTTCTCGGAGGCCTCATGGTGGGTATGGAAAACCGTGGGTGGTGAGTGAAGGAAAAGTAAGATGTCACTGAAAGCGGTCTTACCTCAGAGAGCAAGAATTCAGACCTCAAGACAATAGGTTAAACTTCATGAAGCATCTTTGATTAAGTCATCTTATTCTATTCTACTTTTGCTGTAACTAGCAGGCTTCATCTTTTGGGAGTGTGAGAGGAGTGACAGTTTAAGGAGGCTTCACAGGCGTCCATACAACCACAGGATGAACAGCCTTTTAGAAGTTACTGTTGCCCTTCCAGGAAGACAAGTTTCATTGCCTGGTACATAAATTGAGTTAAACTTGAAGGATATTTTTATGTAAAAGGAAGGGCAAATATATACAAAGATGACATTCACAAATACATTTTCTGTAAAAATAGGACAAAAGAGTAATATACAATTAAGACATTGTCAAACTTTTTTTTCTAAAATCAAAATTTTATACCAGTTTTTTTCCCTTTAAACTAGGAACCTATACTATTTCAAAGTGTTAAAACACATTTATAACATTTTCAGAAAACTACATTTAGGGAATGTTAAAAATATACATTAGAGGCTGGGCACGATGGCTCATGCCTGTAATCCCGGCAATTTGGGAGGCCAAGGCAGGTGGATCGTCTGAGGTAAGGAGTTCGAGACTAGCCTGGCCAACATGGCAAAACCCCATTTCTACTAAAAATACAAAAATTAGCCTGGCATAGTGGCTCACAGCTGTAGTCCCAGCTACTTGGGAGGCTGAGGCAGGAGAATCGCTTGAACCCGGAAGGTGGAGGTTGCAGTGAGCCGAGATTGCACCACTGCACTCCAGCCTGGGCGACAGAGCGAGACCCTGTCTCAAACAACAACAACAAAAAGGCGTTAGAACCCTGTGGCTTCCAATGTCCATTGCAGGAGCTGTGGCCGCCATGTTCTTCTGGCATAGCTGGTTACCTTGGCCACATACCTGATAACCACCCACTGACAAACAGATGAATTGCTCTGCCATGGCTCAGAAGCAGACACTCAGACAGGAACTTTTCTTTTTTCTTTCATGGAACTTTACCTGTAGACCCTTTTGTTTCGCCCCAAACCATCAGGATAACTGAAAGCCACTCCAACATGTTGATTGGGGTAGCCGAGGAATGATGCAGACCAGAGCATCAGAGTAGGTGACAGGCATTTGACAGTGGACACCCAAAAAAGGTAAGAGTGGCTATTCATCACCAGGGGCAGAGCATTTGCTAATCATGTCATCCCTAGAATTAGCTCAAATTTAAGAGTCTCAGTAAAAAAAGTTTTGGATCTAGGCCATGAGAGTCTGAACTATGAATTTATTATTTTAGGGCTGCATGGACACATGGGCCATGTGAATACTAACTAGGCCCTTGTGAATATTGGAACTCTAGAATCTAATATTGACTCTTCAAGCCAATATTGATGAGGGGTTAAATAACCAAATACCACCTGTACCCCAATAACTTACGGGAAAAAAAATAAACAAAAAGCATTACCATCATTAGAAGTTACTTTGGCCTAACCATTTTGGAAAACTGGGTATTGAATAAAGTCGGATTTAAAGCCCAGTAATTTTGCTCCTACTATTAACTATGAAAATATGTACAATGAGAATATCTGGGAAAAAAGGTATGAGAAAAACAGCTCATCACATACAAACTAACAATACAATCAATGGCTGCTTTTACACCAGAGGCAAGGAAGACCAGATAGCAGTGGAATTACACATTCAAAGTGCTGGAAAAAACTATCAAGGAAGAAGTAATTATCCAGTAAAACTATTCTTTAAAAATAAAGGCAAATAAAGACATGAGTAGATAAACAAAGACTGGGAGATCTTGCTACTTTCAGACTTATAAGAAATACTAAAGAAAGTCCTATATTTCTCCTATTTTAAAGATACAGATTGTATAAAGCAATAATTATAATACTTTGGGGGGCTTATTAAATAAATTCATATATAATATGGTTATATATATTCATATATTATCTATGTCATATAGTACAAAAAAGAAGAAAATAAATGAATATTAAAGGTTTTATATTTTAACAGAATTAAGTTAGTATTAATCTAAAGTAGATGTGGTCAGTTAAGATATATGTTGTATGTTTATTGCAGCACTACTTACAATAGCAAAAACTTAGAACCAATCCAAATGTCCAACAATAGTAGACTGGATTAAGAAAATGTGGCACATATACACCATGGAATACTATGCAGCCATAAAAAATGATGAGTTCATGTCCTTTGTAGGGACATGGATGAAGCTGGAAACCATCATTCTCAGCAAACTATCGCAAGGACAAAAAAACCAAACACCGCATGTTCTCACTCATAGGTAGGAATTGAACAATGAGAGCACTTGGACACAGGAAGGGGAACATCGCACACTGGGGCCTGTTGTGGGGTAGGGGGAGAAGGGAGGGATAGCATTAGGTGATATACCTAATGTAAATGATGAGTTAATGGGTGCAGAACATCAACATAGCACATGTATACATATGTAACAAACCTGCACGTTGTGCACATGTACCCTAGAACTTAAAGTATATTAAAAAATATATATACACATAAAAATAAATAAATAAATAAAGTTTTTACATTTTAACAGAATTAAATTAGTTGTAATCTAAAGTAGATGTGGTAAGATATATGTTGTAATCCCTAGAGCAAACACCAGGAAAATGCATTTTAAAATAGTTTAAAAATTGACATAATTAAAATAGTAATAAATATTAAATAGTACTAAAATTATTTATTTTTCACAAAAGAGTAAAGAACAAAGAAACTAGAAAACATGAGACATACAGAAATGAAATAGCAAGATAGAAGAACAAAATCTAACATTAAATGTGAATGGATTAAGTTCAGATTATCAGATGACAAAATACAATATCCAACTACATGCTGTCTAGACGAGTTACTCTTTAAAGACACAAATAGGTTGAAAATAACGTGATGAAAAATATACATCAAGCGACAGTTACTGTATAAGCTACAATAATATCTATATACTAGCTATATCTATATTAAAAGCTAAATATGTATTAGAAACAAAGAAGGATGTTTCATAATAATAAAAGAATCAATGAATCAAGAAGCTGTAAAAATATAAATATATATCTAACAAAAGACCCCCAAAATACATGGAGCTAAAAACTGATAGGTGGTAAGACGAAACAAACAATACAACAATAAGAGTTGATAGACATTTCTCCAAATATATACGAATAGTAAATAAACACATAAAAGATGTTCCATATTACTAGTCATTAGGGAGATGCAGATCAAAACTACACTTTATACCCATTAGGATGGCTAGAATCAAAAAGACAGACAATAAAAAGTATTGGTAAAAATGGATAAATCACACCCTCATACATTGCTGGTAGGACAGCCACTTTGGAAAACAGTTTGCACAGTTCTTTAAAATATTACACATGGAGCTACCATGTGACTGAGCAATTCCACTTCTAAGTATACACCCAAGAAAGCTGAAAACGTGTTCACAAAAACGCTTGCCCACAAATGTTGATAACAGCATTATTTATTATAGCCAAAATGTAGAAATAACTCAAATGTCTATCGACTGATAAAAAAAATGGGGTATGTCCATAAAATGGAATATTATTTGGCCATGAAAAAGAATGAAGTACTAACACATGCTAAACATGAATGAACCCTCAAAACATTATACCAAGTGAAAGAAGCCAGACAGACGTAAAGTGCCAAATGTTGTTTAATTCCATTTACATTAAATAGCTGGTATGGGCAAATATGTAGAGACAGAAAGTCAATTAATGGCTTCTAGGGGCTGGGAGCAAGGGGAAGTGGGAAATGATTGCTAATGGGTATGAGGCTTCTTTTAGAGACGATGTAAATGTTAGGAATTATATAGTGATGGTGGTTGCACACCTTTGTGACTACAGTTGGCCCATGAGCAACATGGGTTTGAACTTCCAGGTTGGCCACACCAGGACAGCAAGACCAACCCCTCCTCTTCCTCCTCCTTTTCAACCTACTCAATATGAGACGATGAGAATGAAAACGTTTATCATGATCCACTTCCAGTTAATGAATAGGAAACATATATTCTATTTCTTATGACTTTTTAAATAATATTCTCTTTTTGGTAGCTTACTTGATTGTAAGAATACTATATATAAATGTACATTTTAAATGAGTGAATTCTATGGAATGCAAACCATATCTCAGTAAAAGGAAAAATGCGAAATAAAAAAAGAGTTGAAAACTTCAAAACCAGTCTCAATAATAGATAGAGCAATTAAACTGAAAGAAAATTAAAAAGATAAATCAATGACTTGAGCAGCATAACTAACCAACTTGACCTATTTTGTATAACATAAATATACATGTATGAAGTATATTATATGCTTATGCATATTTATGAAGCAATTTATTCAACAATAGGAGAATACACATTCTTGTAAAGCACACATAAAACATTTTCCAGGATAGATCACATTCTGGGCTATAAAATAAACCTCAGGCGGGCGCGGTGCCTCAAGCCTGTAATCCCAGCACTTTGGAAGGCCGAGGCGGATGGATCTCTTGAGCTCAGGAGATCAAGACTAGGCTGCACAACATGGTGAAACACTGTCTATACAAAAAATACGAAAATTGTCCAGCATGGTGGTGAGTACCTGTGGTCCCAGCTACTTGGGGGGCTGAGGTGGGAGGATTGCTTGAGCCTGAAAGGTTAAGGGTGCAGTGAGCCCTGATTGTGTCACTGCAGTTCAGCCTGGGTGACAGGGTAAGATCCTGCATTAAAAAAAAGCCTCAATAAATTTTTAAAGGATTGTAATCATACAAAGTATATTTCTTGACCATACCAGGATTAAATTAGAATTCAATGATGGGGAGAAATTTGGGAAATCATCAAATGTGGGAATTAGGCAACACACTTCTAACTAACCTAAGAATTAAAGAATAAATGTAAAAAAAGAAAATATTTTGAAATGAATGACAAGAATACACAGCATCAAAAATACAGAAGTGTTTAGAGGAAAAATGTAGAGCTCTGAATATCTATACTAGGATAGAAGAAACGTATAAAATCAATAACTGAAACTTTTGCTTTATGAAATTACAACAGAGAAACTAAACCCAAACCAGGCAGAAAGAAGGAAATTGCAAAATCAGAGTAAAAGTCAATGAAATAGAAAACTGAAAAAATACTGAAGACTATGAAAGATGGCTCTTTGAAAAGGTTGATATTCATAAACTTTTAGCTAGAATAACTACAAAATAAAAAGAGCAAATGTGAAATATCAAATCAGGAATCAAGGGAGGGCATCCTTAATACAGAACTGAAAAAAAAATGTAAATAAATATTATGACAACTCTATGCCAAAATATTAGACAATGTAAATAACATATAAAAATTGCTGGAAATGCTTGAATTGCCAAAACTGACTAGAGAAGAAATAGAAAATCCCCACATTATCTATCAACATGTTAAAAATAATAATACTAATCTTACACAAATTATTTCAGAAAATACTGGAGGAAGTAACATCTTCCATTCATTCTGTGAGGCCAGTACTACACTTATACCAAGCCCAGGTAAATAGCTCAAAAGAAAAAAGGCCAATATCTCTCATAAACATGGGTGCAAAAATACTTAATGAAATGTTAGTAAAGCAAATTCAACAACTCATGAAATATGACCACGATTTTAATACTAGGAATGCTAGGTAGGTTTAAGATCCCAAAACAAGACAATATACAATTTTAATAGTTTAATGACCAAAAACTATATATCAATAGGTGTAAAAAATATTTAATGAGTTCCAATATTCACTCATATTTTTGAAAAAAATTCAATATAATCGGATTATAGAGGAATTCTTCTCTCTGATATAGGCATCTATGAAAAATCCACAGCTGACATCATATTTAATGGTAAAGGACTCAATGCTTTTCCAGTGCTATGAACAAACCAAGAATATATACTTTCACCATTTCTATTGAATATCAAACTTGAGATTTCATATTGTTCTTAGGAAATTTTAAACTTACAGGTTGGAAATAAGTAAACAAAACTCCTTTTATTCACAGATAGTATGATTCTTTTTATAGAGAATCGTAAGGAATGTGCATGCATGCGCACACACACACACACAACTAGAACTAATAAATGAATTTTTAAAGAACCTCAAAATACAAGATCAATATTTTAAAAATAAATTGTATGTTTATACATTAACAACATAAAAACTGAAAATGAAATTTAGAAAATTATTCTTGTTGTCATGAGAAGAAATAAAATATCTGAGAATCATTGAAAAAAAGAAATGAAGGTTGGTACATTAAAAATTACAAAACATTGTAAGAGAGACCAAATAAGATATAAATAAATAAATTGAGAGATGTCCCATTTTCATGTACTAAAACATACAAGATTGTTAAGACATCAGTTATTTCCAAATGCATCTACAGATTCATAACAATCCCTAAAAAATATCCTAGTATGCCATTTTTTTAAGGTGGAGAGGGAGGTAAAATTGATAATACTACAAAATTTATTTAAAATCCAAGAACTTGGAATGGACAATGTTTTCAGTGAAGAAATGTTTAGAGGATTTAGACTACTTGATTTCAAAACTGACTAAAAAGTTACAGGAATCAAGACAATGTGGCACTGGACTGAGGATAGGAACATACATCAATGGAACAAATCAGAGAAACCAGAAATAGACCCTGGCATTATGGTGAATAGATTTGTTAACAAATGGGACTAGGCAATTCAATGGATATAGTCTTTTCAATAAATATGCTGAGACAATTGAATATCAATATGAAGAATAAAGTGAAAGAGAGAAATTAGATTCCTACCTCACGCCATACACAAAAATTAACTCAAAATAGATCTTAGACATAAACTTAAGAGTTAAAAGCTATACAATTTTTAGAAATGATCCTTGTGTCCTAGATTAGGAAGAGAGTTTTTAGATATGACACCAAAATGACAATACATAAAAGAAAAAGGAAATGAAATAGTGGACTTTAAAAATCAAAAACCAAACACTTTTATATTTTCTATAACATCATTAAATAGTTGAAAGCACAAGCCACAGACCTGGGAAATATAATGTAAATAGTATATATAATATAGAACTTTTATTCAGAATATATTAAAAACTCTTACAACTCAATAATAATACACTCCAGTTTTTTAAAAAGGCAAAGGATGTGAAAAAGAAGAGTTGAAAATAAGTAATACACACAAGAAAACATGCTCACTGTCATCAGTAATTAGAAAAATCTAAATTAGAATTATGAGAAGAAAACACTATATTCCCTCTAGAATGGATATAGTCAGACAATGACGGCATGGAAAGCTGCTGAGATGTAGAGAAACTGAACACTCTTCTCAATTCCTGTTCAGAATAAAAATGGAATAATTACTTATAACACGTTGACAATTTCTTCAAAAGTCAATAAAAATTTAGCTTACACTCCAACAATAGCAGCTTCTTGATTTGGATGATTAATTCTTAGTTATTCTACTTTTCTTTTTCTTTGATGTTGCTTTAGTTTTAAAAGCATATACTTTTACATTGGGTACAGTGTACACTGCTCGGGTGACAGGTGCACCAAATTCTCAGAAATCACCGTTAAAGAACTTATCCATGTAACCAAACAGCACCTGCTCCCCAAACACTATTGAACTAAAAAAAATAAAGTGTATGCTTTTATTTTGGATTGCAGGGTATGTTTGCAGGTTTGTTACATGGGTATATTGCAAGATGCCGAGGTTCGAGGTAGGAAAGATCCCAACAACCAGGTAAGGATTATGGTACTCAGGAGTTCTTCAACCCTAGCCCAGCTCCCTCCCTCCCCCATCTAATAGTCCTTAGTGCCTACTGTTGTCATCTTTACTTCCATGAGCACTCCATGGTTAGCTCCCACTTAATGAGAACATCCTGCATTTGCTTTTCTATTCCTACATTAATTTACTTAGGATTCAGATGTGAATTGCCCTCTAATTATAGCTTCAGCTGTATCATTTCTGATTAGGTAATTATCATTTAGTTAAAATGATTTCTAGTTTTCATCAATTTCTTTTTTGGCTCAATGAATATTTTAAAATGTTTTGTTCAGTTCCCAAATACTTGGAGACTTATCTTCTCAAATTAATTTATACCTTAATTTTACCATGGTCAGAATACAAGCTCTCAATCAATTTAGTTCTACAAAATGACAAACATTTTGTGTGTGTTAGAAAAGAATGCATATCCTGTGTTCTTGAGTTGAATATATCTATTCTATCAATTTTGAAAATCATCTAATCTTCTAAATCCTTACTATTTAAAGACTCAAATTTCATGAAGAAAAATTGTGATACTAAATAAACAAAAAGGAAAATCTACATTCATAGATAAAGATTTTAACACAACTCTCTCAGTAATTAGTAGAACCAGTTAGGAATTATATCTATCTGTTGAATTGACTACTTCATCATTATAAAATACCTTTATGTCTCGTTATGCTTTTAGTCTTAACTCATTTATACCTGAGGTGGCAACTTTTTGAATTTGAAAAATCAGACCTAGGCAATGATCTTGAGCAGCAGGAGATAAATAACTCCCACATGCTTAGCGTTCCAATAATGAAACACTTGGCATAAATGAGTTTAAACCCTATTTTGCATGTTATTCAAATATTTACACCAGCTTTTTTCTGCTTATTTGTTGCATGGTATATATTTTCCCATCCTTTTGCTTTCAAATGTAATACTTGTAATGAAAGATATGTCTTTATGGGAGCTTACATTTGTTTTTTTAAATTCAGCCTGGTCATTAATTTAAAAACGGAAATATTTGACTCATTTACATTTAATATGTTTTGTTTTTTTTTCCTTCATCATGACTTTTTTTTTAACCAATTAGGTACTTAAATTTTTTTTCATTTCCCCCTATTTACTTGTTAATTACATAGCATTTAATATTATTGTTGAACTCACAAATGACACGTATTATTTTTAATCTCTTTAATTATACTCTAAGTTTTGGGATACATGTGCAGAACGTGCAGGTTTGTTACACAGGTATACATATGCTGTGGTGGTTTGCTGCACCCATCAACCCGTCGTTTAGGTTTTAAGCCCCACATACATTACGTGTTTGTCCTAATGCTATTCCTCCCTTTGCCCCCAACCCTCTGACAGGCCCCAGTATGTGATGTTCCCCTCCCTGTGTCCATGTGTTCTCATTGTTCAGCTCCTACTTATGAATGAGAACATGTGGTGTTTGGTTTTCTGTTCCTGTTAGTTTGCTGAGAATGATGGTTTCCAGCTTCATCCATGTCCCTGTAAAGGACATGAACTCATTCTTTTTTATGGCTGCATAGTATTCCATGGTGTATATGTGCCACATTTTCATTATACAGTCTATCACTGATGGACATTTGGGTTGGTTCCAAGCCTTTGCTATTATAAATAGTGCTTCAATAAACATACATGTGCATGTGTCTTTATAGTAGAATGATTTATAATTCTTTGGGTATCTACCGAGTAGTAGAATTGCTGAGTCAAATGGTATTTCTGGTTCCAGATCCTTGAGGAATTGCCAGACTGTCTTCCACAATGGTTGAACTAATTTACACTCCCACTAACAGTGTAAAAGCATTCCTATTTTTACACAACTTCTCCAGCATCTGTTGTTCCCTGACTTTTTAATGACCGCCATTCTAATTGGCATGAGATGATATCTCACTGTGGTTTTGATGTGCATTTCTCTAATGACCAGTGATGATGAGCTTTTTTTTAATATGTTTGTTGGCCGTATATATGTCTTCTTCTGAGAAGTGTTTGTTCATATCCTTTGCCCACTTTTTGGTGGGGTTGTGTGCTTTTTTCTTATAAATTTGTTTAAGTTCCTTATAGATTCTAGATATTAGACCTTTGTCAGATGGGTAGGTTGCAACAATTTTCTCCCATTCTCTAGGTTTCCTGTTCACACTGACAATAGTTGCTTTTGCTGTGCAGAAGCTCTTTAAATGTAATTATATCCCATTTGTCAATTTTCACTTTTGTTGCCATTGCTATTGGTGTTTTAGTCATGAAGTCTTTGCTCATGCCTGTGTCCTGAATGGTATTGCCTAGGATCTCTTCTAGGGTTTTTATGGTTTTAGGTCTTATGTTTTTGTCTTTAATCCATCTTGAGTTAATTTTTGAACAAGCTGTAAGGAAGGGGTCCAGCTTCAGTTTTCTGCATATGGCTAGTCAGTCTTCCCGACACCATTTATTAAATAAGGAATCCTTTCCCCATTGCTTGTTTTTGTCAGGTTTGTCAAAGATCAGTTTGTTGTAAACGTGTGGTGTTATTTCTGAGGCCTCTGGTCTGTTCCGTTGATATACATATCTGTTTTGGCACCAATACCATGCTGTTTTGGTTACTGTAGCCTTGTAGTATAGTTTAAATCAGGTAGTGAGATGCCTCCAGCTTCGTTCTTTTGCTTAGGATTGTCTTGGTTATATGGGTCCTTTTTTGATTCCATATGAAATTTAAAGTAGTTTTCTCTAATTCTGTGAAGAAAGTCAATGGCAGCTTGTTGGGAATAGCATTGAATCTATAAATAACTTTGTGGAATATGGCCATTTTCAAGATATTGATTCTTCCTATCCATGAGCATGGAATGTCTTTCCATTTGTTTGTGTCCTCTCTTATTTCCGTGAGCAGTGGTTTGTAGTTCTCCCTGAAGAGGTCATTCAAATCCCTTGTAAGTTGTATTCCTAGGTATTTTATTCTCTTTGTAGCAACTGTGAATGGAGTTCATTCATTATTTAGATCTGTGTTTACCTGTTATTAGTGTATAGGAATGCTTGTGATTTTTGCACATTGATTTTGTATCCTGAGACTTTGCTGAAGTTGCTTATCAGCTTAAGGAGTTTTGGGGCTGAGACAATGGGGTTTTCTAAATATACAATCATGTCATCTGCAAACAGAGACAATTTGACTTCCTCTCTTCCTATTTGAATATGCTTTATTTCTTTCTCTTTCCTAATTGCCCTGGCCAGAACTTCCAATACTACATTGAATAGGAGTGTGAGAGAGAGCATCCTTGTCTTGTGCAGGTTTTCAAAGGGAATGCTTCCTGCTTTTGCCCATTCAGTATGATATTGGCTCTGGGTTTGAAATGAAAACATGTATTCTTTAGTTATTAATATCAACTTTAAATGAAACCTCTAATTTTGTTATAATACCAGGTCTTCCAACAGTACAACTCCATTTACACTATCCCACCTCCTCAACATGCATACCTTTTATGCTGCTGTTGTACAATACTTAAATTCTACATATATTTTAAACCACCTAGATAGATTGATTGTTTTAAGCAGTAACTATTTGTGTAAAAACATCCTTCAATATTGCCCTTAGCGTGACTCTGTCACTAAATGATTTTCTCCCATTTTATTTGTTTGATGATGTCTTTGACCTTCCTTCCTGAAGACTCCTCATTCTCAATATTTTTCTTAGTTAGAGACTGATACTGTGACAGTGTTAAGGTTTCTATTGTCTCGGCTCATGTAAGACATCATTGCATTTCATTTTCGTTTCCACTGGTTCTACGGAGAACTCAGCTGAGTCCAAATGCTGTCTCTTTTGAAGGAAATATGTCAGTCTACCTGTCCGGGTTTAAGAGTTCCTCCCTACATTTGATTTTTAGAAGTACTACTGTGATGTCCATAAGTCTCCTTCCTTTGCTTATTTTTAGTGGGGTTTTCCTCGTTTATCCTGTTTGAGATGTGTGCAGCTTCACGGATCCTTAGCAGGGGATCTTTTGCCAGTTTTGGAACATTCTCAGTTAAAATATTTTTTGAACACTTCGGCAAATTCTTCCTTACCTTTCCTTCTGGATTCTAATTACAGGTACCTTTTACTTTTACACTATGCCGCATATTTATCTTAATTTTTTTCTGTACTTTTTCTTGCTTTAACCTAGATGTTTTCTACTGACCAATCTTCCAGTTAATAAATCGTCTTTAATTGCATATTCATTTTACTTTAAACACATCTTCTAAATTTATAATTTTATAAATTATATATTTGTTCAATGATACAACATTTATTTTCAGGATATTGGCCTCCAAAATCCTGGCTGAATTTCCCATGTTTTCAAACAGTCTTCCTTCTTTCTTCCCTTTTATTTATTTAAAAAGAAATTTTCCTACCTTTATGCTAGTCCTTGATTGGAGGGCTGGGCTAATACAAGCTACCTGATTGTAGTCAAATGAATTAGAAAGTCAACAGAAAAACAGGAGTGTGGTGGCAGTAGTTTTGCAAGATGACTCAACCAAAAGAGGCAGAGTCAGGGGCTGTACCTAAAACAAATTTCTTACACCAATTTTCCCCTTAAAAATAAATGTGGACTTGTCACCACAAACCCCTCTCAAGAGGGCAGGTGAGGAATCATTGGCTGCGTCCCAGGCCTCATAGGAACACCAGTGCCTAGAGTAGTTGTCTTTGGTGGTAGGAAATGACAGACTTTCTATCAGAGAGGCTTTTATTAAATCACAAATATAACGTAAAAAATTAAAACCAAATGTCAAACCCTACATGTGACAGGATAGCTGGCTCCAGGAGCTTAATGATTAAAGAAGAGAGCGTGTGGGCCCAAGGGTTTTCTTTGAAGGAGAGAAGTAACTGGCGTAAAGGCCCTCAAACTCTCAACTCAGCAGCCAAAAGGAGGCACAGACGCCAAAGACCTCAAGCATTTTCTGAAGGACGGGAAAGCAGTGGGGAATAATATTGGGCTCCTGGGTCTTACACACATGGCATGACTCCTTATGCCAGGGGTGCACTCATTTCTAAGCCTGTCTTAGAACTGGCAGGTGTCAGAATGAGAACTATGTAAAGATTTGAAAGTATTTAATGATTTTATCTCTTGCAATGCCTGCTATCTTCATATATTTAAAATATTTCCATCACAAAAGCAACCAGATGGCATTGCCAAGATGGACATATAGGATGAAGCACTATGGGAAGGTTCTGAGAGGGCCTTCGTCGAAGTTCACTGCTGAGCTTGAGCTCTGTTGGATTCTGGGTGAAGTTCACTGCTGAGCTTGAGCTCTGTTGGGTTCTGGGGTGGGGGCTCAGATACAGGGAGAGTTTGACCTTCCAGGAATGCTCCCTGACTGGGGGCCATCAGTGCTGGTCTCCAGGTGACGGGCTACCAATCCGCTGTTGGCACCAATGATAAATTGGCTGTGCCAGCCCCCTTCCTTCATTCCCAGGAAGCTCCGATAAAGGTTGTCAGCTCCTGGAATGCATTTTTTAGTACAGTTACCTATTGCCTGTGGGCAGATGTTTTAATTTCAACCAACTTAGAGGACACTATCATTTAAAATACTGATCAGACCATCCTGTATAATACGTAATTTATGAGAAATGAACTTCGAACTTTGTTAAGCAATTTGATATAAAACCTGTAGGGCACATTCTTGCCATTTCTACAAATAGTAACTGTGAGTAAGAGCAGAAGATGTGGTCAGGAAGTGAGTGCTCATTCAGGTAACCTCGGTGACCCTTACAGCGCTGAGAGGAACCTCTGCTCTGTGGCATCTCCAAGGGTGGAAGATTGGACATTCAACCAGTGTTTCGGTTTGTGGGATGAAACGTTAGCAATTGCAAAATCTTTGACTAGGAAGGTTTCATGGGCAAGCTTGATAAATTGTTCCAGGGCTAAGAAACAGTAAATACTCCTGTTGAAATACTTCACTTTGCTCAAGTTTCCCCTAATTTTTGACACCAGAGACAACATTAAACAAACATGTTCTAACTTCATCTTTTCTCAAGGCCTGGCTATATACACACAATATTTCTGCAGTGTTGCCCTTGTGTTTGCATATTTACCCCCAAAAGCCCAGTGGACATCTGTGAAAATGAATCCCACGTTGGGAAGCTACTGTAACACAAACTTCGCTCAGGAAGTCAGATGTCTGCAAACACAAGAATGTACCTATGTTTCTCAGGTTTAAAATCAAGTTCAACTGCAGGTTGATCTGCCTTTGCAGCATCCTCTGCAGGCTTTATTAAGATGATAAATGCTTTCCAGCCTGCCATGCTTAGCGAACACATGACACATATGAACACACACTATATAGGCTTTCTAGTCTGTACAGCATATATTTATATTATTAATTTCTTTCAATGTTTCTGTATAATGTGTATTTTCTTTAATGATTTAACCTGGATATTTGCTCTAAGACTACCTGCCCACATCGTTACATATTTATTATAATAATATATCACTTTGTAAGCTGTGTTTTTGATATTTGTTTATCATTGTAAATAATGACACAAAATCATCCCACATTACACGGGGACAGCAAGTACTTTAGAACACTAGAAAAACCAGACTGTGGAGCCCTGCCTTTGAAATATGATTTAAAACAGAATTTATAATGTCGCAGAATTACATAAAACTGTGTGAAATTGTGCAGATAATCATTTAAATCTCTCTACATGAAAAGATAATTGCTCCAGAAATTAACTGTACCTGGGGTTCATTCATTTGGTCATGGCTAGTTTCTTATGTAGTGATGATTTGATATCAGAGCTAATTAAGATCGGGTCAGAGTTGGTGAAGGTCAGACATTAATGTGTGGGATCATTGAAATGATAATTATAAACAGATTAGGAAGCCACGGTCCTTTATAAGGGGTTATTAGATAATTACTGTGAGAGTGAACGGCTTACTGTAATAATGGATTATCGACTACTTACAGCGTTTTAAGGGTGAGAGTGTATTCCTTCCTCAAGTACTAAAGAATAACGTTGTTGAAACTCAGAGCTCAGTAAATAAAGTAGAATGGTAGCTCCAGCCCATTTTTCCCTGAAAGGATTTTTATTTTAGGGGATGCCTGTTATCACTGATGTCCTTGCTGTCCTGTGGACAATGATGGCATGTCTTGAGAGGGGTAGGGAAGGAAAAATAGTATTAGGATTCTCTACTGTTAGACAAGGAGAACGAGGAGATGAGGAAGGTTTTGCTTTCCTCTCTGGTTCATTTATTTATAAGCTTTCCTGAATATTGGAAATCCATGAAAGCACAGGGTAGAATGAAAGCCGCTCAGCCCATTTGGCGTCTTCAGGATAGAGGTGCATTTCACCCTGGTGTGCCTTTCACTGGGAACACTCTGACAATGCAATGACATGAGCTATCGGTGAGGCTAACAGACACTGGGCTGCAGAGGAGTCCACATTCAGGACCTGGGGATTATGTGGGACAACTCTTTTCTCATCTGAAATCCTGTGGTGGGCCCCTGTTCACAATGCCTTTGCTTCACGTCTTGCCACAAAGGTGGGCTTTCCAGAAAAATGAGCTCATGCATATAAAGAAATATTCAGGCTCCCTTTAACATACTATCTGACTTAAGTATTCACAACTTTGATAACATGGCCACAATTCCTGCTGAGTCTTCATCTTCTGTGTAATAAAAAGCAGCAACTTTCAACGAATGCTATTTATGATGTGGATCAGGAAAGCAATTGGAAAACATATGGAACGTCATGTTTTAATTCTTTTTCCACCTTGTTAAAACAATTTGTCTCTAGGAGAGATTCCAGGGTCGACCTCGAATTCTAAGGGGTGGGATGGAGTTGCTTTTGTCATCTTTGTGGATTCTTTCTTCAGCGCAGGAGGGGCTGGCACTGCCTGGACGCCTGTTGTGGAAGGGCAGAGACTGTTGGTCATCAGGGGCTTTCTGTCTGCAGGGCCCAGGGCGTGTGAGCATCCACATCGCACCTTGGGCCCAGGCTCAGAGCAGGGCCTTCTGGATCCCTGGCTGCGTGAAGAGGGCTTTGGCCTCAGCAGGATTTGTGTGTTGACACAATGCAGGCTGTACCCTGTTTCTGGCCTGTCGCCATAAAATGCCCAGAATCCAACATGACAGAAATGTGGGTTGAGCATTTTTGCAGAAATGGGATCTGCATCTGGGAATTAAAAGCAAGAATGAGCATCTGAAGCATGATGAGGTATGGACCTCCAGTGTCCCAGCCCCACTGCCTGGACTATCAATGGGCCAGGAAGTTGGGCCCGTTCCAATAGGATGTGAGATTGAGCATACCCTGTGCCAGCCCAGGCATTCCTGATTCCTAGTCATGTCTTCGCTGACCCCTAGTGACCTGGGACACTGCTCCCCATTGGTCCTGACCTAATCACCTTCAAGTCAGCCTTATAGCAGAGTCTCATGTCTCGTTTCTCTCCCATTTCCACTTTTTTTTTCCTTTTTTTTTTTTTTTTTTTTGAGACAGTCTCACTCTGTCACCCAGGCTAGAGTGCAGTGGCACAATCTTGGCTCATTGTGACCTCTGCCTCCTGAGTTCAAGCGATTCTCATGCCTCAGCCTCCTGACATAGCTGAGATTACAGGCATGCACCACCACGCTCAGCTAAGTTTAGTATTTTTAGTAGAGATAGGGTTTTGCCATGTTGGCCAGGCTGGTCTCGAACTCCTGATCTCAAGCAATCTACCCGCCTCGGGCTCCCAAAGTGCCAGGACTACAGGGGTGAGCCGCCATGCCCAGTGCCATTTCTGCTTTCTCTGTAGGTATGCTTAGTGTTTCCAGTAATCAAAGGAGGGTGAAAACAGCAGTGAACGGGGGCGCAGGTAATTGGGAGTACATTCATTTGCCTTGGTCTGTACATTAGTTGAGAAGGGTTGGTTGCCTATGGAAGAGTATGTGGCAGTCTCCGTCATTTGTATTCTTTTGAGGTTGCCCAGAAGGAGAAGTCATCTTTAGCTGGCCAAGGGAGGATTCCACCTCTAGAGAAGGTCCCTTGAACAGTCGGCTTCGAAGGTACTTCCTGCTTGTGATTTGGGGCGCTCTTCCAACTTCCAGAGAAGGCGAAAACATTTCTCTCTAAGAAGGATGCTTCATCTAGAACAGGGACGTCCAATTTTTTGGCTTCCCTGTGCCGCCTTGAAAAAAGAAGAATTGTCTTTGATCACACATAAAATACACTAACACTGACGATAGCTGATGAATGAGCTAAAAAAAGAATCTCAAAAAAAAATCTCATAATGTTTTTAAAAAGTTTATGAGTTTGTGTTGGGCCACAAAGTTGTCCTGGGCTGCATGCAGCCCATGGGCCACAGGTTGGACAAACTTGAATAGAAGCATGCTTTGCTGGAAACTTCTCCATTATTGAGAGTCTCAAGAAACAGGATTGCAGGAGGCTGGTGTTCTTGACCAGGTCATCTGGACAGCCACAGTTCCACCAAAGCAGGCCTGGAAAGAGAACTACACCGTTATGATGCGGCTCTGTCTGTGAAAGATAATGACTCACCTACCAAATAATTCAGAAGGTTAAAATCTGAAGTTTAACTGCAGTGTTTAAACCCTGCTTTCAAAACAGCACCCCAGAATCTTTGCACCTCACTATGTGGTCCAGGGTGAAACGGAAGGACAGGGAAGTTCACATGACTCAAGGTGAACCTCTTCCAATCACAGGCATAAATTACTGGTGCTTTGACACTGTGGTTCCTGGGTCAACGTGATGCTATTGTGACTTGTTCATGATTTTTTTAGTTGACATATCATAATTATACGCACGAGACACAATGTGATATTTATATATGTGTAAACAATGTGTAATAATGAAATCATGGTAATTAGCATAGCCATCACCTCAAAAATTTATTATTTCTTTGTGTTGGGAACTTTCAAAATCCTTTTTCTAGCTATTTAAAAACACACAACAAATCACTGTTGACCATAGTCACCCTGCTGTGCTAAAGAACGCTAGAATTTATTCCTCCTGTCTAGCCATGATTTTTGTATTCCTTTCAAATCCCTCCCTATCTCCCCTTCCCACTACCTTTCCCCCCTTCCCACTACCTTTCCCAGCCTATAGTAACCACTATTCTACTGTCTGTTTCTATAAGAGAGCAACTTTGTAAGCTTATACACATGAGTGAGAACATGCAGTATTTGTCTTTCTATACCTGGCGTCTTTCACTTCGCATAATGTCTTCTAGGCTTATCCATGTTGCTGTGAATGACAGGAATTCATCTTTTTTATGGCTGAATAGTATTCCATTGTGTATATATACCACATTTTCTCTAGCCATTCATTCACTGATAGACATTTAGGTTGATTTAATATCTTGACTATTGTGAATAGTGCTGCAATAAATATGGAAATGCAGATACGTCTTTGACATACTGATTTCCTTTTCTTCAAGTCCCAGCAGTGGGATTGCTGGATCATATAGAAGTTTCATATTTAGTTTTTTTGAGGAAACTCAATACTGTTTTTCATAAGGCTTCACTAATCAACATTCTCATCAATGCTGTACAAGGGTCCCACTTTACATCCTCACCAGCATTTGTTATTGTTTGTCTTTTTTATAATAGCCATTCTAACTGGGGTGAAATTATATCTCCTTATGATTTTGATTTGCATTTTCCTGATGATTAGTGATGTTGAGCATTTTTAAAATATACTTTTTTGGCCATTTGTGTGTCTTCTTTTTAGAGATTCTTGATTAGTTGCCCATTTTAAATTGGATTATTTGGCTCTGGTTTCTCTTAAGTTGGTTGAATTTCATGTATTTTCTAGATATTAATCCTTTGTTGGATGAATAGTTTGCAAATATTTTTTCTCATTCTGCAGGTTGTCTTTTCACTCTATTGATTGTTTGCTGTGCAGAAGATTCTTAGTTTTATATAATCCCATTTGTTTATGTTTTGCTCTTATTTTCTGTGCTATTGAGGTCTTTTCCATGAGATCTTTGCCCAGACCAGTGTTCAGTGTCTTGTGTGTTACCTATGTTTTCTTCTAGTAGTTTTGTAGTTTTGGGTCTTTCATTTAAGTCTTTTATCCATTTTGAGTTAATTCTTATATATGGTGAGAGTTAGTGGCTTATTTTTGTTCTTTTGCATATCGATATCCAATATTCTCAGTACCATTTATTGAAGTTATTGTTCTTTCCCCCAGCGTGTCTTGTTGGAATATTTGTTGAAAATCTGTCGGCTGTAAATATGTGAATTTATTTCTCAGTGCTCTATTTTGTTCAATTGGTCTGTGTGTCTGCTTTTATGCCAGTACCATGCTGTTTTGGGTGCTATAATTTGTGTCTGTTTTTATGCCAGTACCATGCTGTTTGGGGTACTATAATTTGTAATATATTTTGAAGTCGTGTAGTGTGATATCTCCACCTCTGACCTTTATTCTCATCTTCATTATTTCTTTTCTTCTACTAATTTTGGGTTTAGTTTCTTCTTGCTTTTCTAGTTCCTTGAGGTGTACTATTAGGTTGTATATTAAAATCTTTACTTTTTGATGTAGGTGTTTATTGCTATAAACTTTGAAAAGTACTGCTTTTTGCTGTATTTCATAGGTTTTGGTATGTTTTGTTTCTATTTCCATTTGTTTCAGAAAACTTTTAAATTTTCCTCATCGCTCAGAAATGCTTTAGCTATTCAGGGTCTTTTGTGAGTCCAGATAAATTTAAAATTTTTTTCTATTTATGTGAAGCATGCCATTGGTATTTTGATAAGGATTGCACTGAATCTGTAGATTGCTTTGGATAGTATAATCTTTTTAACAATGTTAATTTTTAATACACAAACATGAGACCTCCTATTTTTGTGTACTCATCTATTTCTTTCACCAGCATTTCTTTCATAGTTATTATTTTAAAGATCTTCCACTTCCATGGTTAAATTTATTCCTAGATATCTTTTTCGTAGCTATTGTAAATGAGATTGCTTTCATGACTTCTTTTTTGGCAGTTTATTATTGGTATATAGAAATGCTACTAATGTTTGCACATTGATTTTGTGTCCTGCAACTTTACCAAATTTGTTTATTAGTTCTAAGAGTTTCTTGATGGAATCTTTAGGTTCTTTCTATATGTCAGATCATGCCATCTGCAAAGAGAAACAATTTGGCTTCCTCCTTTTCAGTCTGGATGGCCTTTATTTCTGTCTCTTGTCAAATTGCTCTGGCCAGGAGAGTACTATGTTTAATAACAGTGATGAAAGTGGACATCCTTGTATTGTTTCAGTTCTTAGACAAAAAGTTTTCAACTTTTTCCTATTCAGCATGATGTTAGCTGTGGACTTGTCATGTATGGTTTTTATCATGTTGAAGTATATTCCTTCTGTGTCTAGTTTGCTGAGAGTTTTTATTATGAAGAATGTTGAATGTTATCAAATCTTTTTTCTTCATCAATTAAGATGATCATATAATTCTTACCCTTCATTCTGTTGATGTGATGTAGCACATGTATTGATTTGCATATGTTGATTTGCATATTTACATTGCTAGGATAACTTCTTGATCATAGTGTATGATCTTTTTGATGTGTTGTTGGATTCACTTTCCTGGTATTTTGTTGAGAGCTTTTCTATCTATGTTCATCAGGAATATTGGCCTATAGTTTGTGTGTGTGTTTGTCTTTGTGTGGTTTTTGTGTCAGGGTAATTCTGGCCTCACAGAATGAGTTTGGCAGAATTTTCTTCCCTTCAAATACTTGGAATAGTTAGAGAAGAATTGGTGTTAGTTCTTCTTTAAAAGTTTGGTAGTATTCAATTGTGAAGCCATCGGGTACTTGGTTTTTCTTTGTTGGGAGACATTGTATTATTGATTCAATCTCATAACTTACTGTTGGTTTGTTTAGGTTTTCTGTTTCTTCTGGGTTCAATCTTGATAGCCTATATGTGTCCAAGAATTTATTCATTTTCTCTAGGTGTTCTAATTTGTTGGCATATAATTGTTTATAATAGTCTCTGATGAGCCTTTGTCTTTCTGTGGTATTAGTTGCAATATCTGCTTTTTTGTTTCTGATTTTATTTGGTTCTTTTCTCCTTTCTTCTTAGTCTAGCTAATGGTTTGTCAATTTTGTCTATGTAAAAAACACTTTTTATTGTATTTGTTATTTTGCATGTTTGAGACTTAATTCTGTTTATTTCTACCCTGGTCTTTATTATTTTTTTCTTATACTAATTTTGGGTTTAGTTTCTTCTTGCTTTTCTAGTTCCTTGAGGTGCACCATTAGGTCATATATCTGAAATCTTTACTTTTTGATGTAGGCATTTATTGCTATAAACTTCTCTCTAAGTACTGCTTTTGCTTTATCTTATAGGTTTTGGTATGTTTTGTTTCTACTTTTATTTGTTACAAAAACTTTCAAATTTTCTGAATTTCTTCAATGGCCCAATGGTTGTTGAGGAGCCTGTTGTTTAATTTCCGTGTCTTTGCCCAGTTTAAAAAGTTCCTTTTGTTATTGATATCTCGTTTTATTCCACTGTGGTCCGTAAAGATAGTTGACATGGTTTTGATTTTTAAGAAAATGGTTGAGACTTATTTCGTGGCCTAACACATGATCTATTCTAGAGAATGTTCCGTGTGCTGCTGAGAATGTATATTCTGTAGCTGTTGGATGAAATGTCCTATAAATGTCTGTGAGGTCCATTTGTTATATAGTGCCGCTTAAAGCGGATGTTTCTTTGTTAATTTTCTGTCTAGATGATCTGTTCAATACTTACAGTGAAATGTTGAAATCCTCAACTATTATTGTATTGGAGCATATCTCTCCCTTTAGATCTGATAATATTTGCTATTTGTATCTGGGTGCTCTGGTGTTCCTTGCATATTTATTTACAATTGTTATATCCTCTTGCACAAATCCCTTCATTATATAATGCCCTTCTTTGTCTCTTTTTACAGTCTTTGACTTAAAATCTACTTTGTCTAAGTACAGTTATACTTTGGAGATACTGAGGGTTCAGTTCCAGAACATTGCAATAAAGTGAATATCACGATCAAACAATCAAACCAAAGTTTTTCTTGGTTTTCTAGTACATGAAAGAGTTATGTTTACTCTATACTGTCATCTATTAAGTGTGTAATAGCATTACATCTAAAAAACATTGTACATATCTTAATTAAAAATTACTTTATTGCTAAATACTGCTAATGCAAAGAAACAAAGATAGCACATGCTGATGGAAAAGTAGGGCCAATAGACTTGCTTAGTGCAAGGTTGCCACAAACCTTCAATTTTTTAAAAATTCAGTATCTGCAAAGTACAATAAAGTGAAACGCAATAAAACAAAATATGCCTGTACAGCGACTCCCACTTGCTTTAGGTTTCTATTTGCATGGACTATCTTTTTTCTCACTTATCTTTCAGTTTATCTGTATTTTCACAGGTGAAGTGTGAGTTTCTTGTAATAGATAGTATATAGTTGGGTCTTTTAAAAGATCCATTTAACTAGTCTACATTTTTTTTAATTGGATAATTTAATTTATTTACATTCATGTTTATTATCAATAAGTAAGAACTTATTTCTGCTGTTTTCTTAATTGGTTTTCTGGTTGTTTTACATATCATTTGTTCCTTTCTTCTTCTCTTATTGTTTATCTTTGCATTTCGTGGTTTTCTGTAGTGATAAGGTTTGGTTCTTTTCTCGTTCTTATTTGTAAATCTGTTCTAACAGTGAGTTTTATACATTCATTTTTGTTTATGATGGTAGTTATCATCCTTTCACTTTCATATGTATGATTTCCTTACACATTTCTTGCAAAACAGGTTTAGCGGTGATGATTTCTCTCAGTTTTTGCTTGTCTTGGGAAGACTAATTTTCATTCATTCTGAAAATAGCTTTGCTCGGTATAGCCTTCTTAGTTGAAAGAATTTGTTTGTTTGTTTTTACACTTTTAATATACTAACCCAATCTCTCTTGGCCTTTAAGGCTTCTACTGATAAATCTGCTGATAGCCTAATGAGAATTCCTTTAAATGTGACTTGATGCTTTTTTCTTGCAGTTTTTAGAATTCTCTCTTCGTCTTTCACTTTTGGCTATAACATGTTTGGCTATAACAGTTTGACTATAACATGCCATGGAGAGAAAATTTTTGGATTATATATGGGGAATTTTCAGCTTTTTTGATCTGGTTGTTCATATCTCTGCCAAGACTGGGGAATTTTTCAGATATTATTTTATTAAATATCTTTACTATAACTTTTTCTATCTCTTCTTCTTCAGAAGAATTTTGGCCATTTCCCAAAGTGCAAGTATTTGTTTGCTTAACGGTGCCCCATAAGTCCCATTTAAAAAAAAAGTTTCTTTACTTTTTTATTTTTTTATTTTTTTTTGTCTGATTATGTCATTTCAAAAAGTTTGTCTTCAAGCTCAGAAATGTCTTCTTTTACTTCATCTAGTCTGTTCTGTAAGGTCTCAATTGTATTTTTTATTTCATTCATTGAATTCCTCACCTCAAAGGTTTGTTTGATTTTTTTCTAATAGTTCCTATCTCTTTATGGAATTTCTTATTCAAAACATAAGAAATTTGATTTCCTGATTTTGTTAAATCATCTACCTGTATTCTCTTGTGTCTTAGTGAGTTTCCTTAACATTATTATTTTGAATTTGTTTTCAGGCATTTCATAGATTTTCTTTTCTTTGGGAGTATCTTACTGGAGAATTATTGTGTTTCTTTTGCTATGGCTTTTTATTTCTTTTTGCCTTTTCATGTTTCTTGAGTCTCTATGTTGATATCAACACACCTTGTGGAACATCTACTTCTTTCAATTTTATGGGGTAGCTTCCATATGGTAAGACTTTTTCTTAGAGATGTGTTCTACAGCATCGGTTGGGTAGCATGCTTTGGCTTTCATTCTGAGTGGGTACATTATATAGTCTCTATGTATTTCTTTGGCTATAATCAATGTAATTTCTTTGGCTATCATCAATGTCAGTGGTGTCTGTGAGTATTTTAGTGGC
Source organism: Homo sapiens (assembly GCF_000001405.40). Lineage (NCBI taxonomy): Eukaryota > Metazoa > Chordata > Mammalia > Primates > Hominidae > Homo > Homo sapiens. Next base: position 2,956,741 of record NC_000005.10, read on the forward strand.
CTAGAATGTAGGTATTTGTGGAGGCAAGACTTTGCTGGGGAAAGGGGCAACCAGGTAGGCCAGTTCTCAGGCCCTGGGTGAGTGCATGCCAAGTGTGATGGCTCCACTGGTTGTGGGGGCAGGGCAGGATCATTGGCAGTGGGGGCCCCGGTCAGGTGAGTAGTTGGACCCTGGGAAGCACATGCAGTGTGTGATGGCTTTACCAGTTGAAGCGTCAGAGTCACCACTGGTGATGGGCATTGGGCGGCCAGTCCTCAGTCCCTGGGGAGCACACATGTTAGTTTCCTCAGTCTTGGGGGTGGCCTTCCCACTGTTCTTGATTGCTTTTTTTTGGTTGGGGGGCGATGAGGGGGTGCAGGATGCTGTGTGGGCTTCAGTGCCAGAGTCACAGTTGTACTTCTGGATCTAACTGGGGTTGTGTAATTATAGCCTGTTGTGTGGGTTTGGTGAGAATAAGTCAGGCCCTCAGAAATGTGGAGATGCAGGGGCTATTAACTCCTAGGGCAGGATGCATTCTAGCCATAGTTTTGTTCCAAAAATGGCATTGTGCTGTGGCAGCTTGGATCCTGGGTAGTGGGGGGTGACTAAGTGTTAGTTCATTCCCTGGAGTGATGGAGCTGTGTGAACTCTAGGCAGTTCTCTACACTGGGCTCAGAGCCTGTGAGGGTTGAGTGGCCCTGTTGTGGCTAGGATTGCATGTGTCCATGGTGGTAGTTGAGAGTTCTGGGAATCTCCAGCTTACCTTTTCCAATCAGGGGGATTCCCGCTTGGTACCAAGCTGATCTTAGCTGAGGACTTCGCTTCCCTCTCTATGGTGCCATCCTGAGTTTCTGTCCTTCAAAGGGTTTTCATCACTTCCTAGCTGAATTCCAGTGTTCTCTCTCAGACACCACTCAAAATGTAGTTGCTTATTTGTTATTTTCGTTCTTCTTTGTGGAGACATGAGTGGTGGGAATCTCTTTAGCCATTTTGATGACATAATCAGTGACATGCCTGGTTTTGGGAGTCCCCAGGTCAGAGTTATGTCTTTTTGATGGCTAAAAATAGGCAGCACCTAATGCCAACTTTTATGACTGTCAAGAAAAGAGGAAAACCTGGATTGTTGAGGTCCAGGGTGTCCCTCTTTCCTTGTATAAATGGTACTCAGAAAGCCACAAAGGAAATGAAAGACAACTCTGCTTGAGGTTGAAGAGAAAGGCTGAGGAGGATAAGTTGAAGATTTACTGCAACCTGGAGCCTCTGGTGAAGCCACTGGCCCTTCTGCCACCTTTTTCCCACACAACTTTATTGTTTAAATGTTACACCAACCTCAAAGGTCAACGTTTGCAGATCTTCCTTGCCGGGACTCACACTCTGCTGTCTTGCAACCCAGCATTTCTCAGGGAGCTTGCCAAGGAAAGGCCATGCCAGTCAGTAATCTGGCTGCAAATTTGCAAGAAGATCAAACAAAATGCAATGTTTGGGATAGCTTTTCTCTTTCTGTGTGGTGTGCAGAGGCTGAAAAATCACCGTAGCTTACTGTGGCAAGAAAGAATGTGCGTATATGAAGAAAATGCTTCTTGGGGAATTATATTTCAGGAGTAAGCAGATCATTTGATACCTGGATTTTGGGCCTCCTGGCTAAGAGTCCTGGCTGAGTTCACCACCTTGAAACCACAATCTGGGTCACAATACTGCATGCCTCATGAGCAAAGGGAGGGTGTATGTAGGCAGGCTGTATAAGTGTCAGAGTGGAGACAAACTATCTTTGTTTCTAGAATCTCAGAGAGCATCTTGGGAAGCAGAGTTCTTTGTTGCCGGAAGTCAAAAAAAGCAAGATCCAAGTTGACTATGACCTCTATGGTCTATTCAGGAAGGTCTGTCAGAACTACACCATCCACCCTCTAGCTGGCTTATTCCTGTGCATATAGAATGTCTGTGCTGTGTCTGATCAGAACCATTCCCTCTTCACTTTCTAACACATTTTCCAGGCAGGCAAGGATCCCAGATGAGAACCAGAATATCTGTGGACTTAGGGTATCTGTCTCTGCTAGAGGCCTGACCATGTCCTAGCAGTTCATTCACAGGGGCCAAAAAGTTAGGGAGGCCATTTTTGGTCTCCAAGATAAATGTGTTCCCTAAAATGTTTGTGCACTGCATCTTTGATCTGTTTCAGGTCACCAAATTGAAAAAATCTTGGCAAGGATTCAGAGAGAATTATAACCTAGAGTTAGCCTTTCAAAGGCTGTGACCTAAGAACCCAGCAGTAGCCATGTAATGGTTTGTAGAGAATGGCATGGAGTCTGGATTAGTCACGATTTTCCAGAGAAACAGTATATTGGCTCACATAGTTAAGGAGGGGAGAAATTTTACAGTCTGTCTGCAAGGCTGGAGACCAGGGGAAGCTACTGCAAATCAAGAGGCCTGAAAATCAGGTGGCTGATGGTTTCAGCCCACATCTGAGTTCAAAGACCCAAGAACCAGGAGCACCTGTGTCTGAGGGCAGGCTAAGATCATTGTCTCAGTTCAGAGAGAACAAATTCCCCTTTCCTCTGCCTTTTTGTTATATTTGCGTTCTCAACAGATTGGACATATATGCCATCTACATTGTTGAGGGTTGGTCTTCCTCACCTCAGTCCATGGATTTAAATCCTCATCTCTTCTCAAACCCTGACAGATACACCCAGAAATAATGTTTTACCAACTATCTTGAGTATTCGTTAGCCCAGTCAAGTTGACAGAATTAACTATCACAGAGTTCAGCTTTTTAGAAGCATTGAAGTATTTATAAAATTCTAATTGTTTTGCACCCACCGAATGCAAGCATTTTCAATTTTTTTCCCAGACTATTTGGCACAATGTAGACAACTTCTGAGCACTGGGGAATACGCCTTCTCCTATCATTTGCCCTGGGGCATGGACCTTTTGCCCTGGCAAGTTTCATAACATTTTAATCCTTTCCCTTCCTCAACTGTGTGATGGTGACCACAATGCATCAGGAAAGTCCTAGTAAGAAAGACCCTTCAATATCTGGCTTGATGTCACCAAGATGTGCAAATATAAAAACAACACAATGTCAAGTTACCGTTCTGGAAGGGAGTGAGAGCTGTGGTGGGCAGCTGGAGAGGAGGCAGGTCAACCTCTTGTTGACACCTTCCTGCCAAGGTGAGGCTTTCTTGGTAATTCTCTTGTCCCAAGAGAAAGGACACACAGAAGCAATGGTTCGAGACATGTGCTTTTTCTTCACGCAAAGAAAAGTGAGTTGTGACAGATCACCCTCACATAAGTGAAAATAAATGTGGCTTTTACAGTAACATTAACAAAAATTGAAAATAAAAAGGATCATTAGTCAAAAATGCAGGTGACATAAAGTATCATACTAAATGATTGATGAAGCAAAAAATATTGCAAGAATCTATTTCACCACAACAAGGGGCATTTATTTCTCTACTTGGAGAGTTCGTGGGGAATAATTGGAGTTTCCCTGAGACACTTACCTGTCTTTTGATGTTTACTGAATGTGTTTATTAAAACTCACATCACACTTTCAGTGGAAATCATTTTTTTCTTGATTCACCTCAAGTGATCTCAGGCATGGAAATATGGAAAATGTTATATGAAGTTTTATGGAAATTGTTATATAAAGTTCCATACACAAATCACTGAATTATTTACTTTGTTGCAGCCATTTCTGGAGACAAATGGAGTTTCCCAGCATGTGTGGCTCCTACAGGTCCCTGGAGGCCAGCTGGGCAGAAAACGTGGGAGAAGCCATGGAGAACCCACTGCTGGGCTGGCTGGCTGCCAACATTCACTGCAGAAACAACATGATGTTTTCTGCCTAATTAGCAGTGATATAAAGAGTGACTGAGAGAAATGTGAGGGTCTCAGTGTCTGAGAAGGGGTCCCCCACTTGAATTGGACAGACCCCACTTTCCTCCTTAAATTCACGTGCTTATGTGTCCACCCCAGATGTCCTCTTTGCCTCTAAACAATTAACTCCGATAAACTAAGTCATAAAACCCAATGCTTCATTTTTTAAATTGTGGACATATTATTATGAGTATTTATTACATGTGTGTGCACACCAAAATGCAGGTGGGGATGAAAAATGTGGCTAAATGCAACCCCACCTCTGGAAAAACTAAACCAGGTTAAAATGAAGTCCTATTTTAGTCTTAATTTAGTTTTAGCAGCATGTTCTTTCTGTGGCAGACACTGGATGGTCAGTGGTTTAGTGGCGGGATCATTTGCTGGCCATCCGCCCCTGGAATTCCTGGGACCAGTTATGCACCAGCAGTTAACTGGACAGTTCCAGTGCTCTGCTTTTCTGTGGGCCTCCATGGAATAGCATGTGTCTACTTTGCAGAGGGCCCGTGGGATGTGGCCAGGCCAGCTGATGGTCTCACAAAGACAGGCTTGCTCTGAGTCCATGTGTATTAGTCTGTTTTCATGCTGCTGATATCCAATACTGGATAATTTATACAGGAAAAAGGGTTTAATGGACTTACAATTCCACATGGCTGGGGAGGCCTCACAATTATGGTGGAAGGTAAAAGGCACTTCTCACATGGTGGCAGACAAGAGAAGAAGAAAGCTTGTGCAGGGAAACTCCCCCTTTAAGACCATCAGATCTCATGAATCTTATTCACTATCATGAGAACAGCATGGGAAAGACCTGCCCCTATGATTCCATTACCTCCCACCAGGTTCCTCCCACAATACCTGGGAATTCAAGATGAGACACAGCCGAACCACATCATCATGGGAGGGGCAAGAATCTCTGCAGACTGGCTGGGCTTCCTAGTTAGCCTTAGCTTATCCCTGGAGACTCCAGAAGCAAAGAGGGCACGTACCCTGATGTCCTCTCAACTCCTGATTCCTTTTCCTCTTGAGTTTAGAAACTGTATGAGGAGTGACATCTCCCTTTACTCAGTTTTGGTATCTAATGTAAGACTTAGCTATAACAAATTAGCTTCTCTTAGGGTTTTCCCACTTTTGAAGTCTGCTGATGATAGACATTTTATTGAGGAGAGTATGAGAGTCAAAAATTCCAAATGCTATGAGAAACCCAGGAGAGCATGGAGGAAAATAAGAGCAGCTACTATTTGCTAGTGACAAAGTTTGTCCCAGGCAAGACAGTAGAGGCTTTGCCTGTGTTATCTTAGGTCCAGATGCTTGGGGAAGTCTAAGGAGGCTTCACAAGTTAATGGCCTTAGCTCTGAGAAGAATGGTTGAACAGGAGGATGAAGGACAACCGAAACCAAGTGAGCAGAGCAGGAGACAGGAGCTCACCCTTAGCATCCTACTCCTGAGTCAGGCCAGGCCCTTGGGCACTGGCTTTCCTCTGAGCTTCCTAGGATGCTGGGATGGCTTAGGAGGCGGAACCCTGCATTAGTCCAGCTCTAACAACAGTGTCCTTGCGATAGGAATTCCTGAGTGTCCAAAACACTTTGGAAGAGTTGAGAAAATGTTTATATTAGAGCTCATGTCTTTCTTGTTAAAATTTTATTCACTCAAAATCAAATTATTTTGTTACAGATGGGGACTGAAATTTGGCAAAAATTGGCCAAATATACAGTGGTATTTGGATGTTATCTTGAAATTCATATAATTTAAATCATTCTGTCAGGGACCTTTAATAATTATTGCAGCTCCAAAAAGACTGTATGGTTCCAGAAAAATGAGGAGTGTCTTTGTGCACATGGTAACATTGATGCAGGACTTTTTGCTCCTTAGTTCAGCTAAAATCCTGGTTCTTGTCTCATGACCAGGAAAAATTTGGCACACAGACACATTTAAAGGTGAGGAGGGCAGAATTTATTAAGCAAAATAAAAGCTCTCAACAAAAAGAGGGGACCTGCATGCTGGTTTTCCACCTCACAAAATCGAACACCAGGTTGCCACACACAAGTTGAAGAGGCCGAGCTCCTCCCCAGCATAAGGCACGATTTCCTGGTGGCTCCACCTGCTCCGCCAGTGCACATGCTGGCATGCCCAGGTAAGCCGTAGGTAGTATCAGAAAAGGCAGCATTTGATTGGTTAAAAGGCATTATTCAGAAAGAATCAATTGGGAGTGGGCGGGCAAACAGAAGCAGTTCTTCCTCTGGATCTGGGGTTTCATCCGGGACCAGCAGTCAGGTCTTTCAGCCCTCATGCTGTTTCAGGCTTAAAGGTGGGTTTCATGAAGAACTGTTCGCTATCTGCCCAGGCATTTGTCTCCTTCTGCCTCTACCAACATGGACAATTGACTTCCTGTTCCATCATTTATTGGTCCACGTTCCTTTTAACCCAGAGTAAAACAAAGCATAGCCTTTTATCAAGGAGACCTACACAGAGATGCCCAGCATTTTTCACAGTGTGTTGTAATGAACATAAATACTCTGGACTCACAGATTCAATTGCCAAATAAATTTGGGAGGAGCATCTTATGAAAGTTCTGTCTTAGAGATTCATAGTGCAGGCCAGCATACTGAAGATATGAATCCCTGTAATATATAACTAAGCAATTTTGTGAATCTCCTCATTCCTCTAAATTCTTTGACAGTGGAACACTTACTAATGTAAAACATAGAAACTCCACAAAATGGTGTGTTTTTAAATTGCACCCTGGGTAATATCTTTTATTTTTAAACCTCCCCACTGAATGGGAAGGACTGTATTTACGTCCGTTTTTGATAGCTTGGGCACATTTCTAAGTGTTAGAACTCTGACACGAAATGATCTCTAAAATCTTGTAATTCTTTCCTTGGGGTTTCCACAGCAGGAAATCTCTTGCTGATTCCAACCAGGTGGCTCCATGGGAGAATTGTTCTTATGAATTCACTTTGACTTTTTATTTAGAGACATTTAAGCCATGTGACTATGTGCTTCCTTTATCATTCCACAAGAAACCTATAATTAAATATACTGTGAGAGGTTTAACCCAGCCAAGCCTTAACTGGAGCAGAGCTTTGATACTGAGCAAGACAACCAGTTTCATGGTTACCAGATCACCTTAATGTAAATTAAAAATTTCAGTCATCCATGAGGAGAAGGAATTGCAACCATAGACTCACAACAAAAGCAGACGAAAATTTATACGTTGTTATTAGAAGATTGATGATAGTTTGGATTCAATTAGGAAAAGTTACACATTTCCAAAGTAGCCTTAGCAGACATTTATAATACTTCTTTATGATTTTAACAATAAATGTTTTATGTGGTGCCATTTCTTGATGTCTAAAATTTATTCTGTGTGTTTTTAAGCTTACAGTTGTCAACCTTAAATAGTAATCTAAGAAATCCACCAATGGGAGCTTAAATGTTGAGTTATGATGACTTGTCTAGAATCAATAGATATTATAAAATCTCTCTGTGTGTCTTTCTTTCTTTTTAAAATAGCTACAGTGTTGTTGTTTTTTTTTTTTAACTTGGAACGATAGAAAGAGACCGCATTGCCCAATAAAGACATTGGGTTGAGGACCCCAGGTCTTCTGGTCACGGGGTTGCCCCCCAGGCCTGTTCCAGGGTCTAACGTAGGGGTAGCCCACCCACTTCCTGTTCACATGTCATCTCTCAAGGTGGCGCAGGAGGCAGGAGGCCTGGATTTGCTTCCCTGTTACTATTTACTAGTGATGTGATTTTGTGCAGAAAGATTGTCTTTCTGAGTCTCATTTTCTCATTTCTAAAATGTGGGTAGAAATACAGTCTTTCTCCTGAAAGGTGGGGGCAAAATCAAGTGATTTTATGACTCTCTTGTCTAGCTCCATGAGCTGTAATATTATTGAAGAAATTAGATGAAATAAATTAGACCGAAACTGTAAACAGTTCGTAACTGGCTTAATATTTCAACTCTTGGAACACATAAATTCAGATGTACAGTTTGCTAAGCCATGCCTGCAAAAGTTCTGCTGTTGGTAGCCTCCTCCCAGATCTCAAAAATATGCTCTGCTTCCATTTAGTTCAGCTTTGCTTTATCTGAGTCAACAACGGCAGAAAAAGCTGAAATAGTGTCCCTTCAGCAGCTGAAAGTTCTGCCTGTCTATCCATTCCCATTATCAAGTCCCTATTTAATTAAGGAAACACTTTCAACGTGGTGTATCTACAAAGCAAAATGCTTTTATAGTGTAAACTTTGGGTTCCTCCATGATTGATTCTTTATGTGCTTGATTGATGCATGTTGGAGTATTCTGAAACCTGTAAGTCACTCATCAATCCTCTTTTTAGTTTCAAGGGCCCTAGCCTCAGAAAACTGCATCAATGTCTTCTGAACGGCCATCAAGCTCAAAGCCCTGCTCGTTTCTTCAGGAAAGCTTATTAACAAATACATTCAGCACAGCTTGCAGGAAGCAGCAAGTTTCATGTAGAGTACCACGGCGTCATCATGCAAGTGTCTGTCTGAGCATGGCCAGTAAGAGAACTGGTGGTTTCGGTCCATGAAAGAGCTGGGGTTCCTGGAAGTTTTTGGAATGCCTGGCCACGACATTGGTTGGAGTCTGACTGGGCCCCATGCAGAAAATGCCACACTCTGCTGAGCTGACATCTTTGTGTTCTGCTAGGAGGCCCAGGAATTCATAAAAGAAAAGAACTAAGGCACTTGAAAATTTCGAAGGTAAAACTGTCACCCGTGCAAATCAAATCAAAATTAATAATGTTTTTCTGACTCAATGCAAAAGGCGAAAACACCAATTTAGTTGTTGCTGCGGCTGCTTTTCATGCAGTGCTTTAGAGTTACAGATCCCACATGTGGTTGAAAACCGGTTACTTTCCTGTTGGCTTAAACTCAAAGGCATTTGTATGTGTGCTAAAAACATTTCTTACTATGCACTGTGTTGGAAGTTCCTTATTCATTTCTGCTCTTCTATTTAATTGAAATCTGAGGTTAAAGTGGGAAAATTGAAGCAAGACCCTGAGAGGAAGCTTACTAATACAAATGAGTTCTTTATGATATGAAAACATTACCTTTTGTTTGATTGATGTTTTTTGACACTCAGTGTTTGGGGACATTTTAGTTTTTGAATCACTTTGACTGTGGTCAGGACTGTGCTTGTTACCCAGACCAGTGAAAGTAACCATATTGGTTTAAACACTAACAAGATAAACTAGTGAAAGCAGCCATAATGGTTTTAAAGACTAACAGGATAATGGCGTTTCTTGTTTAGCGGCATAAATTGTGAATGTGTTCCATTAAATTTCCATATGGCATCATGACAATGTAAACACAGACCATCAAGAAGGTCCATAGACTGGCCACTGAGAGAACTCTGGGGGCCCATTGTGATGCTCTCTGGCTAGTCCATCGGGGTCTACATGAAAGAACCCGAGTATCTCCAGGGAGTTTCTGTGGGCTCAGTGATCAGGGGACGATGTAGTGTTCAGGGCTGGGCACATAGTATGTGTTCAATAGATACTTATTTGGATGATTGAGGGTGACCCCACCATGCATTTGGTTTCTTACAGTGAATCTTAATTTCTCAGATGTCTTTGCTAAGTATATTTGACAAAAATACATAAGAAAAACCTTTGTGTTCTTCGATCTCCAGTGAGATATTGTTTTTACAATCACAGAGTTTGGTCCATGATCAATCATCTCCTCTCTTCAGATGCCCTACTCATGCCCTTTTCTGTTGCCCCAGGGTGGGTCCCATCTCCCCTCACTGGCTCCCTGCTTTCTCTGTGTCCCATATGCTTTTATTCGCCTGTCGAAATCCCATCCAACACTACCCAGGCAGGATCCACGGTTGGCCAGAGGCATGACTGAGAATCAACCTGGATGAACGGTGTCTTCCTGTCAGACGCTGGTGCAGCTGGGAACCCGTCCCTGCCCCCACCCATCAGCTGAGAATGTGAAGCCGCATCCAGCCCAGCCCCACCCAGGGTGAAAATGCGCCTACCCTCCTCCTGAGAGGCTCTGGGGATGCCCCCACCCGCCTGTGTCCATCAGATGTGCTGATGGGCATGAATGGGGTGGAGGGGGGAGTCCCTTGCCTGCTTGCACCTGTCAGCAGAGCTGATGGGCAGGGAAAGGTGGGGGAGGCTCTCTTTCCATCTTGTCAACCCAGCTGACAGACAAGTGTAAGTGGGCAAGGCCCCTGGCCTCTACAAGTCTGATGGGGGAGTTGTTTGATTGGGGAGTGGATGGGGTTCCGCTTGCCTGGCAGACTGAGGGGCTGTAAGTGTTGGAGGCAGAAGAGTCTACACAAAGTAGAGTGAGAGGGCTGGGGCTGGTGTGTGTGTGTGCAGGCTCGTGTGTGTGCACAAACCTTCATTTTTTGAATGTGGAAACGTGGCCCACATCCACACCATGGTATACTCACTGAGCCATGGCGTCTGTGTGATAGAGATTGGGGCAATGGTCATCTTTTGTCCAAAATAGTGGGATTTTCACATCAGTGGCTTTTAGAAATAAAAAGGGGGAAGAAAAGACATTATTTGTAAGCTTGATCTTCAAATTTGTAAGAAAACTACTTGATAACATTTTTCATATGATAACAAAGCTAGTAAGCTAATTAATTATCTTTTAGTTGGGGAAGAATTTGGTTTCTAAATTCTCCAGTCGGTGGTTTCAACTTTTTCTTTCTTTGGTTAGAATTCCTTAACCCCAAGAAACATTTAATTTGAGATTTGAGTGCAGATCTTACAGGAAAATTTGTCTTTGATGAGAAATGCTGTGTTCACTTAGCAGGCTCTCGTGCAATGCTGATATGTTGAAGCCTCCATGTGATCAAGCCTCAGCCACATTTTTATGGAAGCCGAGCACCAGGGAGGCCCTTCTAGGAAGGAGCTTCATTCCCATCGGAAAGGTTGGCCATGGCACCAGCCTCACACTGGTTGGAAAGGGCTCATTGAGGAATCTTTCCAGAGTGTTTCATGACTTAACGTTTCACGGCTGGCTCTGCACAACCTGCGAATAAACAAAAACTAAAACAAAAAAACTACAGTGTCGTAGTGACTAATTAGGTAAATACAACACTTTCATTTCATAGAAACTCAAGACATCTGCAATTTGGAGGTAGCAATATGGTCATTTTTATTCAAATCCTGTTTTGTTTTCATGAAATAAAAATTGCAATGCTGATTTTCACATCTGGGCAGTTGGGTGTCAACAAATCGAGAACAAACTGTCAACCAAGTAAACAATAGAACTTTCAATTCTGAAAACTGATTTTGATGAAGAGTAATTTCTTAAAGAAGGATGATCACTCCAAAAATTTCCTGATTATGTTCTGAAATCTTTCAGTAAAAATCATTAACAAGATCATACAGTCTCTGTTATTTGTGTGGGAAAATATAACAAGTCAACTATTTGAAGCCAAAATTAACCTATTGTTTGACTGTACAACTCCTTTCATCAAAGAATGACACTGAAGATATCAGTGGCACAAACAGAAGAACTGATGAAAAATAAATGCCTTCTCTATACCCTGAAATACACCTGTTATTTCTGTTCACAAGTCCTGATTTTATCATCTCAACTTATTAATGAATATAGTATCTAACCAGGCTTTCAGAAGACAAGGAATTTGTGATGTTTTGCAGCTTCTTTTTTTATTATTATTTTGAGCTGTACAGTGGCTTTCTTGACTCATCAGCAGACATCCTGCTGGTATGTACATGTGTGCTTTGGTAACATGAATCATCATTTGTTGTAGTACTTCATTATCAAGTTTGATATTAACAGGTGTGTTAAAGAAATATGTTTCCACTCTACCAAGACAGAGAGGCCTTAGTTAGTACTTGATTCCCCTTTACTCACGAGAAACTTAATCCTGTCATCTACACTGGTGTGGCAGGTGCACATGGACAGCCTTGCTGTGGCCTTTTTATTTGGAGTCATGGATTTCTATGTACTTCCGAGGCTGGGTTTTGCTTCGAGGATAGAATCCAGAAGAAGGAAAGTGAGAGGCATTCTCTGAGTTCCATGGACATTTTCCTTTCCTGCTCTATACTGGTCATCTTATGCCTAGAGTAGAAGATCCTATTTGGTGAGCTGTACTCAGAAAACACACAAACCAAAAACTTGAAAATAGAAAACATTCCGGGGAGGAACTTGCAACAGCAAAAGTCTTGAATAGCATTATGAAAAATAGTTGAAGACACTAGAGATATTTAAATGAAGAACTAGACTACTTAGATGGACATTTAAGTATTGAAGGTTTTCATGTGGGAGATATTAGGTTACAGTCTTGGTAATTTTGGAGACTTGAGTTAGTACCAATCAGTGGGTGAAAGTTACAGTTAACAAGGCAAGGGTAACAGAATAGACATGATATTCAATAGACAGTTGGCAGAACATCTCTCAGGGATAGTGAAGGAAGAGGAGTTGTTCCTCTGAGTGGGAGTTCAAAGCGAGAACTCTAAAACTTTTTTTTCTCCTAAGGGTGCATGATTTAATTGAAGAGCTATTTAGAATACTTCTGGTCAGGATGGAGCCAGAATTTTCCTGTTCATTACAGATCATTTGAGCTTTTCCATATTCAGCATCATGAGGTTTGTTTTTAAACAGAATAGAATAGATTTATCAAGTTTTCTCATATTATGTCCCAAGTTGATTGCATATTCAGTTTGGGTAGTTATATGTCACCTTGAAGACAACTAGCTAATATGAAAGAAAAATGGAATGAGATTTAAAATGGTAAATTTTGACTGCCTGATAAATAAATACACCCTAAAGATTCAATAATTCATCACTTTGAGTTATTTATCTCTCTCCAAAGATTTCTGAAATCATTCTTTACTGTTTCGCTTGATTAATTCTTTGATCTCTGCGATGGAGATCACTTTATCCACGGCCACTGCACAGACTGAGTTATTAAAGGAATAGAGTGGTGATAAACACATTGATGCCAATCAGTTAAAACTGTAAAAAGCCTGGGTAGGAGGGTGGGAACAACAGATTTTATACTCTTGATGATTTTGAGAGCTGCAACTGCTATACCTTTGTATATTTATAAAGCTTAAGTGACTAATTTGCAAGCAAACTGGTCACTAGGGCCATGTTCCCTGCATGCAAGGAGCACGTCTGAATAACATGGGCGAAGCACCTACTTGAATTTCTTTAGGGTGATCAGTTGCTAGTTATTTTATTGGGAGATGAATGCAGTATTGATGGTTAAAGTTTTCTGATGGCCCCTAAGGGAAACTATGGGCATTGCATATACTTTCAATGAATAGAACTAACTCAAGAAAGTTAATCTTATCCACCCCTACAGAGCCAGAGTTTGTAATATGCTCTGACAGGGATGAACCTTGAAGACAGTGTGCTAAGCAGAACGAGCAAGCTGCACAAGGGCAAGCTCTGTACCATTCCACTGAGATGAGGCATCTAGATTGGCCAGAGTTATAGAATCGACGAGAAGAATGGTGGTTACCAGGAGATGAGGGGAACTGGGAAATCGCTGAGCAACAGACATGAAGTTTCAGTTTTACACGCTGAATACATTCTAGACATCTGCTGCACAACATTATACTCAAAGTTCACAATACTGCACTGTACACTTAAAATATGTTTGGGAATAGATTTCATGGTAAGTGTTCTGTGCCCAACAAAAACAAAGTTTGTGTGTTATTGGAACAACTGAATTAAATGCCAACTTTTTTTTAACAAAAACATTCTATGTATGTCTTTTTGCTTTTTACACTCTTCAGATGTTCTGAACATGGGCCTAAAGCTTCATTTAGGATGGTCGGGGGTTGACTATCTAGACAAAGGTTGGCTAATGCCAGTTACAAAGATCAATTTGAACAAACAAAAGTCTGAATCATAAACCGGCCTCCTTCAAACCATTTTTTTCTCTTAAATGAGTACAATAGCCTGATAAAACATTTCCAGGCAGAGGAGGTGCTCTTTAAATAAAAAGATCAGAATGGTGCATGACTGATATATAACTGTGTAGGTAGGGGGCTCTCTAATGCTTGAAGTTCTGGGTGACCGTTTGGATCTATTGCTTCACCCTTGTTACTGCTGATCCGGGATCTGGAAGTCATTCCGGACCTCCAGAGCAGAGGAGTGATCATGGGCTAAGGATCTCTACAGGGCTTCGTGTCCACCCTTGAAAAGTAAAATCATGCAAATTACCTGAAGTCATAACATTCGGAAGTCGCAGAGGAAGGATATGAAGTCTGTCTTCTCACATCTAGAGCTGACATTCCCTCTCCCTCCCTCACACCTTCCCTTCCTCCATTCTGCCCATTCTCCCACTGGATCCTATGATGGTTATAGAGAGAAAACTTAGCTTTATCTGCAGCAGCACTTCCCAAGTTACAGGAAATTCCCATTCTGGGAAGGAGGGAGGAGGGCCAGGGTCTCCACTGTGGACTGCCCTTGGGGATGCTGGGGGAACAAAGTCACTTTGGTGTCCTGGGTTTCTTGAGGAGGCTTGGTGAGCTAATCTGCATGACTGGTCTCCCAGGAAGGACTGTGCACGTGGGGCTGCCTGAACTTGTTGGCCCATGAAATCCTCTTTTCATGGAATACCTATTAATATCTCAGGACACAGTATGGAAAGCTCTGGTTAACTTTGTTAGTTTGCTTACCAAACCCTTTCTCCATAGATAAGGAACGACAAACAGCAACCTTGGTGAAGACAAATTGGTGATATTTTACCCTTCGGACAGTTCTCTTCCAGGGATGTTAATTAAGTAACAACTGCCATCATTCTCAAAGAGCCCAGGCTTCCCCTCTTTGTGAATCATCCAAAGAAAATAGTCTTTAACAATCCAGTAACTCCAGAAACTACTTCAAAATCTGTTTGTTCTCCCTGACACCCAAATCTTCATGGAGATTTAAATAGTGATGATAATGATTCTGAGAAGCATTACAGAAGCTAATAAATAATAAAATGAGAACAAAATCCAAATTTAACATAAAACCTTCATACATGTCTTTAATCTAGAATTCTGCAAACTTAATTGACCTTAAGTTGTTTTGTTTTGTTATTGAAAATACAGAATAACCACCCCATTAGCTGGTTTTCTGGGAGTGCTGTCCTGTAGATGTGAGTTTAAAACATCACTTGGAAGCACAGTTGTCCTAGCCTCCTGTCCTTCATATGCTTAAGGAGCTTTAGGCAAGAACAAGGAAGGGGTGTTAGTCTGCAATATGCCTGGAACATGTTAGGAAAATAAAACAAAGGCTGAGATATGATTTAACTAACTTTGTTTTAAACTGAGCTGCTATTAAGTTCAGTTTGAAGTCTTTGTTCTATCCCCTTATCTGTTTGTAGCTACTGGAGTCCTGGCTGAAAGAAACCAGATTCTACAATGAAAACACATGGACACAGGAAGGGGAACATCACACACCGGGGCCTGTTGTGGGGTGGGGGAGGGGGGAGAGATAGCATTAGGAGATATACCTAATGTTAAATGACGAGCTAATGGGTACAGCACACCAGCATGGCACATGTATACATATGTAACAAACCTGCACGTTGTGCACATGTACCCTGAAACTTAAAGTATAATAATAAAAAAAAAACAGGTTCTGAATCCATTAATGCACCTTTAACACTCACAACTGAGATGACACTTGAAGTGTGTGGATATTTCTAGGGGGTATCTGTTCTACTTTACAACATAAAACAATCTTTTTTTAGCATAATGCAGCAAATCAATACTGTCAGATTAGTAACAGCATTGCCATGGATATATTCTGACATAATTCATATATTTCAATTTCAAAAAATTATTAGTAAAATAGAATATTTATTGGTAATTTAATAGTGTGTTAAAATTTATGGGAAATAGTCTCAAAAATTACT
Source organism: Homo sapiens (assembly GCF_000001405.40). Classification (NCBI taxonomy): domain Eukaryota; kingdom Metazoa; phylum Chordata; class Mammalia; order Primates; family Hominidae; genus Homo; species Homo sapiens. Next base: position 2,972,460 of record NC_000005.10, read on the forward strand.
TCCCTGGATGCTGCCAGTGTAGAACAGCTCTTTTCTTTAATATGTTTGTATAGGGTTAGTAAACATAAACAAGTAAAATCTTTCTTCAACTGGAGATCTTTATTTTCTCCCTTGGGGTCAAATTTCTCTCACCTTTTTATAGGATTTTGAGGTAATTTCAATTATCAGTACACTCTATGATGTGATTAAGCTTAATAGATAACAATAGTATATCTATCTGATAGCTAGAATTATATTTTATTATATCAAAATTATTGTTGATATATTACTGTAATTATGATTAGTATTAGTCCAAGCCTCCATGGTAAGAAATGAATAATTTCAAATGTACTAATGTGGATATTTTATAATTAATTACTCAATTAAAATAGAAACAGGTTTTCCATATTTATTTTGAAAGTATAAGCAATATAAAATAATTTATAATTTCCATTCATTTAATTTGTGCTCTCCTCCAAAATTTATAACTATCAAGTAAATACCTTTTACAAAAAGAACACACATGCAAACTGGGCACCTCCCAGATGTTAGATATTTTGCAAGTATTGTTTTTAATAAATGTAAAGTGTGCAGGTTTTTACAGATGAGTAAACTGAGGCTTAGAAAGGTGGACAACTGCTAAGAGAGAAGCCGGGATTCCAAGCACAGTCATTGCTCAGTATCCTGGGGATTGGCTTCAGGATGCCAAGTTCACAGATGCTGAGTCCCTTACGTAAAATGGCATAGTATTTACACAAAGCTATGCACTTCCTCTACATATTTTAAACAATCTCCAGATTACTTGTGAGACTTAATGCAATGTAGTGCTAGGTAAATAGTTGTTATGCTGTATTTTTTTTACTTGCATTATTTTTTATTGCTGTATTGTTATTTTTCTTGTTGTTGTTCTAACATTTTTTATCTACACTTGGTGGAATCCATGGATGGGGAACCCATGGACTTGGAGGGCTGATGATATTTCCAATACTTTCTGTCCTACTGGACCTCCTCAGTAGGAGTCCCTCAAGTGATAAGTTGCTGTATGAACGGAAAAAACCACAGTAACTGCAGCAGAGTCATGATGGCTAATATTTTAGAATTTAACTTAATGATATTATTTTATTTTATAATTACATCAAAATTATGTTATTCCTATTTACATTGTGCCTATAGACTTGAAGACAGTGAGTGTGTTCAGTTGTAGAGTTCTCTCCTTCTATTGATGAGTATATATTTGATCAGTTTTGCTGAGAAATTACTAGATAAAACATCACTCCACAGGGATCAACATTATAAAATCTCATAAGCAGTAACCTTGTCTCCATATACCAATTGTCAGAATCCCACAGCCAACCCAGAGATCTGTCATCAGTATCTGTGTATCCACAAGTATCCATATATGTAGCCTCCCGGTGGCATTTTCTTGAGGGTGTTCCTTCTGCTTCAACTAAGTCTCACCTGAGTTTCCAGGTCTCCTGTGGGTCCATCATATCACACCTCTTGGTCAGTTCTCCTCCCTGCAGGTTTCTATAGATAATGGATAAAGGGCCTGTATTCATTATCCCTGAGCCCTCACCCCTCAAACCTACAGGACTTTCAAAATCACCAATGTTTCTTTTTTTTCTTAGTCCTATATATAAATCTAAAATAAATCAATATATACTCATTATTCTCGTGAAAAAAACGTGCAGAATGGTAATTTTTAAAAGATATCTTGCCTTATTGTCCATCCATGGAGATCAACCCTGTTAACAGCTTGTGGTAACTATCCTTACGTTGGCATGACCAAGAGGTTGTACAAACACAATAGCACACAGAGAAGATTAGTCTGTAGAGAAAAGATGTAATTCCAAACTCATTAGACTGTGGTTAAGTGTTCTTACTTAGCTGCTCTGTGAGTGAGTGAGTGTCTCACATCCATGGGCATTTCTCCAGGCCATAACTAAAACTCATTCCTGTTAAGAGTTGTACAATATTTCAATGTATGGACAAATACAATTTAGTCACTCAACAGCTTATCATAGATATTTCTATTGACTCTGATTCACTTTTAACCTCAAAACATGCCACAATATTCTTGTTCAAGTATCCTTATATCTTACTGCTTTTTATATTTTAATATTTAATGTTCCCAAAAGAAACACTCCTAGAAGAAAAGGCATGCACAGCTTTATTTAAATACTTATAATTTAAACCAAGAATTTAAATTGCTGTTACCTCTAGGAGACTCATTTATTTCTAGGCACTGTCATGCATACTGGGCATTATTATGCTTTTAATTTTTTTCTAAACTGATGGGGTTAAAAATGTTGTGCATTATTAACTCAACATGCATTTCTCTGACAATGGAGTTCAACATCTTTTTATATGTCTATTATAACTTTTCAAATTGCCTTTTCTATGGATTGAGTCTTTACTAAATCATGCTTGTTTGCCTTTCTATCAATTTATAGAATCCTAGTGATGTACACACTTTATTTGTATATGTTGCAAATATTTTTCCAGTACATTGCTTATCTGTGACTGTTTTTGTTATCATTTGACATTTAAAAAAATGTATTCAGATAGGTCTTTTATTAGCCTATTTCATAGACTCTTTGCTTTTCAATAATACAAATTTATCCCGAAGATTTTCAAATTTTTCATGTTTTTAGAGATTTTTTTAACATTTTATTATGTATATGGAATAAGCAGGAGTTTAGTGTTGTTTTCTTTTAGATGAATAGCTAATTATGCCAATACCACTCATTAAGCAATCCATGCTCCCCTCCTGAATTGAAATATCCCTTTTGTAGTATATTGTTTCTATATACACTCAATTTTATATAGACTTCCTATTACAATCTGTCATGTGAATGTCTTACTTCATTTCATATTAATGGCCTCATTTTTAAATAGGTTAAGACAAGTGCCTGTTCCCTATACTGATATTTAGAATTATACTGCCCATTCTAAAACATTTGCTTTCCCATATTATTTCAGTCAGATTAAACTAGGCAAAAATGAACCAATTAACCTTCAAGTTCTAATGCTTAATTAAACACAAGTGTATATTTTGCTCTTCCAAACTCCCACAAGGGAGTGGATTATTGCAGATCTCCTCCAACTGATGACCCAGGGATTGAGATCCCCCAACATGTGGCACCACCACTTCAAAATGCAGCTTTTGAGATAGTCTTGGCAAAAGGAAAGTGCATAGAAAAATTACCTCACTCTTAAATACAGTTTATTGGCTAAAACTGGTCATGTAGCCTCAATCTAAGAATAGAGCTGATTTTAATATGTAGGTGAGAATGTGAAATATTGCTAGATAGGATTGTTTCTGCCTCATACCTGGCCTTTTACACCATTTTACTCAGGTCAAAATAAAGTTTCTTCTGATTGTGTCATGTGTATATTACTTGGGAATAATTAATATTCTTATAATATTAAACTTTTCTACTCAGGAGAATAATATTTGTAGCTGAATATTTATCTGATCTGTTTTATATTCTTCAATAAGATTTATAGTATAAATCTTTTATCTTTTTTATTAAGTTGTTATCTAAGTATTTTATAGTTCTAGCTACTTTTGAAACAGGTTAATTTGTTTGCATTTTCATTTCTAACTAATATGGAAAGTATAGAGAAAACTATGCTTTTGTATATTTAGCATATTTCCAGCCACCTTACCAAATTTTATTATAAACTGTGGTAATTTTTATTAGTTTCTAATTTTTTCTGCTTTTACAATAATATCATCCATAGAAAGAGTTAATGAATTTGTTATTCTCCAGTATATAAGCCAATTATTTTATATTTTATATAATATTTTTTAGATTATCTTAAAGAATTTTGTGTAATATTGATGTTACCTTTAGATACATCATCTCCAAGAAAAGTGTAGTAGAAAGCCTTGGATTCATCTCTATCTTGCACTCTCCCTCCAAGTCTATATGTAATCTATCAGAAATTTTTAATGATTCTATCCTTTTAATATTTTCCAATTTTTTCCCCCATTCTTCCTTCATACCACCACAGTCTTAGGTCATGATTTCATCATTCTAACTTGATTATTACATATCTTTTTCATTGCCCTCTCTAACGCTAATCTAGTCACCTCTGAAGTTGTATTTTTATTCAAAATCTAATAATGACTCTCATTTTAGAAAAACATTCTATGGCTCCTCATTTTCATTCATTGTTCATTGCTTTTCACAATCTCGTACTTGTCTGTTTTTGTGGTCATTCTACATTCTAAGCTACAGCATGCCACTGTGGGCATGTTCTTCCTTCAGCACAGAAAGATCTCCCATTCTGGCTACATGGATACGTCCTTTTATGTCATCACACTGATTTTTTCTTGCTTAAATCATGACTTGTTAACTGAAGTTAGACTTTTCTGACACTAGTACAAAACCCACCATGTTGTCACTGTCCCTTTCCATTCCAGTCATTGGAATAATAAGAAGTACAGAGGATGTTAATGCATCTGCACAACACCTGGTTGATGCTTTTATGAACTTCTAAATTATTACTACTTGATGCAACAGGTATGTTTCTACATATATGAAGAGATTGAAGTAACTGCTGAACTGAAAGAGGTCAAGAAAATGTTATATTCTGTCATTAAAGGAGCAAGACTATGTGACAGATTAGTAGAGTAAATTATTCTTTGTTAACTAGTTCTTAAATTTTGTTGTATTTTATTTCCATTTTTAAAGGAGATAGTAATGAAACAATTCATAGACTTAATATTCTTACCAAACAAAGAGAAAGAAAAGCCTAGTAGACTCAGCCAAGTTTGCAAAGCAGATATTGTTCATTCTGCACCATTCAATTTTTCAGACATACCCTGTCTTGTGCTTCCCCCAGTCTCCTTTTGTTCTCTTTGTTTGCAGTTTTCAGCAAATACTTTAATATGACTATGATTCTTTTTTAAAAAAAATACGGTTATCTTCTCCAGTTTTTAATATATTAAGCCTCTGTGAGAATTCAAGTTAAGGGATGTCTTTCAGGAATTCACTGCATAAGAACCATAAACTTTAAAGGTATTGCACACGTAAACTGACCCTTATTCTGATCTTAAGGAGGAACCACCAAGAATGGGTCTCTTAACTAACTACTAGAGTAAAGAAAGCAATGATACAAGTTATCAGTAATCATTTACTATTTGTTTATCAAACTTCAAAGTTTCAGAGATTCTCTCCTTTAAAAAAAACTTTAGTCAGGCTCCTCTGAGTCCTTTGTTTCACTAAGCTCATACTTAAGCTTCTCTTCTTGTTTCTGCAGAACTCAATTTGAGCAAGAATCCTGCACAATTGGTTAAGGGAAAATTCCTACCCTTGATATCTGACCACATTTGACATCTGATCACCCTGGCCTGCCTTCAGCAATGATCCTATCAAGTCAGTTTAGCTAGAATCCCCTTATCCCGGATGTTTCTTTCAGTAATTTTCCATGCACTGACCCCCACCCTGATCCTTGGTTATAACCCTCGACTTCTTCTCGTTGGCATTGGATTTGAGTCCAATCTCTCTCCCCCACTGCAAGACCCCAGTGGTTCCTACATCAATCAACATGACCGAATTTAAATAAAGTCTGCCTTCCCATCTTTAGCAAGTACCATGAATAATTTTTTCTCTAACAAAGGTCAAAGGAAAGCATGGATTTCTGGAGAGCTGTCCCTTTTTTCCTCCTTAGTAGCTTTACCTTTAGATCCTTTGATAATAGCTGTCTTGAAACCAGTTTGCAAGACTTTCCCCTGCCCTACTTCCTTCTGTTCTCCTCTTCTCTTTCCCTCCTGTTTTCCTTCATGATGCTCCTGTGTTTTCACAAAATCACCAGAAGATGAGCAGAATCACAAGCATGATGAAGAATGGGAGCTCACGTTGGGGAAGCAAGTCAATGAAGCCATGCCTTTGTTTCCACAGCACAGCAACAGACTCCTCGTGTAAGATGAGTATGTAACCCTCTGCCACAAGGCATGATCACCTGTTTTAACTGGGAGGTCAAGTTCACCAGAAGCCCCACTAACTTAAGTACAATACTTGATAACTATAACTTCACTTTCATAGCCTCGGTGTTCCTTGTATCCTCCTCTGAAAGAAACATGTCACTCAACAGGGAGATCTGACTTAAGACATGTTTGGCTCCTCACTGTAACTTTGGTAAAGTTATCTAGCTTTTAAAAATCAATTTGCATAGTTTTTCACTGCTTGCTAGATGAACAATTAGAGGCATGCTATGCCTCTACCGATGCTATTTTTATTTAAAACAGGGATATTTTGTTCATCATGGATTTGGTTGTGCTAATTTGACTTTTTAAAATGTTGCACCAAAATTTTATTTACCTTGATTACTGATTTTGGTCCCTCCTTAAAATTTCCCCATGACTAGTGCCTCATACACCTCACCCCAATCCCAGCCCTCAGCCCGCAAATAATATCGAGAGACACTAAATTAAAAATACCTTTAATTTACATCAGATAAAAGAAAAACAGAACTGGATAGGTAAGCCATGTTGTTCCAAACCCAGGCTAAAACACCAACATAATATTTTAAATGAACAAACAACTTCCTGAGCAAGTATTTCTTGTCAGATGTGATTGAAAAACATCAGCAGTATTAAAACTGTGATATAGTTTTTTAAAGATCTCACAAAATGTTTGGGTACTCACTGGTGAGGAGACAACACAAATGAACTTCAGTGGTGAATGACATGGAGCTCATATTTTGTTCTGGAAAACAAATTATTACAGGAGGGCCGCTTGAAATTGTAAGGAGCAGAATACAAACATACTTCTCTTTGTGCAATGAAAATGTTTCCGAACAGGGAAGTGTAGTTTAAATTATATTCAATATAGACACTGTGAAAAAAATACATTTAAGACTAGTTTATAGAGAAAATTATTTAGTCATCTTAGTGTACTAAAATATTAAAGTTTGGGTTTTGAGGTTTTCTTGTACTGAAAGAAATCTTAGGGAGCATTTAGTACCAACCTTTTATAGATGAGAAAACTGAGGCTAAAAAGAAAAGAGCAATTTCCATTTTGTTGGATCCCCTTAAATCTTATGAAACAATCCTAATGTATTTGCTGAGAACCTAAATATCCAGTGTTTTATGCCTTAAATAGTGAAATCCTATACAGTCTAGTTGCTAAGTTTAAAGCTAACAAGTATTTTTCTTTTTGCAGTAACTTTTCCCCTACTTGAAAAATTGGGATGCCGATTTTTCTCCCTTAATGTCACCTCAGTCACGATAAGCACCTTAATCATATTGTGTTTATTTCTGTATTTGTTTGGCCTACTGAAGTATTAGGTAGCACACCACAGTGACACATTTATAACTGAAAGATGGAGAAAATCTAACTCGTTATTGGTCATTTAAACTTGGTCTCTAGATTGGCAATTTAATCACAGAAATTAACAATTAATGGACTAGAAGTGGAAAAACAGATGTCATAAGGTCAGCTGTCCTGAAGCCCTTTTTTTTTTTTTTTTTTTTTTTTTTTGAGATGGAGTCTAGCTCTGTTGCCCAGGCTGGAGTGCAGCAGTGCAATCTCAGCTCACTGCAACCTTCACCTACTGGATTCAAGCTATTCTCCTGCCTCTGCCTCCCAAGTAACTGGGATTACAGGCATGCACCACTCTGCCAAGCTAATTTTTTTTTATTTTTGGTAGAGACATGGTTTCACCATGTTGGCCAGGCTGGTCTTGAACTCCTGAAGTCAAGTGATTCGCCCGCCTCAGCCTCCCAAAGTATTGGGATTACAGGTATGGGCCACCACACCTGGCTGCTCACTCTATTACTTAATTTCTTCTTTCTCTAAAGTTCTTGTGAGCTGTTTGTTGATGCACACGTTTCAATATTCCTATTTTTAACATTTCAGAATTGTTTCTTCACCAGTGTAAGTCTGTTGTGTGCACACGGATATGCAAGCCTGAAGAGAATATCGAATGCAGATTTTGTAGAGATATCTATTAACATAAAATATTCTTGCTCCAAATTGTCCAAATAAAAGCTTATTTAATGCTGCTGCAAACATGCAGAGCTTCGTCACATAGACTAGCATAAGGTTGCACAGGTTGTAAGCTCCATGAAGGTAACAGTTTAGATCTTTTTTGTTTAGCGCTTTTTCTACAGAACCTTAGAAAAATCACTTTCCCATAACAATCACTCAATCAACATTAAATGATGAATAAATGAGGGTACAAATGAATCAATGAATGCTGCTAAAATTTCTTATTTCTGTCATTTAATGGGAGCACTCTAGTAATTTATAAATTTAACAATTAGTACACGTTGATAATATATTGTCATTTCATGTTTTGTTTTTCATGGAGTTTAAGAATACAGAGCACTTTAACTTTGCGTTCAGCTAGATTGATGTTAGTAAAGAACAGTAAAAATATAATTAATATAAGGATTTATTGGAGGAAAAAAATAGACAATCAAACACTTTTCCATATACTAAACTTTGCTATTTCTCTAAGGTTTATAATTATAAATAAATCCAAATACCACAGATTTCAATAATTTCTTTTTCATCTGCTCTTTTCAAATTCTGGAAGAATATTTTTTAAATGTGGAGATAGAGTACAAACTGAAAGGAAGTGAATGGGAAGTGCTGTTTTCAGCCTCCTTGGTCCCTGGGTGTGAGTTTACCATCCTGGGTGGGTCAGAATTCCCCAGGTCGGCTGCTTCACTCCTACCTCCTCCTCTGGGCAGCTGTCCAGGTGTTAGCAGGGCAGGGAGGCCTCTCACAAGCCAGCGGCCCCACTGTTCACATCCCAGGCCAACCTCCCATGCCCAGGGCACACTTCATCCCAGAAACGAGGCCAGTGAGAAGGTGGACTTGACACCATGGACATGCAGGCCTAGGTTTGGCATTGCCGTGAGTCTCAGGAGTCCTGGGAGCCGCTCCCGGACTGCAGGTCCCCAACTGCTCAGCACAAAGTTTCCCTTTCACCTCTCAACGCTTCGCTCTGATTTAAGGAGGCTCCGGCAAACTCAATAATCAAGGTAATTAATAATTCAATGCAATATTCTAAAGACATCACAATTACTGCCCCCTCCCAAAAAAAAAATCCATGCTGAAGGAAGCATCAGAATTTAAATAAAGACAGGATGAGTGGAAGCACGTGCTGCCTCTGACGTTTCCTCCAGCAAGTGGTGGAGAACTCTGCAAGTTTATTCAAAACACTAGATAATTGGACCAAAGTCAGAACGATGGGCAGAATATATCCCACGTCAGACATCCCAGCTGGATTAGATCTCCCTGCCGAGGAGGAGGAAAGGGAGGCTGAAAATAGGCAAGAAAGCAACAAAGAGGCGTATATAAGTCAGTGGCTCTTCTGGCAAGGCTGACCTCCCAGGATTTAAACAGGGTGATCACCCATTTTTGGGGAAAGACTTTATACTCACCCTTGCGAGGTGCTTGGGCAGGGCTTCCAGGACCCTCCCGTGCCGAGAAGCCAACCCAGCTCTGGGGCTAATTCCTTGGCACCCATTAGCATGTGCCACCCATGCTCTTTCATTCCCTTTCTCTGTTTCCTCGGTTTCTGCACAAGTTTTTATGATTTGTAAATTCGCCGAGTTTCCTAAATGCATTGACTTTGTGCATTCTCATTCTCCAACTCTAAGTCCCTCCCAGTAAAATAGTTTCCTCTTCAGATCAGAATGTTCCCATCTTGGGCATATATTTATTTTAAAATAATGCACGTGTTATTTTTAGCTTAATAAAATTAAGTAAAAGTCCACCATCTGTGGGGACAAGTCTTGAACTTATTTAAATATATTGGTAAAAAAAAAAAGTAGTCTGAATTAGTTCAACCGTTGTGGAAAGCAGTTCAAAGGCCTAAAAACAGAAATACCATTCGACCCACCAATCCCATTGCTGGGTACAAACCCAGAGGAATATAAATCATTCTACCATGAAGACACATGCACGCATATGTTCATTGCAGCACTATTCACAGCAGCAAAGACATGAAATCAACCTAAACGCTCATTAATAATAGATTGGATAAAGAAAATATGGTGCATATACACCATGGAATACTATGCAGCTGTAAAAAGGAATGCGATCATGTAATTTGAAGAAATATGGATGGAGCTGGCGGCCATTATTCTTAACAAACTAACGCAGGAACAAAAAACTAAATACCTCATGTTCTCACTTATAAGTGGGGGCCAAATGATGAGAACAAAAGGACACAAAGAAGGGAGCAACACACACTAAGGCCTCTTTGAGAGTGGAAGGCGGAGGAAGGAGAGGAGCAGAAAAAACGTAACTATTGGGTACTAGGCTTAATATTTGGGTGATGAAATAATCTGTACAACAAACCCTCAAGACACGAGTTTACCTGTATAAGAAACCTGTACATGTACCCCGAACCTAAAATACAAGTTAAAAAAAGTAGTCTGTATAATATTTATTTAAAACGAGAATTTAAAATGTTAATTTTGCCTATAGAATAAATGTATTACAGCACAACCCATCATTATGTGACTTTTGATCAACAAGGAGTCAAATGGAGTAACTTTAAACCTAACAGCGGCATATAGTGAAACCCACAGAAAACCCACCTAGCCTGTGGGCAGTTGCTCCTGATCCTGAACGTCAGCGTTCGAAGCAGAACTGCTGTGCATGGTTTCTGTGTGACTTCTGACATATAATGAACACTCATGGTTACTGCCCAACTCAGAAGATAATTTGTCCTTCTGTGCACACCGGTGGCCTTGTGAAAAGGTGAACCATGTTAAACAAAAGGATTTCTGGTGCCTGTTGAGTGTGCTGGCCAGGGCAGAGGAGGGTGTCCAAGGAAAGAGAATGTGTATGTGTTGTGGAGATTCTGCACACTTGTATGTTTTAGGTACTTGTTTTCTTACAAATGTATTAAACAAAATAAAACCTCACTAAAATGCCCACACGTTGGCCCAGCAAGTTTCTGGGTTCTTCTAGAACATTCTGCAGGCTTCTGGCATCTTCATTGGCCACCAGATAGGGCCTTTCTGTCTCCTGACTCTTCAGGGCCCGGGCCAGCCTCCCTCCCTTCCTGCACGGAAGGCTGCTGTCTGCAGGGGCCTCCTCTGTAAAAGCCCCAAACACAGAAACCTGGTTTTCCTCACTGGGAAACTCATGGTGACCCTGCCAGGATCTGCCCCGTGGCTCCAGGGAACCTTGCTCTTGACGTACAAAGTTGGGGGCTTAGCCCACTAAGTCGTTCCCTCTAGCTATTTCAAGTCAGTACTAAGCACATTAAGCAAATTACAACCCTGGGGGAAGCTGGAAAGAGAAAGAAGCAGCATCAATCTTCCCGACAACTTAGGTCTTACAAAGAAAAAGAAAAAAAATACTTTGTCCAAGCAGTCCAGTCTGCACAAACCTTTTCCGTTCTAAGCCCCAAGCCTGGCAATTGAAATTGCAAATGTGTGAGGCTCTAGGCATCAAACAGCCTGCCAGCCCTGCAAGTGCGGTGCAGCCCTCCTGGCTTTGAGTATCCTCGGGCCCTAGTATTATAGAAATGATTTATGACAACTGCTTCTTGTGGGCCCGTCTATCCCTTTTGGGGTCTTTCTTACCTCATTGCAACTCCACTATGATCCTGTGATGCTGGCATTCTGCAGGTGGTGACACCCAGCAAGGGTCAGTGCAGGCCTGCCAGGAGGCGGAGCCCGTGACCTGTCCCAGTGCCTGTGAGCCTCATGTTCTCACTGCACAGAAGGCAGGGAGGTTTAGTTCCTGGCTGGGCTTCTCTGCTTTCCCTCAGCTGAGCAGAAGCCCCCCAAACTCCAAATCAGTCTTCCTCGAATGGAATCTGCACTTTCCGATCTAAATAATACTAAGGCATGTGATTCCCAACACCGTCTGCTTGTCAACTCTTCTCTGCAATGGCCCTCCTGGACCTGGGTCTCCCAGTTCCCATGGGCTGTTCTGCATGGACCATGGGTGGACTTAGGGACACTGAGGTCCCCGTGCCTCTTAAAGGGGCAGGCAGAGCTGCCTGGTCACTGACCCCAGGAGTTACTGAGCTGGCCTCTATTAGAGTCCTGGGGATTCTGTTAAAAATGCCCACAGACTGGGGGCCCAAAACAACCGGCATTTGTTCTTTCGCAGTTCTGGAAGCCAGAAGTCTAAAGGTGAGGGTAGGGCCATGGTCCCTCTGAAGACTCCAGGGACGGCTCCTTCCTTCCTTCTTCCAGCCCTTGGTGGTTGCTAGAAATCTTGGCTTATGGACATGCACTCCCACCTCTGCTGCTGTCTTCACGTGGTCTTCTCCTCTCTGTGTCTACCTCCATGCCCTCATGTTGTCACATGACTTTTTTAGAAGCCACTTGGCACTGGATTTAGGGCCCACCTAATCAGACCTGACCTCATTTAACGAATTCCAGCTGTAATGACTGTATTTCCAATTAAGGCTGTATTCTGAGGCTGCAGATGGAGGTGAATTTGAGGGTGATGGTACATTATTCCACCCAGCACCTTGCCTTGGCTTGGAGATGAGAATTAAATGTGCAGGTCACTTTCAAACCAGGTTGTGGCAGTCAAGAAAATGGATTGAATTGTCACCAGTAGAAGATGAGAGATGATAAAATGTACAGAGATCGCCCATTATATTGAGCTTTTAAATATTTACTTGGTTATCATTGTTGCTTTTTATAAACTCACATTTCCATAATTAAATTAAACATTTCGATATGCAAGTGTTTGCTGTATAGAGAGCATAATTTTTTCTTATTTTATTTTTTGAAAGAAAATGTTTGTTTGCAGTAAACAGACTAGGAAGAGAAATAAGAAAGAGAGAGGTGTTGGGACCAAGGCTTAAGAACTTCACTTTTCTGGCTGTCAAGCCTTCCCCGAAGATCCATTTATTCTCCTTAGAACTTCAGAGATCCAAATGGAAGCCTATTACTCAAAAAAAAAAAAAAAAAAAGGCGGGGGTGCTCCCAGGAACACTGCTATTCTCCTGCTCTGAAGCAAGTCCAAAGAACTCAGGTGGGGACAGAAGAAATCCCACCTTCCTTCCACTGCCCAGACCCCTCCCACAGCGATCTCTGAGCTTTGAGATCCTTTCAAGCATCTTGCAGAATCACAGTGATCCATCCAAGTGATGCAATTCCTCCTCCGTTTAGTGGATTCCTATTGCTCACCTCCCACGCAAGAAATGAAATGGGCTGGAGATCTGGCCAACAATGATGCATCCGGAACAAGTGTTAGAATATAGGCCTGGGAACCTGGACAGACACAGCCAGTGGTTTTTGCTGGAGAATAAGTCAGCTGAATAGTTTCCCTTGACCCACAGGTCAATCCTCCTGACCAGAGGCCAGTCCTGATTTTGTAAGGCCTAAGTTTGAGACAAGTTGGGGGATCCTTCCCACATGAAAAAAACAATACAAAGTTGACTTCCTTTTGTACATGTTACAAGAAACATGTGAACACTGGAATGCATTGCGAGGATTTCCAGGGCCTGGGGAGGATCCCGTGCTGGTGAGAGGTTCTGTTGATTCCTGGAAAGTATGTCTGGGGGCCTGGCCCAGAGCATTGCCCTTGAATTACTCTTCACAGGCCCTCTTGACTTCAGACACGCCTCCCTTGGGATTCCCAGACAGCTGTCCTGACCCTTCAACCAAACAGGGAAGCATTCAGATTGCCTCCAGTCTCCATCCAGACAACATCATTTTCCAAGGACTTGGAATTGAAAGTTGCCATCTAGGCACCTGAGTAACTTGTGAGGCTTTGTCTTGTTTATTGTTTGCCTCCGAGAAAAACAAGAGGATAACTGCAAGTAACAGTGACAACCAATACTGAACCAAAGGCAGTGGGGGAAAAGACGGGTGGAAGCCATTCTCTGCAGAATACAACCAGGATAAAGTCAGTGCAGGGTGAGAAAATCCTAAGCAAAAATGGTAGCAGGACAATGAGAAGGTGGTCCTTGGAGCCATAGAACATAGAACCCCCAGGAAGCAAAGGAAAGGAGCAATGACAGGAAGCGAATCACCCCAGCCCAGCAGTGTCTGCAGGTCCTAAAGCTGTTGTGACAGCAGGGCCCCAGGATCTCAGAAGAGGAGTTGCACAATAGTCTGAGGATAAGAAAGCAATCTTCGCTGGTTATATTCAGGTGAGGACAACAGAGAAGGTTCATGGAGCCCTTGGTGGCCCAGGAGCAACCAGAGTCCATGATCAATCGGCAGCGAAGGAACCCAGCAAACTTAGAACTCTGATCTCTGCGTGTGTAGGGGAGCAAAGGACCCTGGTACTAGGGAAGGGTTGTTTCTCTAGATACTGTGCTTCAAAGCAACAGTAGACTCAACTATCCTCGTTTCCTTCAGGGACTTTGATGGGTCTTCTATGCATTAATGTAGGTCTTTGATCCCAATCTGTAGATCTTTCTGTTTACATCTCCCTTGAAAGAATGAGCATTAAAATTTGCTGCCTGTTGGATAATTCCTTTGAGTAGGTTTACATTTTCCTGACCCAGGGTTCAAGTGTGCTCTTTTCACCAGAGAATTAACAAACGATCATGTCCATGAGCTGCCTGCCCTTCCTTCATCCTTCCTTCCTTTCCGCCTTCTCACCTTGCTTTTTTACTTCTTTCCTTCTACTTTGCCTCCCTTCGTTCAGTAGATAGATATTGAGTAACTACTTGGGACTCAGTGTTGTTCAAATTACTTTGAATTGCTGTCTTATTGTTTATATTTACTCTGTTACTTACCTTATGTCTTTTATGAAGTGAGTTCCATTAGATCTTGACCAAATCCCTAAACCCCAGTTACTTATTAGTTGGCTGTTAGACAATGCATATCAATGGAACAGCGCTATAAAGTGTCATTAAAGTGAACCTGCTGGCTGAGAAACTCACTTCTAAAACATGTTGGACACACCTTCTGTTCTGATACTTGTACCTGCAGAAGCATCAATATCCCAGGGAACACTGAGTGGTGGCTGGGGTCCCAGGCGCCATGAACAAGTGTGATGGTTCATTTTAGGTATCAATTTGAGTGAGCCATAAGGTGCCCAGATATTTGGTTAATCATTATTTCTAGGTGTGCCTGGGAGGTTGTTTCTGGATGATATTAACATTTGGATAGATAGACTGAGTTAAACAGGTTGCCCTCCCCAATATGGATAAGCTTCCTCCAAGCCATTCAGGTCCTGAATAGAAGAAAATAATTTGTTTTGTCTGACTATCTGACTACCTTTGAGCTGGGGCATCAGTTTTATCCTGCCTTGGGCTTGAACTCAGCCTGGAACCATTGGCTCTCCTGGTTCTCAGGTCTTCAGACTTGGACAGGACCAGACCATCTGCTCTTCAAGGTCCTTGGCTTGCCAGGCAGAGCTTGGAGCATCTCAATGTCCATAAGTATGTGAACCAATTCCTTACAATAAATCTCTTTCCAATCAGTTCTTTTTCTCTGGGGAACCCTGACTATTACACTCAGGATGTCAATAAATAAATAAATAAATAAATAAATAAATAAATAAATAAATACTCATTGCCATTTATCACTGGGCAAATGAAAATGGACCCTTTTTATTTTATTTCACATTTTCAGTCATTTTACAAATCATTTACAATTATATGAGTAAAGGGATACTACTTTAAAAAAAAAAAAAACTTTAGAAGAATTTTAACATGGCAAACCCAAATTTTTATTTCATGTTTTCCAGGCTTTAAGTTCTATGTATGTGAAATGGGCAAAGTTCTCTGAATATACTATCTGCTCATAAACCTTCTTGTGTAAATCTGGAATGCAACTTCCTTGTAAAAACTGATTTCAGATTTCAGGTTCCAAACATTTTGGGATAATTTTTAGCTTCTCTTTATTTCGAGTTTTTCTTTTTTCACTTGCATCATCAAAGCACAATACTTAATAATTCTTTGACAGTTCATAACTTTTTTGAAAAGAGAGTACAGCTTTCTTATTTGCTCCATAATTAAAAATAATTTTCATTCTTAGTTTTATTATCAATAATTAGAAAAATAAACCCTTTTTTATTTTTACATAATCTGTTTTCTTCTGATCACTTTGTATGCTTAGCTACATTTTGTCCACTTAGAAATCATAGTAAATAGATTTTGGTGCACAAACATCATAGAAGTTGAAAGAATACTGTCACCTTTCTGTTTGGCAAAACAAGAAGTTATACGTTCTTGCCCCAGTCAATTGTGGGATGGAGTCCTTCCTATTGAATGACTAAGTGGGTGAGAGTACCATATTTCCTTCTTGTCTGTAGAAATATGTTGCTGATGTAAACATTCTTGAGTTTGAAAAAATTCATCTAGAATATCTAAAGACCACAGTCTGAGATTTCACTTATAACATCAATTTCATGATCATCATCAGAATCTAGACAGTTGATACATGTGTCTTTGTATTAACCTTCTGATTTGTCTAAGGATTGTAAAAATATCCTCCATGTTCTTTTCTTTTCTCTCTACTCTTATAGGCAGAATCTGAAAAGTTCTAAATTTTCAAATATGTTCAATAAAACTAAAAATAATCTACAAAGAATGTGCCCCAAGTCATTTTAACATCTTCGAAAAAGGAGATTTAATATTTTGGGCAACATAAAAAGAAAACCAAAGGATAATGAAACAATAACTATTTATTTCATTATTTTTTATCCTTCCATGTGATTGTATCATTCTTTTATTCTTATTCTCTTAGTGTTTGTTTTTTTAAAGCACATTTGAACATAACTAGTGAGTAATGATAAAATAGTTCCTAGACTGATAAAATAGTTAAATTCTTCAAGATACAAGAAAAAAAAAATCACAATCCTTTTATCTTAGATTTCAGAAAAGGACCCAAAGGACCCATATGTTAATTACACAGAAAACAGAATTTTATTCCATTCAAAATAACATTAAATAATGTTATATAAGAGGAAATAATTTTTTAAATAAGTAAATTTTATTTCTTCTTTGGAAAACCCCTACTAAATAATAACAGCTATGAAATATTAATTCATACAAATGGTTAGAAATGCTCTAAGAAACCTCAACACTAAAAATGTTGTCGACTGGCCACTGACAGCACGCTGAGGGTTAGAAGTCCCACTTCCTGGCAAATTGTTTTCACTAAGACTCATGGTGATGTTTTCCACGTGAATGTTAACACGTGAAAATGTGATAATTCCCTAAAAGAACCAGACTGCCAACAATGTCATGAAAGCATAACAAATGAGCCCTGTACCCTCAAGTAAGATGCGTTCATCCCAGCAGGAAGCACCGTCAGCGGCACTTTGGCAGGTGCTGAGTGAGAGATGCTGTCCTGACACTTCCCGTGTCCAAGTGCTTTTCCTGAGGCTCCACCTCCACCTGCCTTTATCCGGAAGCCCATTCTCACTGCCCTGCAGGCAGGATGGCCACACCCATGCAGGGAACTGCAAATGAAGACCAGAAACATGTAACTTCCTAGGACATATTTGTCTCTAGTTTCCGTATAATTTAAATAAAACTAGATTTTGGCTCAAGTCTCATAGATTACTTAATTTGCACATTAATTGAATCGAGTGCAAGCATTTTGATTAAAATCTAAATTCCAAGACAAAAAATCCTTTATTCTATCTCTAAAGAAGTGAAGCAAGAAAAACAAGAGGCATCTCGCGGATACAAACTCGCTTCTTTGTTCCACTGAGCCCCAACGGGGATGCGTCGTTGCCGTGGATGCTGGCAGTCCAGTTGACGGGACAGGGAGCCAGGCAGTGCGGCACCTGCCCACAGCCTGGCGGGTTCCCAGGCTGCACACGGGAAAGGAGAAGAGGAGATTTTTTTCCAGGGGTAGCAGAAGACATGCAGTTTTACAGGTCTGGTACCTGCACACCAGACTACAGCTGTACACACTTGCTCTCATATGACAAATGTTTCACAGCTGTTTTATATACAGTTTGTTTGGGGCAAAAATCAATCAATCAATCAATCATGAGTATGACTTAGATTTGTCGAAGAGTTCTTCCAGACAGTCCGCCGGTCGCTATCAAACAGTTTGAATTTCACCTCATCCTGTGGAGGTGATGCCTCTGCGACAGCTTCTCCAAGAGAGTTAATTTGCCAGAATCGCTTTTATAAAGCAAAGAGGGAAGAGAACATAAAAGCACTAACCTGATGTTTTTACGAATGAGTTTAAATGAGCTTGTTTCAAAGAGTCATGTTTATCCACATACTGTCAGGCATTAAGGCCATCTTGCCAAACAGGCCATCTTTGGAAATTAGTGTTCTTGGAACAGATGACTTTAGAATCAGGGAGTCAGATTTTCTGGCAGTGACATGCTATGTAGGAGTGAGTATCATTACTCCTCAGGGCAAATGCAAAGAAAAGTGAGACCCGATCCATAGGTGTCCATGGCTGAGTTTCAAACACACTTGTACGAACCGTCCTTGAAGCAGCCCCTCCTGTGCATCATAGATCACCCCAAACATCCCAGGATAATATTTACACTAGAACAAATACTGGCTTTATGTAAAATAAAACTGTGTTGACATTTTGGGTAATTAAAAGATAAAACATGTAGGGTTTATTGAAGCAACAGGAAGAACTTTTTTTTTCTTTAAAGTATTGAATGTAAATCCAGTCCTTTCAAAATACAGGAGCATTGCAGCAGCTGCTTGGAATGCCATGGCGAAAGAGAAGGTTACCATGGTGGGGAAAACGTCTTTGTCAGGTCCACGGACTGTGCTTGTGGCAGGTGCACGTCCACAGACCTCACTGTCAACAAGAGCAAGCCACAAAAACCATCAGTTTGGTGCAATAAGTTGGGGATATAATTTCAAAATGAGAAGTAATGATACGATTTAGTTTTTGTGTAACTTATCTCTCCTCATAAGCATAGAAAAATTCATATTACATTTTCATATTTCATATTCATTTTCAATTAAAAAACTGTAGTTTATATACAGTTACCATTAATGTTTTTGATATTATAAACATTAAATAACAGTGGGAATATCGAACTTCTATTAAAACAAAGAGAACAGCCATGCACTTTCAGTTTTTGATGCTTACAGGTTTTTTATGAACTAGACATCGATAATAAACAGATAAAACAGACCTGTGTAAATAAGTAATTTATAATATTGTATAATAAAAATAATAAATACATGTTAAGTAGCTGGGCTAATCTTTCCATTTTTGAACATTTTAATTTCATATTTCAACAAAATAATATATGAGAATTTGAGATTTAAAATGGCCCATTTTATAAAATAAATTGTATTAATTTTACATATCTCTGTTGCTCTCTTCCTCACTGTCTATATGAATATCTGTAACTATATTTTTAGCTATATCTGATCTATACTTAAACCCATATATTTCTTACCATCCCTTTTGATTAGTCTATTAAAATGTTTCTATAGCTACTCAGAATTATTCCGTTAGCAGAAGCACCTGTCATTTTGCTCCTGGCAGTCACGAAGATCAAAATATATTTTGTGTGTGCCTTTTCCAAGGTTTCCAAAGAGCTGGATGAGGTTCCTAATGGAAATCAGTGTTTGCTCAGCTAAAACAAATACCTCTGGGCCTTCTCAGTGCCTGGCCTGGGCATGGTGCGGACATCCACAGATAAAATGAAACGTGGGACTGTTGGCTGAGTGCCTCAAGCATGATGCTATGCAAATAAGTCATCAGTTTTCTAACAGGTCTGAAACAAGCCATGTCCTGTGAACTGCCACCTACTTCATGAGGACGTGCCCTGGGAGGCTTTTCCTCTCTCGAGCCCTGCGGGGTTGCCAGACAACGTGCTGCCGCTCTGTAGTGGCTGCCGGTCTTCAGGCATCATTGTTGAACTTTCAGCAATCACCCATGTGCTCAAAAAGCCCCTTCGTTAAATCCACAAACCTGCCCTGAGAGCACGGCCTCATCTTATCTACACAGGTGCTCCTGGGTGGGTCACACTAGTCTCCCTCCAGGTACAGCCTTTTAAAAAGCTGGTTTTCAAGTGGATTCAGCCCGAGACAGGCAGAAGGAAAGAAGTATGGTTTGCAGTCCATATTCACATGCGGGGCGTGGTCAGCCATTACCCATAAAGGGCTTCCTTTCATTGAAACAACAAAGAGGACTTTTTAACATTTTAAACATGTTATATCTTAATAAAAATAATGAAATTCCTTTCATGTGAAGTTCAACCTTACGATGGGATGACTGTATCTTCTCAGATATTACTGACGTTGCCCCGGAAAGAAGAAATTTGGCCTGGAGACCCCAGCACCAACTCCTGCCTGAGTTTCCAGCCTGTGGATTTCAGACTTGTCAGTCCCACAACCAACCATGTGAGCCAATTCCTTCAAATAAATTTCTTTAAAAAAATACATACATATGTTTACGTGTGTGTGTGTTCATATATAACCTATGGGTTCTATTTCTCTGCAGAGATCCCACTCAAGTCAGACAGAAGAGACCAGGCAAAGAGCAGACGCTCCTCAATGTACTTGGAGGGGACCTCACCTGTTACATTGCAAAGTACACTCAGGGCCCTTGGACTTGGCTGCAGCCAATCAGGACTGCAGAGGAGAGGTGGAGAGGAGAGTGTCTGGAGGTGGAGGGCAGGTGTCTGGAAAGGAGAAGTGGAAGGCAGAGGATGTCTGCAGAGCAGAGGTGGAGAGGGGGTTGTCTGGAGGTGGAGGGCAGAGATTGGTCACCCTCCGTGTCCCCAGGGACCTTGGCTGTGTTGAGGTGCCCACCCTTTTGGCTTCCCCAGGCCACAATGGAAGATGAAAATTGCCTTGGGCCATACGTAAAATACACTAACACTAACGATAGCTGATGAGCTAAAAGAAAATCACAAAAAATATCTCATAATGTTTTAAGAAAATTTACGAATTGCTGTTGGGCTGCATTCAAAGCTGTCCTGAACTGCATGTGGCCCACAGGCTGTGGGTTGGACAAGCTTGTTTTATATCAAAGGCTCGAGATGACATAAGCTGAAGAGTAGGCGGAGAATGCAGCACCCTCTCCATGCTCACAGTCCTGCAGTGCCTCTCAGTCTCTCGTGGAAGTGTCTGGGCATCCCCCTCTCTTCCGTGGGGGATGCCTGAGTGATGCCTGCAGATAGAATGGACTGATGATTGACCCAACGACTAGAGGCTGTTTCCGGAAGTCCTTGACCGTGTGTGCTTTCCTGGGCACGTGGAACGGAGCTCTTCTGACTCAGGACTCCAAGAAGTGGGAGTCTCGTCTGAGCATCCAGGTGTGGCCTTCATATCTAGTTGGTCTTTCCAAGCCAAACACACCTGCCTCTGCAAGCCCAACCTGGTTTTATTTCAGAGAATTAAGAGAAACCCCCAAAAGATAGAAATGAGTCATTGATTATGGCCAAAAAGAAATCAGATGACTGTATTTGTTTCCTGTGGCTGATGTAAAAAAATTGCCACAAACTGGGTGACTTAAAAACAGAATTTATTCTCTCACAATTCTGGAGCCTAGAAGTACAAAATCAAGGCGTCAGTGGGACTAGCACTCTGATGGTGCGGGGGAGGCCTCCTTCCTTGCCTCTGCTGGTGCCCGTGCTGCTACCGTGCCTCGGAATTCCCTGGCTTGTGGACACAGCTCTTGTCACATGCTGTCCCCCCATGTGTTTCTGTGTCTCTCTTCTGTCTTCTTATAAGGACACCAGCCATGGGACTAGGGCTCATACTAGCTCCATATAACCTCATCTTAACTAATTACATTGGCACAGACTCTATTTCCAAATAAGTAACATTCTGAGGTTCAGGGTGGACATGAATTTGGAGAGGCACTGTTTACCCCTGTTCTGTGAGTCCCGCGTAGTTTCAAATGTGAACCCTGGGAGCTCCTGCTTTATCAGGATCAGAGTGGAATGAGGAGCCCCCGTCTTCTTATTTGCCCAGGACAGAAGGTGTCCCAGAGCATAGACTTTTAGTGCTAATGCTACAACAATCCCAGGCAAACTGGGACAGTTGGCCACCCCAGCAGGCCCTTCTTAAGCGCATATGGACACAGGCGGTCTCTGTCCAGCCCTGCCCCGCTCTCCTCCTCTGGGGGAATCCTTTCTCTCTCTGCCCTGTTGTGTCCCGACACGGGCCTCTCAGCTTCCTCCACCCTCCGCCCTGCTCTGCCCATCAATGGAGTCTCTGCCAAGCTTTGCTGGTTGGCTGTTGGCACTTGATTTCCTTCCTGCAGAATTCTCAGCTGCTACTGGAGTTTTCTTTGTCATTCTATCATCTTACCAAAACCTTCATTCTCTCCACATTTCCTTATTTCCTACAGGAAGGCTTAGAGTCCTGCCACGCTCAGCCCTTTGAATGCAAGGACTTGTTTGCTTATCTGTGGTGGCTGATATCACAAAAATCATGCACAGACTTTCCGTTTTGTTTTTAGCTCATCAGCTGTCGTTGGTGTTAGTGTATTTTATGTGAGGCCCAAGACAATTTGTCTTCTTCCAGTGTGGCCCAGGGAACACCCGTGGCTTAGACCACAGAGTTCATGAACAGATTTAGCTAAAAGAAAGGATAATCTCTCAAATTCTTTCGTTTTCACATTTTCGTCTGTTCTTCTTTCATCTTCTTTAGAGAAACCTAAGAAAATATTTCCTATGTTTTTCAAAGAGAGAGCTTCATCTCTGCATCTAATGTTTAGTAATTCCAGTTTAGAGAATGATCAAGACCTGGTCTCTCAGCTCACGGTGCTAGACCAGAGTGCAGAAACCCTGATGAACCCTTGTTTCACAAAAGGCCATTAGAAGGGGTCTTAATATCCGGTAGGTCCAGGCTTCTTATGGGAAGGAGTTCCCTCGTGCCCCAGTTAGAGTTCTCTGGGGAGTCACCCCTCTGTTCTCTTGTCCCACCTGCCTGATGTAGCGGAATCTGCAGCAATGTACAGTAGGGAATGGAGACCTCATCAGAATTCTGATCCTAGGACATGGGCTTTGGACTAAATAGAACCACAGGCTTAGGCTACTGAAATTACAAATCCGGAGCTCCTTAATGGAATCTTTTAGGTTCTGTGGCTTGCTGAGCTGAAGCCCTCCTAGGTTCTTTGACCTTATGGGCTCCTCCCTGAGGTTAAAGAAACCCTTTCATGGGCCTAGTGGGTGGTCTACATTGACATCCCCACAGCTGGTCCCGGGCACACTCCGCTCACATTGAAAGACTGCATTAGTATTGTGCAGAGTCGGCTCAAGGTGAGAACCCGCTTATGACGGCTGTAGCTTGTTCAGATAACAAGTCTTTTCAGCTCTAGGGAAATTAAGAACATACTAATTTACATAATGTGAAATCAAGGAGCAAGAACACCTGTGGATAGTAGCTTTGCTGGGTTCTAGCAGGATGCTTCAGTCAATAACTCAGCACTGAGGCAAAAAGACCCAACACCAGTGAATCCTAACCCCGTCCTACGCCCAGAAGAGGTGGAGCCACGGGGCTGCCGGCGGCTCCTCACAGGTTAAAGCTACACGCAATGCCTGGTCGTCTCTGGAGAGCAATGGGCAGAGCTCCTCAGGGCAGTGAGGGAAGGCAGTGGCCCGCAGTCCTGAGTGGCCTGCCCACTGCCTTAAGAGGGGACTCTCTTTCATACACAAGGCAGAACTTTCCAAATGACAGTTCCTCCAAACTGCCTTGTAAGCCGCTGGCCAGGGACACTGATAGTCCCTGGAAATCCAGGCCATCTTTCCCTTAGATCAAGTTTACTGTTTGGGACTGCACCTTTCCCCAATAGTGTCACGCTGTAGCAACTCGGATATTTAAATATTGACCATTTTTGGTTTGTATTTTTGTCATTTATACTAATTGCCAAGGGTTTCAAGAGGATTTAGAGATTGCAGATGTCTTTCTTACCTATCACTGTCTCTGGTTCTCTGGACAGTCTGTCTCTAGTGACTGCTTCAAGAGTGAGGCAGACAGTTCATGACTCAGAGACGTGATGCAGACAGCAGGACGGGCACCGGGGCCGCCTCTCCAATGGCAGAGCTGCGAGGGATCCAGCCAGCTCCATGAGCTGCTCACCAGCAATCCCGGGGTGGAAATGGATGGACACAGGCTGCAGCCCAGCTTCCCTATGATGTGGCGGGAAATGAGTCACAGCTAGGAGAGCCCGGGCACTGACCAGGCCAGGGTCCAGCCTTCCACACTCTGGGAGGTGCTGAGGCAGGCCAGCCTCAGCTCTGCATAGCCCCACAGCCCCGGCGCTTGACACAGAGCCTGCGTGGAGCTCCAGGACATTCCCACCACCAGGACCTCCCAGAGACACACGCAGCTCAGGCTGGTGGAAACGTAGCAGCATTCTGCCTCAAATTTGCCGTGGAAGTGCTAGTCCAAGCATGGACAGTGGTAAGGCTGTGGGGGCCGCCAAGGAGACCTTGGCCAAATCAGCTCAAGAAACCTGCATTCAACCTGGTTTGACTGACTCTCTGGCCGCAGGGCTCCTCAGTGCCTTTGCCCTGGTGACTAGCATCTGACCCTCCAAGGGCGTGTGGCTGCACAAGGCTCTCCAAGTGCCTCAGCTGTGACTCCCCTGGTGCAAAGCACAGCCCCGGACCGGGGTGCAGGACACCAGCTTTGGGAGACATGGCTGCCCCGGGTCATGCACACTTTGGAAAGCAATTCGTAGCTGTGACGTGGTTCTTGAGAGAGAGGAGGCAAAGTGAATGGAAAAAAAGGACAGAAGAAAGCAGGGAGACATGGTTCCAGGGTCTCCTGCAGACGGCCAGCCCCTCACAGGCATTCTGTTGACCACATTTTAAACAGATCCCAGGGCACCGTCTGTCCTTTAGGCAGCCCCTTTGCTCTTGGTGCTTTTTATCTTCCATTCTTGAGTGTGAGTGTGAGTGTGTGTGTGTGTGTGTGTTTCTGAAAACAGGGAAAGCTGACGCTTACTGCAACACCAGACTGACCCTCGAACCTCAAAGGAGTCACTGAGAGGAGGCAGAAATGGCAAGGGAATGCCACAGTTCCCAGTTCTCCCTCCCAGGCACCCACACCCGCCTTGAGCACAAAAGGCTGCTGGCTGTTGTGAATTTGACTGTGCTCTCTAAAGGGCAGCCCGCTTGGCCTGGACAAATTCTTTGTGACAGACTCCTTCCCCTCAACTCTGAGCCTGAATGAACCTGATATTGTCAAAAGAGTTGACCAAATCTATATTTTTGTACCTGCTTTCCTGTGTATAACTGCATTTTCTAAATTTAGAACAGTCTTCAGATTAAGATGAAGACCGCTTTGACATTTTTATCTTAATTGTCTCATTTCTACCAAGTTGTTTAAAATATTACAATAAAACACTGAATACAACTGTTGAGAGATTGGGTTAAATTGACAGTAATATAAATGAGTTTGTCCTTTTGGGCAAAGTCTAATTATTGAAGATTAAATACTCTGCTACTTTCTAAAAAATCCTAAGCTGGAATTCAGAAGGAAGATTCCCGGAATACGGTGACAGTAGCTGACAGCAAAGTGGGTCCTCCCCTGTTTTCCTCTAGGTGTGTTCTCATTAGAGCATAGATTCGTGGTGAACTGGGGGAAAGCAGCCTGGAACAGAGATAGATAGAACTCAGCAGATGGTAATGAAAACAGAATATTCTATGGAGTTAAAAATCAATAGATTTTAGCCAGCCATATGCTAATGAACTACTCTGATTTCTTTACCAATCTCTTGGGGGTTTGAGAAAATTATAGCAGCAAGCCTCAACCTGAAGGCAGGTCAGCACTTCCCTGGTGGGCTCTTCCTAACGCCCCTTTACAGCCACAGACAGTGGTGGGTGAAGTCGAAATGCTCCGGTATGCCGTATTGATTTAAAGACATATTTGTTCTCCTCTGGTCAGAAAGAGTACTGAACCCGAATTGCAGGACTCTCATAATTGGATTCAGCATGTTTTGTATTAACTAATTAGGAGTTTTCCTTTTTTGTGCTTGCTTCTTTTTGTCTGCTCAGCTCTTTTAATTCTCTTTCTTCCGTGAAGCTTGAACGCAAGACTCATTATTTCCTTTTTAAATATTTGACTATGCACTTTCAGCCCAATGGGGGTGACTGGGGATACATTAAGAGAAACACAAATCTAATTCCTCTCTCCGCTCTCTATGTTCTTCCTGTAAGCTTGTCCTGTGATGTTCCCCGCCCTCATCTGCCTCCAGCACACACAGGCAGGCGCACACGCAGCTCCCGCTGAACTCAGGGCACACATTGGTGTGTTTCATGGCCCGGTCAGATCTTTAACAGGTAATCTTGTATTCCATTAAATTATACCCTGGTTTGCAGAAGAGACGGGCATTAGTGCAACTTGCTTGCTGCACCAGTCTCAAATTAAACACAGGAGTGAATGGCTTTCTTTGACTTAGCATTCCAGAGGCATTTGATCTCAGTGAAGCACATGTTTTGGAACTAAGAAATCTTGAGGCCAATTCTGCCCCACCTTGGTGCTCTCTGAGCTAGCAAGCCCAGAGAGCTTTTGAAATCAACATTTGCCCTGAGCCTACTTAGTTCTGCAGAGACAGCAGGAGGGGAGAGGAGGCCTTCATGAGGGTCGTGGAGGAGAGAGGAAGAACTGCAAATGAGTCGGACAATTCTGGGTCACGGTGTGGAGGTGAGGCACCCTGGAGACACAGCCTGCTCCGTGGTGACGACAGTTGGGATGGAAAATAAAGAAACTGAAGGGACTCCATGTAGTGTGGGGTGAACAGGCACCTTTAAGCAAGGAGGACTGTGTAAATCAGCTAACATATTGAGTATTGAGGACAATGAAAGCTTTACAACACTAAAATCATCTCAGTATTACTCTGTGTAGATCACATTCCCGTGTACTTTCATAGAATTACGGGAGCATGTATTCCTTCTAATTGAAATCTGATGTAACTGTTCAATAAATAAACATTTACGTGCCCCCAAATCAGCAGGTGCTGAGATGTGGCTCTTGGTGTCCCATGCACCATTTTTCTTCCAGGAACAAGAAACTCCTTCTCCACCGGCAGGTTGTGAATAGAGTGAAAGGATGGCTGTGCTTTTATTAAAAAGCTCCAAACAACGAACCTTTCAAAATCAAATTGTGATCCTTACACCTCTACAGACAAGACAGAAAATGTGGGTTCTGTGGCCCGCTTCTGTGGTTCCTGGGGGGTCGAAAACAGGCTAGGGTGAGGGTTAGGGTGAGAGTTGGGGCTAGGGGTAGGGGTAGGGTTAGGGGGTAGGTTTAAGAACAGAGTTGAGGTCAGGCGTAGGGCTACGGGGTAGTAACATTAAGAGTACCGTCATGTTATTGTTAGGTTTAGGGCTAAGATAATATAACAAACACTGTATATAAAAACTTCATTCCCTGCCAGGCGCGGTGGCTCATGCCTGTAATCCCAGCACTTTGGGAGGCCGAGGCAGGCAGATCACGAGGTCAGGAGATCGAGACCATCCTGGCTAACATGGTGAAACCCCGTCTCTAAGAAAAAATACAATAAATTAGCCGGGCGTGGTGGTGGGTGCCTGTAGTCCCAGCTACTCGGGAGGCTGAGGCAGGAGAATGGCGTGAACCCGGGAGGTGGAGCTTGCAGTGAGCCAAGATCCAGCCACTGCACTCCAGCCTGGGCCACAAAGCGAGACTCCGTCTCAAAAAAAAAAAAAAACTTCATTCCCTTCCAGAATTCAATGTTTTAGCCTAGTGAACAAAGCACAGGACAGCCAGGAAAGGATAAAAGAAAGAAACGGGAGGACGGAGGTGCTTCTCCAGCAAATTCAGGCAACCGTTCCCAGCGCTTCGGTCTGTGTTGAAGGGACAGCCCCCACCCGCTGTTCTTCTCTGGGCTGGCGCTGAGCTTTGCCTGTGCATGGAATCACCCAGAGCTGTCGGATGGGTTGTGGATCTCATGTCTTTTACCTTTTCTTTGGGGAAGTAAATTGCATGAAGCCGAACCAATATCTTTGTATGTACTTTAATAAGTGGCTGAAAATACTATAGACTCAAAACAAAAACTAAAAATGTAAGGAGAACATGGCCAGTTTCCTCAGGACTGTTTACATCTTCCAAGACCAAAGGCATTTGTCTCAAAGCCCCATCTCCTGCCACCAGGTGACCGGTTGTTTCTGCATCACCCACTTCCTCCACACCATCACTGAGGGCCTCGGCTTCCTAAGGTGGTCAGCAGCCCCCACAGGAATCCAATGGAAATGGCCTGTCTGGCTTCCCTACTTCCCTCTTTCCAGGTCCCTCCTGCGTCCTGTGGCTTGATTTCTTCCCCCTCCCATGAATGCGGAGGAAGCCGACTTTGAGAGATGAATGAACCATGTCAGTCCTGTCTTGAGAAGCCCCTCGTCTAGCAAAGGACACAGTCCTGGAAATTCATCCATGCAGTGCAGCAAATTCCAGGTAACAAGCACATGTAGGGCACGAGTGGGGAAGGAATTCACACTGTTGTGTGCAGGGCTCTGAAGTAGGCGGTGGAGAAGGAGTAGGGGTGATGGGGAGAAAGCAGGCGGAGGCCTGCACAGTGGGAGGAATGA
This sequence comes from Homo sapiens, assembly GCF_000001405.40. NCBI lineage: Eukaryota > Metazoa > Chordata > Mammalia > Primates > Hominidae > Homo > Homo sapiens. The sequence continues at coordinate 3,000,854 of NC_000005.10, forward strand.
GACAGGCTGCTGCAGGAATTTGCCTTGGGGTCTGGGAGGCACACACCACTGCGATGCGTGGTCTATGTGCACATATCCAGTATATACAGGAGAGCTGAAATATGTCAAGTATCTCTTGCAGAGAAGCATAGAGAAAAACACAGCAAATGCCCACATGCCCACCAAGTGCACTTAACATCCTGCAATGTTTCTCCAGAAACAGAGCTCTGATGACATTCGGCCCCAGGTTGTGGATAGAGAAACAAACTACTGTGTCTCTGCTCAGCCTGGAAACTTGTATGGCCACTCTAGAAAACAAGCAGACAGAGTCTCTGGACCCACCCGGCCATTCCGCTCCTACTCTAGAAAACAAGCGGACAGAGTCTCTGGACCCGCCGGGCCATTCCACTCCCACTCTAGAAAACAAGCGGACAGAGTCTCTGAACCCGCCCTGCCATTCTGCTCCCACTCTAGAAAACAAGTGGACAGAGTCTCTGAACCCACCCTGCCATTCTGCTCCCACAGGCCCTCTTCAGCGACTCCAGTGCAAAAGTACACGAGGTCATGAGGTAAGTTTGAGTCCAGATGAGGTCTGGGTGTGGACACCAGCCAGGTTGGTGGAGGCTAGGACTTGCTTTGGGACTTTGCATGGAAGTCATTGCAAGTTTTCAGGCAGGAAAATAACATAATTTGCTGTATTAGTTCATTTTCATACTGCTATCAAGAAGTACCTGAGACTGGGTAATTTATAAAGAAAAATAGGTTTAATGGACTCACAGTTCCAGATGTCTGGGGAGGCATCACAATCATGGCAGAAGGGGAAGCAAACATGTCCTTCTTCATGTGGTGGCAGCAAGGAGAAGTGCAGGGGAACTGTGCTTTTATAAAACCATCAGTTCTCGTGACACTTATTCACTATCGCAAGAGCAGCATGGGAAAACCTCGCCCCCATCACTCCATTATTTCCCATCAGGTCCTTTCCACGACATGTGGGGATTAAGGGAGCTACAGTTCAAGATGAGATTTAGGTGGGGACACAGCCAAACCGTATCAGTGGCATTTTGATTTGTGAAGATGTACCAGTCAGGTTATGCCGTATTCAGCTGAGTAACAAACATCCTCACAACTTCCAAGCCAGGCAGGAGCCCAGGGAGAGTTGGAACATGCAAGATTCTTCTAGAGGGCTGTTGGAACTCACATTTTAAATCACCCTCCTGACTTCTACACATTTTTCCTTCTTTGATATTTATACCCCCGCTGTACATCCTGTGGTGCCTGATGAAGTGCTCCCCAGCAAATTCACAGAATCCTCAGAAAGCAGAGACGACGAGGAGCACGGGAACAAGGGGATGTCAGGGGCTGGGGAATTCCTGAGACCTTCCTAATCCTCATAAGTGATACCCAGATTCAGTTCAAGGTTTGGACAAATATATCCGTCTATTTTTTAAACCACGACTGAAGAAACAATTTCACTGTGCTCTATACCTAACGAATGCTTTAATGATGATGTCTCCTGAAAGTGAGTGTTCCTCTCTGGGGACTCCTGCGAAATACATGATGATGAGCTCGTGACGTAGATGAAGCTGGCAAGACGGCCTCAGCGCTGGTCTTGGAGGACTGTGCTCTGATGCCAGGAAGCGATTCCGTCATGCTTATCTGGAAGGTTCCGTCGTGCTTATCTGGAAGGTTCCGTCGTGCTTATCTGGAAGGTTCCGTCGTGCTTATCTAGAAGGCAAGACAATTTTACAGCAAATCCGAGGGGTCCTTGCTTTTGTGAGAAAATGAGTTCATGTCAATGTACATTGAAATAACCTCAGAGAGTAAAACAAAGGCATGGATGCCAAAACTAAACTCTCCTCTCAGAGGTCCAAGAAAGCACATTAGTTTTAAGATAAATCAGAGTTCCATTTCTGTCCTTGGACGTGTTGGCAAGGGGGTGGGTGTTTCTGGACACTGCCTTGCCTGTCTCGCTACCTGCAATCCAGGGGCTCTATTTCACACCCACCTGGTTCCTGCTCATTTATTTCTGGGCCCTTTATGTTGCGAGATTCCACTCATCACCCCGGAGTGTCAGCAGCTTTATCCAAATGTGTTATTTCACAAGGTTTTTAATTTTAATGGGGAAGAGAGAATGCACACGGGAGAGTCAGTTGCTGCTGTGAAGGGCCATGCCTGGGGAGGAGATGGCGCTAATTACCCTGATTGGAAGACGACATTGCCAGGGTAAGGACTAAACAGGTGAGTGGGTGAAAGGAGAGCCAAGACATTTATGCAAATTAGAAAAAGGTAAGAGATGCTTATCGTTTATAAGCCACCAAATAAATCATGTAAATAGGCTCCTTGGTACATGGAAAAAAGAACAGCCCAAATCACAGCCAACATTGAATAAGTTTAACCAGGTTCCTTAGGCAAGCAGGAGAGGCATGCATTTGCTCTTGGAAGAACTTTAGGAACAGTCTTATGATGGGGGCTGCTTCCCACCCACAGCTTTTTGCATGATGTATCTGTAGAGGGCTTGGTGGCCAAAGAAATCATTATTGCAGTCCTTCCTTCCTTCCTTCCTTCCTTCCTTCCTTCCTTCCTTTCTTCCTTCCTTCCTTCCTTCTTTCTTCTTTTTTTTTTCAGGCTCTCACTCTGTCACCCAGGCTGGAGTGCAGTGGTACAATCTTGGCTCACTGCAACCTCCACCTCTCGGGTTCAGGTGATTCTCCTGCCTCAGCCTCCGGAGTAGCTGGGGCTACAGGCGCATGCCACCACACTTTGCTAATTTTTTTGTATTTTTAGTAGAGACTGGGTTTTGCCATGTTGGCCAGACTGGTCTGGAACTCCTGACTTCAGTTGATCTGACCACCTAGGCCTCCCAAAGTGCTGGGATTACAAGCATGAACCACTGCGCCTGGACTCTCACACATTTCGTCAAAAGCAAATATCTAATAACACCCAATACATTAATTTATATTAATGAATTTAAAGAAAGCCACAAATAAGTCTGCTAACTTGTGTATTTCTAAGATGAAATTTGCATTATATTTACATACACAGCAAAAATCATTAAGCCTCAATAACGTATTCTAACAAATCAAGACAATCTGCATTGTTGTGAAGTCTGAATTGGAGAAAATTCAGGGAAGATTATTTTTTGATTGATAAAAGAGATGTCTCTTGGGGAATTTGCTTTAATAAATATGAAGAAAAGAATGGGTAAGAATGAACTAATGAAGTAAGTTAGAATGTCTGAACAAAAGTACTTTAATATTTTGCTAGGTGCTACACACAAATGTTCATCTTACATGCTTTATTGATTTGTTGAGTAAATTGTATTGTTGTTATTGGATAGAACTCGAAGCCCACCCCAGACCAGGCATCCTGCACTGCTCTCTGGAGGGCTCATGGTGAGAGAAGGGGCTCAGAACAGCCAGCTGCCAGGTGGGTCAGGTCTGGCACCAGGCCACAGCAATGTTGGGGAGTTTCACTCTGGCTAACAGGTTGGTTTCTAACTCAAGTTTCCATTTAACCTCATAACTGAAAGGGGTGCCTATTCAATTCAGGGTAAATTTGCTCAATCTAGTTCAGGGTTTGCTTCCCACCCTCCTGTTGTCCCACCATAGAATTAAAGTTCCAAGGGCCTTCGAATGTCTAGGTGTCAAGGAGAGAGGCCCCTGGGGCGGTCACCGCTCCTGCATCCTCGTGCCTGTAGTGCCCATCCCTGCAGGAAGCCCAGTGACTCCAAGCCATGTCTACGGCACCCTGGGCCTGGTCCCATCCAGACCTGGGGCTCTTCAGATTGGCTGGTTCTTTCTGCCAATGCCTGTGTCCCTCTTGGAGAACACAGAAACACTGGGCGCTCTCCTGACCCACAAAGGCTGCAGGAAAAGCGGGAAGAGGGCATGCTCCCATGGCCCCCTTGCCCACCCTCTCTCTTGTGGCATAGACAGAGCTCTTATCCTCTCACCTCCAGTTGGCCATTGTCCAGAGGCTCACCTTTCCTAATCTTTCAGATCCTCCATCCCTTACCCTCCACAGTCCACCTGTGCAAATGCTCAGGCTCCTGCCAGCACCCCACCAGCTCAGCTTCTCCCTTCTAGTCCAGGGAGAAGCAAACTGGCTCCTCCTCCTCCTTTTCCCCATGTCTGTGGGTGAGAACAGAAAGGTACCGAGCCTCACTCCCAGGTGAGAGGAACTCGCAATGCTCAAACCATTTACAAAGCCTTATCTTTCACAGTGATTGCTCCTGCCATACATTCCAAAAGGCTACTTTAGAACTCAAAGCCTGGTGCCTCCATACTCTTCCTGAAGCTGTGGCTCAACAGGCCTCCACCTCCAAGACGATCTGCAATGGGGAGGAGGCCAAGAGGCGAACACACCAGGGGGTGAGGAACACCTGCTTTCACACTTACCACCAGCTCAACTTCAGGACTCTAGTTTCTTCCCCAAAACTCTGCCCTTAAGTCAAAAGCAAATATGTGAAAAAAGTGTTTCCATTTGTTTGAGTGAGATAAATTAGGATATGTTCCATTCCAACTCAGGAGCCTCAGACAACTTTTGCCAACAGAATACAATTCAACAAAAAAGCAAGCTTATGTAATTCCAAAGTCAATGCACAGAATTCCCCACATGAGACATCATGCAATAAAGGGTAATTATACTGTTTTTGTTTTCCTCTCTCTGTCCAATATTCTTCACCAATTTTTTAGCCTTTTGGGCTCATGGTTATCTTGCATTTAGCCCACAGTGAAAGTGTTAGTGGCGGACGTTAAACGAGTCACACGGCACCAGAACATGTTACCAGTAGCCGGTATCCCAGTTACCAGTGGCGGGTCCCTGCGGGTCTGCAGCAGCCTCACTTCTTGCCTCCTCAGAAGAAAGAATTCAACTGACGGGTAGAAGGCAGAAGAAGAGACCGAGGCAAGTTTCAGAGCAGGGGTGGAAGTTTATTAAAAAGCTCTAGAGCAGAAGCCAGGCATAGTGGCTCACGCCTGTAATCCCAGCACTTTGGGAGGCCGAGGAGGGCAGATCACGAGGTCAGGAGATTGAGACCATCCTGGCTAACACGGTGAAATCCCGTCTCTACTAAAAATACAAAAAATTAGCTGGGCGTGGTGGTGGGCACCTGTATTCCCAGCTACTCGGGAGGCTGAGGCAGGAGAATGGGTGTGAACCTGGGAGGCAGAGCTTGCAGTGAGCTGAGATCACGCCACTGCACTCCAGCCTGGGTGACAGAACGAGACTCCATCTCAAAACAAAAAAAAAAGAAGAAGAGAAACAACTCTAGAGCAGAAATGAAAGGAAGTAAAGTCCACTTGGAAGAAGGTCAAGTGGGTGACTTGAAGACACGTGTGCAGTTTGACCTTTCGACTTGGGGTTTTATATGCTGTCACGCTGCTGGGGTCTTATGTCCTTTCTCCCCTGATTCTTCCCTTGGGCTGGACTGTCTGCAAGCACAGTGGCCTGCCAGCATTTTGGAGGAGAGCATGCACAGTGTGTTTCCTGGAGTCCTACGAATGCTCACTTCAGGCGTTCTTCCCTTACCAGCCGAATGTCCCTGGGAGGTTGTACACAAGTTAAACTCTGCCATTTTGCCTCTTAGTGCACATGCTCAAGCCCACGCATCCCACTCCTGGGATCTTACTGGGAAGCTGCTGATCACCAGTTTCAGGTTTTTTCTATCTATAGGGAGATGGCCTTTCCCTGGCGCTGGCTGCCACTGAGAGGTGAACATTTCTATTGCCCTATTACGGGAACCAATATTTTATGAAATCAACCTTCAGGCCACATCCCCATGGTCCTTTTGAAGGACCAGGGACTGAGACAAGGGTCAGCTTGGAGTGGCTGAGTCCACGATGGCCCTGTTGCATGACCTCTCCCTGATGATGAGCATGGGTCTCCTTCCACACCTCTGCAGAGAGAAGGCCTCGTGCTTCTGTGATTGCACAAGGGTGCACGAGCCTGAGCCTCACAGTCCCTGACGGGCTTGCTGAATATTCGCATCTTAGCTTCTGCAATAGCCATTATCATGGGAAAAGAAAAATCAGTTTTCTTTTAGTCCTAGTTCGGAAAATTGTAGAACCCAGAACTGAACTTGGCTCATTTATGTCTGAATTTCCATGAACACTCCTCCAAGCTCTGTTGTTTCTCTCTAGTGATGTCATGAGGCAGTTTAGCCCAATTTGAATAGCTCTGGGTGTTCGCTTCTAGCTCAGGGTAAAGGAGGGCTTCCCTCTTGCCATTTCGTCCCCTCGGCACTGTCCCTCCCCAGAGATCAGGAGCGCTGGTCTGAGCAGCAGAAGACAGTTGGCTCCAGCCTTCTCACATTCTTCTGCAGCTAGAAACCCAGGCACACCTGCCTGTTGTCAGGAGGGTAGGGCCGTCCTTACCAGAACCCAGGTCTATGGCCTCTAAATGGTTCTGGAATTCCAGGCTGTCTTCTAGAGGACCATTCCCAGAACGAGCCCACTGCCCAGGGGGCTTGGACACAGGGAGAAGGCAGCACAGGCCATCCGCCTGCTACCCAGGTGCAGAACTCATCCTCTGACACACAAGGTGAGGAGCATCTCGGCTGTGAGCAAGGCTTGCCTCAGGAACTCTTTGTTCTAAAGCCTTTGTGGCTGTACTATCTCCTCCTTACCGAGGAAGCGGCTAAAATGTAGCAGATGGAGAGAGATTTACCGGGAGAGGGTTGGAGACCCACAGGCTGCTGGTCACCATCTCAGAATGAGGGCAGGATATCTCAGCTCCCTACCTAATCTCAGAACAAAGTCCTGCCAGCACCATGAAGAACCTGGGCATTTCCGAGAAATTGGATTAACTCATCATAACACAGAGCATGGCATCTATGGAGTGACTGTTTCAAAAACTTGAAATTGACCCTCAGGGACACACGTGACCTCATTCAGCAGGAGAGGTGAGAGGGAAATGCCTGTTCTTCTCATTTGCACAGCAGTTCCAGGATGGAGTGCCACGGTGAGCCCACACATGGACAGGATCAAAATGGACTGAATCCTGGGAGCAAAACACATATCCTGTAACTTGTTTTGCATATTTGGTGCTATTATTGCAAAGAAACACTACCTTAAATGGTAAATGCATTTTTAAAAAGCTAGTTTCACATTATTATGGAAATATAATTGGTAATAGCTGTCCTCTGTTTTAGGAGAAAGGTATTGATAAGAGTAGGATACAGCAAGATCCTAGGTGATCACACGGTTTGATTGTCCTGATTCCAAGGACAGTGCAAGGCATTGTTTTGTGGGGATGCTGAATTTATGTATCTGAATAAAGGTAGAGGAAGAGGACCCCACAGCTGGGTGCAGAGAGAAAATGATTGACAGACTTGGCTTAGTTAATTTTAATCTTTGTTTAACTCGGAGAAGTTCTAGGTAATTAACGGAATGGGTTGAGAGAGAGAAAGCGTGTGTGCATGCGCACAAAAGCACACGTTTCCCCTGGGGCCTCAGCGTTTCATTCTTCATGAACAAATACAGTACAGAATTCTACCTTCTCCATGGAATCTCTTTGGACCAAGCGCATCCAATATTAGTGCTTGGAGGCTCTGATGGCTTTGCTCTCATGTGTAGTGTATGCTTCCTCGTGTGTTTCCTGTGTGGATTTATTTTCAATAGATGGTTTTCTTTAAAAGCAGATTTTAAACCCCTGAACAACAGATGTCTTTGGCCTTTGTGTTCTTCAGCAGGAGACCACAGAAAGAGCCAGTTAGTTGGGTCCACGGTGCTGGGCCAGGGCTGGGCAGATCCTCCTTAGGCTCTGGCCCATCTTACTGGAGCAGAGCCATCTACCTGTGCACAGGTGACCCTTATCACGTCAGTAAGGGCAAAAGCAATCATTTGGAATTTTGCTCATTCTTTTTAAGTCTGCTTGCCTGCGATTGAACACTTAGCCTTCTTTAACCTGAGGATGAGTTTATGTAGGTAACTCACTCCAAAGTTCATGGGGGTAAAGGAAGACCCATGTTGAACTTAGAGTGGGAGGGCCTTGGGAATGTACCTGTGACTCCTGCACCCTCAGCAAGACCTTGTTGCTGAGTGGGCACCCTGGCATCAGTTGGCCTGATGTCAACCTGGTATGGTCATCATAGCCTCTCATGCCTTGGTTTTCATACCTGGAAAATGGGAAGCAAGATAGACTCACCTCAGAGGATTAAATTAATTAATACATAATACATTACAGTAAAAAGTAACCCCCTAAGAATGGTCACGCCAATCCCCAAAACCTGTAAATACGTCATGTTACACGGCCAAGGGGCTTTGCAATGTTATTAAGCCTTAAAAAGGGAGGAGCATCCTGGGTGAATCAGGTGGGCCCAGCCTATGGCCTGGGTCTGCTGTAATAAAGGGCCGCAGGCTGAAGGCTGAAACATGGAAGTGTGTTGTCTTATAGCCCCCGAGGCTGCACGTGGAGGTCAAGGTGTCATCACGGTTGCGGCCATGACAAGGAATCTGCTCCAGGCCATCCCTGGGCTCTGCTGGCTACTGGCCATCTTTAGCAGACCTTGATGTGTAGAAGGACCACTCTGATCTCTGCCTTCGTCTTTGCAGGACGCTCTGCTTGTATGTGAGTGTGTGCTTGTGTCCAAATTTCCTGTTTTTATTATAACACCAGTCATACTGGATTAGGGTCCACCCCAATGACCCATTTTATTTGGATCATCTACTAAGACCTTATTCCAAATGAAGTCATATTCACAGGTCCTGGGAAATAGACTTCAATATCTGGGGGCAAAATGCAACCCACAACAAGCCCTTTAAAGCAGGGATCTTTCTCTGGCTGGAGTCACAGAGATGCAGCAAAGGGAAAGGAAGAGAGACTCAAGGAACAAGAGGGGCTCAAGGCACTGTTAGGTCTGCAGATGGAGGGAGCCGTGTGACATGAGGTGCAGGTGGCCTTGAGTATCCGGCTCCCAGCTGACATCCACAGGGAAGTTGGAACTTTAACTCATGGGCTCAGAGAACTGAAAGCTGCCGGCAACATTTCTGGGCAGAAAATGTGTTCTCCTCAGATCCGCCAGATGCTGACCGACACCTTGATTTTGGCCTTGAGGAACCTGGAGCAGAGAAACCAGTGAGCCCACATGGCACTCCAACCGTCAGGCCAGAGGAGAGAAGAAACTCATGCTGTTTTAAGACTCTAAATGTGTGGCCATTTGTTATGGGAACAACAGGAAACTAATGCAAACAGTATAGAAATGTTTTTCACAGTGCTTGACTCTACAAATGTCAACTACTATTATATAATTATTCTTTTCTGAAATAGACCTGCATTGTCACTTGCTTAAATTCCCTGGATTTTTGTTTTTAGGATAAAGGTTTCTATGTGCATACACAACTCACCAAATCTACATTGGTGTCCTAAAAATATAGATGGAATAACTTGGTCTATTGGGATATGTCTCGTCTACTTTTAGAAATAATTGAATACATTAATTACATATGTTACTAAAATGATTCTTTCTTTGATGATGAGATGCCCTAAGCACGTTCAAACTATTATTTATTGAGCATGATCTTAGAGAAAAGCTGGTATCTCCTATTTAAATGCCATTTCTTTCTAGAGAGGGAAGCCTGCTGGCCTGAGGGCTTGGGTTGGATTTTTGTTTATCACAGTCATCATTCCCAAGTTGAGAGGCACTGTGGTTGAGTGCCCATGTCACCACGCTTGCCGAGAGTGTACCCAGGTTCCAGGGAGGTGAGCTCAGCCAGGAGTCAGGACCCAATTTTCTCGGTGAGCATCTTGGCTTCCCATCAGCAAAAGGGTTTAGGTGTTTGTAACAAATAATGACCACACATTAATTCGTATTTCCAGGAGTTAAAGGGAATGACAAGTCTGATGAGCCTGACAAATATATTTCTTTTACTGTAGAGAAGCCAGAACAGGTCTGAGCAGGTCCTACACATTCCTCAGCTATGGAAACATGTTCTTAATGGTGCCCAGCTGCCTGTCCTGTGCCCACGCAGTCCCTGAAGTTCTAAGTCCTCCCCACACTCCCCAGGCTCAGGCGTAAACCCTCTGCTAGTTCAGTAGAATTAAAAGATCCACCACGCTTCAAGCAAAAATGAGCTGTGCTGGGTCAGCCTTGCTGCCATAAAGTGGACAGTACTTTCTTCGGCACCTACCGTGTGTTTGAGGTTAAACTAATAGCTTTATTCACATTATTTAATGTAATCCTTTGATAACAAAGACCAAGTTGCTCTTCCCTCCCTGAGCTAAGCCATTTCCTCTTTCTAGGCTGAGAATACTGAGACCAGATGTCAATCACTACACTGTTGTTTCTAGGAAGACTTTCTCCTGGAAGACAAGACTGCTAACTGATTGAAGTAGCTTATTATGGAGACTAACCATTCACCCTCCAGGGCCCTCTCTTTGCCATACCGACCAACGCAAAGCTACTGTGCCTCCATGATGCCGATGTTCAGCCAGTTCCCTTCAACGCAAGACCTGCCTCTCAGGTGCCCGGCTCAGGGTTCTGACCCCTGAACATCTCCTGCCTGACATCCCCTGTCCTTCGGTCTGTAAAGGCAGCTTCCTCCCTCCCTGCACTAAGCCCAGTAGCCTTGCTTGATTGACAGATTCTCTCCAGGCCTTCTGGGAGGTCAACTGTGGACCTCTTCTGACGCTGAGAGGCTAATGTGATTGTCCCCACTTCATAGGGATGGAAACTGAGGCAAAGAGAAGAGAGTTGCTCACAAAGCCTGGGTTCTACTTCTCCCTCACACCTTGGTTTTGGTGACCAGGTTTTTGTTTCCTTGAGCAAGTCTAAGTTCTCAACAGGCCAGTCTCATCTTTGAGTCTCTGTGTCTGCGTCTCTGGCTCAGATCCCACTTCCTGTCCACTGGAGATGAGTCTGTCTCTGAAGCCCAGTTGGGCTGGCCCAGGGCACACCCCTTCCTGGCCACAGCCTGCCTGCTGAGTGCCAGCCCATAGCCGCCTGCCTGCTCCTCACTGCAAGCTCTGATCTGGGACTCACTCCCTTCCCTGGTACCCGATGTTGGGCATGTCTTAGAGCAAAGTCCAGTCCCTGTGGTGTGGCCCCAGACAAAGCCTTGGTTTTCATCTTCTTAATCTTTAATGCTCAATGCTGGAAATCTTGACAATACTTACTCTCTAGATTTCTGAAACAGATCACTCCGTAGCAGCAGTGACAATAAAGTTAACATTTTCTCATGCTCTTTAATTAATAATTTCATGACAGTTTCTGTGCCTTGTTACCTTGATAAATATAGTATTTTTCTGTTGCTGCTAAACAAACTACGCAATTGTAACAGCTTTAATAACACGTTTATCATCACTGAGTTTCTGGGGACTGGGAGTCAGGATCTGACTCAGCTGGGTCCTCTGCTTGGGCCTCCGCAGGCTGTAGCCAAGGTGTTGTCCAGGAGTGAGTTCTCATCAGAGGCTTGACTGGGAAGGATCTGCCTCCAAGCTCTCTCAGTTGTAGAATTCATTTCTTGTAGCTATAAGATTTTAAGAGAGTATAACTGTTTTCTGAGATTCTGTATTTCTCTATTTGGCATCCATTCATCGCAGGGCCAATTTATATTAACGAAATTTTCTTATTTTATGTGTTCTTGATACCATGGTATGTGAGGGCCTTACAGACCTAGGGAAAGACTGCCCTTCCCATGGCTGGCTAGTTCCTACATATAACCATAACCAATAATAACCTGCCCACAGCATGCCTTTCATATGCAAATTGATCCATCCTGATTCTACAGACACAGCCATCTGTTTATCAAACACCCGCATGCCAACCCAATATTATTCCTGCCCTGAATTTACCCAAGGCCAAGTACCAGACAACTCAGGACATCCCCTATGACCCAAGGCCACCAGAATTCTGCAAAGTAGCCAGCTCTAAACTGTTCTCTTTGATTTGCTCTGCCTTGCCTTTCCCATGGAGCCCCAGCACAGGGTCTGGCCTTGGCATTCCCTTGCTTCTGCTTCTGCCTCCCTACAAAACCTGTGCTTCTCCCTCCTGTGGCCCTGCGTGGCATGGCGTGGCATGGCAGGGTGGAGTGTGCCCTTTCTTCGGACATGCAAATAATAAAAATATTATTTTAGTGGCATTTGCCTCTTCATATAATCACTCAGTCATACCTCTATAAATGAAATCCTGGGCAGTTTTATAACTAGGATTCATGGCACCTTGCATTTTCAAAGCCAGATACAGAATGGAACTCCAGGGTGAGTCTACCGGAAAGATGAGTCTGACCCATGGCAAAGCCATCAAAGGTCAGGACCGACAGCCCATTGCCACTGCCAGATGCCATTGGCTAGAAGCACATCATGAGTCCTCCCAAACTCAAGAGAATTGGGTTCCCATTGGGAGGCAGGGATTGGGGGGCCACCTTTAAGTTTATCCAGCCCAATAAATGCATTTGCAACAAGATCATGTGAATTGAGTTTTTTAAAAACAAAGCAAAACAGATACATACATTTTACCAACTAGCACATTAACTTCTTAATGCTTATGGTTTAGTAAATCTAAGCTCTAAAATACTGTGCACTGCTAATGTGTTAGAAATACATAGAGGCTGCATGGATGCGTGCAATTGCACAGTGATGTGTCTAACTAGGTGATATGCCTGGCTCAGTAGGTGTTCACTTTGATTTAGTAGATTACGTGTCTGTTTCAGCAGAAAATTCATGTTGTGTCAACAGGTAACGAGCACATCTGATTTCATTCTTGATATATATGGCTCAATTGGTGATCTATTTCTTTTTAGTTGGTGTTTATTTTTCCTATGAATGATTTATCTGTTTTAGAATGAACTGTGTCAACTACTGCACATGGTATATTAATTTCAGTGTGTTATGCAAACATTTCCTGGGTAATACACCTTATTCCATCTTTATTTGCTCTCACTAGCAACATCATATCTTTTCTTTATTTGAATTAAATAGCTTTTCAAAGAAGGCTATTCTCCTTGAGGACTGCAGGGTGATGGGTGATGCAGGGTGCATGGAAAGGGAGGTTTCATTTAGAGAACATTTTTTATTACTTCTGGCATGAGAGTGTTTAATACATTAAGCATTTAGCTCCAAACACTACAGAATGTGCCATGATGTAATTGTATAAAGTTGGGTTACATATTTTCTCTATAGTTCCAACCAAAGATTGAATTATTGAGATATTAAAGGAGTTTTAAACTATTTAAATATATGTAATATAACATGTGACTTAATGAAGACACAAGAGAATAGATATGACTATTTGCATTTCACAGCAGCAAGTGAACATAGCAGCAGCCATGGAGAAACATGGCATGGGCAGGCAGCTCATCAGAACACCAGATCCCTTCCATTGAGAGAAAACTGTCAGGCCTGTTTCCCACTGCCATGGTATGCTTTCCTGCTCCATCCTCCAGATTCCAAAATCACACTACTGCCTTATCCAGAGCTATCACTGTGCATCAGGCTAGTGCCCGATCTGGAATCGTCAACATATACCAAGCAGTGCCTGATCTGGAACCATCACTTTACACATGGCAAGCACCTCATCTGGAACCATCACTGTACACAAGGCAGTGCCTGATCTGGAACCATCACTGTACACCAGTCAGTGCCTGTTCTGGAACCATCACTATACACCAGTCAGTGCCTGTTCTGGAACCATCACTATACACCAGTCAGTGCCTGATCTGGAACCATCACTGTACACGAGTCGGTGCCTGATCTGGAACCGTCACTGTACACGAGTCGGTGCCTGATCTGGAACCGTCACTGTACACCAGTCGGTGCCTGATCTGGAACCGTCACTGTACACCAGTCAGTGCCTGATCTAGAGCCATCACTGTGAACAGGCAGCACCTGGCCTGGAACTGTCAGTATGCAGTGGCTAGTGCTTCATCTGGTTGCATTTAGGAAATAGTAAAGGAGTTTTAAACTGTTTAAACATAGCCTTGACTGCAGACAGCACTGAGTGGCTGACATATATAACATAACACAGCATAACAACCCAACACAACACTAGAATAATGTCAGATCCAGAGCCATTACTCCACATAAGGCAGTATCTGATTTGGAACCATTACACTATACTAGGGCAGTGCCAGGTCTGGAACTGCAACTCTATCCCAAGCTGATGATCAAACTCATTATTCTGTGTGTGTGTGTGTGTGTGTGTGTGTGTAATTTGTGGTATAATCTGCATACGGTAAAATGCTCTGCCAAGTTTAAGAGCATCATTTGATCAGTTTTCATAAATGTGTTCCTCAATGCACAGCATATCCGTCACCCAGAAAGTTCCTCCCTGCCAATTTCTAGTTGATCCTGCTCACCTCGCAAATACTCATGTATCTGACATCTACCACCATAAGTTAATTTTGCTTATTTTAGAGAATGTCATGAACATTGAATCATGTAAGTTTCTTCTCGTGTTCAGTTTCTTTCATTGAGCTTGAAAGTGTGGATACTCATCTACACTGTTGTGTGCATCAATACCGTGTTCCTTTTGATGCTGAGAGGCATCCCCTTGCATAGAACGCACAGTGGATGCTTCCATTCTAGGGTGGATGTCATTTATGGTTTAGACTAATATGGATAAAGCAGCCATGCACATTCTTGTATAACACTTTCTGTAGGTATAATTTTATTTCTCTTGGATAAATACTTAGAAATTTAATTGTTGAATTATTTCTCTTGGATAAATACTTAGAAATTTAATTGTTGAATTATTTCTCTTGGATAAATACTTAGAAATTTAATTGTTGAATTATATGATAGATGTATTTTAATTTTTTTTAACCGCCAAAAAGTTTTCAAAAGTTGTTTTGACGTTTTACGCTCTAAACAAGTAAGAGTTCTGGTTGTTCTACGGCCTCTTCAACATTTATTGTTGTCAAACTATAAAAATTTCAGTCTATCTAGTGAATATACAGTCATATTTTATGATGGTTTCAATTTGCATTTTCCTGAGATCTAAAGATATTCATCACATTTTCATTTGCTATTTGTATGTCTTCTTTTGTTTGCTCCTGTTCAAGCCTTGAGTGTATTTTTATTTATTTTAATTGGGCTGTAGGAGTTATTTATACAAGAATTTTTGTATAAATACATTGCTAATGTATTTATTGCTAATACATCAACCACTTTGTGACTTTATCATCAAGATTTTTTTGATGGGCATAAATTTTTAATTATGATAAATTTTAATTTATCATTATTTTAAGATTCTACCCCCTTTTTTTTTTAATTCTCCGGGAAATCTTTGCCTGTCCTAAATTTGAGAAGTGATTATTCTGTTCTTCTGATTTCTACTAGAAGATTGAATGTTTTCACTTTATATTGTGCGTAGTGTAAAATAAAAATATAATTCCTTTTTTTTTTTTTTGCTTTTACATATTCAGTTGTTCCAGAACCATTTGTTGAAGAAATTTTCTTTTTTCCATTGAGTTTCTTTGTCATCCTTGTTGAAAATTATTTGATTTGGTAAGTGTGGGTCAATTTTGGGATTTCCTACATTGCTACATTGTTATATTTTTAAATCACTTTTTTAATCCCTCTTTGGGGTAATTACTGTACCTTTGTATTTTCTTGAATGTATATGGATGATGTTCTTTAATTTTGTTTTTCTATTTGAATCTGGATATTCATATGTTAATTACTATTTTTGTCCTTTGTCTTTCCAAATAAATTTTAAATAATCTTGTCGATTTTTAGAAAAAAAATCTGTAAAAAGTTTTATTGGAATTGCATTGAAATAAATCAATTTTGGAAACACTGACATCATAATAATGAATCTTTCAACACGTGAACATGGTATATCTCACCTTTATTTAAATTTCCTTTAATTATTCTCATCAGCATTTTATAGTTCCCAGTATATAGTCCCACATATTTTTTGTTACTACAGAGTTGACATTTTTTGATGCTATTGTAAATGATACTGATTTTTCCATTTTATTTTCTAATTGTTCATTTCAAGTATATAGGAATTTAATTTCTTCTTTTTTTTTTTTTTTGAGACGGAGTCTGCTCTGCCTCCAGGCTGGAGTGCAGTGGCACGATCTCAGCTCACTGTAATCTCCACCTCTCAGGTTCAAGTGATTTTCCTGCCTCAGCCTCCCGAGTAGCTGTGATTACAGGTGTGCGCCAGCACACCCAGCTAATTTTTGTATTTTTAGTAGAGACGGGGTTTCACCATGTTGGCCAGGCTGGTCTCGATCTCCTGACCTTGTGATCCGCCCGCCTTGGCCTCCCAAAGTGCTGGGATTACAAGCATGAGTCAACACGCCTGGCCGGAATTTAACTTCTTAATATTGAATTCTGCAACATTGTCAAGTCTACCTATTAGTTCTAATAATCTTCTTAGATATTCATTAGCATTTATGCTACACAATTATGGGATCTGTGAATAAATCCAGTTTTACCTCTTTTTAATCTGAATGTCTTTTATTGTTTTGCTGTCTTGGCTAGAGTTTCGTATTAATGTTGAATAAGAGCAACGAGTGTGGACCTCCATGTGTCATCCTCAAACTTAGGTGGAAAGCACTTAATTTCTCACCGTTATGTGTGAAATTCACTGTTGATCGTGCAGTTAGTGCCTTGATCAGGAATTAAAGGAAGGCTCTTTTAATTCCTCAGGTGCACAGTGTTACCATAAATGCTTTTGTATTTTGGCAAGTGCTATTTTTCTATGTTTATTAATATGATTAGATGACTTATTTCCATTCTCAATCTATTAATGTGGCAGATTCTATTGATTAATTTTGTTAATATAATCATATGACTTGTTTCTGTCCTCAATCTATTAACATAGTAGATTATATTGATTAATTTTGTGCATTAAACAGATCTTTCATCTTTATTAAGTACACCCAGCTTGATCAAGGAGTCTATTGTTCTGTACATATATTGCTGAATTCGGTATCTAGTATTTTTAGAGGATTTTGTGTCTAAAATCATGAGAGACACTAGAGTTTAATTTTTTGGTTTTGTCATCAAGGTTTTATCTAATGGCCTCACAAAATAAGTTAGATGTGTTTTCTCTTCCTCTGTGTTCTAAAAGAGTTGTCTGTGTTTGAAATTATTTCCCCCTTAAACATCTGATAGAAATACAATCAGTAAAACAAGCTTGTTGAACCCACGGCCCGAGGGCTGCATGCCGCCCAGGATGGCTTTGAATGTGGCCTAACACAAATTTGTAAACTTTCTTAAAACATTATGAGATATTTTGGCAGTTTTTAAAAAACTCATCAGCTGTTTCTAGCGTTAGTATATTTTATGTGTGGCCCAAAACAATTGTTCTTCCAATGTGACCTAGGGAAGCCAAAAGATTGGATACTCCTGCAGTACAACTTTCAGGGTTTGAAGTTTTCTTTGTGGTAAGATTTTTACTTCATAATTTATCATACTCAATGGACATGTGTCTACTTAGATTTTCAATTTCTTTTCAGTTTTTTTTAAATTATCAATTTTCTCTAAGGTGCTTTATTTATATTAATAAGCGACTTAGTTGTTGTTATATATCCACTAAGTTACTGCTATATATCCACTCTTACCATTTTCATCTGTGGGATCTCTAATGATGTTTGCTCTTTGTAATTTGTGCAGAGAGCTTCATCACAAATGCTGTGTCCTCTTTTCCCCTTTGTGAATCTTGCTAGAGGTTTCCCAATTTGATTTATATTTTTAAAGAAATAACTTCTGACTTTGTTGAACTTTCTCATTGTTTTTCTGGTTATTCTTTACATTTCACTGACTTCCACTCTTATTCGTAATATTGACTCTTCTTTATATTTGGAATTTAATTTTTTTCTACCTCTTTAGATATAAATAGAAGAAATGTATTTTATACCTTCCATCTTTTCTAATACAGGCATCTAAAGCTATAAATGTACTTCCGATGACTGATTTAGCTGCATTTCAAAACTTTTGACGTGTTATGGTATCATTAATCAATTACATTTTTGTCTCTTCTGTTGTGGTTTCTTCCTTAATTCATGAGTTATTTAGCTTTTTAAATATTTAATCTCCAAATATTTAAGATTTTCTAGAAATCTTATGATTATTGCTTTTTATATGACTACCACTCTTTTCAGAGAACATGCTTTCTATTATTTTGATGCAATATAAGGTCTCTGTAGGCGAACATTCCCTGTGACTCCACTCTTGTTGGGAATAGTGGTCTATCATTAATAGATCAGGTTAGTTGGTTGATGCTTTACTATCTTAGACTTTTGGAAAGTTTTGGTTTCAGGGTGCTGTCACAATCTTTTATTGGCCAATTTATGGACAGGTAAAGAAAGCTTTTGTGAAACGGGGAGCAATCTGGTGTGGTGAAGTCATTGGCTGATAACAGAAAGGAGGAGTGCGGTGAGGCGGAGATGGTCAGTGGAGTGGCACCCATTCCTGGGGAGTGGCCCCTTCTACCAGGTACAGATGACCTTTCTCCACCCATCCCTAGGGAGTGGGTCCCTCCTACAAGCCACAGATGACCTTTCTCCACCCATCCCTGAGGAGTGGGCTCCTTCTACAGGCCACAGATGACCTTTCTCTACCCATCCCTGAGGAGTTGGCCCCTTCTATAAGCTACAGATGACCTTTATTCCCCCTTGTAGTCTGCTCTAGGGGCCAGCAGTCCTTTTTTTAAAACAGCCAGGTAGTAAATATTGAACATAATAAACACTGTGGGGCAAGAGGCAAAATTGGGGCTATTACATAAGGTACTTACATAACCCTATACACATATGGTGCTTATATAATTTTAAATATATTTAAAATTCTTCAACTGTAGTGTGTAATAAAACAGATAATTGGCCAGTTCTGGGCCACTGGCCATAGTTTGTCCGCCTTTGCATCATGTCCTGAGAACATTCTGCTCAACACTGGATCAAAAGGATAAAACAGATGACAAATTGAATGAGTTTTTCGGCAAAATTTGAGATTTGGGTGAAATGCAGTTAAACAGAAAGTTTTTATTGTGAAATTCTCAGGGTCTAATATACAACATAAATTAGGAATCTCCAAAAGGGGCTTAAAGAAGAAAGTACTGGCCAGGGGTGGCGGCTCACACCTGTAATCCCAGCACTTCAGGAGGCTGAGGCGGGTGGGTCACCTGAGGTCAGGAGTTCGAGACCAGCCTGGCCAACATGGAGAAACCCCGTCTCTACGAAAAATACAAAAATTAGCAGTCGGGCGTGGTGGTGCAGGCCTGTAATCTCAGCTACTTGGGAGGCTGAGGCTGGAGAATTGCTTGAACACAGGAGGCCAAGGTTGCAGTGAGCCAAGATCACGCGACTGCACTACAGCCTGGGCAACAAGAGTGAAACTCCATCTCAAAAATATAATAAAATAAAATAGAAGAAAGTGCTTCCACTGTGGTTTGAATGTATATGTCCCCTCCGAAATTCATGTATTGAAACTCAATCACCAATACGATAGTATTAAGAGGTACGGCCTTTAGGAGATGATTAAGCCAGGAGGTCAAAGTGTAGAGAAGGGCATCCGGGCCTTTGGAAAGGGGCTTCACACAGCACTCGGTTGTCTTCCGCCCTTCTGATATAGGAGCTGAAAAGAAATTATTTAGGCAGATAGCGAGGGTAAGAGAGTTCTCAGTGAAATTTCCTTTTAATAAAAAACAGCCTCCAAATCATTTCTTTTCTAACAAAAAGCAGCCTGAAAAATCAAGCTGCAAACATAGATAAGCAAGCTGGAAGCCTGCATGGTAAATGCCGGCAGCTGTGCCAGTAGAAAGGGGTACCTGAAAGCCAGGTATGTTCAACATGGAGGTTCCCTCTGCTGTTTTCTTTGGTGCCACATGTGCAGAAAAGCAGAAGGGAAGGTGGCGCCGGCCGGGTAGAGAACCCATCTACATGATAAAAGCTTAGGATGGGGTGGCCACCTTCTTCGCACACTATAAATGGCACACCTGGTCCAACCAATCCTCTGCCCCCTATGTAAATCAGACACCATCTCCTCAAGCTCATCTATAAACCAACCACATTTCACCGTGAGCTGGGGAAATCCACTCAGAACCCCCTCCCTCTGCACAAGGGAGCTTCTCTCTTTTGCCTATTAAACTTCCTTGGCATGAGGCAAGGAACCTCGGGTATTAGCCCAGATGAATGACGCCACTGCACTTCCATCCCTTCCGCCCTGTAAGGACCCAGCGCTCCTCCCTCCTGGGGATGCAGAAACAAGGCGCCATCTTGGAAGCCGGGATACTGATACATTTCTATTGTGTGTAAGTTACCCAATCTCTTTGTACTGTTTCGCTGTAGCAGTACAAAGGGCAAAGGCAATAGATTGGTTTCATTTTGCTAAGGTTCTTGTGGGTCTGGAGGTCTGGTGTGCCTTCAGACAGTCTAGAAAACATGGGTGGAAACCTAGCTTTTGAAAACTAACTCTCCCTTTTCACTCTTGGTATTCTAAATATGGAAATTGCTGTGACCTATTGTGTTTTGTAAATTTTAGAAATTAATTACTCTTACTTCTAATAGGATATCTTGTGCTGCAAAATGTAAGTTATGACTGAATCCACTGGCAAGAGAAATAAACAAGGCTACTGCTGAATCTTGTACATTGATGATGTAAAATACATAGAAAATGACAAATCCTTACAAACTTGAGTTATACAAGTCAATGCCAGCAGTCTCTCAGCTATTATGTTTCAAGCACTTCACCTCGTCTGTATTTCACTTGGGGTTTTAAGTTTGGGTGCAGGTTTTAAGGTAAATAAAGCCTGAATTCCAAGCTGCTTCTGTACTCATGATGACCCTGACTTTATTAGTAATGGGATCTAATGACATCACTTTTTGACATTCATGATCTTTAACCTAGTTTGATCTAAACCAGACTCCTTGGGAATGATATCATTAAGGTAAATCCCTGAAAGGAGACCCAGTCACTTTAGTATGAACCATTTAGAGGTATTAGGTTACTGGGAATGGCTTCACCTATCACTTTTTTCTTCCTTGGGCAATACATACCATATCAAAACTGCAGAGAAGGGCAGCGGATAATTGTTGTTTTTAGTAATAACACTCCCTCTAAGTCATACCAGAATTCTAATTATGCATATGGGTAGACTTATTTAAATGTGGCTTTTTTTTTTTCCTTAAGCAGATCTTAACTCTTAGAGTCTACACTTCCCTCCACATTTGAAAAAAAATGTCTAGCATTAATGCAAAGGTAATTTTAGATACACCTTGTGTTTGTGTGTATAGGATAAAGTACCAGTGTCTATATGAATATGCTCCTCGCTCTAGGAAAAAGTTGTGAGAATTATCGACAAATATTTTATATATGAACCAAATCTGTACATGCAAAAGGGTATGTCAGGGCCCCTGCCTGCCTGTCTTCTTTGCTGCTGTCCCAAGATCTGGTCATGTTTTCTGTTCCTGCTCCCAGAAGCCTCCTCTCTGGTCTCCTGGTTTCTACTGATGTCCCCAAAAAGCATTCTCTAAAGAGCAGCAGAGTGTTGACCTCACATGTCAAGGCTAAAATGAAACTACCTCCACACCCAGCTATGCCAGCCAGTCCTACAATATTGATAAAGTGTTAGTATTAATAAATACTAACTGGATAAACTATCTCCAGCAAGAATTACCATTGTTTTCTTGATCTGACAGAGACATGAGACTTCATTTTCTTCCTCCTCTTAAATCACTAGTTCATACATCTGATTCGGAAAAAAAAAATTAGCAAACTCTTCAGAGAAGAAAAGCAATGCATCTCAAATTATTACTAGAAAAAAGTACTTTATATTCTCGATAAATGTGAACTTCATCATACTACAAAGATGCACTGTAACTCCTGATAAATTATCCCGTCCACCTTTGCAAAGCTCCTGAGTAATTGCTATGCTAAGCTGGTTGGGTAGGACAAACCCCTCAACATTTGGCTTATGCAGAAATGAAGGTATGAGCTCCTGGGTGTGCCTGGCTTCCGGTACAGGTGGCCATGTTTCTAAGAAGAGAACCCAGGTTTGTTGGCCTCAGCTCAGTTTGTGCTGCTTCTGCCGCAGGTCCTGTGTGTAAAGGGGTGCTCGGGATTCAAGACCTGTGGGCCACAGCAGGAGGCCGGATACCAGGAACCTGGACAAACTCCTGTTTCCCCGATTGGCTCTGACTGGGCCCCAGCCAGTTTCTCACCAAACACTCCCCATAGCTGGGCCTGTGATGAGCTCCTTTCCTCCTGGCTGCTCCTGGCTTCACCTGTGAGGTGTGTTCAGGAAAGTGGATGCTGGGATCAGGCATGGGGAGGGCTGGTTTCCCCACGGGTGCTGTCAGAAGCTCTGTTAGTTCTTCCTAGCTGAGGAAAGTCTTACCAACAAGACCCACTATGAGTAGCAAGCTGCAGTGCCACCTCTGCCAACACCAGGGGCAGAGACCAAAGTGGAAGCCACTGTCTGCTGGCCCCTGGTTAGGTGACATGGTGGCAAGTCACCCAGCCTCCCCAGGCTGAGTTTCCCAGTTTCCTCCTCTGTGAAATGGGAATCATGCTTCCCACGGATGCCCCTCTAAGAAATATAGTGAGACTGGGGGGACCATGCCCATGAATTGTATCTGTGAACTATCAATTGATTGCTGTCATAGCCTTCTATTGGAGGACTGAAACAGGATTCCAGGGGCAGGAAGGCAGGAGGAGGGAGGTTAATATGCGTATGTGAGGCTTTGTCTGTCTACGGCTGGCTGCAGCTCCTGGATTGGTCTACCATTTGCCTGCATTAACACGAGTTCCCTTCTTTTAAAGTCAGGAGTTTCCAATACTTCAAAAAGTGTAATGGGAGGTAACTTAATAATGTGTGATTTATGTAGCCATCAGAAGAAATATCAACGTCTCCATCCTGGAAACAAATCAAAGTTCAGATATGGATGCAAACACTAATTACTTTTAACAAGTGCAAGGGAGAGGTGAGCAGAGGGCAGGATTGAATTTTGCCCAGCCAGACAGCCGGGCGCGTGATAACCTGAGATTTTGCAAGGCCCAGTGTGGTGTGCACAGGAAGTATCAGGATGTGGGCCATGTCGACCGGGCCCTCATCCGCCCTTTGAAGTTTCCAGAGTGAGAAGGGACAAACATCCATCTCCAAGCGCCCCAAGTCCTGCGGGCTGCTTTGGGTTACTGAGGAATGTGCACTTATTGGAAACCTGAGCCCACGGTCCCTAAAAAGTTGGGCTGTGGCGGGGCAAGGAGTGACCCTGTCAATTTAGACAGCTGCTAGACCACTGCTCGGAGCAAATTATTACAGCAGCGGTGATCTTCCTGATGGGAAAAAAGCAAAGGGCATCTCTTTAAGCCCCACTGGGTCAGCTTTCGCCTTGAAGATTCGTGTGAGAACTGGAGCCTCGGGAGAATTAGAGCCATGCCAGGGCTGAGGCTGAAGGACAAACAGGCTGCTAGATAGGGGAATGGAGACTCAAACACAGATAAACCTAAAAGACACTGGCCTCTCTCTGCATGCATCCATTACTGTCCTGCGACAGTCTCACGTTTAGAAAACTCCAAGCTCACAACATAACTCACGCAGCAGTTATCTAGGAGTGGTTCTGCACCAGGTGGTCAGATGATTCCACCCACTGTGTCCCAGTGCCCTCTTCCGTCCGCCAGCACCTGCAGTGCATTTAAACTTGGAATTCCTGCTGCACGCAGCTCAGCTGCCGCAGAAATCGGGGTGTGGGTCTCTCATATGTGTTCACTGCAGAGCAACTTCAAATGGCTGTGAATAAAATGCTTCTTTCTATCTTAAGGCTTGAGAGTGAGAAGCAAGTCGGATTTTACAATAGTACTTTAAAGGTTTAGCAGTTTGAGAATGGGAAAAGGCAGGTTTCCCAAGGGAGCCAAACTTGAAGCAAAAGTGCAGGAGGATCTTGCATTTGTTCCCTCGCAGCTGGCGGTGGGGCAGGCTGGGGGCCCCTGGTCCAGCAGCATGCGCCCCTCACAGACCAGCCCCACCCCCCACCGCACCCCGCACCCCAGTGCATGTGGTTCATACTTGGGAGGGGCTGCCGGCTGCACAGTTCCCTTGCTAGCCTCTCCCCAGCCGTCCTCTCCCTTCAAGGAATAATGGGGAATTCTAGTGAGCGAGATCATCTCCCTATAAGGGACAGCCTGAAGTCTAGGGAGTTTAAATTACATCCTTCAGCAGATGAGGGCCTGGCCCAGCAGTGTTCTCGCTGGGGAGGGAAGCTTGGCGGGTGGTGGCAAGAGAGGAGAATTCCTTTCACACACATTCTCGTGCCTTTGGAACTTGGTCTGTAGATTGGCCATTTGAAGTATCAGGGAACTCAAATGTTTAAAAGTTAAACTTCACATACTTAAAATATTTAGTATGAGACTGTATAACTGGCAGTGCAGCGGTGCCCAGGGGACCTGAGCCATGGAAGTTTCAGGAACACCAGGCCTGCTGCGTGCAGGTGCTCCAAGCGCACCCCCAGCAGTGAGGACTGGACTCTGTAGCCACTCAGGCCGCCTCAGACTGCCATCCAAAGGCCTGGAGAGAGTGGAAATGCTCACTTTCAACAAGCACCCAGGGGCTTCTGAGGGAGAAGTTCCCAAGACTACACTGGGAGGAAATATTACTCTTTATTCCAGTTTTCTTGATGTTAATGACAATTAAAATCCATGTCACAGGGTTGCGGTGAGGAGCAAATTGAAATAAACCTGATAGCACTTTAAAAAGTGCACGGGTGTCCTGCGACTGCTGTAACAAATGACAAAAAACTGGCGATTCACAAAAGCGGAAGTTCATCCTCTCAAAGCTCTGGAGGCCGGAAGTCTAAAAGCCCCATGTCTGCAGGGCTGCACTCTCCAAAGGCTCTGGGGGAGGAAGCGTCTTTGCCTCTTCCAGCTCCCCTTGGCTGCTGTGCTCCTGGGCTCGTGGCCATATCGCTCCAGGCTCTGCCTCTGGGGCCACGTCGTCTCCTCCTCTTCTGTCTGGGTGAAATCTCCTCCACTTTTCTCCTATAAAATATTTGTTCTTGAATTTAGGGCCCACTTGGATAATCCAGGGTGATCCCCCCACCTCAAGATTTTTAACTTAATCATGGAGATAGCTTTTTTCTAAATAAGGTCACATTTACAGGGATTCAGAGGGGGACATATCTCTTTGGGGCCACCATCAACCCACATACTCAGTGCAGGACACACAACTGCAACAATATGACTGTGTCTACTGCCCCGTCACATTCTTTGGTCATGAAAGCCAAGCCGTCTGCACTCCTCTCTGACACGCTTGGCTTGGCCAATTGGCTTCTTCCTGCAGACTACAGAGCGGCTGTTCTGGGAAGCTCCTTTCTGCTGCAGAGACACACAGCCCTTCCCGCACCAGGCCGAGGGTCAGCTCAGCAGGGGCCTTTTCTGGGGAAGGTGCAGTACTCCAACGGTCAGCCGGGCTCCCAGCGCTGTGTCCATGGCTGGCTCTGCCTCCTACTCACCCCTACCCGCCTGGCCTCTCCCTGCTTCTCCTCCTGCTAACCCCTGCCCACCCTGCCTCTCCCTGCTTCTCCTCCTGCACTCCCCCTGGCCTGGCCCTCTGCATCTTGTGTGTGCCTCTCGCTCATCCTTGGGGCCTGCCCTCTGCAGACCTTGCTTTTGAGCCTGGTGCCCCTATGTGGGATCCTCACTGTCCTGGTGGACGTTGACAATTGTGAAACTGCCCAGCAAAGTCTGATGGCGGGTGGCTGCTCCACAGGGCCTGTGTGGTGCCCCCTCACCGTGTCGTGACCTTCCCTCCCATGGGCGGCACTGGCCTTGGGGACAGGCCCAGCACCCTCAGAGACCTCCACACTTGCTACGTTCTCGCATCTGAGGAATGTGGTAGTATGTCATAAACCTGCGAATAGTATAGAAAAGTAAGCTACAAAGTAGAAAATTGCTATGAAAGCAGATTCTTACATAACCATGTCCGATCGCTGCTCATCTGGTCCCTCAGCCTAACCCAGCACAGTCCATTTCACACAGGATCCCACTCTATGCATGGCCAGGGCACAGGTGGTGACCATGCCAGAGGCTGAGCCAGCTTGTTCTAGAATCTGCCATTCATATTCTAGCTGCCCAGATGACTTGCTTGGGACAGCCCCAGGAAGAGGGTGGGGTCATGGTGGAGGGCGGGGCAGGCGCTGTTCCCTCAGACACGGAGTCCACATCTCGGGATGGGAACCCTGAGAGGTGCAGGCCTTGGCCAAAAGAAAGGGGCATTCCTATTCCTCTTCTAGCCCAGAATCGAAGGGAAGCAGGTGATCCACTGGACTCCTAGGGACTGCACGCTCCAGCCCGCGCCAGGGAGCCCCTCACCAGCTTGTGTCGGTCTCTGCCATGCCTATGGCTGGTTCTCCTTCATCATTGTCACCCCAGCCTTCATCCTGCCCCGGATTCAGAGCCCCTTGTTGGTCTTGCATGGCGGGGAGGAGCCCCCAAGACAGCGTGTGTTGAAGGTCACCACGTCTCAGTCCACCGGTGAGGGGCAGTGCCCCCAGCGACATGCGGTGTTTTAAGCAGGTCTGACCCCTGGCCGCCTCCACATGTGCACACCCATGTAAAGTCAGTTTCCTCCCAGGACATGTAGAAGGTTTGGAAGGTGATGCCAAGCGACGTGCCTTCCTCAGCCACAGCCTCCACTGGGCACCCCGAGTGGTGGCCTTTCCCGCTTTTTTTCTGGAACACCCAGCAGGCTCCCTGATGGGGGCAAACGCTGGCCCTGGACACACAGGCCCTGAGTGGCCATCAGTGAGTGCCTGGCATCAGACACAGGATACAAGGACTTATCCCTCAGGGCTCCTGGAAGACAGGACCGGAAAACAGAGTCCCTGAACTGTTTCCTGAAGACGAGCAGAGCAGCTATGGGTGCCCTGGAGGGGACATGGCCCTCTGCCAGGTTTGGGCCATCCAGTTGGATGCCTTGAAGGAGGCGGCAAGCATTTCATTTTTGTGACAACTGAGCATATGCAGCTTGGAATGAAAGGAAGGAGATGTTTTACTTCTTAAATAAACACATGTCCATGTTCCTCTCTCCAGAAGCGTGAAAATGCAATTACATAGAATATATCCTGTGCACTCCAGAGCAGGGGACCCGAGAAGAATCACCTCTGGTGATGGAACCCCTTTCTCAGTCACCTCAAACACGTGGCCTGTGCTGGTCCATCACCACCTGCTGTGGTGGATTCGGGCAGGACCGAGGCCAGGGGCAGTCCGGGCTTTGCCCCATCATCACTCAGGAGGCCAGGTGTGGTCTCCTCTCTGTGCGGAGCCTCCTCACCTTGCTCTGGGCTCGTGGCCGTGGCTCTTCTCTCCATCTGGAGCCGCCTCGCCTCCCTGCGCACTCGTGGCCATGGCTCTCCTCTTTGTGCGGAGCCGCCTCACCTTGCTGTGCGCTCGTGGCCGTGGCTCTTCTCTCCATATGGAGTCGCCTCACCTCCCTGCGCACTCGTGGCCGTGGCTCTCCTCTCTGTGTGGAGTTGCTTCACCTTGCTGTGTGCTCGTGGCCTCCTGTGACTTATCAGAAGCTCCACTGTGAAGGAGCAGAGAGGTGTGTGGAGAGGGAGGATGAGGTGCATCCCATGGGCAGAATTGCCATTTCTCTGCACTCTGGGGAGACCCATCTGCTGATTGTGACCTTACTGAGCCCCTCTGTGCCCCCTGCCCCCAGGCCTGAGTGCCTGTTCCAGGGGAGGAGATGGGTCAGATGCCTCGGGCATGTCCTAGTGCAGCTCTCATGGCACCCAGGGGAGAACATGACCTGACAAAGCCACACGCTCATTGTGGTTCCAAGCAGACCCCTGCCTGGTGGCCTGAGCTCAGACCCTAACCCTGTCCCTCACTGTGGACTTCTTTCCTTAACTTATTTGTGCCTCAGTTTCCTCACCATAAAATGGGATAATTTGCTAAGAGGTTTAATGAGTTAATTCATGTAAAGTGCTTTGAAGAGTACCTGGCTCAGAATGCGCACAAAACTTCCTCTGTGGTGGCGGCGATGGTGGCTGCAGTGGCGGCGGTGATGGTGGTTAATAGGCATGCCAGTTGCAATGATATGCAGAGAGAGCAATGGAGAGCTCAGAGAAATATGGAAGGGCAGCCCCTGTTGCATGGAACAGTCAATGGGGGATGTGAGCAGGAGCAAATGCACACCCAGCAGTCGGGAGGGGGTGTCTCCTGACCTGGGATTCAGGAGAGAGAGCCCAGGACCACACTCAAGGCCTTGATTCCAGACCACGTTCTGGGTTTCATTTTCTGGTGTGAGTTTATGGAGTTCACTGCTTTCTATTTGTCTCAGTTTCTTGTGACAAATAATAGCTGCCTTACCGAGATAAGAAAATGACAAAATGAATGAGAAATTAAATTGAGAAGCTAAAAGCATTGTATAAATTTCTACCATGAAGGCCGCAAATTTAAAATCATCCATCAAAACTTTAGACAAAAGCATAAAATCATCCATGATGTTAAGCCCCAGCCCGAGCCTCCCCTGAGCCCCCAGGCTCTACTAGGAGGAAGGCACTCTCCCTCCTCTCAGGCAGTCATGCCCCCTCCTGGGTATGATGCTCCTGAAGCACGAGGGGCTGCTGCCGATGGCCCCAGAGCCTTGGGCACATGGGAGGTCACGGTGGCAATTGGAGAGAAGACCTCCTCCCCGGATCCGAGGACCTCAGTGGAAAGAGGCCACCTCCTTCCTGCCCTGCAGGCCTGAAGGTGTGAGCAGAAGAAGCAGAAGATGTGGGGAAGCTGAGGCTTGGGCTGGCCCAAGAGGGGCAGGGACCGATGCCTGCTTTGTTCATGGCAGAGTGAAGATTGGAGCTTTCTCTGCTGAGGATGCAGGTGGACCTTCAGGTTGAAGCCCCTCAAGCCCAGAGGCCCGGGAATGGTGCAAGGTGCTCAGCCGAGAACTGTTCCCCCTGGGAGGACTGTGCAGGTGTCCACCAGGTGGGCGTCAAAGGCGAGGGGCGGCTGGTGTGGGAGTGTGGAGGGGGCCATGCAGGAGTTGCTCCTGGACGGAATGAAGAGAGCAGCAGAGGAGAGGTTAAAAAGGAATCCTGCCCGGCGCGGTGGCTCACACCTGTAATCCCAGCACTTCCGGAGGCCGAGGTGGGCAGATCACCTGAGGTCAGGAGTTTGAGACCAGCCTGACCAACATGGAGAAACCCCATCTCTACGCCTGTAGTCCCAGCTACTCAGGAGGCTGAGGCAGGAGAATTGCTTGAACCTGGGAGGCGGAGGTTAGGGTGAGCTGAGATCGTGCCATTGCACTCCACCATTGCACACCATTGCACTGGGCAACAAAAGCAGAACTCTGTCTCAAAAAAAAAAAAAAAGGAATCCAAATACACAGACCTCCAGGAAGGGGGCTGCCAACACCGTGAGAAGCTCTCCTTTTTCATGTGCGTGCCTTCCAGTGGGAATGCAAACCGCCACAGCCTCACTGGAAGTCCACTGGGCAGCTTCCTATGGAACTGGGCACACTCTTACCACACACTCCAACATTCCTGCTCTTTGGTATTCTCCAAATTAACTGAAAACTTCTGTCCACACCAAAACCTGCACACGGATGTTTATAGCAGCTTTATTCATAATTACCGAAACTCAGAAGCAGCCAAGATGCCCCTCAGTCAGCGAGGGGGTGAATTAAGCTGTGCTGCACCCACACAGTGGAATCTTACTCAGCACTAAAAAGAAACGAGCCAGGAGGCTGCGAAAAGGCATGAAGGAGCCTGTCATGAGCACCCCTCAGTGCTATGGACTAAAGGTTTGTGTTGCACCCCAAATTCCTCTGTTGAAATCCCGATCCCCAAGACGATGGTGCTAGTCGTGTGGCCTCTGAGAAGTCATTAGGTCATGAGACTGGCGCCCTCAGGACAGGGTTCGTGTCCTTCTAAGAAGGGAGGGCTTGTCTCCTTAGAACACAATGCAAAGACGCCCTCACCAGGGACAGGAACAGCAATGCCTCGACCGTGTCCTGCCAGCCTCCAGAGCTGCCACAGACAAACTTCTGGGGTTTAAGCCACCAGCCTGTGGTATTTTGTAATGGCGCCCTGAGCTAAGACACTAAGCGGAAGAAGCCAGTGTGAAAGGACAGCATCCCGTATGTTGGACATGCCCGCGATGGTGAATCTTACGTGTCTACTTGTCCGTCTGTGGGGTGGCCAGATACCCAGTTATGATCAATCCTGGGTGTGTCTGTGAAGGGCTTTGGAAGAGAACAACGTTGGAACCAGTCGACAGGGTCGAGCAGATGCCTGCCCTAGTGTGGGTGGCCTCATCCGACCCCTTGAAGGCCCCAGTAGAGAGAAAGACCAATCCTCCAGTGGGTAAGAGCGAGCTCCTCCTGCCCTTCCACTTCCTCCCTTCCACTCCCGCCCCTCCACTCCTGAAACAGCAGCCTCCCAGGCCCCACCTCGCTGACCACAGACCTGTGTCTCCTCAGCCTCCATAACCACAGGAGCCAGTCCCTTGTTGGAAATATATATGTGTGTGTGTGCATCTGCGTATGCACGCATGTGTCTGTGTGCATGTGTGTGTGTGCCTGTGTGTCTGTGCACGTGTGTATGCGCGCCTGTGTGTCTGTGCGTGTGTGCCCGTGTGTCTGTGTGTGCACACATGTCTGTGTGCATGTGTGTGCACCTGTTTGCATGCCTGTGTGCATGTGTGTGCGTGTGTGTCTTATGTGTGCATGTGTGTGTGCCTGTGTGCCTGTACTTACGTGTGTGTCTGTGTGCCTGTGTGCGCACATGTGTGTCTGTGTGCCTGTGCGTGTGTGTGCCTGTGTGCCTGTATGTATGTGTGCGTGTGTGTGTCTGTGTGCGTGCGTCTGTGTGCACCTGTGTGTGTGTGTGTGTGTGTGTGTGTGTGTGTGTGTCCTATGGGTTCTATTTCTCTGGCGCACCCTGACTCATACACCAACTTTATGACTTTCCAACAAAGGCAGAACAATGGAAATGGAAAAGAGATCTTTGGCTGCCAGGGGTTCAGCGGGGAGGCAGTGAGCAGGCCAAGCACCGAGGGTTTCGAGGGTGGTGAAACTGTTCCAAGCGACAGGTAATGGGGGACACATGTCATGATACATTTGTCCAAACCATAGAATGCACAGCACCAAGAGGGACCCGCATGTGCACTGCGGCCTTTGGGTGACAATCACCCGTCACTGTGGCTCATCCCTTGTGACCAAGCTGCCGCACAGAGCAGGGTGTTGATAGAGGGGAGGCTCTGCTTGTGTGGCGATGGGGGTGTGTGGGAGCTCTGCATCTTCTGCTCAATTTTGCTGTGAACCTAAAAGTGCTCTAAAAAGTAAAGTCTATTAAAAATGCTACTTCCCTTAGCCATTTGGGTCATGGAAGTTTCTGGAGGAGAAGGTATTGGGTTAGATCTTCGGAGCCGGGGTGCTGCATCGGCCTGCTGTGTGCTGCGGAGAGCATCCCCCGTGGAGGAGACAGGCAGACTCACACCTCCCACCCACCGTGTGCCCATGAAGGGGGAGACAGTTGAACACTTTTAGTTTTCTTAAGAGAAATTGGAGTACCTCCGTCCCTTTCTTGGATCTTTGAAATTTGGAGAAATTCTGGAATTTATTTCTAAGTTAACATAAATGCATTGAGTCATTTTATCCTAGAAGTATCTCCCTACGTTTGTCTGCACTTAAGTGTTCCTCATATCTGTGAACAGTGATAGAAAGAAAGCATAAAGCTAATATTTCAGAAATTTGTCCAAATAATTGTATTAAGATAGATTTGACTTATTCCCTTTCCAGGAAATAGAGATCCTAAATTTTGCGTTTGAGTCCTCCTTGGCATCCACATTCCTGGCCGCTAAGCCCCCTGTCAGATTGGAGCTGGGTAATCGTGCTATGCGGCATGACTGTGATATTTTACACCCTTTTAATTGGACACACAGTGGCAATCCGACTGCCATTAGCAGGGGTGGCACTGCCAGAAGTATTTTGCTATAATTTATGTGTAAACAGCAGAGTCCAGCCTGGATCTGACCGTGTGGCCTCCACTCTCTCTGTTGTGGTGAATAAAACAGTTTTGAGAAAACTATTTGTTTTTAGATTTTTGTAGCCAGGGCAAAATAAATATGCACAATTATCAATTAGTGTTTCTTACCAATGGTGCTGAAGAAAATGGAGAAAATAACTGGATATTGAGGCCGGACATAGGAAATGGAGGCAGGGTAATCGCACCCCTCACTGCCCTGCGTGCCTGCCGGTGGCCGTTCCTGACCCTCATTTAAACAGTTTGGTTCCATCAGAGTAGTGTGTTTTGAAATAAAATTTTTTCATTGCCATTTTCAAATTGATTTTGAATAGCCGATTCTAACAAAAGACATCGCAGCGCAGCTTTTAACTCCTGCCAGGCTTCAGTTCCATGTTGTGTAAATAGATTGTAGTGTCTGTGTTATTGTTGTAACTGGAGCTGGTACTTGCAAGGTAAAAAGGCTTTAGGCCATTCCACACATGCCTGGCCCAGCCGTTGGCCCATTGCAGCCTCTTCTAGCTTCCGAGGGAATGGGTCTAAATCTGTCTGATTACAGAGTTTTGTATTTGTCTCTTCACTGGTTTAGACATTCTTGCATTACATTAAATACCCCTGGTGGAACTGGTGGGCTATCTGGGGCCCTCTTTCATCAATTATTCACACTTTGTTCAGTCTCCCTGTTTACAGAGCCCCTTAAGGCACGATCGCCTGGCCCCATGTCAAAGGAACCTTCTCTATGCAGGCAAACTTGGGAGTTTGATTGACATTCACTCAAAGCCCACCCTGAGAAACCCCGAACCTCCCCCTTCTGGCATGCACCTGGGGATGCCGGCATGCTGCTCAGATGCAGACCCTCTCCACGGATGCCAACACTCAATACCGTTGCACTGTTCCCATTTGGCCAAAGGCAAGGACATATATAATGGTGCCTCTGTGGTCTCTTCATCACACACCAGCGCACATCAGTGAAAGGGGATCAAATAACTTTCAAGAAATGCCTAAGATGACTGCCTGGGTTTAGAATTGGGAATGAGTGATGGCCGCACAGCACGGGACTTTACAGTGTGTACCTGCCATCAGGGTCCCAGCAAGGTAGATTGACCATTATCTTTCTACACCTGGGGCATTAAGAGGTCATGTGTTTGGCCCTGGGCTCACAGCACACAGAGAGGAAGCTGGATGCAAAATCCGACTCCTGCAAGGGAGTAACTTAGCTTAATAGATGTACAAGAAACATCCATTGAGTAAATTAATGGGGGAACATTTTACAATATTAATGTCCCATTAAAACAGATTTAAAATGACATCCCTTATCCTTGTGGATCTTTTAAGTGCAACACCTGTTTGTCACTAATCCTGTTTAATTTAACAAAAGTGGAATCTATCTTATATAGTCCAGGCTCTCCAAAATGTCATTGGCAAAGTTAGGAAACAGACCAGGATCATGTTAAATCCACAGCCCTGTTTAGGAACCAGCCTGCTCAGCTGCTTTCCTTGACTTGGGATGCATTCCGAGACACAGAGTGTCAGATTTCACGTCCTCAGCCATCGTAACACCTTTATAAAAACTAAGGCCCACTTAATGTATTGTGTTTTTTAATCAAATCTTATTTCAAAGTTACCATTAAAAGTGCTTGAGATATTATTTTAGCACGTAGGTCCCCTGCAGATCCTGGTGGAGGTGGAAAAATCTTGTTGTGTCTAGGCTCCATCTCTATGAAGGGACGGCCCTGGCTAGGTGGGGTCATGTCTCTATGAAGATGGGTCCTTTCTAGGTGAGCCATGTCCCTATGAAAAGGTGGCCCTTGCTAGATGGGGTCATGCCCCTATATGAAGGGGCAGCCCTTGCTAAGTGGGGTCATGTCCCTATGAAGGAGTGGTCCTTGCTAGGTGAGTCATGTCCCTATGAAGAGGTGGTCCTTGCTAGGTGGAGTCATGTCCCTGTGAAGAAGCGGGCCCTTTATAAGTGGGCAGTGTTTCTATGGTGGTAGATCCCTTGCCAGGTGGGTTCTTGTCCCTATAAAGGTGGTGAAGATGAGGGCCCTTGCTGGGTGGGGTCGTGTGCCTATGAAGATGGGCCCTTGCTAGGTAGGGTCATGTCTCTATGGAGATGGGGACTTGGTGAGATGGGGTCATGTCCCTATGAAGATGGGCCCTTGCTAGGTGGGCCATGTCCCTATGAAGAGGTTGTCCTTGCTAGGTGGTGTCATGTCCCTATGAAGAAGCAGGCCCTTTATAAGTGGGCAGTGTTTCTATGGAGGTAGATCCCTTGCCAGGTGGGTTCATGTCCCTATAAAGGTGGTGAAGATGGAGGCCCTTGCTGGGTGGGGTCGTGTCCCTATGAAGAGGGGGGCCCTTTATAAGTGAGTAGTGTTTCTATGGGGTAGATTCCTTGCTAGGAGGGGTCATGTCCCTATAAAAATGAGGCCTATGTTAGGTGGGGTCAGGTCCCTAGGAAGGTGGAACCCTTGCTCTGTGGGGTCCCATCTCTATGGAGGTGGGGTCCTTGCTTCCTGGGAGCCTGGCTGAGCTATTCATCCTCCACATACCTCTGTTTTCTTATCCTTGGGATGAGGTGATAAAATATGCCTTTCTCATCTCCCTGGATGACCATCACATGAAAGATATTTGAAAAAGTATTTAATTCCTCAGGTGGTTTTTCTATCCATGATACAAGAATTTAGCCTAAGACACAAGTGACATTCAGAGGCATTGAGGCAAGCTTCAGGGTAAGCACTCTTCTTTCTTTCTTTGAACTTTTAATTTTTATACAGAAAAGTGCACAGACCAAAGGGTGACTGCATTCTTACAAGGCGAGGACACCATGTAGCCATCTCCTTATCAGAAAGCTCCAGTGTCCTGCCCCCCAGCCACCACGCCAGCCTGGCTGCTGTCCTCACAGCTGACACTACCCAGCAGCCACACCCCACCTGGAGTATATTGAATGGGATCTTGCCGTACGTACCTGGTAGGTCTGAATTTTGTTGCCAATACAGTATCTGTGGCGGTACACATGTCTTTGCTATTGTAGGCAGCTCAGTCTCATGGATATATGAGAGGCCATTGTGGAAATAGACCAGGATGGAAACCTCAGTGTTCTCTGTCTTCGACCACCTTTGACATTTTCTTTTTCCTGTGTCCTGGTGTTCACCTCTCCTCCCCTCCTCTGCCCGGTCCCTCATCCTGGCCTGCCTGCCCTGCCTAGGCCCAGGTGATGCCTGGCCAGTTACTCCCAGGGCTGCAGAGTGAACAGGCCATGCTCTGTCCCCTCTGACAGAGTGGGTCCCCTCATCCAACCCCAGGAAGATGGCGGGAGCCAGAGAATCACTGGTGTAGACCCCTTCACCTGCCCCCTATGCTGCCCTGCAAGGCGGAGGTGGGAGGGGGTCCCACTTCACAAACACTGAGTGGGAGCTGGTGGATGGGCACCTGTGGCTGCAGCCAACCCACTCCTGATGGTCAGTTTCAGGTGTCCAATCAGCCAGGCCAGGTCATTTGGTGGCACGCGAGCCACACGGCGCTGTGTTGTGGATGCGGGTAAAGGCTGTGGTCAGTGGACTACACATAAGGGGGTTTCCACAACTGCGTATGTGGGCTTCCTCCTGTAGTTGAAAGGGCCTCAGAGCAGCATGCAGGCTCCCTGAGGAAGAAGAACCTCTGCCTGAAGGCTGCAGCAGGGGGCCGCCAAAGAGTTCCCGGACAGCCTTGCCCAGAGTCTGGCCTGCAGATCTGAACTCGCCAATCCCCACAGTCACAGAAGCCAACTCATTGAAATAAATCTCTTAAACTGCAGTTATGTGTCACATGACAACTTTTTGGTCAACAAAGGACTGCATATAGCACAGTGATTCTATCAGACTGTAACGGAGCTGAAGATTCCTGTTGCCTCATGATGTAGTAGTCACCCTGGTGATGCTGCTGTAAACAAACCTACCATGCTGCCAGTCATAGAAAAGTCTAGCACCTACGGACATGAGCATAGAAGTACACAGTGCTTGATGATGGTAATAAACCACGGGGTTACTGGTTTATGTATTTACCATACTATACTTTCTATTGTTATTTTAGAGTGTATTCCTTCTGCTTATAAAAACAATCTAACTGTAAACAGCCAAAGGCGGGTTCTTCAGGAGGTGTCCTCCTAGGAGCTGGCAGCTCCATGCCTGTCGTTGACCCTTGACGGCCTTCCAGAGGGACAAGAGGAGGAGGCGAAAGACAGTGACGTGTGTGATCCTGACTCTGTGTAGGCTGAGGCTAAGGTGTGTGTTTGTGTCTTGTTTATTTTTATGTTACTTTATTTATTTATTGTTATTACTGAGCCTTAATAGACTTAATCAGATGAGCTCTCTGGCCTGGCCTCTGTATTTGGGGCCTGTCTTCAGCCAGGGACACATAGGGGATTAAGGTCAGCATCAACTACAAAGCCACGGGGCTGCAGAGTCCCCTGAGGGCAGTGTACTGATGACCCCTTCAGTACTGCATCCTACCTAGGAGGTTGGTAGGCCCAAGTGACTGACAAGAATCATTGTAGCCTTTATGAAAAGTCTTACA
Source organism: Homo sapiens (assembly GCF_000001405.40). Lineage (NCBI taxonomy): Eukaryota > Metazoa > Chordata > Mammalia > Primates > Hominidae > Homo > Homo sapiens. The sequence continues at coordinate 3,037,297 of NC_000005.10, forward strand.
GAGATGGGGGCTGAGGGATATTGAAGTCCAGCCATTGCATTCCTGGGAGAGCTCACTGAGTGTCGCAGGTCCTGCTGGGCATTTTTTGCTGCTGTCACAGGTGACTTTCAAAGACCCTCTTTCAGGAGAGCTCTTTTCATTTCACTTTTCTTGCATGTGGATGTCCAGTTGTTCCAGCATCATTTGTTGAAAAAATCTCTTTTCTCCATTTTATTGTCTTTGCTGATTTCCCAGAGATCAGTTGACTCTATTTAGGTCAGTCTGTTTCTGAGCTCTCTGTTCTGTTCCATTGGTCTATCCAGCTGTCATTCCACCAGTACCATACTGTCTTGATTCCTGGAGCTTTACTGTAAACCTGGAAGTCAGGTAATGCTCAGTCCTCTCACTCTGTTCTCCTATATTGTACTGGCTGTTCTGAGTCTCTTGTACTTTCATAAAAAACTTAGAAAAGTTCTTTTTGTCAATATTCATATAATGGTTTGCTGAAATTTTGATTGAGATTGCAACGATTCTATAGATGGAGTTGAGAAGAACCAACATCTTGACAATATTGAGTCTTCCTGTCCATGAACATAGAATATCTCTTCATTGATTTAGTTATTATATTTCTTTCATCAGATTTTTGTAGTTTTTCTCACATAGATCTTGTACATATTTTGTTAAATTTATACTTAAGTTTTTCATTTTGGGGGGTGTTAATGTAAATAATATTATGTTCTTAATTTCATATTCCAATTGTTCATTGCTGGTATATGGGAAAGTGATTGGCTTTTGTATACTAACTTTATTTCATTCAACCTCATGAAAATCCCTCGTTTTGTGGTTGATTATTTCAAGTTTTCTAAATTGACAATCATGTCACCTCCAAACCAACAGTTTCATTTCTTCCTTCCCAATCTGTATGCCTTTTATTTCCTTTTCTTGTCTTACCGTATTAGCTAGGACTTTCAGTACAGTGTTGAAAATCAGTGGTAAGAGGGAATATCCTTGCCTCGTTCTTCATCTTCACAAGCAAGCTTCCACCCTCTCACCATTAAATATGAAGTTAGCTGTGAGTTTTTGTAGATGATATACTTCTTGAAAAAATTTATTTTAGGTTCAGGTGTACATGTGCAAATTTGTTACATCAGTAAATTCATGGAGTTCTTTTGTACAGATTATTTCGTCAACCAGGTATGAAGCCTAGTACCCGATAGAACTAAAGATAAAAACCACATGATCATCTCTATAGATGCAGAAATGGCTTTCAATAAAATTCCACATTCCTTCATATTAAAAACGCTCAGTAAGCTAGGTATCGAAGGAACATACAAAAAATAATAAGATCCGTCTATGACAAACCCACAGTCAATATCATATTGAATGGGCAAAAGCTGGAAGCATTTCCCTTGAAAACTGGCACAAGACAAGGATGTCCTCTCTCCCCACTCCTATTTTATATAGTACTGGGAGCCTTGGTCAGAGCAATCAGAAAAGAGAAAGAAATAAAAGGCACCCAAATAGGAAGAGAGGAAGTCAAAGTATCCCTTTTTTCAGATGACACGATTCTATAGCCAGAAAACCCCATAGTCTCAGCCTAAAAGCTCCTTCAACTGACGAACAACTTCGGCAAAGTTTCAGGATGGAAAATCAGCATACAGCAATCTCTAGCATTCCTATACATCAACAACATTCAAGCTGAGAGCCAAATCAGGAAGGTAGTCCTATTCACAACTGCCACAAAAAGAATAGAATAACTAGGAATACAGCTAACTGAGGGGGTTAAAGACCTCGACAATGAGGATTACAAAACACTGCTCAAATCAATCAGAGATGACACAAACAAATGGAAAAACATTCTGTGTCTTGGTTTTTAACAAGAAAGTTTAAAAAGTAAAAAAGTAAAAACAAAAATATAGAAGCAGCTTATAGACTAAATATAAAGAAAGAAAATATTTTTCTTCCTAATTTTCTTAGTCTATAAACTTTTTAGACTAAAGCTGTACAGTGTTTGTGGTTTAAGCTAAGTATTATTACAAAGGAGTAAAAATGTTAAGAAATTTAAAAAGTTAATAAAAAAGTTACAGCAAACAAGGGCTGATTTATTATTGAAGAAACAATGGTTTTGATAAATGGAGTATGGCCTAAGTGCCCAGTGTTCCTGCAGTCTACGGGCATGTGCAGTAACGTCCCAGGCTTCACAGTCACTCCCCACCCATCCCCTGACTCTCTCAGAGCCACTTCTTGTCCTGCCAGCTTCATTCACGATGAGTGCCCTGTACAGGTGTACTATTTGTTATATTTTATATTGTATTTTTATTGTACCTTTTCTATTCTTAGATACACAAATACTCACCATTGCATTACAATTGCCTGCTATTCAGTACAGTAACATGCTGTAGAGGTTTGTAGCCTAGGAGCCATGGGCTACGCCATAGGCTATGCCATCTAGCCTAGGTGTGTAGTGTAGTAGGCTGTACCCTCTAGGTTTGTGTGAGTGCACTCTATGTTTGCACAATGATGAAATCACCTAATGAGATGTTTCTAGAACATATCCCTTTCACCAAAGGACACATGACTGTAAATCTGTTTCTGTGTGTGTGTGAGTGTGTGTGTGTGTGTGTGTGTATCTGTATGTGGTACATGTGCATGTATATATTATATATATATTGTATTCTATATGTATAGATAGTAGATGATGTATAGATATAGAGATAGATGCCCTCTCTACTGGCCCTGTTCTCTGGAGAACACTGACCTTACATAATGGCTGACCAGATGCTGTGGGCCGTCTGCATGCACAGTCCATGGGGTGTGTGTGTGTGTGTGTGTGTGTGTGTGTGTGTGTGTGTTGCATGTTTGGGTGTATCTGTATGTGGTACATGTGCATAGATATATAATGCATTATATATGTATAGATAGTAGATGATGTGTAGATATAGAGATAGATGCCCTCTTTACTGGCCCTGTTCTCTGGGGAACCCTGACCGGATGCTATGGGCCATCTGCATGCACAGTCCACGGTGTGTGTGTGTGTGTGTGTGTGTGTGTGGTGTGTGTGTGTGTGTGTGGTGTGTGTTGCATGTTTGGGTGTATCTGTATGTGGTACATGTGCATAGATATATAATGTATTATATATGTATAGGTAGGGGATGATGCATAGATATAGAGATAGATGCCCTCTCTACTGGCCCTGTTCTCTGGAGAACACTGACCATACATAATGTCTGACCAGATGCTGTGGGCTGTCTGCATGCACAGTCCATGATGTGTGTGTGTGTGTGTGCATGTTTGGGTGTATCTGTATGTGGTACATGTGCATAGATATATAATATATTCTATATGTATACATAGTAGATGATGCATAGATATATAGATAGATGCCCTCCCTACTGGCCCTGTTCTCTGGGGAATCCTGACCGGATGCTGTGGGCCATCTGCATGCACAATCCACGCTCTCTTCATCTTGCAGTTCAACATGTGCCGTGCACACATCTCATACACTTTCCTCGTCTTACTCTATGGCAGCTGATCCCCACACATATGTGGCTCAGTATTTCACTCACCAGACCTCCGCCTTTACTGCTCAGGCTTCCTGGGTCTTGAATGTATTTTCTGTATTAAAAAAATAAGATCCTAATTGGATGGAATTGTATCTATGACTAGATGGCTTCTCCTTGGAAGGGTTTGTATTGAGGTTAAGTATGCGGCCACCCATAGCATTTGAGGTTGTGGTGTGTCCTGCAAAGATGTTTAGAGGAGCTTGTTGTTTGGCTAACAAAAGGCCATATAATGAATCAAAACTTCAGGCAATAATGAGAACCTAAATAGAGTTCAACATTTTTATAACTAAGCTAAAGCAGTTTTTACAGAGGCAGCTGAGAAACCGGTTTGAACTGTTTGGATACCATTTCCTGACGTGGGGAAACCTGTCCCTATGATGTATTTTGAAATTCGAGGTAAAATATGATGCAGGCTGCTGGTTTATAACTACCCTGTTATTCATCCTTTCATCTGCTCTGAGGATCAACATTTCTGAATTTATGGGATACATATGTCTGAGCTCTCACTCAGTGGGGGAACAACACAATTTAAAACTAGGAAACGGGACTGCAGCTTTGCCAGGAGATGGATTCTAGTGTGAGGAATATGCAGACACCATTTTTGTGTTTTAAAGAGATGTACTTAAAGCAGTAGGATTTCAACTTAAAGGCCGATAAAGCACAGTGAAGAGTTATCAGAAAGGCTTATCTGAAAACAGTTGGATTTTGCTACAAGATGGGTAGATTTGGGGGGTCATTTCTTGCGGCCACTTCAAACACACTCCAATATTGGAAAGCATCTACAGGGCTAGAACTGTGTGATTCTTGTATATTGACTTAATTTTTCAAGTGTGCAAATTAAGAATTTGGGGAGCGCTAAGTAAATAAAGCTCTTGCTTTTCCTCCCAGCTCTGCAGTGAGAGTGGAGTCAGCGTTTCTTCTTGCTATTGAGCTTCGGGATAGGCATCTATCACTTGCGCTCACACAGTTCCTTCCGTTGAACATCTGCAAGGTGACACAGATTTGAGGGACCGTCACACTTGATTAGAGCCCACTTGGGTGCTCCTGGAACCTGGAACAGACAAACTCCAAGAGGAGATTGAAGATTTTCCGCATCCTGGGACTCCAGGCCGAATCACTTTGTGTGGCCTCGGAGGGAACACCTATCCAATGCTGCCAAGAAATAAACCTTTCAGGGAAAAGGGAGTTTGATTGTAATTCAGTCGCAATTTATTCTGTTGTATTTTGGCCATTTCATTTGCTTGACAGACTCTTATTCAATGGCCATGCGTAAGCCACTCGTGTTCTAAAGACCAGTGGGCAGGGACAGGCGGATAAGAAACGAGAACATTTCTGTCTACGAAGGTCCAAGGTGTTGTGGGGTGTGGAGGAAGGGCTTCCTCATTCCACTCAGACATGTCGAGAAGGCAATAGTTGAGGCAACAGCTGGAGGACATGGAGGCAGGCAAGGGACGTTCTAGACAAGGAAAGCAGCGTGTTACTTTCACCAGGTAGCTCATGGAAGAACAGTCTGAAGTGACATCATCAATTCCACACCTGTCCGTAAAAAGCCTGAGTGATAGACCTGTGAGATGAACCAGGGGTCCTGAGCTAACCAGAAGGTCAGTGCAGGGAAGGCACGTGCTCTAGAGGCATGAGGCTGTGAGTGGGTGCCATTGGATGTGGGTCTCCCTAGAGTCAGGAAGTGTGAACTAACACCTCCCAGCCTCCTTACTTGGGAAACCAAGTGACCAGTGGTCAGAGGATGAGGTGCCGTTGGGAGAGGCTTTGGGAACTGTGGTTTTGGGAGTCACTGATGACCAAAGGCATTGGGAATGGAGATGATTGCTCAGAGTCCGTAAAGTGAGCAGGGAGGCCTCAGACTGTTCTTGGAACACCAGGATGGATGAGACAGACACAAGAAGATGAGTCCTGAAAGGCCACCAGGAAGGCTGGCCAGACACAGAGGAGCAGGGGAAGAATTGTAGCCCAGAAGCCACGTGGTAAATTAGCCCAGTGATACAATATGACCAACCAAGATGGCAAAATGACAGTGGAATAACCCAACCGATGTCTGAAAACATAATGGACTCTGCTCCTGGGTGTGTTTATTCCTATTATTTCACTTTAATACAGTGATCTCAAGTTCATAAAATGATTTCATACAAATGGTCTCTCTCATCTGAGTATTCAATAAACCTATGAGATGCATTGGGAAAGCATTTTTTTTTTCAATTCCAGTTTTGGTAATGTGTTCACTGAGACACAGAGTTTAAAAGATAATTGTTTCACTTGAACTGTTGTGCTACATGAGCGCCTGAAGCGCGACTTTCTGTGTTTTCATTTCTGAGCTCCATGAGGTTCCATTTCTGGAGGAGGAAGAGAGCAGAGAGGGATACGCAGTGGACCCTGCCTGGGGCATTCAGTGCTGGGCACAGGAGGTGGGCAAACCAGCGATGACAAAGACGCCTGTCCCCAGAGAGTGGGGGTGGGGAGGGCTCCTGGAGAAGCCAGTGCTTACATGGAGATTTACAGATGGGAAGATGCACAGGTATTTGCCAGACAAGACCAAGTGGGGGAAACATGCTCTGACAGAGAGAAGACAGATGTGATGATGATGAACCATCTTCTCGGGCAGCAGAAAGAGACACCCAGGGCCCCATGTTCATAACTGGTAAAAACAACGCGAGATTAGACCCAGGACTCCTTAATGTCCACCCCGGGATGCTGCGGCTTTTCCTCCTCTGGTTTCATCTGTCGATTTGACTATCTGTCATCTGTCTGTCTGTCTATCTATCTATCTATCTATCTATCTATCTATCTATCTATCATCTACCTCTCTATCATCTCTGTCTCCCTATCTATCTCTCTATCTCTCTCTCTTTCTCTCCTGTCTCCATCTCTTTATCCATGAAGATATCTCTATATCTTCATCTCTCTATCTCTCTATCTCATTATTTATCTGTCTCCATCCATGTCTTTACCTATCTCTCACATCTCATCTCTCTATCTCTCTCTATCAACATATCTCTCTCTATCTAGCTCTCTATCTCCATCCATCCACATATCTGTCTCTCTATCAATGTCTTATCTGTCTATCCACTTATCTATCTATCTATCTATCTATCTATCATCCAGCTATCTAGTTATCATTGATCTATCTATATCTATCATCTATTTAATTATTTGAAACTTAAGCTTATAACATCAAATGTTGATGAAGTATGGAACAACTTCACTTTCAGACATTTTTGCTGAGTGTAAATTGGTTCAACTACTTTGGAAAACTCTTTTTCTCTAAAAGTAAACCTACATCTACCCAATGACCCAGAAACTTCACTAAGTATTTACCCAAGAGGACTGAACTTGATTGATTGGAAATTGATTGGTCAATTCCACAAAAACACAAAATGCTCAAGGAAGCTGCCTGGCCTTTTCAACAAAGAAAGCACTCAACCATAGGAGACATAAAAGGAGTGTGCATTTGTGTGTGTGTGTGTGCGTGTGTGCATGTGGGCATGCATGTGAGTGCACACACAGGATAATGGCAGTGGAGGACCAGCACACAGCTGCTGTCCACGACTGAAACCAAGGATGGGCCAGAGATGACATTAGGGAATCAGAGAGAGGCAATAGGCATGTTGGAGGTCACTGCTATCCCGACCACTTAGGAGATAATGAAAACACAGTTCATGGCAGGTTTCACGGCTGAAGGATATTGTGACCTGTGGAGGTGGTGGGGATTGAGTATGGAACTTCTTGGTGAGAAGTAAGTTGGCCTGGCCAGGGCTGATGATGGCCAAACAGCAGCTGGCACAGCTGGCACCATTATCAGACCTTCCCCTTCTCCTAAAGAAGCTTCCTGAGAAAACAGCTAGTCGTGAGATGTCTTCTGTAGTAGGGTGGCTCCTTCTGTGAAAAGGAACCAATGGATGGATGGTAGCAAGAGATTTTGAGTGTATACGCCAAATTAGAAAAAACAAAAAGGCTTTTCAGTTGGAGGTGACAGGTTTGAGAATAGGTGGCTTTTTTTTTTGTATTTGTCTTTTCTTTTTCTTTTTCCCTATCTACCTCCTTTCTTTCTTTCATGTTTGTGTTATTGTGTTATCTAAATTTCCTGCAACAAACATGTATTGCTTTTCTAAGAAACATATACAACATAATATCTTGCAAGTTAGGAAAAGATTTTTATTATACTCTGACACTCTATTCATAATTTAAAAATATAAGGAATAGAACTTGAAAATATTTCAAGAGAAGTTGTATTCTTAAACTGTCGAAACAACTAGGAAGGACGACCAGATGGTAAAGGTAACAGGATTTTGGAAGCCCTTAGGATCGATTTGAGGGCCACAGACACGTCCCAGTTGATCACGAGCCTTCTGCAGGCAGTGATGTCTAAACACTCCTGCAGGGTGGGAGGCTCAGAGGGGCCAACAACCGGCCCTGGGCAGAGAATGAATTTGGGGCAAAAAAAAAATTAGAGGCAGACTTTCTTATGGTTGGAATTAGAACTATGAAAGAAAAATAAAGGGAGAGGAAGAAAAAAAAGGTTGATTAAACTACACCCCAAGAATGATGTAGTTTTCTTTCAATGAGCCATCAGGAGAGTATCTGCTTCACGTTGTGCCTTGTTGGCTGACAGACATATCTTAGCATCTCACAAAACGATGAGGCCATCAAGAAACTCCCAACCACGTCTGCAGAAGGATGCGTGCTGAAAACACCTAAAATGTGCCTGGTGGTGTTAATTAAAGATGGAACCACTTGGAGCAAGCCACTCACTGAAGCAAAAATATGTGTTTCCACATGGGGTAATTTCCCTGTAGCTCTCTTTATTTTTTATTTGCTGATAGGAGGAGACTTTTGATGAATACTTATGGGACACTTCAGGCTTGAGTAGGGTTAATCTCTTTAGTTCAGGTGAGTTCATTTTAGCCATGATTCACTTCATTGGCTATCTGTAATGATTATTAACAAGCTTAAAGACCTCCGGGAGATTGTGGATAAAAATGCAGAGCCAGAGAAGTAGGCTATCATTATGCTAATAGTGTTGGAATAATAATTACCAGGCACTCACAGTTTCCATAGGAATCCCTGGGATGGGAATAGGTCACCAGGTTAGAAAAATCTCTCCCCAGCTTTACAGCCTGTGGTTGCACCATGCACATGCATACACACAAAAACACCCCTGCTCTGACATAGAAAGGCAGTAAATAGATGTTTATCTATATTATTTTGCCATTGCACTTAGATGAATCTATAGTCAGATGAAGGAAGATGTGAAGAAATAACATTTATGCTTTTTATGCATCAGTGACACATTCTAACAGCCTTCAGTGTGGATTTGGTTAAAATATTTTTAAACTTTTTTTTCAAATAATATCACATGAATTCCAATTGCTTATTTCATAAAATTATTTCTAGAGGTATCCTTATAACAACAGGAGTGGAATGCATCTACCACCTTTGTTGGATTTGTAGGTGAGAGCTTGTTCGTCTTTATTTTTCTCTTCCCTGTTTCTTTTTTTCTTTCCCATGCACAAACATTGCAGTGCCTCCCTCCATGTCCACACCCTTCCTCCGGCACCCATCAGTCACACCACTGTTTTCCAGCATCCTCCTCTGTCTCTGCATTTGGCTGTGTGTTCTTGAGGGTAGGAATTGTGCCTTATTCATCATCATGCACTCTTTTTCTGGCATAATATGTTGCTCACATATATTTAATATAAAACTTTTTTTTTCTAAATGCGTGAGTAAGTGGCCAGAGATATTCAGTTAGCTATGTCTAGGTTTCCCTGCACCAGATTCACGACCCTTCTCAGCATACATCCAATTCCCAGGCCAACCTCAGGGTAGGTAAAGAGTTACCATTTGTGGAGGGAGAATGCCGGACTCCATGCACCTGTTGTCTTAGCTAACCTGGAATCATCTTCAGTGGGAAAGTGTCCAAGGCAGAGGGCTGCTTAGGCCAGAGGAGGCTTCCCCCATCCTACTGAGTTGAAGAGGTTGGCACCCAATTCAAGGTTCTTATGTGGATGGATGAAAATGTGACAGGTTTTAGGGAATGATGAAGACACACACATAGAAACAGGTCCTCATCTTAGTGGGATTCTGTGGGTGAGGTAGGGGTCATGGCTGGAACTCACATTAGGAAGAGAAGGGTGGGTGGGGCAGGAGCCACCAGCTTCAATGTCCTCCCTGAGTGGATGGGCTCCACCTCCAGACCAGGTGGCAGAGAGGACTGTGCTCACCTGGGGGGAGTCACCATGCAGATGCTGCAGTGGAGAGCCCTGGGAGGCAGTGTTCTGGGACATGGGGCAGGGGACGAGGGGAGCAGCTTTCCCTTCAGGGAGTCACTGTGGGTGCTCAGATGAATAGTTCCAGGAGCCAGGATCCCTCGGGTGGTGGCTGTCCAAGGAGTGACAGCCCACGTGCCCATAGGTGGTAAGCTGTGTCGTATGCCCCCAGGCGGCATCCCTCTTTAGTGAGGCTGTGCTGCAGGCAGGGTGAGGCAGACTTGGTGGGGTTGGGGGTCCAGCAGGGAGCCAGTGGAAGGCAGATCTGGGACCCAGGCTTCAGGGCCGAGCAACATCTGCCCTCCACGGGCTACCTCCTGAGGCTCCTCAGCACATCCCGGAAAGCCAGGCCCTCACCTGGTGTCCTCCACAGCCCAAGGACCCTGATGACAAGGCATTTGGAAGGGATGAAGCTGAGGTGGTGCTGTGGGGGCTGAGTAAGCCCTGAAGGAGCCCATGGGAGTCCTGGCACCATTCCCGGCTGAGGCCATTTTGTGGTGTTGTTAACAGAGTGTTTGCTTCTGATCTTCAAAACCTAATGTGAGTTCTAATACCAATTAAAAGCTGGGAAGAAAGGGATCCTTCTCTAAGGCTAGTTTTTTATACTGTATTTATAACACCTTTTACATCTCAATTTGGTGACTTTAAACCTCAATTGATAACACTTTTTAAATCTCAATATAACCAAGTGGTTATATTGCCTCTCAAAAATCATCTAATGAATACAACAAATTTACATTGTTGCCTGGCTACTTTTCAATCTTAATACAACGTTTCAAGGCACAACCAGCTACCTTCATCAATAACTTATGTGCACCTGATCCATCAGCCTCTCAAGAATCATTGTTGCCAATATTTAAACCTGGATTATTCACTCTCAGCTGCTGCTTCCAAAGGCGACTTGTCCCATATTACAACTCCGAGATTTACATTACAAACCTTTAAGGTCAGTGAAATGAAATTAATTAAATTCCTGCCTAGTTCTGTGTTTAAACACTTTAGCTTAGCATTCTCAGTGGAGGATTGTTCATAGTACTCTTCTGTGCCTAATGTGGAACAAGTCTGAGTGGGGAGTTCCTGCCACTGTTGAAAGGATGGTGGGATGGAGGGTGACATGCCCAGTTGTGGTTGGGTAGAACCTTCCTGGAAGCCACTGTCCTGACTGCCTGCCCAGCACATGCATGTCTACTCCAGTTGGCTGGGCTCTTTTTTCAGCACCTCCCAAGGTGCATCACGTGCTGTGTGTCTGATGTGTGGCCGTCGACCCTCAGGAGCACTGTGTGGGACTCAGAGACTTGCCCATCAGCACTGTGTATCCCAGCAGAACAATGCGTGCCACCCACACATCACTGATGTGTCTTTGGTGAAGTGGGCAAGTGTGGACATGAATTTGTCATCACAGCAGATGCGTCAGACGCCATTGTTTTTGACCCAGAGTTTGCCCCCATAAAAAATGAATTTTAGACAAACGGCTTGGTTTCTGTAACTAAATTCTTTATGAAAGACGTTTCAATACATACTTAGAAAGTTCATCTAAAAGTTTTCATTGAAAATGTAATATATTTGATTAAAAGTTCATGAAGCTTCTTTTTTGAGAAAGTTTATTTTTGATCAGTTAAGTCAAATATAAATATATACTGTTCCAATTGTATCCATGTCATACAAATGCAACTATATAAGCTTTACCTTTCTCTGTAGTCAGAAAAATACCAGTGTGGGGTGGGAATATTTAAAAACATATCAATTTAAGTGTATTTTTTATTATGATGTAAATCTCAGAGACTCCATGTAGACTCAGCCAGAGGATTAAGAGGAGAAAGTTTTGTGTGGGGTGGGGCATCAAGGGTGAGGAAAGTGGGACAAAGACTCTCAAATCCTTTCTCCTTTCTCCAAATCTGGCAATAAACAGATCGATTGGTGGGTATTTTCCATAAATGTGTTCCTTATGTTCCATTGCTCCCTGGTACACACGCGTCCTCTTGACTGAGTGACAAGATACTTACTCTTCCTCCCCATCTCTGATGTCCCAAAAAGTAAGCCCCTTCCACAGCCTCCCCCCACATCACAGCACATGACAAATCTCTCCTCTAATATGGAGTTGCAGGGAAAAGTTGAACAAGATGGCGATTATCTTGAGTGCAGCTTCGTTATATTCTAACAGTTCTGTTTCTCCATCTGGCAACAATCTTTCATGACGATCAAAAGGCTTTCCAGCCTTCACTGGTTCTTCCTCGCAGTTCATTCCTGTGAGATGGGTGAGCTGCCAGCAGTGTCCTGTGCTAACTGCAGGAAAGGGGCGGGGAACGGCCATGTCTCAGGTCACGGGAGCACTCCCGTGGCCAGGTCCCTGCCATTCTGGAGAGCCCCGCCTCGGTCCCACCCACAGAGCTCTCTGGATCCCAGCTTCTGAGCTGTGTCATATCCAGGCAGGAGCATGCCTCTCTCTGTGCTTATCCCCTTAACATTTCCCTCTGGGGTATTTGCCCAAGTGTGCATGAGAAGAACAGAAATACGACCTCCGAGACCTACAGTTGTACTGGGGTTCCAGCGCCTCAGTATGCTGGTGCCAACTGCCCTTGGGGCCTTAGCTGCTGACCAGAGGCCTGGCCTCTGTTACCTGCCCATTCCTGCATCTGACATGGAATGATCATAACTCCATGAATGATGTGGACCCGTCAGGTCTGTGGGATCATCAGTAAGCTTTAAATGTTATAAGCAGAAAAATGCATTGATAGTGTTGGTTTTCTCAGACAATCGTCACTTTTAGAAAACGTCATGTTTTTAAGTTGTACTATATTATGTTAAGAAACGTGTCCACATGATGTTGAGAACATGTTTAAAAAAATAAAAAATAAAAAAAAATACGCACACACAGCCATACATAAATTCTGATCAATTGAAGGGCTGCTGTAAGGTGTGTTCCCCGAAGCCATCTCCTACCTGGGCTCATTTGGCGGGATTAGTAGACCCCAGGGCAAGGTAGCAGGAGGCCGCTGAGTAAGAGAAAGTCCCCTCCAGTGGGTTCTGGGGCTCTCGAGTCTTAACGGCAAAGGTGCATCCCATTGTCTGAGATACCCCCCACTCCCACCGAAGGTGGGATTTAGCCTGTCAGTGAGAGTAAGAGCACCAGTGAAGACTCCAGAGACCAACCGTGAGGCCACATGCCCTTGTGCAAATGAGGCAGCCGGGCTCCAGGGACCACACTGTATGATTCCTGGGAAATGGGGATCCTGAAAGCTGTGAGATACGCACACTTCTGGGGGAATATAGATCATAAATATTCCCTTTGCTGTGGCTAATGTGCACATTTTTTAACTCTCCTATTTACAAACTATTCAAGAGTTCATATTAGTGACTACTGATTGATGATTATTTTTTATTGACGAATAGGTACTTGCCGTCTATATCATGAAGAGAGATTCCTTTTCAACTGTTTAAATTTGAATGCTATATTCTGTGTCTGGCCACCTTGAACAGAGAGTGCTTTTTCATCTGCTGTGGGAAATGCTTGGAATGCTTGGGGAAAAGGATTGATCTGAATGATCACTTTTAAGCAGCCTCATCAGCCATGTGTTCCTGCACATAAACCCAGTTTGTCCATGATTGTGTTTATAACACCTGTCCAAAGGTCTACAGCCATGGAGCGACTCTGTGAAGCGCAGCTGGAAGCTCAGTAGTCCTCCATGCCAGGATAAAAGCACCAAAATTATAATATCACATTCAATTATTTGAGGGCTTTTCTCACCAGATGGTGTTCATGTGTCACATGCAGAAAACTTGCTTTGTTCTGGCTGTGTGGTTGGATCAGGGGTTCGCAGGAGCCTGGGTGGAGCGCTGGCTCAAAGCACTGAGAAGGACTCTTGCCCTGCCCTGGGTGCACTGGCACCGCTGAATCGAGGACGCTGACGCTCCTGATGAGCATCGCTCAGGACCAAAGGAACTGGTTATCCACACACAGTCAAGCCGCCGGCCGTGTTTACTGCAGCTCAGGCCTCTTGGTAATCACAACAAACCCACGGAGGGCTTTTGCTTCGTAGAGAGGTCTTGGCTGGAGGACTGGCCCACACCACTGTTGACACACGTTGGTGGGTCTTGTGAGGAGGCCCAGGGTCTTCTCCTGGGAAGGTGGCTTTGCCAGGGAGAACTGTGCATGCATTCTTGTACCCACTGCAGGCACCCAGCCTGGCTTTTCTTTCACTTCTCGAAAGTTTTCTAGAAATACGGCTCCCAGGAGCCCCCTCCCAGCCAATGTGTTGACTCTGATATGCTGCTTCCTGGCCTTGCAACAGAACACTCAAACCCCTTCTGCTGACGGGCAGTCCTGCGCAGTGGGGAGACACCCAGGAAGCAGGCTCAGAACAAGTCAGGCCGGAGGCCATGGTTCCGCCGGTGCATTCAGGGAGTTTCGCTGGAGGATTTCCAGGTGGCAGCAGGATGTGCAAGGCTGCTGGGCGGGAGGCTTTCGTCCAGCAGGCCTGGGCCCCACGTCCATCTCAGCACTGGCATGGCAGTCGAGCCCCCTGTCCTCCGTCACGTGCCAGGTGGGCATGGTCAGGGCGGACACATCGCAGGTTGGAGGGCCAGAAAACATGGCTCACGTGTGTGACATTTCCACACACGGGCTCTCTGTGCTGTCCTCACCCTGGAACACATAGCCATGATGACAATGCCCCTTGCCCTTGGTTTCTAGTGCCACCTCTTGCCAGGAAACTAGGTTGTCATCATGCAGCCAGTCAATGATAGGATTATTAGTAATGGTAATCAGAAAATAAAAGTTTTTGCTTATAAAAAGAAAGGGGGAGAAGGGAAATTGTGAGAATTCGGGACAAATTACCTCTCACACACTTTGCGTAAACGTCGGGAGTGACATTGATAGAACTTGATAAAGTGCCGTGGAAATATAAAAATGGAAGCAAGCTAAAAAGTTTTCAAAATCCTATTTCTGACAGTTTCTGGAGCACATCCAATGCTCATGGGATTGAAAGAGGAAGGAATACCAAAATGGACTTGGGCTTATTTGAAGTCTTGGTTACAAATAGATTGGGAAGGTGGTGAATACGCGTGTGTCTCACAGCAACTTCCGAGGGAGACACTGCTGTCCTGACAGTGTCTACACCAAGTCCAGCCCCCACCAGACGCAGGTGTCGGGCCTCTCCGTGGATACAGAAGGGCTGTGGACAGTGGCTTGGTTGACCTTTGTCTCTCCAGGAGGCCTTGTCCTGCCCAGTCCCTCCCAGCTGTCCTGGAGAACAAGCTGGGCCTGCCCATCAGCCTGAAAAGTGGGAGAGGAGAGACAAAGGAGGCAGGAGGCCCTTGGGGACCCTGGGAAGACTCTGTCCTTGTGCTGCCATGGTCATTTCGGAAGCATGGGCCGACTTCCCTCATAACACATCTGCTACTCTAATTTTTTTTTTTTTTTTTGAGATGGAGTCTCACTCTGTTGCCAGGCTTGAGTGCAGTGGCGCGATCTCGGCTCACTGCAACTTCCATCTCCCATGTTCAAGTGATTCTCCTGCCTCAGCCTCCTGGGACTACAGGCCTGTGCCACCACACCCGGCTAATTTTTTGTATTTTTAGTAGAGACGGGGTTTCGCTGTGTTAGCCAGGATGGTCTCAATCTCCTGACCTCGTGGTCCACCCACCTCGGCCTCCCAAAGTGCTGGGATTACAAGCGTAAGCCACCGTGCCCGGCCTATAGTTTTTTAACAGCTACATCTTCCCACATACATGCTTGTGCTGACATTTACGACTTTCCATTGTATTTCAGTAGTTGCAAAGCATGTACTGTTTGGCGAATTATAAATGTTAGCATCTTAAGCCAAAATTATCACACAAGTCTTTTAACTGATTGGATGCCCACCAGCGTCTACTACCAAAACCAATCAGCAGCCTTGAAATTTAAGTTTGACCAAATGTCCATCGATGATAGACTGGATTAAGAAAATGTGGCACATATACACCATGGAAAACTATGCAGCCACAAAAAAGGATGAGTTCATGTCCTTTGTAGGGATGTGGATGAAGCTGGAAACCATCATTCTCAGAAAACTATCACAAGGGCAGAACACCAAACACCGCATGTTCTCACTCATAGGTGGGAATTGAACAATGAGAACACTTGGACACAGGAAGGGGAACATCACACACTGGGGCCTGTTGTGGGGTGGGGGAGGGGGGAGGGATAGCATTTGGAGATATACCTAATGTAAATGACGAGTTAATGGGTGCAGCACACCAACATGGCACATGTATACATATGTAACAAACCTGCACGTTGTGCACATGTTCCCTAGAACTTAAAGTATAATAATGATACAAATAAATAAATAAATAAGAAATTTAAGGTTGATAGTCATGTGATACCCAACCTCATCTATTCAAAAGTGTGTGAACAATCTAGAATTTGTAATAGGACACTGAATTGATACCCACCTACATCTATTTAACAACACATAGCAATCTTTTAATAATAGTTAAAAATGGTGCCCATCTTTTCTTTAGCTTTTATTTCCATTATGTTAAAACTGAATTTTAGCTACTGTACTTTTTAAAAAGTTTTTCATTGATCATTCACTCTTCTTTGCAAGAAAAATACATATAAAATTAAAATTTTATTTTTTCATAATTTTTGGTAAACTTTTCTTCTGAATTCAATTATCATTGGAAACATTGTTAAAAATTGAATAAAACAATAGAAATACCTCATATATTTAAGTTATTAAATGTAAAAATTGAATGCTATTGGGAGCAAATCCTCTAAAATACATATTCCCAGATAATATGACTTATGGCTAGAATGAAACATGATTCAAATTTATTTATTCTGTAGTTGTTATAATTGAGGTCATACATAAGTAGACGTGAATAAAAGTAATTTGGGTATAAAAATATCTTCTGGTTTTCTGAAACTCTGATTTATAGACCAAAAATTACATACAGATCTATCAAAAATTAGTCTCAATGGTCATGTGACAACTAGATTCATTCTTCCCTGAAATTTGATGACTAGAAAGAGCTGGAAGCTACCAGACATGCAGAAGTGTTGTTAATATTGTTTTACCCCGTCACCTTTTCAGCCTGGATCTCTCGTTTGGTGTCCTAGAGTCTCCTGGGTCAGGACCAGGCTCCACTGCTAGGTTCCTGGTGGTGAGACAGAGCCTTCCTTTCTGATGTGCGAAAAGGGTGACATGGAAGCTGGGATTCCCAAAAGCAGTGTCTTCAAGCCCATCTGTGCAGCATTCCCCTTGGAAGCCTCTTTCTTGGGGTTTTCAGGCCAGGTTGAAAACTTTGGCTCCAGATTACCTGGAATGACTTCAAGGCTTTCAGCTTTTCCATATGACTTTTCTGTGTTGGTATGCTGGGAGAGAAATTCTCAACATCCCACATACTTCCGGACAAAGGAGGGGAAATCAAATAACAATTCACCATGAGCAACCATCCATGTGTAACTGAGGAAGGCTTAGGGTGAAGCCCCCACTTTTTTTTTTTTTTGAGACAGGGTCTCATACTGTCACCTAGGCTGGAATGCAGTGCCTCAGTCACTGCAGCCTTGACCTCCCAGGCTCAAGCAATCCTCCCACCCCAGCCTCCAGAATAGCTGGGACTATAGGTACAAGCCACCTGCTCCCCCATCCCTGGCCCCAACTTATTTTTTTTTTTGAATTTTTGCAGACATGGGGTTTCATCATGTTGCCCAGGCTGGTCTCAAACTCCTGGGTTCAAGTGATGCACCTGTCCTGGCCTCCCAGAGTGCTGGGATTATAGGTGTGAGCCACTGCAGCCAGCCTGAAGCCCCCACTTCTGTGTGACTCGTGAAGGAAATGGCACCAAAGAGCTTGTGTAGTTGGACCCTAGGTTTGCTTCCATTCATGCAAGAAAAGCGGAACAAAAGTGTAGACAGTCTATACCAAGTAACACCAGATGTTTCTAACGGGTTCATAAGCACATGCTTTGGGGGTATTTGTGTAAAAAGCAGGACTGCTGTCTGGAGATCCTTTGGTCCCTGGTTACATATTACATACCTCATGAACATAATAAAGAGATTAATATAAAGAAAATATGGTACACTCTTAAGTAGCTTTCCAACAGGAAAAAATACTTAGTGATATCTTTCACTGTCCATTTCGTTTCCTTTTGCACCTGCAGATGTTGAAACTAGAAAAATGAAGGGCTTGAATCTCCATAAATTATTACTAGCAACATATGACATGGAATAGAGTATCATTCAGAAGAAACAGAAATCGTGCCTTTAAAAAGCATTTTGTGAGCTGAAATGGGACATATGTCAATCAGGAAAGATATCTGCATTCCAGGGGCTCAGTGGACAACTGTCACCAGCAGCAGGCAGAACATTGCAGAAAAGCTTGCATGATTCAGTTTCTGTTACATTGGCCCAGTATTTTAGAAGACTATTTTTAATCTAATTTTTTAAACAAACTTTTTAAAAATCATTTTAAATGTATAGACATTTGCAAATAGAGTTTCAAGAGTTCCCACATGTGCTTTCCCTGATGTTCACATCTCATGTAACTATGATACCTTTACCAAAACTACGAAGTGAATGCTGGTCTAATTCTATTACCTAAATCCAGACTTGACGTGGTGTTCACCAGTTTTTCCACCAACATCCCTTTTCCCACCCAGCATCCGGTCCAGGACATCACATTGCATTTAGTCTTCACAACTCCTCGGCCTCCTTCAATCTGGGACACTTTCTCACACGTCTTTGTGTTTCATAAATGCCTTTGACGGTCTGAAGGACATCGGTCAGGTATTTTGTAGACTGTCTCTCAATTTGAGTTTATTTAAGGTTTACTCATGGTTTGACTGGGGTCATAGGTTTTGAAGAAGAAAACCACAGAGGTGAGGTGGCTTCTTATCACATAGGACTTTGTGCAGGACCTCCGCAGACACTTCTGGTGATGTCACCTGGACATCACGGCTCACTGCAGCCATGGACAGGTGGCTGGGATGCTGCCGGCAGTCACTGGACTTCCCTTCCAGACTCTGTTGGAAAATATCACAAAGCCCAGAGGCTGCTCACAGAGGAGAGGCGGAGGGGGAAGCTGCAGCTCCACTTCCTGGAGAGAAGAATATTTACATCTATTATTTGGAATTTCTCCATAAAAGGGGAGGGGGAAGCTGCAGCTCCACTTCCTGAAGAGGAGGATATTTACATTTATTATTTGGAATTTCTCTGTAAAAGGGATTTGTCCTTCTCCTTTTTATTAATTTATGAAATTTATTCTAGCTAAGAAATTCCCTATGTATTTCATAGATCAATAAAATAAACAAAATCAATTCTACATGTGTACTTAGAAAAGGTTAGAAAAACTTAACTCTTCAGTGCTAGCGACTGTGCTCCCTCTCCCCCGGCGGCGGGGAGGGGCTCTCGCTTGTGTATTTCCTTCTTAGAGGTCCACATTGAGCATAGAGACCCACACGAGGTTCAAATGCCAAACTTCAGATGAAAAAGGGCATACGGGCAATGCTGAGAAAGAACATGGCTGACTATGTATTTTCAGTGGGGATTTTATTTGAAGCATGGAAACTCCTTTTTGTTCCACAATGCTTGTTTTAATTTGCAACCCTTGCATTGAGATGCAACAACCTACTCTTACTTTTGGTTAACTCTTGACCAGAATTGAATCCTGCTGTTGGAATTTCAACTGGAAGTGAAGGTAATATTGTTAGGATTATATTTCACAGCTCAAAGATTTTGCTAAATGTTCACATCGGCCAGTAATATTTTGTTTAGAGGTGGACACGAGCCCCACCGCTCCCGGCTGAGCAGATTCTCTTACAGAGTGTTCTTTGGGAGGTGTAAATGAGGCATAAGTGTTAAAAACGTGGATCCTGGTACCGGGTGATATTTTAAACAATTACAGATGGTGGCAGGCTGGCTGTAATTGACAGCAGTGTCAGCCCCAGAAAGGGACTTGACAGGCTTCGGCATACGATGATTAATTACTGTGCGCTGTCTCTGGGCATTCCAATTTCCTCTCGTGCAGCTCATAGCTGGAGTAAAATCTGTAGCTCCTATTACACCACACAGCACAGGAAATGTCTTTTCAGTGCCCTATCCAAGGACTACTCACGGCTGGGAAAGTTGCTTGAGCAAGTCTCTCCCTGACAGGTTGTATCTGGAGAAGATTTGGCACAGGGAACCCAGAAAGGATGCAAACAATGGGAGCATCCCCTCTCTTCTGTAGTTACTTCAAGCTGGCAACGACTTACAAATTGAGTCAGGCCAATGACCTTCAAACAGACTGGCTCTACTTCTGAAAAAATAGAATTGCCTGAAACAACGATGGCTTTGAGGATGATAATAAAAGGATAAAAGAGTCATCTCTTTGTTTGCTTTTATTTCACCAAAATCACATTTGCACTAGCATAACGGATAATAGAAGGACACATGCACTTAGATCGTAGGCTACAGAGACACAACTTTGCATTCCACACCCGTTGCTATTTCTCTCCTCTGCTAATTGGAGCTGGGCACCTCCATCAGCTGGTAGGAGTCATGAAGCCTTGGGTTGAGGGCCGGCAGGCCCTCCCCGCGGCTTCTGCCGGTGGTCACTGTGCGTGGGTGAACGGAGTGACCCCGGGCCTATGCTTTGGGCAAATGAACGTGATCACTTTGAATCTTGGCCTTTGGGCAGACGCTTTCTACAACTTCCTAAACCTTGTATTAAGTTTGACTTCTGGGCAAGTCCCTTTTTTCTTTTACAACTACAAACAATGATGAAGTGTCCCCACCCTCAATACTTGGACTCAGTGGGAAAGAGGTGTTTCCAAGAGGATCTGGGTGTACTGGGAGACCAGATGAGGTCAGAGGCACAAGGGTGGTGGTGAGGCCAGTGGAACCAGGCAGATTTGGGGTTTGGTGGAGGGTCTGAAGGTGCTCTAAATGCAGCGTCATAAAATGCTGGGCTCGTTTGTGGAATATTAGGAAGCAGAAGCAGTCAGCAGACAGCCTCAGTCTATAGAGGTGGAAAATGCAGTGATCGTATTTTAACACCAGGGCCAATGGAAAGCCAAGCAGGAAGGGGTAGAGCTTATCTTAGGATCTGTCGGGGGCCTCTGCCCCCTGCACCAGGCAGCAATCCAGAGCAATCCAGACTCTGCACCCTCCTTTGCCTCACCCTGCTCATACCTGCAGCGTTCCATGTTTTTCCTTTTTTTTTTTTTTTTTTTTTTTTTTTGGCTCCCCTGGCCAGCAGGACTGGGGAATCTTCAGGCATGCAGTTCCTAGTCATGCATAACATTTGCTCCCTCTGGGTAGCAAAGCCCAGTATATGGGCTGGGCCCCAGTGCAACTCCCTGGCCTGGTGCAGCTCTGTGGGTGCAGCGGCAGAAGGCCTGAGTCCTGAACGGGTTCCTGTGGCAAGTTCTATGCTTTTCCACGCAAACCACCACGTCTAACAAACAGAGCACCTCCGCAGATGCTTTTCAGGGCCACACCAGGCCATGCTGGTTTCTAAGTTCATTTGTAGGGATTCTCATCCATGGAGCAGGAAAAGGGAGGCCACTGAGGCAGCTCCATAACATCCGGCCAGGCCTGCAGCCTGTGTATGCCTGGCCCCTCCTGGGACAGCTGGTGGCTGCAGAAGTGCGGCCCCACGCACGAATGGGATGTCACAACAGCGGGCACCACACACCCAGGACCCGCATTCGAGGGATGTGCAGTGAGAAAGCTGATCAGATGCCCAGACACAGACACAAGGCACAACACACCCAGACTTGCAGGGAAAGGACTAACAGCCTAGCGACGTCGTCGCATATTGATAAGGGCAACAGACCAAAGAAAAACGAGGAGGGGAAGAATTCAAACAGCCAAAGG
Source organism: Homo sapiens (assembly GCF_000001405.40). Classification (NCBI taxonomy): domain Eukaryota; kingdom Metazoa; phylum Chordata; class Mammalia; order Primates; family Hominidae; genus Homo; species Homo sapiens. The sequence continues at coordinate 3,058,959 of NC_000005.10, forward strand.
TACAGCCACAAAAGAGATTCAACTGCAGCTCCCAGGGAAATACGAATGATAACCTGCAGATGAACGGCTATTCCAAACCCGACCAAAATCGGTGTGTGGGAGCTGTGTGTAAGGATGGGGCGCCAGGGTCAGGCTGTCACGCGTCTGCTCCTGCTGCAGCTCTGAAGCCTCGCAGGAGCCAGCCCTGGAGAGCAGGGCCCTCGCTCAGACACCCGCGGGCTTCCTGTGAGTACTTCACTTCATCACATGCTTTGAATAATAATGCAGAATGACACCTCCACGCAGGGCTGAGGGGATCCAGCGAGCCCCGCATCCTCCTGTCTAGACCGCCTGGGCACGGGGGAGTCTACACTTTTATTATTTTGAGGAAACACACTCCGTCATGAAGAAAATCTTTTGTGATCAAATTCTAACATCCAATTCTCCATGGCTCTTCAGTTCTGAACAGGATGAGCCCTGTTTCCTTTCTCTGACAATTACCATCCAGACTTTCAAATCGGAGTCCCAGGAGCTTCCCCAGGTCCTGCAGGAAGCTTGCAGCTCCCCACCGCGTCTGACCCCAGGGCCAGTGCTGATCCCGGGGTCCAGTTTGTGGGGCGAACCTGACCTTCTGCCGTCTTAGCACACTTCCTAGGCCTAGCTGGGCCACCTCCTCAGGAAATGAATGGCAGCACGGCTCCAGTCTCCAGAGAGCAGCATTCCACAGTCTCGAAAAGGAAGCAGGCATTTTTCCCAGCCCACTTGCTAGCACACCTCACAGGAGGATGGCACTGGGGACTACATCTTGTGATTCTTTGTCTGTTTAGCTTGTGCAGCTTGGTCATCCTGTCCTCTGGCCAGTTGAGGAGGAAGCGCGTGTGAATGGATTGCAAACCCCACTTTGAGTGCAGTGTTGCCTCCTGGCCAATCAGAGCTGCAGCCTGCAGGGAGACAGCTCAGGTTGTTCCTTGGCACCATGGACAGGTGAGGGACATAAGCTATAGAATTGGGGCTACTGGCCGGGCGTGGTGGCTCAGGTCTGTAATCCCAGCACTTTGGGAGGCCGAGGGGGGCAGATCACAAGGTCAGGAGATCGAGACCATCATGGCTAACACGGTGAAACCCCATCTCTACTAAAAAATAGAAAAAATTAGCCAGTCGTGGTGGCGGGCGCCTGTAGTCCCAGCTACTCGGGAGGCTGAGGCAGGAGAATGGCGTGAACCTGGGAGGCGGAGCTTGCAGTGAACCAAGATGGCACCACTGCACTCCTGTCCGGGCAACAGAGTGAGACTCTGTCTCAAAAAAAAAAAAAAAAAGAATTGGGGCTACTATTTGCACTCCCATAAAGAAGAGGAGAGAATCCCCAGCCAGCATTGAAACCTGGGTCTGCAGCCCCCAGGTGTGGTTCTTTCTACCCTAAAGCCCTTGGTCTATGCCGGATCTATTTCAGATGCTACTACAATGTATGCCACTGCTTGGGTGACCAAATATGTTCTACATGTTTTACCTGGACTAAAGAGAACTCATACTTTATGTGAATTGCAACTGATAATTGGCTGACTTAGCCCATTTGGCAAACTAGGGAAAAATGAATTTGCAAATCACATGATCGTCAGTGAATTAACACCCTCAATATATAAAGGACACAAGAATAAATAAGGAAAAGCAAAAGTCCAGGAAAATTGACAAAGGACATGCATAATCTACAAAGAAGAAACATAAATTTCAAGTAAATATTTAAAGGACTTTGCTGTTCACTTGTGATTTGATTTAAATTGATGCACATGTAGCAGAAACAACATTTTTCACCTTCAGGTTAGCCAAGGTTTAAGAAATAATCTTATATATTGTGGGAAAAGGTACAGGAAATAAATCACTTTTATACACTCGTTGAGAACATAAATTAATACAAGATTCCTGGAGAATAATTTGGCAACATCAAAGCCTCAAAGATTTTCTTCCCTAACACCCATCTCACTTCTAGGATTTCACGCAGTAAATCACTGGACACTTGGAAAGGATGGCCAATTTAGCAATACTTGCAGTAGTGCCAAATCAGAAGTAGCTTAGATATTAAAAATAGGGCTTTGGTTAAATAATTATTGCATTACAATGGAATTAAATGTAGCCATTAAAATAAAAACACAGATCTTTATTTCACATGGAGATATGCTCATAACATGTTGTTATAGTAAAAGTTACTAAATGTTATGATCCCATTTTAGTAAAATGCGTAAGGATAGTGTATTAGTCTGTTCTCATGATGCTAATAAAGACATACCCGAGACTTGGTAATTATGAAACAAAGAGGTTTAATGGACTCACAGTTCCTCGTGGTTGGGGAGACCTCACAATCATGATGGAAGGCAAGCAAGAGCAAGTTACACCTTACATGGCAGCAGGCAGAGAGCTTCTGCAGGGGACACCCCGTTATAAAACCATCAGATCTTGTGAGACTTATTCACTGTCACAAGAACAGCACAGGAAAAACCCACCTCCATGATTCAGTTCCCTCCTCCCAGGTCCCTCCCATGACATGTGGGAATTATGGCAGCTACAATTCAAGGTGAGATTTGGGTGGGGACACAGCCAAATCATGTTAGGTAGATAGAAACAAAATAAAAAGTCTGAAGGAAACCTCGTATAATTTAGGGCTTTACAGAGATTATCTGGGGGTTATAAAATCAGGAACGTTTGTTTTTTAAGTTTCTTTGTTTGATAATTTGCTTTGTTGACAATGGATATTAGTTGCTTTAACATCAAGACAAAATTGTTACTCCAACATTACAAAAAGTGGGTTTTCTATTTGTAGCTCATGAGAACTTGGTCATAGCCAGGAATGATGCCTGTTGGTTGACCATAACAGCTTCATGCTACTTTCCTAGAGACTTGTTTGCAACAAAGCCCAGGCATGTCCTCCCTGCTCTGTAAAGTGCTCCTGCATCCAAGCTCATTGCGTTTCCATAACCTCAGGGAACATTCAGCACTGGGCAGCCATTTTTCTCTAGCTCTCTCCATTTTTCTTTTTTTCTTCTACAAGGTAGAATGCAGAATATATTTTATCTTTTTTTAAACTAACAATAATATGTTCTAGTTTATGGTAGTAAATCCCTTTTGAGAGGATTCTGAAAAAGCCACAAAATATTTCTATAAATATCTGCAATCAAAAAGCCACCAAATATTTCCATAAATATCTAGAATCAAAAAGCCACCAAATATTTCTATAAATATCTGCAATCTTTCATTTCCCTTTTGAAAAAATTTCTACATAAATGTTTTTAATAATTAATACTCTTAAGCTTTGTATGTTTGATATATATAAAATGTTAACTGACTGATACATTTGGCCAATTCTTTGTGAATAAGTTTTCTTAAGCAATATACTATAGACAATATCAAAGTGTTATCAACTTGAAAACATGAGAATGTAGGCCGGGGGCGGTGGCTCATGCTTGTAATCCCAGCACTTTGGGAGGCCAAGGTGGGTGGATCTCAAGGTCAGGAGTTCAAGACCAGCCTGGCCAACATAGTGAAACCCCATCTCTACTAAAAATACAAAAATTAGCTGGGTGTGGTGATGTGCACCTGTAGTCCCAGCTACTTGGGAGGCTGAGGCAGGAGAATCACTTGCACCTGGGAGGCGGAGGTTGCAGTGAGCCGAGACTATGCCACTACACTCCAGCCTGGGCAACAGAGCAACACTCCATCTCAAAAAAAAAAAAGAAAGAAAACATGAGAATGTGAATTTTATCAGTATTTCCACTGATGTCCTTTCCTTTTTCTGCTTCAGGACTCAGTCCAGGATCCCATGCCACATTCAGTTGCTACCACCTGTGATGGCCCAAGTTGTGTACCCACAAAACTCCTCTGTTGAAGTCTAACCCCAAGTACTTCAGAATGTGATCTTATTTGGAATAGGATCTTTACAGAAGTACCAGCTGAGGTTACAGGTACAGCTGAGGTTGTTGGAATGGGTCTTAATCTGATAAGACTCGTATTCTTACAAAAAGAGGGAATTTGAACACATAAAGAGAAGCCAGGAATGTACAGGCACAGAACAAAGGCCAGATGATGACACAGCAAGAAGGCAGCTGTCTGCAAGCCATGTTGAGAGGCTTCACCAGAAACCAGCCCTGCCAGTACCCAGATCTTGGACTTCCAGCCTCCAGAACTGTGAGAAAATAAATTTCTTCTGTGTAAGCCATCCAGTCTGTGGTACTTAGTTTTGACAGTCCCAGCAAACTAACCCTCTTTTCTTTTGTGTTCTTAACGTAGCTGGTCAATTATTTGTAGCATGTTCCTCAATGTGAGCTTGTCTAGTATTTTTTCATTATTAGAATGGCATTATGAATTTCTGGCAAGAATAGCATGGAAATGGAGCTGTGTTCTCAGTGCAGTGGATCGAGGGTCTCACGGTGTTCATCCATCCATCCCACTACTGTGATGTCTGCCTGGCCTCCCCACTCTGCCTTAATTAATAGTGGTTTTCCACTGTTGTAATCCTGGCTTTGATCATTGCATTCTGGCTGTGCAAGGTGTTCGCATCAGAGGAAGCTTGGTGAGAGGCATACAGGACTTTGTACTATTTTTATAACTTTTCTATAAGTTTAAAATTAGTTTGAAATAATAACTGAAAAAGTAAAATGGTAGGATTCTATTCATCAAAAGAGTATATCAGGACATGAACATTTCCTGAAAGAATCAAGGGTTCTCTCAAAACAATGCTTCCTCATAGCAAACATCCCAATTCCAGGTGCTAAGAGGAGTGGAGGGACAGGGTTGAGAAGATTTTCTAGAATGAGGGAGGGGCAGCAATGGCCCATGGTGTGGAATGGCTGGGAATGTGTAGAATCAGCGTTTGCTCTTCTGAGAGTTAAGACCCTGGGTGAAGCCACCACATGCCAAGCTGTGGAGTGAAAGAACTTGCGGGGCAGGCTATTTTACCTCAGTCTCAGGCCACGGAGGAGAAGTTGCCAGAACAGGCCCAGGTCATGCTTCCTGGGCCACCTTCAGGAAAGATTTCCCTGAAGTACAGAGAGAAAGTAGATGAGCTGAGCTTTCATTTTTGCTTTGCTATTTAAAGGTAAATGTAACTACCACTAACAGAACACAAAACGAAACAAAGACAAAAGCCAAGGCAGCACATCCCTCCACCAGGAGGCTGAGCCTGTAGGGGGATCCTTCATGAGGACCAGGAAAGGCGCTCCCCAGAGGAGTATGACCGAGTCACCCAGGTGTGATCTGGGGATTTTCACCACGAGGCCATTGAAATTCGATGTTGCATGAGAATGTGTTGAGAGAGGTCCAAGGCACCCACTGGTTGTTGAATGAATATTAAGGCCTGGTCCTGTTAAAGACAACCAGAGCTGGTGAAACAGTTAAAGCAAAAAAAGCAGATTTGATTCAGAAACTATTTCAGTAGGGGAACAGAGACCTCAAAATAAAACTGGGCTCAATTCTAAATACAGCACAGTCAAGTGTGAATTCATAGTGAAGAAGCACGGTTGGGGTCAGAGGATAGGAAATTCCTAAGAGGAAGCATCCAGGACAGCAGATTCTCGCTGCAGTGGCTCAGCCGGATTCCTGCCGCACCTGCGCCCAGCAGGCTGGAGGACCAGGCCCAGTGAAAATATGGCCCCACCGAAGTTTGGTCAGGAAGAAGGTCTGTGTCCATCTTCAGGGCTGAGACCAGAGTGGGGAAAGTAGATGTTATCAACTTTCAATAACTTCCCCCCCGATCAAATCTGAGGGGCACTGTGGCTACTGCTGCGTCCAGCGAGGCTGGCAGGGATCCAGCCATGCCAGCAGTAGAGGAGACCTTCAGGATGGTTCCCCGGGGATCAGAAACGGCCCGTGGATCCAGGCACCGTGAGCCAGCTCTGACACACCAGCAGAGTGGCCTCTCTGGCCTTCATCACCAACCTTTGCCCGCGGCTCAGCCTCTGACTCGGGATCCAAGACCCTGGGACTGGAGGAAGAGTCCAGTCATTTGTGTCATCTCTGCCTGAAGTTTGAGCTTTTTAAAAAAGTAGGGAAAGAGATCATCCTTGCAGTGGCAATCAGCCAATTTAAATTTTTCTTTAACTACTTTGTTATTCAATTATTTTCTTTGTTCTTCTAATGAAGGAAAAAAGAAATTCAAATTTTTTATATGATCTTGGACATAGAGGGGCATTAAATATATATGAAAATCTGTGGGGTCAGATGGAAAGCACCGAGAAAGCTATTGTCCCTGCTGATGACAGCAGCTGCCAGCTGAGGTCAGGAAGGGAAATAACTAACCAGGAGCCACTTTCTTACTTTTCTGAGCTCTCCTCATTCTCTTCTTTTACTCGTAAATTCTTCTGTTTAATTATTTACAATAATACAGGCGACTTCTCCACTGTTGAAGTTGTTCCCATCTAGTTCAGGAACAATGAGAATATGCCTAAGACTAATATCAGAAGCCTTGTCCATTTTGGGGAAGGTACAGTACAATGCATTTTTAAAGAGGTGTCCATGTAACCCCTTTGAAATGCCCTTGACAGCCACCCCTTGGGTACCCTACTTTTGTTGATCCCCGAATACTCTTAAGTCTTGAGGAGATAATAGATACACTTATGCTAGAATTAAGAGAACTGCTGCTATCTTTCTTATTGATAAGAAACAGAATGATAAAATTGCTAAAAGCTGAATTTTTAAAATGATCGCTAATAACACTCCTGGACTAGAGAGCAAAAACAAACATATGCACGTTACAAAAGTATGACTTGACTTGAAGTTTTCTCCTGGCACAACTGAACCCCCAGCATTTCCTTCTGTTAGCTGTCCACCTGGGGAAATTTGATTTCCTGGGGATTATGCAGAAAATGAGACCAGGTTCTCAATATTTACCCTAAAAATGACATCATATATTGTCTTACATTTTATCTCTATTTTAAATCACTTTTTAGAAAATTGCAATATGATATCTATTTAATTTCCACAAATTCCAATCCTAAGAATGATAGACAATGTGGTTGCTGTTTAGAGTTAACGTGGAAACCAATAGAATTGAAGCAATGCAATGAAACTGAAATCTTTTAAAATAACAAAGATCATCGGATAGCTAATTTTTTTTAGTACTTCCTATGTGCCATGCACTTTGCTGGGTGATTTTTATATACTAGATAATCTCTACACACTTTTACAGAGACCCTGAAATTCATTATCTGTCTGCAAAATTCATCCTTTGAAAGGCAGGCAAAGCAGGAACTTCACTTCCCTGGCTGTACCTTCCAAAAGAGTGACTCTGCCAACCTTTCTCCCCACCTCAGCTGATTCTCAGTGGGGAGGACTTCACTCACTCATGAATTTGGGGAAAGGACCCAATCCCGATCTGCTGGGCACGCTGAGCACTTCCTGTCCACCTCCTTCTGAGCCTCAAGGCAGTGAGATGTTTGTCTCTTTACCACGTTGTCCTGGGTCCGTAGCCCCACATGAGGCTTGTGGTTGGTCTATTTAAGGGGAGAAGCATTGGAAAATCCCTGTGGCTAGTATTCCAGTGCCCCTTTTCTAATGAACTTCATCAGTAATAAAAGTGATGATTTATTTCCATCTTCTGTCTTATTTCTTGACTGGTCTTGAGATTGAGAGAGAAGAAGATGGGTGTTTATGCCTCAGCCCTTGACAAATCCAACAGCCGGCTGTCCTACATTTAGATGTGAGCATCCCACTTGATGCCCTGTTAGTGGGAGTGGCTGCCAGTTCCTGACAAGATCAGAATACTGAGGATTCAAAGCCAACATCATCTACTGATTCCATCCCTGAGAAGCCTGATGGAGTCTGATTCAATCGTCCTGACCATCCTTTATGATTCATGAATACCTGATCTTCTCCATGAATTCCAGAGTCTGGCCAAGTGTGGGGAAACCTACCTAGTTCTTCAGTCAATACTACTCTTAAATCAGCCCAACAGATGTTTGTGTGTGTGTGTGTGTGAGTGTGTGTACATATACATTTGTGGAGGCCTCAGACAAGGGAGTTGCCTTACCTTCCCTGATCCCGTTGTCTCACTCTGACTTCCCAGAATGGGAGACCATCTCGCACTGCAGTTTACAGAGGTGCCGCTTGGTTTGTTAGGAGGGAAGATGGATTGCAACACCTGGGCTAGCCTTGAGGTAAACTCCCAAGCAGGACCCTTAATAATGCAGAGCAGGAGAGAACTCAGGGTGTCTATCCCAAGCTCTGCGTTTTGTAGATATGAAAACAGAGCCCATGGGGTGCCAAGGGTATCCCCAGACCTTGAAGTGAGCTGTGGCTGGGAACCCCGAGTGGGTCCTTCCTCCTCCCTGTGCCATTCTTTCTCTCTTTCTTTCTTTCTTTCTTTCTTTCTTTCTTTCTTTCTTTCTTTCTTTCTTTCTTTCTTCCTTCCTTCCTTCTTTTCTTTCTTTCTTTCTTTCTTTTTTCTTCTTTCCTTCCTTCCTTCCTTCCTTCCTTCCTTCCTTCCTTCCTTCCTTCCTTCCTTCCTTCTTTCCTTCCTTCCTTCCCTCCCTCCCTCCATCCCTCCCTCCTTCCTTCCTTTCTTTCTTTCAATGGAGTCTTGCCCAGGCTGGAGTTCAGTGGCACAATCTTGGCTCACTGCAACCTCCACCTCCCAGGTTCAAGTGATTCTCCTGCCTCAGCCTCCAGAGTAGCTGGGACTACAGATGCACGCCACCACACCCAGCTAATTTTTGTTGTTTTGGTAGAGACGGGGTTTCACCACGTTAGCCAGGCTGGTCTCGAACTCCTGATCTGAGGCGATCTACCCACCTTGGACTCCCAAATTGCTGGGAGTACAGGCATGAGCCGCCTTGTCTGGCCTCTCTCTGTGTCTTTCATCAGAGGCTCCCCTGCAACCTTCTGCTTGTCACTCCTCCCCCAGGAGTATCAGGAAGCTGGTTGCAATGTCTTGGTCACCTATGGGAGTTGCCATTACCCGCAAAATCTGCATTCCAGCCACCACCCCATACTTCTTCAAACCTAACCACTCCTGTGGCCCATTATGATGGCTATGCTTATGGGGTCCCTGTCAAGTGTAAGGCTTTAATCAGTGAGTGTAGAACCCAGGTGGACAATCTGCATAATTCTGTGGAGCCCACCCTGGATGTGGCTGCCTCCACATGCACCCACACTTGCTTTCACAGATGCTCAGCAACCCTGACCTTGCATCCAGCAACAGCACCCTAAAAGATGATCTGATTCCATTTTTTTTTGAAATGCAGTAGTTTTGATGCCATTGCTGTATTGTGGTGGAGTTGTCAGTGCCGCTAGCACCTGCCCCCCATGGTTCCCTGGCTGGAGAGCATCAGCATCTCCCCTGGTTCCTGGCCAGGCAGCTCCTCACCCTGGAGCCTCTAGAGCTCGTCTTGTCTCTGCTGGAGAGAAAGCTTCCTCCCAGCCTCCATCAAGTGTGCAGGCCCAGCATGTCTCTCTCCACAGTCCCCCAAAGAGCTCCGCCCTCCTGACCTGCTTCTCTCTGTTCTGTTTAGTTTGCATGAAGCACACACATTCCTTAAGCACATGGTTTTAAGCCTGGGTTAGTGTGGGGGCGATTTTGCATTTTAAACCCTTTTCTTGGCTGGTAACAGTCTTTGTGCTGTCACCCTAGACGCCAGCCTTCCTTCCACAGCTCTCCCCTACGTCCTTATCTTTTGCTCTCACAGCACGAACACCCTATTAGACATTCTGGTGGGATGGAATCTTCCAGTCTCCAATCTGTGTTCAGCCCTCCTGCCAAAGTATACAACTGGTAGACCACGAGCATCTTGGCATTGTAACTGAATAGCATCAGTTGTTTGAACATCTAAATTACAGGATATGCAGAATGTACACAATGCAGTTTGTTGTGAAAGTTTCTTTTCAGCTAATCTTTTTTATTAAAGTATTTTCAAGGTCCTATGTGATGAAATTCTTCCAGGGAACATTTGTCTTTTTTTAATGTCCTGTCATCTATCAAGCAAGCCCTTTCCCTCTTTGCATGGAATTCCTCATTGTGTGTAGTGTTAAAGGACATGATGTCCTTTGCCCTCCCCAGTGGAAGTCAAATAGAGTTACCTTTCCTCCTCCTACTCACTGGAAGCCAGAGATTTGGCAAGTGAGCCTCCCACCTAAGTCCTTGCATTTTGAAGGAGAATCTCAGAATTGCTTGGCACTCTGAGGCTTGCCCACTGGGGCTACGGGAGCACCCAACAAGGGGGTGGTGTGTACCCCCTTGTCAGTGATCTCTGCTCCTCCCTCCCTTGGTTCTGCCTGTGTTTCTCAGGGGTCCTCCAGTTTATCCACCGACTCTCTGAGCTGGCAATCCCCGGCTCTGGCATTCTTTCTTTGCCTGAGTTAGCCAGAGTTGGTTTCCATTGTCGTGACCACGAACCCTGGGTGAGAGTCACTTTGTATGTATAAGTTGAGGGAAATGGAATCTCAGTCCGGCTCTTATTTCCCAATTATTCAACATCTCAGCACATCGCCGGTGTGAGATTACCCAGTGAGGGGAGTGCACTAGTCACAATAGACCGTAACCATGCATATCCTGTTACACATATTGCAGAAAATCAACATGGCGGACTTTGTAGAAGTGCCCAAGTCACATTTCTCAAGTTTCATATTTTTATGAAGGTCTGTGTCTGTAAATGAGGATTTCTGCTGAAAAATTTTCACATTACTTTTGACAAATGTCTATTTGAAATTTTTTTTATATCTTAATAGAGGAGTGAAATTTCAACAGTTCTACTTGAAGGAATCTTGTTGAACAACTTTAAATCGTCTTTTTTCAATGATGATTTTCTTGATCTCATTTATTCCCCTTCCGTGGCCTTAAGATCAGCAAACGCACCACATGCACTTTAGATACTTTTCCCTGGAAACTTCCGAATTTTTTTTCCTACATTTCTGTATAAATGTTACATTGCCTTTTTCTGAAAATACTGTTTAAAATCCTTCCTAATTCACAGTGGATACTGGACACAGGCCAAGATTACTTGATGAGATGTTAGCCGCCTGCTGTTAAACCTGCTTATCCAATAAGATGCTGATGCCCATTGCCTGTGGCCCTGGGATTACAACTTCTTTTCTCTTCACAGATCGGGACCAGTAGCCACTTGACTGCAGGGGACAAGGGCATCTCCCATCTGGGCCCTAAGCCTCCTGCTGGAGGAAGGACTTCCACAGGACTTCAGAGTCTGGCCTCCAGGACTGCTGTAGGGCATTTGGCCATGGATATGGGAGCTCAGCTTCAAGCAGCCTGGCCATCAGAGCATGGGACAGGTTCCCAGCCATGTCTCTTCCTGGAACACCCCAGTGGGAGCATGCTGTAAAGGATCCCATTAAGCTAGTAGGCACTGGGATTTCAAGATGAAGACTCTCTGATTGGAAGGAAAATATACGTGATTGACCACAAGCATTTGTCCTGTTGAATAAATGTGTAGAAATGTCACGAAGCTGCCTAATGATTGCAAAGTGCAGTCAAGGGTCTTCCTAATCCAGAGGAGATTTTATTTCATGACCACTCACTGCATTCAAATAAGGGTGCATCTGAATTTTAAGTCTTAAAGAAATGAACATGCTGAGGGGCATATATTGGAAACCTTCTGGGCTGACTGTCAAGGGGTTCACAGTACAGCCTAACTTTAAGTTGATTTTTGTTCTTTCCTAGGATTGATACTGTTTAAAATATACATTTGTAAAAATTCTTTTTGTCTTGGAAATTCTTTTTTTCTTTTTTCTTTCTTTTATTTTTGAGATGGAGTCTCTCTCGGTCACCCAGTCTGGAGTGCAGTCGTGTGATCTCTGCTAACTGCAACCTCTGCCTCCCGGGTTCAAGAGATCCTCCTGCCTCAGCCTCCCGAGTAGCTGGGATTACAGGTGCGCACCACCACGCCTGGCTAATTTTTCTATTTTTAGTAGGATGGGGTTTCCCCATGTTGGCTAGACTGGTCTCAAACTCCTGACCTCAGGTGATTCACCTGCCTTGGCATCCCAAATTGCTGGTTTTACCGGCATGAACCACCCTGCCCAGCCTTTCCTAACTTTTATTTTAAATTTGGGAGTACACATGCAGATTTATTATATAGATAAACTTGTGTCATGGGGGTTTGTTGTAGAGATTATTTCATCACCCAAGTATTAAGCCTAGTACCCGTTAGTTAGTTTTCCTGATTCTCTCCCTCCTCCCATCCTCCCCCCTCCAATAGGTCCCAGTGTGTGTTGTTCCCCTCCATGTGTCCATGTGTTCTCAACATTTAGTTCCCACTTACAAGTGAGAAAATGAAGTATTTGGTTTTCTTTTCTTGTGTTAGTTTGCCAAGGGTAATGGCCTCCAGTTCCATCCATGTTTCCACAAAGGGCAAGATCTCTTCCTTTTTTATGGCTGCATAGTATTCCATAGTGTATAAGTACCACACTTTTCTTAGCCAGTCTAACCATTGATGGGCATTTAGGTTGGTTCCATGTCTTTGCTTTTGTGAAGAGTGCTACAATGAACATACACACACATGTGTCTTCAGGATAGAACAATTTATATTCCTTTAGGTATATACCCAGTAATGGGATTGCTGGTCAAATGGTACTTCTGTTTTTAGCTTTTTGAGGAAACCTTTCACTGTTTTCCACAATGGTTTAACTAATTTACACTCCCAGCAGTGTATGTGTTCCTTTTTTTCCATAACTTCACCAGCACCTGTTATTTTTTGACTTTTTAATAATCACCATTCTGACTGGTCTTATATGCTATCTCATTGTGGTTTTGATTTGCATTTCTTTAATGATAAGTGATGTTGAGCTTTTTTTCATATGCCTGTTGGCTGCATGTATGTCTTCTTTTGAAAAGTGACTGTTGATGTCCACTCACTTTTTAATGGGGTTGTTTTGTTTGTAAATGTGTTTGAGTTTCTTACAGATGCTGGATATTAGACCTGTGTCAGATGCATAGTTTGCAAAAATGGTCTCTCATTCTGTAGGTTGCCTGTTTACTCTGTTGATAGTTTCTTTTGCTGCACAGAAGCTCTTTAGTTTAATTAGATTCCTTTTGTCAATTTTTGTTTTTGTTGCAACTGCTTTTGGCATCTTCGTCATGGGAAATCATTGCCCATTCCTATGTCCAGAATGGTATTGTCAAGGCTGTCTCCCAGGGTTTTTTTTTTTTTCTTTTTTTATAGTTTTGGGTTTTACATTTAAGTCTTTAATCCATCTGCAGTTAATTTTTGTAGGTAGTGATAAGGAAGGCAACCTGGAAATTCTGAACTGTCATAATGGAAGCTTTTAAGAGGGTTCCATGGACTAAATATTTGTGTCTCCTAAAAAGTACATGTGGCACCTCTAACCTCCAGTGTTTCTGTATTTGGAGTAAGGGAGAAGTTAAGGTTAAATGAGATTAAAATGTTGGAGCCCTGATCCAACAGTATTAATGTCCTATGTCCTTCTAAGAAAAGGAAGAGATCTCTCTCTCTCTCCGTCTCCCCCCTGCCTCTCTCTCTCTCTCCTTCCCTGCACTCACACAGAGAAAAGGCAATGTGAGGGCACAGTGAGAAGACAAGTGTTTACAAGCCATGAAGGGAGCCCTCACCAGAAGCCAGGCCCTGATCACAAGAATCTCTTCTTTTGGTCTTGATTGAGCTCCTTGAGCATTTGAATATGATTTCTGCTATGGGGTATGTTCCTAGCTATCCATATGATAAACACACAATAATTAGAATAACCAGAGCAGTAGCCACTTTGTGCATATTCGGCGTGTTGACCACGACGTTGTAGGGTATGTGTGACTTCCCTCCACTTACAGAGGAGGACATGGAGTTCCAGAGAAGCCAAGGATGCTACCCACAGCTGAGAACAGGACGTGGAAGCAGCAGGATTCCTTCCCGGAGTGACTTCAAAGCCCCAACGCTATAAACAGATTTGGAATATTACCGGCTTTTAACCTTTGCTTATTCTACACCCCCTTGTCTGAAAGAGTTAAAACTCACTGCACCTCTGACACCGAATGTTTGCAGTATTTCTTTCTTTTTTTTTTTTTTTTTATGCCGGCCAGTCCTCCAACTCTCCAAAGCCAACTGGGTGTCCAGTGATTCAACACAATTCATATACTAACTACCCAGAGTGGGTGCAGACCCCACAGGGTGAGATTCAGTCCTAAAAGACTGCCTTTGCCTACGACGTGAATCGCATGTCCCAGGCCTCCCAGACCTTCTACTCAGGTGTGATAATTTGCTAAAACAGCTTATAGAACTCAGGAAAGCACTCTACTTCCTAGGACTAGTTTATCATAAAGGACACACCTTGGGAAGGGATGCATGGAGAGGGGTCCAGGGTGGCACCGAGCTTCCACGCCCTCTCTGAGCACACCACCTCCCAGCACCTCCCCATGTTCCCCAGTCCAGGAGTTCTTGGAACCCCACTACTTAGGGGTTTATGGAGGTTAGATTACGTGGGCAAGACTGGTTAGATCACTGGCCCTTGGTGATGGGGCTCCATCTCCAGCCCCTTCCCTGCTTGGAGATTAGGGAGTGGGGCTGAAAGTTCCTGCCCTCTACTCACAGGGATGTTCCTCTGGCAACCAGCCCTACCCTGAAGCTATATGGGGACCCACCAGGAGTCACATCATTAGCATAAACTCAGGATGGTTGAAAGATGATTGTGAAGAATAACAAAAGATGTCCCTCTCACCCATCACTCAGGAAATTCAAGAGTTTTAGAAACCGTGTCAGGAGCTGGGAATAATGATCAACTACATATTTCTGATTATTACATCCCATTAAACTGAAATTTCCAAGGAGAAAGAAAATACCTTTTCCGTAGGTACTCTTTCTCTGACAAAGACCTATTTATTTATTTATTTATTTTTGAGATGGAGTCTTGCTCTGTCACCCAGGCTGGAGTGCAGTGGCACGATCTTGGCTCACTGCAAGCTCCTCCTCCCAAGTGCAAGTGACTCTCCTGCTTCAGCCTCCCAAGTAGCTGGGATTACAGGCACATGCCACCACATCCGGCTAATTTTTGTATTTTTAGTAGAGATGGGGTTTTGCCATGTTGGCAAGATGGTCTCAAACTCCTGATGTCAGGTATTCTACCCACCTCAGCTTCCCAAAGTGCTGGGAGCCACCGCGCCCGGCCAAGACCTGTTTATTTATATTTTTTAAAAAAATTGCTAAACTTAGTTAGAAGCAAAGTCTTTGGCAAATGGGTTTACCTGGGGGACATTTTCCTGGTGTGTCCGTCCTGGGGTCTCAGGTCAGAGGCCACTGGCTCCCACCCCTGTTCTACCAAAAGGATGCTCCCACGTGGGCTCTATCAGAGGCGGAAGGACAGGGAACATGCAGTTTTGGAAGCTTCCTTCTGAAGAGGCTGACACACCTCTTGCACACCCTCATGATCGGGAATCAATAAATTTTAATGACATCCCCCTTGTGTGGGATCCTCTGGCTCCTCAGAGTTACCACATCAAACCTTAAAAAGTCTGTGCAGGTCCCAAATGTACTCCTGCTGAACAGTTCAGAAAGGCAAAGGGGGCACAGAACTGCAAATGCACATGTGTGTCATTGCTGCTGCTGACTTTCAGGAAACCACACTCTAGGCTTCGGAAAGGAAAAGCTCTGCTCTCATCAATGGGTTGCTGGTCAGCAAGTCAGCGAACGCAGGTGCTTCTCCCAGTGTTCCAGGCAATACAATCTTACTCCATGTCTGCACTCTGCATCCAGGATCTTCCAGCACTAAGGAAGATGCCAAAACAGGTCTGTCCGAAGAAGGAAACGCAAGGGTGAAGAGGCTAAGTGGATCCTTACAGACTGTCAAATTAGTGAACCACATTAAATTCCTATCTCTATCTCTATCTCTAACTCTATCTCAATTTTATCATCTGAGATATAAGGATAATAATGGTTTTCACTTTACATGATTATTGCAAAGACTGAATACGTTAATATACATGAACTCCAGTGTTTGGTGTATAGCAATCTCCATGTAAGTGTTTATTATCTTTTCTTACTTTTCGTTTCAGCATTTTTTTTCCTTCTGACTTTCTGTCCTGTCTTTATAGAGATTGTGTCTTCTTGGATGTTACTAAAAGTATGCATCTATTTTCTAACTTTTTCTTCTAGTTTCTGTAATAAACCATTTTCATAAGTTTAGTGTATTCATTTTCATAAACACTTAAGTATATTTACTAAGCCTTGAGTGGTAAGAGTTCATTGTCAACAAGACGGTGTCTAAAATGTCTTTG
Organism: Homo sapiens; assembly: GCF_000001405.40. Taxonomy (NCBI): domain Eukaryota; kingdom Metazoa; phylum Chordata; class Mammalia; order Primates; family Hominidae; genus Homo; species Homo sapiens. The sequence goes on from NC_000005.10 coordinate 3,075,145, forward strand.
GCCTATTTTTTATTCACTTGGATGCTGATCAGGTCTCCTACTGATTGAGAAGACCTAAGTGTTTACATTTGAGACTGCAAGCTAGACACTGTATTAAATCAAATGTTCTCCTGTGTCATACATGTGTGTCTTCACACATTATGACATATTATCTAAGTAAGGCCAAAGGGAAATTACAGACTGCCACACAGTTTAGGGTCATCCGCACTTTAAATATCCCACCACCAGCTGCCAGACACCTAAACCCACCCTTGCCCCTCCCCAGGAGGTTGTTCCCCCACCCCCACCCCACCCCACCCAACTCCAACCTGGCAGTTGGCAACCAAGCTGTCCTAGGAAGATGGTACCACCTAGTGAGCAGATTGGGTAACTGCAAATCTCAGTGTTTTCTCAAACTCCGCCACCCTCACTTCCCTCCACCTACCAAGGGGGATTGCAAACCTGGTGTGTTCTAGTACTTTCTGTCTTTCACTGTGTGTAATTTCATCAATTCTCCAATTCTCAACTTTATTGCCTGTTATCCCCTGACTCCTCACCTAACCCAGTGCTTGTTAGGCACATGGATTTCTTTCCTTCTCTCCCACCCTAATGCATAAGAAGAAAAGTTGTGCAGCACTTCTTGTAACAGTGCTCTACTTAGAGGGTGGGGATCCCTTACAGAGGGCTGCAAGAACTGATGAGAAAATGCATGTGATGAGCCCAGACAAGGCCCTTTCTCAGCCAAGAGGTCAGAGAATCAGTGTCATCAATGTTGTTGCTATCATTATCAACCTCTGAACTAAACTTAGAAACTGCAAAATGCGAGGTAAAACTAGCTTCCAAGAATCCAGACATATCCTTCTGGAGTTCACAACTATTCTCCCTCATTTAATTTCTATTTTTTCTTAAAAAATTGAAGATGTATATTTTAAAAAATTATCTATTTTTAAAATTCAGTCATGTTTAGTTTCAAGCACTGCAAAAGCATTATTTTCTATTTCCCATTGCAAACCTTTGTTTTTTCATTATGGCATTAAAGGGGGGCTTGAGGACCCGATTGAGAGCATGAATTCACGCACTTCCCAGCATCTGCTGAGCACCAACTGTGTATTCCACTGTGCTCAGGACCTCAGGCAGGGCGGTGTTGAAGATGTCACTCCCACGTGCAAACAAAGGCAGGAGGTGAGCAAACTTTTGGGGTGATTGTGGAGGTCGCCCTGGATCCTGCTAAGGGCTTCAGAGACACCAGAGTGAATCTAGTGGCCCTGAGGACACAATGCAGGCTCTGAGCAACTAAACAGCATCATCAGAACCACACTTCCACAAATGAACCTTGCCGTTCAGTAACGATAATAGCTCCCTTTTATCCAATGCCTCCTCTGTGGCGGGAACATGAGGCACCTGATCGCATCTCCTTCCCCATAGTCCTCTGCAATACATGCCTGCATCTCGGTTTTAGACATGGCAGAATGGAGGCTATGAGATGTAAAATCTGAAAAGTGATACGCCCAGAATATGTAACTCTTCTGACTGTTCTTGAGCTCATCCAACACATCCGGGTACCTACTGTGTGCCAGGCACTGTGATAGACAACAGGTATGGAGAACGGCATTGAGAGAGGCACTGATGCCTCAAATCTGACTTCTAACATCAAAGCCTCCCTGTGATATGGATCTGTGCTCCCACCAAATCGCGTGTTGAACTGTAATTCCCAGTGCTTTAGGTGGGGCCTGGTGGGAGGTGATTGGGTTATGGGAATGGTTTCTCATGAATGGTTTAGCACCATCGCCCTTGGTACTGTCAATGATGGTAAGTGAGTTCTCATGAGCTGTGGTAATTTAAATCGTGCAGCACTTCCCCTTGCTCTCTCTTGCTCCTGCTTCAGCCATGTATGACATGCCTGCTTCCCCATCGTCTTCCACCATGATTGCAAGTTTCCTGAGGCCTCCCCAAAACACTGAGCAGGTGCCAGCACTGTGCTTCCTGTACAGCCTGCAGAACTGTGAGCCAATTAAACTTCTTTTCTTTATAAATTACTCAGTCTCAGGTATTCCTTTTTAGCAATGCAAGAATGAACTAATACACCCTCCCTCCACTCCACTGCGGCTCCCAGATCTTGTGGTCCGGAGTCAAATAGCAGGGGCCTTGCCAATGGAAAGCTGCCTGGGAGGAATGTGGGGCACAAGCTGGTGGCATTGAGGAGAGAGAAGGAAGTGAAATCTGGAAATGTTTCAAGGTAGAACTGATGGCAGATAAGACATGGCTTCTCCTCGAATGTAGACGTGAGAGACAAGAATCAAAGATGAGCCTCCTTTTTCAGCTTGAGAGAGAAGGCAAGTTGTCAGACTGGTTGACAAAAATATAGATATCAGGATAAGGTCCATTCATAGAAGATGTAGGTAATGTTGGTTCTGGAAAGTTGAGTTTGTGGCTAAAGATTCCAGATTCTAAGATTCAGGAAGCAGAATGCAGGACCTCCAGAATGAATGCAGAGGAGACTGTCTAGGAACACCCATGGGGTGTGGCACACACCTGCCCAGAAGAAGGATTTAAACCCTGTGAAGCACGAGGTCGTCTGAAGGGAGTACAGAGTGGGAAAGGAGGGAGGCTGGGGCAGGCTTCTGGGAGAGACCCCAGGAGGGAAGAGAAGGCTGAGACAAGGAAGCCGCACGCAGAGGTAGGTGAGGGCTGGGGAAGCCAGGGAGCCGAGCGTGTCTCTGAAGGGGCAGGAGGAATGGACCCCATGGCAAATCTCATCAACAGAGGGAGCTCTCCTCTGGGTCTGATGAGCACGAGGCCACCAGCAAACTTTAAAGGGCAGTTTCAAGAGACTTGTGACCCTGACTTCAAGGAGTTCAAGACGTCAGGGTTGGTGAGGACTTGCAAAGAGGGGGCAGGCCACCCTCCAGGAACCACGGGAGGGAGTGGGGTGCAGCCTGTGGGTCTCCCGGAAGCTGTCAGGGTGAGAGAGGCCTCTTTTGGGATGGGGATTCCTGGCTGATATGAAGGCCTCAGTAGACAGAAAGAGTAGGATGCAAGAAATCTAGGGGAAAATGAACTAAGAAGTTTTTGATGACAGAGAACAGGGTGGGCTTAGAGAAAAAGGAAAGAACAGGGTGTGATGAAGTGGTAGGAAAAGAGAATCAGACTCATCAATGCAGAATAACAAGAATGTACATAAGGGGAATGAGAAGGAGGCTAGGATGAACATCCTGGACCTCAGCAGAGGTAAAGGGTGAAAGTTACAGTTATGCAGGATGAATGAACCTGGAGTCTAATGAGGGATCCACAGGGGGATCTGCCATGTACCATGAGGGATCCATCCACAGGTGACTCCACCGCGTGCCAGGAGGGATCCACAGGGGACTCCGCCGCATGTCCGGAGGGATCCACAGGGGACTCCGCCGCGTGTCCGGAGGGATCCACAGGGGACTCCGCCGCGTGTCCGGAGGGATCCACAGGGGACTCCGCCGCGTGTCTGGAGGGATCCACAGGGGACTCCGCCGCGTGTCTGGAGGGATCCACAGGGGGATCTACTAAGTGTCAGTAGGGATCTTCAGGGGCATCTACTACATGCCAGGAGGTACCTTCAGGGGGATCTACCACGTGTCAGGAGGGATCCACAGGGTGATCTACCATGAGCCAAGAGGGACCTCTAGGGAAATCTACCACATGCCAGGAGGGATCTGTTACAGCATGAAAACTAGAGATAATAATATTGTATTGTGTACTGAAAATTTGCCAAGAGAATCAATTTTAGCTGCTACAAACAAACAAATAAAAAAGGTAACTATGGAAGGCGATGGATGGGTTAAGTTCCTGACTTCGTCATCATTTCACTGTGTATATATGTATATCAAAGCATCATGTTATACAACCTTAAATACATAAAATTAAAAATAAATTTAATAAAAAACTCTGATGCCATTCTTATTCCTGAAACATGACATTTTGATGAGAAATGTTGAAGAAGAAACACAAATTCAACACGACTCGGAGTACAAAACCCCTCGGGCCGTCATGTTTTCAGAGGACCGCTGTCTGGAAGCCTCATCCAGGAGATGAGGTTTGAGGTGGGCCAGGCTTCCTCCTCCTGCCCTGTCAGCCTTCCCTCCCCAGCCCACTCCGCCTGCAGCCTCCTGGGTCTTGCTCCAGGAAGACTGTCAGCAGAAGAGGAGGCCAGCAAGGATAGGAGGGATGGGGGATTTGAAGAAAAGCCCCTGCATTGGGGGCCCACTGAGCTGGGAAAGAGGGAGTTGCATGCGAACAAGTGCTTGTGCTGGCAGCCGTGAGGCACCAGCGCCGTAGAATCTGCCAGGGGAATGGCCCCATCCATGTCACATGAATGTCCTAGAGGCCATTGGAGGCACAGCCTGTGCTAGAAGCTGCAGAAGGTCAGAGGCTGCACCCCAGCTAGGAAATGCTCAGGGACATGTGTTTATTCCACATTTCCCCCAATCAGAGTTAGAGACCATATTATTGGGGCCTTGCTGGCTACAGGTGAGGACAGACTTGAGGACATAGTCATGGGAGCATGTGGCTGCCATGAGAAAGAATTTTAAAAACATAATTTTCCCTTCTCCACAGAATATGTTAAAGCTGCATCCATAGGCCTCCAAGGATAACTATGGGATCACGTCTGTCTGAGTTTCAATGGTAGAGGTCTCCTTAGGCCAGGCACGCCAGAAAATAGGTGCTGAGCCTGCATTTAAGAGGTGGCAATTTCAAGGAGTGTGATGCAGGGCAGGGGCAGGTGGGAAACAAGCAGTGAGGAAGGCGAGGCACAGGTTCAAGGTTGAGCACTTCTGATCTGGCCCAGCCGCACCAGGGAAGTCAGGGGCTCAGCTCTGGGCAGGGCGTGTGAAACCACCTGCTGAGAACAGCCCCAGGTGGTTGCAGAGGTTAGAAGGGAGGGAAATTTATCCGCTGGCTTCCAAGACGGCCCAGATGGCCCAGTATTTGCCCCAGGGGCCCTCCTTCCAGCACCTCCAGGCTGTGGCACTTACCCCTGGGTGGCTGGTCCCAGGTCCGTGGAGCCCTGGAGAGGTGGAGCTGCCAGGGCCTCTCCCTGATCTCCAGGGGGATCAGGGCTGGTGGCTTGAGTCCATGCTGAGCCCGGCCGTCAGATCCCCAGAGAGCAGGCAGCAGGGGCGCTGCATGGAGATGTCTGCACTGGGGCCTGGGAGGAACTGGAGGCTGCCAGAAACTGGACATGGAAATTAGGTCTAATAGAGAGGGGGAGTAAAACTCTGTGTCTCTCCTTCCACTTTCATTTATACCAGCTTACACATCCTCTGGTTTTGAGCTGATCTAAGTGGGTTTTCTGTCCCTGACAATGTATGCGATCCTGTTGGGTGCTGAGTTGGAAGAAAAGACACATGACTGTGAATATTCCTCAGCATGGCCCCCAGGAGCCCGGAGGCTGCAGGCGCAGCGGCCCTGCCACGGACCAGTCCTGTCGTGCAGTGCTGGTGCTTCTCAGCCCTGCTGGCAAGCTAAGGCCGAGGGTGTGGACACTGTCCAGACCCACCGTCCTGCAACACATGCTTGGGGGCCAAGACTCCGTGGCATGGCTGAGACCAGTGCTGAGAGGAGGGCTTGGCCTGCTGGAGGGGGAAGCAGAGGCAAGATCATGGTGGAGGTGGCTCTGTGAGAGGGATTGGGCCAGGTCCCAAAAAAAATGCACCTGCTTGCATGGAGGCTGTGCAGTGGGGGCAGTTAGATGAGTCAGATGGAGATAGGCAGGGGAGAGCCATGTTAGGACATGTGAGCCTGGTGTCTCCAGAGAGCCAGAACCTACAGGGTGAGTGTGCGTGGGCATGTGTGTGTGTGTGTGTCTGTGTGTGTGTGTGTACACAAGTGTATAATTTATTCAGCTTTATTTTATTTTATTTTAGCTGTATTTCAACGGATTGGCTCATACTGTTGTTAAAACTGAAGTCTGCAAGGCAGGTCAGCAGACAGGAAACTCAGGCAAGGGTTGATGCTGTGGTCCTGAGTCCACAGGCTGAAAACCCAGGCCGCATTCCTGTTTTGTCATCTGAAGGCAAAATTCCTTCCCTTTAGGAACCATCAGGCTTTGCCCTCATGGCTTTCCAGTGATTGGAAGAGACCCACCTGCATTATCATGGGTCATCTTCTTTATTCAGAGTCTTCTGATTTAGGCCAGCTTCGGTGGCTCACACTTATAATCCCAGCACTTTGGGTGGCCGAGGCAGGAGGATCACTTGAGCCCAGGAGTTCAAGACCAGCCTGGGCAACATACAGATGAGACACCATCTCTAAAAATGCCCCAAGAAACAAAAAACAAAATATTGTAATTTAAATGTTAACCATATTTAAAAAGCAACATCTAGACTAAGTGTTTGACAACAACTGGGCACCATAGCCAAGCCAAGTTGACAATTAAAATTCACTATCTCAGAGGAGGTTTGACTTTAATATTCAGGCTGAACATGGGCTGCAAAGAGGTAGAGAGGGCAGGACGGGGGAAGAGGAAGAAGGAAGAGCAGATGGAACCAGCAGCTGCCATGTTCTGCATCCACAGCTACACCGCTGCCCACCCTCATCTGTCTAATACCTACCCACCCGTGCTGTTCAGACAAGGAAACCGCTACCTCGGTGGAGTAACTTACCAAGATCCATTGCACAGAGAGCAGCACTGGGCTCAATGTAGGCAGGTCTATTTCCATGCCCCATCCATGATATTCCACCTGCAGGGAGAACGAGGATGGAGCTTGCTTAAATTTGTCATGAAATGGACAGTTTAAGTGAAACCATTTGACTGTTTTTGCTGCATAAGCCTTAGTGTTTCTTTTCAGTCTGCAAGATGAGCACCATTGGAGAAAAAATAACTTCCAGACATCAGCTACCCAGGTGAAGAACAAGGGCTCCTTTCTCTGCCTGGGTTTGGCAGGTGTCTGATTTTTATCACATGGCATTAATGTATGGCTCTGCACTCTGGGCCACTGTTATGAATTATCATTTCCCATGTCTCCAGCACCTGGAAAGATGGTTTACTACATTGAAAGAAATAATAATTCAGGTATGTATTGACAAGCAAAGCAGTATATACTCACTCCATGTGAAGGGAGATGAATATCGCTCAGCGTTATTTAAATAATAGGTATCTCAATAGACATACAAATCTAAGTGGACTTAATCCATGTCTATTTGACTGACAAGCACGTAATCCATGCTGTGTGGCCTCAAATTGACCATAGAACAATTGATGTGGCGGTTTTGAATTGTTGATCAACGGCACAGCCATTGATGGAATCCACTGTGCCATGACCTGTGGGACTGGAACCTGGATCCAGAGTACCTCCGTTTAAAGAAACCGTAAGTTAGCAATCCGGCTTTCTAAATTATTTTTTAAACTATGTCCCAAGCCTTAAAACTCTGTCTGCCCTCAGTCATAGAAATAAACATATCTTTCTTTGGTTTCTTTCTGTTTTAGTGATGACACAAAAACAGTGTAACCGTATCAAAAATAAGTCAATTGCATTTGAAATTCTGGATGTTTTTGGAAAAGAATGACATAGGATGAAAGTTTGGAAATAGAATTTTGAGGTATATGTGAGACGGGGCAATAGAAGCCATCACTGTTCATTCTTTTGGGATTTTCAGTTTCAGCCCCTGAAATACTGTGCAGGAACCTTGCGGTAAATTTTTCACAACATTCCCTGCCTTAAAAACCCCCCGGCAGGACCTTTTCTCCTAGGTCCTGCACGGCTCTGAGACAGCACGTCACAGGGGAATGTTATACACTGGTCTTGCTCACCAGCTGGTCAATCAATGATGCCCTTTTGTTGAACATCTCTCCAGCACACATCCTCCAGATTCACAGATAGTCAAAAGAAGCCCCAGGTAGGATCAGGAAAGTGGGGTATCTGCAGAAGACAGGCCTGCAAGTTTAATAAACTTTCTTGCTAGCATGACCAGAGTTAAGACTGTGTTTTCAAAAGGGATAGAGTGGTACAGACTAAAGTTAAATATTCATTTTTTAAGAAGCCTTAATATACAATCATATAAAATGGCAAAAATACACAAATGGGATAGTAACATAAGGCCAAGTTATCATGCAGTTTTTCTTTCCTTTTGAGTTCATCACTGCCACACATCTTGTTCCCTCCTCACTTGCCTCCCAGCCAGCCCCATGTCTTCCACCCCAGAGAGTCCACTGTCATCCCCGGGTGCTCATGCTTTCAGATTTCCTATTGTTCATACAGTCCATAGAAACATATATTTACACACAGAGTAAGGCCCCTTTGCTTGCCTTACAGAAGTGAGACCACATACTACAGACCTTTTTGTCCCTTTTGCTTCATATTTAGTAATATCTAACAGATTTCACCTGGCATAACTCTAATTTAGTTTTCTGCAAGCAACCTGCAATGTTTTTGATATGGATGCGTTGTGACGTATTCATTTTGTTGCCAATGTTGGACACTCTGCAACACGGTAATAATATTTTTGTACTAAAATATTTACGTAACTATGCTTTTTATTTCTATCATAGCTTTTCAGGGGTGGACTTGCTGAATTGAAGCACATGTTTGTGAAGTTGATGAATGTGGCCAGAGCTTCCCAAAGGCTGTAACAACAAACATTCTTCCCACATCCTGTAGGCACTAGGTATCTTCTGGTTTATCGCCTCCATTTGCCAAGCAAGTAAGCATACAATGATATTTCGCTGTTACTTTCATTCACGGGGATTTGAGCATCTTTTCACAGATGTGCTAGATACATGAGTTGCTTCTTTGTGAATCACATTTTTACGGGTTTTTGTTTTTTTATTTTGCCCATTTTTCTATTTGAAGTTTATCTTGTTTGGATTTCCAAGTTTTTTTTTTTCATTAAAATTATAAATAACACTCTTTCTGCCCTCTGCTTTGTAGACGTTCTCCCATGACCGTTAGCTGACTTTTGCTGAAGTCTTTAAGCTGTCTATATTCTTACTTCCCCACTCTGGACACGTAGTCAGTTTGTGCCCTCTCCATCTTGAAGGTGGCCATGTCTTTGTGACTTACTTTGACCAAAGGAAAGTGATTAGAAGTGAAGAGTTTAACTTCCAGCCTGAGGCTTGAAGCATAAGGATGCTATTTGCCATGGTTCCTTCCCTCTACCAGGGAGGTCAGTAACTTTCAACATGGTAGTACCTCTAAGAGCCTCCATCCCTGGATGACAAGCTTATGAATGCGGGAGTCACCCACACCCAACGCTGACCCAAGGTACACATAGGGCCTGCACATTTGTTGTCTTTAGTTGCAGAAACAATTTTAGGTGTTGTCTAGTGCATTGTCCTAATTCATCCTGCCTGATATCGAAATTGTTACATGGAACCAAGTTGCTTTACTGAAAAACAGAGAGAGAGAGAAATATGGATAGATGAATAGAGAGAGACAGACAGGTGGATAGCTAGGTAGATATCTCATTGGTTTGGGACTGATTAACATGTGATAATGATGGAATTATCAATCTGTGAAAGAATGATGTTCATTGTATGGTGGCAAAATGTTTGAAAAACTATTACCTTTGGAAACTTGGGAGGTAATAATAAATGTGTAGCACTAAGGAAACAAGGCAGAAAATAAAAATATTTTCATGTATTTATGTTTCTGTTGTCTGCATTTAAAGGTTATTGAAAGAAAGACATTACCTCAAAAAATAATTAGTCCACTTGCAGGCAGTAACAACAGAAAATTGAGTTAATAAATACTATAATATAGGTGAACAAATAGACAACAGAAAAAATAGGGAAAATCAATGAAAGCAAGAGTTGATTCTTCAAAAGGATGAACAAAATTGACAAATCTTTAGCTGGATTGGCTAAGGGAAAAGAGGGAAGGCTCAAATAACTAAAATCAGAAGCGAAAGAAGGAAATTACAATCAATTTTATGGAAATATAAAGAATCAAAAGAAAATACTATGAATGATTTACAGCAATAAATTGGTTAACTTAGATAAACAGATGAATTCATAGAAACATACATCCTACCAAGACTGAATCATGAAGAAATTGAAAATCTAAACAGACTTATAATGAGCAAGGAGATTGAATCAATACAAAAACCACTCAATAAAGAAAAGCACAGGACCAGATGGCTTCACTGGTGAATCCTACCAAACATTTAAAGAAAAGCTAACATTAATTCTCTACAGTCTTTCAACACTTTCAGATTTATTCAGTTAGGCCAGTGTTATCCTGACAACAAATCCAGACAAAAGTGTTCCAAAAACAAACAAACAAACACATGAACAAGAAAATACAGACCAATATTCCTGATACATATGATGGAAAAGTCCTCAATAAAATACTGGCAAAATTCAACAGCACATTAAGGGGATTATATACCATGATCAAATGGCGTTTGTTCCTGGAATGCAACGATGGTTCAGCTATAAAAATCAATCAATGTCTTACACCACATTAAAAAATATTGGAGGAAAAACAAACTACATGATTATTCAAATGCATAAAAAGCATTTGACAAAATTCAATACCCTTTCTTGATAAGAACACCAACAAACTAAGAATAGAAGAAAACTACATCAGCCAGGTGCGGTGGCTCATGCCTGTAATCCCGGCACTTTGGGAGACCGAGGTGGGCAGATCACCTAAGGTCGGGAGTTTGAGACCAGCCGGACCAACATGGTGAAACCTCATCTCTACTAAAAATATAAAATTAGCCAGGCATGGTGGTTCATGCCTGTAATCCCAGCTACTCAGAAGGCTGAAGCAGGAGAATCACTTGAACCTGGGAGGTGGAGGTTGCAGTGAGCTGAGATCGTGCCATTGCACTCCAGCCTGGGCAACAAGAGTGAAACTCTGTCTCAAAAAAAAAAACAAAAAAAACTTACACCAATGTAATAAAAATTATACCTGAAAAGTCCAGAGCTAACATCATACTCAAAGATGAAAGAGTGAAGATGTTTTCTCTAAGGTCACAAACAAGATAAGGATGCCCGCTCTTGCGCCTTCTATTTAGCATAGTATTAAAAGGCTTACCCAGGACAATTTGGCAAGATAAAGACATAAAAGGCATCAAGTTGTCTCTGTTTGCAGGCATGATCTTATTTGTAAAAAACCCTAAATTCTACCAAAATTTGTTAGAACTAATAAATATGGCAAAATTGCAAGACACAAAATCAATATGCAAAAATTATTGTATTTCTGCACACTAACAATAAATGATCCAAAAAGGAAATAAGAAAACAATTCTGTTAACAATGGCATCAAAAAGAATAAAACATTTAGGAATAAACTTAATCAGTTAGGTGAAAGACTTGTACAAATAATTCCAAAATATTGCTAAAAAATTAAAGAAGACATAAATAAGTGGTAAAATATCAATGTTCATGGATTAGAAGATTTAATATCGTTAAGATGTCAGTACTAGAAAAAAGCAACCTACAGATTTAATGAAATCTTTGTAAAAATCTCAATGGCATTTCTTTTTGCAGAAATAGAAAAATCTATCCTAATATTCATGTGAAATCTCAAGGGATTCTAAATAATCAGACAACCTTGAAAAAGAAGAACAAAGATGGACTCCTACTTCCTGATTTTGAAACTTAGTATAAAGGCACCATAATCAAAACCACAGTACGGTCACAAAGACAGACGTATAGACCAACAGAACAGAAAAGAGAGCCCAGAAATAAATCCTCACATATTTGGTTAAATGATTTTCGATAAGAGTTTCTAGACCATTCTATGGAGAGGACCGTCTTTTCAACAAATGATGCTGAGATACTGAATATCCACTGGCAAAATGAATGAAGCTGGATCCTCACCCTATTCCATAGAAAATAGTCAATTCAAAGTGGATCAAATACCTAAACATAAGACCTAAAACTATAACACTCTTAGAAGAAAACATAGAAAGCTTCGTGGCATTGGATTTGGCAATGATTTCTTGAAGATGACACCAAAAACACAGACAACAAAAGTAACAGTAGTAATATTGAACTGTATTGAAATTAAAAATGTCTGTATATCAAAGGACACTATCAATAGACTCAACAAGCAACACCTAAAATGGAAATAAATATTGACATATTTATCTGGTAAGGGGTTAATATACAGAATACGTAAAGTGTTTCTGAAACTCAAGAACAAAAAAGAATTAAAAATGAGCCAAGGACTTGAATAGACATTTCTCCAAAGAAGATATACAAAAGGCCAAGAAGCACATGAAAAGATGCTCAATATAGCTAACCATTAGGGAAACGCAATGAAAACCACAATAGATAGGATGCCACCTCATGCCCATTAGCTGTGATAACAATAATAATTGTTGGCAAGGACATAGGGAAATTGGAAGCCTTGGGCACTGTTAGTGGAAATGTAAGGTTCTGAAGGACCTTATGCTAAGTGAAATAAGCTAACCACAAAAAGATAAATACTGTATTATTCCACATATGTGAGGTACCTAGAATAGTCAAATTCACAGAGACAGAAAGTAGAATAGTGGTAGGGGCTAGGGGAAGAGGGTGTGGAATGGGGAGTTCTGGTTTACTGGGTACAGAGTTTCAATTTTGCTGAAGGAGTTCTGGAAATTGGTTGTATAACAATATGAATGTTCTTAACACTACTGAACTACACACTTAAAAATGGTTTAAGATGAAGTCTCATTCTGGGCAGCTATAACACAGTACTGTAGACTGGTTGGCTTATAAACAGAAATTTATTGTTTATAGTTAGGAAATAAGTAAATTTCCTAACAGTATGGTTAGGTTCTGGCTTTCAGATTGCTGACTGGCTTTCATATTGCTGGCTTATTGTATCTTCACATGCCGGAAAAAAAGCAAGAGCTGTCTCTGGGATCCCTTTTTCAAGGACACAAATCCACCTCATAACCTAATTACTTCAAAAGGCCCCACCTCCTAATGCCATCACACTGGGGGTATGGATTTCAACATATGAATTTGGGCATCAGGGCATAAACATTCAGTCCATATTAAGGTGATTAAAAATTGAATTTATGCTGGGCATGGTGGCTCATGCCTGTAATCCCATCACTTTGGGAGGCCAAGGCAGGTGGATCACCTGAGGTCAGGAGTTTGAAACCAGCCTGGTCAACGTGCTGAAATCCTGTCTCTACCAAAAATACAAAAAGTAGCTGGGTGTGGTGGCATGCACCTGTAGTCCCAGCTATTCAGGAGGCTGAGACAGGAGAATTGCTTGAACCTAGGAGGTGAAGGTTGCAGTAAGCCAAGATTGCACCACTGCACTCTAGCCTGGGTGACAGAGTGAGATTCCGTGTCAAAAAAAAAAAAAAAGAAAAGAAAAAGAATGTACAATTTTGAGAACTTTTAGTGTTGAAAGAGGTAATTACCTCTTACCCTCAAATGCTGGAGATAAAATTAAGAAAGTCTTGAAGCAACAAAGGGGAACTGGAACATAGCTTTGTAGCAAAGATTACATTAAGAACATGGTCATTACACACTTTCTGGAAAGTTCTGAATGAGGGGATTTCAGAGTAGAGAAACAATAGAGAGTAGAGAAACAATAGAGAGTATAGTGGTTGGCAAATATGCTTACTTTGAAAAAGCAGCAGAAGTGGAGAGGAGGCTAAATGCGTGGACCTGTCACCAAGGGTGATAAGCACTAGGCACCCAAAATGTCCTTAGAGATGAAGCATGGAGGAGAGAGAACAAATGTAAAATGTACCTCTGGATAGGAGCCATGAGTGTTGATCTTGGCACATGGAACTGACCAGAATGTAAGACAGACAGATGAGAAACTAACCAAAGTGCCGAGATGCTTATGCTGTCTAAAGAACCACCAGGCTGGACTGAGATTTCAGATAACCCTTCATCCTTAAATGTTTACAAGCAAGAAGTGGGATTAGAAGATGCTCAGCTTCTAAGAAAATCAAGATCTTAATGTGGTCAAGGATGAAAATGAAGAAGACATAATATTCTAAGAAATGAAGCCAATATTTACAGAAAAAAATGCATATAAAATCACTACCAAGGAATAGAATTAGGGGCTAATCAAGAAAAATAAATTATATACTCCCAGGATAGGAAGCTCTCAAAATATTAGTCTGGAAAAGATTTCAGGCCAGGCACGGTAGCTCACGCCTGTAATCCCAGCACTTGGGAGGCTGAGGCAGGTGGATCACCTGAGGTCAGGAATTCAAGACCAGCCTGACCAACATGGTGAAACCTCATCTCTACTAAAAATACAAAAATTAGCCAGATGTGGTGGCGTGCACCTGTAATCCCAGCTACTCAGGAGGCTGAGGCAGGAGAATCCCTTCAACCTGGGAGGTGGAGGTTGCCGTGAGCCGAGATCACGCCATTGCACTCCAGCCTGGTGACAGAGCAAGACTCCATCTCAAAAAAAAAGATTTCAAAATATCATAACAAAAAAGATTTCAAAATATCATAACAAAAAAGAGTTCAAAATATGAACTGTTTGTGTCACGTTCTTTTCCTTTCCAGGTAAGAGTGTTTGTTGCCATTATCCTCTTCCTGTGTCACCATTGTATCCTGAGTCTGTTAGGCGTTGGGAGAGATTGATATAAGGTGTTGGGGTGGGAGTTACTGTAGCTTTCTCCTTAAATCCTACAGCTCATGATTTGAGGTGGAGGCTACACTTCTCCATAGCAATCCTTAACTTTTGGTTTGATGTCATGACTAGATTTGAGAAGACACTGAGAGTATTTTGTGTGGAAGAAAAAATCAGCCAAATATCTGGTGACCAGAAGGGCGGAGTATGTGGTCAGTAGTGCTATTTGTAAATATTTCTGGTTCTCCTCCTCTTGAGCTCATGGTAGGATTGTACTCTCCTCTCCTTTCTAAGCCAGTCATGGGGTGAGTGGCTTGGCCAGCGAAATTTGAGCAACTCACCAGCGTCACTTCAACAAGCCTTTTCAGGAGCCATGTAACCGAGTAAGCCATAGGACCAAGGAATGGCTTGTGATGTGTGCTCTCTGCTAAAGTGGCCAGTGACCTTCTAAGTTGGGACACCTCCAGTCACTCGAGATGGACACGTGCCCTGAGCGAAAAAAACCTTTGCCGCTTACGACAACTGAGATCTGGGTGCTACGTGTTACTGTGCCATGACTTGGCTCATTTTGACTGAAACTGCTGCTGAATGTGTCTTATGTCTTTTCCTAGGCAAAAACTTATTATTAATTATTATTATACTTTAAGTTCTAGGGTACATGTGCACAATGTGCAGGTTTGTTACATATGTATGTATGTGCCATGTTGGTGTGCTGCACCCATTAACTCGTCATTTACATTAGGTATATCTCCTAATGCTATCCCTCCCCACTCCTCCCACCCCACAACAGACCCTGGTGTGTGATGTTCCCCAGGAAAAACTTTTAAGGCCTTTCTTGTGGTTTCTTATGTTCAGCTTCTCATTCTGAACCTCCAGGCTTCCGGTGTTCAGCTTCTTATTAGGAACCTCCGGGCTTCCGGTGTTGTCTGGGAAGATCTCTCACATGCCAACATGTTCTTAGTCTTCATGATTCCCTCATCCTCCCTGGGATCAAATCCGGATCAGCCACCTTCGGTGTGTTCCAGCAGGAACCTCTCCCTCTACCCTGTCCCTTCCCCTACATCCTGTAAGAGAAATCAAGGGATCTGGTTGTTTTAGTGGAAGACAGAGTTGCTTAGATGCAGCTGGCTTTTCACTTTCTAGAAGAGTCTGGAATAGTGCACCTAGGGGAACACAGGGCCCTAGCGACTCCCTCAAAGCCAAACCTGTCTCTCTTCTCCTTCCTGGGACTGCCAGATAGCCACAAACTGGATTTTCTTATCTTCACCTCTGAAAGCTCATTAATTATTGTCCCTCAGAAACAGCTCTCTATCCACATAGCTTTATTCAAAAAGGTCATTCTTTTTTTTTATTATACTTTAAGTTTTAGGGTACATGTGCACAATGTGCAGGTTTGTTACATATGTATACATGTGCCATGTTGGTGTGCTGCACCCACTAACTCGTCATTTAGCATTAGGTATATCTCCTAATGCTATCCCTCCCCTTCCTGCCACCCCACAACAGGCCCCAGAGTGTGATGTTCCCCTTCCTGTGTCCATGTGTTCTCATTAGGAGGAAGGAACCACTCTGAAAAACCTTCGTCACACTATCACCGTCAGAGGCACTGAGATAGCAGCATGCTGCCCACCACGCCGACGTCTTTCTCCCTCCCTTCCTCCATGGAAAAGATCACGGACACTTTTTATTTTATGGCAATTATACAGCAGATCTTTCAAAGCTAAAAATTCCCCCTAAGTCTGGAGGTTAATTTTTCCAATTTACTTTATTATAAATGGAAACAAGAGTCTGATCTCAAAAGGACTGAAAGACAAGAGAAAAAAAACTGACGTGTGCTAAAAGAGGGAAACAAAAGGTTCCTGTTCTCATAAGTCGAAAGCAACATTCCATTCACAGAACACGTGAGGGGGAAAATGTGCTGAAGTGTTTTTTGATGTGGTCTAAGTGGTTCCTACTGTGAGAACTGTCACTGTCCTTGACACCCCAGTCTACAAAGGAGACTCTTTAACGGGATGACAACCTGAGTTTGTCTGAGTTCCATTTGGAAGTTTGGAAAGAAAGAAGATGGCTGAAGGGGCTCCCTCAATGGCTTTTATTTATTTAATTTAATTTTGTTTATTTATTTATCTATCTATGTATTTATTTTTGAGACAGTCTTGCTCTGTCACCCAGGCTGGAGTAGAATGGCATGATCTCGGCTCACCGCAACCTCCACCTCCCTGGTTCAAGCCATTCTCCTGCCTCAGCTTCCCGAGTAGCTGGGGTTACAGGCACCTGCCATCCTGCCTGGCTAATTTTTGTATTTTTCCTAGAGATGGGATTTCACCATGTTGGCCAGGCTGGTCTCAAACTCCTGACCTCAGGTGATGCACCCAATTCCGCCTCCCAGAGTGCTGGGATTACAGGTGTGAGCCACCTTGCCCAGCCCCCTAATGGGTTTTCAAAACAGCATTTGGTATAAAAGGATTGTGCCGCTAATTCTTAACAATACGCTTTCAGCACCGTGTGCTTGCTCACCAGAGACGAGGAGACTCAATGGCTCCCACACTGGGAAGCGGACAGTGTTGGGTGAGGTCAGATGATGGAGTCTGCATGGCCCTCTGTGAGCCTCGTGAAAATCGCTTCTCTTTGCCCTGCAGACATGCTGTGTGGAGGCCTCAGCAACAGGCTCCACAATGTGCAGGAGTTTTGAGGGAGGATCCACCTTCCAAAAAGCAGGCGTGGCCAAGGTTGGCTTTGGTGTCCTCAAACACTGCCTGTCTTTGGTCCAATAAGCCACCCACGGCCTCCCCAGCAGGTCATGTGTCTCTAAGGAAACGTTCAGAACCAGGCCTATGAGGAAAGCCAGGTGGACCAGCCCTCCAGCCCCAGAGCAGGCTTCCCGTGGACAGAACAGAGGTGCCAGCAGATTTCCCAAACCCAAAAATTGCAAACAGCATTCCAGGGCTTGCTTCGCTAAGCTCAAACCTCAGAGTCCCTCCGTTTCCTGTTACCAGTAACTGACGATTGTTTCTTAGACGGTGTTGGCTGATGGGATTTCTGGGGCTTGCGGGTTCAGCGTTCTCAACAATCTCTGACGAGTGAGGTGGTTAGAGAGATTACCCACTTTTGCAGCGGATTTTGCCTAAGTGATGCTATGATTGAGGGCCCCGGAGTCTGCTCCTATTTTGGGAAGGCTCACGGTGTCCTGGGGTTATCAGTGCTCACAACATCACACTCAGGTTATCTGGAAGACGCCAGCGTGGGCAGAGTGTGAAGTGAGGAAGTGCTGTTTGCTGGTGGTGTACAGCAGCCTCCCCTGGCAGTTCGCTACGTGTAGGGGCGGGTTTGCCTTCAGAGCAGGAAGAGGTAATTACGATGGCCCAGAGTGGGAAGGAACCAAGTTTCCATCTGGTAGGAGCTGGCCAGGCCATGCAAACTTCCTAAAAAGACGAAGTTTCACGTAGCTTCGGGGAGTCTGATAGTCATTGCAGAGGCCAATGTTGATGACTAATATATCAGGGGGACTTTATACCCTTAAAGATTAAATCATTCTATTGAAATAAAATACTCTGTTTTAAATACATACGGTGAATGAGGACTTTTGCCCCAATTTGTAAAATTATAGTTTGTTGCTAAAACAGCTTAAGGGTATAAGTATAAATGAAATGACACTAATTAAAACATAAAACGTCAGAAGGGGTGATTTTATCGTGTAAGTTCAAAAGAACCGGGAAAAAAAGGAAAAATAGGTGTTTCTACCATTGGGGGAAAACTTGCTGGAAAAGGCTGGGCGTCCTGCCCCGCGGCTCAGGAGACTAGATCCTTATGTGAGGCCATCTGTCACCTAGGTGAATGTCATGATCTATACATAAATCACTTGCTAGCTCACAAGGAATTCGGACGGCATCACTCAAAACAAGAAATGCCAGGGGGTGGAGAGAAGCAGCACAAGGAATCCCACGGAGGCCGACACATCTCTGTGTAGCGCAAAGATGGTTTTTAGGGACTCTTGTTCCACCACGGTCTTTTCTGCTCCCTGTCTCTATTGTACGTACTATTTAAGATCATACCCCAGCTGGGCACGGTGGCTCATGCCTGTAATCCCAGCACTTTGGGAGGTCGAGGCGGAAGAATCACCTGAAGTCAGGAGTTTGAGACCACCCTGGCCAACATGGCAAAACCCCGTCTCTACTAAAAATACAAAAATTAGCCGGGTGTGGTGGCAGGTGCCTGTAATCCCAGCTACTCGGGAGGCTGAGGCAGGAGAATCTCTTGAACCCGAGAGATGGAGGTTGCAGTGAGCCGAGATCATGCCATTGTACTACTACTTGGGCGACAGAGTGAGGCTCCATCTCAAAAAAAAAAAAAGAGTATACCCCATGTATATCCACACGTACCTACATCTATGTCCATAACCATCTGTGTCTGTATTAATATTCTATTGATTTATGTATCTATATCGGATGGTACTCTATACAAAAACATACATCTATAACCACTTCATGCATATCTGTATCAGATCTGTATCTATATAAATTTCCACATCTGTAATTCTGAATTGCTATGGATTCATATATCTCCATCTGATCTATTTCCATATCTACATCTGTATCTACTTGTATATTCCTTTCCCAGAGCTGCCCTAACAAAGTATCCCCCACTGGGTGACCTAAGCAACAGAAATGCATTCTCTCCTGTTTTAGAGCCTGAAGCCTGAGGGCTGTGAGGGAGGCTCTGCTCTGTGCCCCTGTCCCAGCCTCCAGCCTTTGCTGGCCATCGGCCCATCTCTGCCCATGTGTGCACACAGCCCTCCCACTGTATGCGTCCCTCTCCATGTCCAAATGTCCCCTTGTGATAAGGACACTGGTCATGTTGGATTACTCCCATATGACCTCATCTTAACTAATTCTTTTGCAGTGACTCTATTTCCAGGTAAGGTCATATTCTGAGGTAGTGGGGATTAGGACTTTGACGCGGGAAATCGGGGGAGGGGAGACGTGATTCAGCTCATAACCGTCTGCACCTGTTTCTGAGGCTGCACTCACCTGTATGTCTTCCTATCATTCTCATTGTCATTTGGAAAAAAAAAAGAATTATAAGGTAAAAAACATACTTCATAACGCCGCACTTAGAAATAAGCACTAATAGTTTAATCACTTTTCTTTTTTACATAATAGTTCCATGCTTACATAATGTTTTACATGGGTGGTATACTATTGCATTTGTATCTTCATGCCTTGCTTTTAAGGTTATATCACACAAGCATTTTCCAACATATTGAAACGTTTTTGTTGCTTGCCAAATGTTCATTCAGGTAACTTGGCCAGAACATAGAAGAGCATCCTTTAGTGATTTGACATTTAAAATCCTGATAATCCCGTGGAACATTTCAGGGGCCATCTTTGTGTATAAAATTTTCCTCGACTTAGTGCTACAGTCTGGGATTTTAGTCTTGTACTCGGGGTGTTAAGCTTAGGTGTATTCGCGTCATAAGGCTCTTGAGACCTCTCACTGGTAGCTCTGGGAGAGGTTCTGTCTATGTGTCTCCCACCAGCCTGGCTCTCAGTGTCTTTGGGTGCCAAGGGCAGTGGCCGCAGGGCAGCAAATGCCAGCGTTCTCAGGAGGTCCTTCTCCATCCCGTTGCATGCAGCTTGGGTGCCGACTTCAGCGTCATCAGAGCAACAGAGCACTGTCTTGTAGACTGGACCTGGTGTATTATTTCACTCAAATTTGATGCCCCCAAGGAATTCACACAAGTCAAAAAAATTTTCACAGAAACTGTTGCTTTCAGGTGTGCCAAACATTCCATGAACAGAAGAAAATCCCTAAGATAATGACCCGCAGTATGGGGATTCTCCTTGGGCTCATCGGAGGCCCAAGGTGACTGTCACTTCCATAAACATTTTGTTTCTCATAAAGTAAATCTTGGATTACCAGTTTCCAATCTTAAAATGCATAATGTCTCATTTTCATTTATTTCTCCTTTATTGAATACTTAATACATTCAAATTATTGAGAACTGCCAATTACATAAAAGTGGTAAAACTCAGGTATGAAGCGTTTTAAGTTACAGGCCCAGTATTCAACTGGTTGCCACAAACTGGCAATGATGGCTGCATTAACAACTCTCCCCAAAGTCAGCCATGCTCATGGCTGGATCCTAGGCCCCAGAGGCTCAGGCGTGGCAGGAGTAACGAGGGACCTCTGCATGGGGAGTCTCTGACAGACTTAGTGAAACTTGTTTTCCAAAGAAAACAAGCTCAGATTTGGCATCGCAATGCACATGCTGGGTCTTTGGGATGGATTCTTGCTGAGAAAACTGATTCTGAAAAGGTCACATGATTGATATAAAGATGTAAATATCCATCGTCCTCCTCTTTGGCGCTAACTAATTTATTAACATGATGAAGGCACGGGTTGATGTTCTGAGAGTCAGGTGCTCACACCTATCTTGTACTTGGAGTGGTAAGAATGTAGGATTCTTGTCCAGGGGCAGTGGCTCACACCCGTAATCCCAGCACTTTGGGAGCCTGAGGCAGGCAGATCACGAGGTCAGGAGTTCAAGACCAGCCTGACCAACATGGTGAAAACCCGTCTCTACTAAAAATACAAAAATGAGCTGGGCGTGGTGGTGCGTGCCTGTAATCCCAGCTATTCGGGAGGCTGAGACAGGAGGGTCGCTCGAACCCTGGAGGCAGAGGTTGCAGTGAGCTGAGATTGTACCACTGCACTCCAGCCTGGGTGACAGAGCAAGACTGTGTAAAAAAAAAAAAAAAAAAAGCAGAACATATCTATGCAACGAAAAACCACCTGTGCCCCCAAAACTCCTGAAATAAAAGTACAAATTTTTTAAAAAAGAAGTCTCTGTTTTGCGCCTACCCCTCAAATGCATGGGATAGGGAGTCTCCAGGGTGACCCCCTTCTCACTGCCCCGAGGGCGGAGGTCGGCCCCACTGGACCCCTGATCCTGTTCACAACAGCGAAGTCCTGAGAGGAGATGGATTTGATTAAGCAGCTCGGGGCTCCTGCACAAAAACAAAATGGCTAAAGGAAGGGTTTGCTCTCAGCCCTGCACTCCCATCTCCGCCCCTGTGAAAGCCCTGTTCCTCCACCCACCAGGCACCAAGACAGGCTCTCCCTGTGTTAATTCTCCATCACTGCCAACTCCCACTGGCTCAGTGTGAAACTTAGCTCTAAGAAGTTGTGAGTTGCAGCATTCTATTGCATTCTTTTAAAAAAAAAGTCTTGGACTAATATTCAAGTATGTTTATTTGGAGAATACGTTAAATTAAAGCATCATGTTTCTGAACCTTCAAAAGACAAAGACACTTATTTTATATGCAAGTATTAACATATGTGGAGACATTTGTCAGAAACCTGAGAGAGCTGAATTTTTTGTTTAATAACAGAAACGTGTTTTGCTTTTATTTGTAATGATTTTTACGATAGCAGCAACTGTAATGACCGTGTTTGCCTTCTGATGAATGCTTTGTAGATGGGAGAACCACATGCCTTGGCCTCTCCCGATGTCTGTGTACTCCTGGGCTCCATGGTGCCCCTCTTAGGCTCAACCCTGATCTCCAGGGCTCTAGCCGCCATGCTATTGCCCATGACCATGGTTTCTGGAGTTCACTTCCCCGCTTGCTTTCTCCCTCTCCTTGGCCTCTAGGTTGAGCACCTTCCTTGGGGTTCCCATTTTCTTCTTGCATCCCTTTGTCCTTCACTGTGGGCATATAATTCCCCCAAAGCAGCCTGCATGGCCACTAGCAGTGACTTCACTGCAACTCTGGACAAGAGGCCTCACACCATGCAGGGCCCGGGACCCCTCCTCTTCTAGCCCCAAGAAAATAGACACCATTTTCTTACTGCAAGGTAAAATGCGATAAACCATAAAGGAAAGTGTCATATACGTTTGTCAAACGAGACCATTATCATTGGCCATCTTAATTTGTTTTCTCTGGAATTACTCATTTTAATGCTGGCAATATTTATGTGTGTCTTTCAAATGTGTTCACATATCCTGATGTGACTTGTCTGGAATTTCTTTCAATCTCATGTAAATATTTCTGAAGCATAAACATTAATATATTACATGTTGCCAACTTCTTTATGCCTTCCATACCTCACAGGTGAGGGCTCCAGGGCTGCTTTAGTTTTCAGTTTAAACAAACTAAGATTTCTTAGATACAGCATGGGTTCTGTTGGATTTATGCACAGCTGACCGTCTCTCTCGGCAAATCAACTCTAATAGCATATGAAGAGGCGTGTGTTCAAACATTCATTTCTAAAAACCCAGAATAAACATGTTCAATAAACTAAATGAACATTGTAAAACACATACAAGCAAAGTACTGGTTAATTGCTATGTAGATATCTAGTAGACAATTATTATTAATCTTTGTATTATATTAACAATTAATCAAAATAACTGCACGACATAGTCATATATCTTATAGCAAATCTAATAAAAATGATTAGATAAAACACACAAAGTTAAAATGTGTAAGTTTTGTCATGATTGATTCTAATAGCCACAGATGCGGAATTCCAAAGGTGTCCTTGGGGTGGAACACGCGATTAGCATTATCGATGAGCACTGCTTCGCACTCTGGGAAACAACAGAAATATCTACCGTGGATTTTGGTTTCAAAGTTGAAATGTTTTCCCAGATTAGGCTGGGCGCAGTGGATCACGCCTGTAATCGCAGCACTCTGGGGGGCCGAGGCGGGCGGATCACGAGGTCAGGAGACGGAGACCACAGTGAAACCCCGTCTCTACTAAAAATACAAAAAAATTAGCTGGGTGTGGTGACGGGCGCCTGTAGTCCCAGCTACTTGGGAGGCTGAAGCAGGATGACAGTGTGAACCTGGGAGGGGGAGCTTGCAGTGAGCCGAGATTGAGCCACTGCACTCCAGCCTGGGTGACAGAGCAAGACTCTGTCTCAAAAAAAAAAAAAAAAGAAAGAAAAGAAATGTCTTCCCAGATTAAAATGGATTGCAATCTTCTTTCTAAAGGCATTTTGTGGTCATCACTGTAAAGCCGGAGCATCAGGTTCACATACCCTGATCCCTCAGCAGACAGAACCTGCTTGTTTATGGTGCCAAAAAGTGAACATCTGACTCGGAGAACACTCACCCGCTCCAGTGAAAGGAAGAGAAAGGCCCTGCTCTTTAAGTCTGAAGAAAGGTGACCGTGAAGGTCTCTGTGGGTGGTTAAAGGCAAGATGTAATTAGGATTTCACCAATGATCACCAAAAAGGGAGAAAGACAAAATATATTTAAAATCAAGCCTTGAAACTAGAAACTTCTATATTTTCCCAGTGCTGAAAATGAGCTATGTTTTACAAACCTGAAGCTTGGTGATGTGAGTGATGTGGTGAGAGGAGGTGGAGCATCGCATTCGGTACATTAACGTCTTCAAAGAGTTAAGCTTGCCTAGCAAAACTCTCTGTCTCTTCCTCCCCTTCCCTCCCTCTTCTTTTTCTCACTTTCTCTGTCTCTTTTCTTCTCTCTGTGTCTTTCTCTGTCTCTTTTCTTTCTTTCTCTGTCTCTTTTCCTCTCTCTTTTCTCTGTCTCTTTTCTTTCTTGCTTTCTCTGACTCTTTTCTTCTCTCTGTCTCTTTTCTTTCTTTCTGTCTTTTTTCCTCCCTCTTTCTCTGTCTCTTTTCTTTCTTGCTTTCTCTGTCTCTTTTCTTCTCTCTGTCTTTCTGTCTCTTTTCTTTCTCACTTTCTCTGTCTCTTTTCTTCTCTTTGTGTCTTTCTGTGTCTCCATAGCTCTCCACAGATAGATAGATAGAAAGATCGATACTACACAGTTGGATAGACAGACAGGTAGAAGACAGATAGATAGAAGCCATCAGCACCCACCCCGTCCTGACGCTGTCGAGGATGAGCCCCTCCAGACTCTACCGAAAGCACCGCCCAGAACTCTTGGAAGGTGGCTCATGTTAGCTTAACATGCACACAGCTGCTGTGAAGACATGACGTGCTCCGAAACGCGGGTGTTTCACCGTCTAAATTACGCCCTCCAGAAATTCACTTCCCGTGGTTCCGGAGGCTGGAAGTCCAGGATTGAGGCATCTGCAGATATGGCGTCTGGCAACACCTCCTGTCCAGGTTCGTGGAAGGTGCCTTCTCGCTGTGTCCCCACGGGGTGGAGAGGGCAAGGGGACTACTTGGGGTCCCTCTTTTAAGGGCACTCACCCCATTTATGATGGCTCCACCCCCATGACCAAATCACCTCCCAAAGGCCCCAGCTCCTAATTGCATCCCCTTGAGGGTGAGGGTTTTGACACTGGAATTTTGGGGAACACAGACGTTCAGACCACAGCAATGCTGAAACTATTTCTGAAAAGAATTCAACACATCAATAAAACTGTGCATGGCCCTGTTTCAACACAGCCCTGGAGGATGAGCCAAGCCCATCCTGCCCGGGGGATGCTCTGCACCCCCGTCAGCTCAGAACTGCCTGTCTCCCTGCTCATTTCAGAAGGTTCACGTTCAAAGTGAATGCAGCCTGCTTTCATGTCCCCTCCTCAGCCCCAGCTCACACTTGAGGGCCAGGGGGAACAACGAGTGTGCCTGGGCAGCCAGGTGCGTGCCCTCTCACCTAAGGAACCACCTGTAGAGTTAGGTGCTCTGCTGTCTGGGGAGGAGAGCAAGTCTGGAGTCTTGTCCCAGACAACAGACTCCCTCTAAATGAGGTTAAAAAGAAGGGGTGCCGGGACCAGGCTTTGGGGTTCTACATGGCCGCTGCCACCCCCAAGATCTCATCAGGAGACACCTGCCCCACTCAAGCCTCCAGGGCCAGCCCCACGGCAGCACCACCCCTCCATCGGCCCTGAAGCCAGGCACAGACCCCAGTCTCCCACCTTCCTCCCACACATGCTGGAGAGAATCCAGGCTAGAGACCCCCACCTCCCACACATGGTGGCTCTGGTCCATTCCAGTTCCTGCCGGTGGAGGCCAGGCTGGGACCACCTCACTCTTGGGGGCACAAAGAGCCCCGTCACCGACTGCTGGGCACTGCTGGGGACATGGGTGTTGCTGCTGCTTCCTGCCCCTCAAATGCGATGGCTCCGTCTTCACAGAAAACCACAAGCGCAAACAGGAGATGGATCGGGAAGTTCGGGCATTGGGAATCACAGGCTTGGACAGGAGGCTCATCAGACAGGGAGTATAAGTGAATACGCTGTCCTCCTGGTGCCACAGCCATCCCACACCACGAGCCACCCGCCAGGGAGGGCTGCTGCCACCTGCGTCCTTTCTCTCCCTTGGGCCCTGGTGGAGAAGCATAGCCTGGACAGCCACGGGGGATGGTGGAGGAGGGGAGAACCGGAACCAGGCCCGTGGGCAGAGCCAGAGCCTGTCCCCTCTGCTGGATCTCCGGAAAGGCAGAGGCCACTGCTCAGGGAGAGGCCCCTGCAAGGACCAGCACAGCACAGGGGCCTGGAGACACACCTGGGAGGAGACTGCCAGCTGGTACATGCCAAGGACATGTCACAGCAGGAGTGGCTTGTCCCCAGGCCCCAGCCTCGGCTCTGTCCTCCACCTCCCATCTCCCCCAAGCCCCTTGTCCATGTGACCCTCCCCCGTTCCCCCATTCCTCTCTGACTCTGCAGGGGCCTTCCAGTGAGAGGCCACCTCCAGCTGCGTGGGGCTGAGCGCCTGAATCTGCTCACTCAGATGTAGAATGGGGACAGTGGCCCACCTGGGATGAAGGAAGCTGCGGGTCGTCCCCAAGTGTGAGGAATGCGCCCCCAGCCCCCCGGAAGCCCAGGCATCTCCAGATCCCTAACAATGTCATTTACACTTCTTTAGCTTCTTTTCTCCTAGGACACATTTTCATTTCCATGCTTCCTAAGTCTTCCCCGCCTGCTCCCCTCTCCCAACCCAGCCCGGCCCCCAGGCCATGCTTGTGCAGGTACCAAGGAGAGGAGGAACTAATGATTGACAGGTGGATTTTCTTGATTTTCAGTGTTGGACCAAACTTAGAAAACCTTTGGTAGGCAAAGGAAGCCCATTCACCCACTAGGCTCTAGGTGGAGTGCTCTAGGCCACAGAGCAAAATCCGAACAGCTTATCTCCATTTAGGGAAATTTGTTCCTGACAAACGCTGACTGTACCATCGCACCTCCTCTCCCCCTACAAAGTCCATTCTCCCTCCCCCAGCCCCTGGAGCCTCTGGATGGAGCTCTCTTTGTGTTTAATTCTGTGTCTCCCTCTCCTTTAAATTCCTGTCAACACTGGGCCGTCACCGACTGCTGGCCACTGCTGGGGACCTGAGTGTTGCTGCTGCTTCCTGTCCCTCGAATGTGATGCCTCCATCTTCACAGAGAACACACAGCAAACCAGGAGACAGACAGGAAAGGGCAAGCATTGGGAAATAAAAGAGGGGCACAAAGTTTTCAGAGTAAGGATCGGGGGCTGGGTGCAGTGGCTCACGCCTGTACATCCAGCACTTTGGGAGGCTGAGGTAGACAGATCTCCTAAGGTCAGGAGTTCGAGACCAGCCCGGCCAACATGATGAAACCCCATCTACACTAAAAATACAAAATTAGCCGGTTGTGGTGGCAGGCACCTTTAATCCCAGCTACACGAGAGGCTGAGGCAGGAGAGTCACTTGAACCTGAAAGGCGAAAGTTGCAGCGCCAAGATTGCACTATTGCACTCCAGCCTGGGTGACAGAGCGAGTCTCCATCTGAAAAAAACAAAAAACAAAAAACAAAACAAAACAAAACAAAAAAAGAATAGGGCTAGGGAAGAGGAGACAGGAGGGAGAGGCGGACACACCTGGGGAAACAGCATCTTCTGAGAAAATACAGCGCGAAAATAAGAATAGTTTCTTACAAACACTTAAAACCAGAAGACATGGCAGGGGAGGGCTGGTATCAGGCTTCCATCAGGGCACTGCTCTGCAGCTTAAAATGTCACCAAACTCTCCCCAGAGGGGCTGCTGATGAGAACCACCCTCCGGGAAGACATACTCTCTGAGCAAGACAGCCTGAGTTCACCCGGCCTCTTAGGCCTTTGATCACAGGATCCTATTTTGGAATCAACGTTTGTGTCTGCCATTGCTCAAGGCCCATCCTGTCATCAGGCCACATCCTAAATTCAACCTAAGCCCTGCTTTCCACAGAGGAGGTGGGGCTGGGCCTAGGGGTGTCATTGGCCACAGGACTGCTGCCTGCTCTCATCCACCCTGAGAAGCAACTGCTGGCCAGAGGAAAACAATTCAGCCAGAAGACACGAAGTCAGAGAAAAGAGACCAGCATGGAAGAATTGAAGCCCTGTTGTGAACTAATGAACTAATTTTTGCTCAGTTGAATCCAGCCATGAGCTCCCGAGTGGGAGTAAGAAGAGTTTCAGCCTCAAGCAGGGACCCCAGGCCACAGGGGTGTTGCCGGGTGAGGAGGCTGCATTTGTGTTGGCATCAAGTGCATTTGTCTTCCGGGTAGAGCCAAATAAAAGCAGGTGAAGGAAATTAACATGGAATTAGGGTGCAAACCTTAGAATGCATTTCCTTCATCTCCCCCATCCATCTGCAGGGTGGGAAGTGGGGTGAGCCCGCCCCCGGGCTGACACAGTGATGAGCAATGGCAATTTGCCTTAAAAACCCTAACGAGTGGATCATTGCTGCAGAGGAACGGGAGAACCCTCCAGTCCCCCGGCGGCTGCATGCCACGGTCGGCTGTGCAGTAACCAGGCAGAGCACAATGACATCCCAGCCTCGCTCCCCAGATAAAAATTTCTCTCCCTCCACTTTTGCAAAGGTAATGAGGAAGTAATGAGGCTTGACTTGAATTTTTTCAGCCCTGGCTTTCCCTCCTTCCCCAGCAGGTCCCCCAGGATGGCATAAGACGCTGGGTTTCTATAAAAGCTGTGCTGTGGCTGGGTGGAGGAGCGGAGTCGGGCTCTGTGGCCTCAGAGGCCGCTTGCAAGAGTTCAGATAAACCGAGGCCCCTTTCAGCGCGTCCGTCTGCTCTGATCGGCTCCACTGAATAAGACGATTTGAGGATGTGCAGGCCCGGCCGCGCAGCTCCCTGTTTATTTTACCACTTGATGGCTAGAAAGCCCTGACCTTTCCCGGCTACCTTTCCGCCACCACCTCCCCCAGCCCCAGCCCTGTTCCTCTCCTGCTTTTTGTCTCTTTTGCAGCTTTACTACATTCAACTGTGCAAATAGTAAAATCCCAAAAAGGTAGGCAGAAGGGCTGTTTGAGATCATTAGCTTAATTTGAGCTGAAAGGTCTTTGTTGTAAGTTGGGGAGGGGAAGGACCCGGGGACCTTAGCTGAGTGTTCTGCTGGCAAGCTTGTTGAGATATGATTGCCTTTGTTGTGATAATCTGAAATTAATTTGCACTTGAACCCATCTTTCTTCTGGGCTCAATTTAAACACTGTTATAATTATGCGCCCTGCATGAAATTGAGAACAGACCCTGATATGACAAAGCTGAATGTTTTAATTCCCCAGGTACAGACGGCTTTTTTCCTCACTTATCTCACAAGGTAATAAAACAAAATGCTGCAGTGCTCATGCTTAAGAGAGAGGTATTTGCCTGAGGGGAAACAGAGATAATCACTGTATCGCTCCACATTTCACTCTGTACTTTCGCAGTGGGTCAATCGCTTTCTTTTAAAGTGATGTTAAACTTCTGCTAATATTAGTTGATTTGTACCTGGAACGCTATTTTAAAAAAAAAATGAAAATGGTATGTTTTATTCTATTTCAGCCGCTCCTCATCTAAGAGGCTTTGTCTCTAACATCCATTTCCTCAGATTTTTTTAAACACTATTAAAGGCTGCCTCCTAATATGCACAATTGATCTTAGCGGAGCACCGTTCTTGTTCTCAGTGTGAGCTGTAATATCCTTATCAGCATTCTTTTAGTTTTAACCCAGATTAGTGTTTTTGGTGAGGAATCTCATTAACTCCGGCAAGCCTATCTTCTTTTGTGATTGCCTTCGGAATTGTATTGTACTAAAAGGCCAACGGGGCCTTTCCCCCAGGCACAAATTCTTCTTTAAATCAGCCTTCAGCTTAGAGAAACTACACACTCCTCAGAAAGAGACGTTCTGAAGGGTCGGGATGAACTGTGCGGGTTCCCCTCACTGGAAGACACGGCTAAGACCGGCTGGCAGTTTGGGAATCTGGGGGAGGAGACCCAGGAGTCCTGCGGGCTCCCCGGCTCCCCGCTCCTGGCCCCTTCCTGTTTCCCTTACTATCTTGCGCAAACACCTCAGCTGCCGCCTCGGAAAAACAGCCTTAAACGATCATGGTCGTGTCGTATTGTGTTAAAAGCAAGTGTCATTTCACAGTCACACAAGCAAGA
Source organism: Homo sapiens (assembly GCF_000001405.40). Taxonomy (NCBI): domain Eukaryota; kingdom Metazoa; phylum Chordata; class Mammalia; order Primates; family Hominidae; genus Homo; species Homo sapiens. The sequence goes on from NC_000005.10 coordinate 3,104,960, forward strand.
AAGCCATCTCCCCAAACAGAGCCCAGGGCAGAAGACGGACAGAGAAGGAGGGGTTAAAAGGAGACACCTGCCAGCTAAGGAAGGCGGCCCAGTGCCCTCTGACCATCCTGGTGCATTTTATAAATAATCACAACACCCAGTACTTGGGTTGGTTTACTAATAAAATGTACAAGGGTCGAATTCAGAGTAATTTGAAAAATAAAATATATCCCCCCCAAATGCCAGTTTAATTCTGTTGGTCATGCGATAAAATGTCAACGGCAAATGTTTATGACTGAGCTTATTTGTTAGAAATTCTATGTGAGAAAAGTACAGATGAGTAATTGGGTACGATAGTGTTTTTAACAAAAACTATGCATTGGTAGAATGGCTTTATCTCTGATGACTCATTGTTCCATGCACTCTATGATGATTTCAGTGGAAACAAAGAGTGTTCCAATTATAAGATGGTGGTAGTAACAGGACTATTTTATTTATTGTTTTGCAAAGCCTATTCAAATATACACACAAGTGGCATCTATGTTCTTTAATCACTCTTCTTACTAACATATTTTTGAGAAAGAATTGAGGCCACAGTTCAGAGTCTCATGTCAGCACCTCCTGAGAAAGCCTGTAGCTGCGTGGATAAGGCACCTGGTGTACATAGGAGGCCTGAGCCTGCCTATAAGTACATAGCAGAGAAGAGTGTCCATTGTCACATGTGAGCGCCGTGTGGGTGCACCTAGGGTCCTAGATGGGAAGTGTGTGCACCACTGCCGTACAGAGGAGGAGCAGGAAACCCACATCACGTGGCAGAGGCACGTGCTTGATGACCCAAAGGCCATGTGGTGTGCTTATCCGCAGGGGTCCTGTGTAAGCCCAATGTCCCAGTGGAGAGGCGGGGGTTGCACTGTTCTGCAGAGGATGATCAGGTGTACCTGTTACCACACAGAGGAGACGGGTGCTCCTACTGTCATATAGTGGAAGTGGGTGAGCTTGTTATCAGGCAGAGGTGTGCCTGCGCCCATTGTTCTATAGACAAAGAGCAGGTGCTGTGTTTCCTACAGAAGCTCACCTATCAGAGGAGTGGGGTCTAACTCCCCATGAGCGAGGCAGGGCTGCAGCAGATGTCCTGTAACTGAGGGTGTGTGCCTAGAGTCCTCTGAGGAGGCATGGGCGTCCCCAAAACCATGCAGAAGTGTTGTTCCATAGAAGTGTGTCTGCCTGATATGGGGGACAGTTTCGCCCCCTGCCATGTGGTGGAGGGGAGGCCAAACTGAGGAGGCTGGGTCCCTTCCCCGCAGAGTCCCAAGTCAGACTTGCCACAGCCTCTGAAACTCTCAATAACCTGTCCGAGAAAGGACACCAAAGAAATGAAGCCACTCAGAGAAGTGGCTCGAGGTGCCCCTGGGATGGAAGGGGAAGGTGAGGGGGCCACAGGGCTGCATTTTCCCCTTGACTCTGTGTGACTGGCTCCCCAGCCCCTCCCCTCTCCCTCTGCTCTCCCTCCCCTCCCTTACCCTTCCCTCTGCTTTCTCTTGCTTCTCCTCCCCTCCTCTCCCCTCCGCTCCCCTCATCTCCTCTCCCTTCCTCTCCCCCCTCCCCTCCCCTCCTTTCTTCCCTTCCTCTCCCCTCCCCTCCCCTCCTTTCCCCTGCTCTTGTCCCCTCTCCCCTCCCCCCCCTTCCTCTCCCCTCCCCTCACTCCCCTCCCAGCCTCATCTCTGCCCACTCCATCATGCTCTGCGCGCCCCACTCACTCACTGACAAGCAGCCTGGGCAAAACAACCTCCCACAAACAAAGCAGGGGGCCCTGTTTTTCTTCTGATAACATCTCCTGATCTCATTATTGATTATCTGCTTTCTTGGGCCTTGTTTCCGGAAAGTTTGACATAGGACAACAGAGGTGACAGAAGGTTGGCCCTGGGCCCTGGACATGAATAGGCCAGCCATGGTCCGCACCGCAGCGGAGCTCAGCCAAGGCAGTCAGGCTGTCTTGACTTCATCTCTCCCTCCTTTATCTCGAATTTGTCTTGAACCCTCCCAGGCAATTCACTATCCTTGTCACTGATTTTTATCACCCCCATGTGCCCCTATGAGGAACTGCTTTTTGACTGATGAACCAGCTCCTCATTTAAACAACTGAGTGCTTCACCTCCATGTGAAAACAGCTCTCTCAACAACAAGAAGAAGAATGCCCTATTTACATCAATCCTTGGCCAGGACTCTTGTGCTGAAAATTTGCCCCAGCTCTCACCGCGGGCGCTCTGTGAATGCCAAGCGCTCCTGCAACCTGACTCCGTGCATGGGATATTCCCCCACCCACAGTTCCACCCAGAGCCAGGGGGCCTCCGGAATGCAGCCTCAAAAAGCCAGCTTGGAACAACAGATTCATACACGGCCCCTCCTGTCTCAGAGTCTCTGCGGCAGGTGCCTGGGTCTTCTGGCGTCTGAGGCCAGCTCCGCCACGGCATCTGTGGTCCCCTGAGCACAGATCTCTTGCAGTAAGCACAGTGTTCAACATGCAGTTTCTTTTCTCCAACTGCCGACAGCCCCCCACCCCCAACTCACTGCCTCTAGGCCAATACTGGGTCCTCTTCCCTCTGACTTGGCCTCTTCCCTTGGCTGCTGGCCCTGCAGGATGGAAACAGTGTCTGTGGCCAGAGCAGAAGAGAGAGGATGCTCAGTGTTTAGAGCCGAACATTCTCAGTGGCGTGTCACCAGATTTGATGTTGCTGAGCAGCCTTCTGCACATTCCTGCCCTCTTCAGGGTTTCAGCCACCTGAGCCACCTTCTTGCTGCATATGCAGTTGAGGTGAAAACTTCTGTGCATCTGAGGTTGAGTTTGGAAGGCAGGGTGAGGCTTTGACACTGGATTTCTCACCGGTTCTGATGACGCCATACTCTTGAGGGTTTCTCTTGGCTTCCTAAGGCCCCAGGCGTTTGCTTCCCCTCTCACAGCCTTCGGAGAGGCCTGTGACTTTACAACCAGGCACAGCCAACGTACAAGAATCACATGGGACTTGGTCCACAGAGCAGGTGCAAAGAAACAGTTCCCAACCGTGTTCGTCTTTCCATTGCTGATACAGATTCTCCAAAATGTAACTGCAGGCCAAAGACCCCACCTGTCCTCACTGCAGCCAGGAGACACACAGGGTGCATGCATGGTTTGGGGATGGCTGGAAGCTCAGCTGTGGTCCTGGTCCCATTTTATCCTAGCTTTGCAGAAGCTACAGTTCTCATGCTGCCTCTCAGCATGCATGCATTTTCCTCCCCTGTAACTGAAACTAAGAAGGAGTCTCTCCCTCTGAGGTTTTCTTCATCCCATCTATCAACATGATTAATTTGATTATCAATATGATTAATTTACAGAATTCACTCCTCAGAAGAACCAGGACCCAAACAGTCTGCTTAGGTCCAAAATTTAGGAGTCAGCCTCCACTCACTTTTCTTCACAACCTGCCCGGTCCCATCCAATCCACTTTGGGGAGCCCCTGGAACCTCTTTCCAGAAGGTCTAGAATCTAAGTCCTTCCATGATCTTTGTTGATGCTACTCCCTCAATCCACCCCCACCTTTATGCTGGAGGTTTGCAGCTCTCTGCTCCTCCTCCCAGGCCCATAAGCCATGCCACACGGCAGTCTGAGGGGCCTTCTAAAAATATAAACCACAGCATGTCCCCCATAAGCACCAAAATGCTTGCTAGCAGCTCCCCATGGGACTTAGAACCCAAATGTCACTTCAGCCTGGAAGGTCCTTCACGTCTGGCCCTCCCCCATCCCACCCGTCTCTGCCCTACCCACACTGCTCCTTGTGCAGCTCTGATGAGCTCATTCCCACCCCAGGACCTTTGCACTGGTTGCAAAACTCTTCTCCCAAACTCAGACATCACCTCCATGGCCTCCTTACAGAGAAACACTCTTCCTGTTCCTCCCACAGCCACACTGTATTTGCTTAGCTTATTTAATCAAACAGAATTATTTTATATCTATTCCAGGTTGTGGTTTTTGTTTGTTTGTTTGTTTGTTTTTTTGCAGCTGTCTTCCTCTACTGCAGGAGCTCCCAGAGCTCAGGGATCATTTGTGTCTTTCCCAGGTCAGGCCTGGCTCAGGGTCACCTCCCCAGGGGCCAGCACGTAGCCATCCTCGATGTGTGCATTCTGAATAATGAGCAAATGGCAGGGACGCTGAAGAACACAAGAAACAGTGAGGTTGTCTAAGCTTGGGCTGAGTTTCCTGATGACCCTTGGTGGCTCTCATCTCTTCTACATCTCAGTTTTCCAATCTTTAAATCATGAGTGATGGAACTTGATACTCAAAGAAGCTATATGTTTTGGTGAAATTTTGCTACTAATGATTTTGAGGGGTAACGGGAAAATTCTGCAAGGTAAAATCCTCATGGGAGGAGTACACGATGTCTGCAAGAGGGCTTTCCAGGATGGCCTCAGAACAGCAGCCTGAAGAACCTGCTCTCTTCGGGGGAGATTTTGCTCATCAGTATCACATCTACCTACTGCCAAGTGTTACCCACATTTGCTTCATGGAGCCTGTTTGTGGCTCTGCCAGGGAGGTACTTATAGGCATTTTCTATCAAAGGTGATGTTCACAGGTCAGATGCAAGGGCCACCTGCGGTGCTTAGAACCTCAGTTCACTGAGGGTATAGCTGATTTATAGGAGCCCGTGTCTTGTGCTCAGGTGGGAACACAATCCAGGAGCCACATGGAAGTGGCTAGTGTGATGGCCGAAGTCAGGAAGGGGGGAGAATTCTTCCAGACCTCCATGGTGAATCTGGGGGTCACATGGAGGAAAGGCTCCAACTGCAGAGACAGCCTGTCTGGGAAAAGCTGGACATTAGCCACACCCATACACAGAGGGGACGCTTCCAACCGCTGACTCAGGCATTGTCACCCAAACACCAGAATAAAATGGTTTGGTTTCTGGTAGAGTTTTCTTTCTCCATAATTGGAAGAGCATGCAAGTCACAGCACAGACGCTACAAGCAACGTGGGAGCAGCTCTCACCCAACCATGTTAGTTTAGAGAGTGAATACCTCGGGCCAGCAAAGCCCAGAATGTTTTTCAAGATCAGCGGGCATAGGCGAAAGTGGAACCCAGCTTGGGGCCAGCACGCAGCACTGCCTTCCACACTAGTCCAAGGGAAAATCCTCCTTCAGGGTCTTCAGTGGCACTGACGGGATTGATGGGATGACTTCACAGAGCGCGTCCACCTTTTCTCACTCTGTCGAACTTGCCCAGTATTCCTCCAAGCACTCCCAGGAGGTCTGTCAGACATGGGACCTCCACACTTTGGAGAACAAAACCAAGTCTTTCAGGAAAGCATGTTAATCAGAATTGTAAGATTGGGTAAAATGATGAGAGCTCCTCATCCCGGCTCCTGCCCCCAGTGTGTGTTACGGATTGAGGTCAGAGGGCAGGACTCGGATGTCCTCCTCATGGGTCTCCTCACCTGGGGAACAGCCGTGATCCTGGCGGAACCCTGGCTTCGGTCTAGAAGGGCTCTCAGTGCCCTCAGTATCCTGCCAGCCTAGTCTCCAGGGCAGGCTTTCTGTGCTAGGACATCCCGCCCAAGGGGAAGTGGCAGTGCCTTCACCAACCCGCCTGACACTCCTCCAGACCAGACGACGCTGTCAACATTTGTTTCCCCCTAACCATTTGCTCTCCTTTTTGCCTGATTAACATTGTGCCAGCCTGTTCCTACAAGAAGCTGGCATGTGCCAGAAGGACCCTGCAGTGCCTGGCACTGGGCGATTCCTCCTTGACTGTTGGTTAAGAGAAATCATCAAGGGCTGAGTCCTTGCAGACTCACCTTGCCTGCAAGGTGAATCTTAAATGACCCAATGCATATAAAATGCAGAGCACAAGACCTGCTGCTCCACAGGTGTTTGATAAACGGCAGTGCAGGCTATTACTTGCACTGTTTTTGTTTTTGTTTTTTGTTTTGTTTTGTTTTGTTTTGCTTTTGTTTTTGTTTTTGTTTTTGACATGGAATCTAGCTCTTTTTGTCCAGGCTGGAGTGCCATGGCATGATCTCGGCTCACTGCAGCCTCCGCTTCCCAGGTTCAAGTGATTCTCCTGCCTCAGCCTCCTGAGTAGCTGGGACTACAGATGCGTGCCACCACGCCTGGCTGATTTTTGTATTTTTAGTAGAGACGGTGTATCACCATGCAGGCCAGGCCAGTCTCAAACTCCTGACCTTAAGTGATCCACCCACCTTGGCCTCCCGAAGTGCTGGGACCACAGGCATGAGCCACTGCACCCGGCCCTTGCACTGTTAACATTATCATTACTCTTATTTCATTTTTTTTTTTCTTTGAGACAGGGTCTTGCTCTGTTGCCTAGGCTGGAGTGCAGTGGCCCAATCATAGCTCACTGCAGCCTGGACCTCCTGGGCTCAGGCTATCCTCCTGCCTCAGCCACCTAACTAGCTGCGACCACAGGTGTGCACCACCACACCAGGCTAATTTTAAAAATTTTTTCTAGAGACCGGCTCTCACTATGTTGCCCAGGCTGGTCTCAAACTCCTGTGCTCAAGTGATCCTCCTGCCTTGGCCTCCCAAAGTGTTGGAATTACAAGTGTGAGCCCGGCCTGTGGTTGATTCTTCAGTCTTTCAGTGGCAGAGATCTCCCTCACTCCTTCCATCCGTCAGTGTTGGACACTCTCCCCACCCACCCCCATCCCCTGAGGAAGGCCATTTTCAGCTTGGAAGTCCCGGGCGGGCATTGTTGGAAGTGGGGCCTCTCAGTAGTGCTTAGAGCCCTCTAAACCAGGTCTGGGGTGCGTGGTGGGTGAGGTGGGTACAGGGTTTCCTCAGGTCCGTGGTCTGTAGAAAAACTTCCGGTTCCTTTTTCCTAAACAAACTTTTTGACAGTAACATAGGGGTCCCCATCCCCTGCTGTCTCTGGAAGCCTTACCTTGCGCCTGTCCATTTCATTCCAAGTGATTAGTGGATTTTCAGGATCTACTTGTTCTGTGGGCTTTTCCCCTCCAACACTGACTGTAACTAAGGTGCTCCTGTAGGGGAACAAGCAGTGGACTTCCCCGTGTGTCCCTGAGTCCCACCTCTGCTCTGGCCAGCCTGTCCTGGACTCACGGCATGGTGGCCTGGCTCCCCTTCTGGACCAGGGCACAGATCCAGCTCTGGAACTGCTTGGTGGTAATGTCAACCCTAGGTAATGATGGCTCTGCATTTCTGTTGAATGGACAACCCAAGAAACAGGAACTTTAGGTTCTCGCCTGAGGCCTCAACCCTAAATCAATGCTGTTTCTTCTGGCTGGAATCTGATTCAAGCACCTGATGCTTGAGAGGCGCCCCTCAGGGGCATGTAAACTGAGCACTGCTGAAGGCTCCGCCAGGCGTATTTCTACTAAGGCGAATGTTTTGAGGCCGAGGCAGGAGAATGGCGTGAACCTGAGAGGTGGAGCTTGCAGTGAGCTGAGATCGCGCCACTGCACTCCAGCCTGGGTGACAGAGCAAGACTCCCTCACAAAAAAAAAAAAAAAAAAAAAAAATTATGATTTATCCAAGCTTTTAGCCATGGCAGAAAGTATTTTGTTCTCTTTTGCTTTTTTAAATAATAACTTTGTACATGTTTCTGAGGTTGTATTGGAGGTGTTGTATGAATTTTAAGGAACTGATGTGAAAAAATACTGCAAACCATAGAAAATAATTAATTTTTACATTTTTTACTTTTTTTTTTTTTTTTTTTTTTGAGACAGGGTCTCACTCTATCACCCGGGCTGGACGGGCTGGAGTGCAGTGGTAGAATCTCGGCTCCCAGATTCAAGTGGTCCTTGTGCCTTAGCCTCCCGAGTGGCTGGGACTACAAGCACGTGCCACCACGCCTGGCTAATTTTTGCATTTTTTGTAGAGATGGGGTTTTGCCATGTTGCCTAGGCTGGTCTCAAACTCCTGAGCTCAGGTGATCTGCCCACCTCGGCCTCCCAAAGTGCTGGGATTACAGATGTCAGCCACTGCACTCAGCCTGAAAATGTTTATTTGTTTATTTTTATTTTGTTTATTTGTATTATATATTTTTGAGACTGAGTCACTCTCTGTTGCCTGGGCCACAGTACAGTGGCACAATCGTGGCTCACTGCAACCTCCACCTCCTGGGTTCCAGCAATTCTCGAGCCTCAGCCTCCCGAGTAGCCAGGATTACAGGCGTCCACCTCCTCGCCTGGCTAATTTTTGTATTTTTAGTAGAGATGGGGTTTCACCATGTTGGCCAGGCTGGTCTTGAACTCCTGATCTCGTGATCTGCCTGCCTCCGCCTCCCAAGGTGCTGGGATTACAGGCATGAACCACCACACCCAGCCTGAAAATAATTTATTAAAAAAAAATTGGAAAATAACCATAATATTACTTAATGTCAATTACTCACATTTTTAAGAAGTATTTATTTTTTGGCCTGGCGCGGTGGCTCACGCCTGTAATCCCAGCACTTTGGGAGGCTGAGGCGGGCGGATCACGAGGTCAGGAGATCGAGACCATCCTGGCTAACACGGTGAAACCCCATCTCTACTAAAAATACAAAAAATTAGCCGGGCGAGGTGGCGGGTGCCTGTAGTCCCAGCTACTCGGGAGGCTGAGGCAGGAGAATGGCGTGAACCCGGGAAGCGGAGCTTGCAGTGAGCCGAGATTGCGCCATTGCACTCCAGCCTGGGTGACAGCGAGACTCCGTCTCAAAAAAAAAAAAAAAAGAAGTATTTATTTTTTGTGGTTTGATGTAGTTTTTCTTCTTGCCAATTGTGACATTTTAAATATTTTTCCTAGAATTATATTTTCAAATATTTTGGAATTTTTTAAAACTATTAAACTTAAAAACAGGAACAGTAAGTAGTGACTTTGGAGGGCAGGATAATGCCGGTCAGGATGCAGAGCAAGGGGAAAGCTCCTGGAAGAGTGTCTCAAGGGTGTCGAGCAAGATGTGTGTTGACGGAGACATGGAGACAGGGAAACCATCCAGGCCCTGCTGCAACTCCCTGTGGAATCAAGACTCCATGTTGAGACCTTAGATCACAACGGCAGGACTGATGATGTGATTGTGTATCAATATACAACCTTTACCTGAAAGAACGTGAAATTATTCCCAATACCATATGATAGCTGAACATTTAAAACAAATAGGGGGTGGGCACGGTGGCTCACACCTGGAATCTCAGCACTTTGGGAGGCTGAGGCCGGTGGATCACCTGAGGCCCAGGAGTTTGAGACCAGCCTGGCCAAAATGGTAAAACCCTGTCTCTACTAAAAATACAAAAATTAGCCAGGCATGGTGGCAGGTGCCTATAATCCCAGCTACTCGGGAGGCTGAGGCGGGAGTATTGCTTGAACCCTGGAGGCAGAGGTTTCACTGAGCCGAAGTTGCGCCATTGAGCTCCAGCCTGGGGGACAAGAGTGAAACTTCGCCTCAAAAAGAAAAAAAAATAGGATTCCTCCTTTAGGTTTGCCTAAGAGCACTCAGTATTGAAGCAAAGGGGGAACTGCACCCACACAAGGCCGCTGGTGCTGCCACGTGTGTGGGGCAGATGGGATCCCAGGAGCACTTTGCGAGTGTCCCCCTCCCTAAACACAATGTTAAAAGAAAACCTCAGACAAATTAAATTTAACAGAGTTTAATTGAGCAAATAACGATTCACTGATCCGGCAGCCTCCGAGCCTGAGTAGACTCAGAGTCCAGCGCGGCCACGTGGTGGAAGATGTATAGACAGAACACGGAAGTGAGGTACAGAAACAGCCAGAGAGGTTGTAGCCCGGCGTTTGCCTTATTGGAACACAGTTTGACCAGTCAGCGCCCTTTGATTGGCCAAAACTCTGTGATTGGCCGAAGAGCAGGAGGTTAGTCTGTTTCCACCTCCACATAAGCTGCCGTTCACTATGTGCAGAGAACCCTTTAGGCTGAACTTAAAATTCATAAGGAGGCAGCTTTAGCCTAAACTTGATTTGACGCCAAGCATCAAGGCACACAATTCATATTTTCTGGCTGGTCTCTGTCATATTGGATACTACCTTGCAGAAGTGTCTTCAGAGCTTTAGAGTAACCTTCCATGCTGCTCTGAGATACCCATGCAAATAATTCCTCAGCCCAGTCCTGTACCAAACAAACCCACCACAAAACAACGTGGCAGCCACCAAAATGTCTCTAGCAATCCCCTTGCAAGGGCCAGCTACTCAAGGCCCAAAGCTTTTTTTTTTTTTTTTTTTTTTGAGACGGAGTCTGGCTCTGTCGCCCAGGCTGGAGTGCAGTGGCGCTATCTGGGCTCACTGCAAGCTCCGCCTTCCTGGTTCACGCCATTCTCCTGCCTCAGCCTCCCGAGTAGCTGGGACTACAGGCGCCCACCACCATGCCCAGCTAATTTTTTGTATTTTTAGTAGAGACGGGGTTTCACCGTGTTAGCCAGGATGGTCTCGATCTCCTGACCTCGTGATCCACCCGTCTCGGACTCCCAGGCCTGGAGCTTTTTAACTATCACTCAGTCTCAATTTTTCCATTTTGAGGAAACTTTTCCCTGATGAAGAGTTAACGATTCCCCTGCCATCCTGACCTGTCTAGGACTGTGTGTGTGGAAAAATCATGCCCGGATCAGGCCACATACCCCTAGAATCAGAGCTGTTTCCTAGGGATGTCTAACTTTGTGTGACTGTGGTCCTTGGTATTCTTAACCAGTCACTGGCAATTCATTAGTATTTAAATTTATGCTAATTTCATCAAGGTGTGAAAAGATCTTTTTCTTGCATATACATGAAAGAACCATATTACTATTCAATTGGCTTTTTTCCTCTCTTTTTAACCCAAGAAAAGCTTGTTGTGACTTAACAAAAGAGAAGGCAGAAATACTACAAAAACACAATCTAGAAAAAGCCTTACGTGAAGCTCTTACATTCTTTTTTTTTTTAACTTTTAAATTTCATGTTGTAAATGTAACAGTCCTCCTAGAAATATGAGTGCACAATAGCGGGAGAAATGCCACTTTACATGTGTGTGCACCGAGATCACAATCAGACACTTGACATCTTAGGAGTTCAAGATTGCATCCTAAAATGCCATCTACCATATTATTATCTCTGCCATTTACATAATTTAGGTTTTTCTCCAGGACGGGAAAAACATGCTACATAGCATTCAATAGCATTTCCCAACCCTACTGCATCTCACCGATTTGTCTACTAAGGATGTATGAAGACATCTTCAAAATTGGTCCTCATGTTCATATATATATAATCACATATATATCTCATATATGTTCACAGGCATATCAAAGTGAACTTGCAGTATAGGGGCAAACATAATCTGTCCCGACTGCAGACAGCCTGAAAGCCATCGCCCTGGCATAGGAAACTAGAGGCTTCTGGTGGGGGGTCACTGCCCCGGAGAAGTCCTCTGGTCCGGTCCACGGTGCTCCCTGCTTCCCCCTGCACTGCCCGCACCTACGGCAGCCACAGTCTCCCCAAAACTCTTGTGATGGCTCCACAAGGCATGCCCTGCCCTTATGATACCATTTAATCGTGTTATAAGGCGGCCTGGCGCGAGCTTGTCGCGAGGGCAGATTGCGCGGCCCGTATAGATTTGCTGTCATCCTGTAGGCTTCCCACACAAGACAGAGGCCTGGTGACGCACAGCGGGAACCCGGGGCTTGCAGGGTTAAGTACTCCCTGCCTCCTGGCTGGGGGTTCCACTAGCATCCGCAGGCGGGCGGGACTGGGCCCCATCCCTCACAGTGCCGATGACACGATGGATCTCGCCTGTCACTGTCATTACAGTCAGCTTCACTCCACCGCCGATAAGAAGGCCACTCCCCTAAGCACGGAGAAGGCAGATATTTTTCTACCTAATTTTAGGGAAAGAGCTCTTACAGGTGTCCTTTCAGCAGGATTTGAGATGTCTCACTCTGATCGCACATCCAGGAGGCAGAAGACTCCTATCACTCCATAAATTAATTTCAGTCCTTTAGACTGGAAATATACTATCTGTGCATTTTATTGGAAAACACCAACACTTCTAAAAGGCAGCCTTTCAAATTTTGAAGCGTGGAGGTAAAACTTTTAGAGTGTAGCCTTTTGGAGGTATTTATGAAACCTTAAATATGCTCACACACTCATTCTGGACGGTATCTTGAAAATTGCTTCATTTGTTTTGTTCGGTGATCAAAACAGCCAGGCATTCTTTTAGAATGAGCAGCAGGGGAAAGCATTGAAGTTATCTCAGCAGGATTGAATCTAACTTTTATCGTGTTGAGACTCATGTGCAAACTACAGTGTTTGTCTCACCTATGACACTGTCAGGGAGAGGGCAGGGTAATTGATCCCCCCCCAAATGTGGAGTGCAATAAGGATGTCTTATTCCCTACATACAAAAGGGAACTTCTTGTGATGGCTGTGTTAACAGGAGCCTATGCCGTGGCTGAGTGTAGGGATAGTGTGGAAAATGCAGTGGAGAGCCACCTCCTAGGGCTGGAGATGCCAACATCACACTAGTAAGTCCCTGTCATTCTGCATCATCAATGCTGTCTAAGGGAAGGAGGAATGTTTATTTTCTGCACGTCGCTGCACTTCCAAAAGATACAGTTTTCAGCATGTGCTTCTGAATGCTTTCTTTAAAAATTCAAATATTTTTGCAAGTCAGCTGGGAGTAAGGAGTGAGATCTGGGCTGTTAGAGCTATCAGAGAGAGGGAGCGAGAGAGAGAGAGAGAGAGAGAGAGAGAGAGAGAGAGAGAGAGAGAGAGAGAGAGAGGGAGAGAGAGAGACCCATTAAACTTCCCCAGAGTTTACTGATTACCCCATCACTTAAAGACAACAACAAAAATTGTTCTACCAATGTTTCCAACAAGCTTCGTTTTGAAGTTTTAATCAGGTCTAAATGGAAAGTGATTGAGAATGGCGTGGTCTGCATTTTAATCCCTGGAAACGCTCCCCGCCCCCAAGTCTTTGGCTGTGTGGCGTGTAGTGTGGCCTTGGGTTTCTGAGTGTTTCTAACATACATAATGAGCTCAATGTCAAGCTGTTGGATCTTTTGTCTTTAACAATAAGCATTTAGCTCAACTAAATGAATAGAAATTGCTTTAGTGAATTACAAAAGCCAAGGTCTTTTTAATGCACCAATGATGACATTAATTATTTTCGACATTGTCTTATTTTTGCAAATGTATTAACTTAAAATTTGACTTAAAATGTAATAAATTCATTTACTGTTCCAATTAAAAATGTGAAACATTCTTAGTAAATCAAAATGTCTGCTGATGGCGATGACAATCCTCCCGATAAAAAATAAACAGTCTGAGTGCATCACCGAATTCATGATTCATGTGATTACGAATCTAACATAGCATCAGCACTGTCTACTTTTCCCTGTTTGAAAAGCAGTTAGGTGGCCAAGTTATAATGGGCCCCCAGCACTGCTGTGCTTCCTAAAGGGAGCTTGCCCATGGTAGGACCAGTTTCCCAACACTGCCAAACAACGGGGCCAATTTCCCTGCAAAGAGAGACCAGCATTCAAAAAGTTGCAGTGATCCGTCCTCCAGCACCCCCTCCACCCTCCTTCTGCAGTTGCCCGGAGAGATCTGAATGTCTTTTCCTAAATCTCTGTAATCCAATAAGCTTTTGTGTTTAGCAGCTTGTTTTGAAGGCTGTGCGGCACCCCAACCCAGGTCTCCGCAAGGCCCTCGGCAGGCAGGTGAGCGCCCCGGGGCCTGAGCGCTACGCCGGGCGAGAGGCCCGCGCAGCCCCAACCAGAACGTAATTTGTAATTAACTGTCATTTACTTCTGTCTGCATTGACTTGTTGTTCAAAAGACAATGCAACTGGGCTGGTCACTCATTTCCCTTTGTTGTGGATATAATGTCTCTGAGATCTGGTTGTTTTCATAATGTTTAGAAACTCAGGGCTTACTCTCTTGAAACCAGAAGGAGAAGGGGAATTCGCTGAAATAAATCCAACACAAATAATTTGTTATGCCGAGGTACATCAAACATTCTATTTGATGAAATGGGATAAACCATCTTACAGAAGAACCACATACAGTTTAAGCCAGATAATTCAAATGACTGGAGTGAGTGTTCTCCCGAAGCACATCTTTTAAAATGCAGTCTTCAAAAGGCGATCTGTTCTGTAGCTGTAGACTCTAATTTATGCTCTCTTTTCAGTTTAATTATTTGCTTGTCACACTTTTCATTAGCAGAAAAATAAACAGAATGTGTGATAGGCCTTGGATTGGGGGTCCGTGTTTCCAAGATTGACAAGTAATTCCAAGTTTAACTACTTGGAAATTAACAAAGCTTAGCTTCCATTTGAACAGAAAAGACTGGGAAAGTATTAAGAGGTTTTAAAAGCAAAAACATCAGATATTTTTGCAATTCGATCCCTAACAAATGCCCTGCTCATTCTTCCATATTTTGGGGGATTATAATAGTCTTGAGGGAGAGTAAATAGCTCATCTTAAACATTTAAAATTTTTACTTAAACATCTCAAATCTTACTGCAAACAGGAATGTCTGGAGGTTTAGAGTGCTCTGCAGTATTTTTCCTTTCACTCTCTCGTTGCTATATAGTGGCATCCAGTGTCAGGCAAGTAATCCTTTGCAAATCACTGGGGTGCCAAGCAGGAGATAATGGCATAGGGAGTCACCCTGAGTCCCCCTCCCCTGAAAGCTGGGCTTCTGACCTAACCCAGGTCTCTCATCCTCCCAGGACCAAAAATGCAGAGGAACCTAATTGCCTGTTTATCTTGGAAAGTGAGGAGCCATCTCAATTGAGCTAATAGTCCCCATAACATTGTTTTCAAATGCATCAAACAAACGAAGTCCCCGCACAAAAAGGAGCTCAGACCGTCCATTAGATTGAGCCTCAAGCCTGGAAATGTGGGTTGGCTGCTACTTAACTTTTCCCATCATTTTGAACCATTGAGAGCTCCACCGGCGCCACTTCTTCTCTCTCTATTAATGTGAAATATCTCCACACGGAAAGAGATCTCTGTAGAATATCTGTCATGTGTCTTGGTGGAGAGAGAGTGTGGGCAGAAGGGAGTTTTTGTTCAGACCACAGGTAATGCAGGCACCAACCCCAAGAAGACCACCTGGGGAGGGGGCCAGGCCCTGCTGGCCCTGGGCAGGGTACCGCCTGCCTTTCAGCTTCTAGGGACAGCAGTGGTGGCATCACCATTGAGCAGCAGCCACTCAAGAGTGCGAGAGTGCATTTTATGCTCGGCTTCCTCAAAACTGCAGAGTTGAAATTTACACCTTAGCTGCTGTGCTTCTCCCTGCTGTTAATTGGTAAAGGGAGCGCTGACCCTTTTGATCCGGGCGTCAAACCGCTAAATGCTCAAGTCTACTAAACTGTTCAGCAGGGCGGTGGCCTTCGATGATGGAGGTTCACTCATTCTCTCTCTCTCTGGCTTTCTTGGTTTACATCCAAGTTGCACAGAAATAAGAGATGACAGTTGTTATAGATATACCGGTTTAATTACTTGTCAGCTTATGGCTGGTATCTCAGCCAGTTGACGCAGAAGCTTAACTTTCTTCTAGTAGCTTAAATCCTGACCAACTGCTACAGCTTGTGTGTGTAGCCATACAACTCTGGATATGTTTAAGATAAAAAATAAAATTGATGAGCCATCTTCCTGATTTGCTAGCTGAAGTCATCAGCCTCTGGTGCCCCTGATTCCATATAGACCTCAAGTGATGGGAATGAGACAGCCATGCTGACATTTAGGGGCTGGGGATACGTTTTAATTTCATTTTATAATTTCCTCGAGACTACACTAATACGCCCCTTATGCCGGTGTAGTGCAAATGGGAAAGCACACATTGTATTTGTGATAAGGTGGAATTATAGCCAGGAGAATACAAATAGTGTAAATAATATAAAGAGATTTCTGCTGCTCTAATCCCAACCCTTCCTGGGTCTGAAGAGAGACCTGAATGCACTTGTGATTAAATGTTTTTGTCTGTCTCCACACTCAACCAGTCCCTTGTATTCAATTTCAACCCTTCCATTTAATATTGGGTTTATTTCTCAGCATCTCCGTTTGAAACTCTGCTCCACACAGAAGCCACCCTTGACCCTGGCCTTGCATGCAGGCCCCTTGCGCTCCACAGGTTGGGGCAGGACTCAGTGGTGAGGCTGGTTAGACCACAGGCCAGCTCCTGGCTGTGCTGTGCCTCTCTGTGGTCCTACAGCAGGCTTTAGGGTGGGGTGTGTGTGTGTGTGTGTGTGTGTGTGTGTGTGTGTGTGTGTGTTTATCCCTGGCTTTGTCATCCTCCAAGATACATAGTTTCCATTGAACTGAAGCAGATTATTGGTTACTATAGTTTCCCTATTGCTCAATTCAGGGCTGTGAAAAGCCCAGCACAGTGGGTTGCAAAGTCCAGTTAGAAGGAAAGAAGAGGAATAAACGCCCCTCTACCTGGTCTTCCCTCTTTGAGATAATCTCGGGTTTGTGAGACCCACAATGGAGGGCTGGGTCATTGTTTGCCACTTAAAGGGGTCTTCCATTAAGTTTACTTTCGAAGTTAAGTGAAGCTCCCAGCCGCACGCGGCTTCCCCTGCGTGGCCATTTTCGGTGAGCTCAGGGGCTGCCGCTGGACTGGTTGATGCCCTGGTTTGCTGTCCAGGCCTAGGGCTTCAGGGCGCTCTCCACTCTGGCACAAAAGGGCGCTTTCCGCTCTTAGGCTTTGCAAAGACATATTCCGGGCTCTGATTCCCTGATAAAATTGCAGCCCCCAGAATTTTGAGATGAAGATATGGGAAATGTACATTCAGGGAGCTGAAAATGACCTCTTTCAGTAGACCACATCCACCCAGAAGCATCTTCTGAGGGTGTGGGCACAGCTAATGCCTTCCAGGAAGCAACAGACACAGGTGACGGGGCCTGGCCGTGCCCTGGGGATTCGCGAGGGGGCTTTGTGCCTCTGGTGACAATGTTCACTTTCAGCCGAGGATGGCCAGGAAACAGTTAATTTGATTTGCGAGGCGAAAAGGTCGCATGTTTTGTTCAGCCCTTTCTCAGCCCCTTCCTCCCTCGCTCGGCCCCAGATCCATGGCAGCGCGGTTTCTCTCTGCCATAGTCTCGGCTGTGTCATGGCTGCATCCCACGTGGGCGACACACAGTGCCCCAGCGCCAGGCAGCGGGGACAATGGTCCCCAGCTCAGGGGGTTCCTTTGCCGGCGTCCCTTCCCCTTGGAATGCGCTTTCTTGCACCTCCTGTTTACAAACAAAATAAAACGGCACCAAGCTAAACAGCCAAAAAACTCCACCACCAGCAAAATAAAGCTAGAGTCAAAACTCCAGGAAAGGTTAAATGTTACCAGTCCCCAGTAAAAGCACAACCTTGTTCTCAGACTGGTATTTGACATTGCTGAAGGTTTTGTCTTGATTACTTTCAATAAAATTCAAAGTAAGGATGACTGTCTTGGCTCACTAAGCAACACGGTTTTATCACTAATTACAATACTTTATTACCAGTAGTTTAATAGGTTTATGATAGGTCATAAAACAATTCAGCATGGGAGTACATAAAAAGAAAGGGTTATACAGCTGTGACATCTTAATATCTATTCATCGTAATCATTTTATGATCTTTAATGGTAGCATTTTTTTATTAAAATATGTACATATGCCTTTACATGGGCTGTGGTGCCACCAAAACCGGGAGGCAGAGTGAAAATCACATAAATATATACTAAAATACTTAATGAGGCATTTCAAAAACTTCTATTGTCAAAAGCATGTCGGCTATATCACATGTGTGGAGTCTCATTATGGGTAATTAAAATAAAATCATAAGTGCTATAATAATTCTAACCTTGAAGGCACAATAA
Organism: Homo sapiens; assembly: GCF_000001405.40. Taxonomy (NCBI): domain Eukaryota; kingdom Metazoa; phylum Chordata; class Mammalia; order Primates; family Hominidae; genus Homo; species Homo sapiens. The sequence goes on from NC_000005.10 coordinate 3,122,769, forward strand.
AGGATGGTTATATTTGCCTTCCTAGCCCACACATCTGAGGCATTTTCTTCATTAATTATATTTCACATAAGAATAATGATGCTGTGTAAGACTGAAATTCCAAGGCGTTTGCTAAATTCTGTGAATTCCAGTCTTCCTCTTGTGAGCATTTGTAGGCTTAATTATATTACTATCTAAAGTTATATTCTGAGAGGTGCAATATGTAATTTACACGGTTTGAAGGAGGGTGTTTGTTGCTGATGTTAATTTTATTTTGTAAACCAATTAGTAAAGTAAATAAATTAGAAGCTGAGCTTATCAGTTGACAGTGCATCAGGGCTGTGCTACACAGCCGAGCCAGGGATCAAATGGATTCCATTGCTTTTCCCACCTTCCCACTCCAAAATGTTTTTGTTTTCAGAACACGGGGCTTTTCAGCACTCTCTTTGGGGGCAGGGTGGCTGGGGACGGAGTGCAGAGCTACATGCCTATTGTTTTGTGGATAGTTGGAAAACCTGTTTGTTTTTGCAGATACGACCTCAATATTGGATTCCATTTTTCCAGCACAGGGAGCATGATGGCCCTGGACTGGGGGGAAAAAAATCTTTGATTTGTTTGTGGATTGTGACCTCTGATAGTAAATGATTTGGAAATTTAAAACGAACACCAGGATTACAAGTTTGCTGTGTTTTTTCTATATGTGTATGTGCATATCTACATATACACCCACAGGCACAGACACACACACACACACCTAAACTCAAAAAATTCTCATAAAAGCTAATTTCAGCTCCAGGCTATGACTGGAGTCTGTGGCCCCCTGCCTCCACCCTGAAGCTGGTTTCCTCACCTCTGTTAGGAACTCTGATTTAGAGAACAGCAAATTCCTGAGCATTTTAGGATCACATTAGAAAGCAAGAGAAAAAAAGTAAAGTGACCCTTAGAAGCTGCAGCGAAATTTTTACTGATTTAAATTAATTAAACAAAATCATTTAAATAAAATGTGTTGGTGGACACACATTTTGTAAATTTCAAGTACAATAGTAACTTAACACAGGCGAAAAAACAAAACAAAGCAAAAAACCCCAAAAAGCCCAGTAGATGTTGTCAAGGGAATTACTCCAGTGAATAGACCAGAGTTATTTGTAATTAGCATATAAATTGTATGCATGTAAATGATGCTTCTAAAAGGTATTTGAAAAGTTTATTTTCTTAAGTATTTTAAATAAGACCCCCTGCAACCTTGTTTACAGTACTGATTTGCACTTTCATGAAAAAGATTTGCAGGGCAAAAAAGAAAAAAAAAAAGAAAGAAAGAAAGAAAAAAAAGAAAACCCTTTAGTCAGGTCACCCCTTTCTTTCCAATTCTCCTGCCTTTGCTTTATCACAAATTACAAATTAATGGCATACAAATTAATGAGGTTTTTACAGTATTCAGTCAAATCATGCAAAAAAAGCTTTAATTCAAACACTGGAGCTTGATTATTATAATTTATTTAAATGTAATGCACTGTTTGCTAAATTTCATAGGGCTGGAATCAATATGTAATTTAAAGTTAATTTTGAAATAGAGGAGCAGAAGTGGCCTGGTTCTCAAAGAGGGTGGCAGGCTGCTGTAGTCTCATGAAAACCACAAACTGGTGCTTCACGGAAGCAACATGTTTAAAATGATGGAGAAACAGCCAGACCTGAGTACAGAAAGCACAGCTGTAGGGTCAGACTTGCAAGATCCCCACTTGTGGACTAGACCACTTGGGAGCTTTGGCTCTTGCAAAGGCATTTGTTTCCCTGTAGTCACCACGGTTCGCCCACATGTAGGTTGGATGGCCCGTGCTTTCTGCTCACGACTTCACTTGCTGCATTTTGTGGATGAATAACACTGGACACTGCAGCCATCTTCCTGCATGTCCTTGAGTCCAGTCTGCCTTGTGGACACCTGCTGGGAGCAATCGTCAGAGGGAATGCAGCACCTCTTCCTTAAACAAAAGAAGCAGCAGCCTTGAGTGTGCAGTAGTGGATCCTTTACCTTAGGTCGTAGAGAGGCAAGTCATTTCTTTCCTGCAGGACCCTGGTCTTGGGGGTAGATGCACAACACGCTTTAAATCCGGATCTTTCCTTGCCTGAACAATGAGTGTTCCCGGTGGAACCCACTTTGGGAAACACTGGGGTAAGGCTTTCTTCATCCATCAATGAGCCGGTCTTTCCCTTTTGCTATTTAGTTGGTTTCATTTGCATTTTTTAATTAATTTATTTCAAAAATTAAAGAAAGAAATTTGCACAATCATTAAAATAGATCATGAAAGTCTTCCTTGCCAACTCCCTCTTCACCCAGAGACAGTCTCTCTTTAACAATTTCTTTTCAAAGAAACAATGTATCCATATCCCTCCTGCAGGCACCTGAGTCTTCTATGAAGTCAATGGAATCATGCAGAAACTTCTCTATGTGGTAATGTTTAATCACCTATAATTGGGAGATTGTTCCTCTGCCTCCCACAGGGTCCTTGTCTTTCCCGTGGCTCCCAGGCTTCCAGGCCCACACCTTAATTTATTCAGCAACTCCCCTCAATGGCCATTTTAGTCGGTTCTGATTTTTTAAAACTTCATTGTGCATTTCCTCATACTTACTGCTTTTGGATGACTTTAGGGAGCATTTCTGATAGTAAAATTATACCATCAGCAAGTTGGTAGAATTAAGTTTTGTTAGCTGTTAACCCAATTCTCCCCAGGTAGCTTATGAAATTTACATGCCCCCAGTCATGTAGGACAGGGCCTGGATTTCTAGACTGTGGTTGGCAATAGGGTTTTAAAAGTTTTGTTGCTGTTGTTGTTGTTTGTTTCTTTTTGTTGTTGTTGCTGTTTTCAAATGGAAAAGTGGGTACCTATGTGTTATTTTGATCTGCAATATTTAATTATGAACTAAATTGTATAGTAGAGCCTCTTAGTTATATTCTTACTGATATTTTTGTGCTTCTTTTCTGTGAACTCTGAGTTCACATCTTTTGTTCTTTTCTAGTACATTCTATATTTTCTTATTAATTTTTAAAAATTTTTTAATTTCCACAAAACATCTCTTTGTCCATGGTACTGTTAAATTGGTAAAATACTGTTAATAGTGTGGATTTGGGGGTGTAAATTAAGTAAGCCAGTGTGTAGAACGTTGCCCAGCCCAGTCCTCAGCTTTGCACTGGTGAGTTTTGACAATGGGAGTGGTTTGACACAATGGGAGTTCTTTTTTTTTTTTTTTTTTTTTTTTTGAGATGGAATGTAGCTCTGTTGCCCAGGCTAGAATGCAGTGGTGTGATCTTGGCTCACTGGAACATCTGCCTTCCGAGTTCAAGTGATTCTCCGGCCTCACCCTCCTGAGTAGCTGGGATTACAGGTGCCTGCCACCATAGCCAGCTAATTTTTGTAATTTTAGTAGAGATGGGGTTTCCACATGTTGACCAGGATGGTCTCGAACACCTGACCTTGTGATCTGCCCGCCTTGGCCTCCCAAAGTGCTGGGATTACAAGCTGAGTCACCGCTCCTGGCCTGACAATGGGAGTTCTTTTGGTTACGGATTCCTCTCCATCTTCACCAAACAACATCTGGATTGGGTATTATTTTTTGGATGTCTTACCCTCCATGACACAATACATCGATTCAGTTATGGACACTTTGAATCTGCTCAGAGATGTACATGGGCTACATTCTTTTTCTGAGACTGATGATTGCCTTGAAACATGCCACTGAAATGCTCCTATCCTGTAACAATCAGTCCAAAGATGCATTGAGCGAGTGAGTTTAATATTTCCTGGTAGAAAGACGTGAGAAAGGCAAAATTAGACAAATGTTTTCTGTCCTTTAGTTTAACAAAATGGGCAAAGGGCACCTGTTCTACTTTCAACACGGAGCTCAGCAGTGGTGCCTCACTGCATTAGCCTAACTGCATCAGGCTGTTAGGGGGCCCCTCAGGAGAGCTCGGCTGTCTCCAAACTCCCCGAGAAAGGCCCCGTCTCCCCCCAGCCAGCTGGACAGATGAGTGACGAAGCCAGATCATGGGACCCACGTCCTCCTACATCAGTGGCCTTCAGCTGGGAATGACTCTGCCGCCTGTGACATTTGACAATGCCCGGACACAGTGTCGGTCCTAACACCCGGGGAGGGAAGCGTGCCAGCTAGTGGGGAGAGGCCAGGGGTGCTGTTAAGTGCCCAACAAAGCACAGGGCAGCCCCCAACAAAAAAGTTTCCTGACCCCAGATGTCAGTAGGGCTGAAGTTGATAAATGGTGTCCTGGAGGAGACCTTGCCTTGGGACAAAGAGAAGGTGAGACTCCACCCTCAACCAGCCCCTGCTGCTTCTGCTGCCATCAGACTTCAGGCCTCATCTCCGGGGGTTTCTCAGCCAGGTCCTGCTGTCACAGGCTTTCCTGCCGCTGTCCCCAGCTCTAGGGCTGAACGCACTAGCGGTGCACTGTGCCACCACCGCCTCCTGGCACTTCTCAGATCACCCCATTTGATCTTCCCAGAACCAAATGAGGCACATCAGGATTACTCCTCAATATTAATGAATTATGCCGACTAACAATTCTCCTAAGGATGTGAATGCCTCAGACAGGCATCGTGTTTGTCTCCCTTAGGTATTAAAATGGGTTTAAATCTTTTAATTACATTTTAAATATTAATATTTTAAACATATGTGTAAATATGCATTAAGACTCTCAAATAGAAAACTTTCAGAACAACAGGGACTGGAGTTGGGTTCTGCGAATGTCAACAGTGCAGGGATCACCCTGCCTGCCCTCTCTGCAGTGCTGGGTGGCGCAGGGCGTATGCCCTGCAGGGCTGGGAGAGACTGATTCCATCAGCTCAGCATGAACCTTACCTTCTTGCTGACTTGCAAGACACACAACCAGCCTGGCCCCAGACTTGGTGGCTCTGAGAGCTGGATCTGGTGCTGAATTTGGAGCGGAGCCGGAAAGGGGCTGCAACCCTGGATTTATCAGGCAAGAGCCCCCAGGGAGGACTCCTTGCCCTTTTGACTCAAGGACTTTCTTAAATGTGGCTCCCAAGGTCCAGGCAGTCTGAACGCAAGACAGCAAGCGTGTCTTGGTAAGAAAAGGGGCAGAGCCGCATCCCATATTGTGCTTCTCCGTTTTTTGAGTGCCATTCTATAGAAGGAAGGCCTGTGACCAAGGGGTAAAAATAGTTCCTGCCACTCAGCAACAAGGACCCAGCCACTGGTAGCAGATGGGGCAACAATCACTGAGACTTTCTCCCTGATGTTTTGCTAATAAAGCACCTCCTGCTCCTGAGTTTGAAGAAAAACGTGTCCTGATTCTTCACGTGACTTTTTTGTTTATGAAATGTTGAAGCGTCACAATGGACAGAGGGTGCCGCTTATCAACAAATCAGCCCGCTGGGTGTCACGACCACCCATGCACCACGAGCAGTTTGGCTTCTGAGCCGCGGGGAGAGAGCTCCCAGCACCACCGAGGGCACTTTTGGTGGGGACGTTCAGTCGTTTTCCATAGATCTACCACTACAAGAGCAAGGCCAGTGATTTGGCAAGTTGGTGTCCTGTTTATTTCGGAAACTCTGGATTATCTACATGTAGAGCAAGAACAGACTAAAAATAGCAGAAGAAGAGGACGCAATGAAAGGATGCGTGATTCAGAGAAGCAACGTAAGACAGAGGAACGCGGACAAAGGACACCAGTGAAACAAATAAATGGTGCTCCTTTAATTCAGGTGTCAACTCTGCAGGGCAAAATCCAGGAGACAGTGTCTCAGCCACACCCAGGTCCCTGGGAAAGTGACAAATCACCCTTAGCTTATGCTACAGACAAAGACAGTATGTATGGCAAAACCTTTAGAAATAGTTCTATTGAAATAGACACAAATTTAAAAATGGTAGTTTCGGAGAACAAATTGTAGGTAGGTAGAACACACACTCATTCAGGAGACTGTATTTATCAGGCAGAGTGAAGGGATGAGGGGAGGCAGCCCGAGTTGGTGGGAAACCATGTGAACTGTGCCCGTGATGGAGGCCCCTCATGTGCATGGGGGCTGCCCCTAGGAGGGAGGATGGACCTTGTCGACAGGTGTGACAGAAAGCCATTGAGTAAAACCTCAGCTGTGGAAGAGACAATTTCTGTTTAAAAGGACACCTGCCGGCCGGGCGCGGTGGCTCACGCCTGTAATCCCAGGACTTTGGGAGGCCGAGGCGGGCAGATCACAAGGGCAGGAGATCGAGACTATCCTGGCTAACACGGTGAAACCCCGTCTCTACTAAAAATACAAAAAATTAGCCGGGCGTAGTGGTGGGCGCCTGTAATCCCAGCTACTCGGGAGGCTGAGGCAGGAGAATGGCGTGAACCCGGGAGGCGGAGCTTGCAGTGAGCGGAGATCGCGCCACTGCACTCCAGCCTGGGCGACAGAGCAAGACTCCGTCTCAAAAAAAAAAAAAAAAAAAAAAAAAAAGGGACACCTGCCAACCTTCCTTTGGACACCCAGTGGGTGCCAAGAAGATGGAGGGAACACCCATATGCATCTTCCTTTTCTAAGATATTCCCATTGGGCTTTCTTATTCTTACATGAGCAGCTGCACTGTGTTGAGTAAGTTATTCTGGAGGAGTAAAGAAGTGAAAACCTGACATGGCAGAAAATGCGTTGGTGGAGACGGAGAGGCAGAAGAGAAGTTTCTATGGTGCCTTGAAGAATGGTCTTGGTGACATGCTCAAGAATGCAGGTGCCAGTCACATGACTCAGTGTTTCAAACAGTTCTATGCATAACTATTCTTGTGCTGCCTTTATCTTTTTCGCAAATACTTATTTAGACCGATGTCTCATAAATTAAGGAATAAGAGCAAATCAGCCATTGATACACCTTTATGAAATTTGGTAATAAGTTAATATAGAAGCAACAAAAACTTATTTTAAAAATTATATCTATTTAAAATAAATTATAATTCAAAAGATTAGCCCTTGAATTAGAACTCGATACATTCTTTCCTTCTTTCTGTCTTTTTTTTTTTTTTTTTTCTGAGACAGGGTCTCACTCTGTCACCCAGGCTGGAGTCCAGTGGTGCAATCTCAGATCACTGAAACCTCGGCCTCCCAGGCTCAAGCAATTATCTCACCTCAGCCTCCTGAGTTGCTCAGACTACAGGTGCACACCAGCATGCCCAGATAAATTTTTGTATTTTTTTATAGAGTCGGGGTTTTGCCATGTTGCCCAGGCTGGTCTCAAACTCCTGAGCTCAAGTGATCCTTCTGCGTTGACCTGCCAAAGTGCTGGGATTACAGGCGTGTGAACCACTGCACCTGGCCAGATACTTCCGTTCAAAAATACGCGTCAGAATGAGAGATTTTGTTGCTGTTATCCTCACAAAGTGAGGTATCAAAACTACGAATTGAACTAGCTTGTGTGGATGATATGAGACACAAAACGCCAACATAAAATAATTACGAGACATTTTGATTTTTGAGGGGCCAAGCAAAGTCTCTTTGTATAACTATGTGTGTTGGTTATTATGGTATATTGATAGACATAATTGGTTTTATTTGTTCATATGTTTGTTTGTTTTTGGTTACAGTCTTCCACATTCATCCATCGTACAGCCTTGTTGGAGATATTTCCTGACGTTGATAAGAACGTTAAACCTCACGTTGTGAGGTGATTTAAACTTTCTGAAGGAGGATGAACACTTCCATCTGGATTAGATATTGGAGTCTGCACTGTGGCCATTTATTTCCTGAGATGGATGTGGATAGCAGTCTAAACAGGGGCTTTAAATCACGGCCAAAGAGCAGCCTGGTTTGCTGACAGCTGCTTTGGGGGCCCGTGGTCACTGCCCTCATATTTGCTGTTGATACACTCTACAGTTTTCCCCAAATCACTTAATTGCTTTTAGTTGCACTTTGTCGCTCTCTAAATAGTGACATTGTGCACAGCTTCGTGACTTCAGAGACTTAGAGGAAGGGGACTTGGAAGCATTTGTCGTTGGCCATTGTGGAGTATAAGGTCCCAATGCACAGAAGTTTCAAAAGGGCTTTAGGAAACTGATAAATTAGGTACACACATGCACACACACACACACATGCTAACAAACTGGGAAAACTCTTGTTTGTACTTTTAAAATATTAGTGATGGAGTTAGTCAGTGCCTGAATCTGTCACTTTCAATAATTCACATAACAGACATTGATTGTGCGCTGGAAAGTATGTTACATGTTACGGAGGCACAGTGCTCAGTGCCTACTCAGGGCATTGTGGTGCTCTTGGTCTTCATGGGGAAGGAGAGTGTGATGTCTAGTTTTGTATGTCGACTTGGCTTGGCTGTGGTTCTCAGTTGCTTGGTCAAACACCAGACTGGAGGTTGCTATGGAAGGTCTTTGTAGATGTGATTCTCATTTACCTCAATTGACTGGAGGTAAAGCAGATTGTCTCCATCATGTAGGTGGGTCTCATCCAACCAGTTGAAGGTCTTAAGAGGGAAGACTGAGGTTTCCTTGAGAAGAAGAAATTCCACGTCAAGACTGCAGCACAGGAAGCCCGCCTGGCTCCCCTGCCTGCCAGCGGGTGGAGTTGAGACTTGATACTGCAGCGTCAGCTCTTACCGAGCTTCCAGCGTGATGACAGCCCTTTCGGGTCTGTAATTTGTGAGCCAATTCCCAGCTCTATGTCCATGTGTGTGCATGCGTGTGTGTGTGTATGTGTGTGTGTGTGTAGAGAGAGTGTATCTATGTGCTTCTCTGGAGCACCCAGACTAACACTGAGTGTAATCAAGACATTATAGCCATATAATTGATGGTAAAATAAAATTGGCAATTAGAGAGTATGCAAGCCCTGAAGAAGATGGGAAGACTCACAGTGAGCTTCCCTGTTAGGTGAGCCATTGGTTGAGAGCAGGACTTGCCATACTGGCCAGCCAGCGGAGACAATTCAGGCAAAGAAAAGAGACTGTGCAATGGAGCAGACACAAAAACGCCAGCTGTTCTCGGGCAGTGGGAGCGTTTGGGGAGTGGCAGATGCAAGGCTGGTAGGTGTACTGGGGGAAAACCAAGGGTCTGGGAAGTCTTTCAGTCAACGGGAGGGAGTGTCATTATCAGATCTACACAAAAACAAACAGACAACAAACCTTGGCTGCAGGGCAGAGAAGCCCAGAGCCAGGCTGCACTTTTTGGGGGTGTGGACAACTTTGAATTTCGAGGAAAGTGAGGGCTTTCTCCCCTAAGAATCTGTTCACACACATGCGTGTTATAAGTCTCTGGTTCCAAGGAGTTCCAATGCCCTGGAGCCCATGGGGAAGGATCCAGCCTGGCCTCTGGCTTGCTGTGCTGCACAGCTGGTGTTGCAGACAGCAAGGACTGAAAAGCCACCGTGGCCTGCTTACCTGTTAGGCACTGAAACCGTTGCACTGTTAGGTTTAGCAACTGGCCCGGAAATTGGGATTCCAGAACCAAGATGTTAGGTGCTGTGGATGCATTTAATCAGACCCAATACAGATGCTGCAATTCGCTGTGGCCCCCATCAAAGTCAACAGCAGCAGAGAGGCTGTGGTCCTGGGCCCTCAAACCCGGCAGAGTCAGACCAATGAGCTTGGATTTGCTTCCATGACTCCTGGCACTGCGATAGGTTCTGTATCTGATGCGTTGTCTGCATGGCTGACCAAAGGAGGCCAATTCTTTCTAGCTGTTACACCAAGATCACCTCACCTCACTGAGAAAGACCTCAGTCCCAAAGTAGAGAGGTCGGTTAAAAGGTTGCATTAAATTACCTTTTTGGACGTGGAGGCAGTGACAGTGACCTGCAGGTGGTGTGCACGCTCCAGAGTGCCTGTGGCTTTTACCAGGTGGGACCTTCTCTCCAGGCGGTTTCTCTTCAACAGAATGAATATTCACGGAGGTTCTCCAAAGGGCAAGAAGGTGTTCTGGGAGCAGCATGACATTGCAAAGATGCAAAGTCTCATTTTTGCCCTGACAAAGGTGCAATGGAAAACAACTTTCATCCATAATGGCCTCAGTTTCCCTTTACTCTCTCATTCAGCCAACCTGCAAGGCATCGTCAGAATAACTTTTCCTATTTCCTAACCCCCATATCACTCATAACTCCATTCTGAGAAGTTTTTCGAAACTGTTCTCCATCTCAATGAAGCTGGAATCCCAGGTCCAGGCTTACCTGGTGGTGCTCAGAGGTCAACTGAGAAGGTGCAGGGTTTACAGGGGAGTCGTAACCTGGGGCAGGTAAACAGTTTGCATCTGGGCTGACTGTAGAGTGACCTGAGAGTCCCAAGTGCACCTGTGCCTCATCCTGATGGCACCGTTGCTGGTTGTAATCTGGCCAGCAATGAACTTGGAATGCTCAGTGAATCACATTGTATAAAAACAGGAAGCTTCTGCGCTTTTCGATTGCATATTGGATGTGAGAGCCCCCATCCTATGGCAACCCTTGCAAGCAGAAGATGTTAGTGTGAAGGAAATATTAAAATTTCTGTGACTCAGCTGTCAGATGCTTGGAGATCCCGATGTTATTACTGGACATTGGGTGTTGTTACTGTTAAACCGTCACATACTGAATCATTCTGCTAGCAGCCTACTCCCAACGCCGAACACGTCCCCTCATCCAACGGGATATCAAAAGCAGCCCTGAGAAAGAAACTCAAGGTGCGGTGTACTCTGCACAAGTCTCCAGTTCCCTCCGTTGAGGTTTTCTTGGCTCTCATGTCACAAGATTTCGGATGATTCTTAAGCCCATGGAAGTCGGTAATCATGAGACAAAACTGGGTTTCCTATTGTTTGATGAGTGGCAGAGTCTAGCTTACATTTGGGCTGACTGTGGAGTGATGGAAGCTCTGTTCTCTGTGTGTTGACTTTGGGGCAGTTCCCGTAGGCCTAGTGGGAAGGCCGCGTGGCAGCTTGGCTGGCCTGGGGTGCAGCGAGCAATAGCTCCCACGGTTGGCCAGGAGGGGTTTGTGCTGCCTTCTTGTTGGATGGTGTCCTCTTCCCTCTTATGTCAGCAGAGGCACTGGGTCAGAAAAAGGCAGCACCGGCGGCACGAGCTTGTTCACAAGAGGGTTGGGGAACATCACAGCACACACAGCTCTGTGGAAGGGAAGCTCACATTCAGGGTCCTCTGCATCCCGCTCCTGTGCTTCTCGTCATCAAAGCATCCTTCACAACCGGCTTGACTCCCCTTCTGCCCTCTGCAGCAAGCCTGGCCCTGGGCTCTTGGCTCTCCCAAACACTTCTCTGTTTTGTTTTGTTTTTCCCCTTGGGTGAGATAGAATGGCCCCCTTCCCCTGGGGTGGGGGTGGGGGTGGTGGTTAGGCTCTGATAAAATCCCAGCGGGCTAGGCGCTGATAAAATAGTTTTGTTTGAGGTCTGGCCTTTTCATGACAGAGTATTTTGGGCATATTTTAAGATGGTTCCTTTTTCCCTCCCCCTGCTGGGAGTCCCAGGGGTTTTTCTCTAATCTTATTTTTCTCTCATGAGTTTGGGGACCCCTAGGAATAAGCCCCCCTGAGACTGATCTCTAAGGCTTGTCCACATTGAATCTCTGGCAGCTTATCAAGGAGGATTAAGTCTTCCTACCCTGCGCTGGTTCCAGTCTCCACTTCTGCTCATGGGTTCGTGCTCCCACAGGCTGTGACGCTGTGTGTCTGCCTGTCTGTCTCTCCACTTTTGAAAGCAGCAATTTGCCTGTGACCTCACTTCTCTGAGGGACCCAGGAGTTGCTGATTTCTAGTTTGTATAGGTTTTTATCTGAGTGCATGGGAGTGAGGATGTCCAACATCTTTTCCTGCTGGACCAGAGGCTGGAAATGTCCTGCCTTTCTTAAATGTCTCTAAAATCTTGTTCTCAGGGGAGGATACAAAGGTCATTCATTCACTCCTTCTGCCTGTCTGTGCACATTTTCTGGGCTCACACTGGTTTTTAGGCCTAGAGCACACAGGAGGGTGCCGTGTGGTCTTGCTCTTGTCCTGGTTAAGAAGGCCAGGACAGACATAAAACCAAGTCCAGTGCAATGTTGTGTGACGATTTAGAAGGAAGGTTCTGTGTGGAAGAGAAGACCATGACCTGTATTAATAACCAAGCAAACACCAACTGAACAACAGAAGACAGATGCATAAGTGCATGTTTACGGGGGGTGCAGTTCTCTCCTGGGGTGGATTTTCAAGGGAAATAAGTTAACAGGGACGATGGTTTGAGGGTGAGATAGGAGGGGACTCTTTTCCGAGACTTGTAAAGTGCCTTCAGATATGTGACCTCCTGGGGCCGTGTTTCAGGAATCCTTTTTGGAAGTGAGTCACCTCCATGTGCAAAAAATAGCAGTAGAAAATGTTTTGTCGGCAGCACAGCCTGAGTTTTGGGTATTTGTGGCCTCTTTACGCAGAAATCAAAATACATCCATGTTTCTTGCCTTTTCTGCTAAAAACTGAGAAGGGTGTATTTTCAAAATAAGGATAGGCCTCTTAGAATGGGCATCCTTGCTGGGTGCAGGTTCTTTGAATGGTAAGGCCAGAGTCTCTTAAGTGCATGGCTGGTCCCTTTACTGTTGGTTTAATTTACAGTCGGCCTCTTAAGTTTCCAAATCTCCATTTAATTGACATTTTCGGGTTACCAAGATTGTGCTTTGTGTTCTTGTCAACTTTTCTTAAGTTTTTTGCCATCATGGCTATGTAGCCACTTTAAAAAGTCCTTTTGGTTATTTTGAGTCACTCATAAGCAGATATAATGGGAACTACAATACATGCCATTAGGCTACTATTTAGTACTTCTTATATGTTCGCACTTTCTTAATTACATTAAATAATTCTAGCCTGTACACACTTTAGTTTAATTAAAACAAGACTGTTTCCTTACATCTAACTTTCACCTCATGGTACAAGAAGGGAGCTGAAAGACCAGTTGACATTAATGGTACCATCATGCCTCTACACAGCCAAGCTTGCTTGAGAAACCCAATAATGGCTGATCACAGGGACTTCCCTGCTGGCTGTTGGTCCAGAATGGACCACAGTTGTGTGTTTGCATGTTGGGAACCTGCTTTCATGGCTCCTCTGACCCACGGGAGGTGAGCTTGTGAGAGTGTGATCACAGGCAACTCAAGTGGGACCGGTGCCTCGGCCTCACCATTTTGCTATGATGGTATTTCCCTTCAATTATGCTGCTAATTGTGTACGTATCATACATATCTTCTGTATTATGTATAATACACATTATGTCTGTTATGTATAGTAGACATATAATGTTGCCTCTAAGGGCCATCTTCTTTGCATGTCATTGGATAAGTTGGTGATATATTTACATAAACCATCAACTTATCCAATGATATGCAAAGAAGATGGCACTTCAAAGCAAAATTACATGTCTATTATACATGGACGACTTCAGAAATAATATAAAAAATTACCAACAGGATCTACTATGAGATGATCAATTTTTTCTCAAGTCTAATTTTTTAAATATATTTTAGCTTTTCTTATTGGCCTTTTAGTCAAAATATGGCATTGGCTCATCAGACATTAACCTTCTATTTACTTTTCTTGAGGTATTTTTAAAAAGTATTTGTGTAACTTTTAGAAAAAAGTTAATTTTTAAGATTACAAAGTGCATCCCATCAGGATATTAATAACCTGCAGGGCCACCATACTGGCCTCACTGAGTTAGCTAGTGCTCAGTTAAACTAATCGTCGATGCATTCCAGGATACTAGTACAGTCACATGTCACTTAAACATAGGTATAGGTTCCAAGAAATGTGTGGTTCAGTGAGTTCGTCATTGTTCGAACATTGTAGAGTGTGGTTACACAAACCTAGACAGTACAGCCTACGCCAAACCTAGGCTATGTGGCATAGCCTATTGCTCCTGGGCTACAAACCTGTACAGGATGAGACTGTGCTCAATACTGCAGGCAACTGTAACACAAAGGCAAGTATTTGTGTCTCTAAATAGGACTAAACAGGGCCGGGCACGGTGGCTCACCCCTGTAATCCCAGCACTTTGGGAGGCCAAGGCGGGTGGATCACCTAAGGTCAGGAGTTCAAGACCAGCCTGACTAACATGGTGAAACCCCATCTCTACTAAAAAAAAAAAAAAAAAAAAAAAAAATTAGCTCGGAGTGGTGGCGGGTGCCTGTAATTTCATAATCTCAGCTACTCAGGAGACTGAGGTGGGATAATCGCTTGAACCCGGGAGGCGGAGGTTGCAGTGAGCCGAGATCGCGCCATTGCACTCCAGCCTGGGCAACAAGAGTGAAACTCCGTCTCAAAATAATAAAAATAAAAATAAATAGGTCTAAACATAGAAAAGCTTTGGTAAAAATAGACAAAGATTAAAAAATGGTGCCCCTGTATAGGGCACTTGCCATGAATGGAGCTTTCAGGACTAGAACTTGCTCTGAGTGAGTCAATGAGTATGGAGTGAAGGTGAAGGTCCAGGACATTCCTGTACATTACACTGGACACTTAGGCTACACTGCATTTATAAAAAGAAATAAAGTGACTGCGTTACAACCTTACGATGGCCACATCACTAGGTGATAGAAGTTTTTCAGCTCTTCTCTAATCTTACGGGAACATTGTGGCATATATGGTGGGTGTTATGGGGTGTATGACAATAATGACAACAAGGTGGCAAGCTGGGGACACCATGTGCCCTGTGAGCATCCAGTAAGCGGTGCTAGTTCCAACTGTCATTAGTTGGGCCGGGCACCATGGCTCATGCCTGTAATCCAAGGCAGAGGCAGGAAGATCACTTGAACCCAGGAGTTTGAAACCAGCCTGGGCAACACAGAATCTTTCTCTATAAAAAAAAAAAATTAAATTAGCTGGGCATAGTATTGCATGCCTGTAGTCCCAGCTATTCTGGAGGATGAGGTGGGAGAATCACTGGATCCCGGGAGTTCGAGGCTGCAGGGAGCTGTGATCACACCAGTGCTCTCAAGCCTGGATGACACAGCAAGACTCTGTCTGAATGAATAAACAAACAAACAAACAAATGCAATTGCAACCAAACTTCTAAAATGCAACTTACATTGTGTTAAAAAAAGGTACAGAACAGAGCCTACAAGCTATAGCCATGAGACTTTTAATAATGCATTTATATTTGTGTTTTTAAAGTCTATTTAATGCAGCAGAAATCTGGTCAGTGGTTACTGGGGTGAGGGCAGGGCGTGGCTGAAATGGGGCACAAAGAACTTTTTAGGGGATGGGAATGTTCTATATTTTAGTTGCGGTGGTGATTACTGCAGTGTATAAATTTGCCCAAGCTGTGTTCTTAACAATTTTTGTTAACATAATTTGCGTATAACATTTTGCTTTGTTATATGCAAATTATGTCTCAATGATGTTGACTTTTTAGGAATCTCAATATATCATTGACTTTCAAGGCTTGCTGAAAGTAGTTTTAGAAAAGACTTCCAAAACCCTCCAAAACTGAGCATAATTGAAACCCGTGTAAGGGAAAGCTTTATTTAGAATTGAGGAGCCTGTCAATGAGGTCTGGGCAGTTACACAAATGACATTTAGCATTTTCTGCACTGGCTGCCCCAAAACCAGACAAGCCCCAGCCCCAGCCCCAAGGAAGAAAAGAATTGCAGAAAGTGAACTATGATGAGACTATCTTCTGCCAAGCCTGCAAAGACCTACATTGAAGGGACCCCACAGATGTCAGAAAAATGTATCTCCCTCCTCAGATGCAGAAAACCAGCTCGTAAGGAGATGAGTCCTAGGAGGGGGACCTGTTATGAGGCTAAGGCCGGCAGCCGTGGGGCACTCGGTGGGGAGGGCAGCAGCCCCCACAGAGGCGGATGTGAGGCTCTGGGAAGTGGAGTTATTGAATTCAGTGCAGCAAAACAGCTCTTTGCGGTTCCCACAGGTACTGCCTCTGTTCAAGTCCTCCCTACGCTGTAGGCCAAGAGAAGCAAGGCCCCTTCATCCTTGGGCTTAGGCTTCTGTTTCAAAGCTGCTTTTCTGACATTGACACCCAGCACCAGTTCAATCCCTCCCTGGCTCCAGTCCTACTTAACCTTGATTGATCCCTAAACCAACCACGTTCCCCAATCCACACATCACTTAAGTCAGCTCTGTCTATTCATCTCACACCGGCTAAGAGCTCAAGGCCCTGAAGGATCTTTAGGTGTTTGTGGTGATCCACACACTCGAAGGAGCAGTGCATCGAGACAGCTCAAGCATCCTCCATCAGGTATATCTAGAAGGATGGAGAAGGCGCTGCCTCCTCCCACCCAAGCTTGCAAGGAAGCAGGATGAACCCTGGACCACACCACCCTCTTCCTCCACGGACTTCATTGTAACAGGCCAGGGCAAATCCTTCCAGAACTTGGAGCAACATCAGGTTTTAGAAGCTTTCCTGTGTAGACCCATATTTTGTTTGAAACTAACATCAAAGAGCTTTCTGACCGAACATACTGAGTTCATTTCTAAGTCTTTTCTGTCATCCTGTTTGGCTGTTAGCTCCTTGCAGACAGGATCCTATGATTTTGCTCACCACAAAACCTCATGATTTTGTCCCTAAAACATTATGCACACATAGTAGGTACTCAATAATTATCTGTTACATGAATAAATTGCATATACACACACACACACACACACACATCTCTGTTAATTAAACTGCAGTCTGTAGATAGTATCTTTGTAACAGGTTCAATCCTTAGGGCATCATTTTTCCATACCTTGATTATTGACTCATATAACTCAGATCTGCTGTTATGACATCCAGATGGAATTTCTCTGCTGAAGGCTTATGTTGAAGTCGCCCTCAGAAACCAGGAGTCTACCCGGAAGGCCAACTTCAGTGGATAATGTGTGTGGGCTGCCAGCTTTTCCAGTGTGATACTAGTGGGGGCAGGCTTCCAAGCCACATATGGGTAAGTGTTTTCCTGTGTCTTCCTGCTCCGTGGTCTTCCTCCAGATTCCCAGCCTGTGCAACTCCCTGTTGATTGAGGTCCTCATCCTCACGGTCACAGGCTTGCTCTCTGTGACTCTGTTGACCAGAGGGAGGTGCTGTGGTTTCCACAGACCCACCCTGTGATAGGTATTCTCAGAGCCAAGACAACCAGTTCTGCGTGAGTCTGTCTGTGCCTGAGTCAGTGTGCTGAGATCCACATTTAAAATAGTAGGCCAGGCGCAGTGACTCATACCTGCAATTCCAGAACTGTGGGAGGCTGAGGCAGGAAGATTGCTTGAGGTCAGGATTTTGAGATCAGCCTGGAAAACATAGTGAGACCTCATCTCTACTCAAAACAGAAAATTAGCCAGGCATGGTGGTGCACACTTGTGCTTCCAGCTACTCAGGAGGCTGAGGCAGGAGGATCACTTGAGGCCCGGAGTTCGAGGCTGCAGTGAGCTGTGATTGAGCCACTGCACTCCAGCCTGGCCAAAAGAGTGAGACCAAGTCTCAAAAAAAAAAAAGTAAAATGCACACTGTCTGGGTGACAACCACTCTGTTGAATGCAGTTTGGCAAGTCCTCTGTAGACTGCAGGAATATCTTTTATTCCAGAAACCTGTGGGTGGACGCCTGAGAGGGGACACTGTGAGCACATGCAGCTCACGATTTCAGAAGCATGGACTTCCGAGAGCTCGCAGTCCCAGCGACTCAGGAGCCCGCACGTGTCTGCATGTGGGACTCACACCTCCTGCCCTCTCCATGGCCCAAGTGACCATCTTCTCAGGCTTGAACTGAACAGGTTTCTAACTGGACTAGACAGGTTTTTTCTCCAGGTCCAGACCAGGGGCAGAGGGGAATTCCAGAATGGGACTCTGAGCATTTCTTTCCTTTGCCTAAAACCCTCTCATATGGGTCTCTACTGCCCTTGGAGAAAATCCAGAATTCTCTCTTGGTCTTCAAGCGGTGCTGCGTGATCCGGCCTTTGCTCAACTCTCTGGCCCCATCTCCCATCCCTCCCCGCTTAACTGATGGTTTACTGTGGGGGCCTCGCTCTGGGATGCACCCGGGCCAAGGTCCCTCCTGCCTTGGGGCCTTGCACATGCTCTCCTCCCTCCCTGGAGGGGCCACCGCTTCCCCACCTCACCCAGGGAGGCTTTCTCATTCTTCAGGTCTCAGTTTGGATATCAGTTGTCCCAGACCAGGGGAAATCCCCTCTTCCTATGGCCTTCACTGAAACGCTTTGCAGCATTTCACTTCATTCACTGTTTCCGTGATTGCTTCACTTCTGTCTTTCCTGTGTAGACTCCACAGCAAGCGCCCTTTGTCTCAAGCCCAGGGATAAGAATGAGCTGGCTTAGAATCTATCGAATGAAAGTCTATGATACCTCGGCCAGGTGCGGTGGCTCACGCCTGTAATTCCAGCACTTTGGGAGGCCGAGGTGGGCAGATCACGAGGTCAGGAGATCCAGACCCTCCTGGCTAACACGGTGAAACCCCGTCTCTACTAAAAGTACAAAAAAAAAAAAAAATTACCCAGGCGTGGTGGTGGGCGCCTGTAGTCCCAGCTACTCGGGAGGCTGAGGCAGGAGAATGGTGTGAACCCGGGAGGCGGAGCTTTCAGTGACCCGAGATCGCACCACTGCACTCCAGCCTTGGCGACTGAGCGAGACTCCGTCTCAAAAAAAAAAAAAAAAAAAGAAAGTTTATGACACGTCATTTGCAAGACTTAAAATCTGGCTAGCCTGTTAGAACATTTTCAGAAGTTCTAATGAGTGCTTTGCAACTGTTTAAGAATGTTATCATGTTTCCGGAAAGGAAATATTTAAAGCTTTGCTATAATAGGTGGTTGAATGCAAAGAAAAAGACATCATAGTCAGTCTCCTTGTGCTAAAAACTAAAATCTCTCCCTGTTCCTTTAGAGCTGATCTCTCCATCTCAGCCGCTCTTGACACTGGGGCTGCGTTGTCTTTGTCCTGGGGCTGTCCTGTTGGGTTGTAGGCTGTTTGGTGCCATTGCTGTCCTCTCTCATGAGAAGCCAGCAGCACTGGTGTGCAGTAGGCAATAAAAAATGTCTGGAAGGACATGGCAGTGGTCCCTGAAAGGCAACATGGGCCTAGGATGAGAACCCCTGACATGAGATTTTAACCATAAGCAGCCAGCTTCAGGCTGTAAGCATGAGATCCCTCCCACCTGCGCGACATTTGCTCATCCTCGAGTGCCCACACAGGCTTCATACGTACTTTAAAGTGCCATCCTTTTGGGCTTTTTCTGCAATAGACTCCAACTAAATATTAGGGCTTTAGACTTCCTTTTTCTTTTGCACTGGCCTTTCTGAATGCTGCTAAATCTATCCAGTGTGGAAGCTCAGCTCCTGAGTGAGCCGTAAATATTCCCCGATGCAGTTAGCATTGTTTTACCTGGAATGACACATTATCTCCATGTTAGAGATGCTACTGTGGCTCAGGGTCTCAAGGACCCTGAAACTCTTCTGTCATTCCTGTTTTCACTCTAATTTCTCAAAATGACTTTTTGAACATTGGGGAATACTTCACGTGTTTGGAAAGGAAGGCATTTGAGGAGATACTTTAAAATAATAAAAGGGAGGAGTTGGAAAGGAGACGCAGTGACCGTCTGGGTAGGCCCTAGGTGGGGGCCGTGTCAGGGCCGCTTGATGAATGGAGGCTCCAGGGGCCCCCTATTTGTTCAGTGCTCTTGTTCTGATACAACTGCGCACAAAACCGGCATTGAAGTGTCTGCCATGAAAACATAACATCACCTGACAACGGTCAGCCCACAGGGCATTGCCTTGAGAAGGCCATATTGTTCTGCGGGGCCGGGGCCCTGGCCCACGGGGTCCTGAGACGTGAAGTCGAGCGAGGCATGCGGAAGACTTTCCAGTACATTAGAAAGGACCTGGCCGCCTCCCATCAATACTGCCCCAGCCCGAGCCTGACAGATGAGAAAACACGGAGAAAGCTCTCCTCTGACTTCCAAGTCCTCCTTTCTCTCCTTAAAACCCAGAGAACTGTGGCCCAGAGCCGAGCGGACTCACAGCCGTGGGTCTGAAAATCCTTGGGGTGGACGGCTGTGGCTGCCTCATTTTAGTGTCTGCCTGTGGCTGGGCATTTTACATTTCCACTTTTCCCGGGTTTGAGACTAATCACGACCCCCACCCGGAATGTTTACCTTGCAAACCACAAGCCATTAAGCGTTCAGGGCCACACCCAGGCCACCAAAGCCTCAACCACCTTCTGCTAATGGTTTTAAAGTGCTCCTTCCACTCCTAAAGAGAAAGAATATTTCACGTCAATGCTCATACTTAATTAATTTACATTTTATTTTAAATACAAATAGGAAAATCAACATTAAATTATCACATAAAACAGCCATGAAAGGAATTTTTTGTGTGGATAAATAACGCACAAAGACCTTCATGGATTTTTAGCACATTTTACTCTACAAACATCTTGTGTTTGGGATTATAGTTGGATTGTTTGAATATACCACGAGTTCATTTTCCGCCACTTTTAACACCAATTCCACCCCTCAATGTTCTTATTAATGACCCTTTTGCTTTTATTATTATTTATTTTAAATTTTACATTGTTGTGCAACTATCACCATCGTTCCTCTGCACGTTTTTTTTTCTTGCAAAACTGAAACCTTTGCCCAATAAACAATGATTTTCCATTCCGTTTCTCTTCACCCGCTGGAAACCACCATTCTGTTTTCTGTCACTATGAATTTGACCACCTTCGGCACCTTAAATAGGTGGAATCTTACAACATGCGTCCTTCCGTGACCAGCTTATTTTACGTGGCATCATGTCTTCAAGGTGCAAACATGTTGTAGCGTGTGTCAGAATTGTCTTCATTTCTGCGACTGAGTAATGTTCCATATGGAGACGCCTCCTTTGGTTTATCCATTCATCCATCCATGAACAGTTGGGCTGCTTCCCCGTCTTGGCTATGGTGAATCATGCTGCTACGAGCATGGGTGTACGAATATCTCTCTGAGACCTTGCTTTCAGTTTCTTTAGATATTTACCCAGAAGTGAAATCGCTGGGGCATATGGAATTCTGTGTTGTTTCTCTTTTTTTTCAGATAGGTTCCCACTGTCGACCAGGCTGGAGTGCAGTGGCACAAACTCAGCTCACCGCAGCCTCAATCTCTCAGGCTCAAGCAATCCTCCCACCTCAGCCTCTTGAGTAGCTGGAACCTACATGGAACAGCCATTTGCCACCATGTTTGGCTAATTTTATTTATTTATTCTTTAAGACAGAGTCTCACACTCACCCAGGCTGGAGTGCAGTGGTACGATCTCAGCTCACTGCAACCTCCGCCTCCTGGGCTCAAGCGATTCTCTTGCTTCAGCCTCCCGAGTAGCTGGGATTACAGGCACCCACCACTGCACCCAGCTAATTTTTGTATTTTTAGCAGAGATGGGACTTCAACATGTTGGCTAGGCTGCTCTCGAACTCCTGACCTCACTTGATCTGGCCTCCTCTGCTTCCCAAAGTGCTGGGATTACAGGCATGAGCCACCATGCCCAGACTAATTTTTTATTATGTGTAGAGACAGGGTCTCACTGTTGACCTGGCTTGTCTCGAACTCCTGGGCTCAAGTGATCCTTTCACCTCAGCCTCCTAAAGTGCTGAGATTACAGGCATGAGCCACTGCACCCAGCCGTAATTCTGTTTTTAATTTTTGGGAATCACCGTATTGTTTTTCTCTGTGGCTGCATTATTTTACGTTCTCACCACAGTGCACAAGGGTTCCAGATGTTCCACATCCTTGCCAACACAATTGTTTTTGTTTTTATTTGTTTGTTTTTGATAGTAGCCATCCTAATGGATGTAAGGTGTGGTGGTTCTTTTTATACAATTTGAAGTTGCAGAGTTGATATCAGTGATAACGTGAAAAATTACAGTACCAATAGTGTTTTGATATTTTCTCAGAAAATGCCTATTTGTTTGTTTTATTTTAGCCTTCAAATGTTCTAAAATACATTTATAATTTATAAAATTTGTAAAACCGAGGCCCCAAGAAACACACAGTTATTGAGCGCATTTGACCACAGGGAGGTTCTTTGCTTTCTGGCTCTAGGATGAGCCCCGGTGCTGATGGCAAAGCCTGTGCTTAGCCCAGAATAGACGCTGCGGCCCCTTGTCATGTCAGCCTGAGCTGACCAATGCAATTTTGGTACTGAGAAGTGGAAGGCTGTTGTCACAGATGTCTAACAATGTGGAAGTGGCTTTGGAATTGGGCATTAGTTAGCGTGTGGAAGAGATCTGAGGTTCATGTTAGAAAGATCTCAGGTCACTTTGAAGAGATCATTGGTAGAAATATAGATGTTTAAGGCCATTTTGGTGAATGCTCAGAAAGAAAAGAAGAGAACTGTAGAGAAAGCTTCCATCACCTTAGAGAACAAAAATATCATCATGAACATAATATGGGTAGAAATATGAACATGAAAGGCTCTTATGATGAGATGTCAAATGAACATAAACAGCATATTATTGGAAAATGGAAAAAAGGCAATCTTTGTCATAAAGTGGCAGAGACTTTGGCTGAATTTTGCTTGAGTGTTTCCTAGAAATTAGACTTTGAAAATGATGGCCTTTGACACTGAGCTGAGGAGATTTCTAGGCAAAGTGTTGAAGGCTCAGCCTGTTTATCTTTATTGCTTATAGAAAAATGTTGGGGAGGAGAGAAATGGAAGAAGAAATGACTCATGGCCACTGAGCGTTGGGTTCATGGAAGTTGTGATGACCAGAAGGCAAGGATTTGGAGTCAGAAATGCCTGTACTCATCTCTGTTCCTCTTCATTTTTTAGTGTGGTTGACACACTCCTGTGCAGATTGTCCCTGATGCCAAAAATGCAACTCCTGTTTTGCCCAAGGATTACTTTGGGTTTCCCTGAGACAAGGTCTCTACTACAGGCAGTTTACTTGGGAGGTGGTCCCAGGAAGGGGAAGTAAAGGAGTGGAACGGTGATTGGGAAGGGAAACCTAATGAAGTGTGTGTAAATAAGCTGGTTGACTGCCATGGACCACTGGTGTCCTGAGTACCTGATTGCTCACACCTTAAAATAGTCCCACTGGAGTCAGTGGGGCTGCCCTGGCCCCATCCCACTGACTGAGGGTTGCTCCTTTAATAAAAATAAAAAACATTTATTTATTTATTTTTTTAAATAGAGATGGGGTCTCACTGTGTTACCCAGCCTGGTCCCGAACTCCTGGCCTCAGTCCTTCTACCAGGCCTCCCAAAGGGCTGAGATTACAGGCATGAGCTGCCACGCCTGGCCGAGGGTCGCTCTTGACCATCAATTTCACTTCTCGGATGTTCTCTGAGTAGGATCATACAGCATATGTTCTCTGAGTAGGATCATACAGCATATGTCCTTTGGGACTGGGTTTTCTTCATTTGGTATGCTTCTTTGCTGATTCTTTCAGGTTGTGGTGTGTATTAACAGTTCATTCTTATTATTGTTGAGTAGTATTTCATGATATAAATGAGTTTTTTTTTTTTTTTTCTGTAGAGTTAGGGTCTCATTTTGTTGCCCAGGCTGGTCTCAAACTCCTGGCCTCAAGAGACCCTTTCACCTCAGCCCCTCAGAATGCTCAGATCACATGCATGAGCCACCATGCCTGGCCACATATTTTGAAATTATTACTTACTGAAAAACATGGATTCTTTCTAGTTTTTTACTATAGCAATTAAAGCTGCTATGAACATTTTGTAACAGGTTTTTGTGTGAACACAAGTTTTCATTTCTCTGGAATAAGTGACCAGGACTGCTGGTTTACATGGTATTTACATGCACGGTTCTTAAAGAAACTGCCAAGCTATTTTTCCTCTTTTCTAATATAAACATTTGGTGCTGTAAATTTCTCTGTTAGCACTGTTTTACCAGCGTCCTGCAAACTTTGATATATTGTATTTTTCTTTTCATTCAGTTCAATGTACATTTTATTTCCTGTGAGGTTTCTTTTTTGACTCATAGATTATCTAGACTTATGTGGTTTAGTTTCCAAGTCTGAGAGAATTTCTTCTTATGTTTCTGTAATTGATTATAGTTTGACTCCATTGTAATTAAAGAATGTACGCTGTATGACTAAAATTCTTTTAAATTTGTTCAGGTTTGTTTTACGACTAGGATATCATTCATGTTGGCATGTGTTTTGTGGGTGCTTAAAAATAATGTGTGTTCTGCTGTTGATGAGTAGAGTATTCAATAAATGTTGACTAAATCTTGTTGATTGATTCAGTTGTTGTGCTCTTCTATATCCTTGTTGATTTTCTGTATCAGTTGTTTATTCATTTGGATTTTTAAGTTATTTTATTAATACTTCCTTTACTTCCCCTTCCTGGGACCACCTTCCATGTAAACTACCTGTAGTCGAGACCTTGTCTCAGGGAAACCCAAATAATAAAGACAAATAATTGTGAATTTGTCTACTTGTCCTTTCAGTTCTATCAATTTTGGTTCACATATTTCTCTGCTATGTTGTTTGGTGTATACACATTTAGAATTGCTGTGTCTTCTTGATAGATTTACCCTCTATCATTGTGTAAGTTATCATTCTGTCGCTGTTAACTTTTTTGCTCTGAAGTCTACTTTACCTGATATTAATATTGTCATTCATACTTGTTTTTCTTTGATTATTGTTTGCATGATACATCTGTTTTTACTACTTCTTCTTTTTTTTTTTTTAACCTACTTATATTTTTAGGATTGAAATGAGTTTCATTTTTTTTCTTTTTCTTTTTTTTTTTTTAGATAGTCTTATTCTGTTGCCCAGTGTGGTATGCAGTGGTGTGATCTCAGCTCACCACAACCTCTGCCTCCCAGGTTGAAGTGATTCTTCTGCCTCAGCCTCCTGAGTAGCTGGGATTACTGGCACCCGCCACCATGCCTGGATAATTTTTGAATTTTTTAATTTTTATTTATTTATTTATTTATTTATTTATTTATTTATTTTTAGTAGAGATGGGGTTTCATCATATTGGCCAGGCTGGTCTAGAATTCCTTAGCTCAAGTGATCCACATACCTCAGCCTCCCAAAGGGCTAGGATGACAGGTGTGAGCCACCATGCCTGGCCAAAAGTGAGTTTCTTATAGATCATATACAATACAATTTGATCATGTGTGTGATTTTTTGGTTTGTTCGTTTGTTTTAAATCCACTCTGAAATCTCTATCCTTTAGTTGGTGTGTCCAGAACATTTACATTTAATGAAATTATAAATATGTTAGCACTTTTCAGCAATTTTACTTTTTGTTTTTTTTCTGTTTGTTCTCTTTGGTTTAATGTTCTCTTTTCTTTTTCCTGCCTTTCAATGGGTTACTTAAACACTTTTTGGAGTATCATTTTAATTCATCTGCAGTGTTTTTGAGTCTATTTCTTTATATAGCTTGCTTACAGGTTGCTCTAGGTATTTTATTAAATATGCATAACTTATAAGCCTAATGGTGTTATCATTTTACCAGTTCAAATGAGTTGTAGAAATTTAACCTTCCATCTGTTCTGATACCTTTTCCCATTTATAATACAATTATTTTGCATTTCTGCTATATACATTTAAAACCATATTCAGTGTTATATTATTTTGCTTAAGTCCTCAAACATGATTTAGAAAATTCTAGAGGTGAAGGAGGATATGTTGCATTATTCATATATTTACTTTTCTCCATTGTTCTTTCTTTCTTCTTGAGGTTCCAAGATTCTTACTTTTATTATTTTCTGGTAGTAAACTTTCTTTAGCTATTCTTTTTAAGTGTAGATGCTGGTAAAAAACTTTCTTAATTTTATTCAACTGAGAAAGCTTTGATTTCCTTCCTTCATTCACAAAATACGTCTTAACTGGATATGATAGTTCTTTTCTTTTCAGCACTTGAAAAATACACTCCTTTTTTTCTGGCCTCTGTAGTTTCATCTGAGAAATTCTCTATCATTCAAGTTTTTCTTCTGTAGGTAAAGTGTCATTTCTGATCACTGCTTTAAATTTTGTTTGTCTTTAATTTTCAGAAGTTTGACTATGATGTGTGTCTTGGTCAGTCTGAGCTACAGTAACAAAAAAACCACTGGGTGGCTTAAATATTGGAAATTGATTTCTCACAGTTCTGGAGGCTGGCAAGTGTAAGATCAAGGTGCCAGTTAATTCAGTTCCTGATGAGGGTCATCTTTGCAGTTTTTCTGGTTAGGTTCTCAAATGTCTTTTCCTTGGTGTAAACAGGCAGAAGGAAAGAGAGATCTTGTGTCTCTTCCTCTTCTAATAAATGCATTAATCCTATCATGAGGCTCAACCCTTATGACCTCATCTAAACCTAATTATCTCCCAAAGGCTCCCCTTCAAATCCATCAAATTGAGAATTAGGACGTCAACATATGCATTTTGAGGGGACACAAACATTCAGTCATAGCAATGTGTCTTGGTGTTTATTTCTTTGGATTTATTCTGTTTGAGATTTGCTTAGTCTCTTGAAATTGTGTATTTATGTGCTTTGCCAGATTTGAAAAGTTTTCAGTCATTTTTTTTTTTTTTAGGTTATGTTTTTGCCCCTGCTCTCTTTCTCCTCTCCTTCCTGCACTCCACTGACAGAAAACTTAGGTAGTTTGACATAGTCCAACATGTCTGAGGGGCTTTTTATATTTATTTTTTAGTCTGTTTGCTTTCTGCTTTTCAGATTGGGTATTTTGCATTTTTAAACCTTTGAGTTCATGTATTAATTCTCCTATCTTCTCTATTCTGACGTTTAGCCTATCTATTGTTATTTTTAAAATTACACTCACTGTATTTTTTTCCATTCTGAAATTTCCAAATGGTTCTTCTCTATGTATATGATTTTACTTGCTGAGACTTTTTATTTTTCCCATTTGTTTGTTTCCATTTGTTTCACAAATGTTTGTAGTTGATTGATGGAGCAATTTTATGATGACGGTTTAAAAATCTTCATCAGAGAACTCCGACATCTCTGCCATCTCGATATATACACGCCTCAGTGTCTATTTTCTATAAAAATCTTCATCAGAGAACTCCGACACCTCTGCCATCTCGATATATACACACCTCAGTGTCTATTTTCTATTGATTTGTGCACAACCACAGGACAATTTTTAAATTCAGGAAACGATCATCGATGCAATGCGAAAACTTATTTCTAATTCATATTAAAAGTTCCATCAATTATCTAATAATGTTCTTTACAGCATATTTTTTTTTAAACAGGACGCTCTTGAGAACGAAAGGGGGTACTCGTGGAAACAGACATAAACCTGAAACATCTGTGCAAACCTGGACATAGCATCACTCCTGAATCACAGCACCCAAGGGAGCTGCGCTTAGTTAGGAGGCAGGAGCTCACCCATAGGAGCGGGAGGCCGGGAGCCGAGGAGAGGGGCCTGGAGGGCTGGTGGCAGGGAGACGAAGGTGCTCTCTTCTGCCTGCTCTCCTTTGCTAAGAGACGTGAGGAGCAGGCCATTCACCTAGGCAGGGGAGAACAAGTCAGGAGGAGTGAGGGGCAGGGAGGAGGCAGAAATGGTTGACTCTAGAATGGAAGCCGGAATTATCCAGGGTGAGAGGGAAGGTTGTCAGCACACCTGCCTGCTGGCTCTGGGGTCACACCTCTGGCTTTTCTTCCTGAAATAATTACGTAGTTTAAAGCAGAACTAGCATTGTAAAATAATCTCCACTAATTTGGCTTGTCAGGCTACACATCAAACTACTTACTTGAATTCATTTAGATTTAAAACATTTTTTTGTCCTCAGTGATCCGAGAGCCTTGAATGGGAGACAAACTGTGTACGGGAATCACGCACAACCCACAAAGTCTAGATTCATCAGAATGCAGTGAATCCAGTGGGAAGACAGTATTAAGGGGGTAAGGAGGTGGGGGAGCACTGATTAACACTTTAATCAGGCCAGGCAGACTGAAAAGACAGCATTGGAGATGAGTTCAGAGGGAGAGGAGAGGAGCTGTGGGCAGGAGGAGTCCACGGGGAGAGCACTCCAGGCTGGAGGACCAGCCATGGCAAAACCTCCAGGTAGGAACGTGGCTGCGGCTGAGCCTACGAGAGACTCTAGGGAGGTATGTGAGGGGGAGGGAAGGGGCAGAAGAAGTCAGAGAGGCCACTGTGGGCATTTGCTGAGTGTGGTGGGGAATCTGGCACCGCGAAGGCCAGGGTCCGGCTCCTGTTTTTTGAGAATCACACTGGTTGCTGGGTAACAGGAGGCTACATGAGGTCTCAGCCCCACAGGGAGGCCAGGGCAGGTCATCAGTGGTGGCTCAATCCCTGCGGCAGCCATGGAGATTGAAGAGAAATGGTCAAATTTAGGATATCTCAGAAATAAAGCTGAGAGAATGTGCTGAAGAGTTGGGTGGAGGTTCGTGGTTTGGCCTGAACCACAAGAAGGGTGCAGTTCCCATCAACTGAGATGGGGAAAGCCGGGGGCCAGGCTGGGCCAGGCAGGAAAAGCAGACCTTCATTTGCAGGCAGGACATTTTGAGGGACTGATGAGACATCCAGGTGGACCTATTAACCTAGTCACTGGGGTAGAGGAGAACGATCGGAGCTGCAGATACACCTTTGAGAGTCATTAGCATAAAGATGACGCTTAAAATCAGGATGAGAGGGAGATTCTCTTGTCCTTACTACTTAAAATGTGCACGTCCCCACTCCCAACCCCCCAGCAGCCCCAGCAGCCTTACTCATGTTTGTTAAAAACACAGAATCTCTGTGTCCATGAGTTCTCATCATTTAGCTCCCACTTATAAGTGAGAACATGTGGAATCTGGGTTCCTGTTCCTAAGTTAGTTTGCTAAGAATAATGTCCTCCAGCTTCATCCATCTTCCTGCAAAGGACATGATCTGGCTCTTTTTTTATGGCTGCATAGTATTCCACTATCTAGATGTACCACATTTTCTTTATTCAGTCTATCATTGAAACAACACACACTGTGGTCTACCAGAAGGTAGAGGGTGGGAGGAGGGAAGAGGATCAGGAAAAATCACTAATGGGTAACAGGCTTAATACCTGGGTGACAAAATACCCTGTACAACAAAACCCTGGGGTACAAGTTTACCTACACAACAAACCTGCACAAGAGCCCTGAACTTAAAATAAAACTTAAAAAACATGCAGAATCTCTGGTCCCACCCCGACCTTGGACTCAGTCTTCATTTTAATAAGCTCCCCACAGGATCTGTAGTTATCTTAGGATGTGAGGAGCCCTGCCCTGGGAGATTTTATGTGGACAGCAAAGTGAAGAAGTGAGTGCTGGAGCCCTCAGATGTTCCAAGATCAGGG
This sequence comes from Homo sapiens, assembly GCF_000001405.40. NCBI lineage: Eukaryota > Metazoa > Chordata > Mammalia > Primates > Hominidae > Homo > Homo sapiens. The sequence continues at coordinate 3,151,952 of NC_000005.10, forward strand.
AGAAGAACAGGCGCTTGTGTAGCAGACAGTGAAGGAATGCTTCCTGGATAAACCCAAGGCAGGCTGTGAGAGCGCAGAGCCCTGGAAGCAATGAGCCGAGGTGTATGCGGGGACGGAGGGACCAGTGCCAGGGATCCTCTCGCAGAAGGCTCAGGACAGCAAGACTTCCCTTTATGGAACACATGGCTAGATGGAGGGCCTTTTACAGACAGCGTGAGGAGAAGAAAAACTGGAGACAGTGAGGATGAAGTATGAGACGTATGTGGGTGAGGCGTTGGACACAGCCCTGTGAGGTCGGGAGAACTTTCTTTATTTCCTTTTTGTTGTTATTGTTGTTGTTGTTATTGAGACAGGGTCTGGCTCTGTCTCCCAGGCTGGAGTGCAGTGATGCAATCATGGTTGGCTGCAGCCTCAAAATCCCCGGCTCAGGCTATCCTTCCACCTTAGCTTCCCAAGTAGCTGGGACTACAGGGCTGCACCGCCACGCCTGGCTAATTTTGTAACTTTTTGTAGAGAAGGGGTCCCGTTATGTTGCTCAGGCTGGCCTAGAACTCCTGGCATCAGGCGATCCTCACACCTTGACCTTCCAAAGTGCTGGGAGCCACCTAGGCTTGAGCCACTATGCTCAGCCAAGGGAAGTTCCTTTTAAAACATCGTGGTGTTTTTTTTTTATCTTACAATGACAAAAGCAATGTGTTTCTAGGCTGAGGCGATTGATTCTGTAGAGAGAGAAGAACAGAGTGAGGTGCATTTCTGTATGATTCATCTTTCTGTTACTGCCATTTTGGGACCCATGTAGCATGCCCACATTCCATGGGAAGCACTTTGCTTTACTGAGCCTGGAATTCCTTGAAGAACTCCATGTAAAACATTCAACAAATATTTGCAGAAAGAAGCTCAATTAAAACAGCATTGCTCTTCAAGTTTGGGTATCTGAACAAGAGTGCCTGGTACAGATGGCGTTTGTTGGTTAGAGGACCACAGCATTTGTGGAGTACAGGCCAATAGCATTTAGAGGTAGAGCTCACAGCCAGGAACACCACACACGGGACACTTGGCCTGGCTGTGCTTATGAGGGTCTGCAGCCGCACGGGAGCATGTGACGTAGGACCGATTCCATCGAGCTGTGGAATAGGTAAATTTGGTCTCTGGCTTGCAATGTGATCTAAGCACACACCCAGTAATACATCATAGGGATGGCAAAGAGAGTTAGAAAAATCAACAGTTTTTCTGAATCAAGTTGGCATGAAGTTTGTTTAAAATTGGCTACCCATGCTGGGTGAGAATTTGCTGTACTTCATTGTTGCTGTGGGACAGACCCACCCATTCCCAGTGGAACAGAGGTGGTGTTTCTTTGCCTTTAGAAGACGTTTCTTCTTCATCCTCACTGGCCATGTTTACAACAGGAGCACTGTTTCCCGTGGCCGACGTGCATTGTCGGGGAGTTCATGAGAAAGTCATCAGCCTCCCATCCTCTCATGCTGTCGGGCGGAATCAAGTCATAAATAGAGTCACTTGTCAAGCAGGACATCAATCTGTCCAGGTAGCCTCCACTTCCTGTCTCGGGCCATATGTGTCTGTTATTTATGTCAAGAAAATGGCATTTGCACAACCACTCTGGCTGTTTACAGAAGTTTGGTTCCTCTGGTTGAGCTGTGCGTGCTGTGTGCTCTTAGCTCACTGATAAGCCATGAGGTTGTGCAGTTTAAAATGTGCTTCCACATCCCTGATAGAATAAACAGGGCAGAGCCCACAGCACCATCTGCCCAGCCCAGCCAAAGCGAGGAGTGAGGGGAGGGGCAGGGGCTCCAACAGTGTTCTCTGGGTCCCTGGGAGGTTGGTGCATTTTTGCTGAGAGAGTGCTATGGTAAGTGATATTCCTTCTGACCATTTAAATTATATGAATTTTTTGTAGGCGGGGCATCAAGAAGCCTTAATGTCTGACCCTGTAAAGTTCTCCATTCAGAAGCACCTGGCCCAGCGTGTTCCTTTGCAGGTTTGCATTCTCTGCGCATCTGCTGTTGGAGTCTGTATTTGGCAATGCCAACTGGGAATCAGGGGAGACTTTTATGGTCAGAGGTTGTTCCTCAAATTCAAAATCAGTGACTCAAAGAGAACTTGGCCTTGACCCGGCTGTGACTATTGCCTTCTCAATTAAACTAACATTCCTGCTTCCCCGTTTATACAACTGCAAGCACACAAAGTGGGAAAGACATACAGGAGGCTAAATTTGTTGATCTAAGATTGTTGAATAAGATTAGGATATCAAGAGTTATTTTCCAATTAATAGAGCATGACAAAAGGCAGGGATTTCATGTACTTTTATGTTATTAAATGCACTCATCACATGCACACACTTGCACACACCCACATATACAGCCAGCATTATCCTTTTCCTGGTAACCACCCAGCTCTTCCATGGTGATCTCACATGAATGCTTCTATTTCATTTGGTGGCTCAGAAATTACTTTGATCTCTTTGAAAATAAAATAACTTAATTCTTAAGCATCAGCACTGTTCTTGATTTCTCTACATAGCCAAGGTTTAGGCAATTTAACTATGACATTATAAAATAGAAAAAAGTAGCCATCTGATTTTTTAAACGGAGATTCAAACAGCTTATATAATTTTAGTTTGTGGTATTTATCTTGGTTTGACAATGCAGTGTAGCTTCAATTTAACATCTACTGCAAGTTGGACCAAAATTGAATATAGATCAGATCTTGAACGGATTGGAACAAATCCGTGGAACAAATTGGTCTGATTATATGGTATTGCATGGTGCATGAATTTTAAATTAAATAGTTTCTTGCCCTATTAAATGTTGCCAACAGTATTGTTGTGGTGAGTTATTTTCATTTCTTGTATATTTTCATATATACTTTTTTCTTTTATTAATCAATATTTCTTTATTTAGATGGGATCATAGTTCAGGATCTCATTTCTCTCTCCCTCCTCTCTCTCTCTGAAGGGTCTATTTACATCATGTAAATTTTGAGAGTAATTCTGTATTTTTCCCTTTAAGTGTGTTTCATCACATCATACCCTGTAACTCTCTTTGGGTTTGTTAGAAGGACAAATTGTGTCTTTTTACTGGAGAAAATCAACGCGGAGACTTTCTTTTTTGAGGCCCACATTAATATTTACTGTTTCTGTTTTGCTTCTGCGATCCAGCTTCAGACCACTTCCTGTTTGCCATGGTATTCCCAATGCCGGTATCCATTCAGGAATTTGAGATTCTGAGAAAACCAGGGAGAGGCCTGTGTTGCTGACGGGGCTGGGAAGGAGACTGTGGGAGGCCACTGTCTCGGGAGTGTGGTTGAGCCCTGCTCCCCCTGGGTGGCCACCCACGGCCTCAGATGCCCCACGCTTGTGCTTCTCGAGCCCCTTACTGGGCAGTGTTGTCTTGTTTCCACAGAGGAAACACAGTTTGGCAAAATTATATACGGTTTTGAAGTCTACCCATGGAAAGTGAAAACAGCATAGCTAGAGTCAGCCTCCTTTCAAAAACATGCTTTTTACTGTCATTTTGCCTGGTTTTCACTCTTTTACTTGTGCGCAGTAGTAAGTGCTTCAGTTCACAAAAGTGGCCAAAGCCGCCGTCACAACACCTCAGCGCGGTGGTGTGTCTTTTAACCCACGTGTTTGGGTGGGAATGCCTGTGAGGAGCACTGTTTGGGGCTGCTCTGTCAGACCCTGGCACACTCTCAGGGCCGCCTTGCACGAACCAGCCCTGCCCCCTCAGGGAGGAGCATCGGGAAAGCTGAGGCAAGCGCAGGGTCCAGTTGATCACAGTGCCGTTGCCCACCAGGCACTGGCTTTGCCTGTCATGAGGCTCTGGACTCAGCGTCTCAGGCATCCACACATCAGCCAGGAAGGGTGGATGGGGCACTCGAGGCTATGTGGGGCTTGAAGACCATGACAGAGGCGCTGGCCCAGAGCGGGCACAGCCAGGGTGCAGCATCCTGCCCTGCCATCTTCACCGTAGCCTCTGGGCTCCTCATGGCCAGATGCCACCTTGTTGATGAGACCTCTGTCTGCTCCCTCCAGCCCCGACCTTGGCAGAATTGGCTGCGATCTTGGTTTTGCTGGGTAATAACAATAACGATGGCAATGTGAGACTGCTGTGCCTGGCACTTCTGAAGTCCCCTCATATAGTTGTCATGTAATTCTCCTTCAAGGTGCTGTTCCACTCACACTTACAACCCTGCAGTCCCTCGGTGAGGTCACAGAGAAAGCCACCAGGGGCTTCCAAAAGACGGAAGGACTTTTCGTTTTTGCTTTATCCATTCTTGTGTCATGTCAGGCATATGATAGGAACTTAATGAGTATTCATTACATTAGCATGGCGATCAAATGAATGCTATATGTGGAGAGAGTAGGGGTTTCAGTAAGAGCAGATTCCAGAATTTCTACACAGGCATGGCTTAGTTCATGTGACCCACACCTCAGTCAAGAAAAGGAGCATTTCCATCACCCAGAAATGTCTCTCATGCTCTTTCCAATCAATCCCTAGCTCCTGAGGACCCTGCTGCTCTGATTTCTCTCACACCACATTAGCCTTTCTGTTCTTGGACTTCATATAAATGGACTCATACGGAATTGCTCTGTTGTGCCCATTCTCTTTAGGTTAACATGTCTGTGAGATCCATCAATGCTGTTGTGTGTTCAGCAGCCTTTTCCTTGTTATTGAATAATGAATGTACCACAGTGGGTGTGTTAGTCCATTCTCACACTGCTAGTAGACATACCTGAGACTGGGTAATTTATAAAGAAAGAGGTCTAATTGACTCACAGTTCAGCATGACTGGGGAGGCCTCAGAAAACTTACAATCACGACAGAAGAGGAAGCAAACATGTCCTTCTTCATATGGCAGCAACAAGGAGAAGCGCAGAGCAGAGGGGGTGGGGAAACCTCTTATAAAACCATAAGATCTCCTGAGAACTCACTCACTATCATCAGAACAGCGTGGAGGTAACTGCCCCCATGATTCAATTACCTCCCACCTGGTCCCTCCCACGACATGTGGGGATGATGGGAAATACAATTCAAGATGAGATCTGGGTGAGGACATAGTCAAATCATATCAGTAGGGTTATTCTTTCTCTAATGATTCCACAATTGGAGTGCTTCCAGCATAGAGCCATTTGTAAATAAAGGTCTGGGAACATTTTTATACAAGGTTTCTGTGTACATAAAAACCTTTTTGTGTTCATTTCTCTGGTAAATTACTAAGAGTGGAATTGCTCATTCTTAGAGTAAGTATATGCTTGACTTTATTTTCAAAATGCCAAAAGATTTTCAAAGTGAAATACATGAGAATTTCAACAATATTGAAACTTGAATTGCTCCACATGTTCACCAACATTTGGTATTCTAAGTATTCTTCGTTTTAGTTATTGCTGGGTCTTAGTGGTTTCCCCTTGTGGTTTTAATTTGCACTTTCCTATTGACAAATGATGTGGAACGCCTTTTCCTATTCTCATTGGCTACTCACATATTTTTCTTTTTCACGTATATCTTCAAATAGTTTGCCTGTTTTTATTAGGTTGCCTGTGTTTGCATTATGAAATTGTACAGTTTGAAGCCAGCTTTGGTAGCCTGCACCTGTAATCATATCTACCAGAGAAGCTGAAGTGTGAGGATCGCTTGAGCTTAGGAATGTGAGGCTGTAGTGAGCTATAATTGCACCACTGCACTCCAGCCGGGGCATCAGAGCAAGACCCCATCTCTGAAAAAAATTGGACAGTTTGTTTAGATGTTTCAGATACAGGATCTCCATCAGATGTAGATATTGTAAACATATTTTTTCTGCTCTGTGGCTTGCATTTTTATTTTCTTAATGGTGTTTTCAATAGCATAATTTTTTAATTTTGGTAAAGGCCAATTTGTTCATTTCTTTTCTTTTTACACAGGAATAAATATATTACAGAAATATACAGAAAATATACAGAAAATATATTACACAGAAATATATTACTTTTAATATTTTGTTTCATATTTAAGAAATCTTTACCAATTCCACATTTGTAAAGATTTTTTCCTATAGTTTCTTCTGAATGCTGTATGGATTTAGCAATTATATAGAACTCTATGATCCATCTCAAATTAATTTTTGAGTGTGGTGTGAGGTAAGGGATACATTTTTTTTCCATATCAATAGGCAGCTGTTTCAACAACATTTGTTGAAAAGACCTTTCTTCATCCACTGAATTCCCTCAACACCATTGTTGAAGTCAATTTTCACCACAGATGTGTGAGTCTATTTCTAGGCTCTTTCTATTTCATTGATCTGTTAGTCTGCCATCACTCCTATACCACACTACTTTGATCACTACAGATTCATAGCTAATTCTGAAACCAGAAAGTATAAACTCTGCAATTCTGCTCTATTTCCCATTTGTTTGGCTATTTTAGGTCCTTTACATTTCCATACATATTTTAGAATCTGCTTATAATTTCTGCATAAAACCTGTTAAGTTTTGCATTCTGTATATAAGTTAACCTTCATATTGCAAATATTACATAATGTTATTCTAATGTAACAGAAAAACTATATATAGCATCACCTTATGTATGAGCCAGTCCAAGACTAGAATTCAGTATCCTTCATAATTTGTAACCTCAAGTTTGTTGTTTTAGAGAGGTCATTCTACTACTTTCCAAACATGCTAGTATTTTCTAATATCTGTGTTTCTTCTTCCTGTCCTTTATTATCATATCTCAAATCAAAGAGTGTTTCCTCTCAAGGGTGGCATCTAACCTCAGCCGCATTTTGCACAGCCTCCTGACTGAAAGTGGTCTGCCTTGCTTGGGCTGACTTTTCTGTGTGTGACTGGAACATCTGTATGGCACTTGGCAGCTTGATGCCTCCCACTTTGCCTCTCTGGGCATGCAGCTCCCTCTGCAATGACATTCTAAATGACTTGAGTGAAGCCGCCATGTTTTGCCTTTGTGGGCCACCGAGCAGCACTTCTCAAATCTGTAAATGACATATCACAGGTAGAAATGTTAAACTGTACAGAGTAAATTAAGGAGGCTTTAGAAGAATGTGTGTAGAGTTTAGTGAAAATTTTACCATTTAAAAATTGTATAAAATAAAAAATAAACTTATTAGATAGTATATTGCATTTTGGGTTTGTGTATAACTTCCAATGAAAGTATTTTCTATTATTGGTAATAACAATTTGTTATTAGTATATTTTTAACCATCAAATATCTTGCATGAAATGACTATGCACAACTTATTTTTATGCCCTGGTGATTTTTTTTTTTTTTGGATTGTGGACAGTTATTAAGTTGAAAGTTGATTTGCACAAATAAGTACAAAATTTTGAACACTGTTCTTTAAAGCAACCATTGAAAAATTCACAATTGTATTCAAAGTGTCTGGCAGCTGTTCTTTATCCTTCATGGACGCATGTAAGGGGCTTTCTTTTGAGATCACGTGAACAGAGTCAGTATTAGATGGAACTCGCTTACATGTAGGTCTCCAATTGCAGAGTCTGCCTGTGGCTCTCAGTCCACTACCAAAAGGGCACCTGTGCACTCCTAACGGAGGAGCATCCAATGTGGACCAACTGCCTGGAGCGATGCTGCCCACAGGTCCTCGTCTTTCCACCTGGGTCAGCCACAGCTTTCCTGGACCCATGGGCAGAAGCCCTGCTGGCCCCCAGCCATCTTCCGTGATCAGCAGTGTGCTCCTTGCAGAGGCCTCAAGAGGATAAGACCACCTGGGAGGATGGGTGCAGAGTCCCAGGGGGTTCTTCTCTCCCTCACTCACCACCATCGTGGGAGCACAGTTAAGCCCTGATAGGACTAGCTTCCCTTGAAGAGATGCACAGGAGGTTACTCTGGGAGAGAAGCACCTGTCCTGAGGTTGGAGCCACACCAGGGCTGCCTGGGGAACCTGCAGCTCCTTAGTAGCTCATCCATCCACCCAGGAGCCCTACCAAGTAACGTGTGGCCCGCAGACTCATGGCGCACGTGTCCCCTGGGAGCTGGCTAGAAAAGTAGACCCGGATTGGACTTGCCAATTCACAGTCTGCATTTTAACAGCTGCTTTGGGGGTTGGGGGATCCATGCCAGAGTCTGAAAAGCCCAGCCCCTGGTAAATCAAGGAAAAGCTCTGTCCAGGAGCCCCACGCCAAGTCTCCCTGTAATAAGTAGCTGCTGATGAATGAATGCACATTTTACAGGTTAGTAAGAAGAAGAGGAGGCTTCATTTTGTATCATTTGGAGAGTGATGAGTTTCAGACAGTGAGTCCTGAAAATGCCATGGAATTCAAGGCTGACTGCAGATTGTACACTGGACACAGCCTCAAGACATCTAGGGTAAGAAAACCTGCAAACTGCATAGCCAGGCAGCAAGAGTGACTGCAGATGTGGGGATACTCATCACATAAATAAACAAGTCAGGGGTGTGGATCTTTATCTGGGTGGAGGCATTGGGCAGGGTGGTAAAGTTGGTTTTAGATATTCTGAGTTTGAGAAACTCATGGCACTTCCAAGTTGCAATGCTGATTGTTCCATGATTCATGAGATAGCATGTGACCTTGGCAAATTTCTTAACTCCTCAGGAATTCTCATCCTCATCTGTGCAATGTGAACATTCACATCAGAAGGTATCTACAACTATTAAGTGAGACAAAGTACAGGCATTTTTCAAGCCTGGCACAAAACAAGAACTTGACAAATATTACCTACAATAAAGGTAAAAACATGAATAATAAAATACAATGATGGGGTAAACTTCGTGTGTGTGTGTGTGTCTGTGTGTGTGTCTCTCTCTGTGTGTGTTTGTATGTGCGTGTGTTTTTGTGTGTGTCTGTATGTGTTTGTATGTTGTGTGTATTTCTCTGTGTGTCTCTGTGTGTGTGTGTCTCTGTGTGTGTGTCTCTGTGTGTGTGTTTTTATGTGTGTGTGTCCGTGTGTATGTGTTTGTGTGTGTGTCTCTCTCTCTCTGTGTCTCTGTGTGTGTGTGTGTGTTCTACACATGGAATGAGTGCATTAGTGCAGAATTGATGGGGTATATTTTCCAAAGGTAAGGGAAGCTAGGCTTTTGACGCTATGTGTTTTTTTTTATATTTTTAAAGATTTGTCTATAGAGCACAACCTTGCCTTCACTCACGGTACACTGATAACTACAGACATGGTGATGAATAGATTCCTTATCTTTTATAGATGTCACTGAACACGTGACTTCTGTCTCCTGAGCACCACGCAGAGCTACAGAGATGAAAGCAGAATCCATTCAATCCATAGTTACGGCCTTGGTCTGAGTCAATCGCCTGCCATTTTCCAGAGAAAGAATGAATGAAGACAACTTTGGATACAAGAATACTCGTGACAGTGATTTTCTCCCATCAACCATGCCAGCACTGAGGGGTATTCTCCGTATAATGTGAGGATATGCCCTCTCTTTTAGACCTGTTTCCCCCCAAAATATAGAAATATCACAGTAACATTTTACTTGTCAGAAATCCAAGCCGCTAACAAACTCACTAAATTAGTTAATTTTCACATTGCTATAAAAAACTTCCCTGAGACTGGGTAATTTTAAAGGAAAGAGGTTTAACTGACTTACAGTTCCACATGGCTGGGAAGACTTCAGGAAACTTATAATCATGGCGGAAGGGGAAGCAGGCATCTTCTTAACAAGGCATCAGGAGGGAGAAGAACAAAGGAGGAACTTCTAAACACGCATAAAACCATCAGATCTTGTGAAACTCATTCACTATCATGAGAACAGCATGGGGGAAACTGCCCCATGATCCAATCCCCTCCCAGCCTCGACACACAGGGGTTACAATTTGAGATGAGATTTGGGTGGGGATACAGAGCCAAACTGTATCACTGCCCTATAAAGAAGCCTCCCCGAAACAGAAAGCGAATGTAAGCATTTTCCCACGTGCACTTGAGGGAGATCTCAGCACCTGTGGACCATCCCCTGTGCCCGGCTACGCACATCTTCTTAGGCTGCTGCTCCTGAAGAACACTTACTCCCTGCAGGGTCTTCAGAGCCTACTAAACCACCTTCTGACCTGCTGCAGGGTAGAGGGTGTAGGAAAGAAGAGGTGGTCCTTCTGCGGGTCGGGAAGCCACCAGGGTCTGGTGTGTGCAGTGTGAGGCAGCCGAGTGCGAGGTCGGAAGGTCTGCTCAGGCCTCCTCATTCCCAGACTCCCACTGTGATCTGTTCTTTCTTCCTGGAGTCAGACGCCACACACACCCCAAGGATCCCAGAGCTTCTACCATTGCTGCTGTCTCGTTGGAGCTCCAAACTTGCAGAGCCAGCTGTCTTTCAGCCACCTCTTCTCAGATGTCACACCAATATCACAAATTTGAAGCACTCAAACCTTCACTCTCAGTATCCACACATTCTCCCACCCCTAACATGCGATTTCTCTCCCACTCCCTATCTGGCCATCCAAAGCATAAACCTCTCCCCCAGCACAGCAACCACTAGGTCATGGTGACCTCATGGGGAGTGTCCCCCAGGTTGTCCATTTTCCTCCATCCCCACCCTGGTCCGGGGCCCACCCATTTAACTTGGGTCCCTGAACCCGCGTCTGAGTTCCCTCTCCCTGTACTGTTTTACTGCTTCCAATCCTTTCTCCATGACAGTCAGGGTGATTGTGCTCAGTGGCACATGTGATCCTGCTGCAGCTCTCTCTGGGTCTCCTTTTGTTCTTTGCACAGAATCCCAACCCTAAGGGGTCACCCAACCCTCTTCATGCATTGCCTCTGGCTCACCCTGCAACCTAATGTCCTGTCCCATATCCCCCCAGCCCAGTGTCTGAGCATGCTCACTTCATCTGGTTCCTTGGGGTTCAGCCTCCCCCACACCTCTGGGTTTGTCTGGACATCTGGACATCTTGTCCCACATTCCCCATCCCGGGCCTCCCCAGCCCAGCATATGAGCGTGCTCATTTCATCCTATTCCCTAGAGTTCAGCCTCCTCCACAGCTTTTGGTTTGTCTGGACGTCTGGACAGCTTGTCCCGCATCCCCCACTCCCCAGCCCAGCATCTGAACATGCTGATTTCATCTTGTTTCTCGGGGTTTAGCCTTCCCCCACACCTCTGGGTTCGCCTGGCAGCAGCAGCTTTTCTCCTCCCCACACTTTCTCTCCACTAAGAGGTACAACATCTTTTGGTTCCCAAGATGGCTGCCCCTTCTTTCATGAAGATTTCTGGGATCGCTGAAATATGGAACAGACGCACCATGACACAGGCTTTCTCGGTAGCAGTGATAAGCCCGCTGCCCTTGTTCTTATGGTACAATATTGCAGTTGCTTGTTCGGTGGCTTTCTTCTCCCTTAGACTGCAGGAAAGGAAAGAGAAATGACAGTAACCAGGCATCCTGCTAAGGACATTGCACATACTATGTCATTTAATCCTTAAAGCCTTTTTTAAAAAGTAACATTATTAACCCTACTTTGTGGATGAGAAACTGAGATTAAGAAAGAGTAAGTGATTTTTCCCCAAGTGATCTGGTGTGAAGGAGCCAAGAGTCAAGCTCAGACAATGCAAGCGACGCCCATCCCGGCTTCACTCAGCAGCAGGACCAGGCCTTCCCTTCTCCTGTGCTTCCAGGGTCTCCAGAGCTTAGAAAGTGCACAACAAAGTCCATGCTCAAGTTTCATGGGGTGCAAGCAAAATGAACAGACTATGACCAAAAAAACAGGGAGAATGTATTACTATAGGGGACAAATGGGTGCCCCATGGAGGAACTGGGTTTAGAAGGGCAGGAGCCAGGGTGGTGGTCGGTTTTCAGGGAGCTCAAGAACAGCAGTGCAGAGTGCCGCTTCCTGGAGGGCTGTCCTCAAACACTCTCCCCGGAGTGCAAGTCCCTGTGAAGCGAGTGCCTGGAGGTCTCACTCAATTCCTGTGACACTCCCCTGTGGCTGGGCATATTGACCAACAGTGTCCCCAGGACTACGTGGCCTGGATCAGATGCCACAATGACAACACCCTCAGGCCTTCAGTGGCAGACAGTACAGACACGGACCTATTCCTGAGTCTGATGGGTCTGGGTGAGCACATCTGGGCTGGGTTTGACTAATCTCAGCTCACTGGCGCATCTGCGGTTGCTGCACGTGTGTGTGTTAGGCGGCTCTGCCGATTTTGGCTGGGCTTGCCCACCAGCTGGCTGACCTAGAACCACCTGGGTGGGACCCTGGGTGACCCCCCTCGGGGCCTGTGCCATCCTCCAGTAGATCATCCCGGGGAACACGGGCATGGTGGCAGAGCACCAGCAGGGAGACCATCTCTTCTGCAAATGGTTGAGGGAACTGGATCATGCAAAAGAATGAAATTGCACCCTTATACCAGACACAAAAATCCACTCCAGATGGATTAAAGGCTTAATCATAAGACCCCAAACTGCAAAAGTCCTAGAAGAAAACATAGCGAAGCATCTTCCAGACATTGGTCTTGGCAGTGATTTCCTTGATATGACCCCAAAGCACAGGAAACAAAAGCAAAAATAGGCAAGTGACACTAAGCTTGCTCAAACTAAAAAAGCTCCTGCAAGCAAAGGGCGCAATCAACAGAATGAAAAGGCAGCGTGTAGGATGGGGAAAATATTTGCAAGTTATAAATCGGATTGAGTTAATATCCTAAATATATTAGGAACTGCTATAACTCCACAGCAAAATAATAATAAAAATAATAACATGACTAAAACATGGGTAAATTTTCACTTGTCATTTTTCTATAAATGCACTTCACTGTACGTACATACTTCGAGAATCAGATTCACGAAACAAGTCTACTCGTTTATAAAACGAGTGATTAATTTATAAGAAGTACTTAAATAGTATCCCTTTAAATATATATAGAGAACTATGACAGGCACATTGCTGTTATGTAAACTAAGCTAGTTTAAGCAACTTCTGTGAAAATCGTGTTCACTGCTAATATATTTATAGATTTAATTTTTTTACAGCTGAATAGAAATTTTATCTTACTCCCAAGGCCAATAGCTAACGTTCCCCAATAGAAGCCTCACAAGGCTCTACTTTACCACAACATGGGCTCTGCCTGTCCAAGGGAAAGTTAAACAAAGAAGATTAAATAAGAGTTCAGCATTTTTAAGGTAAAATTAAAATTTACAGGAGCTTCTGCTGGGAGAATGGGCTCTCACTGGGTGCTCTGTGTTATCACTGGGGCACCAGGTTCTAAGCAGGCATCTGCAGCTGAGCAGTGGGCTTCAAGTGGGAGGATGTTTTCATGTGTACCAACACAGAGCTGCGAATTGTCAGAAATACAAAATATTTGCATACATCGATGTGATATATGAACCCTCAAAAAAAAAAAGCAAAACCAACAAAACATAGTGTGTGTGATCTAGCATCATAGATATATTTCTGATTCTCAGGACACACATAGAAGACAATCTGTCCTCTTATTTTGTAAGGGCCAACATTGGTCAACTGTATCTTGGAGAGACCACAGGTGGCCTTGGCCAGTGCATGGCCAAAAATGTAAACAGCCTGTGAACGGGAGTGCTGAGGAGTGAAGGGAGGAAGGTGGTTTCTGCACTCCCGGGTTCCAACAGGAAATGCAATTCTCAAAGTCTGCAAGACCCTAGACTAGAAAAATTCATTTGAGTATTAGAAATAATTTTATTTTTATTGGTTATTTTCTTTATAAAGAAATAAAGTTTTAGAACTTAACTTTAGAAATAAAGTTAAGATAGCCACCTGAAAGAGGTTAGATTGGGATTTTTCAAAAAAATTTTTTTTCCAAAAGTGTTTTGTTGCTGTTAAAAATAAAATTAAGAAAATGCTGATTTAAATTGACACTTAACTATCAGAGCCTACTATTTTCTTTTCTACTATGCAACTAAAATAATCAAGATGGTGCACAAGAAGAAAGAGTTAATAAAGGAAAAATAACATTAGGAATTAGAATAGATCCCAATTCAGGCCATAAGAGGCCCTGAGAAGTGCATTAGAAAACGTGCATATCAATCTACATTCTTGGTTTAGATGTGAAGTGTGGCATCTGCCCCCCTCTAGGTGGAGAGGAAGAGGTCAACTGTGCACCAGGCCTTCTGTAGTGCATAGACACCAGGCTGCAGCCTACGCATCCGTATTTATTTTCAAAGGAAAATAAACCCAGTTAAGAGATAAACATGTGTACCCTAAACTCAACTCCATTGCACAGTGGATATGCATTATTATCTTGAAAATGGAGAGGAAGAGCCTACTTTTAAGATAATTCATCAAAGGGAGCAGAAGGACATTTTAGAAAGTGTCCCTTTTCCATATTTTTCTATTTCCCTTCAGAGTGGCAAAAAGTTGCTATTGATTTTGGGGATTTTTTTTCTTTTATGACAAAATTAACTCAAATAATTTACGAGAAGATGTGCCATTTCTGTCTTTAGATACAAATTGTTGCATGTTCCAGAGTCTTACAAGTTAAGCTGCTGGAATCTGTGGAATATGTAAGGACGGTGCATTTAGAGCCCATCTGGAGGGGCTTGCTCAGTGTTGTGCCTGGTCACAGCGTATCGATCCAGGAACAGTAACCGGGATCAGGGGTGCACGACCATACGGCCCATCTCCACAGAAAGAGCACACGGAGAAGACAACTTGGTGGCTTTGGATTCACCACCAAGATCTGTGTGTGTTTCACATAGAATCTTGATGATTGTGGAATGAACTACTTTGGCCAACATCCCCATATTTGGCAAAATGATTTGCTGAAACTACATGTGAGGAATGGGTTCAAAAAATGTCTTGGTAGACATTTTTTAATGTCTCAGCCTTATGAATTTCGATGGTTTGAATGTGTTTCTCCAAACTTCATGTTGAATTGAATCTCCATTATGGTGGAATTAAGAGGTAGGGCCTGGCCAGGCGTGGTGGCTTACGCCTGTAATCCCAGCACTTTGGGAGGCAGAGGTGGGTGGGTCACCTGAGGTTGGGAGTTTGAGATCAGCCTGACCAACATGCAGAAACCCCGTCTCTACTAAAAATACAAAATTAGCTGGGCGTGGTGGCACATTCCTATAATCTCAGCTACTTGGGAAGCTGAGGCAGGAGAATTGCTTGAACCGGGGAGGCAGAGGTTGTGGTGAGTACCGAGATTGTGCCATTGCACTTCAGCCTGGGTGACAGAGCAAGACTCCATCTCAAAAAAAAGAGGTAGGGCCTTTGGGGAACTGATTGAGTCATGAAAGTCCATCATGTAACAAGTTGGTTGATAGTGTTGTTGATGGCATTTTTGTCTCTTTGTTCTATTAGTTACAAGATGACTACTAAAATCTACAAAGTTATAGAGATTTGTTTATTTCTCCCTTCAGTTCTGTAAGTCAGGGCTTCTTATATTTTGAATCAGTTATTTGCTGCTTATGTGTTTATGGTTGCTTTGTCTTCCTGATAATTTGTCCTCTTTATCATTGCCAAATGTCCCTTTAAATCCCTATTACCATTTAGTTTTCTACATCTATTTTATTACCTATATTGTCACTGTAGCTTTTTGCTCAGTGTTTGCATGATACATATGATACATATATTTCTACCCTTTTACTCTGAAATTATGTATTTCTTTTTTAAAGGGGATTTCTTTCTTCATTCTTTCCTTTTTGTGTGTGTGTTTTGAGACAGGGTCTCACTCTTTTACCCAGGCTGAAGTAAAGTAGATTTTTTTATAGACAACATGTATTTGAGTATTGCTCTTTTTTTGCAATCTTATAATCCCTGTCATTTAACTAAAGATTTAGGCCACTTATATTTAACATAATTTTCTATATGCCTACATTTAAATACACAATCTTGCCATTTATTTTCTATTTATTCTATTCTTTGTTACCATTTTCTTTCCTGCTTTTTTTTCTTCTCTTCTACAACTTTCTATCCTCTACTTTACAAGTAAGGGTATATATTTTTCTCATTCTCAATCCTACTACAATGAACTTTTCTGCAATGTGAAGTTCTCTAGGAAAACAAACAAAGGGGCACTTTGAAATACTGTGTCTTTTACCCACTTACACTAAAAAAGAAATTATAAAAGAGGTGTGTTTGAATGTGTTTGGCTTCCTGAAGTAGCAAGGAACAGCAGACATGATGAACATTATTTTATGATCTTGTTTATTCTATGTCCATACTATTGTCAAGGATACAATGCTCCTGAGGTCCTTGCTATTGAATGAATGTCTGTGTCTCCAAATTTTATACATTGAAGTATTAATCTCCAATGTAATGGTATTAGAATGTGGGGATTTGGAAGGTGATTAGTTTTAGATAAGGTCTGGAGGGTGGAGGCCCCAAGATGGAATTAGTACCCTTACAAGAAGAGGAAGAGGCTGGGTTCAGTGGCTCACAACTGAAATCTCAGCACTTTGTGAGGTCAAGGTGGGAGAATCACTTGAGGCCAGGGGTTCTAAACCAGCCTGGGCAACATAGTGAGACCCTATCTCTAAAAAAAATAAAAAAGAAAAAAAAAAAGAAAAAGAGGAAGAGACCAGAGCCTCTTCACCACATGAAGATACAGCAAGAAGATGGCCATCTATAAGCCAGAAAGTGAACCATCACCAGACATCAAATCTGTCAGTGCCTTGATTTTGGACTTCCCAGCCTCCAGAACTATGCTGTTGAAGCTACCCAGTTTATAGTATTTGATTAGAGCAACTTGAACTAAGACAGACCTTCCCATGAAAACATAGTCAATAAATACTGTTAAAGGTTGTGGAACCCTAATTCATCACAGCAAAAAGCACATGGCAAGGCTTTGAACCTTGTCTATTGTCTGTCTCCATCTATCTGTCTGTTTATCTATGTATCTATTTACCTATCATTGATCTACATTTATTTTTGCCCTATTTATTTTATGATTTGTAAAGTGCATGCTCTGAAAAATCAGTTTCTCTATGCCTTCATTTTCTCCAGTCTTAGCAATGAGAATCAATATAGCACCCAAATCCGATGTGTGTCTCAGTTGCACTCTACATGTTATCAAGGAAGAGAAAGTAAGTTTCTATATTCTCTTCTGACATGTCAATACCAGAATCACATATTGGAGATAAATTAGCATTTTCTATTTATTTGATCATTGTCATTAATTATGCTAAATGATTATTGAATAATGTAAATTTATCGCCTAGGTCACTACAAGCACAAAATACTTAAAATTTCTAATTTATTTGTATATTTTGCAGGAATGTATGATAGGGTGACCAATTTCCACAAAGTAAATAATGAGCATACATTTCTTTTTTTTTTTTTTCGAGAAAGAGTCTCACTCTGTTGCCCAGGCTGGAATGCAGTGGTGTGTTCTTGGCTCACTGCAACCTCTGTCTCCCCGGTTCAAGCAGTTCACCTGCCTCAGCCTCCTGAGTAGCTGGGACTGCGGGTGCTCACCACCACACTGGCTAATTTTGTTGTATTTTTAGTAGAGATGGGTTTCATCATGTCAGTCAGGCTGGTCTGGAACTCCTGACCCCAAGTGATCCTCCCTACTTGGCCACCCAAAGTGCTGGGATTACAGACATGAGCCACTGCACCCAGCCAGCATACATTTCTTTAGAAGTGAAATAGAAATATGAATTCAAGAATTAAAAGAAACAATGTAATATTTATGAGATTTAGACAGCTTGTTCATATATTTTATCATTGATGATATTCATTATATATTTTTATTTCATTAAACATATTTAAAAATGTGTGACAATTTATTTTCTAATACATATTTATAATACAACAGAAATGACTTATTTATAATTGTGTAAACATGGCATAAGATTAGAAATCTGTATCTGTAATATGATTCTACAGTTCTTTCAATGGATAATTAAAAAAACCCATATTATTAGAAACAGAACTTCTGGGTCATAGGTTATATATTTTATGGTCATAATCATTTTATTAACAGTAGCTAAACCCTGGAAACAACCCAAATGTCTGTCAACAAGCAATGGACAAATGAGTTGATGTATTCATGCAATAGAATATCACTGAGTAATAAGGATGAATTAACTATTCTTGCAATAAACTATATGGATAAATATCACATTCATAATGTTGAGTGGAAGAAGTTGGATTAAAAATTACATATAATATACATCAATTTACACAAAATTGTAGAGCAGGCGAAATTAGTCTAAAGTGAAAACACTCAGAACAATTTATTTAGAAGAAAATAAACAGTTAAGTGAAAAATTCTGTTTGGAAATATAAAAACCCACATTTGGTAACTTATGGGTTAAAGAAATGATGATGGAATTTTTTAAAAAGCTAAAACTAAGTAATAGAAATAAAATGTATCAAAAGTCATGAAATGCAGCAAAACATACCTGAGAAGAAATGTTTAGCTTTAAATGCTTATATTTAAAAAACAGAATGACTGAAATTTCTGAAGTATGAATTCTCCATCTTAAAGGTAGAACAAGATCAATAAACACCTCACAAATAGGAAGACGGTAATTTACATTTTAAAGAAATTTTTTTTACAAATTTATAGCCTACATCTGCAATTTTGTCACATACATAGATTGTGTAACGGTCAAATCGGGGCTCATAGAATACCTAGTACCCAAACAATGTATGTTGTACCCATTAATCAATTCTTCTTCATCCTCCCTTCTCCCACACCGTCCTTCTCCTAAATCTCCATTATTTATCCTTCCACTGTCTATGTCAACGTGAAGACATTTTTCAGCCCCCAATTATGAGTGAAAACATGCATTATTTGTCTTTCTGTGCCTGGCTTGTTCCTCTTAAGATAATGGCCTCCAGTTTCTTCTGTTTTGCGGCAAAAGACACGATTTCATTCTTTTTTATGACTGAGTAGTATTCCAGGTACGGTTGTTTTTCACTTTACTGTGTATTGTGCGGTTCTCCAAAGTGCTGTACTTATGTCCCTTCCTACTAGCATTGATTGAAGCTCCACTCTTCCGCAAATTTGTGAAGAAAATGTAATTCATTGTCATTTTAGTTTACATTACTGTACATTACATTACATTGTTAATTACTTCTCATTGGCTAGCAAGATTGAACATCTGTGTATGTTTGTATGCATAAGATTTTCTCATCTGTCAATTGCTTACATGTGTCCATTATATATTTGAAAGGCTTTTCATATTCTCTGGATACAATTCTCTGTTTTGGTAAAAAAAATATATTTTTTAGTATATTACTTGTATTTTAATGTTGATTATACTATGTTTTATTATATGAGTTATAAATGATAATGTAGCCATATTTATCAAATATTTCCTTTATTATTCATACAAATTTTGTCTTGTGAAATAAATTATTCTCCATCCCAAGGTTTGGGATGCTAGGTTTTGTTTGCATAAATTTTATTCAGGATTATATACATATATGAGTATATAAATATTATATATACATATATGTACAAATACACATACATTTCATACATATTATATATCAATGAAGACATGTAATGTACTATGCATATAAAATATTGACAAATATTACAATAATTATATAATTGGTCATTTAACTCAAATAACTAAAAAACTGACAAATTATTCCCAACTCTTTGTGTTGCTGTTGTCTTACATATAAAACGGAGATTATTTATCTTAATGTGTTTTGTCAGTGCTTTAAACACTTATAAAAGTGAAGTGCTTAGATCAGTGCCTGGTATCTTAAAACGCTTAATAAAAACTCGGTATCATTTTGTCATCATTATTATGTTTTACACGTTTGTTTTCTGGCCTCGGTACAAGGCTAGGCTAACGTAATAAAATGGCATGAACTTCATTTTGTATGATTTTAAAAAATATCTACTCTATCTTACAATCTATTTCATAATACAAGTATTATGTGAACATGATTTTTTTTCCTTACAACCATTTAGGTTGTTTGTACATTTTATGAGTCTTTAACTAAAATGCTTTTTATACATGCTCTCTCTCTTTTATATTTAATTTATATTGATTTTTTAATGCTATTTTAAAATTTGTTTTTCCTCTATTTTTCCAAATTTTTAATTTGATTAATAATGTTCATTCCCTATCCCTTTGTAGATTTTGAATATAAAGTAGTAACCTTTCCCCTAAATATTATGTTGGTGTACCCTACAAGAGCTTTGGTTTTATTCTGTTTGAAATATCTTCTAATTTCCCATAGAATTTTATCTTTGAGTAATAAATTACTTGGGTCTTAGTTTTTAATTTCCAAATGCTTTAGTATTGGTGACTATTTTGTGTTACTTTCTCCTGGTATTTTTTTGTTAAAAGAAAATAATATAAACTTTTTTGGCTTTTAAAAACTTTTCTGAATCCCACTGCATGTTAAATTTTTAAAAGTTGTATATGCCTAAAAAGGGAACTGAGAGTTTTGAAATCCTTGAGTATAGGTTCCTAGGGTATTTATTTGATCAACTTTGATAATTTGTGTTATTCAAATTTTTTATTGTAACTAATTTTACTTGCTTGCTTTATTCATTTTCAGAATATTTTGTTAAAAGCACTTATTACAATGACAGATTTGCCCACTTTTTTTGCTTATTTGTCATTGTTTA
This sequence comes from Homo sapiens, assembly GCF_000001405.40. NCBI lineage: Eukaryota > Metazoa > Chordata > Mammalia > Primates > Hominidae > Homo > Homo sapiens. The sequence continues at coordinate 3,172,451 of NC_000005.10, forward strand.
TGGACTCTATGTTATTGTGTACATGAAGGATATAGTTTCTTTGTTTCCACAGGTGTTTCTGTTTGCTAAAAAGTCTATTACATTTGTTATTGACAGTTTAACCGTCTTGTTTTACTAGATTTTTTAAATCTCTTATTTTCACTATTTTTGCTTCTTTCTGTGTTTCGAGTTATTCTTTTAAAATGGATGTAGATAGATTTTTACTTGCTTCTTTCTGATAATCTACAACTTTGAAAAAGATAGTTTATTATTTCTATCTTTATTTTAATTGATAACATATTCGGGGTTATTTCTGTCACTGTATGTTAAGTTTTTCATTTACCATGTATTCTCATTTCTTTTTTTCTTAGTCCACATTTTTTTTAAATTGCATTAAATTAGGCTTATCTACTCATTTCCCCCTTATTATCAATTTGATACTTTTATGTCCTATCTATATAAAAACATCAAAATGTTTACTGATATGGTTTGGAGGTTTGTCCCCTCCAAATCTTGTGTTGACCTATGTTGTCCAGTGTTGGATGTGGGGCCTAGTAGGACATGACTGGATCATGGGGGCGGATCCCTCATGAATGGTTCAGCACCATCCCCTGGGTACTGTCCTGGTGATAGTGAGTGAGTTCTCATGAGACCTGGTCATTTAAAAGTGTGTGCCGCCTCCCTCATCCCTCTTGCTCCCTTTCTTGCCGTAAGAGGCGTTGGCTCCCACTTTGCCTTCTGCCGTGATTGGAAGCTTCCTGAGGCCTCTCCAGAGGCTGAGGCTGTACCATGCTTCTTGTACAGCTTGAAGAACTGTGAGCCAATTGAGTCTCTTTTCTTTAAAAATTGCCCAGTCTCAGTTATTCCCTTATAGAAATGCAAATGGACTAATACATTTGTTTATTGTATAAAACCAATCAATAGCTTTATGTGAAGATTTTAACTTTTTTTCACCGATAAAATTTTAATGTTTAACCAACATTAAAATTTTATTGGTGTAAAAATGTTTAACTCTCAACCACTTGTTCATATTCATTGACATTTTGTTCAGTCTATTATTTTTCATATTATTTTTCACCTCACACATGACTATTTTTAGTAACCATGTTTTTTCAAGTTTATCTGTGTTTACCAATATTTTGCCTAACATTTTTCCTATCATACTCTTTATTTCCGTATTTGTATTTTTAAAATTGAAGCACAACCTTTACTATTCTCCTGGTTCTGATGGGATAATGTAAATATTCTGTCTTGATTAAATAAAAAAACCTCTTGTGTTTTATGTTTGAATGACTATTCTTACCAACTAAAAAGAAAAGGTCAAAACATAATTATTTTATATAAAACAACAAAAATTGTCTTAACAGAGAGCTTTTAATAGACCTAGGCCTGGAAAGAGAATCATTTAAAATAGAAACAATATTCATAGAAACACCAGATCTGTACATTTTTGCTTACGAGATTTGGCAAAACCTCAAGTAAGAGATGAGAATGATACTGTAGTTGGACATGCATTTTAGGTTTAAAATTATTCCTACAGTATATATCACACTACACAATGCTTTCCAGATTTTATAGTTGCTGAAAAACTAGTTATTGTCATTTTGAAAGTCTTATGTCTTTTATTTGTTTGTGTTAAAGCTTTCCTCTTGGTGTCTTCTGTTTTTGAGGTGTAGACTTTTTAAAAATTGTTTTTCTAAGTGTTTATGTGCTTTCAAATTGGAGATTTATGTATTCCTTTAATTCTAGCATTTTTTAAATGTAGACTCTCTTAAAAAAATCTTCTTTCTCATTTAAAAATATTTACTACTTCTACTTTTTGTCTTTTTTATTATAGTCTTCAATCTCTCAATCTTTATTTCCTATACTCTATTTATTTCTTTTTCTGGGCTACCTTGTGAGTAATTTTCTTCCCTGTCTTTCAGTTTAGTAATTCTTACTTATCTATATCTAATTGCCTATTTAATTCTTTGATAACAATTTTAAAATTCACCAGCAGTTTTTGTGGATGCTCTAGGCATTTTTCTTGTTGACTTTCTGAAGGGTCAGAGAGAGATAAGAGGTGCTTCTTAGGAGACTGTTTTGAGAAAGCCAAGCTTTACCAGAGCCCTTCATCACAGCAATGCAGCAATGCACCTACTCATTCCTCTCACAACCAAGGACATTTGTGTGAGAGTTTTGATGGGAAATCTTTAGGCATCCTCCTTATGCTTCTGAATTGGCTCCTTCCAACTTCTTTTCGTTTCCTAATTTTAAAATGTCTGTAAAGGGAATCCATTTTTCTTCAGTTAATAATAATAATAAAAGACTGCATTGCCAGGGTTAAATTCCCAGGACCCTCAGTCCTTTAGGGATGGACAAAATGGGGGCATCATCACTTACAAAAATGTCTTGAATTTGATGGTGATTATGTTGAGAAATAAAGTTCATATTTTTTATTTTTATCTTTTATTTTTATTTGTATGAACTTTTAAAAGTCCCCTATATTATAGTATATCTATATTCTAGCTGTTATCTATTTATCAATCACCTACCTATCTATTATCTATCAACCAATCTATCTGTTCTGTGTATGTATGTATGTATCTATCTATCTGCCTATCTATCATATATCTATTATCTATCTATCTACCTATCTATGTAATATGTAATTTATCAATCTATTGGTCTATCTATCATCTGTCTATATCTATTTATCTATCTTCCTATCTGTTTATCTATCAGTCTTTATCTATCTGTATTCTATCTACCTGTCTATCTATCTACCTGTCTATATCTTTCTGTCTATCTATCTATTTATCTACCTACCTATCATCTGTCATCGACCTATCTATGCCTATCTCTCTCTGTCTGCTTGTCTATTTATCTGTCCCTTTGTCTATCTGGTTATATCTCACTTATGCTCCACCTGTGGAACAAGCAGAGTTGACTGTAGTTAGGACTGCTCCGTTTCCAGAAGTCCCTAGTCTATTGTTTGTGCCTTCACTCTTTGCAAAATAACCTTAAATTTTCAAAATCCAGGCTCTTAAGAATCCATTCTTGACTTTCAGGACATTTTCTGCAATGTGGCTCAAAAAACTTGAAATCCAAAGGAAGGGAATGGTCTTGGTTATTCCGAGTCTGCTGTGGCATTCCTCCTTGTGACATGGACACAGCGGGCAGCACCAGGACAGGGCAGGCAGCGGCACAGCACGACCCGCAGGGGTGTGGAGCCCCAGAGGCTACTTCGATTCCTAGCCTGCTCTGTGTGCTTTGCTTATCTATCTTTTGTTGCCATCGAATCAGCAATAACTCACATATTTAGCATCACTGATTTAAAGCCATACTTCAAGAGGAACAAACTGACAATACCCACCAATTACCTTGTAATTATTTAGTCTAATTTATGCTAAAACTCTTAAAATATATGGAAGTATTGAAATAAAATAACAATTAGCTTTAGATGCAAAGTATGACGTTTTAGGGCTGTTCAAACAGTGTTAATATGTCAAATCCACCTCATGTAAGCAGTGACCACCATTTAAATAAAAAAATTCTACTTTAAGAATGAAGTGTGAACCCAGATATAATTTATTATTTTAATGATACCTAAGGGATATTATTAAGCTACTACCACTTGTCCATATTTTATTAGCCATGCACTATCAATACCCAATTTTTAAGTGTACAGGGCCCTTTTCTGTATTACAATATTTTATGAATTACATATGATAGTGCTGTAATTCAGATCAATTTGAGTAGCGGGTGACCTCCTGACACTTTCTTAAATACGTGGACTCCAGATCTGAAATGTGGAAGGGAGTACATTAAATCGTAATTAAACCAGTGATATGTTTGCCATAGAAAACTTATTTGTGGATGACGGAGATTGAAATGATAATGGTTACATGAACACCACAGATATACCCTCTGTTAAAATAAGAAATATATGAGTATAATAGATTTAATAATATATATACAGACTTTTAAATAAAGGTGATCAGACTCCAGGTTGTTCCTTGGCCTTTCCCACTCAATTGCCTGTCCAGACAACTCTAAAAATTGCTCTAAGTCTCTCTCTAAGAGATGACTGAATAAAACCAAAAGTTTCTATTGGCAACAACTAAAGATATGTGAGCCTTATTTAAGAAATAAATTTTTATTGAAAGATAAATGACCTGCAATGTTCTTTGTATTAATTTGAAAATAAATGGAAGCTTCAAGAGGAATACAATTGATTTTTTTCTGTTCCATTTTATTGGCGGCAACTTTTCTAAACTCAAAATTGGTAGACATTTAAAAATCTGTTTCATGCTTTTAAAATACGGTTTTATTTTAAAAAACTAAAAATTCTTAAGAAATTAAACTCAAAACTCACCGGCACTTGTAATTGCTTAACGCTGGGGTCATGGCCATTAGGGGCAGCCCTGTGAAGGGCCAGACATGAATTCTGCATGCAAATCATACTATTGGGGAAGGAAAACGCGTGATCGATATTCAATCCAAACAAGGGACAAGAAAGTCACCAAGCAGTCTTGCTGGGGCCAGCATGTGAACTACACTGGAACTGCAGTGAGGGTAAAAAAGAGGAAGGGGATGCTTACAGGTTCAGGAAACTGCGGGGAAAAGCGAGAACTAGAACCAGGAGAAGCCCGGGGGCTCAGCTCGTCCACAGCATGATTCATGCAAAGGACACAGGAAGGTGGGGAGGGTTGGGGTGGGGACCATCACTAAGGCTGAGGCCTGTGTCTCAAGAGGAAAGGGAAGGTCTCTGAGCCATGGGGTTGGTGACCAGGGTTCCACTGGAGGAATTTGAATGCCGTGTTGTGAAGAGGCAAGAGGGATCTCACATGAGCGCCCACCATTTGTTAAATATGTGCTCTGCATAATGCCTGATTCCCCCAGAAACCCTGAGCAATAAGTCTTACTTTCTTCATCTCCAAGGTGGTGAAACGGTGAAGCAAAGCAGCCTTAATCCAGGCAAGACCAAAACTCAAAGGTGTCTGGCTTAAACCTCGGGGCTGTCTCGCCACCCCATGCGCCTCCCCAGAGACTGGGCATGATTTGGTTCTGTTGGTTACCGTGAAGGTGGAAGAACCTAAGAGAGACAGGGCAGGGAAAGCGGGTAGGTTAGGACCCTAGCAGGGAGGGACGGGAGATAGAGCGGGATCCTATGGTCGCGCAGTTCCTCCTGGCAATGTACCCGGAGATGGGAAACAGCTGTCAGGTCCCAGAGCCATGCCCCTGTGGGTGAGAGGCTTAGAAGTCCCAGAAGGCAAGTGCCAGCTGTGGCTTCCACACGTGCTAGTGACACGTGCGCCTCCGTTTCCTCTTCTAGCACATAGGCATCACCACGTTTCCCTCACAGCTTCGCACGTGAGATCACAATCGACAATGCAGTGAAGCGCCCGCAATGGACTGCAGATATTAAGCAGTGAAGACAGTGAGTTACTCAGCTGATTTGTTCCGTGGAGAGTCAGGCTACCTGGTCATCCTACTCAATATCCAGGCCTGCCCGAACCTCAAGACTGGGTGGGCACCGTTCAGAGGCCCCCAGCCCCTGCCCTTCTCCTGCGAGGGCCGAGCTCACCGTCAGGTCCCTGGGGCTTGGAACTAAGTAGCCACTTCATAAACACATGGATTTTGGGGTGCCCCGGCCCCCATAAAGAGATCAAATTATGTCTCCTGCATTCTGCTGTAATGAAATGAATCATAAAATATGTTTTAGAAGAAAATTACTATAAAAAGTTTCAAAATTGTTATTTAAAAAGGTAAGTTATAGACACCTGTAAGATAATTTCTGGTAGAAAAGTTGATTGCCTGCTGACCCTGAGTATGGGGAACAGCCAATATTCAGCACTCCTCACTCCTTATTCAGCCTCCAGCAACTTTGTGTGGTGCTATTACTGTTTGCATGGACAGTTGGCAGGCTCAGGAAAGTGAAATACCTGCCCGGGTCATGGGGGCAGTACCTGGGTGGAAGCTTTTCTATTAATTGAAACACTTAACACCTTTTTGTTAGCGAAATGAGACGTACATAGGTAAAGCCATATTAATTGACAGAGTTGGTAGATTAGAAGTCTGCTCAGTGAAGTCCTGAATTATCCAAAACCATGTCAAACACATAGCCTAGTTTTGTCTGATTAACACAAATTCCTTCTTCATAAAGAGTCACCAATAGATCTCATTTTGCCAATTATCTAAAGACTGTGGTTCTTTGAATAAGCCAACTCTCAATTCCAGAGTGTTTGTTTTATAGGAGTCTTCAGTTTTCATTCCAAGTCACAAAGAACCACTTGTTCTTCACATGAAAATAAATATGTAGAGAGAGAGAGAGCAAGAAAGAGAGAGAGAGAAGGAATAATTATGTACAAAGGATAAATCAGCTAAACAAAAGTGATTTGGAACTTAAAAAGCAAAAAGGGGAAGAGAGAATGGAGGCATTTCTGTGCACAGGAGGAAGGAAAGAAGTAGTTTAAGGAAAGGTGTGATGTTTTTCAGCTATCTTCTGTCTAAAATTAAAAACTACAAGACTGTGCCTATTTTTACCTTTATTTTTCTCTTGAAATGTTTAAACTTTCACCATGGGTGAATCACAAACCCCTCAACCGAGGCCTAGTGTCCTGATGGTGAAGCCTCCTGGGTAACCAACAAAATGCTTTTCCAAAGCAGGTGCTACCGGAGGACTCTTCTGTCGGGACAGCCCTGGCCTGGGTCTGCCCTGCTTGCTCAGCACCTTAGGGGTTAAGAATAAGCCTCATCTATGTCTTGCTTTGTGGACCTGCTTTAGGCACGTGGAACTGGTTTGATTCTTAGCTGGAGGAAGCAAAACACAGAAAATAAGTCAGGGACAGATGTCCTTAGAGCCAGTGACAATTTAGGTTCCCAGTCAGGAGTGGGAACTTCTACAAAGCACAAAGGTTTCTAGGGCAAGAAGCCACCCAACAGTTGAACCAAATCAGCCCCTGGCTGACACAGCACTCCACCAGGAGGCGGTCCCGACCCAGGCTGAGTTCCAACACTTTCCCCTTGTGAGGGCCAGAAGGACCTTCCTGCTTTCCTCCCTAACCTGCAGGAGACTTGTAAGGCGTCCCCATTCACAGCTTCTGTTGGAATCTGCAGGCCTGCAACTTCCATTACAGACTCCGGGTAATGTTGATGGGGTTTCCCGAGTAATCCTGTGAGATTTGTTTAATAACTATGCTGTTTCAAAACAGAGAAGGGATGGGTGTTCTGATTTAATTAGAAACTCCTATAATCAGTGCCTTTCCCTCCAACCGCAGAGTGTGTGATGCTCCTCCACCGGTGGCTAGGAAGACTTTCTTACATTTGCTGGCAAGCCACTGTGTCCGACACATTGGGGGGTGTCAGCTTTTAATTGTAACTGTCTTGCAGAGCGGTGTTGTTTTAATATCCTGTATAGATTTTTATGTAATACACTTACTTGCAGGCAGCCCGAAGCAAGAATCAATTCTGTGAAGGGCTCTTCTTTTGTTAAAAGCCAGTCTTGTTTTAATGATGCATGAAGAAATATTCGAGCATTGACATTTTTCTGTCAGGTTTCTTTTGAAAAATCAATTAAGATAATACTGCTTTGACCTAGTTATCTAGTTAATGCTTATTAGGAATGTAATATGATTTACTGTCAGCATAATAATTTTTGTATCTTATCCCATTAGCTTGTGCATATTTCAAAGTGTATTACACAATGGTCACTTCTTAAAATGTAATGTAGCAGAATGCATTAATTAGATTGACTAGGATCATTAGACAGAAACTGTCTCATTGGCTCCTTGTATCAAATTTGTATACAATCTTTACCAAGATAATGCATTATTTACATGCCTAGAAACCTGCTTCTTGACCAGAGAGTGGACTTAGCCACTTTCTGCATGCCCAACTATTCTTTTACCAATTACAAATTACTTGATTCTTTTGCTTAAAACTGATTAATTTGGGATTTGTCATTATGCCTGAAATGTAAGCAAAATAAGTCTCCAACAAATTAAGAATTGTCCTCCCAGATTCAGTCCTTAGCAACTTTCCATGCTGCGAACATTCAGATAGTATAAGGTGTGCTGGGAAATCACATAAATATGCAAAATTGAGCATTATTTCAAAAGGGTCCTCGCCTTTCTTTGTTGCCTTTGTGTTAACAACTGTCGATGGCACTGTCAAGAAGGGAGCAATGGCCAAGACCCTTCCAGGGAAATTATTGATTTCTGCCCGTTCGGGATTCTGAAGTAACCAGCGGCACTGCAAGCTTAACCTTGTTAACGTGGAACCCAAGTGAAATCTCTCACCGCTTCCAGCGTGAGGCGGGACCAGCAGTGCAAGTTCGGCTCTCTCAGTTAGGACTCACCCTTGTCCTGGGCATCTGCCGGAATGTGACAGGCGGCCAAGCCACGTGCTGTGCCTCTGAGACGATGCCGGTGAACTAAGGAGTGACACACCTTTGCAAGTCAGGGCTTTCGGCAGCCTCCCCCAGCTGATCATCATGTATTTCTGTTTCTCTGATAGGACCCCGCCAACACGCATATTGACCCAAGGAATCTTCGGGATGGACTCTGCTTCTGATCACATCTTCACCTGCTCGAGGATCACCTGTGGCACGTCGGGCTCTGAATGCAAGCCCCAGGACACCCCATTTCATGCGTCTGCATTCTTAACCTCACTGCGCATTAACATGCATCTCAATGCATCCAAAATACCGCACCCCCATCACATCAGAGAGCATTAAAAATAAGCCAGCTCAATGCACAAAAATGAGGGCGACAATCGGAAACACAATGATGTTTCTAAAGAATGTCCAACCTTAACTGCAGCTTTTCAGTTTCCAAATTCTCTCTTCTTTATCTCGTCATTTCCCTGAATCACTGGGGCCCAACAACACCATTCTCAGTCAGATGTCTGCCTGAGACACATCATTTCAAATTCACCGGTAAAATGTTTGCAGTTACCAGAAGTGACCTTGTTTTACACACCAACGTGATGAATTTATGTGGGTGGCTTAGTGGAGCTGTTCATTTCCAGCTTGGTAATATTTTAATTAATTAAAAGGGAAAAATCAATGAACAAAGATTCTGTTTCCTATGATATTTTATATTTTCTACTTTTATTCAAAATTAAGGGTTTTAACATTTTTTTCGGTTAGTCACAATTTTTGTCTCCCTCCCTCTCCCTGGTTCTCTCTCTTTCTCTCTATTCCCCCACCCTGCCCCACCTCTGATTCTCTCTCTCCATCTTAAAATGTATATCTCCAGGGGCATTTAGGGTGCAAAAGGTTGCCAATTGTTCTTAGTGCAGAGAGCATCTGAATCCTGTAGTGTGTTGATTTGAATAAAGCAAGGAACGCTCTTCCTACCGTGATGGCCTCTTGCAGGGCTGAACGGGAAAGGGACGCGGCACAGTCTGGCAGTGCGTGGGAGCAAACGAAACCTGCACAAAGGGAGGCGGAAGAAAACAGGGAGGGATCTGAACACACACTCAATAGGGATCCATTGTGGAGGAAGCCAAGCTAAGGGAGAGGTGCTGCGATGCTCTCAGGCGTGTGCACATTTGCATACGGGCTCGCAGACCCTGACGCGGCGTCGGGCTTGTCACTTTTAAGCACCCAATTAATTGACTTGACGGTGCGGTGAGCTTCCTCCTTTCAGAGAGATACTACTGCGGACTGCGGTTTTAATTATATGAAATATTAACCGCGGATTGAAATTGGAAACCTGAAGTTATTGTTTAATGATCATTGATCAGATGCATAGTCCAAATAAAGAAAATGAGGGTGGTGGACGTGGGCATTTGGATTTGGGTTTTACGTTATTATCTCGTTCCTAACTAGGCACTTTTCCTGCGTATCTGAACTCTTTTGCCTTTTAACTGTGCCTGCAGTTGCTATAGTGATGGCATAATTTTGTAATGGTCTAAAAATGACACTGGCATAGATACTGACAGATAGGAATTAATTCACTAACAAGTAATTATGTAGCGAAATGTTGACTGCCATGCAGAACGTGCACAGTGACACATTTTCTGTTTTTCAGGGATGGCAGTAACATTAGCGTTGGTCATTAGCGGTAGACATCTCAGTACAGTGTTGGATACAGACTTATATGCAGACCTATTTAGTTACCTGTGTGACAGGCTTGTTCAGGACACCAGAAACAGCTGTCCCAGCCTGTATGAGCCAAAATAATTAGGCCTGTCATCTTCTCGCTCTGATTTCCCCTTCAACCTGCTCCACAAAATGCAAATATTTGGCTTTCATTGTCACATTCACCTTGACATGGATATTGCTTTGGTGCATAACTGGATGAGATGACTCAGAATTTGCATTGTTCATTCTAATAAATTTGCTTCCCCTCCATTGCATGGCAGGACCCATCAGATAAAGTCTCCCGGAGTGTCATCAATCACCAGCCTTGACAGACGGCTTTTGCCTTCATTTGTTACATACGAGAACATGCTTAATTATTTGTCCTGTAATTAGTTGGGAAAATGTCAGGAAATGTCAACTCTCTGTTCGCTGTGGAAGGACTCGGCTTGAAAGCCGGGATGACTGAAGTGTCATTAATGCCACCTAACTAGACGAGGATCAGCTGGGGAGAAGGGAGAGCTTCTAAAAAAGTAATCACGGTGAGTTAGGGGAAACGGAAAATCAGCCCCCATAACAAGATGTGAGTCCTATTAGCAAACAGTTGTGTTTTTTATCTGCTAGTCTTCACAATAAAATGTGGGAGAGCAAACTGAAGAACAAATATGTTGGATTGATATAATTTCTGTCACATTCTCCTTGTCATCTCATAAGCCAATCATGCTTAATGTATTACTATAGGGGGCACCTAATATTTAATTTGCAGATTTAAAGCTCATCTTACCATTCGATCGCACAGTGCAAAATTCAGTGAATATGCAAAGGTGAACAGTTTTGCATTCATCTAATGATGTGATGAATTGAATATGTAAAATTAAAATTGTCATTCTGCTGTTAGAACCCTTTACTAATAAAAGCAAATTGCTGTTAATCATTACTTGGCAAAAGAAGACAAAAACAAAAAAATATGTATATGTAAAAAGATGCACTGAGGATGAAAAACAGGCAGGTCGACTTCAGGCATAGAGTAAGTTCGCTTCCATAGATGTCTTGCCCATGTCGGTAATGCTAAGAAGAGCTCGTTGTTAATTTCAGCAATGGGCTGGAAGACCTTCAGTGTATTTCCTAGCTAACTAAGAGCGAAACAAACTCATTGGGAAGAAGAACAATTTTATCACATGACAGACAACTTCACTGTGAAATGGATTCACCTGGGTTTTTAATTGTTGTGCCACCAGTGCTCCGATATCCAAGTGGCGTGTGCACGGTTGCATTTTGTGAACGATGCTCCTTCATCGTTGTGTTCTGGATGCCGCATTTGTTCATAAAATGCCCTTCGCAAATTCTGCATCACAGGTATCGGCTACTTTCTGTAATGTTGTCACAATAATGTGTTCACATGAGATCTTTCTTTGCTTAATTACTTCTACCATTTTGTGGCTCAAGAACAAGGAAATTATTGTTAGGTCTCTTAACAAAGAGTAATTAGGGGTGACATTCTGTAGTTTAACAATTCACAACTTGTCACAGGTGTAGCTGAGCTGATTATCAGATAAATAAAATAAAGTAAACCGTTTATTCTATGAGGAGTATTGCAGTGGTTCCATGAACAAAAACTACGTTTGAGGCCGAGGCCGTCCCAACTCACAGCACCTTCAGAATACATGAAAATTTCGATTTGCCTGCGGGCCTTGGAAACTGAGTTTACGTTGTCCCTCCTGGTAGATCAGACTTCAGGAAATCAGTTATTTTATCTTTCAAAATGTGCTAAGTGAATGAAGCGAGTCGTTGGAAGCTGGATGACGCAGACATTTAATGACCATTCATTCTTAATATTCAGATTTTTGAGAAAGATAAAACTGTATCCACAATTATTTTGACAGCACAGTCTTTCAAAGCTTATTCTGATTTAATCTTTGTCCCTAAAATACATCCACGTAACATACTATTATTAGTTTTCCTAAGGGGGTGAAGTCCTTCATGTCCACAGCGTGGTAACACTTACACTGTCTTTCCCTTTAAGAACGATCTCTGCTGGGTTTTGAAAGACTCAAGCATCAGAGCGGATGTTGAAACTTCCAGCAATTAGCCACACAGAAGAACAACATTTTCTTTCCATCATCCTGGGATTGTCTTTAGGTTCTATAGAGGTTGAATCATCTTTAACGAATGCCAAGGGGATAGTTAAAAAAACCTTTTTATCCTGCATCAGCCTCCCGAGTAGCTGAGACTACAGGTGCATGGCACCACACCCAGCTAATTTTTGTATTTTTAGTAGAATGGGGTTTCACCATGTTGGCCAGGACAGTCTCAATCTCTTGACCTCATGATCCACCTGCCTCTGCCTCCCAAAGTGCTGGGATTACAGGCATGAGCCACCGCTTGTACCTGGGAGGCAGAGGTTACCGTGAACCAAGATCACACCACTGCACTCCAGCCTGGTGACAGAGCAAGACTTCATCTCAAACAAAAACAAACAAAAAACAAACCTTTCTGTCAATTATGTCTTTCAGTGTTATAGTCTTGTAGAGTGGAAATGGGGCAAGCATTAGAGACATTCTAAAAACCCTCCTTTTAGATAATGGTTGGAGTGGAATGGAAGGGAGCCCCTCCTCATAAATCACCACGAAGAGGTGAGGAATTAAGATGTGATTTCTCACTGCCCACATTTCCCCTGGTCCGTTCAACTTGCCAGAATAAATGGAGATGGTTCTCTCTGTAGACGGCATGCAAAGGCGAGAGCATCCCACCGACCTGTGCAGTTTGCAAACTTGCTTCAACTTCCAGGAGGTTTAAATACGCTTAGCCTCAGCTCATGATACATGATAAGCCACTAATAACAAGGCGAGGGGGAGCAAGTCCCCCGATTACTCCGGCCATGATTCTAACGCAGCCTGGGCAACTCCTCATTAGTAAGCTTCTGTTCTGATTCACACCTTGATGGAGGTTGTATATAAAAGCAGAGCCCTCCTAGGAAATCTTAATAATAGCTACAAATTAAAAAAAAAAAAAAAAAGACGAATTCTTATTTAATAGAAAGCTCCGAGGATAAATGTATTCTAATACTCCAAGGAATACTGGGCTCACCCTCCTTCTCCGTGCAGCTTGGGGGTAAGTACACACAGTTCCTGCCACGGTTCCCCGAACGGGCCAGGGGGACCAGGCAGAGAGTGAAGGAATGCGGCTGTCTTCTGTGCTCTGCCAGGGGGTGGCCTCTGCCCGTGACTGCCCAGCACCAAGCCTGTCGATGCTGGGGTGCAGGCTGTCCCCCCACAAGGGTGCTGGGGGAAGAAACAGGGAGTGGGGAGTCGAGAGGCCACCCAGAAACCCTTTGCTTGGTCTCCCTCGGCGGCTGCCTGTTATTCAGAAGCAGCTGTTTCAGGCAGTTCCAAGAAGACAAATGTCTTTTCAGGGGATTTTGATAAAATAAATCAAAATCATTTGGATAAGGCACATCTTATTAGTGACAAACACTCATGGGTGACTTTGTTTCATGTTTTACTAAATGAAATGTAGAGATTCAGGTTATCACAGGCAAAGTTTAAAAATAGGACTTCCAGCCCTATGCATTTACCTATATATATGTATATAAATTTGTTTTATACCCTCCTCTAAAATGAGTTTCTATGGGGTGGTGGAAGGATAAATTGTTTCTTTTTTTTTAGGGGGGGGTGGTGTGGCCTTTCCTTTTTCTGGAGAAAAAGGAAGGGCCAGAAAATTGGTCAAGACCATTTGCTGCTTCAGAGGTGGAAAGAAACAGATTCTTTCTCTTGAGTAAAGGTATTTTGAATGCACACGAAGCAAGATTCCTGCGGGGCCGTGCCTGTAGCATGGTTAGGTTGGGAGAAATAAGCCCGGCGCCTCCCTGTCTCCAGGTTTGCAGGTTCCAGGGACACGGTGCATATTTCATGAAATGATTAATGCCAGAAAGGAGCTCACATTTTTACATTAACATATTTAAGCATACATAATAAATTGGGAATTCTTACAAATAGATAAGACGAGTTTAATGGCATTATGGACAAATAACAATACAATAAGCTTGAAACAATACATTTAAGAGGAATAAAAACAAAGATGTAAGGTCAGACAATATCTCACATAACATTTGGAAAAGGCTGCCAATTGTTTGGATAACGGTACAATGGCAAAGCCTCTTAGAACGTTGTTAAGTCTTTATTCAGTAATACATTATCATGCATATTTCATAGCAGGGATTACTAAGACAGAATTGTGTGTCATTTTTGTTGTATGTCTTTATAATTACACCTTGAAGCCACAACTAGATTTTTTTTTAAACTACATATTCATGAAAAGCGGACTTGTAATTTGATAAAGGGGAGCTTGTGTTCCCGTCTCCATTCAAACGGCATCATGAAGCAGAATTAAAGTAGGCATCTGTGTTCTCCGGCATTAATCTCCTCAAGCACATTCCAGCTGCTATGATGTGCAGGAGGGAGATAAGTCCTGAACGGACTGAAGCTGAGCGGGCCAGACAACTCTATTATTGGCTTCATAATTGCTTAATTAAACTTTTGTCACTAATCATTATGAGGGCAATAGAGCTGTTATACTGGCTTCTGTTAAGCAAAAATCAATAAACTGTTGGAGTTAATTTCGCCGTATTTTTTGTCCTGCAAATGAAATTCATTGCTGCCGGTTAGTGATCTGTGTGGCTGGCGACCGACTGATATGAACAGCCATCACCATTTGAATTGAGGGTATTCAGTAGCACATGAATATGAACAAATGGCAAACATAAATCTCTTGCATGAAGTACACCTTCTATCCCTTTATTATGGAACAATTGACCCATCTAAAATGAATTCTAATGCCAGGAAAGCGTTTAGATTTAAATTACACCATGGTCTTCTGGATCTGAAAGATGGTGGCATAAAAAAGATTAATATGCTAATTATTTTTCTCCTTATTTTTTTCCTTCGACATCCATGGTAGGGTATTGTGAAGCGTGTAAATAAGATGACTGTTTTGTCAAGAAATGGCTCTGAGGCACACTATATTCCATTGCAATTTAATTTGTTTATTCAAAACCTCACTCCAGATTTTAACTGTGTTTGCAGTAACACTTTATTTTTCACATAATGTTTTCCTTTCACAAAGAATTCCTGGAATAAGTAAAGCATGTTTTTGTTTATTGAAATAGATTTAATGGTATTATGAATGATGATATACTTAACCAAGGCTGTATTTATAAATTCCTGTCAAACTTATATTTTCTTCCCCTCTTCTCAGGCTTCTAGGATTGATCATGGGTGTTGCTGTCTCTCTCTGTCTTTTGTACTGGGCAGGAAAATGGAGGAGGTGTGCAGGACGTTTTGTTCTTTATGCTTTATCCATCCGGCAACTTACTCCAGAGCCTCCAATGGCACCTCCTGACATTCTTCATATGAAAAATTAAAAAACGAAACAAATAAAAGCTCAGGCTCTCCGGGCGCATCAGCCTGATGTGCAGTTAGCACTGAAAGCCGCGTCTGTCTGGGCGTCGCAGGAGCGGTCTAAAGTGTTTACTCTGCTTCTTCTCAGAAATGGCTTTGATAGCGCCAATAACCGCTACAACCGGAAGCGAAATGAAAGGGGGGGGGACTTTTTTGAAATGATGTTTCGGTGCCGCCATGCACTTTTCATGCGTCCTGGCAGGTTCACACTGTGCTCCCAGGCTGCAGCTGGCTCACTGCGGCCGGAGCCTGCCAGGCGGGTTCCCGCGGGCGCAGCCGAGGGTGCAGCTAGGCTCCGGGTCGCCCGTGCTGCCCCCAGGGTGGTGGAAAGGCCCTGGACATTCTTCTGAAACTAGAAAGTCAAGTCCGATTGTAGAAAGAAAATGTTTATTCTATGAAGATAAAGAGAAGAGAAAAACTCCATTCTGAATGCTTTATTGCTCTGTGCCCAAAAATAAAGGAAAATTAAAAAAATAAAAAATTAAGAACCAGATAAAAATCCTATACTTTTATTTCTGTAAGTGTAGGCAGTTCTCTACATCATCATGGCATAGATTTATTCCTAATGAGTTGGCTTTTCTTTCTGTTTTTTGTTTGTTTGTTTGTTTTTGTTTTTTTGTTTGTTTGTTTTTTGAGACAGAGTTTCCTTCTTGTTGCCCAGGCTGGAATGCAATGGTGCGATCTCAGCTCACTGCAACCTCTGCCTCCCGGGTTCAAGCGACTCTCGTGCTTCAGTCTCCCTAGTAGCTGGGATTACAGGCACCCGCCACCATGTGCGGCTAATTTTTAAATATTTTTAGTGGAGACGGGGTTTCACCATATTGGCCAGCCTGAACTGACCTCAGGTGATCTGCCTGCCTTGGCCTCCCAAAGTGTTGGGATTACAGGCGTGAGCCACTGCGCCCTGACTACTTGGATTTCTTTGTGAAAAAGGATACTGAAGGTTTGGGTTCATTTGGAGGCAGCAGGGGCAACTTACTGCACACTGATGGAAGGGGAAGAATGCCTGTCCAGGGGGCTGGCACATAGCAGGTGTTCAGTTAATGCTGTGTAAGGATGGAGGGATAAATATGCATCCACGCACCTTGCATTTCAGGAAGGGTATAGAGTGACGAGACCCTCCAGATCCCAAATCCTTGCTACTGTTTCCTTTTTTGGGTCTAATGATAAACCCTGGCTTTTCAGGATGGGAGTGACTAGGATGGTGGCACTAAGAAACCAGGTGAGGAGGAGAAGCCCACGCTGCCCCTTTCCAAACTAATAGACATGCATTTCCATCTCAATTTGGTCTGAGCTTATGTATTTGCCAGAATAATTTTAAATTATTCTCTTTCTCAGCCCCCAGCCCTGACAATCAATGTTTTATGTGGGGAGAGAAACACTGCACCTTCTAGGAGCATGATTTGTGTCATTGTTGAAATTATTATTATATCCATACAGTCTCAAAAAGGGAGGGACAGGTTGCTGATAAATCCTCTTCTAATAAAAAAAGTCTGACATCATAAAAGTGGCTCCTACAGGATGCATATTCTTAAGTCCCAAAACAACTTCCCACAAATAAAAGAACAGCATCGTAGGAAATGCTATTTAAAATCACATGTAGATTAAAACAGGCACAGCCATGCATATTGGGATTTTAATTTTCATTATTGCATTCATTATATGATTTAAATGAGATTACAGCATAACACACACTGTATCTTGTGATTAAATAACAATATTTAAGCCCCCTGTAAATCTTATAGGTTATTCCTTTCTAAAATTGCAACTTACTCATTTCGACATGCATTATGTATTGAGTTTCAAAGCTACATAAAGCTTGTATAAATATGTGATTTTCCTCCAAGAACACCTAGAAGTAAAAGGGATTAGAAACCTTTTGGCTGGATTGAAAATGATGTAGGTGGTGAGGCTGAGTAAAGCCACTGGGACGGCCAAATTAAGCAAGCTGGTCCTCTGGAATTTTCCTGACAGACTTGCTACATAGGTCAGGTCCCAGAGGAGATTTTTACAGAGATCTCAAAAGTACCTTGCATTTCTACTTGAGAAACAGTAATCCCTCCCTCTGCAGCCGACTGAGAACTGATCTCGAACCTTAGGTGCACTGTATACTCCCTTTGAATAAAAAATAATGTGAATTTTTATTTTTATAAAGTTTAATATTTGAAAACATTTAATGGTACCCTGGTCCAGGCACTTGCTCACTTCCTTTATTAAATGTGCTTTTTGTTCCCTGGATGCAGTGCAGCCCTGGACAGATGAAGTTGATCTCACAATGTTTTTATGAGTATACTGAAATTCAGTCATGATGTTAGCACTGGAGAGAAGGGCACTGGTAGGTTGTGTATGTCATCCCCATTTGTTATGTATAAGTGAGTTTCCAAGATAATCATTTGACCCATTTCATGTACAGATACGTTCAGAGTTGACTAGGTTACAGTGAACCGTGGCTGGTGGTCAACGTTTACTGAGGGTTTATAGTGTTCTTAGGAATGTAAAATATGAATCCTTCATGTCCAACAGCCTATTTTTCCTTCTAGAGTCAAAGTAGAAAGAAAGAGAGAGGGAAGAAGAGAGGGAGCGATATCAACAGAGAAATAAACTTAAATATAAGAAAGAAAATTAAATGTAAAGGTAGTAAGTATATTAAAATGCATTTAAATATAATAAAATAAATAAATTTGTTCAGATCATTTTGGTGACTATTATAATTTGGTTTTAAAATGTTTTAATATTTAATTTAATTTTGTGTTGTTTTGTAAGCATCATGCTTCTATGACTTAATACCTGAAGGAACATTTCAGAGTCAAATTTAAAACAAACAAACAAAAACAAACCCTCAATGCAATTGGAGATAATGAAGGGAAAATATAATTCTGAGAAGGGAATTGCCCAGCTAGATAATTCTACTCACCAGCTCAGTGACCATCCCTAGGGCCCTAGGCCTTCCCTAGGCCAGCCCCCATCTCCCTGGTTCCTTGTACAACTTCTCAACAGGCCCTGGGCACAGAGGGCAATTTCCTGCAGCCCCAGCCGGTCCCTGATGACACCACACTCTTTCTTCCTCAGTTCTTCCTCCTGCCCACAGGACCCTCAGCCTGAGTCCAGCCATGTCTCAACTCCAGCCGCTCCACGGCATCACGTGGGCCGTGCGGCCCAGGCCGAGCCCTCCCTGCTCTCACTCCCCTGTTTCTGGCACAGAGCCACACTTTGAAAAGTAGGACTCATCTTGTCATTTTCTTCTGGTAGAGAAGGCATGAACTAGTCTTCGTAGAAAGCAAAAAACAATGACAGACCAAAAGAAGAAGCTTAAAATCACCCATAACACCCAGCTCGGAAATAACCAGTGCTGGCATTTGCACGTACAGCTTGCTGGGACCCAGGCACAGGGGCCTGGTGTGTGTTTGTTCAAATAGTCTAATTTCTTGCGGAAGAAGAGGCATAACTTGTCTATACTTGTGTCCCACCTAAAACCTCGCACGGTAGGATGAAGTCAAGAAAGCGCATTTTGCCGTTAAAATCTGCACACTGAATGTTGCGAAGCCTTCATAAACTCACTTTCTGAATATGTTTTTCATCACTTAAAATGGGGAAAACCCTGGTCTTGGGCAGCATTGTCCCCTGGCACAGCAGTCTTAGTGTTTATCGTTTGTTCTCAGATATTTGTTAATTAAATGAATTGTTTAAAAGCACGCTTACTGTTTTCTTTTTTTCCCCGTGCACTGTGACTTCTTAATTTTCTGAATAATAAAATGTGCGGTGCTTCTGTGGATGCGACGGCAAGGTACCGGCTGGATGGGTGCTGCGGGGGCTGCGTCCGCCTCCACTGGGTGGGCTGGCCCCGGCTCTGCGTCCAGGCTCTTGCTGCCGGGCTGACCTTGCACACGTACCTGATAAGGAGAAACAACATTTCAGAGTCAAAGATTTCACTTCCTCAACTATTCATCACAAGCAAAACACCCCAAACGTTTTCATAGAGGTTGCTATGCCTGAACACAATTGTTTAGGAAATTAAACTTACCTGAATTTTCTAACCAGGTCTTTGACTCCCATCACTAATTGTTTCCTCAGGAACTGGGCTAAGGCAAGAAAGTGCATTTTGCCATTGAAATCTGCACACTGAATATTGCTAAGCACTCATAAGGTCAATTCTTGAATATGTTTTCATAATTTTAAATGGGGAATGCTCTGGTCTTTAGCAAAATTGCACCTTAGACACACAGCAATCTTACATGCCCCCTCCTGATGACACTGGCATGACACTTGGCCAATGCAATTCACCATAGAAATTATTGACATAGTAATTTGGAAATGAGAGAGAAGAACTTTCCTTTTTCTTGCCAATGTCTTCTCTTCCTCACACAGTGAGGATACAGAGCAGTTAATTTTATCATTATTCTATGTATTGATGAGATATTAGAAACAAATTTAAAAGTAATCGAATATGGACTTTTTAGTTTTTTCAACCCAGGAGCAAACTTGGAGAGAGATTGTAAATGTGAGTGTAAAACGGGGAAAATGTTCCTGGACAGCTCCTGGGAGGCTCTAGGCAAATAGCTGCATTCCTAAAATCATCGTGCATTTTCTGTTCATAAAAAAAAAAAAAAATCAGCCACACACTGAGCTTCATTTTCTCTCTCCAGACCATCTTCACTGTGGTGCAGCCTTCCTTGTCCACCTGCAAAAACGTTTGCAGTAAAATGAAAAACATTCTCCACTCTTCTTTGAATGTAAACTGTTAGATAGTGTTGTTTTCCTTTAATCACATACAAAATTTACGTAGCCTTAACAAGGAAGAAAATGGCTTTAAAGTAGGTTTGGTTTAATAACATAATTATGAGGACTATATTCCTTCTAACTTCAAAGTGGGGACATGTGAGGTGTGATTTTGTTCCACTTCAAGCACGACACATTTTACTCCAAAGCATCTCTATTTCCTGAGACCCAAAGCCAGAGCAGGAACTGAGCTTTTCCAGAAAATCACGATGAATTTACAAGGTGTTTTTGGGAACTCTGGGTTAGAGCTTTTCTTTAGTGAAAGCCAGATTATTAATAGACTGAACACGGTTCCAGCGAAAGGCAATATTCTCTTGGAAGAGAAGTAGATTTGGGCTGTAACCAGTGATGGTCTGTGGGTCACTCTGGATTTTCTTCAGAATATGGGGGGCTGTGAGGAGACCACTCCCCAAATGTCCAGCAACCTCTTTCGCTCCCATTTCCAGAGACAGGCAGCATGGGAGCTTTGTAAACAAATTCCATGGCCTTTTCAGGAAGCCCTTTCTGGCGGCCCATTGATACCACTGTTTATTCACGAAAACTCCTGAAGCGTGGCAAGCATGAAAACATGGTATTAAATGTGGAAACTTTAATTTTCATCTCATTAAGAGTGCATGAATTGAATACTAATTATAAAAAGTGAAGTAAAATAAAAAATGCCTGCTTGAGGGAGTCCAATTAAACTAACTTTGCCTTGACTGCATTCATAAAAATAGCAGGTACTCAATACAAATAATTCAATAACTAACCTGTATTAGTTACTGGCTTAAAGAACATTAAGAGGCTGGGCGTGGTGGCTCACGCCTGTAATCTCAGCACTTTGGGAGGCCGAGGCGGGTGGATCGTTTGAGGTAAGGAGTTCGAGACCAGCCTGGCCAACATGGTGAAACCCCCATCTCTACTAAAAATAGAAGAATTAGCATGGTGTGGTGGTGGGTGCCTGTAATCCCAGCTACTCAGGAGGCTGAGGCAGGAGAATCCTTTGAACTCAGGAGGCAGGGTTGCTGTGAGCCAAGATCATGCCACTGCACTCCAGCCTGGGTGACAGAGTGAGACTCCACCTCAAAAAAGAAAGAAGGAAAAAGAAAAAGTAACATTATGAAAAATCTGAGATGGCTCCTACGAGAGAGGCGTCATCATAATACCTCATATATGAGACTTTATTGCCATACCTGTTTTAGTAATACCTTTGCCAGTTTTTAAATCTTGCATTCTCAACTCCCTGGTTCTGAAAACAGACCTACTTTCTTTAAAACATGTAATGGGTTGTTTGCCATGACTTTCAAAGTCAAGGCATGTGACAGGTACCCTAAGTGGCTGTGTCCTCCTGGCCAAAAATCACAGCCCAGGGTCCAGACATCTCTGTGTAGAGGGAGGGATGGTTGCCGAGGCCCCTAGGGGAATCTCTGCTGTCCCTGGAGTGGGATCTTCCTGCTCAAGCTTTTAGGAGCTGTCAGAGGTCACAGCAGGGGCTCAGCCCCTGGTCCTGTGGCAGCGCTGGGGGCCCCTGCGCACCCAGCTCCTCAGCCACAGCCATGGCCTCACACAGTGCCCTCTGCCGAGCGAGCCACAGCTTCTCCCACCTCTCCCTGCTCTGGGAGGCAGGTTTCCTTCCCCTCTGTTGCCAATATCTTGTCATGCTTAAAGAGCAAACAAAACATCAAAAGCTTACATATAATGTTAGTGAACAGTACTCTCAAGTACAGGAACCTCTGTTTATTATTGTAAGAAAACTGAGCTAATTTCTTTAAAGCAAGGCAGACAGGCGTCGCCACCCTGCTCCGGATGCCCAGTGTGGTTTTGTGTGACCTGCTGGGGCTTGTTGTTTGGAAATCGGAGCGTTGCATTTTAGCCACATTGATGTCTTTGTAAAGGTGATACATGTGGTCTGTCTGTCAGACAAATACCCCAACAAGTACAGGTATTTATCAAATTACCTTTAAACGCGCAGGTTGGAGGGGCCTTTTCAGCCAAACGTGGGAAGGCGAGCTCAGCTCATTCACACAGAAATCACTTAATGATAGTTAATATCGCCCTGTAATCTCTGCAGCTCCCACTTAATTGCAACGTTTTGAAGTCTGTCTGCACCCCCAGAGGACGGCGGATCCTTCCCTCTTAAGACAATTCAGGTGGTCCTGGCGCTCACGCCCAGGCGGAAAGGTCAGTGAGAGCAGTGACCTGCAGCAGCAGCAGCCAGGCTCCTCCGCCTGGATTTTCTTTTCTACTTTGGAGAGGCCGCTCCCATGCAGCCCCTGCAGAAGGTGCCTGGGGAAGCGCAGGGAATGGGCGTGGGCTGCTTTGAAAAGGAAAGGCCAATATTGTGTGTGTGTGAATGTGTGTGTGTGTATGTGTGTGTTTCACAACCAAATCCTCAGATTTTGAAAAGCCACACATTTTAGCAAATGACCTTGTTTGGAAATACAAACTAAATAGTCTAAAAATATTTAGTGACCTTCACTGTGTGGAGGGAAAATTGGAAAGTGGGATGTCATCCGTAGCATGGAGAGGATTTTATAAATGTTTTAACTGTAAAAGTTCCTCTCAAATAACTTCTTTCCCCAATAGTGCCTGATCTTTCCTCAGTTCCTGATGAAGTAGGATTCAAGTTAATGTTCTCCAGTATCTTCCTCTCTCCCGCCTAATTCACACTGGCTTTACCCTCGGAGCTATATGAATAAACAATTAAATAAAAACTGATGATTTAAACATTTTTTATTATGTCTTCTTTCTTTTGATTACATAGAAACAGACTCAATAATCATTGCTCATCTTTTCCAGCCAAATTAATAAAACCATCAACAAATTAAGAGACTCAACATTACCACTTTTGCTTGCTCTAAAGTTCACAGATCTACTTGATATTTGTGTGTAATAATTGATTTTTCAGTGTAATCGAAAAGACACTGAAGTGTGCTCCATGCATATCTGTTAGGAATATCAAAGTGCTAACGAAAAGCTGGCAGCAATTTGACCTGTAAAGCCTTTGAATACTGTGGCCCAGAAAAGTTGCAAGTAAAATTCCAGCCACAAACGTAAAAGACTGGTAGACTAGGATTGTGATAGAATCCTTCATGTGTTGAATATTTTATTTGCTTTTTGAAGCAAGATAGTATGTACTTTTTAAAAGTGTGAACATGTTTTCCTCAGCAGACATACGGCTTAAGGGTTCCATTGGATTGGGAATTATCTTAATTAAAATTATTCATATGAGCTGCCACAAATTTCCAATTCTTTGCCTTTTTTTTTTTTTTCTGCATCATGGGTGAAGCATTTCTGTTTCCTTCTTCAGCTGGAGTTAGCTGGCCATCATGCATGTAAAGCTGCATTTATTCCCCACTGCTCTCATCAGGAGCTTGCCTTGGGCCACGGAGGGCCCACCTTTTGCTCTCCTGAGTTCGGGAGTGGGCGGCAGAGGACAGGAGGGACTGGGCTGGTTGGATTCCAGCTCTTGAGCACCGTGGCTCAAGACTGCCTCTTCTGGAGGGTCTCCCAAGCACCCTCCTTGCCAGGAAAGCCAGCTCAAGACTGATGGTATCTCTAAATGTACATCTTCATCTGCAGCTCCTCCACCTTCTATTATAAAACTGGCACCCGAAGTGGGTTATGCTGCCAGAAAGGTTCACCGTTGCTTCAGGTAGACACAGGGCGACCTTGCGATCCCCTCCAAGGATGAGTACACTAATTGATTAAATAACCCCATGTCTACTGCCCATAGAGCAGGGGCTGCGGTGGAACAATGGCTATATATGGGAGGCCTCCCTGAAGCGGATTTGGGCATTAATTACACCCATGCTATGGGCTGATTTTTGTCTTATTTCCTTTTGTCTTGGAGATGACTGCCTGGACTTCAAAGGATGCTTTAAATTTGAATCTCTTCTCCATGGCAAAAGCCAGTGTTAAAAGACTGGGATTACAATAAAAGTTCTGTAGTTAAATGCCTGAGCTCATCATTGCACAAACTTCACAACAGTTAATGACATACATAAACCTATCATAGTTTTCAAGACAGAATGGTTTTAGAGTTTGGCATGGGAAATTCACACCCATTTATTTAAAGACCAGAAAGCATGCTTTTGATTTTCTTACCATAAAAGGCTTAAGAGACGTAGGCTTCCTAGGTTCTAACAAATATGTTGTCTCTGAATACATAGTAAATATCCCCAAAGCTAATCAAGACTGAGGCTGGTGGTGACCACTGAACAGTGTATGTATTTATTAGCCTTGTGTTCAAATCCACTTTGGATCCACACATTCACCCTGAATCAGATGGAAGCATTTTATTAATTTCTAAACAAAAATTTTAAGGGTGAGTGGTTTTACCCTGTCTGGCCACTACGCAGACAAATAGATGAAATCTAAGCATGAAGAGGTGTTGTGGTTTGTGCATTAGCATAACTTGTCCTGGCAGACACACCCTCTGCGATCCTGTCGCCTAGTACTGAGTGAAGGGGTCTTCATCCTAACAGACGGATGCCCGGTTAGCATCCTTGGGCTCTCTAAGAGTCCATTTCTGTGTATATTTGCATCTTTTTCTGGTGAAAATCCTTTTTCGAAGCTTCCCCGACTGTTTTCCCTTCTTCCCTGACACCCAGGCTCACACATTGTTTTCTGACAACCCCTTTGCTAATTTTGCTAACAGGTTCCTGCCTCTTGTAAAACATTACATCACAGCATTCCTGTGCAATTATTCTATACATGAATTAGCACTTACTTTGCCTGAGTGAATGGCGTTTGGAACTTTTTGTTTTGTTTTGCTGTGCTGTGTGCCTGAGTGTGAGTGTGTCTACAGGGCGTGTGTCCCTTTGTGTGGGGTACGTGCACACACATATATAGAAGCAAGGCGATGCCCCCGATGATCTCAATGGCTTTGTTGCACATCCGTTATCGTGGCTGCTTGATTTCCGTAGAAATCAATCTAAAGAACCCGCGGTCCTGTGGCGTGATTTCCTGGGACTGACTTCCTGGAGAGGCTACTGCGGGATGTGAGGGGCTGGCAGGAGCGGCCCTCCCTGGCCTTGGCCATTGTCTTTCCGGAGAGGCATTCTGCCCCCGCTCCCGTCACTTGCGATGAGTCCCCTTTCCCAGAGCGGCGCACTCTCCAGGCCAGCAGCACAAAAGATTGCTTTGCTCAATCTTGAGCTTGGGTGCGCCCGGCACGAGCTCCGTGACGACCATTCTCAGCTGCTCCTCGTCCCCAGTAATTAGCCTGTCACGGCTGCTGCCTCTTGTGGCTTTGCCTGTGAGAGACATTTGACACAGCAGACATCAGAGGGATTTTTCAGGAGGCTCTTGTGGCGTCCGAATGGCTCTTAATTAACCACTTAGGTATCCGCCTTCACTCCCCTGCCTGGCACTTTCCAAATGGTAGGGGTTGCACTGTGGATCTAAACACCGGGGAAGCATGCTATCAAAAGATCTTGTAAATGAAGGCTTGTGTAAATTATTTTTAATGATTCCCTCCTGGCACATCATTATGTTTGTAGTTGCACACAGGCACTTCAGAGATGGCTCCTCTTCCGCGAGGTCAGCTGCAGGACC
Organism: Homo sapiens; assembly: GCF_000001405.40. Lineage (NCBI taxonomy): Eukaryota > Metazoa > Chordata > Mammalia > Primates > Hominidae > Homo > Homo sapiens. Next base: position 3,198,269 of record NC_000005.10, read on the forward strand.
GCCGTAACTAGCTGCAGTCAGTAAATGGCTTATTAATTAGCACCGTGATTTTACATTGCTAAGAGCTCTGATGTATGGAGCTGGAATTGTAATTGTGTAGGATCGAAATAATAAGCCATCTCAGGGCTCCTTATGCAAATTGGCATATTATAAAATCATTACCTATCTAAACACTGAGTTTTAATAAGAATTACCATGATGAATTTTATGATAATTGACACTCAAATTTTAATCTCTTGGATTTTTATCATTTTGGTGGTTAAAGTGTGTTTCTAATTAAATGTTGCTTAAAATGCAAAGGATTGTTTAACAATTCTATTCCGTTCTTCTACTTCAAATCAGGTTATTCTCTTTGGTCATAGAAAATACGCCTTCTTAGTAATAGATACGTGACATTATGTAACACATGTACAGAAAGATGTTTAATCGTCACTTTTTTTATGAGTATGGTTTTGATGACGATGTATTGTCAACTGTGAGACAAAGAACATTAAATGGTGCTGGGCTTGACTCCATAGTAAGGGTGATACACCATGAAGAAGCAAAGCCAAGGAATATTGTTACATCTTTATAAGAGCTCATGGGTTTGGGGTGGGGATTGACTTTTTAAATAATTATGGCTTCAGTAACAAATATTTTATCTTCTCAAACCCATGAAATGCAATTTAATTTAAATGTATTGATTTTAAAATCACTTGCCAATATTATGATTTATGTATGGCATCTAGTAATAAATGATATCATAGTTGTTTCAAAAGCAAACTCTAATAAGCAAAGGAAGAAAAGTAAAGTTTTCTTTTTATTTGGTCTAGAACAAATAACTGTGAGAGATATCATCAGAAGACATAAGCTACACCTCACTGAAATAGTCAGAAGGTTAATATAATCACTACCCCCATGATCTAAATAGAATTATCGTGCTTTTTTGAGAACTGACGCGATTTGTGCATGAAAGAAGTTTTTTCTATTTGTTGTGATGTTGCGTTTATCTCTAAGAACATGGGAAACCTGGCATGTAAATAATATGAGATTGAGAAAACTAAAAAACAACAAAACACACACACGCAACTGGATTTCAAAAACAAAATAAAGCAGTTTTTAGAAAATCAATGTTATAGCTTTTTGAGAGGAACAGGTGCACCTGTGGATCTTGATGATTTTATGAACATGTTACAGATTAAATAAAGGAATTTAACATGGGATGCATTCCAGGTAAGCCTCGGTGGGACTCCAAGGGTCTGTGTCCGAAACGTGAAGGACGAGTTCTGCCTCCCAACGGCCTGGAAGCCAAACTGGGTGAGGGCTACAGAACCTTAGGATGCTGGAGCTGGGAAGCCTGGGGAGTCCCCTTGTGCCACTGTTCTCTTTACGAGTCACCTGCTCATCCACAGGAGAACTGGGAATGGGAAGCTGTCTGCCAGAACCCGACATGGCAGCGCCCATGTTTAGGATGCTTCCTCCCTTTCCCTCTCCTTCTTTGTCCTCCAGGAAGTGACCAGGAGGACTCATGATCTCACCCATGTCCCCTTCCCCATACCTAACTCTGTTTGGGGTGCTGTCCATCCTCAGAAAGGCCCCACACTCCAAACCTCTTCCAACGTCCTGAGTGCACTGCCCCAACACCTGATCCACTCACTGGGGAGTCTCTGGGGGCTGCAGGGTCTCCTGCGCAGCTAATGCATCTGTGCTTGAGCTTGCATGAAGACGTTTCACGTGCAAAGAAACAGAAAAACAGCAGCCTGGCCACCCCATTCTATCAATGCCCTGAGCCTTGTTCCACCTGCCTGTGCACATCTCAGGAACAGTCACCTGGGACGCCTGTGTTTTGGCACGTGGTTTTCCCAACTCCTCCGTCAAGCAAAACTGCAGTGTGTGTAGGAAACCCCCGGAGGCAGCTGCATACCTCTCTCGATGCCTCTGACTTCTTTCTGCAGCCCAGATTTACTGCTGCTTCCTTCTCAATGGATTCCGCCTCCTTCTCTTTGCAACCAGCCTGCACCTCCAGATGCTGCTGCCCCGTGTCCCGGTCACACCCTCCTGCTGCTGACAGGCTCCCCATGATTGCCTCTGCACCCTCAGCCTGGAAACTGAACCCCCTTTGTCGGTGTTTTGACCTTCAACCTTGCCATGCACTGTTTCAGTTGCCAGGGAGACAGCTGTGACCCAAACCACATGCCCCGGTTCTCCTGGGTCTCCCATTTTGGAGGTTTGTGTCTAATAAATCACTGCAGGAGGGAGCCAGGTGCCTCCCCTGAGAGCTTTCCCTCAAAGCTTCCGGAGCCTTACAGAGGCCGAGCTTCCTGCTCTGGCCCTGCCCAGGACACAGTGAGACTGGGTGTGGAGACAGAAGCCACCAGATGTAGGTATCTCCTCCCCTGCTCCCTTCTGTCTTCAGCAGGTGGATATGCCGGCTCTGGGCTGCTGCTGAACCTGTGGCTGGCTCTGAGGGATGATGCCTTTCCTGAGCTGCTCTTCTAAAAAACAGTCCAGATTATCTGCGAGACATCTAGGGTAGGACCAAGTTTTGGCCAAGCAGAGAGCTGATGCGAGGGCGCTGCGTCCTAAGAGGTGTGGGCTCAATTCCTCCCTCTTCTGGTTTCCCCCCAGGCAGCCAAATCAGAGCCCTACTAATTTTGGAACTTGGCCCCATATTGGGAAAACACACAGTCCATTGGTATGTGCTCAGAGGAAGAAACAAAATGCTTGGCTGTCGTTTCAGCCGATCAGAAGCTTCCCAGCTTAGGTGCAGGAGGGCTGGAGGGGCCACGTATGTGCAGCTTCTTCTGGAGGCCTTCAGGCCCGTCACCCCCATCTCTCACCTCCACCATCAGCACGATGGTGCCTTCTTGTCCTCACCCCTGCATCCAAGCATCCACCATGGCAGTGGGGCATTTGAGCCCGACACCCCATCTCTATTAGTTTCTTGTACGGCTATAACAAGGTGCCACAAACCAGGCAGCTTAAACAACAGGAATTTATTCTCACAGTCCTGGAGGGCTGGAGTCTGAAATCCAGGTGTCACAGGGCCACGCTCCCTCCAAGGCCTCCAGGGGAGGAGCCCTCCTGACTCTCTGGCTTCTGGCAGTGGCCAGTGACCCCGGCGCTCTGGGACGTGCAGGTTCATCCCTCCCCTCTCCGCCTGGCATCTCAGCCTGTGCCCAAATCTCCCTCTTCTTACAAGGATACCATTCATTGGTTCAGGGCCCACCCTACTCCGGGATGATCTCATCTAAGTGTAGCTAGTTGTATCTGCAAAGGTCTTCTTTCCATTTGTACATTTTTTAACTTTTATTATTTTTAACTGGCACATAGTAATTGTACACATTTATGCGATGCATTGTGACATTGCTCTACATGTATACAACATGTAATGATCAACCAGGGTAATTAACATAGCCATTACCTCAAACGGGACATTTCTTTGTATTGGGAACATTCCCATTTCAATTCAATCTCTTCCAGCTGATTGAAAATATACAGTAAGTTGCAAATTACAGTCACCCTACAGTACTATACAGCACTAGAACTGTGTCTCCTGTTGAGTTGGGCTTGTGCATCCGTTAACTACTCTCTGGCTTGTGGAGGCCACGTGCCGAGGTTTTGAGTGGACAAACATTTTGGGAGACACCATTCAATGGTGACACCACCCCAGCCAAGGAAGGAGGAAAAGGGTAAGGGGTGCTCCTGCCTGCTCTCTTCCTCCTTATCCTTTTATGCAGAACACAGGCCTTTGCAGAAGTCCATCCTGTCTCCATAGGCACAAGCCTAATTTCTTTATTGGCTAAAGTGGGTCCACTGCATGAGGTGGTTTTGTGCAGTGTCTCCCCAGACCCCCAGTAAGGACGGCGCTGGAAGGTTGGATGGCGAGCAGGATGACAGCTGTGGTGCCTTCACCTCACACCCTCCGGTCCGGAAGCCTCTGCCCCTGTGTGGAGCTAGAGCAATGAGGTCCTCTCAGAGAGCCCTGCACCTGCAGCCTGTCACCTCTTCCTCCACCTTCTCCAGCAATGAGGTCCTCTCGGAGAGCCCTGCACCTGCAGCCTGTCACCTCTTCCTCCACCTTCTCCAGCAATGAGGTCCTCTCGGAGAGCCCTGCACCTGCAGCCTGTCACCTCTTCCTCCACCTTCTCCAGCAATGAGGTCCTCTCGGAGAGCCCTGCACCTGCAGCCTGTCACCTCTTCCTCCACCTTCTGCAGCAATGAGGTCCTCTCGGAGAGCCCTGCACCTGCAGCCTGTCACCTCTTCCTCCACCTTCTCCAGCAATGAGGTCCTCTCGGAGAGCCCTGCACCTGCAGCCTGTCACCACTTCCTCCACCTTCTCCAGCAATGAGGTCCTCTCGGAGAGCCCTGCACCCTGCAGCCTGTCACCTCTTCCTCCACCTTCTCCACCAGTGCCTCCACCTAACCTCTGGAGCAATTCTTGTGGGCAAGTGGAAGACAAGTGGACCACGCGGTGGAGACATCTGACTGGCACAAATCGGCGTGGGGACCCGCGGCCCACGGCCTTGTCTCGGGACACGTGGCCCACAGCCCCATGTCAGGAGCTGGCCTGGTCGTCTTGCTTGTTTGGCCTCTGGGCTCGGGCTGGGTCTGGCTCTGCTCATTTTGCTCTAATCCCAGGCTCAACACGCTTCCCTCAAACTCTAATTTTTGTGTTCCTCATTCCTGGAAATTCCTCACCAAAGCAAATCCCATTTCCTCCTTTTCCCGTGAACGTTAGGTGGTTGATGCAGGCCACATCAGCGTTGGTACACGTCACCTAACTTTCAAAAGTGACATCAACGTAATAGAACGAGTGTGGCAGTTCCATGCTAGCCTCTGACTCTGTAGGCAGATAAATAGATCCAAAAAATTCTTGGATGTCATCAAAGCAAAATTCAGATTCTTGTTTAGTACATGACGGCACTTGGAATAACCTTCACAAGCCATTAACCACCTAAATAAGAAGGCACTATGTTCCTCACTCATCAACATACAGAATGTAACTACTGACTTCTCAGTGAAGTTCTGTTTTAAAGTCATGAGATAATGCCTGGGTAACAGAGCAGATGAGTTGGAAATGCTCACTGCCCCTCAGTCAAATTCTCTTTCTTTCTCATCCACAGGACTCTGACTGTGTGCTGGGAGCCCGGTGCAGACCTCGTTCCAGCCTCCTTTGCAGCTCGATGTGGCTGTCTGGCTGATCCTGGCCAGTGAAATGCAAGAGCAGGTGTGCGTAGGCTCCTCCAAAGCTGCCTAATGCCAGTGCCTCCACCAGGCATCTCCTGCAAGCCCACTGCCCTCTCCCTCCTGCAGCCTGAAATGTGAGTGTGCATTCCAGGGGCTGTCAGCCACCTTGGCCCAGGAGAGGACTTTGAGAAATGGAGTCCATGTGGGATGCAGAGGCCACAGAGTGAGCATCCAGTCCCTAGCAATCGCATTTAAGCACCGGGTCTGTAGTCTCTCTGCTGGCAATGGAATGCACTTTTGAGCCGAAACAACCTCTTCCCCTACATCCCTCCAGCATGCTAGAGTCCAGTGAGTCTGTGGGGTTGCGCTGGTGCAATATTTTACAGATAGTCGCATAGAGGAGTTGGTGGGTCCCCTGGTGTGTGATGGAACGTGGGGAGGGAGGTGGGCAGCTGGGCACGTTTTTCCTTTCTTCTGATAACAGGACTTCAGTTTGCCACGGTGGTTGTAGACCCCTCCGCACGCTCAGTCTTGGGACTGATAGCACCTCTTAGAGATCATCAGAGGTCAAGAAGTCAGGCTTGGCTCCCAATCCCCATGGTGATAGTGGGTCCAACGAAGGTCAGTCCCATGACTGTGGAGACCACAGCAAAGAGGCCTCGGTCTTGCAAACTGAATTGCAGCGGGGTGCAGAGAAGAGTGGAAACCTGCTGGGGGGCAGCTCCTGGGTACAGCTGTGCCTGAAGCCAGCTAGCCTTGGACTTCTCAGGTCTCTGGAGCACTAAATTCCTCTTCTTCTAAACAGGTGTGCATGCCCTAGGTTATTTTTTAACAATCACTCACAAACATGCTTTCTAATAAGAAGCAGTAACACAAGAACAGCCTGTTTGGGGCCAGGCCCCGAGGATGGGAGTGGCATCTGACTTGAACAGGATTGTTCTTCTAGGCCTAGCATGGAGTCTGGATCCTAGCATATGTGGTAGAAACTAGAAAATGGTTCCCCCGAAAAATTTTCAGACTGAATCCTTGCGAACAACCCATGTTGCTTTACATTGTGAAATGGACTTTGTGGACAGGATTAAGTTTCAAATTCTGAGCTGGGGGGATCACTCTGGATTCTCTTCTGGGGGGCCTGAGTGTCCTCGCCTGCATCCTGATAGGAGGAAAGCACAGGGGGATTTGACTTCGACAGAAATGAAGAGGACAGACACACAGAGGAGAGAACCAGGTGGCCATGAGATAGAGTCTGGAGTGACGCGGTCACAAGCCAAGGAATGCTGGAGGCCACCAGGGCAGAAAGAGGCTGGGAGTGGTTTTGCTTCTGAGCCCAGCACCTTTTGAGAATGAATTTCAGTTTGTGATGATTTGCCATGGCAGAGTGTGCATACGCAGTGGCCATCGCCTTCTGCTGAAGGGCCTTCCATGGCGCTGACCATCTGAAGAGACCACTGCCCCAGCACCTTCCTTCCCTAGAGTCATCTGTCCACGTGCTACTGGAAGCTCTGTTAGGGTATGCCCATGGCATCTCAAATTCACTTCCCAGAAGCATACCTTATCTTCTCTCCCCACATCGGGGCCTTTTACATCTTTCCCCACGTGGGGCCTTTTACATCTTTCCCCACAGAGTGAATGTCAGGGATGTAGTGTCCCTTGAGCCACACACCTGGGAATTCTCCTCCACCTGCTCCTCTTTCCCACCCGCAAAGTCCAGCATTAGGGTCTTAGCTCTTTCCTCTTCAGTATCTCTTGAAACATTTTTTTCTTGACACCTCCTTGGCCCTCCCCTTAGTTCAAGCTGCTCTGTCTCTCACCTGCGTGATGGCCTGCACTTCCAAACTGACAACGCTTCCTGCATGCTTCTTCTGCAGCCAGGTGAGCAACACCTTGGGTCAAGTCACCCCTGGGCAAGGTACTTCCCATAAAGAACCAGTTCCAGGGTCCATCAGCTCCCTCATGCTCTGGCCCACCCTGCTAGCTCCCCCGGGTGAACCTGCACCCAGCCATGCAGCTTGAGGGCGCTCTTCAGTGACTTGCCTGCTCCCTGTGTTCCTCGTGGGTGCTGTTGTGGTAGGACAGCCTCTTCTGCCAGTTTTGAGCCCGTGCCTCAGTTTCTCCTTCTCAGCTCCTACTCACCCTTCAGACCGAGCTTCTATCACCTTCCCGCCTTCAGAAACATCTTCCCCCATTTCCCCTTTAGTCAATGTTTTCATCACAACTGTTGTTTCATATTAGTTTATGTGATTCTTGAAATTGCCTAAAATTACACAGATCTTCATCATTAGCTTTGAAGCTCATGAAGGCAGAAAACAAGCTTGACTTTGCTTATCACTACATCCTGGGTTCGCAGCACAATACCTCATATGTGGGACATCATTAGCAATGATTTATTGAATCAAAGAACACCGGGATAGAGAACAAAACACCAGCACCTGCTAAACATACTTGTCACGGTATTAGGCATCTCCAAAGAATCAAGTGTCCCATGAAGCTTCTTCTTTTTTATACCTTTGAAACCTCTCTGTGTTTTCCACTGATAATGACCTTGAACTATATCATTTTATTGATTTATTTCATAATGCATTGGTTATTACATTTTTATCTCAAGAAAGGTCAACCACCAGCTTGTTTCGGGAAGTATTACTTGGAAAAGTAATAAAGAAGCGTTATCATCCATTATAAAATAAAAAAACATACTTTCTCCTGTTGTAAAGTCCACTTTCAACAGAGTGGTACTAATGCACAAAAGCCAGAGAAGAATCACCTCCTACTTCCGGAGAGTTGTTCCTTGAGGCTCACCCTACGGGCATCCAGTGCTCTCTCAGCCCTGTCTGCACCCCCCAGCTTCTGGGTGCCTCAGCGGCACATCCTGCCGTGTGAGCCACCCCTGCTCCTTCCATCCCCAGGGGATTACTGCAGCACGGGAGCATGATGTTTCCTTGGTATGGCTGAAATGAGATGTATGGCCCATCATCCATCATTTTCCTGTCATTCTTTCATACCTTGTCTGCTCACCCTCAGGACTCCTGCAAGAGCACGGACTGAATTCCTGTGTAAGTTCTTGGCCAGCTGTGAGGTGTCCCGCTGAAGAGGGCATTCTGCTTCTCCAGAGGCTCTCACAGCCCCTGGGCATCCCAGCCAAGCATAACACAAGCTGGACGTCCCTCAAAGCTCTCCCCAGGCCAGCGTCTACCAACCTTTCTAACAGGTGTTTTCTGAGACAGCTGTGCAGGAGAAGGGGCTGGGGATGGGGGCGTGTAAAAGAGAGCTTGAGACAATTCTAACAAATACCCGAGCTTGCTAAGCCTTCACTAAAGACATTTACTAAGTTTCCTGTGATAAAGTGAAAACTGCTATATTTTTTTTTCCATTTTAAAACAAAACTCAGGCCTGGCACGTTGGTTCACTCCTGTAATCACAGCACTTCGGGAGGCCGAGGCAGGTAGATCACCTCAGGTCAGGAGTTTGAGACCAGCCTGGCCAACATGGTGAAACCCCGTCTCTACTAAAAATACAAAAATTAGCTGGGCTTGGTGGCAGGTGCCTGTAATCCCAGCTACTTGGGAGGCTGAGGCAGGAGAATCCTTGATACCTGGGAGGCAGAGGTTGCAGTGAGCCAAGATCACACCATTGCATTCCAACCTGGGCAACAAGAGCAAAACTCCATCTCAAAAATGATAAATAAATAAATAAATAATAACTAAAACAAAATAAAATAAAACTCAGTGTGGTTTAAATGAGAATGCCATGGCTGCCCAGAGACAGAGTTTTGCACAATAATCTCTTCTTTTCAGGGACATGCAAGATAGACATTTTAAGTGTTATTTTTAGCTTCAGAATTAACTTTTTAAAAGAGATTTTAACTTTTATTTTAAGTTCACAGTTACCTGTGTGCAGGATTGTCATCTAGATAAACTAGTGTCATGGGATTTGCTGTACAGATTATTTCATCACCTGGGTACTAAGCCTAGTACTCATTAGTTATTTTTCATGCTCCTCTCCCTTCTCCCCCCTCCACTCTTCAATAGGCCCCAGGGTCTGCTGTTCCCCTCTCTATGTGCCCATGTGTTCTTATAATTTGGCTCTCACTTATAAGTAAGAACATGCCGTATTTAGTTTTCTCTTCTTGCATTAGTTTGCCAAGGATAATGGCCCCCACCTCCATCCATGTTCCAGCAAAGGACATAACCTCTTTCTTTTATATGGCTGTATAGTATTCCACGGTATAAACAAACCACCTTTTCCTTATCCAGGATGTCACTGATGGGCACTTAGGTTGATTTCATGCCTTTGCCATTGTGAACAGTGCTGCAATGAACACAGCGTGCATGTGTCTTTATAATCAAATGATTTATATTCCTTTTGTTAGAATAAAATGATTTACATTCCTTTGGGTATATACCCAGTAATGGGATGGCTGGGTCAAATGGTATTTCTGGTTCTAGGTCTTTGAGGAGTTGCCACAGTGTCTTCTATGATGGCTGAACTAGTTTACACTCCCATCGACAGTGTATAAGCGTTCTCTTTTCTTCACAACCTGTAGTGCAAGGAAATCAGACAGCAAGCTTCAGTGTTCCAACACATGGACAGAGCCACAGCAATCTTAGCCTGGAAGCCACTTTTTAAGTCAGTGTAATCAACAGCAGAGGGGAAAAGGCCATGACCCAACTGGCCTCATCCAGACACTCATCTCTCCCGAGTTTAAACAAGGACGCTGGTGCATCTCAAAGGTGAGTGGCTGGCGTGCAGCCTGCGGACACAGCAGAGTGCCACCAACACTGGCCAGCTAAATATTGATTTCCCAATGTTGGATGTAGGAGCAAATCTTTAGGAAAATTCCAGTTCAAAGTGTCAATTCCAGTCCAAAGGGGCTGAGATTGAGTCCTACGTAAAGTGCGCATGGAGCACATTCATCTAGAATAAGTCTCAGATTTCATCCATTTACAAAGAAATAAAAACAGATTTCATCATGATTTAGATTATTTTCTCCACTTTCAAGTAAAATGTGGTGACTAGTTTGGCATAAATTGGAAAGAGGATGAGCACAGGACATCATTTTACAAAACTAAAGAAGAGAAAACTTGAGTTTTATGAAAACTTTTTCAAATATTAATGTCATTTGTGAGCTATAAATAAATGAATAAATTGATTTTATTTGTTCATTTATTTATTTTTGTTTGTTTTTTGTTTTTTGAGGTGGAGTCTCTCTCTGTTACCCAGGCTGGAGTGCCGTGGTGCGGTCTCACTTCACTGCAATCTCCCCCTCCCAGGTTTAAGTGATTCTCCTGCCTCAGCCTCCCAAGTAGCTGAGATTACATATGCCAGCCACCACATCTGGCTATTTTTTTTTAATTTTTAATTTTTAATTTTTAGTAGAGATGGGGTTTTACCATTTTGGACAGGCCCATCTCCAATTCCTGAGCTCGAGCAATCTGCCCGCCTTGGCCTTCCAAAGGGCTGGGATTAGAGGCATTAGCCACTGCACCAGGCCACATTTTATTTATTTTTAAATGTTGTATTAGTCCTTTTTCATGATGCTGATAAAGACATACCCGAGACTGGAAAATTTACAAAAGAAAGAGGTTTAATGGACTTATGGTTCCACCTGGCTGGGGAAGCCTCATAATCATGGTGGAAGGCAAAGAGGAGCAAGTCTTACATGGATGGCAGCAGGCACAGACAGAGAGCTTGTGCAGAGAGACTCCCCCTGCTAAAACCATCACATCTTGTGAGACAGATTCACTATCACAAGACTAGAATGGGAAAGACCCACCCCCATGATTCAGTTACCTCTCACCAGGTCTCTCCCACAACATGCAGGAATTCTGGGAGCTACAAGATGAGATTTGGGTGGGGACCATATCAACTGTGTTTATCAAATGATCAACTTGGCTTGCAGGAAGTCACAGAACTGGTCCTTGAAACACCGAGAGCATAAATTAAGATTCTGACTTTCAGTGCTTTCTCCATTTCCACATGGCAAACTTTGCTTTATGTGTACCTCTCGTGTTTATTCTTATTTTAAAGGCTAATATTATTATTCTTGTTTGCCTGCACCGTGCTCCCCTGGACAAGTCCTTTATCCTACTTGTATTCTTCCTTAAGAGCCTGAAGGTCTTTGGGGCCATTTGTTCTTGTAGAGCTGTATAACCACAGTTTGAAATTCTGCACAGGCTATAAAAAACGGTCTTCTAGGATTGTTTTTAAATGAAAGACTTGGAGACAATTTCTTATCCTGGGTCACTGAAAGAAGCATATTGGTCCCAGAGCTGGAATAAAAGCAGATCGTGTCATGCCTGTGGCTGGACAAAGGGGCTGTGCTGTCCTGCTCCTTGGCGCCTCCTCCGTGAGGACCTTCCGTGGATACTCCTTCCATGCCAGGCTCCTGAGAGTTCAGCCCCGTGAGGTTTCTATTCAGCACTCGTGGCCTTGGTGCAAGGGCAGAAAGATTTCCCTGGGGTGCTGGCTGTTATCCTGGGTGCACAGGGTGTCTGGGGAACCCTGGACTGGATGTCCTGGGCCACACAGAGCTCCACCTTCCTCAAGGGTTCATGGTCAGACTACCCCTTAAGCAAAGCAGTGAGAACCACTTCCCTGGTTTTCCATTCCCTGGTGTCATTGGATGGTGAGGTTTCATTAACTTTAACGTGACACCTATTAAAGTTCATCACGTGACCCAACTTCACGTTTTAAACAAACTCTATTGCACGGTGGTCGAGGTTAAGCCAGCTTTGCAGATGACTGCAGTGAGCATGGGCCCAGGTGATGGAACCAGGTGTGTTATTTTGTTTTTCCTTTGCACTCCTTGTTTTTACTGGCATGGATGCTATGAGGAAACTGGCTTTCTTCTTTGCCTGTGATACTATTTAGGACACTCAGATGGTTTTTGTCTTTGTTTTGTTTTTCCCATCTATAAAGATTATTTCACTAAGGCATGCTCATACTCAGAAGATGCACCTGTTCTCTCAGATTTCCAAAGTTTTATTTTAATTCTGTCTAATGAGTATATAGTGTTGAGCATGTGAGGCTTTGAGCTGGGAGAGAAACAAGATGCTCTCTGTGGCCTTCTGAGCCTGTGTTCTGTAAGAGGGACGAGACACACCTGGGCACCTGTAAGGCAAGATGAAGAAAAGGACTGCGGCAGGAGAGTGCGCAGTGCCAGGTGTGTGGCCAGACAGCGCAGGGCGAAGCTGGTTCCCATGGAAGGGGGTCGAGGGTGGTGGGGGAGGATGAGGCTGGGGCCTCGATCTGCATCTGCAGCAGGCTCCCCTGGAGGGCTTGGTAAGCACAGATGGCTGGGAGCCTCCCCGACCCAATCCCAGCTTCTGTGTCCATTGGTCTGGGCGGGGCTGGACAGTGTGTATTTGTAAGAAGTGCTAGTTAACTAACACTGCTGGCCGAGAACTCCACTTTGGGAGCCACTTGGTTTTCTGGGTGCCAGGGCTGTGGTGAGAAGGTCAGCCAGGTGCTCCTCTCAACCACATTCACCACCAAGCTTGTGGACCGTGTGATTCTCCCTGGGGGCAGCTGATGATGGCTTCCTCTCTGGAGAAGACTGGCTCCAGACCTCCCAGTGACTGGCTTTGGTGACCTCAGCCATCCACTGGTGCGGTCCTACTGGGTATCCTGCTGAGAACTCAGAGGTTGGCAGACTTTTCATATCTCCTCGCCAGCTCTTGGGGACAGCACCCACTGAGGCACTGGCCAGGCCAAGAACACACCACGGTGTGTGCCTAGGAGCAAGCCCCTCTTTTCCTAGCCTTCTGAGAAGTCTTCTTCCCCAACCCTCAGCTATGCGCCAAGGCAGGTAACAGCTTTTTCCCTACTTGCAGGGAATTTGGTGGAGATAGAGATGCCATCTCTCCGACACCCCTAACAAGCTGCCATATGTGTCACCATCATTGGCACCCATGGCCTTAACTTTTACAAATTTCCTCTCCTGGTGCCACAGGCCCTCCAAGCCCCCTCTTCCTTTTTCTTTCTGCAACTTGAACACCACTTATAGGAGCAAAGTGGAGATTCAGCTTTGAGTGAGGGAGAGAAGGCACAGAATAATTCCTGGTCCAGGGGTCTTCCAGCCAAATTCCTGGCTAACAGCTACCTGAGAAAAGTTCTCTGACCAAGTGGGAGTGTCAGAAATGTCAAAGGAGTAATACTTATCTGGCTTTTCACGTGTGCATGTGTGTGTGTTATGTGTGGCTGTAGGCTTCTGCAAGTATGTGTGCGCGTGTGGGTATGAGAATGTGTGTGTGCATTGTGAGTGTGTGTGTAGATGTGTGTATGGGTGTGCATGCATGTGGGAGGATGAATGCAGGCATAGGTGTGTGCACTTGCGTGTAATTGTGTGTGCACATATGTATATATGTGTGGAGGTGGGTGTGGAATGTGTGTGCATGTGGGAGGGTTATGCAGGCATAGGTATGTGCACTGAGGTTTAAGTGTGTGTGCACACGTGTATGTGTGTGTAGATGGGCGTACAGGTGTGTGTGTGCATTTGGGTGTAGGTGTGTGCACGTGAGTGTAGGTGTGTATGTGTAGAGGATGCATGTCTGTGTAGATGTGTGCATGGGTGTGTGTGCATATGGGGGTGTGTGTATGTGCGTACGTGTGCGTGTGTGTGTAGATACATGGATGGGCGTGTGTCCCTGCGGAAGTGTGTGTGGGCATAGGTGTGTGCATTTGGTAGTAGCTGTGTATGTGCACATGTGTATGTGTGTGTACAGAAGCATGGATGGGTGTGTGTGCATGTGGGAGGGTGCATGTAGGCATAGGTGTGTGGACTTGAGTGCAGTTGTGAAGGTGCACAGGTGTCTATGTGTGTGCACATGGGTGTACAGGTGGTGTGTATGTGGGAGAATGTTCAGGTGTAGGTGTGTGCACTTGGAAATAGGTGTGTATGTGCACAGGAGTGCACGTGTGTATAGGTGTGTGCATGCGTGTGTGTATGTGAGTGGGTGCATGTAGGCATAGGTGTGTGCATGTCTGCACTTGGGTATAGAGGTGTGTGTGCATGGGTGCGTGTGTGTGTGTGTGTGCGTGCATGACTGTGCCTGGGTATATTGCCTGTGTGTGGTGTGCATGTGTGTGTGAGTGTGTGTGCGTGGAGAAGCAGAGTTCCTAAAAGTCCATGGGAAGGGAGGGCTTGAGGCATCGCAGAAGGAAGGGTGCCGAGGGGCAGTACCCAGGTGGAGGAAGGTGGTGCTGACTCTTCAGTTTTGGGGAGCGAGACATCCCTGTGAGAAGGTGTCCCCCTGGATGTGTCCCAGCTGCACGCCCACTTCCCTCCCCGGATGCCAGTCTGTGCACACCTCCGTGGCTGCTGAACAACATGAGAAACCCTCACAGCCTCTATTGTACATCTCAGAAGCACCCAAAAATGTCAACAACTTTGGGAAACAAATATGACAAAAGGATTAATTTACCTCCTGACATGTAATTAGGAGTCCCTCAAGCAAATTATGCATCATTTAAACAAAAGTTCTCAGAAAAGCACGTGTGAACAAATTAAATGTGGCTACTCTATTTTTTGTCCTAACTCACTCTCCAGCAGCAGCTTCTCGTCATTCAAATTAACGCAACGGTTGCGGCTCAGGCCCCAAGACAGCGAGATCCCGGGAAAGCTGGTTCGGCGGGTCGGTCACACCTTCCTCTTCTTTTTAGTGTTCGTTCCTGGAAGAATCATGGAAGAAATGGTCTTGGTGGCTTCCTGCGCCCTCCTCAGCGCTCCTCCCATTCTGACACTGGCTGGTGGGTCCAAGGCCCATTTCTGTCTCATCTCCCCAGGGCAAAGTGAACTTCTCTGCAGCAAGTCTTTAATGAGACGTTCCCGGGTCCTTTTAGACGCAGCTTGTAGATCCAGAGGTTGATCCACGCCCCTACAGGCTCTCGGTCTGTGATTCAAACCCACTCATCCTTATAGGAAGAGAAGGTGCAGTGTCCGGGGTGAAGGGAGTTGTGACGGTTCCAAGGGCCTTTTCCAACCTTCTGCTTTTCTGGGAGCCTAGGAATCAGGTCAGGCCTGGGATTGGAACAATCACTGCATCTCGAAGTTTTTTTCTTTTTCTTTTCCAAGTTAAAAAATGTGTTAAGGTCTGGGTGTGATGGCTCACGCCTGTCATCCCAGCACTTTGGGAGGCAGAGGCAGGCGGATCACTCGAGGTCAGGAGTTCGAGACCACCCTGGCCAACAGGGTGAAACTCCATCACTACTAAAAATACAAAAATTAGCCAGGCGTGGTGGCAGGCGCCTGTAATCCCAGCTACTTGGGAGGCTGAGGCAGGAGAATCTCTTGAACCCGGGAGGTGGATGTTGTAGTGAGCAGAGATCATGCCACTGCACTCCAGCCTGGGTAACAGACAGAGATTCTGTCTCAAAAATAAAAAAACGTGTAAAGTATGAGGAGGGCTCTGAGAACCAGCATGACACATTCTCCCTGAGGAAGAGGAAGGCCCTGCAGCCACGATGCTTGTGCGAACAGAGCCCTCCAGCAAAGCCCAGCACACTCTCCTGCCAGGGCACACGGAGTCCCAGGGCTGTTGGGCAGCGTGCTGGACTTTGCCTGACAGATTGTCACAGATCTGTCAGCCCCGTGAACTAAGAAGTCACGCCAGAGTTGCACCAGAGCTTCTTCCTTTTTATTTTTTGAAACGGAGTTTTGCTTTTGTTGCCCAGGCTGGAGTGCAATGGCATGATCCTGGCTCAACACAACCTCCACCTCCCAGGTTCAAGCGATTCTCCTGCCTCAGCCTCCCGAGTAGCTGGGATTACAGGCATGCACCAACATGCCTGGCTAATTTTGTATTTTTAGTAGAGATGGGGTTTTTCCATGTTGGTCAGGCTGGTCTCAAACTCTCAACCTCGGGTGATCTGCCCGCCTCAGCCTCCCAAAGTGCTGGGATTACAGGCATGAGCCACCATGCCTGGCCCAGAGCTTCGTCTTCAACTCCGAGAGGTGTGAGCTCTGCATGCTGGCATCTCCCCCGGACTCATACATTGGAAGCTCACAGCCAAGGTGCTGGCGTTAGGAGGTGGAGCCTTTGCCGGGTGATGAGGCCATGGAGAAGGAGCTCTCTGGAATGGGATTTATGACCCTATAAAACAGCTGCAGAGAGCTCCCTTGCCCCTTCCTCTATGATGCCACAGGGAGAAGGTGCCATCTGCGAGCCAGGAAGCCGTCCTTATCAGACACCGAATCTGCATGGGCTGTGAACTTGGACTTCTAGCCTCCAGAAGGGTGAACAATCAATTTCCGCGGTTTCCAAATTACCCAGTCTGAGACATTTTGTTATGGCAGCTGAGCAGACTAAGATGGAAGCCAGCCAGGGTCCAGTTGAGAAAGGGCAGCCTGCACCAGAGGGTGCGAGTTATGGGGCAGGTGACGAGAGCACTGCAGACAGGGGAAGCTGGACAGCTCTGGGATGACCGACTGTGGGCCACCACCAGCCGCGGAGACAAAGAAGTATCAGCAGAGCCCAGGAGCTGTGCCCTGCAGCCAACAGAAGGGCCACGGAGAGGATTCCTCTTAGTGAGGAGCCTGATGTGAGCTGCAACCACAGAGCAGATGGAGCCACTCCTGGGAACGCCACCCATGAGGGGCAGAGACACAGCCTGGACTCTCCCATGCCCCCCTTCTGTGCCACCCATCAGCCAAGCCTCACAGGGGGCCAGTGGATGAGGCACCTGGGAGGGGCAGTCTGCACAGGTTGCCACCCTGATGTGCAAAACAGAGCAGAGGCAGGCTAGGGACAGCAGGACCGGAGGCCTTGGCCAAGAGATGGGAACGAGCCCCCAGCACCTGCCAAAGTGTGACCCACGGGGTCCAGTGCAGGGACCCTGCGAGGCAGCATGGCACTCTCTGCTTGTCGAGCAGGTCACCCCCTCTCTGTCCTTCTCTACTTCTCCCTCGACCTCACGGAGGAGATGAAATCCCTCCTTCAACCCACGCAGGCCAAGAGTCCCTACAAATGTGACCAGCAGTTCCCCAGAGGGCCCCAGGAGGGATGGTTCTGAGATGTCCTCCTTGGGCCTGGACTAGAATATAAACCCCAACCTGCTCACTTGCACAGGCTCAGCTCAGGGATCACACTGGGCATGGGCAGGCTGCTCAGGACACCTGGGGGACTGGCTCCACTTTGAGCTCTCACCTCAAGTCACAAAATGTCCTTGCATCAGTGACCCCTGGCCTGAGCCACTGGCTGGAACAAGAGCTCACTGCTCCTCCCTTGCGTTCAGGAACTTCTGGGTAGCAGTTCTGGAGAAGAGTCCTGTGGAGGCCCAAGGGTCCCTGCCCCCTGCCTTATATTTGACCAAGTTCAGATGATATTTTAACCCCACCAACTGAGAATCCAAAACAACACATTTGCTAGATCACATGCAGTGCTGGGTTAATAAGCTTACGTTATTAGTTAATATCATGCCAAAGTGTGGTGTGTGTACCTAGTGGAGTACTATTCAGCCATAAAAGGAATGGGATCCCATCACTGGCAACAACATAGATGGAACTGGAGGACATTATGTTAAGTAAAATGAGCCAGGCACAGAAAGAAAAACTTTGCATGTTCTCACTTATTTGTGGGAGCAAAAAATTAAAACAGTTGAACTCATGGAGACAGAGAGTAGAAGGATGGTTCCCAGAGGCCGGAAAGGGTAGTGGATGGGGGATAGAGGGGAAGTGGGAATACTTAATCATACAAAAGACAGAAAGAAGGAATAAGAGGTAGTACTTGATAGCATAGCAAGGTAACTAGAGTCAATACTAATTCAATTGTACTTTTAAAAATAAAATAACTAAGAGTACAGCTGGATTGTTTGTCACACAAAAGATAAATGCTTGAGGCCATGGATACCTTATCTGCCCTGATGTGATTATGCACATTGTATGCCTATATCAAAATATCCCATATACCTCATACATAAATACACCTACTATGAACCCTGAAAAATTAAAAAAAAGAAAGACGATAAAAGCAAATATTAAAAGATCATGGGAAGAGCTGGGATAGTTTTACTGTAATTATTGAGGGTGGAGGAGGGAGATCTCTGGCCATTTGGAGATGGGAAGGCAGATCTACTCAGCAGGATCAGCCTGGGAAAGCCCTGTAAATTCGATAAAAAGGGCAGCCCCGCAGCCGTGGATACAAAACCCATGCCACCCACACCTGGCAGCGGGCGGCTGTGCCAGAGGCAGTGAGGACAGAGAGGGTGACAGGGAAATCCCTGGCCAGGTATCTACATTTGGGCTGGGAGGGTAGGGAAGCTCTGCTAAGTGCTATCAAAAAAAAACAAAAAACAAAAAAAAGACAAAACAAAATCATGAGAAACACCAGTTCCACATATTTCAAAACCAACCGACATGCACAAGCACCTTCCCAGCCTGAGCAAGCTCCTCTTGTTAATTCCACAATGAAAATCGAGTCAGGAAACGTTACTGACAACAAAAACAGGGCCAGCTCTTTGATACAAAAGAAAAGAGATTATTTCACCACTCAAAGAAATCTATGAGAAAATTTGGCAATGTTCTACAAAGACCTAGAGCAGAGACAGTCTGGAATATCTCTAAATGTGATATACACACGGGAAGATACCAGGCGGAAGAGGCCAAGGAGGGCCCACCTAGAACCCCGAGGGAGTCACTTTGAGATTCACATTTCGGAGAGGCAGGGAGAAACTGCCTTTGTGCCCTGCATCCAGCGTTTGCCATCCCTCCGCCCTTCCGAGTGAGTCTCAATGCTCAGCCTCATCACAGATCCTGAGGAGGGGAGAGGATAGAGCAGATGCTGCCCAGACCACCTTCAGGACCCAGACCCTGGGCCTGGATGCAGATTCCCCAGGGGCTTCAACGCTTGGGAGAAAGACAGGGACAGGCTGCACAGTTGGCAGCCAAGTGTGAAGGCCAGAGGGGCTCCAGCTCATACGAAGGGACTCTCCTCCCCTATGCTCAGCAGGCAGAAAAATGGAGGTTCAGGTGTAGGTTCAGGACGTAGCAGAATCAGAGTTTCAGAAAAGGCTGAACACTCCACAACAGGGCCTGGTCGACGAAATCAGGCGCCAAGACTCAGGAGGGGATATTTGGGTCAACGCACTTGAAAACCTTGAATTCCCACATCCTCTGAGCCCTTTGGGGCTCCAGAAGAAGCCCCTCCATTCTGTTCAAAGCCAGCACTCTCATCTTGATCTAGGCTGGTGCAGAGGTTTCTCTGCTTTGAAGGGAACACACACAGTCACACACATGTGTACACACCTGCATGTTCACACACACACACCCCTCCCCCCTCTAACTTGTCCTGGGGTGCTGAGCCTGCTCAGAGAGGAAAGTGGATCCCCAACAAGGAGCTGCAGGACCAGCCAGCATGCACTGGCCTGCACACGGGACCAGATCCCAGGGGTGTGGGGGCAGGGGGGTTGGAATCTCAACTTAGATACGGGGAAGATTTCATCTAAATAGGAGCCCTGTCCCAGGAAGTCGCACTGAATGCCCTGGCAAAGACCCCAGGGGACCGTGCTAATATGCTGCCATATGGGCTATGGAAGGCTTGGGAAAGCAATGGTCCATGCTTAGTGGAGTAGAAATGACAGTCTCCAGGGCAGATGGCGGAGGAAGGATCAAAGGCTGAGAGAAGCGGGCACATTAGAGTCGACACAGCCCCGTCTGACGACCCATCCAGGGAGGGGGCGGCTCCCCGGGAGGTGTCTGGGACACTGCACTGGTGGGATACGGGATGTCCCAGGAGAGAAGTCTCCATGGAGAAGCTCCCCGTCACTGTCTGCTCCACACCAGGCCGCTTTCAGGAGGCTGTGGTGTTGCCCAGCTGGGACCCCGATAACCCCAGGTGAGGGGCCGGGCGATGGGGCTTAACTCAGCAGCCTGCTGGATGCACTTGGCGCAGGTGGGGCCAGGCTGGAGCCAGGGTCAGGAGGGCCTAAGCTGCAGATAGCCGCGGGGATGGTGAGTGCACCGGCTGGCATGCAGGGCAGGACAGAAGGGCAGGCAACAAGGGCATGGCTCACTCCGCACCATGAGAAGGAAAGGCAGGGTGAGCCCAGAGCTGCAGCCACTGCCCCAGGACAAAGTCATCATCCCTTGCTCGGATTCTGGGCCTGTGGCTATTTTTAGGCCCAGAACACATTGAGGGAGAGGTGAGTGCCCCCAGGGCAAGCCCTGCAGGGCTCCACGGATGCAGGATCCAGCAGTTCCCCAGATCTTGCCGGGAGACCTGAAGAGCCGTCCTTGAGGGAAGGAAAAGACTCAGGCATTTGGAGGGTCGATCTACACAGGGCTTAACAGCCTGTGCTCTCGCTCACTAAGGCCCATGCGGTTACCCCTGCTTCCCATGTCCAATCTGCCAATAAGAGACCAACACTGAGCCACTGACACAGCATCATCCCTCCAGGAGACCAACTGCACGCTTGGTGTCTAGGCGATGGCATGGGAGCCCTTCCAGCCTTGGGACAGAGATTCTCCTTGCCTGGGGTTAAGGCATCTTCTCAGTGGGGACCTGCTTTTCGCACTTGCAGGACATGAGCCAGCACTGCGAGCTGGGCCTTCCCAGCTCTATCCATTGTCTGGGCATCCCAGTAACATTGCATCAGACAAAGGGCCCGACTTACAGCAAAATGCAGCTTGGGCTGTGGCATGGGAACCCCTGGTCTCCTCACAGTCTACCTGCTGCCACCCGACAGAGGGGGAGCAACCCTCCACAGGTGCACTGAGACCCCAGCTCTGAGATGCCCTGTGGGGGACGCCCTGCCTCCAGGACAGCGCACGCTCATCGCTGAGGAGCACGTGGAGCCTCATCCTCCATAATGAGGCCTCAGGGGCCTGGAATCTGGGGGGAGGAAGGCAGGTGGCCCTTCCCACCTTCAGTCCTGGTAGCCAACTTGGGGGTTCTGTACATGTTGCTCGACACCTGTGGGTTGTGTAGGTCTGGAGCTCCTGGTCCACAGCGGGAGCTGCTTCCACGGCAGGAGGACCATCCAGCATTAAGGTTTAAGGGCTGCCCTGTGCACTTTGGGGTCCTCATGGCGAGGCACCACCAAGCGAGGAAGGAGTCACCCCTGGTCAGGGGCCATTGTTCCTGATGAGCAGGAGGAGGTGGGACTGCGGCTACCCCATGGGAGCCGGAGACCATCCTTCTGCACTGGGCCACGCCGCAGATTCCTCTTCACAGTCGCCTGGCTAAACCACACAGTAGGCGGACCTATGCAGTGACAGGGTGAGGACACCTTAGTCACGAGGAGATGACACCTCTTAGCCCTGGGCCCCCACTAGACTTTCAGGGGTGTCAACAGAGGAGGAAGAGACTCTTCAGCGGGTGGTAGAATAAAGAGTCTGGTTGTAGCGGAAAGGCTGTGTTTCCCCTCCTAAGCTTTCTCTTCCCGGCTTTGCCAGGCAGAGCCGAATCAGCACTGGGACAGAGCTGCTCCTGAGGGAGCTGATGTCACTGCTTGGAGGGGCTGGACCTGAGCATGGCCAGGGTGGGCTGCAGCAGACGCTGTGCTGTGCTCACCCATCTCACCTTTGCATCAACTGCTCAAGAGAGGAAAATGACACTTAACAAGCAAAGAAATCGAGGCGCAGAGAGAAGGTGACCTCGTGGTGAGGAAGTGGGGGCAGATGTCAGACCCCGGCCATCCAGCTGTGCTGGACAACACCGAACCCTGACGCCCCTTGACGTCTCACCCTGCTCCTCTCCCTCCTCCATCCCCCAACCATTCCCCGCCATCATCATCACCCGACTGATCCATTTCAATGGAAACTGGATTTTGTAAGTCCAGTCAAACATCTTCAGTGGCTTTTATCACCTGCAGGGCAAAATTGGAGCCCTCGCCTTGGCAGAAGACCCCAGGTTCTGTCCTCCGCCCCCAACACCCTCGTGGCTCCAGCCGGTGCGGCTCCAGGCCAATACTCCCTGGTGCTGCTTGCTGTTCTGGGAAAGCCCCTCCCCGCCGCACACCTGGATGAGGCTGCAGGAGGTTTCCCCAGGTGAGGGGGCTGCGGCGCCAGAGTCCTTTCCTGAAGCCCCAGGCTGAGCCAGATGTTCCCTGTGGGGCTCGCTCTGAGGCTGTGCCTCTCCGTAATAGAGTCGTTTGTCTCTGAGCCGACTGCTCCACAGACCAGCCAGGCCTCTTCCTCCCCACAGTGGATCCCCAGTGCCTGCACACAGTAAGGCCCAAGACCTGCTTGTTGACCTGAATTGAATGGCCAGCCACCAATGCCAACGTCAGCCAATGTGGCACAGGCGCCCTAGCGTGCAGGAGAGGGCTCTGTGAGCTTAGAGGGGACAAAGGTCCTATCCGGCTGCCCTCAAGGTCTCGTGAGAGTTTGCTTTGGATGACAGCCTATGGATGGGAAGAGTTTTTGACCGAGGAGCTGGGGCAGGGGAGTTTCTGATGCGGAAACGCCACAAGCAGAGCAAGGGGAAGAACCAGCCCTTTGCCAGGCAGGCGTCTGGGCAGATGCAGGCCGGCGCACTGTGCTCCTGGTCCTGGCGCGAGCATCTCCTTTCCAGCCTGCCCGGCGCTAGGGCTCCATGGAACCCCAAGCTCTCTGGCTTCAGAACTGCTCCAGGCAAATGCGTGGCATCATTCATAAGGAGGCAGCGTCTTGCGGTGCTGAGACCGAGCCCCTGGCTGCTTCCAGATGTCACTTCCAATGCCAGCCCTTCCGCATGATAGCTCTGTCACCAGGAGCGCTCGGGCGCCTTCACTCTGCTTGCGCCTCTAAAGCACACCTGCCCCGCCCACCTGGATCTGCTGTCAATAGCTGTCGGGCGTGCGGTGTGCAATTTGGGACTTAGGAAGCGTTGATACATGGTCGTTACTCTTTACGATCATTAGAAATATTGACTTCAAGGGCAACTTGTGATAAACTCAGGAGCATCTCATTTGAAAGATAAATAAGCTGCCAGCACCTCCGATGTTTCAGCAGAGGCAGGAGGTAGAAAAATATGTTCAGCAGAAGGAAGAGACCACGGAGAATGTCAACAGCCGAGTATCCCTCATTGTGCCTGGGGCCTGGGACCATTTTCTTTGAGTAGGAATTGATACTGTCTCCAATTGTCGGTCTTATTGCTCCTTTGGTTTTCCAGAAAGCAGACACCCAGGGAAGCTTGAGGAGAAGCTCTCCTTGGGGACAAGACCCCCAGGCTTCAGGACGTTGTGGATGCTGGCAGTGGCTTTTCAGTAGCTCACGTGGGGCGGTACCCAGGAAGAGCAGGGCAGAGGGGTGGGTGGGTGGGAGCGCAGGGCCCCGTGCCCAGAAGCACTGCCTGGCGGCTGGCATCTGGGCTGTGCTTGGTTTTGTAGAGTTCCAACCCTATTAAGCCCGATTGGAAGGTAGTTAGCAAAATGAAGTGTTGCGAATTATCTCACTAACTTGGGACATATTGGTGGCCAATTGAGATAATTTAAATCCTTAAGGAAAATTTTGGTCCCTAATTACGTTGAATCACTTTATATTCAAGTTCAACAAATAATTCTCAACCTTTTCCCCCTTTGCATAGGTGGAAGTGCAGTAATAACTATAAAGTAGGCAGAATTTAAAACAGAGGTTTTTTTCTGTCTTTATTTATTTATTTATTTATTTTTTGAGATGGAGTCTTGCTCTGTCGCCCAGGCTGGAGTGCGGTGGCGTGATCTCAGCTCACTGCAAGCTCCGCCTCCCAGGTTCACGCCATTCTCCTGCCTCAGCCTCCCGAGCCCGCCACCAGGCCTGGCTAACTTTTTGTATTTTTAGTAGAGACGGGGTTTCACCATGTTAGCCAGGATGGTCTCGATCTCCTGACCTTGTGATCCGCCCGCCTCGGCCTCCCAAAGTGCTGGGATTACAGGCTTGAGCCACCGCGCCTGGCCTCTGTCTTTATTTTTAGAAATGTGTGTGGAAAAGATTAGATTCTGCAAAGTGGCAGATGGCTGAAAGATGTTCTTTGGAGATCACTTTTCCAGTCCTGGGAAGCATGCGGAGAGGGATGGGACCCACAGCCTCAACTGCTCCAGGGCAAGGGCAATGCGGAAAGACATGGCAGGGTACATCACCATAACTCACAAAGGGTAAAGACCATGAGGCTAGTTGAGGACTGTACCACATCTGCCTCTCACTGAAGCAAGAGGAAGATCATCTCTTTTCCTTTTTCTCACTTAGAGGGGAGTGCACTCCCAAATCTGCAATTCTTTGGCTGCTATTGGTTGTTGTTGCTGCTGCTTGCATTCTCTGGATTAAAATGAAACACATGTTCCAAACCGTGAAAGGTCAGCAAGAAAGAGAGAAGTGTCCACAAGCTGCAGTCTGAGGATTTGATGAGCTGGTTCTTGAACTTTTGTAGGAAAATCTGAGAAGGGAAAGCCGGTTAAAGGGCCAGGGTTCAGCAAGCCTGGCTTCTTGGGGCAGCATCTCTCCACTTGCAGGGTGCCCTGTTCTGGACAGCAGAGGAATAGGATTGCCCTCCCAAATGCCCAGGAGGGTGTGTCTGTGAATAAATTCTGCTTGAAGCTCCATTGGCCTGAGGGCCAGGCACACCCTGGACATAGAGTGTTCACCCAGGCGAGGCCTTGGACCCCTGCAGGACAGCCTAGGACCAACTGGGTAATGGAAGCGTCCTGGTGCCTGACCTCTCTTGCATCTGTTTGCACAAACTCCAGTGACAACTGGAGTGGGAGTTATGGCCACATTCAGCTGGGAGGGCCTGGGTCTGGACAGGGGCCATTAGACCAGTTCAGTGCTCTGTGGGCTGTGGCCAGAGGCACCTTGACTGGGGCTGCTGTCCCCATCCTCATCCTCCTCCACTTGCTAGGCCCACTTCGTGAGGTGCCGAAGGTGAAACAGCCAGAGAACTTCACTTGCCCGCAACAACCTTAGAGTCAGATGCAGGTGGGGGAAAAGCCATATATCATCAGGTAACTTCATAGAGTTATAAACTTAAGAAATGCTTGGGGCCAAAGAGAGAGATCACCTTTCATTCATTCAACTAATATGTACTCCATGAGATCTGAGCCGGAAGCGGAATTCCTTGGACAGTTTTTGCTATTCTCCATGCCAGTGTTCCCTCTGGGCCTAGAGGTTTCTTTTTAGTCTGCCCTCATCCCCCGTTTCTGTCTTCTCTCTCTTCATGCAAATATTTCTTGGAAATTTCAACAAGGGTTACATGCCTTCTAGCATCTGCCTAGACACTCCCAAAATATAGTAGAAAGCTGTTTGAATGCATGGCTAGATGTGCAATTTCAGAAGTGCACCATTCACTAAGTCTTCTGAGGGACTGTGAAGTGTGTGAGCCAGCCTTGATTCTTCATTTACATCTTTTCTACCTGCAAAAGGACACCCTAAACCATTACTGCAAGCTTGCAGACAGCATTGGGGAAAGTGTCTACAGCAACCTTTCACCAGAATGCAATTTACATATTTTAAGGCATACATTTCATAATTATGGTATATATGTGTGTATAGCTATATATTATTGTTATATATATGGTATATGTACATATTACTCTCTCTCTCCATATATATATATATATATATATATATATATATATATATATATATATATACCAACTTACCAACAATAAAAATCCCGTTAGTTTCTCATCATTACCTATGAGAACTATAAACCCAAGTTTGTTGTTGAGGGACCTGTGAGGTAGGTGCACAGCTCTGTATGCATTCCTCTGTATAGAAAAGTTTAAGGAACAGCTGACTGTATATGGCTCAATTAGTTAATCATGATGAAAATGTTTGCAAATGATTAGCATGTATGGTGTTCTTTCTGTTAGCTTTGAATTTTTCTTGCTTTGAATACCATGCATCACACTGTGGCAAGCAGTGTGGCTTGGAGGGAAAAGTGGGATTTTCAGGGTCAGAAAGTCTTTGAATGCGTCCTGGGGAAAGTGTGTGTCCTGGCTTCTAGGGCGCCAGGGAGGATTTACACAATAATGTGTGGAAAGTGCTCTGTGCAGTGACTGGCACGCGGCAGACACTCAGTGCGTGGTGGCTGAGATGGCAGTGACTTAAAGTTGTTGGCTCAGTGTTATTCAGAGAGTGTCCTGATTGGCTGGCCCACCCTCTCCACCCATCAGTCCTGTGCAGAACACATGCCATGAGCCTGGCACCTGTTGGATGCTGTGGAAGCAAAGGTGAATCACACGCATCCCTGCAACACCCACTACTAGTGAGGTGTGGTCAGGGAGACATAACAATGCAAGTAGAACATGAACATGACATTGCAGAGATAACAACGCAAGTAGAACACAACATTGCAGAGATAACAATGCACGTAGAACACAAAAAGTTGCAGAGATGTGAACGAGATGGCCAGTTCCCCAAGCATCCCTTCCTTCTAGAAGCAACTTCAAAAGTGCTGAACATACCTCTCTCTGGTGTGATCCCCTCCATACTTACCCATCATCTAAGCATCAGGAGTCCCAGAGTGGGGCCCTCCTATTGCCTCCAGTCTGGGTTGGGAGGCCAGGATCTCCCTGGGTAAGACTCAAAAACACCCTCTCCCCCAGCACTCTGAATGTTTGGAAGAGAAGGTAGTGATAGGGAGTGAGGAAAGAAGGGTTTCCACCGACTCACACAGCCAGAACTCGAGGACCGCAGGGGAGACTGTGGAGCCTGAGGAAGAGCCTGAAGCGTCCTGGGGGAGCTGCCACTTGGCATCTGTGTTTGAAGCTTTAAAAGCTCTAGTTTTTGTTTTGTTTCTCCCTGAGGTTATCTGAATTGGCAGGACTGCAAGCGCACTTGAAATCTGCAACTATTGAGGTTTTTCCCCTGGTCTCCTAACCCTCCACATGGTCAACACTGCATGGGGTGGTGCTGGCAGCAGGAGGAGAGAGCCGAGCTCTCCCCACAGCGGGGAAGCCTTAGGTCAGGAGACACATATCTAAGCATCCTAAACCAAGCATGCTTGGTAGATGTGAGCATGGGGGTCTTGCTCCAGGAACCAGGACGTCTGTAAATGCAGGGACCTGGGAAGGGCGGAGTGTCAACTTGAGGCACACGGGCTAGTGTGCAAGGAACAGTTGCTCTTCTTGCCTTTCATAGAGAAGGAATGCCTCGCTGGCATGGGGAGCTGTGTTCCGGAAGTTGCCAGCCTGCTTCTCCTCCCACAGCCACTTGAGGTGGAGCTTTAATTTGGCACAAAGTTGCTGGTTGTCTCCTGATTTGACCACCTCGATTCTGGCCCTGTAGATTGCAACTGGGCTGCTCTCAGGAATCCTGGAACTCACTGCTAGCTTCCAGGGAAAGGACATTTTTCAGCCCTCGGAGAATCTGAGTGCGGACAACTCACTGGCAGAAGATCCGCATTTTGGTAACCCGCGAGGCCAACTGCCGCGTACTCTGTTCCCGCATGTTGTGATGTTGAGGATTGGCCTGGGGAGGCCCCGGCTCAGGATTGTGTGAGGATGAGGAGCGGCCGGGGAGACGGAGGAAGGTAATTTGGTGTTTTAGAAAGGAATTCGATGTGGTCTTTCTCAGTCTTTGCTTTTCTCCTTAAAAATCCATCCACAGAAGCATCATCGTGCATGCAGCCAAGAGCAAAGCAAACAGCGTTTTGCCGCCTACCAGCCTTTTGATTCTGCAATAGAGCCCGATGGATTATGGCCCTCTCAGCCTGCAATGCCATAATACTTTATTTCAACATGATATGACATCATTAAAGACACTTTATGTTGTTTTTGTCTGTGGTTTGGAATTATGTCTGCTTAATCAATTCCATTATGCATTCAACTTCCATGACACGTCAAAGGCTGATAAGGTTTTTATTTTTTTTAAACTTTGCTTGCTTAAAATGATTTCCCTCCAGATCAAGATGCAGAGCACAAAATATTAATCAGTTTAAATAAATATCAAGACTACCCAAATAATATGAATAATTGGCACGGGATCGTGCCTACTGCCCAGTTCCCAGCAGCTGGTCACGCTGGCACGAGGCTCCTCTCAACAGTCTCTGAGATAATGACTTTGGCATCTGCTGACGAGTGCTTGTGACTGCCCACAGAATTTACAACTCACAAGTGGAAAACAGAGGCTCCGACAGAACTGTTTTATGCAAGGTCTTTGAAATTTATTAATGTAATGCAAACACGAGCCTTCCAACCCATTAAATTGTTGATGTTATGCGAGCCCACTCTGGAATTGCAGATCCTCATTAGCATTATTTGCATGTTAATCTGCATCTTTTTAATTAGTGATATTATTTATGCACATAATTTTCGCCTACTGGTGCCAAGGCTGAAGCGCATTAATTAATCTACTGAGATGCCAAACTGTTTATTTTCCCCCGTACTTTTATTTGTTTACATGGTGTTTTGGATTCAGGGAAAATAAAAAAGAGCCTGAAGAATAAAAGCTGAAAGACAAGATTAACTAAAAGCTCTTTTTGTTTTCATAATTTAAATTGTAATATTAGCCAAATGTTGTGTTTCTTCCCTTAGAGATCGGTTATTCAGTTACATTACCTTGATGTATTATTAAAATGTATAATGGACTCTGGAGGCTTCTGTTAGTTCTCTCCTTCATTTACAGAATCTACTCAATGTTATTTTAATCTTCCTACAACGCTCCCATGCATAGGCAATGATGAGCCATCCCCAGTGAATCCCCTGCACGGCTCCACTTTGCACAACTGATAAACATTTAAATAAGCCTTTTCAAAAAAGAATAGCACGTAAAATTATTAACCCATTGATGGAGTTAGCTACCGCTCAGTAATTCATCTTTCCTCAAAACAGGTCAATCGCAAAATGCATTTGACTTGGCGACATTGAGGCATTCTCATTCCTGCAACCGTGGTTACCAGGCATTATCCAGAACCGTGTGTCCATTTGAGTACACGCACGCCACACGAATTTTTTAAATGTATAATTAAAAGTGTCCCGCACTATCTATGCTAAGTACATACAATTTGAGAGCCAGGAAAAGGCCTAGAGATTGTATGCCATGGGGCCTTGTAATAAATGATAACATAATTCAAAACCAGTGATCATTCCAAAGGAATGAAAGTTAAAAAAGCCATTCAACTAACCACGGTCATGCAATATCTATTATTTATACCACATCGGAAAGGGTATTCGCAGAGCAGTTGGAAAGATACACAAATAAGTGTTTATGTTATTAGTAGAAGGGAATAACAATTTGTTTCCAGCATCAATTTATCAGGGATATGAGGTAATACCTCTGCCTCTCCACATCATATCTGTCTTCCAGAGAGCTACCCTCTGAATTTTCTCCAGTTGAACAGGACCTCATGTACCGCAAGTGACTAACCCATCAGGCCTGCCTGGAGTAAATCATAACCATGGCCCCTATTTTAATAAGATGGTTGCAATCTATTGGGCATGACGGCATGGGGGAGTGAAGTTAGACCAAGTTCCCTTCTGTTTGATGTTATTGGAATAGCACATAATCCTAGGCGGTGCTTCATCTGTCAAACAGCTTGGAATCCTGTGCTGGTTCCTGGTTCACCGAAGGGTCGAGAAGAGAGAATTGGCTGTGGCGGGTGTGGAAATTCAAGGGCAAGGCAGTGAGTATGAAGGTCTCTGGGTACAAACCAGGAGCAGGAGTGCCGTCGTCAATGTTTTCCAAGAGGACTGGGGCAATGGGACCAAAGGCACATGCCCTTGTTTGTTTTGAGGCAGCAAATATGAAATTGTTTTTTATTAATTGATTTTTATTTTAGGGGGTAACAAATGCTGTTGGTAAAAGCCCAAAGACAAAGAATGTACTGTGAAAGCAAAGAACTTCTTCCTGGCCCCTGACTAAAGGTCTTGCTTATCTTTGCAGAAAATTCTATGAATATGCAAGCATCTCTCCAGTCATGAAAAACAGGAATACATTATACCTGCCGTTCTGCAGGTGTTCCTTCCAAGAAACAACACGAGATGAGCATCTTTCCAGCCATGTTTTGACTCATGCAATTCTGGACTCTGTGGAGGTTTTGGTCATGGACATTCCCAGGATGCAACCACAGTACAGCCCACCGCTGTAGGTAACAGGGAACTCTAGGGAATGTGATCCCGCCAGGGAATGACTTTGGGGCTACTGAGCTATACTCATTGACATTCTTCATTTTTCATGCCTCCCAGGTAATTGCCTGAGAAAATCATCCACAATAGCCTGGATGGATCAACCAGTGGAAGACACAATTTCTTGTAATTCTACAAATGGTTTTTAGATGTTATTCCTAACATAATATCCATTTTGATGTAAGTGAGAACATGGAAAGAATAGACAAATTATATACAAATCATATATGAAAATGTGATGTTAAATACAAAACTGAAAAAAGGAGGGTGGACTTCTAAGCATGTAGCTAGGCTAACTTTACAATGACTGTTGACACTGGCATTCTAGCTGACTGCAGAATGAGCTCACCACACCTAGATCCTATAATCTGGGTCTGGCTTGATTTGAAGTTGCTGGGTCAGGTTGGTGGTAGTGTTAGGGCCTTTCTTTAGGGTTGGACAGTTTGGAATTAATGCAGATATAAAAATGACACCTCAGACCTCAGGAAGATTAGGTCTGACTCTCTCCTGATAGACCCAAGAATCTTCTGGAGCTTCTTGAGGGGAGAGAATCCTGAAGACTCTGGAATGAGAGGCCACGAAGTGTAACTTTCCCTTCATCCATACTGTGGCCTGCCTGCTGTGGTCCTCTTTTGTCAGTTGGCCAATGGGTGTTTTGCTTTCAACTGCTGGTTAGGGGAACCCACTATTTTCTCCTCACGCTATTTCATCTTCTTCTTTACTAGGATGATTACACTAGTGGACTACATTATTACATGAAATAGCTCAGTATCTTCTGGGAGAAAATTTGCTTGTACAATGTATGAGCTATGTTAGTGGCATATTATTTTACACTTTCTTCTTTTATTGACACATTTTTGGGGTTCTCCAGCAAATCGCTTAACCCTGATTTCCTTATCTTAACCACCAAGGGATTGAAACTGATCGTCTCTAAAGTCTCATACAAAGTCTTCTCTCCCTGCTCCCACATGCATGCATTGTGTTCACAGCACCTACCTGGCCTCCCAGCCTCCGGTTCTCTAACCTACTCCTACCCGAATCCACACTCCACCATGTTACTCAGTATATTCCTGTGCAGCCTGGCATTGCTGGATAGAGGGAAGGGCTCCCTGCCCCTGGTTCTTGGCATGGTTCTTGCAAACTCTCAGCTTCACCACTCACAGGGCAAGACATGCCCACCTCTGCCCCAGCCCAAACAAGGGCAGCTTCCTAGGAGGCCGTGTGGTTTGTGGATGCCCTGCCTTTGTTCAGAGCAATGCCTGGAATCATATCCCTCCAGTGCACCGAGAGCATTTTCTCCACCTCACAAGTCCATCAGGATTGTCCAGAGAAATTTTGAAAATCAGGGATGCCTCTGTTTCACCTGCAGCAATGGTGATTCCACTGGTCTAGATTGGGACCTGGGCAATGATGTTTTCTAAACCCCTCAGGTCGGAGAACCACCAGCTTAGGGAAGCCCAGTCAGCTTTAGAAACAGCACAAGCTATCTGTAATCCCAGCACTTTGGGAGGCCAAGGTGGGCAGATCATTTGAGGTCAAGAGTTTGAGGCCAGCCTGGCCAACATGGTGAAACCCCGTCCCTACTAAAAATACAAAAAATTAGCCAGGCATCGTGGTGTGCATCTGCAGTCCCAGCTACTTGGGAGGCTGAGGCAGGAGAATGGCTTGAACCCGGGAGGCAGAAGTTGCAGTGA
Organism: Homo sapiens; assembly: GCF_000001405.40. Classification (NCBI taxonomy): domain Eukaryota; kingdom Metazoa; phylum Chordata; class Mammalia; order Primates; family Hominidae; genus Homo; species Homo sapiens. The sequence goes on from NC_000005.10 coordinate 3,230,144, forward strand.
GCTAAGATCGCTCCATTACACTCCAGCCTGGTGACAGAGTGAGACTCTGTGCCAACAAACAAACAAGCAAAAACAAAAATAAAAAAAAAGTAAAGAAACTGCACAAGTATCATGAGGCGTGTCCCACCACACTGCATTCCCTGCACCATGGGCAGCCCTGCTTCTGGAAGCCACCCTGTGGTCTGTCCCCTGCCCCTCTGTCTCCCTGGCCACTCAGGAAGGCCATGAGTCCCCACACATAGCAGTATGACTGGTCCCCAGTAGGCCAACAATGACTGCTCAGAAAACACTCTGGGCTCATTCGGTCTTTACCAGCAGGGAGGCACCTGTTGCCCTGAGTGAGCAGATGAATCTGATACTTGCTCCTCTTTGCATTTTCTAACATTTACTTCAATGCTGTCTGCAAGGATCATAGCACATTTCACAAGCACGTGAAAGTGCACTTGGCAGCTGTGAGTCATGCAAGGACAGTATTCTACTGACCTGAGATTGCGCTCTCTGCCCTCGCACCCCAACCCGTGCAGCCCCAACTGCGTCCAAGTTTCCTGCCCTCCTGCTCACATTGACCCATCTGTGTTGACCCAATCAACCAAACGAGCTTCAGGCCCAAACAGAATTCAGGATTTTCCTCAAATGTTATGTTCCAGCATTTAAAACTATGTAAGTATAAAATGTGTACCTCAGCTATGATGTTTATGTATGTTTTATAAACTTTTTTGAAAAAAAAAAATAAAGAGAATTTGAATCCCACGTGAAAAGGAAACTTGGCCATCCCATCTGGTGTCCGCAGGAGGTTTGGTCTGTGTTCATGCTTCTCAGATTCACACTGGCTTCATTGCTTTGTTAACACCCGCTCTGTGGTGCTTCTGGGCACATGTTCTGCAGATGTTCCAGAGGCCTGGTCAGACAGAAACGCTTGCCCCTCAGAGTCCTGTCTCACTTGCTCCAGGGACCGCAGAGCCTGGGAGTGTTGAGGAACTGCTCCATGCTCTTATCCGTGGAAGTCCAAGTTCCAATGGACAGCGGTTTTTGGAGGCCCAGGGGCCATGGGCAGAGGGCCCGTGACCTTCTCAGCAGTAGGTCAGGCATGTGTCAGCCTGTGAGGCTCACACCAGCTCCCTGTTGTCTGTGGCTGAGCACTGTGGACACGTCATAGGGGAGCATTACTACGCGGATGTCTGTCCCGACCAGCTGGTGGTCAGAACATCCTCGCTGCCACTGAGAAACAAATGACAGGCCCCCTCCGGTCCATATGTGATGTCTGAAGCAAGTCCCAAAATGGACTGTGTTGAGATCTACAAAGAATCCTTGGCTAGGCACATGTAGGAAGACAAACTAGATGTCTAGGGGGTAACTTTGTAATTACCAAAGGATTTTCCATTTTGTGAAAATGCTTGTTCATGTAGTTTCTTCATTATTTCTTTGTTCATGTAGCTGTTCGCTAATTTTTCCATTGTTCACCATGTTCCGGGCACTTGTGTGGAGCTGGGACCTGGACAAACAAGACAGCATCTCTGCCCTCAAGCACTTCTCTAGGTGATGGCATTTTGAAGTAGGTGATATTTTAAAGGGGATGCATCTGCAGTCTTTTCGGGAACTAATATTTTACAAATCAGGCCCCGTTGCCAAAGCCATTGGGCAACGTGTCCACAGATGGCCTAAGTGATAGAGAATTCTTTTCTTCAGAGAGGGGGTTTACCTTGGTGTGAAAAGAGTTGGGCTCTCCGCACAATCTTTGCAAGCACAATCAAAACTCTATGAGCATCTGTTAGAACTTGTGAGAAAAAAGCCCATCTTCCATTAAACACCCTTCATTCTGGCTTCAGATGCCCTGTTCTCTGATGAATCCTGCTCGGCTTCCCTGCATGATGAGTGTGCTCAGGTGAGGGGTGACATTGTCACTTGAGGTTTTGGTTTACAGCCTTTTTAATTATACCCGTTCTCTAAAGCACTTACATGATGCTCTTAAATAGAGCTGACCCTTTTTATTTAATTTCATTTGCCTGTTAGTGTTTGGAGACTCTCCAGCAAAGCACTTCAGTAAATTCAATAAAGTTCATACTATAATTAATATGGGACCCAATAACTGTGGGGACCCAGTCCTCTATCAGCAGCATCATAATTTGACTAGAAGCACAAATATTTTAGTGAATTAAGTAGCAGAAATTGGAGTGAATCAATGAAATAAAACATTATGTTTTGTAAAATTAGTAAGCTTCAAATGTGGAACAGTTTACTACCAAATGCAATCAGTAGGGTCTTCTGGACCTTTTGTACCACTGTAATTATGGTGTGAGCTATAGATTTTGCTGCGTTGTTGGGATACATTACTGATTTCTCCCTACTTCCATCACACAAATTAAAATAATGTCGAGTTTTACTTCAGGTCTTGTATTATTCTTTTTTTTTTTGTAGCTACAATTTAGAGCCAACTCTGGATGAAAAGAGGGCATTCTGTATTGACCGCTGACATTCTACTTCTGATTCTAGAAATAATATTTCTTTTAAGAATTACCTTTATTAGTTATAGATTGTGTAACTTGAGGGACCTCTGATCTAGGATAATCAAGATTGACTAAGTTAAAGCTGAAAAATAATGTTAATGAAATACGGTATGAGTCACAATTTTAAACACAGTGGTCACTCCCACTGTTCACTGTAGACTCATTTGAACTCTATGGAGTATATTTGCATCTCCAGAATCTTCCCAATAATGTAATCCATTCCAGTGAAGCTCTAAATGGAAAGCAAGGATCTAGGTTCTTTTTAAAAATTGAAACATAATATTTGTATATATTTATTGGGTACATATGATATTTTGTTACATGCATAGAAGGCGGAATGATTAAGTTAAGGCATTTAGGATGTTCGTCACCTTGAGTATTTATCATTTCTATGTATTGGAAACATTACAAGTCTTCCCTTTAGCTAGTTTGAAATATATAATACATCCTTGTTAACTATAGTCACCTCCTCTCCCAGTGATCAATAGGAAAAAAAAAACATAAAACTATAGTCCCCCCTCCCACCCACACACCTTTCCCAGTCTCTGGAATCTATTATTCTACTGTCTAACTCTGTGAGACTTTTTTTTTTTTAGCTCCCACATATGAATAAAAGTGTGATATTTGTCTTTCTGTGAGTGGCTTATGTCACTTAACGTAATGACTTTCAGTTCCATCTGTGTTGCTGCAAATGATATGATTCTTCTTTTTTATGGCTGCATAGTATTCCACTATATATATATTATATATATAATATATATATATATATGTGATGATCTCCCAAAAAACTAAAAATAGAACTACCACACAATCCAGCAATCCCACTACTGAATATTTATTCAAAGGAAAGGAAATATATATATATATATATATAAAACTCTCTATATATATATGTGTGTGTGTGTGTACATATATATGTGTGTGTGTGGAGATATATATATATATATATATATATATATATATATATATACAGTTTCTTTATCCACTCATCTATAGATAGGCACTTTGGTTGATTTCTTATCTTTACTCTTGTGAACAGTCTGTGATAAATAGGAGGATGCCATATGGGTTCCCTTTCCTTTGAATAAATATTCAGTAGTGGGATTGCTGGACTGTGTGGTAGTTCTATTTTTAGTTTTTTGGGTGATCATCACCCTGTTTTCCATAGTGGCTGTACTATAGGACCACAACTCTGAACAGAAAAATACACTGTAAATAATCAGCTTGTGGCCAGGATGCTGCCAGTGGCATTATTTCATTAATAATGCATTTTTGGTTGTCAAAAACAATCAGTATTGTAGCTCTTTCCTAGATATTGTTTATTAGAAATCACTTTGCAACAGTGCATTATTTTGCAGAGAATAAAAAGCAAAACCATTCCATCAGCTGGAATTAACAGTCAGGAAAGACAATCTTTCAGAAAAGGAAAGAGATAAATTAGCATATGGAAATCTGTTCTAAAACATCAGCCTATATTTGTTGACATAGGAAAATGAACAATGTGTATTCAAGCACAGAGATTAAAGTTACTTGAAACATTTCCTAATTGTTGTTGTTGATTAATAAGAAAGTACTGTTTGAGGAATGTCAAATTCTTGTTGTTGTTGTTTTTCAATCCCAGTTGGGGTTTGTACCACATGTAAAATAGATATTTCATGAGCAAGCCTTACAAGAAGACAGAATTGCTTAAATCAGACTGTAATATCGTAACCATATGGTAATCCTCTTCTCAGACCTTTAAAAATCCTATTGTCTACCAATTGCAATAAGATTTCAATTTGTACTTGAGCCTTATTTAGGTGGAATAGAAGAAGACATTGACCACTGTGGTTGCACTTTCAGCACACATGGGTGTGGCCCCGCACTGGCGGGCAGAGTGCTTCTGCCTTTGGAGCAAGAGGCCGAGTTGTGCACCTTCTCCGCCATTGCGATGAGAAGAGACCTTTCCCTGTGGATAAATGGGGCAAAAGTTGTTCAATCCTGAGCTCCATGTGTTTTCTTATGGTGTGGAAACCCAACCTGCCCCATGTCTGGATGTGTGTTTTGTCCCCGCCACCTGTGGAAGCCAGCAGGCCTGTGTGCAGTACGGTTGGCTCAGCTAATTGCCCACTTGCCTAAAGGAAAATGTGAAGCAGCATGTTAAAACTTATTGGAAGGAATCCTGAGTCAAAGTCACAGCTGAGATATCTGCCGGGGGTGTCTAAGGAACAAGGACACCCGGTTGTGACGCTCGGGGGCTCTCGGACTCCAATGAGGGTGCATAAGCCTTTTGTATAAGTAATGGAATAATCCACACTACTCTTCACCTGTTTGGGACAGGAACAGACTCAGTCTTACAATGGAGAAACATGAGATGTGGTATTAAAAGAATTCACTTTTTAAAAACTTAGTCCAGAGACGATGAGCTGCACACCCAACTCAAGAATTAGAACAGGCTGGCCAGCACTCACTCACTCTTTCACTGGTGCATAATTAGAAGACAGAGAGAGACAATGTAAATATTCAAGTCACCATACCTCCACATCGTATAAACTGTAGCACAAGTCAGGGGAGAACATTACTTGCTTCTTTTTCCCTATGTGACCATTTTCAAGGGAGAGCTCTAGAAGAACAAAAGGCCAGACATCCCCTACATCATGCCACTGCTGACACTGACAGAAATGGCAATCTCAGACTTTTGTATCAGAAGGTGTCCATCTGAATCATAACAGGTTGTCCCAGTTATTCTTGGCAGCTATCAGTCCAAGGGTCAAAAGAGCATCTCACCCAGCACCTGTATACAGGTGCATTTGGTTGTGATGACTGTGGGAGGTGTGGCCGGGCACCACAGGGTGACAGGGAGGAAGCCATAGACACACCATGAACAGAAAGGGCCACCTGACCAAGGCTCTTCCACCTTCATGGGGCCTATATTTTGCCTGTTTTCTAGCAAGCTGGGCTCTGCCCAACTTCAAACTAGAAAAGACTTTCTCCCACGGAAATGGATGCCAGGCATTCACCATCAAGAGGCATCTTATGCTCGCCCTTTCTCCGTTCGTTGGCCATTGAACTCAGAGCCCACCTGGCTGTTATGGTGTCTTCTCTCCTGCCATGTTGGATGCACACCTTCCTCACTCCTGGTACGAGTGAGCTTCCTCCAGAATGTCACTGTTCCAGTTCATCCAGGCAACTAGCTCAAGGACCCGCATCAGTACACCCCACATCTTGGCCTAGCCCTGGCACCCTGCTCCCCAAGAGCCTTCCTGGGAGGGGCCATGCTCCCCATTGGCCTGATCTTCCTGGGTCTCAGGTCCCAGGGCTTACACTTAGTGGACTTTGTAGAGTCCACAGGGACCTAATGTTGATGCCTAAGAAGAAATTTGATGCATGGTTTGCTAAACTCAGACCTCATGGCCAACTGTAGGAACAAGGACTGAAGCAGTGTGGCCCTGGAATCACAACCCTGCTCCCTGTCTTCCCTTCTCCCTGTCTTCCCTGCTCCCTGTCTTCCCTTCTGAAACCTTATGCCCCAGGCCCAGTTCCCAGTGAGTGGAGCCTCTGGGCAACCACAAGAATTCTTTCCTGCCATCTGATACCTCACCATATGGCCAGTACCACGCATGCTCCCTTGGCTGCAAGACGGAGAGGGAGCCTTCACGAGTGGGAATGTCACTCATGCACGGTGGCGGGAAAGGGTGCTCCACATCTGCTGCTCCAAAGTGTCCCTGAGAGGACCGTGAGGAGCTCCGCAGGACTGGCGTGACGCTCCATTTGCCACCTCCCCCGCTTTGTCTCATCTGCCTATTCCCAGTGGATGAAGGAACACATGAAATCCTTGCCTCCTCTGTTCAAAGAGGAGGGTCAGCCATTATGTTGGCAAATTGACACTTTCTGTACAGAAACTGATGTGAATGGCTGCCCTGATGAATGCATCAGTTTCTGTGATGAAAAGCCTCTTTTAGCTTGAAGCTGGACAAAACCTAGTTTGTTAGAAAACAAGCAAAATACTGGTGTTGGGGCCCCATCAAGGTGGAAGAGCCTTGGTCAGGTGGCCCTCTCTGTTCATGGTGCGCCAATGGCTTCCTCCCTGCCACCCTGTGGTGCCCGGCCACACCTCCCACAGTCTTTACAACCGAAATGTGAGGAGACAACCGCACCCTCTGTCCTATGATCTGGCCCTACGTGAGGTGCTGGGAAGAGTGACCAGGCAGGTGATTCAGGGCCAGCCTCACCTGCCAGGATCCCAGAGTGGATGGGGCCTGAGGTGCTGGCAGAAAAGTGTCCCCCATGCTGGTGGCCTCTGTGTCCACCTGGCACAATGACCAAGCACTTACTGATCAGTTTCTTAATTCAGGTAGGCTTGATCTGTGGGTGGATTCATCGTATAGGAGAGTACATGCACTAGATAAAGCATGATTCACGGTCCACACTGGGTGCGGTCAGCGACGGCCACCATCAGCAGTGAGCTCTAGTCAGAAACAGACACATGAGGAAGGGGAGCCACACCATTGATTCCAAGGCCAAGTGCTATGTCGTGGTGTTCACTGGATACATCTCTCAAATTGGAAGCAGGAGCTCATTCCAAAAAAAATGGTCCCGAGAGGCACGAAAACACTCCCTTGGGGTGGCCTGCCTATCTGCTGCAACCATGGGGTTTGGCCGCCACCGTCTGGAGCAAGTGCAGCCCCATGGAAGCAGGCAGCAGAAGGGTGGAACTGTTTCCAATGCCTTTGTCTCTAGGCTGTCCATGTATGCAATGGCCTCACTGCCGAGCTGGCCCCCATTCCATGTGTCTGTGCAGCACCACAGAGCACTGACCCTGGGGACCTCCTTGCCTGGAGAACTTCATTGACTTGTTGGCTTACCTTGATTAGGTGGATCGTGTTCCAATCAGTCACAGGTACCATCCACAGATTCAAGGTGGCTGAAGAACCGCTCCAGCGAGAGGCATTCTCATGCTCCTAGCCCAAGGTACCTTCAAGAAGTCTGGGTCTGACACCAAGTCCTGCCGGTTCGCCATGGAGGTAGGTACCTGCTGGTTCGCCATGGAGGTGGGTACCTGCTGGTTCGCCATGGCAGTACTCACACCATGCAGGGGCCTCTGCCTTATTCTGCACTAAGTCTACTAAGCTCCTGGGGTCCTGAGCTGCATTGCTGCACAGAGCTTGGGTTTGGGGAGAGGCGTTGAGGGAGCCACAGGGTCCTAGGGCAGAGTTGGGAGTTCTGTGCCTATGCTCAGTGTCAGCACTCACAGCATGGGGCAGGGGAGGGGAGGGCCAGGTTTTTTTTCTCGAAATTGCCTCCTCTGAGACCATAACTCTCTTGTCTTGTTGGTAAAATGGCTCGTTTTGCTTCTGGAATTGGACATTCCTCAGTCTACTGGCCTCATTCCCATGGGAGGTGTCTGCATGATGATCTGTTTCATGAGGTAGGTTCCCACTTTGGAGAAGACATTTAAGACATTTGAGATGTTAATTCACTTTGTCCATACCTACCAGTTCCGGACCCTGACCAGATAAAACTTTCAAGAGGTTTCCAGAGAAGTTTCCCAGGCCTCTTCCCAGCCAGCACAGGACTGGGCACTTTCCCATAAATGCACCCTGCCCAAGGACCACTGTCTCCGGGGAGCCGCATCGGCCTCAGCATTTCCTGTATCCTTTGCTTCACCAGGCTTGATGGATGACAACTTATCTGAACTCTGTGACACTGAGGGAGACCTTTGAGATAGGCTTTGCCCGGCGAGCAACTGAGCACAGCCTCACACCAGCCCTGTCAGGAGAGACAATCTTCCACAAAGCCAACCAGTTACACTTGGCCACACAGCTGTTGCCCACAAAACCTTGGCAGCCACCCTTTGCATGGCTAAAGTCACCAATCTCTCTGATGGACAGTCCATTTTTGCCATTTTGTAAACAGCAGAGTCCCTGTACAGACATGAGAGGTTGAGGAAGCGGTATAGGATCATTGATGCTGGACAGCTAAGCTGCTAAGACCACCAGCATTGGCAACAACAACTCCTGTGCTTAGCCCAGCAGGGGAGCGTAGGAATGGCATGGGGAGAAAGTGGGAAACCTCTCTCCCTACCCCAGACATGCTCTGCTGCTGTTCGGAAATTATGGAGAATTTCAAAATAGTGGCAGCAGAGCCTACATTAAGCAGGGGACTTATAATTTCATAGGCTGCGACCCCGGGAAGATTGTCTGCTCAGCCCTATACCAGCTACCTTCAACCCAGCATAAACATCCCAGGAAAGAATATTCTCTAGGCTTCATGGGCCATTTCTGAATCCACTGGCACAGAGCCCATGCCCTGTATTGCTCTCCTCTCAACAAGCCCTGCCCTCCAGCCGTGGTGCATTCCCATCTCTGCTTCTTCACTTACCTCTGGCTTAGAATGCAGGTGTGACCTCTTGGGGCCCTCTAGACAGATGCATATTCTCTCCCTGCATTCCAGCAGAACATCTGCTGGCTGACTCAGAGATGCCTGGTAATGATGGGCAGGGTCCCAGAGACCCTCCTGTCCGAATCCCAGCATCTGACAAGTCACATCCCTTCATGGTTTCAATGCAGGATCCTTTCATCTTTACTAGAAAGAGACTCAGGGATTTTTTTTTTTTTTGAGACAGAGTCTTGCTATGTTGCCCAGGCTGAAGTGCAGTGGCGCGATCTCGGCTCACTGCAACCTCCGCCTCCCGGGTTTAAGTGATTCTCCTGCCTCAGCCTCCGGAGTAGCTGGGATTACAGGCGTGCACCACCACGCCTGGCTAAATTTTGTATTGATTCTGAAGGATTCCTAACAGAGGTATTGTTGCAATCACATATGGAGTTATCTGTATAGAGTTAGTCATCTGTTTAGAATTCTCTATAAAGTCTCTACAGTTATTTGTATAGAGAAACAACTGCATAGGCCAAACTGGGCATGCCCAAAGAAGAGATGATGTCAGTGTTATCGTTGATAATGGAACACACACAGGAGGGAACGTTCAAAAGCAAACAAAAAACATACAGAAAAAAATTTACTTGAGGACAAATAATTTATTATTTTGAGTGTTTCACCGTTTGTAAAATTAATAGAAATATAAATCTCAGCCTTAAAATAAAAGATGGAGTTGGAAATTTCTCAGAGCTTTGATAGTTCTAGGAAAACTTAAGTCTTTATTACACCATTGTGTTAAATCTAACAAATTAGAGAGGGAATGACATTTTCATATATTGAGTCTTCTGATACCTGAGCATGGTATATCTCTCTATTTATTGAGATATTTTAAAATTTTCCCCAGCAATGTTTTACAGTGTTCTGCTTACAGGTTTTGCACCTTATTATTTTTAAAAATTTATTTACTTATTTATTTATTTTGAGACAGAGTCTCGCTCTGTTGCCCAGGCTGGAGTGCAGTGGCACGATCTCAGCTCACTGCAAGCTCTGCCTCCCGGGTTCATGCCATTCTGCTGCCTCAGCCTCCTGAGTAGCTGGGACCACAGGCACCCGCCACCACACCTGGCTAATTTTTTGTATTTTTAGTACAGACAGCGTTTCGCCATGTTAGACAGGATGGTCTCCATCTCCTGACCTCATGATCCGCCCACCTCGGCCTCCCAAAGTGCTAGGATTACAGGCGTGAGCTACCGCGCCAGGCCACACATTATTTTGCAAATTTACCTTTATTCTTTAGAAAAATTTTGATACTGTTTTAAATAATAATTGTTTAAAATTTTTAATTTCTTATTTTTGTTGCTACTCTGTATCCTACACCCTTAGTAAACTCATAAGTTCTAATATCATTTTGTATATCCCTTTGAATTTTATAAAAAAGTATTAAATTTGTAAGTAGAAAAGGATTTGCTTCATTTCCCACCCAAATCCATATGATTTTGTTTCTTTTTCTCATCCTATTTCACTACTACAACCTCTAGAATATGTTGAATACAGGACATCTTTTCCTTTTCCTGATCTTATGCAATTTTATTTTAGAGCAATTTTGGTTTCATATAAAATTAAGTGAAAGTTACAGAGATTCCATGAAGGAAGCTATGTATGCTCTCACACATGCAGAGCTTCTCCCATTATCAGCATCCCCTACCAGAGTGGAACATTTGTTACACTTGATGAACCTGCATTAACACATCATAATCATCCAAAGTCTATAGTTTACCTTAGGGTTCACTCTTGCTGTAATGACATGTATCCAACATTGTAGGATAATACAGAGTATTTTTCACTGCCCTTAAAATCCTCTGCATTTCAACTATTCCTTTTTCTTCTCGCTTCCAATTCCTGACAACCATTTATATTTTTCTCTTTTGCCTTTTTGAGAATGTCATACTGATGGAATCACACAGGATGTAGCCCTTTCAGATTGGCTTTTTTTCACTTAGTAACATGCTTGATAGCTCATTTCCTTTTAGTTCTGAATAATATCATATTTTTTTGAAGAATCATGGTTAATTTATTTCATCACACAGGGAGTGACATCTTGGTTGACTCCAAGTTTTGGCAATTATGAATAAAGCTTTTATAAACATCTATGTGCAGGTTTTTGTACAGAACTAAGTTCTCATCTCTTTTGGGTAGATATCCAGAAGTGTGATTTCTGTATCACATGGCAACAGTGTGTTTAGTTTTGTAAGAAACTGCCAAACTGTTCCCCAGAGTGGCTGTACCATCCTGCATTTCTACCAGCAATAAAGGAGAGTTCCTGTTGCTCCACATCCTCACCAACATTTGATGTTGTCAGTGGTCTAGATTTTGGCCATTCTGATAGGTAAGTGGTCTCATTTTATTGATTTTTTTTTTTTTAGACCAAGTCTCACTCTTATCCCCCAGGCACGGTCTCAGCTCACTGCAACCTCTGCCTCTCGGCTTCAAGAGATTCTCATGCCTCAGCCTCCTGAGTAGCTGGGATTACCGACGGCTGCCACCACAACTGGCTAATTTTTGTATTTTTAGTAGAGATGGGGTTTCACCATGTTGGCCAGGCTGGTTTCGAACTCCTGACCTCAGGTCATCCATTCACCTCAGCCTCCCAAAGTGCTGGGATTACAGGCGTGAGCCACTGTGCCCGGCCTTATTGATGTTTTCATTTGCGCTTCTCTGATGACATATGAAGTGGAGCATCTTTTCCTATGCTTACTTGCCGTGTGTATATCTTTCTTGGTAAGATGTCTCTTAAGGTCCGGCTAATTTTGAAATCTGGTTGTTTGTTTTGTCATTGAGTTTTTAAATTTTGGATATTAGTCATTTATTCAATGTTTCCTTTGCAAATAGCTTCTTTTAGTCTGTGGCTTGTCTTCTCATTCTCCTGACATTGTCTTTCATAGAGCAGAACTTTTACATTTTATTGAAGCCTAGCTTATCAATTACTTTTCTCAAGGATTATGCCTTTGGCATATATCAAAAAAAGTTATCACCATCCAAGGTAATCTAGGTTTTCTCCTATATTTCTTCTAGGGTTTTATAGTTTTGCATGTTACATTTAAATCTGTGATCCATTTTGAGTTAATTTTTTGTGAAGAGTTTAAGGTCTGTGTCTGAATCCATTTTTACAGGTGGCAGTCCAGTTGTTCCAGCACCATTTGCTGAAAAAAGATTCTCTTTTCTTCATTGTATTTATCTTGCTCTGTCTCAAAAATCAACTGATTATATTTACGTGGGTCTATTCGTGGGCTTTCTGTTCTGTTCCACTGATCTATTTGTTAATACCCCACTGTATTTTATTATGGTAGCTTTATGGTAAGTCTGGAAGTTGGGTAGTATCAGTCCTGCAATGTTCTTCTCTGTCAATATTTCATTGGTCATCCTGGCCTTTTTGGTTTTCCCTATAAACTTTAGAATCATTTTTTGACACCTATAAAATCACAGTTGAAATTTTGATTGGAATAAAAATTCATCTACATATGAAAGTGATTCTATTAGGGAGAATTAACTCAAATGATTACAAAGGTGAAGTCCCATGACAGGCTGTCTGCAAGCTGGAGAAAGAGAAAAGCGAGTAGTGTGGCTTCCAGGGAAGGTGGTAGCATGGCACAGTTTAATTCCAAAAGCCTCAAAACCATAGAAGCTGACAATGTAGCCCCTGGTCCGAGGCCAATGGCCTGAGATCCCCTGGGTGGCTGCTGGTGCAAGATGCAGAGTTTGAAAGCCAAAGAAACAACCTGGAGTCTGATGTCCAAGGGCTGGAGGAGAAAAACTATCCTGCTCCAGAAGAGAAAGTACAGGGTGAGAGGCAGAGAGAGAGAAAGAGAACAGGCAAATGAGAGTTAAGCACCTGACATACCCCCTCTTCCACCTGCTTTGTTTTAGTCACGTCTGCAGCTGATTAGGTAGTACCCAACCTCATTAGGAAGCACCTTTCTCTCTCAGTCCACTGGCTCACAGGTAAATCTCTTATGGAAGCACCTTCACAGACACACCCAGAAACAACACTTCATCAGTCGTCTAGGCATATCTCAATCCAGTCAATTTGACACCTAATAATAATCATCCCAAGTTCGCCCTGCGTCAACTTGACATCCATATGCATCTCCTTAAGGTATACTTAATTTCCAAACAAAGACAATAGGAAGGTCATCATTCCACCTGATATACAACTGAAAACACACTAATCCTATCCCCAGAAAAGGAAGTAAATTATTGAGTAATGTTAATTTCTGATATCCAATAACTTAAACACTATGATGCAAAATTTATAATACTTAAATGCTGACATAAAGTTAATTAACATTACGTTACGTGATAAAGGAATAACAGAAAATAAAACAAAGATATTTTCTTAATATGAGTGTATATAGCACATATTCCTAACAAAATAAGGAGAAAATACTCATCACAATTTCAGTCTTTATTACTATAATCTGTCATGCGGTTGTAGCTGGTATTTGTAACTATCTTCATCTACTACTCATTGTGTATTCCCTTGGCCTTCAGCAGGCCCTCCAGCTGATCATGGTTCTTCACCTAGTGAGGTGACCCAAACCTTTGTTCCTGAAGGGCCTGGGCCATTCATAATCCCTCTTGGATTGGTTGTTGTAGTTTCCAATTGACCTTAATTACAGGGCACAGTAATATTAAAAGAAGCCCTAGGGACCTTGTGTATTCCAGACATAATCTTTCTTACTTCCATGTAGTCCAATTTCCTTTTGGTAGTTTGGATTAATCATCCCAGCCAACACTGTAACTCCCTTCTTAGACTTTTGACTAAGAGGCATGAGGAGCCCAAAGTGGCTGGGTGGCAATCCTAACTTCCAGTTTCGTAACATCATGGTTGCGTCTCCTGGTAGAAGCATTCCTCCCTCTGGAACTCTAGGCCAGCAGTGGAGCATCTTAAAGTCTTTGCCTTAGTCTCTGTTCTCCGCTTGTCTCATCACACCCTTAATCTTCCTCTTATAAGAATCTTTGTGATTACATTGGGCTTATTTAGACAGTCCAGAATAACCTCCCAACTCCCTTTCTTTTTGTTTTTTTTTTGAGATGGGTCTCTCTCTGTAGCCCAGGCTGGAGTACAGTGGCGCGATCTCCGCTCACTGCAAACTCTGCCTCCCGGGTTCACGCCATTCTCCTGCCTCAGCCTCCTGAGTAGCTGGGACTACAGGCGCCCGCCACCAAGCCCGGGTACTTTTTTTTGTAGTTTTAGTACAGACGGGGTTTCACCGTGTTAGCCAGGATGGTCTCGATCTCCTGACCTCATGATCCACCTGCCTCAGCCTCCCAAAGTGCTAGGATTACAGGCGTGAGCCACCGCGCCCGGCCTAACCTCCCCACTCTTAGTACCGAATTTCTGTCTTAGTTCTGTTCATGTTGCTATACAGGGATAGCTGAGTAATTTTTAAAGAAAAGAGGTTTATTTGGCTCTGTTCTGCAGGCTGTAGAAGCACGGCACAAGCTTCTGCTTGGCTTCTGATGGGAACTCATGCTGCTTCCACTCACCAGGAAGGCAAAAGGGAGCTGATGTGCAGAGATCATATAATGAGAGCAGAAGCAAGAGAGAGGAGTAGGAGGTGCTCGGCTTCCTTCAACAACCAGCTCTGGCAGGAACCAACAGAGTGAGAACTCAACTGTGACCTCAAGGATAGCACCAAGCCATTTACCAGGGAATCACCTACCCTATGACCAAACACCTTTCACAAGGCCCCACTCCAAACACTAGGACCAAATTCCAAAATGAGGAGTGGAGGGCCAAACATCCACACCAAAACATCAATGTATTTATTTTTGGGGGTGCTAATGTAAATAGTATTGCATTTTAAATTTTAAAATTCTGCTTGTTCATTGCTGGTATGTAAGAAAGCTAGTGATGATTGTATACTAACTTTATATACTGAAAACTTGCCGTAATTGCCCATTGTTCCAGGAAACTTTTGTTTGATTCACTTGGATTTTCTATATAATGACCATGTAATCTGCAAAAAGAGTTTTATTTCCTCTTTCCTAATAGTGTAACTTTTTTTTATTTCTTGTCTTATTGCATTAGCTAAAACTTTCAGTACAATGTTGAAAAGGAGCAGAAATAGGAAACATCCTTGCATTGTTTTCAACCTTAGTGAGAAAGCTTAAGTTTCTCACCATTAGGTATGATGTTAGCTGTAGGCTTTTTGTAGATATCTATTGTCAAGCTGAGCTAGTTCTCCTCTATTCCTGGCTTACTGAGAGATTTTATCAGGGCTGAGTGTTAGTTTTTTTCTTTTTTTTTCTGTGCTTTTTTGGTATCAATTAATATGATCACGTTTTTATTTTTTTAGCCTATTGATATGATGAATTATATTAACTGGCATTTGAATTTTGAACCAGCCTTGCATATTTAACATAAATCCTACATGGTCATGGTATATAATCAATTTTATACATTTATAGATTTGATTTGCTAATATTTTGTTGAGAATTTTTGCATCTAAGCTCATAAGAGATAGTGGTCTGTGTTTTCTTTTCTTGTAATATCTTTGTTTTATATTGGCATTAGAGTGATACCAGTCTCAAAGAGTTAGAAAATATTCCCTCTGCATTCTACCTTCTTAAAGAGATTATAGAGACTTGGTATAGTATTTTTCTTACATGATTGGTACAGTTTACCAGTGAACATATCTAAGTCTGGTGCTTTCAGATTACTTGTTCAATTTATTTAATATATACAGTTCTATTTAGATTGGTTATTTCTTCTTATGTGAGCTTTGGCAGATTGTGTCTTTCAATAATTTGTCTATTTCATCTAGGTTATCATAATTGCGGGCATAAAGTTATGCATATCATGGCTTGATTTTTATTTTAATATCTATGGAATCTGCAGTGATATCCTCTTTTTCATTTCTGATGTCCATAATTTGTATTACCTTTCTTTTTTTCTTAGTTACACTAGCTAGAGACTTATCAATTTTATTGATCTTTTCCAGTAATCAACTTTTAGTTTTGCTAGTTTTTAAAAATTTATTTCCTGTTTTCAATTTTATTGATTTCTATTGTACTGCTTTTTTCTTTTTCCTTCTGCTTACTTTGAATTTAATTTGTTATTCTTTTTCTAGTTCCCTAAGGTGGAAACTTAGATTATTGATTTTATGTATTTCTTATTTTCGAATACATGCATTCAATGCTATAAATTTCCCTTTATTCACTGGTTTTGCTGCATCCAACAAATTTTGATAAGTTGTTATTTCATCTTTAGTTAAAAATAATTTTTATTTTTTCTTGAGGTTTCTTCTTTGAACCATTTGTTGTTTGGAAGTGTGTTGTTTAATTTCTTCAAATTTTGAGATTTTCCAGTTGTCTTTCTGTTATTGATTTCTAGTTTAATTTGTTGTTGAGTTCAACTAGGTCCTCACTGACTTTCTGCCTGCTGAATCTGTCCATGTTTTATAGAGGATGTTTGAAATAATCTACTATGATATTTTATTTATTTATTTCTTCTTTCAGTTCTATCAGTTTTTGCCAAACGTAGTTTAACAGTCTGTTGTTAGGTGCATACATGTTAAGGATCATTACGTCTTCTTAGAGAACTGACTCTTTATCGTTATGTAATGCCTTTCTCTATCCCTGATAACTCTCCCTGCTTGGAAGTCTTTTCCGCCTGAAATTAATGTACCTATTCCATCTTTTTTAGATTAGTCTTAGTATGATATATTTTTCTTCATTCGTTTGCTTTTAATCTACATGTGTCTTTATTTTTAAAGTTGCTTTTTCCAGACAATATGGAGTGGGGTCTTATTTTTTGATTCACTCTGGCAGTATCTGTATGTTTTTTTCTTGGAGCATAGATTCAAGTTGCCCTGAATATATATGCACTCAGTCTCAGTTTTTGATTTTGGGAATTTAGTCTATTGAAGTTCAAAATGAATATTTATATAGTTGAATTAGTATCTGCCGTATTTCTTACTGTTTTCCATTTGTTGCCATTGCTTTTTATTCCTATTTTTATTTTTCACTTTTCTGCTTTTTGTGGTTTTAATTGAATGTTTTATATGATTCCCTTTTGTCTCCTTTCTTAGAGTAACAGTTACACCTTTATTAATTTTCTTGCGGTTCCCCTAGATTTTGTAATATTCATTCAACCTAATCTAAACCCTCTTTCAGGTAAAATTATACTATTCACTGATAGTGTGAGTATATTATAATAACAAATTAATCTCAATCACTTTCTCTTTCCTTCTTTATCATCGCTTTTATTCCTTTCTTGTATATGAGAATATAAGCTTATGTATAAGCATTCATTTCTTGTATATAAACATACATAAACATATATGTATACATATTATATATACATAAGCATATGTAATCAAATGCATTGCTGCTATTATTATTTTAGGCACTGTTATCTGTTAAATCAATTGAGAATAAGAACAATAAAAGTTTTCATGTTACCTTCATTTATACCCTTTTTGATGTTCTTTCTTTATCTATAAAAAGCTGAGTTTCTGACCTATATTATTTTTCTTCTCTCTAAAGAACTTCTTTTAATGTTCCTTGGAGGCAGGTCCACTGGCAACACATTCCCTTAATTTTTGTTTGCCTGAGAAATTTATACTTTTTTCTCCTTTACTTTTAAAGAATAATTTTTCAGGATATAAAATCATAACTTGGTGTTTTGTTTTGTTTTGCGTTTTTGCTCTCTCAGCACTTTAAATATAATCTGCTTGGTGTTCTCTAAGAATCCTGGATCTATGATTTAGTGTCTGATTTTAATTTGGATACTTAAAAAAAATTATTTGTGTATTTATTTTTGTTATACTTTAAGTTCTGGGATACATGTGCAGAACATGAAGGTTTGTTACATAGCTATACATATGCCATGGTGGTTTGCTGCACTCATCAACCCATCATCTACATTAGGTATTTCTCCTCATGCTATCCCTCCCCTAGCCCCCATCCCCCGACAGGTCCAGTTTGTGATGTTCCCCTCCCTGTGCCCACGTGTTCTCATTGTTCAACTCCCACTTATGAGTGGGAACATGTGGTGTTTGGTTTTCTGTTCCTGTGTTAGTTTGCTGAGGATAATGGTTTCCAGCTTCATCCGTATCCCTGCAAAGTGCATGAACTCATGCTTTTTTATGGCTGAATAGTATTCCGTGGTATATATGTGCCATATTTTCTTTATCCAGTCTACCATTGATGGGCATTTGGGTTGGTTCCAAGTCTTTGCTATTGTGAATAGTGCTGCAATAAACATACGTGTGCATATGTCTTTATAGTAGAATGATTTATAATCCTTTGGGTATCTACCCAGTAATGGGATTGCTGGGTCAAAATAGTATTTCTGGTTCTAGATCCTTGAGGAATCACCACACTGTCTTCCACAATGATTGAACTAATTTACACTCCCACCAACTGTGTAAAAGTGTTCCTATTTCTCCACACCCTTTCCAGCATCTGTTGTTTCCTGACTTTTTAATGATCTCCATTCTAATTGGCTTGAGATGGTATCTCATTGTGGTTTTGATTTGCATTTCTCTAACGACCAACGATGAGCTTTTTTTCATGTTTCTGGCCGCATAAATGTCTTCTTTTGGGAAGTGTCTGTTCATATCTTTCGCCTACCTTTTGATGGGGTTGTTTGTTTTTTTTCTTGCAAATTTGTTTAAGTCCCTTGTAGATTCTGCATATGAGCCCTTTGTCCGATGGATAGATCGCAAAAATTTTCTCCCATTCTGTAGGTTGCCTGCTCACACTGATGATAGTTTCTTTTGCTGTGCAGAAGCTCTTTAGTTTAATTAGATCCCATTTGTCAATTTTGGCTTTTGTTGCCATTGCTTTTGGTGTTTTAGTCATGAAGTCTTCACCTATGCCTATGTCCTGAACGGTATTGCCTAGGTTTTCTTCTAGGGTTTTTATGGTTCTAGGTCTTACATTTAAGTCTTTAATCCATCTTGAATTAATTTTTGAATTTGGAGACTTCTAAAGATATTATTGTTTCAAATATTTCTTCTTTTCTCTCTTCTCTCTCCTTATGGTATTCCTATTATGTGTGTGTTACATCTTTTATACTTGTCCCACAGTCCTTGGATATGTTGTTCTTTTTTTTTCCTTGTCTTTGTTTTCTTTGCTTCTCAGTTTTAGAGGGTTTTATTGATAAATCCTGAAGCTTAGAGATTCCTTCCTCAGTCATGTCCTGTCTATTAATAAGCCCATCAAAGGCATTCTTTTCTGTTCCAGTGTTTTTGATCTCTAACATTTATTTTTTGTTCTTTCTTAAGATTTTTATCTCTCTGCTTATATTGCCTATCTATTCTAGCATGTTGTCTACTTTATCTATTAGAGCCTTTAACATATTAATCCTTGTTGTTTTAAATTCTCAGTCTGATAATTCCAATATCTTTGCCATGTCTGATCCTGATGCTTTCTCTGTCTCTTCAAATTGTGCGTGTGTGTGTGTGTGTGTGTGTGTGTGTTGCCTTTTAGTATGCCTTGTTATTTTTCTTGATGACTAGACATAACGTACTGGGTAAAAGAAACTGCTGCAAAAAGGCCCTTAGTAATGCAGCAGTGAGGTGTGGGGGAGGAGAATTCTATAGTCCTGTGGTTAGTTGTTCATGTTTTCATAAGTCTGTGTCTCTGGACTTTAAACTTCACAATTGCTCATTAGTCCTCCTCCCCTTCTAAATGAGACAGGATGGGATCAGTGGCTAGAGTTGGATATTTGTCTTCTCTCATGCAGAAGACTAGAGCTGGAGTTGAGTACTTCCACCTCCTCAACATCAGTTAGGCTTTGATAAAACTGCAGCAGATTAAGCACTGGTTGTATTACTTCTTCAGAGGGGAGAGCTTCTGAGGAAGAATGGAGTGTTCTGAACTATTTTAAACTGATATGTTTTGACCTACCCCTGCTAGGAGCAAGAGGAGATTTTTGTCCAATGTTTACTGTGAGAACCTGGTCTAGCTCCTGGAGGTGAAACTCATGAAGTGTGGGCACATGAGTGCACTGCATAATTGGGTCTTCCTGGAGTTTGGTGTTCTCAGGCTTGTCTTTTCTTAGCCTCCAGCAGTTTGCTCATTACAACTTAGGTTCTACTACCATGGCCCTGGCTCCCGTGGTGGTGGTTTCTGCTCCTGTGTTTCTGCTCCTGCAGTACGTGACTCCCTGTATTTGCCTGTCTCTTCAGTCTAGAGCTTAGCAGTTTGCCCTTTGTCTTCACCTTTTTATGGATCCAAGAAGGGGTTTAAGTTTTCAGTCTGTTCAGCTTTTCACCTGTGGTGAGGATGGAGTTGTATTTCCAAGCTTCTTACATGCAGAACTGATAAAGGAAAGTTTAGATGAGTCGACATTTTTAAAGTTAACTTATATTATGAATTACATTGATAAACCAGAAAATGTCTGAGACAGATTTCAATCTATTTAGAGGTTTATTTTGCCAAGGTTGAGGATGTGCTCAGGAAAAGACACACAAGTTCCAGCAGGATCTGCGATCCGTGCTTTTTCCAAGAAGGTTTTTGAGGACCTTACATTTAAAGGAAAAAGAGCAGGCAGGTGGGGAAGGAGGAATAAAAAAAAAGAAATAAACAGAGAAAGGGGGATATAGACGATGAAATGGTTACACTCTTGTGAAGCTTTGATTAGTGCTCACTGAATCCACATTTTACATGTGAGAAGAGGGGAGTAGAAAAAAATTGTTATGCATTCATCCTGTGTGCAGTAGCTCTACATTTTACATAAGATAAGGTCAGTATAGTGTAGAGGAAGAACTCGAATACGCAGTAGTCTCAGGGTGGTCAGGTGGATGATTTCTAGTCTTGTCTTTGTCCCATATCTGTGAAGACAAACTCTTAATTTACGCTGTCTGAGTGAGATTCAATAGACCTTTGTTTTAGGGTTAGTTTATGAGGGGGATATATATTCTGAAAGATTTGGGGGCCCACAAGAAATTTCCTTGTGAGCAATTTGTGAGGACCACCTGGAGAGAGACGTGGCCTTCTATGTCACAGCTATCTGGGAACAAACAAGAAAGCAGTTTTATTATTATTATTCTTACTATTTTGGCATGACTCAGTTCCCAAGTTAAACTTTCCCTCTGGGATAGTGAATGTGGGGTCCCAATATTTTATTTTCCTTTCATACAATGATTAATTTTTAAAATAAAAAGCAACATTGCATTCATGAGATGAAGCCTATTTAGTTAAGATGCATCAACATTTTTATATATTTTTAGACTTTATATTATACAGTTGTGTTAAAAATCGTTGCCCCTGTTTTCTTGAAAGGCATTGACCCATAGTTGATTTTTTTCTTCCTAATATTTTTATCAAGATAATGTTGCCTTCATGCCGAATTAGTTTATGTAGAATAGGTATTAATTCTTCTTTTAATATTTTCTAAAATTCACTAGTAAAGCCATTTGGATCTGGAGGTGTCTTTGTGAGAAAATCTTTAAATACAGGTTCAATTTCTTTAAAAGATACAGGGCTTTTGATATTATCAATTTTGTTTCAGGTGAGCTTACTTATATTGTATTTTTCAGTGAATATGTCCATTTCACTAAGTCATGAAATTCATTTTTATGCAATCTTTTATAATATGCCATTACATCTTTTAACTGTTTGCTGCATGAGTAGAAATGTACCTGCTGTCATTTATGATAGTAGTAATTTGTACCTTTGCTCTGTTTTTCCTAATCAGCCTGGCTAGAGATTTATCAGTTTTATTGATCTTCTCAAGGAAACAGCCTTCGGTTTATTTGATTTTCTATATCAATTTCCTGTTTTCTATTTTGTTGATTTTTGTTCTTATGCTAAGTATCTCTTTTTATCTGCCTTTCTTTGGTGTTAGGGCTTTCCCCTTTGTTATGTATGAGCAGACCCAGATGCCAGCACCAGATGACACGGCCCCTCCCTCCATTCCCTGTGTCCCCTCTGGGAAGGACCGCACACCTTCCTGCAGGAGGTAAGTTTGGGCTGTTGCCTTCCTTGATGTGCTGCCTGCTTTGGCCCGGGGCTCTCCTCCCTGAGGTACCCCCAGAGCACTGTCCTGTGGCTGTTTACACAGTTGTCCCATGTGGGCTGGACTTCAGACACAAGCGAGGAAGTCCAGAACTGTGGCCCCTCAGGTATTCGGTTTGGAGAATTACTCCTGGATACAATGGCATAAATCCCCTACTGTGAAGACTTAGAGAGCCTGGAGGTGTGAAGAGTGTTAACTACTTTAACTCAGAGCAATTATTAAAGTAATTGTCTACCTTGAGTCACATGTGAGGTAAATCACTGGGCATGAGCAGCAGCCTCAACTGATATCCTTTTAACACAGACAGAACATGCTTGGGACTTACCAAGGAAGGAGAAGCAACTTTCCCACTGTTATCAGAGCAGGAGGCCTCACCTTTCTCTGGGAGGAGAGGTCCTCAGCCCCCATCACTGCCCTTTCTGGAGAACTGTGAGTTCTTCTCCTGATGGCAGTGAGACTCTGGGCTGATGTGCTGCCTGATCCAGGGACGACCCTCTCTTGGGCAGTGAAAGGCAACTTCAACAGAATCTGAAGTTCAGCCCAGACATCAGAATCCAGAGAGAAGCCAGTGGGGAGGAGGATGAGAACTTAAAAAAATGGGCAATAAAAATTTCAAAATGGAAATGACAAGATACTCGTTACAGTGGCACCAAAAATGCAATATTTAGAGATAAATATAACACAATATATGTAATATCTGTACACTGAAAACTGCAGAATGCTGTAGTGAGGAATTTAAAAAGAACTAAATAATGGAGCGCCACCCCATCAGAAGCCACCATCGTGAAGAACACAGGCAAATTCTACATGATATTCTATGATCAGAAGACGCCACTGTTAAGAACAGAGGTGAAATCTTACATACTGGAAAGAAAAGAGGAGAGAAAGATTAGAACTTTTATAAGCAGAACATTGATTCTTAGTGTGCTAGGTCAGGACACGGAAGAGAGGGGCCTGTTGGTACAAACTGAGGTCAGATGAGAGAAGTAATCTGGGGACATGAGGCACTATAGAATACCTGGGGTCTAATGATGGGGCTTGATAGGGTTTCCTAAACTGAGACAGGAGGGACAAGAGGCCATAGCAGGCAACCTAAAAAATGGTTTCTACCCTCAAACAATTATTTGGTAAAGATTCAAAGGCTTCCATATCACCATCTCCCCACCCTCTGTTTTGTCACAATCCCCACAGAGGCTAAGTCCTCTGTTCCTCCTCCACTTCTCTGCTCAGAAGACACACTGCTAGTATCCTTTCTATTAGGGCATTAGCAACAATAGAGTTTTGGGACTTGACAACTTCTTACAGGCAACTTGGCTTGGAGTCCACAGATAGGTTTCCATCTAGGAAAAACACGTGTGTTTGTCAGTACTGTTCATGGATGTGATTGGAAGGGGCTGGGAAATTTCTGTTTTACTCACCTTGACCATTTCCCAAATCCTGTTAAATAGAGAAATTGGTTGACTTGGGAGAGGCCACCTAAGTTGGAAATGATGGGTGGTTTATTCCTTCCATTCCATGGTGGCACAGTGGGAGAACCACTAGCATGGATTAGGGAGTTTGAACAGCTGTGGGTCACTAGAAAATTTATTGAAGTCTGTGTGTCACCTGCATTGGTGGAGATTCAACCAATGGACTCATATTCCCTTTCAAGGTCAAACACGATATGGTTTTAGAAGGATGTTCTTCAAGTTCAGGAAACTGAGGAAAACCACAGAAAGCCCATCTGACTCTCTAGCAGTTTATCCTCTGTGCATCGCACAGAGCCCAGCAGAGAGGATCTCTCTGTGGGATCATGCACAGAAGCCAATGAAGATGATAAAAGAGGCAAGCTAGGAAAACTACAAAGCAATAAAACACTTGGAACCCCAGGCTAGGAAAGCTACGCAGGAATAAAACACTCTGGAATCCACAAAACCCAATGAGCTTGTAGGTATCAGTAAGGACGTTTTAAACTCCCAAGATTATAAACCTTAATGGGTGATTAAAAATATATGATTTATTTCTAGCCAATGTCAAAATTAAATGAACAGCAATACCCACTCAGATGTGAAAGTCTCCAGTTTTCAGCTTTTACTTTTGAAACCATATTCAATGTTCAATGTCAGTTAGTTGCTTTGCTAAACAAGTGTATGATTCTTGAAGAACACAAATATTCCACTTAATTTGGAAGAAGAGAGTGTCTGGCTGGAGAGAGAGAGGATAGTGGCTAATTTTTCTCCAGATTCACAAGAAGGAGCAAAGCTTGCAAGAAGACTAATGCTTCACCAGGCCTTCAACTCCTTGACTGTTGATTCAAAGGAAATGTCAGTGTACAAGATACACTATATGTGCAATTAACTGCAGGATTTTTAATAAAAGGCAAAAAGACTGGTTACAACGCAGCCGGGCTTGCATTGCCTATGCATGGCCACTTGCTGCTTCAGCCTGCAGAGGCCTCCCAGTAACTAACTGGGTACATGCGTTGAGGTGGCGGCTTGGGGCTCTCTCTCCCATTGGGGGTGCTGGCTTTACAATCAGATGGGTCAGTGCTCAGGGCTGATGAATGCTTCTGCCCTTCCTTCCTGATTCACCTGCCATGGATAGCAGGACCTAAAACATCTGACAAATACCCGTGGTTGAATGGTTGAATTAAAAGTTAAGAATAAGGCAGGAAGTGGTTTGAGCAGAAACTATGATCTTCTTCACCCCAGATCCATGCATGCTCTGCAAAGTTTTCCATGGACACATGCATTAAAATAAAATATTCCTTTAGCCTCATTAATCTGGCTCTGGAGACAAAAATACTATAAGAGTGAGGTGCTCACACCTGTCTGCTCACCTCAGAAGCCCATTCTGGGGGATGATGCAGTGTGAATATTGGGTTTACACTTGAAATATTCCAAGAAGCAGCTGTGTGCCTGGTAGAGGATGAAAGGCATTTTATTTTTAGTTTTTGCTTGCTTGTTGTTGCCCTTAAAGAGTGCATCTGGACATATTTCCAGCAGGTGGAAGCAACAGGAGGAAATCATAGCACTGTGGCACGGTGGAAGCACCATTAGCCCGGATTCCAAAAGCCAGGGGAGACTCAGGGCACTGGAGAATTCACTGAAGTCTCTGCATCTCACCTGCAAAATATGGGGATTGGGCCAGACTAACTCAAAGGCCCCTTCAAGGTTAATCATGATATGAGTTTGGAGGGAAGTAAACGTAACAGAGGTTGGCAGGATGGAAGATTTTCCTGCACATTTCACCACCATTTAAGATTGGAGGGTGGCACAATTGATTTTTATGGCTGCAGCAACCCTCTTCTATCCTCATAGCAACCTTTTCTCGGGGGTGTGATGAAAGAACAACTTTGAGGAAATAAGGAGAAACTCCAGTGTGTCCGGGGGTTGGTACTGATGTTATAAGCACAGAATGGTGAGAATCGCGTGCTTCTTCAGCTGCACGAGTTAGTTCAGCTCAGGACTGGAAACAGTTATGATGCAGGAACCTGCAGAATCCTCCTGTCATCCAGGGGCTCTGTAAAGCGTTTGATTTAGTGTCCCTGTTTGCAGATGACATGATTGTATATCTAGAAAACCCCATTGTCTCAGCCCAAAATCTCCTTAAGCTGATAAGCAACTTAAGCAAAGTCTCAGGATACAAAATCAATGTACAAAAATCACAAGCATTCTTATACACCAATAACAGACAAACAGAGAGCCAAATCATGAGTGAACCCCCATTCACAATTGCTTCAAAGAGAATAAAATACCTAGGAATCCAACTTACAAGGGACATGAAGGACCTCTTCAAGGAGAACTACAAACCACTGCTCAATGAAATAAAAGAGGATACAAAGAAATGGAAGAACATTCCATGCTCATGGGTAGGAAGAATCAATATCGTGAAAATGGCCATACTGCCCAAGGTAATTTATAGATTCAATGCCATCCCCATCAAGCTACCAATGACATTCTTCACAGAATTGGAAAAAACTACTTTAAAGTTCATATGGAACCAAAAAAGAGCCCGCATCACCAAGTCAATCCTAAGCCAAAAGAACAAAGCTGGAGGCATCACGCTACCTGACTTCAAACTATACTAAAAGGCTACAGTAACCACAACAGCATGGTACTGGTACCAAAACAGAGATATAGATCAATGGAACAGAACAGAGCCCTCAGAAACAATGCCACATATCTACAACTATCTGATCTTTGACAAACCTGAGAAAAACAAGCAATGGGGAAAAGATTCCCTATTTAATAAATGGTGCTGGGAAAACTGGCTAGCCATACGTAGAAAGCTGAAACTGGATCCCTTCCTTACACCTTATACAAAAATTAATTCAAGGTGGATTAAAGACTTAAAAGCTATACCTAAAACCATAAAAACCCTAGAAGAAAACCTAGGCATTACCATTCAGGACATAGGCATGGGCAAGGACTTCATGTCTAAAATACCAAAAGCAATGGCAACAAAAGCCAAAATCGACAAATCGGATCTCATTAAACTAAAGAGCTTCTGCACAGCAAAAGAAACTACCATCAGAGTGAACAGGCAACCTACAAAATGGGAGAAAATTTTCGCAACCTACTCATCTGACAAAGGGCTAATATCCAGAATCTACAATGAACTCAAACAAATTTACAAGAAAAAACAAACAACCCCATCCAAAAGTGGGTGAAGGACATGAACAGACACTTCTCAAAAGAAGACATCTATGCAGCCAAAAAACACATGAAAAAATGCTCATCATCACTGGCCATCAGACAAATGCAAATCAAAACCACAATGAGATACCATCTCACACCAGTTAGAATGGCGATCAGTAAAAAGTCAGGAAACAACAGGTGCTGGAGAGGATGTGGAGAAACAGGAACACTTTTACACTGTTGGTGGGACTGTAAACTAGTTCAACCACTGTGGAAGTCAGTGTGGCGATTCCTCAGGGATCTAGAACTAGAAATACCATTTGACCCAGCCATCCCATTACTGGGTATATACCCAAAGGACTATAAATCATGCTGCTATAAAGACACATGCACACGTATGTTTATTGCGGCACTATTCACAATAGCAAAGACTTGGAACCAACCCAAATGTCCAACAATGATAGACTGGATTAAGAAAATGTGGCACATATACACCATGCAATACTATGCAGCCATAAAAAATGATGAGTTCATGTCCTTTGTAGGGACATGGATGAAATTGGAAATCATCATTCTCAGTAAACTATCGCAAGGACAAAAAACCAAACACCGCATGTTCTCACTCACAGGTGGGTGAGAACAATGAGAACACGTGGACACAGGAAGGGGAACATAACACTCTGGGGACTGTTGTGGGGTGGGGAGATGGGGGAGGGATAGCATTAGGAGATATATCTAACGCTAAATGACGAGTTAATGGGTGCAGCACACCAGTATGGCAAATGTATACATATGTAACTAACCTGCACATTGTGCACATGTACCCTAAAACTTAAAGTATAATAATAATAAAATAAAATAAAATAAAGTAAAAAGAACACTCTAAGCACTCACATTTTATTTCCTTGCTATCTATAAAATTGACTAAAGAGAAATCCAAGTTTTGCTGCTAACAGGTGCCCCAAAAACAACCTTGGAAGACAAACCAGGAAGCCCAGGTCTTCCTCTGGCTCTGCTCCCAGCTTGCTCTGCGACCCGGAAAATTCCTCTCACCTTCCCGGGCTTTAGTTTGTTTGTCCCTAAAATGGAGCCAGGTGGACAAATTCATCATCACCATTTCACTGGCCGGAGTTAAACAAACAAACATAGCTCTATGCGTTGGTGGTGTATGCATTCCTAATGCATCTTGAGGTACTCATATATGAAAAAACAAAACCATGTTTTGCTTGGTAAATAGGTTACCTATACTGGTCATTAAAACAAGGCACCCACTGCTGAAAAAGAGAGCCTTCTGTACTAGGACGAATTGCAATCTTTTGAGAATAAAGCAGAATGAGATGGCTTGGGCTCATCTAACTTGCATAGGTCCAGTCTTCGAGCATTCCTGTTTATTTTTGTGTTCAAAATTGTTTGTCAAAATAGCAGTGAGAAAACAAGGTGGGTTTGTCTCTGTGGTAGCAGCGCCCGGTGCCCCTGCTGCCCTTCTGTCCAGGCAGACGAAGGGAGAGCTGTCCTCTGAAGCCATGGCGGCCTTTCCCAGTAGCTGCTCTCCGGTCATCTGACACCCTGACAGAGCCACCAACAGCCGCACATCTGATCTGGAAGAATTGTGTCTCATCTGCTGAGTGGAGGCATTGTGACTGCTGAACTTGCATTGGAGGTGATTCAGCACATCGTGTCTTGAAATCAGATCCCAAGAGGGCCACCAAACACATGGGAACCTCTGTGTGGGAAAGAGTTTGACCAAATCTTAGCATTTCACGCAGCAGCCCACGTGACTGGTAATGCTGTTCTAACCCAGCTCGGTAATGCTCATGAAGACATTTATTAGAATAGAAAGACTGTAAAAAGGAAACTGGAAGTCTAATTAAAAGAGGAGAAGACAAATCTAGTCTATGATAGCTCATCAGGATGGTGACGGTCAACAATAATTTACTGCAGATGTTAAAAATAACTAAAAGAGTATTTAAGTGGAATGTTTGTAGCACAAAGAAATGACAAACGCTTGAGGTGATGGACAGCCTGTTTGCCTTTATGTGATTGTTACGCATTGTATACCTAGATCAAAATAGTTCACTGACCCCATACTACTATACACCTACCCTGCACTCCTAAAAATTAAAAAGAAAAAAGAAATACAAGCAAGCAAGTGTATCACTGATATGTTTTCAGGAAGGTTCAAAAAACAACTAGCCATAGACAACAGGCTAATAAACATGTCACAAAGCAGGAAAAAAGTGAGGTTCTGATGCAACTTCAGCAGTATGTTTTCGTGAAAATAAAATTTTTCATTTTTTTACATTAAAATGTTTATCTGTATATTATTTGCCAAGTAAATGCTACAGATTCCATAATAAAAATAAGAGGGTTTCTATGAACCACAATGAGATCCATGAATGGTCTTAAAATGTTTGATTTGTGCACTACTCTATGCAGATCAAATAATTAAGCATTTTATTCTGACTGACAAAGATGAGCATGGTAGAGAAACAATTGCGAAATGCATATCTGTGTAAATCAAATTGTGCATTAAATCACAGAGGAATAAAAAGGAATAGGTAAATCTAAGCAGACTGATTAACTAAATCTAAGCAGACTGATTAAATAGTTATTTTAAATTTTTCCATTTAGGTTTTTGAGTGATAAAAATCAAAGACTCTCTCACATCATAAAACTGGTAATGTTTACTACACATGACTAAATAAAAATTGCATTTGGTAAGATAATATTTGCCGTGTTCATAGCACTTACACCGGCAAGGTATGTGGAAGCAGACAGCACGTTATTCTGTTTCCATGTAAGATTTTTACATATGTTGTTATACATGATATTCTCAAAAGCCTAAGAATCTAACCATAACAGGTGCTTGCTCCGAGCGCAGTGCCCCACTGCCATGAGTTCTCAGTTATAAATAACAAATCACTGGGTTCCCATGGACTTTCCTTTAAACACATCTACTGTTCTCAATCAATATAATTAATAGCAAGGAGCGCATATTTATATTGAAGATGGCGAAAGTCAATTTGTTGTGGAAATTCAAGGGGTCCCTTGGATATCAGTCCTCCATTTAGTGCGTGTTATCACCCTCAATCATATTAAGAAGTGGTTTTCAATGCATTTCTCAAAATTCCTCTTCTGATTTCTCATGTCAAGGGAGAGTCTAATTGGATTTTTAATCCTTGGCTAATCATGCTACACATGGCATGCTGGGTTTAGGTGGAAACTGAAAGGTGCTTTCCACCAACCTATTATTGCAAGGCAGGCTTGAATGTAACCCGAATCAGTAGAAAAATAATGCAGTAAGCCCTTCTACTGTATAGACATTACATGAAAACAATACGCTCCTTTCTTCACGAGGAAGCCCCTCCCCTGCCTTTGAAGCAGCTTTGAAATAATGGACTGCCATGGGCTATTTTCTTCTGGTTTCTATGTTTCAATACCAGGCTTGTCTCTTCTGTTTGTTTTCAGCTAATTGCCTCAAGATCTAATAAGTTAGTGATGACGGGTGTTGAGCACCAGTGACCCTGCCAAAAGAAATATCATGTCGCACCAAAGTTGAAGGAGCAGTCCTGGTGGGTCAAAAATGCTTTCTCTGAGGGGCTCTAATTCCTCTAGTGGGGTCAGGAATGGCACCAGTGATTGGATTGGGTTCCTTAAGAGTCTGCACAAGGGAGCTGCTCTAAGAGAGGGACCAATAGACACACTCGTCATTGGATGCTTGGGTTCTTGACCTTGTTGAAAAGACATTACCGTGGCACAGTCCTGTCTTCCTGCAAAGCACTCACGCCACCCTTTCTTTGAGAGCCATTACAGGAAAATTCAACTTTGATGAGAAGTTTAATCTGGTTGTTTCATTCTTCCCACGGAACATGCTTTCCTGAAGTTTTATCCAATGTACTTCCCTCCTCAGGGCAACGAAGTCTCATAAAGGAAATGGATGGTGTTGGTTGCAGGGAGCATCTCATTCCAGGAAGCTAAAACACACACTGGCCAACATTTGATCAATGAACAACATCTTCCATTAAAAGAAAAAATCAAGGTGTCTTAACAAAATGATGAGAGATTATACGCATGAACAAATCCAGAGGCAGAAGCCTGTGGTGTTGTAAACTGAAATCCCAGCTCAAAGTGAGGTCGGGGCAGTCTGGTTAATGCCAAAGCATTAGTACAACAGCGTCCCTTTCCCATTCTGAGAAATGCACATGGCATCCATTTCTTAGGGCTGCCATGACAAATTGCCACACAGTTGGTGGCTTAAAATTACAGAACTTTATTATCTCACAGTGCTGGAGGCCAGAAGTCTGGAATCAAGGTGCTGGAGTGTGGTGCTTGCTCTGAAGGCTCCAGGGAAGAGTCTGCTTCTTGTGTTTCTCCTCACTTCTAGGACTGTGGGTGCTCCTCGGCTTGTGTCTGCATCTCTCCAATCCTGTCTTTTCTTCACCTGGCCACACTCCCTCTGTGTGTCTCTTCTTTGTGTGTCTCTTCTGTGTGTTCTCCTTTGTGTGTCTTTGTGTCCACATTTCATCATTTTATAGGGACACCAGTCACTGGATTAAGGTCCACCCTAACCCCGTGTGATGCCACCTTGCCTTGATTATAGACACAAAGGCCCTATTTCCAGATAATGGCACATTGGCAGGTGCAAGGGCTGGGCCTCCAACATATCTTTCTGGGGGACACAGTTCCACCCACCACGCACACTGTGAAGGAAAGTTGCGCATTTATCTCACAGGTAATCTCCCCAAGCCCACTCTGGTCATCTGTGTGAAGGGGCTTTGGCGTTTCCATCATCAGCTTCTCTCCCCTCCTATTCTGTGCTTCTGATCTCCCAGTTATCACCCTGGGGCTCCCTGTGCCCTCAGTTGGCGTCCAGGATCTGGAAGAGCTCCAGCCTGGCAGGTTGACTCTTCCTGCAAGGATGTCTGATTACAGGTTCTCATGGGCGTGCAGAGCTTGCAACCTGAGTCTCAGCACCAGTCTTGTGTTTGGAGGTCTTCCAAAGCCCACGATTCTAATCCTTTCTTACAACACTGCAAAGCATGAGTGTTTTCTCAGGAGGTAATATTGAGAGCAGGGAGGAGGTATGGTGAGAAGACAGTGCTAAATTGCACAATACTAGGTGAGACTTCTGCCACCTGGCTGTACTCACCACACCTCTCATGCAAACACCCCAACCTCCAACCACATGTCCTTTGCCCCCTCATCCACTTCCCAGAGGGTCTCCTTCCTCTGGTTGCCCCCACTGGGTCTCTACTTGTCTATGCTCACCATCATCTCTTTGCATGCCACAGTCAACCATGGGACCACTGAGAAGCTCACTGAAGGGCAGGTGATATGGCTTGGCTCTGTGTCCCCACCCAAATCAATCTCATCTCAAATTGAAATCCCCATGTGTCAAGGGAGGGAGGTGGTTTGACCATGGGGGCGGTTTCTCCCATGCTGTTCTCATGGCAGTGAGTGAGTTCTCCCAAGATCTGATAGTTTTATAAGGGGCTCTTTCTCCTTCACTCCACCCTTCTCCCTCCTGTTGCCCTGTGAAGATGTGCTTACTTCCCCTTCACCTTCTGCCATGATTGGAAGCTTCCTGAGGCCTCCTGGCCATGCTTCTTGTACAGCATGCGGAACTGTGAGCCAATTAAACCTCTTTTCTTTATAAATTACCTAGTCTCAGATAGTATTCTTTATAGCAGTGTGAGAACAGACTAATAAAGCGGGAGAGGATGAAGCTATTGGTACTTGCACTTTTATATTTTTGTTCCTGTTACTGTTTTTTAATATGCAAAAACAAATTTATTTTTTGTTTATGAGCCACATGCTAAAACTGTTTTAAATATGCAGTTGTGTAAGTGCATGAAGAAAAGTGGTCAGGAAAGGGCCATGCTGGCCAGTGAGGCCCCAAGCTTCTGAGAGGGGAGGGGGGCTATGGAGGAGAAGCACAGGAGGGGAGCAAGTGGGCAGTGGGAGGAAACCGGGCTGGGATGGTCTGGAGCCCGGAGGCCAGGGACAAAGGAGGGCCACCAAAGACAAGATTCAGGGACAGTCAGAGGAGCTGTGGGCCGGAGACCTTGAGCAGGACTGAAGCATGTGACATACAATAGTCATCAACTGTCGTGACATATCTACCAGACAAGCAGTACCACCCTTTCACTGATGGAAAGAATGTGACACAGAGGTAAAATTCCTCACCCCAAATCTCTTCATGGATTGACGGTAGCACCAGGATTGGCCAAGTCAACCCGGGGCCAAACCCATGTTTACTAATTAAATGCAGAAACAACTGTTTTGAGCTATAAGTTACAGAGATTGTAAGACCCAATGAGAAAATATGTTGTGCTTTGTTCAAAGATTAGATGCAATGTAACTAAAAGCCTTCTGTGTGGACTTGGGAGGAGGGTGGGTGCCTGTGAGGGACCTTGGGATTGTCTGGGGTTGGGAGAGGCCAGGAAGGGGCCAGGACCCGAACCTCTGCAGACCTGACCCGCCTCCCTGGGACATGTGCACGACTCCCAGTCTTTTATTAGAAACCCGTTTTTCGCTGAAACCAATTGTTCCTGCTGGATTGAATTTTACGAGGATTAAAAAGTACATATAGGCCAGGCGCAATGGCTCACGCTTGTAATCTCAACACTTTGGGAGGCCTAGGTGGGAGGATCACTTGAGCCCAGGGGTTTGAGACCAGCCTGGGCAACACAGTGAGACCCCGTGTCTGAAAAAAAAAAAATTAACTGGGTGTGGTGGCACATGCCTGCAGTCCCAGTTATTTGGGGCTGAGGTGGGAGGATCACCTGGGTCTAGGGAGGTCGAGGCTTCAGTGAGCAGTGATCACACCGCCGCACTTCAGCCTGAGCTGCAGAGTGAGACCTTGTCTCAAAAAAACAAAACAAATTTCCAACATATAATTGGAGAAGGAAAATTAAGAAAAAACTGAGATCCAGGAAACCCAGAGTCAATGGGCAGAAATCCCTCCACCTTCCTGGGATCTCCCTGGTGGTGCCACCACACCCGCCTGTGGCATGAATCAGGCTCTGCCGTCCACAGGGACACTTCTGTGTCCATAGAAGCAGGGGAGGGAGAAGCCCACTCTTTCTTTCTTATTTGTGCAATAATTCAATCTTCTATCCACTTCATTTATCTCTCCAATTTGACTAGGGATTAGTTTTTATTTTATTACTATTTTTTCTTAATATTTTTTGCATATACTTGGATTTAGAAACCTACATTTAATCTGAGATATTTACCAAACTAAATATAAAATCTTCACATATAATAATATATTTAACTGGAAAGGTTTAGACTTGATTCACTCTCAGGAAAAAAGAAATCATTTTCTTAATAAGAAATATTATTTGGCTTGTTTTGAAAATAATTCTCCAAGTTAGAATTTATTTTGAATCATTTCCTGACACTGACATAGGTATCCTGCCGTGCTTCACAGATTTTGGTGATATCACACACCCTCTCAGTAGAAATCACAAATATACACTGAATGCATATGAGCTTTGAAAGTTGTGTTTTAAAGAGACTTAACCCCTTTTCTGATTGAGATCATGTTTGCTGTTCCCTTTGTTTAAAATATGTCTACGAATTCTTCTTCTCCTGCAAAAATAAATGATAAATTATTTATACATACCAATTATTTATTATTATTTATGCAAAGCTTGTCAGATTATGCATGCATGGGGGGATTGAATTGCTGTTGGCCCACAATGCCTTTAGGGGCATGATATGATGGGCAAAGGGTAGCAGGTGGGATTGCCATATGCATTCAGAGCCTACGCATTGTTTACATACATTGCTGGGCTGATAACAGGAAGAAAACCAGCACATCACAACCAGTATTGCTTATTCATCTAATTCTAAATTTTGTTACCTTGGCATTAAATAAATATCTCACCCAAGGAAAGAAGCATGAAAGTATGGCGGGCATTGTAAGGTAGACATAAAAATGCCCATGGGTTTAAGCTTAAAACTAAAAGAAACAGATGAGCTCAACTTAAAAAAATGATACTTTTCCTAGGGCAATTCTTTGACACATAATAACAACATATTACAATCAAGAAATAGAGATAAATCAGGAAAATACCATGATATGATGACTTGTCATGGTGCTTTCTGATAGCATTTTGAATTTCAAGGCAAATTCAGTGAAGGTTTTTTTTTTTCCAAAATACTAATGCATATAAATGAAATTATTAGCAGCATTCATTTTTAATGGGAAAGCTAATGGAGAGCTTGCAAAATGACATAACTATCCTTTGATCCTGTGAAGGAATGTTTTCCAGTTCCTAGGGCAAAAATTATATCCAATATGACAATGCTAAAAAGCCACCTATATTTGCAATTGACAGTTTCAAGATGTGGAGTATGTTTGGCCTCTGTGGGAAGTGTGTCAATGCATTTGCTGTGTAAGTTGGTGCAAGCGGGGTTTGCAGACAGGCTCTGGAAGGGCTGGCCCTAGAGCAGAAGCAGGCACGGAGAAGCTGAAAGTCCACGAGTCCACCTGATTATTTACAAACTTAATTTGCCTGTGGCATCCCAGAGAGTTGAGTGATTTGAAATCTTGTTTTCTTAACCAAAATTGCCCCATCACTTCTGTAATTTTGTGATGTTTATTGCTCATTCTGGTCACATTTCGGGTCATGTTTGTTCATCTTGTCCACATTGGCATTACTCAATTCTTCTTTGATGTTATGCAATATTCATAACCTTGAAAAATGTATCATGGTAACTCTAGGAATGGGTGAAACAAATGGCCCTTCCCTTTACAGCCCCAGCCCACCTCTGTTTTCCAGCCTCAGAAGCAATGACCTTGCCAAGATCCATGTGAAGTCTACCACTCAGGTCCTGCTTACAGGTCTCCTAAGACAAATCAAGTCAGATTCCTCTCACTTTTAAGCCTTCCAGTGAAATAAAATATGCATCTTCTTTGTAGCTATGCCTGGCAATTAGTACCCTCCAGAAGCTCTCTCTCTGATTTGTAGTAACACTTCCTCTTTGTTTTCAATCCGAGCTCTGCTGTGCTCTGTTTCTTTTGGTTCTGTCCTCAGACAATAGCTTTTCAGACATAGCACACTCTTTGTATTTGCAACAGATAGATTCTAAAACCTTTGTGAATTCCCAGATTCGCAAATATCAGTATGTAATATAATTCCCTTCGTAAGAGGCAGTTAAGTATAGTTGAAAAATGCAAATGACATGTTAAGACCATCAAGGAAGCAACAGAATACCAAAGGTATATACCAACTAATTAGCATAAGTTCTCCCCTGCAAAGTACATCACAGCAGAACATTACTGGACCAGTTTTAACCACGTGTGTCTCTACATTGGTAAAACTGGGGCAGAGGTGGGGCTCCATCCCTTCCTATAGGCATCTTGCAAGGGTGAAGGAGTGAGGAAACCTACTGTCCTACAGTAAGACATTAGGCTTCGGTGCCTCTGACAGAGCTGGCTCAGCCGTCTTCCACCCTGGCAAGGTAGCGGAATCCTAAGGGAGATTTGAAACACGCCAAGGCCCAGGACTCAGCCTCAGTGGCACTGACATAATTTGCCTGATGTACCACCCGGGGATTGGAAATGTTTTTGAACACTTAGGCTAGCCTAATGTACAGCCAGAGATGACCACTGGACTTATGGAAGACAGCCCTTCTGAGTGCTTGGTTGGCTTTTCTTTTCAAATTTGAATAGGTTTCTTGATAGATTTGTGTCTTGACTAATTGTCAGTCTCTATTGCATCAAGGTATTACAGGTGATGGAGATGGGGATGGCATTGCTGGTAGCAAATCCATGAGCATGCTCAGTGCCTTCTCCAGTAGGGAGGAAGGAGCCCCATTCAGGGACAAAGTGTACCTGGGCTGGGACCAGACCCCAGGATTAAGGTTCCCACTCTTCTGCGTGTTGGTTGGATGATCTTTGGCCTGCTACATAGCAAATCTGGGCCTCAGTTTCTCATTGATAAAATGAAGATATCGACAGTGCTGATTTTGGAGGGCTGAAAAGACTCTCTTAATAGCATGGACTATGTTGCCCTGTCCCTGCCTCATGGCTAACTCTGCAAACGTCCCTGCCTCCTGCGTGGCCTGTTAACCCCCATCTCTTGAAACTTCAGTGCTCTAGTTCTTAAGATCAAATGCACCATCAGCTTAAAGAAAATGCCCCGTGGCTGTCCAGCCAACAGCAGTGCTGGAGACACACGCTCTGGGCACACACAGCAGAAGGTGCAGGAGCCAGTGGACAAGAGCAGAGCTCTGTGTGTCACGCCTTCCGGTGTGGCTGTGTCAACAGCTGGGATTGTTTGCCTCAAAATGCTCAGTACAAATAATAAAGCCAACCCCCCACCTGTCCCTGGTGTCTGCAGGCGAGAGGACCCCAAAGGGAATGACAACCATAATGCCACCCTGAGCTGAGCCCAAGAACAAGCAGTGAAGTGCATGTCCACTCATCTGAGTGCCATCAGACGCAGTCTCCCTGAAAGGGAGGGTGGGCTGCCGGGGGATTCTCCTGGGTCTCCCTGGTCCTTCCTGGGAGGCCCACACCTGTGTAGATGGCTGTGAGTGGAGGAAAGGGAGGGGCTGGTCCATCCCCCAGTGCAGCAACAATCCCCAAAGGACACATGGACCTCCGCTGTGCTCCCAGGAAGCAGAGCTTCCACACCCTGGTGGCCATGGGGACTTGACCCTGATGACCGAGGTAAGGGAAGTTCAACTGGGTTGCTCGGCTTGAGGTTCTCGTCCTGCCCTGCTCTGCTGCCTCGCTGGGCCCGTGGGAAGCCCATCTCATCCAGGGGCTCTCTGTTCAAGGAGGGGTCCCACAGCACCTGGGCGGGGCCTCTGGGAAAGGCGCTATTTCATTCTTATCACCCAGGCTCTCACCCCGGGGCTCCTCCAGTCAAAATGGTTTGCCTCTGACTCTCCTATAGTACACGGCATTTATTTATTTATTTAAAGAGATGAGGACTCACTCTGTTGCCCTGGCTGGAGTGCAGTGGCACGATCTCAACTCCCCGCAGCCTCAAGCTCCAGGCCTCAGGTGATCATCCTGCCTCGGCCTCCTAAGTAGCTGGGACTGCAGGTGTGTGCCACCACACCCTGCTAATCTATATATAATATATATATGTAATATAAAAATATGGTATATAATGTGTGTGTGTATATATACATACACACATATATATATATATATTTGTAGAGAAGGGGTTTCACCATTTTTCTCAGGCTGCTCTCAAACTTCTGCACTCAAGCCATCTGTGCGCCTCTAACAGAAGCAATGCAACGGCCCCACTGCCCTCCAGAGCCTCCTCCCACACCGCACCCCACAGCCCTGGCCTCAGCCATCTGATGCCTCTGTGTCTGCCGCTCAGTGCCAAATAAGGCTGAGTTCTTTCCCGTGGACTCTAAGATGGTGGGAAAATGAGAAGACAGCTTTCTTGATGTTCAAGCTCACCCATCCAGAGCCGCCTCTGGATGTGGCAGGACTCCCAGGAGACCACCTTCCTCTGCCTTCATGATCTGGGGGGCAGGTGCCAGGCAACTGGGGACAGCCTAGTGGCTTAGAGCTGCCTTGCTCTGCCTGCCTTTCCCCCAGGAGCCCCAACAGCGCCGATGTCTGAAGCCTTCCCCTCTCTCCAGCCCTGCCTCCTGACCCCTTGGTTCTCTCCCATAGGGCCCGTGTGGAGCACTCGGCCTCCGGCCTCTAGGACCTGTGAGCATGGCAAACTGTGTTTTCCTGAGCCTTTTCTGTGTCTACTGTGTGGCTGCACCTGACTGACCATTTCATGTGAGAATTCATAACACGTGCACACACACATATGCACACACATGCACACACATGGCCACACACACAGGGTACTTGGGCCACATTGGCCACCTCCAGGTGACTTTAGGGCTCCAGGCCATGAATCTTAGAAGCCCTTTTCACCTCTGGTGGCCACCCTGCCTGTCGTGGGATCCAGTGTGGAGCCTGCCGTCTGCTTTTGCTCTCAAACCATCTAGGGTGCGGAGGAGGCTCTGTCTTCTGCTGTCTCAGCAGCAAACACCAACAGCTGAGTGTGCAAGGCCACATCCCCACCTTCCCCCTTAGAGGAGCTCCTTGAGGGGTGTGGAAAGACCCACATTCCAGCTCCGTACCCCAGACCTGCCAGAGAGGGCTCCAGAAGTGGACCCCAGCACCCATGCATTTCAGAAGTTAGTAAGGAGGGGTGGTTTCCAGGGAGAAGCTGGGTCATGGAAGGTGAAGACAGGAAGGCACCCTTTCAGGGGCGCATCCACCACGCTCTGACAACATCTGGCCTGGGCACTCTCCCCAGGAGACACACGTGAGGCCAACACAGCCCACTTAGCTCACACTTGAGTTCACACAATGCTGCCCGTCTGCATCTGTACATGTGGTATGAAGGCAGCTGGAGACACCCTCTGTGCTTTAAGAAACCCATTTCCCTACAGGTGGAACAGATGCAGAGTCCCAACCAGGGGCAGCCCCAGACCCACAGGGTCCTGAGAATGTCCCCAGCAGCTTGAGCTTTCCAAGGCTGTGCAGTGGACTGCAGGGGACTGCAGGGGACTCGAGGGAAGAAACCCACAGGAGGCCCTCATGCTCAAGGTTAGTGAAGAGAGGCAAGAGGGGAGTCACGTCCCCTTACGCCCCCTCAGCGTCTCTGTTGACTTCTGTGTCCAGGGTGGGAT
This sequence comes from Homo sapiens, assembly GCF_000001405.40. Lineage (NCBI taxonomy): Eukaryota > Metazoa > Chordata > Mammalia > Primates > Hominidae > Homo > Homo sapiens. The sequence continues at coordinate 3,269,332 of NC_000005.10, forward strand.
CGTGCGTGTGTGTGTGTGGGGGGGGGGGTGCAGAACATAGAACTGTTGCAAAATACAAACAGGTTGTCATCTGCAAAGCACAATTCCCCATGCATCCTGTGCACAGACGCTGATACGTGTCCGCAGTATCTCCTAGTCATTTAAAAGGGTAATTAGTACGCGGCATCTTCCTAGGGTCCTCGGAGGGTGAGTGTCCATCCTGTTTCTCACTGCTTCTCTCCTAATCCCCTCTAATGAGGGTTTATGTTAACACGGATAAGCCCTCGCGGTGTGCACTACCAGGCTGGCTGGGCCCACGGAGGACGGGCTGCTCAAATGTCACCGCCTTTGGCAATGTGGCTGTGAGACGTCAGAAGGGCGTCGCAGGAGAGCTTCTGTGTGGATCGCTCCATTTTGTAGAAGGGAAATCCCTTTCATAGGGTGCCTCTGCTTCTTTTCTGTTCTTTCCAGGATTTTGTCTCCATTTAATTTCTGCAGCTAGCAGCTGGTTCGCGGCGTTTTATTCTGGAGGAGGAGGCCCTGGCGTTGCTGTTTCAGGACGCACTGAGCCGGCCACCTCCTCCCCATGAAGATGCAGTCACTGCCCAGCTGAGCCTGCCTGAGCTTTGTTGTTCTCTAGGACCTGAAACTTCTGCAGAAGGCCAGTGAAGACTCGGGATTATCTGGAGTTGGTGGCAGGACTCAGACGTCATTGACCTTCAGAGCTGGTGCTAGGCCTTTCTTTCCCTCTGCAGTACTTAGTGAGACCTTCAGGGAGGGCACTGTGTGGGGAAGGCAGCTTCGCACCCATCAGCCGGGCCATCCGCTTCCCGCAGGTGTGTGCTTGCCACAACATTCATTTAAATTCAATATCATAATGAAAAAGGGAAACTATTGTAAAATAATACTTAACCAAATTCAACAAAAATTGACATTCGAGGTGTGCTACTGTGCACACATTCACACTCACATGGGCTATCTTATTTAGTCTACTTGATAATTCTGTGCTGGAAGCATAATTACCAGTCTTTTTTTTTTTTTTTTTTTTTGAGACGGACTCTCACTGTCGCCCAGGCTGGAGTACAGTGGCGTGATCTCAGCTCACTGCAGGCTTTGCCCCCTGGGGGTTCACGCCATTCTCCTGCCTCAGCCTCCCGAGTAGCTGGGACTACAGGCGCCCGCCACCTCGCCCAGCTAATTTTTTGGATTTTTAGTAGAGATGGGGTTTCACCGTGTTAGCCAGGATGGTCTCGATCTCCTGACCTCGTGCTCCACATGCCTTGGCCTCCCAAAGTGCTGGGATTACCGGCGTGAGCCACCGCGCCTGGCCAGTTACCAGTCTTCTTTTACATGGAAGCTCCAGTCTTCAGCACCCGGCCCCACTTCTGCTCTGCTGGGCTGGGTGGTCATATCAATCGTAAAGCTGCCCAAGTAAGGACTGACCTGTCCTCTGCCCGCTTAGCTGGATTTCTGTCCTTTTTGCAGAGTAAGATGGAGTTTCCTCCCTTCTCTATTATCATTTTCTTGGCAATGAGTTGTCATCTTCAAGACACATGATTTTTAAGTGTGTCATCTTGCGCACGCTGGGTTGAGCTGCCCATGACGGATAACAGGCTTGTGGCCACAGTGTTTCTCACTTCCTTCTGGACTTGCTTGATTCAGGCAACTAGTGTGGGAAAGGGGGTCAGAGACAGCGACTGGGCTGCGGGCTGCACACCGTTCACCGTGCAGGCTGCTGACATGGGACCCAGCACAGTGGCCACCCAGCACGGCCAGGGAAGGGCCCCTGTGCTTGCCCAGCAGCCCCCTTCCCTCCCTTCAAGCACTTCTGGAGACTCAGATGACTTTCAAGAACAAACAAGAGGACTGGACGCTGCTTAGCACCAGGCAAAATGGAAATCTCTGCCAACACAGGGGACCCACACACTTCGTTCATCCAGAGCACTTCCATTTTTAAAGACTGTTTAACAATGGTTCAGCTAAAGCAAAAGATCCATCCATGCTCCTGAGTCAGAGGGGAAGACGCTCAGAAATTTCCTGTTCTACCTGTCCCAGTTCTACCTGTGAGGACATCTCATAACGACATCTGTGCCCCCCACCCTGGGACAGGTAGAACCCATCACTGTGGATTGAGCTGTGACCACATTTATATGCTTGAGTTCTAATCCCTTGTTCCCCTAATAGAGAATGTGACTGTATTTGGAGATAGAGTCTTTATAGAGGTTACTCAGAGAAGTGAGGCCATGAGGAAGGTCTCAATCCAAGATGACTGGTCTCCTTACAAAAAGGAGAAATTAGACACCCACTCACGCAGAGGGGAAGGCTGTGTGAAGATGAAGGCAGAGACGGGGTGATGCTTCCAGAAGGCACGAACACCAAAGACTGCCAGCAGGCCGTGAGGAGCCACCGCCGAGGCTGCAGCAGGTCCTCCCACAGCCTTGGGAGGAACCAGCCCCGCCCACACCATGATCTCAAGCTTCCAGCCCCCAGGACTGTGAGGAAACAAGAGTCTGTGTTTAAGGCACCCATTCTGCAGGACTTCATGAAGGCAGCCCTAGCAAACAAACATACCCACCTAGAGAAAAATGTAAACGCCTTTTCCTTTGGTGAACCTGGCACTTTCAAATGTCATAAAATGCAAACATTCTACCTGGGGTCCATCTGTGCACAAAGCCCCAGTCTATACCTTAAGTAGAGGGAGAGGTAGCACAGGCGTGAGATGCCCGTCCAGAGTAGGATTGCCAGATTCAGCAAGTACACGGGGAAGACCCTGGCTGCATTTGAAATTCAGACAAACAATGAGTAACTTTTTTTTTTTTTTTGAGACAGCGTTTCACTCTTGTTGCCCAGGCTGGAATGCAATGGCACGATCTCTGCTCACCGCAACTTCCGCCTCTCGGGTTCAAGCGATTCTCATGCCTCAGCCTCTCAAGTAGCTGAGATTACAGGCATGCACCGCCACGCCCAGCTAATTCTGTATTTTTAATAGAGATGGGGTTTCTCCATGTTGGTCAGTCTGGTCTTGAACTCCTGACCTTAGGTGATCCGCCCGCCTCCGCCTCCCAAAGTGCTGGGATTACAGGCGTGAGCCACCGCGCCCGGCCATCAATGAGTAACTTTTAGAACAAGTGTGTCCCAGGCAGTATTTGGAGATGCTGACACTAAGCAATCGCTCCTGTTTCTCTGGAATTCACAGGTGACTGGGTGTCCCGTGTTTCATCTAAGTCCCCCTTCGTGGGGTCCCCTGCCATGACTTATTTAAAGCGGAGACACGAAGCTCACAGTACTCTGACAGTTTTTAAGAGCGTGACGGCATCTCCAGCCTTCTCTGCTAGGGGAGCTCCGTGGGCTTCCGCCTGACTCCCACACTGTTTGACTGAGATTCAGCAGCTTGTTCAGCCCCAGTGCCCCGTGGGGTTGCCTCAGTGTCCGCTGTTGACACAGTCGGAGCTGCATGCCCAGAAAACAGCCACCCGCAGGCAGAGCTGCCCCTCTTGCGGGGAGGATAAATCACTTCTCCAGCCCACTCCGCGCTTAGATTTTCTGCTGAGGCTGCAACACAGGGTCAGATTTATGACCTTTTGGGGCGAATTTTCATGGTCATCTCTCCTTTAGGAGCTATAACCAGACCTTCTCACACAGACCCTGAATCCAACGGAGGCCAAGGGCCTTGGCGGGAGAGCACTGGACCATGCTGAGTTGTGTGGCGCCCATGTGGCAAGACCTCACAGAATACTTTTTTTGGTTCAATTTCTGAAAACGAAAAACAAAAACCAAAAAAACCGATAAACCAGTCCCTCCAAAAACACAGTAATAAAACTACACTAAGCATGGATATAAATGGCTCCTGAACCTCAGAGGGTAGGAGCGCACTCAGGTTTGCTGTGCAGAGCTGGGGTAGGCTGCGTGCTGAGGCTCTGTCTGCACCAGGCATGGCCACAGTTTATCCCATTTGGGTTCACATCATGAGGCAGGGCGTACTGTGGCATGCATTGTTTTCTCAAGTCCAACATACACTCCCAGAATTATCTAGTCAACACTTTCATCAGAATTTTTTTAAAGTTCCTTTAGTAAAAGGATGAATGTGGAATATTTCTGCAGATGGTAGTATCTGTCTTCCAAATAATGCACATGTCTACAGCTAAGGTCATGCATACTCACATCGTGAAGAAGGAAAGTTAGTCTCCCATGTTCTAGCTCAAATTTGCAAGATGCATTCTCTTGGAAGAGCATGCATGAGTAAGGAGGCAGGATGCATGGCCTTCCTGGAGTGAAAGTGTTGCAAACAGAATGTAGAAGCTCGAAACTGAGGAGGAATCTTAGTTGTCATTCAACATGCTCATCCAACAGCGTTCCTGACAAATGCTTGAAACTGCCGTCAAGGTGGACATGTGTACCTCCCAAGGTCTAGCCTGCATCCTTCCCTTCTGAGGCAGATGCATTTGTATAAACACATCTCCTCACCCACCAGGTCCTGCACATGGCCCCAGCTCTCTGTGGCATCCACATCTTCGACAGAAGCCTGGGCCTGCAGAATCACTATTCCAGGACACTCCCTCCCCCATTTTTAGCCCACCAAGTATCCAACACCATCTGTCATAGTTCTTAAAAGCTTCTCTTTCCAAAAATAACAATTGAAACCCCCTTTACTGCTCTGCCGGTAGCATAATACACTGCAAATCATTTTATGTTTGAATTCTGCGCTGCTGGCTTTGTGCTCAAAAGTATCACTCTCGCTCAGAAACGTGCAATGTGGAAGCCAAATATGGCTTTTATATACATCCTTCTTCTGTTTCTGTTCATTCATTCCTGCAAATCTCTTCCCCTAATGGCACTTATTCCCAGGCACAGCAGGGGACCATCGTTGGGTGGAATCCATGGGTCTTCATACAGGAGCTATTATTTTCAACACAACTTCCCAAGAAAAGCAGATGACAAATTTCCAGCCAGGTCTAATACAGCTTCACCCACACCCCTATCTCCCCATTTAACTCCAGAGGTCACGGGAAGCCATGAGGGGTTGCGGACCCGCCCTCAAGGAGTCCATGGTGCTGAGTGCATCTCTCCAAATGTCCATCCCTGCCCTGCCTCACCCTATGTGGCTACCATGCAGCGGTCTCCCCACCAGACAGTGCCCCTGTTGAGAGTGAAGACTGTGTCCCCCCAGCTCTCCTTCCCTGGCCTACTGGGAGGTAGCAGCACCTGAGAAACACTGGCAGAATTCACGAGTTAGTTAGCAAAGCCCGAATCTGCAGCTCCACAGTGTGCAGAAATGAGGTCCTTCCCTGGGTTGTTTCTAATGCTCCATGCCATATGTGCTTTAAAAAAAATCATGCCCACCAATATGAGAAGAATCTCTTCCCTTTTTTATCACCTAATAGCATGGTCCCACTGTCACCTCTACCTTTACAGGCCACATTCTTTCACACCTATCATTTGACATCAGTGCCCCTTTACCCACCTCCCTAGATCTCTTTCCATGTTCTCAAGTTATTTTTCAAACCTCTCAACCTTCTTTTGTGCAGAGATAAGCCTTCCCTTGCTGTACACTGACTCCTCCCAAAAAGATGAAGGGTGGCAGCTGGCTCTGTGGAGCCTGGACCCTGCCGGGCCTATGCTGGCCCTTTATTCTGCCACACAGGGGGAGCAGCTGTCCAGACTGGGCCATTGGCTCCTGCCGTGAGCTGGATTTGGAAGTCCGTCCTTGTTGCTCGGCCCCTACGTGAGCTACAGGGTGTGGTCCAGGGTCCTCTGCCTCCCCCTCCTCTTTATCAAGGCTGGGCCTGTCCTGCCCTGGGCTGCCCACTCCACAGCTTCCTCTGCCTTTATGTGTCTCTGGAAACTCCCTGATGAGCAGCCCAGACAGTTATTTCTGGAGTGGGTGGGTGCCTGTCTCCATCCCCTCCCTCCCGACCTTGTGCAGGTGAGCCCTGCCCTCGTCCCTCACTGTCCAGCCCCACACCTTTCTGGGTCTCTTCACCGGATTCTCGCCAGGCTGCTTGGGGAGCTCGTGGTCATTTCTTTTGCTTGGCATTAGCTCTCACCCAATTCTCTGGCATGGTCAGTCTGGAAAATGAAGACACTGACACCTGTGCATGATGTGCCCGGCCGTGCCAACCCCCTGTGGAATTAGCAGTCCCTCCTCACAGGGCGAGGCCGTGCAGGGAACGCTCGGTCTGTTTGTTTCCCCATCGCCCTGTCACCTGCACTCGTGGGGCTCCTGCCTTTCCAGGTGAGCTGGGTCAGGCTGTGTTAAATTTTTGGACATTCTGATAATGATGAGGCTAACACAGGGGCAAGGAAGAAACATTCACTTAAAGTCTGCTGCTTCATTAAGTGCTAGTTTCCAGAAATTTCTATTTAACCTCAAATGGCTTATAATTCAGGGCAAATGTGCCCATAAAGCTCAAACATACAAAATGTTACCTATTCCAAGAACCCGTCCCATCTGCTTAGAGAAGTTAACTGTGAATCTGTGACTAGCTACCTCATCTACACTGAGGCCCTTGTTAGATCACGCCTGAAATCTATTCTCTTGTTCCTGGTGTTGCAAGATTGGCCTTAGATGAGAGGGAAAGGAGCACAAAGAAACTTGCACAATTCTGAAAGGGTCCGGTGTGTCAGCCCCTGCAGGGCAATGACAATGGCCTTAGTCCGGGCCCTCGGAGAAGCAGGTGCTAAAATCAAGATATTTTCTGATGTTATCAGGAGAAATGCTCACAGAGCCAGGAATGGCTTCAAGAACCCCAGACCACCATGCAAGTCTGACCCCAAATGAAGGAGGGAGGGGAGGAAGGAGGGAGAGGATGAAGGAGGGAGGGGAGGAAGGAGGGAGAGGATGAAGGAGGGAGAGGATGAAGGAGGGAGGGGAGGAAGGAGGGGGGGATGAAGGAGGGAGAGGATGAAGGAGGGAGGGGAGGAAGGAGGGAGAGGATGAAGGAGGGAGGGGAGGAAGGAGGGAGAGGATGAAGGAGGGAGGGGAGGAAGGAGGGAGAGGATGAAGGAGGGAGGGGAGGAAGGAGGGAGGGGAGGAAGGAGGGAGGGGAGGAAGGAGGGAGGGCAGGAAGGAGGGAGAGGATGAAGGAGGGAGGGGAGGAAGGAGGGAGAGGATGAAGGAGGGAGGGGAGGAAGGAGGGAGGGGATGGAGGGCGGGCAGGAAGGAAGGTTAGCAGATGCGTCAAAGAGACCATCTTCAGGTGTCCCAGGCCTGCGTCTGCCTCAGTGTCCGTGCCCTGCCAAGTCTTGAGCTGAGAGTAGCCCGGGGTTAGGACGGCCTCAGCAGCAAGACAGTGGTGGGGTTCAGACTTTGGTACCAAGAGCCCCGGGCAGCTTGACCCCACCCTTGGATCCTGCATGGAGCCTCCTCACCATGCCACAGCGTCATGTTTGCTGGGCTTGGTAGAGTGTTGGGCACACGTGGACTTCCTGAGATGGTGCAGTGCAGAAGCGGGGGTGGGACCCACACGGTTCTTACGCGGCCCTGCAGGGCAACAGGGGAAGCTTCCTCCCATCTTGAAGTTCCTTCCTTTCCCTGATCTGACTTTTTTGTTGGGCAAAGGCCAAGGCCTTCCTCCTGCTATCAACTCAATGGCACTGACACAATGCCCAGAGCCACCCTGAGCCTCCCCTGCTGTGCTCAGCCTCCTGGGTGCTGGGATCCGGGGCTCTGGGGCCTCTGGTGTGACCTGAGGGTGCCGAGGAGACAAGGGCTCAGGCTGAGGACAGCAGGTGGCTTCCACTGGGCCTCTGTGCTCTGAGCTCATTCCTGTGTTGAAGGGACTCTGACCACGTGGAACTCCAGGGATCCAGGAGAAACCACTGAAGCTAGGAGGCTGTGGGAGGTGGCGGTGAGGGGAGGCACTAGCAGAACTCTGAGAAAGAGACGGGGGAGGCGGAAGAGCAGGGCTTGTCTGCTGGCTTGTTTGAAGGGACTGTTCCAGGCAGGACTGCCTGGCGCTGCACACTGCTCAGACAGACATGGGGAGCAGGGCCGGGGGCTGCAGGCTGGAGGAATAGAGAGGAAAAAAGACTGGCCCCTGTGTGTTTAATAAATTTTTTTAAAAAAGAGATAATCATTCTGGGGCCAAAACAGGGAGAAAAAGGTGAGGAAAAGATAGGAAATAAAAGGAAGAGTCGGGGGACAGAAAGGGTAGGAAATGAGGGTGGAGGGAAGGGCAGGGCCGGGAAGGGGAGTAGAGGAGAGAGGAGGGAAGGGGAGGGGAGGAGAGGGGAGGGAGGGGAGAAGAGGGGAGGGGAGGGGAAGAGAGGAGAGGGTAGGGGGAGGGAAGGGGAGGGAGGGGGAGGGAAGGGGAGGGAAAGAGAGGGGAAGGGGAGGAGATGAGAAGGGAGGGGAGGGGAGGATTGAGGAGGAGAAGGGAAGCAGAGCTGAGTGAGAGAAGGTGTTTTAAGGATAAGAGCAGAAGAGAGAGAGGCAGGTAAAAAGAAAAGTACAATAAGTCTGGATTTAATAGGGAATTATCCCCGTATTTAAAACCTGTCAGTTCTCATTTAAGCTTGAGATAATTTCCCTGCAAAACCCTAACAGGCAGGCACATTAATGGAGGCTGTGAGAGGGCAGGTGTTTCTCAGGGCTCACTGTGGGCTGTGGGTGCAGCTTTCGAAGCCTTGGGGGTCCCCCTTCGAAGCCTTTTGGTTGTTCTTTTTTTTTCTAATTAAGGAGGGTATGCAAAGTGATTCCACAACAGTGATCCCACAACAAAGAGACGTGTGCTCCCGGGGAGAGGAAGTGCCTCTCAGAGCCAGCAGAGGTGGGGACAGCCCCTGCATGCAGTCTGAGTCCTCTTGCAGGGAGCAGGCCAGGCCATCCTTCCAGCTGCGAGATTATCCCCCCTGGGAGGATAAAATGGGACAAATTTTCCCTTCAGCTTTGCCGACTGCCCAGTGGGACAGGCTGAAGTCACATACTGATAACTGTTATAATTTCCATACCTTAAATAATTTAATGTGAAATCACATAAATAAAATGCTATAACTGAGCATAATTCTTTATACATTTTTCTAATAATCCTAGCCTTTTAAATTAGCATAATAACACTTAGAATAATTGAAGAATTTAATTGCATGGAGCGCTGGAATATTATCTGCTGTGCTGTGGGCCGCGATGAAACTCTGATTAGCTTTAATTTAGTTGGTTTTCTCAATTTAGTTTTCATATTAGATAATGCTGCAGAAGGTAGAAGCACATACAAATAAACTGTGGGATGTGTAATTGTTCCTAAGTGCCTACATGCTCTGAGGAAAACCTCTAGGCTTGCCGCTCTTGAACTTGAACGGAGGAAGAGAATTAGTGACTTCACAATATGAATGTTGCTTTTCTCACTGTTGTGCACTCACAATTATCCACACGCCCTGACATTAAGTTCTTCAGTGCTCTAGGCTAGAGGTAAAGGCTCTTTCCTTATTTTCCTTCTAATTTCCCCTTATTTCCTTCCTTTCTTTCTTTCTTCCTTCCTTTCTTCCTTTTTTCCTCCCTCCCTTCCTCCTCCTTCTCCTTCTTCCCTTCCCTTTCCTTACCTTCCTTTCCCTTCCTGCCCACTTCCCTTCCCTTCCTCCCCCTTCTCTTCTGTTCCTCCTCCCTCCCTTCCTTCCTCCCTCCCTTCCTCCCTCCCTCCTCCTTCCTTTCCCTTCCCTTCCTCCCCCTTCTCTTCTGTTCCTCCTCCCTCCCACCATCCCTCCATTCCTTCCTTCCTTCCTTCCCTCTTCCCTCCCTTCCTCCCTCCCTCCTTCCTCTCCTCCCATTCTTTCTTCCTTCCACAGTTATGCAATGATGGCTATGTACAAAATATTCAAGTCACTGCCTTTACAGCAGAACTGTGCTGTTAATTTAGGAATAACTTTCATTCTGCATGAGCTTTACAAATATAACCAGAAGAAGAAATTGTATTCTGTATACATTTTAGAAGTATAAATAAAGTTCTTTGTTTGTTTGTTTGTTTTTGAGACGGCGTTTTCCTCTTGTTGCCCAGGCTGGAGTGCAATGCCGTGATCTTGGCTCACTGCAACCTCCGCCTCCCAGATTCAAGTGATTCTCCTGACTCAGCCTCCTGAGTAGCTGGGATTACAGGCATGTGCCACCACACCCGGCTAACTTTGTATTTTTTTAATACAGATGGGGTTTCACCATGTTGGTCAGGCTCGTCTCGAACTCCTGACCTCAGGTGATCCATCTTCCTCGGCCTCCCAAAGTACTGGGATTACAGGCATGAGCCACCACGCCTGGCCCCTAAATAGTTTTTAAGGCCATTTCAAAGCCCCATGAGAAATAGACATCACCAATAAAAAATAACATTTTGCTTCAAGAAAAGTCTATATTTGCAAATTTTGATTCACAAAGTGGATGCATTAGTAGGGTCAGCAGATTTTTCAGTTTATGAGAGCGCTTAATTCCAATTTCTTTAATGATCTATTCTAACACATTTTTAAATCATGACAGTGCATTACTATTCTGTTGTTGCAGGAAAAATTACCAGAAATTTTGTGGCTTAAAAGGACATGCTTTCATGGTTTCAGAGTTTGTGGGTTGAGTCTTCTGCTTGGCTGTAGCTGAGGGGTCCCAGGCTGGGTGTGCATCTGAGGTTCTCCTGGGAAGGGATCTATTCCTAGGCTCACCTAGGTAATTGGCAGAGTTTATTTCCTTATGGATCCAGAACTGATGGCCCCAGCTTCTTGCTGGCATCGGACGGAGGCTGTTCTTAGCAACTATGAGTGACCCTTAGCTCCTTGCCCTCTGGGTCTCCCAACATGGCCACTTATTCTTCCAAGCCAGCAAGAGGGAGTCTCTAGAGTGAGTCTGCTAGCAAGACAGTCTTAGGTGCGTAATGCAATCACAGATGGGATGCCCCATCAATCACCTCGGCCATTGTACAGGCCCTGCCCACGCTCAGAGCAAAGGTTTTGGAGTTCCCCCATTGAGCAGCTTTGCCAAGTAATGTATACAACTGGATGGGAGTCCTGATGCAAACCCCAGTTTGTACGTGTGAGCCAATGGAAGGCGTGTGTGTGTGCGTGTGGTTTTAAAGAAGCCATAAATGTATTTCAAGTTCTATTTTCTCAAGTTTATCATATTGTTAATGTCTAATGATCATTTCTAGAATTTGAGAATTACATATATTCTCAAAGGAACAGAAAATGTCAGGTAGAGTTTTAATCTGCCTAACACAGGATCTCTGATCAAGGCATATGCACACACACACAATGCACACACACACAGACAATACCTAGGCACACATGCATACACAGACACACAGCCACAGTGCCTGAGGCAGCGGGATGTCCAGTCCTTCCTCCCTGCCCTGCCGTTCAGGATTCCTGGGGATGAGACTCCAAACGAGCAGGATTGCCCTGGGTCATAAGTCCGGGATTGACAAGGCTTGCCTGCACCCAGGAGTGGCTCCAGCCCCCTATGCTATCCCACTCTCCAGATCACTGCCCTGCCGACCTTGTACAAGCTTCATGTTGGCTCCAGCATTTCACAGACTGTTTTTAGAGCAATACTTATAAGACATTCTTTTTGGCAATTCAGGTCATACCTTCCGCACCTGGATGTACATAGCCACCCTACACCAAGTGTGTATAGTTCAGTGGTTGGAGGGTAGAGCCCTGAGCCCCACAGGTGCTGCACAAGGGTAGGTCTGGGACACACACTGAGTGACTCTCTGCAGTGCTGACTTTGATGCCAATGATTGCAAATGAGTTGGGACTCACGCTCAGGCTGATGAATGCTGCCAAGATGGAGGAGGCCAGGAGCTCTACTCCTACCAGGCTGATGGCTGGTGGTGCTGGATCCTAGACTCTCGGCGGTACACCAGTCACTAGTGAGAGATCTGCATATATAGGCCAGTCAGTGTCAGGGCCACAGAAGGAAAGTGTGGAGAGATGGTCTAAATCCAGCCCTCCTACTGGAAGAGATCATTTCAAATGATTACGTCGTTACAGATTGGGCAGATTTGAAGCTAAGGGCCATGCAACTGCTGAGAGACAAACTAGGTCTGGGTGCTCCTGGCATCAGAAGTCTCTTCATCCAGGTGGCCACTCCTCACTACCCCCGAGAGGAGAGAGGGGTGAGAATGAGCTCTCTGACATCTGGTTCCCCCAGTCAGTGACTTGGGCCCAGCATGATTCTTCCCCCAGGCACTGAGCAGGGTCCTATGGAGGGCCCCAGAGAGAATCTCAGGAGGAGGCTGCAGGCTGCAGTAAGGACGTGGGCTGATGACCAGGTTGAATCTGCGTTAAGCTGGCTGGAGCCAAGCAGAGTTGGTTACCGTGGAAGCAGCGAGTGCAGGGGACAGGTGAGGCTCAGGGAACTAGAGACCGTGCCTGGGGGTGTCTGGCCTGCAGGATATGATTCCTGGGATGCTGAGGATGCTGAGACCACATCCCAGATAAAGGGGCTGGCCGTCACAGGGCAGGAACACCCAGGGAAGAAGGAAAAGGAAGCAGGGTTGGTGCAGGTCTTCATTGCTGGAAGGCATTACCGGCAGACCCTCTGTCTCCGTAGCTCCTTGTCCTCTGCTCAGCGACAACAGAGCCTACATACCCTCGGCCCTCCTGGGGATGACCCAGGCCATCCATGGGCATGCGCTGAAAAGCTTCACCCTGCCACATCCACAGCTGATGAGACCAGGGATTGCCCTGCCCAGGACAGGCCGACAGTACAGTGGCCTTCATCAGGAGGTTTCTCGTTCATTCACATATGAAGCACCTGCTGTGTGCTGGCTCTATGCTAAGTACTAGAGATGTTGATGCTTTTTTTTTAATGGGGGGGGTGGAATTTGGAGAATTCACTGAAGGAAGTGGCTAACAGTGGGCTAAGATGGAAAGAAACGAAGGAGAAATCTGGAAAGTTGGTGAAAACGAGAGGGATTTTGGCCAGCCAAGGATGTGAGGGGTCAGAACTTTGAGTCCTCAGTAGAGGTCTGGGAGGAAGGGGCAGCTGGTAGTAAGTTAGTGTCCTGGGGCAGCTGAGACCAAAGACTGCTAAGGTGGATGAACACAACAGGTGCCATCCCCTCGCAGTGCCTAGGTTGCCCATTTGAAAAACTTGCTGTCCGATGTCACCTCTCCTGGGAGGAGCAAGCAAGAGGCTGGGGAAGCCAGTTACATAGGCAAAACCATCTCTGCTTTTGGCATAAGGGGTATAGCCCTGGGGCTGGATGGCCTCAGAGAGAGGCACAAACAGGTGCTAGGTGTGCCTGGGGTACTTGGGCCCTGCTTAAGCATGGCTGAACGTCCAGAGAACATTTCCAGGAACTGCAAATGCCCAGGTTCCTCCATGTGCAGCCACTGAGCCTGAGCCTAAGCCTTCCCCTCACGGGGAGCCTGCGTGGAGTGCGGCAGAGGTGTCAGAGGGGCCTGCAGACAGCTGGGCCTTGGGTTCCTGGTCTAAGCAGAGGGAAAGAGTCTTTGTGTCCTCACCTGGAAGTCTCATTTCTCCTCCTCCTCCTGCCTTTACTCACCTACAGATAGGCCCATGAGCACACACATGAACACAGGCACAGACATGCACAGGCGCACACATGGGCACAGACACGCACAGGCGCACACACGGGCACAGACACGCACAGGTGCACACACGGGCACAGACACGCACAGGCGCACACACATGAACACAGGCACAGACACGCACAGGCGGACACACAGGCACAGACACGCACAGGCGGACACACAGGCACAGACACACACAGGCGCACACACATGAACACAGGCACAGACACCCACAGGTGCACACACAGGCACAGACATGCACAGGCGCACACACGGGCACAGACACGCACAGGTGGACACACAGGCACAGACACACACAGGCGCACACACGGGCACAGACACGCACAGGTGCACACACAGGCACAGACACACACAGGTGCACACACAGGCACAGACACGCACAGGCGCACACACATGAACACAGGCACAGACACACACAGGCGCACACACGGGCACAGACACGCACGGGCGCACACAGGGATACACACAGGCAGGACCACCCCCAGGGTGCTGTGAGGTGAGCCTGCTGGTTGTGGCACAGTCCTGAGTGGGTGTGACCTCTTCCAAAGAAAACCCATAAAGCCGGTGATTGATTTCATCATTAAAATATCCTGTGGGTTTAACAACCAATTACAAGATCCTTAATAACCAGTTTGCTGAGAATATGGGTGTGCTCCTGCTTCCCAAGAACCCTAATTATCTCGTCTCCTTGTTTGACACGAGGCTGGCTGAAGCCTCCACTGTGGGAATCCGAATACGGAACTCAGGCTTTGGGGACACCACAAACCTGTGTCTGTTTTTCCCATTAAAACTGATGAGGGCTGCAGTCCTATGTTGGCGTCCACCCTGAGGAGGGAAGAAGAGCGTGCTAAGGCAGCCAGTATTGATGGAGCTATGAAGAGAAGGACTTTTAGAAGCAAAGGCCCTTGCCAGGTGCATCCTAGCATCTCACGCAGGGTGCACTCTGGGAGACTTCTTCCTCTCTTGGTATGTCTGTTTCTTCTCCCACAGTGGGTCTGGAGCTCACCTGTCCCAGGCGTGTGAGGCAGCTCAGGGTGAAACAGTGCAGGGTTCCCGGTTGGTTCTGCTCCAAGGAAAGTACCTGCTTGTCTAATTAACAGAAGTGGGCCCCAGTGGGCAGGAGTCCTCCTAGAGGAGGACAGACACCAGTGCGCCTGACACCATTGAGGTGGGTCCTGAATGTGGAGCCCTGGGGAGGTGGCATCCGGGCAGCCATTTCCTGGAGAGCCTGGCTGGGGGACACGCGTTGGGAGGGCATGCTCCTGCCATCATCAGATACAGGTGGATGGGGTCAAAGCCTATAAAGGCAGATTTCCTAAACACGAGAGGACAAGGGGTCCTGCAGGAGCCTGCCACATGCTTGGTGCTGCATTGTCCAGCCCAGGCTTGCCTGAAGGTCACAGGAGGCTGAGTCCAAGGACACAGGGCAGCGTCCAGAGCAGGGCAGCCTGGCTTGTGTCCCCATGATGCACTCCGTACCATCTAATCATGGCAAGCAAGGAAAACGTTTAGCTTCAGTCCTGGCACACAGGACACCCTCCTGTTGGAAGCCATGGCTCACTCCCCTTGAAGCAAGATAAGGTGTCAGGATGTTTGTCCCAAGGTCGTGTGTTTAGTGAGCCCTACATAGGGGAAAGGACCTGTGTGTGTCCCTGTGTGCACCTGTGCATGTCTGTGCCTGTGTGTGTCCATGCATATGTCCGTGTGTGTGCTTGTGTGGATGTCTCTAGGTGAGTAAACCTGCATCTTGGCAGGCTCGCCAATGGGTAGGAGGCTAGAGGCCACAGTGACAATCCACAGCTACCTTTCCCAGAAGGATGGGACCCTCACACTGAGGCCCGAGCAGGGGCCCTGTCCTGGCACCCTTACAAACATGCTTGAAGTTGGGTTGGGATTTGCAATCATTGTGAGCTTCATGGAGCAATGCCTCCACCGAGCTCACACTGCCTGCCCACAGCCTTTGTGCACAGTGGTCTGGCTGTTCCCATGCTTGGCATGGCATTCAGCAACAGGAAGGCTAGCTGGAGTTTACCTATATCTTCAAATCGGCAAAGTCTTATCTACACATCAGATGTCATTTATGTCCCAAGCTTGAGTTTTAGAACCAGCTATTTTTTTTTTTTTTAGAACCAGCTAATTTTGTCAGACATCCTCGAAAGTATTTTCTGAATCAGAAAAATATATGTTTTTATTGGTTTGCATAACTGAAAACAGGTTGAGAAATTCCCTTGTGTTTCCCAAAAACAAAACAAAACTCTAACACCTCTCATTTAATATGGAGTCTGGAAAATGTGTGATTTCTGGAAAACCATCATGTGATAATTTAATAAACATGGAGACTGTTTTTAAATTTTTATTGAAGCTCACTAAGAACAGATGGTAAAAACTACAGTCCCGACAGCCTTTTACATCCACGTTAGGAAAGTAAACTCGAAAATCTATCAATGAAGCCACTGTTGCCACTTCTGTTTTAAAGGGCAATGATTTCTTTCCATGAGATCCCAAGTCTTGACCTGGGCCAGAATTAGAGTGCAGGATATTTGCTTTTTGTGAGAGATGAATCCGGAGGTAATTACATTCATGTGTTTCTTTCTCCCTGTGCTTGTTCACATGTGTGTATTGGGGTTCTCTCGTGTCCATCCGGAGTGCGGAGCGCCAAGGAGTTTTCTGGCAGGGGTCAGAAGAACCAGCACATGAGGTATAAAGAGGTAAAGAAGCTTGGCCTGATTCTAAACCCATGGTTTATAGTCAAGATTCTTTCTTATTAAGGCAAACTTTGTATTATAAATAACACAGACACAGAAAACGTGCCCACATCCTAAGGGTGCGGCACAGTGAATTTTTCAAGCAAAAACGCAGTGATCAAGGACATTACAGGCACCCGGAAGCCTTCATCCAGCCCCTTCGGGTCATTAGGGACCCTCCCCCCACAGGTAATCAGGATGCCACCAAGGGCCAGCCCTGCCTGATGGTGAACTGACATCAACGCCTGAGCCTGGCTCTTTCCGTGGTGTTGGGTGTGACTGCAGCGACTTATTTCGATGGCTGTGTAGTATGCCATTGCAAGAGCACACTCCGATATACTTAAGCGGCGTGCTGGCAACAGTACGGTTCTTTTCAATCTGGGCAATTACAGAGAGTGTTGCTATAAGTGTTCTTCTCTGCCTTGTGTGACATGTCAGCATTTCCGTTGAATTTACACTGTGACATGGAATCGCCGGGTCATAGGCAGGGCACACTTAGCTTTTGTAGATTCTACCGGTTTTCCAAAATGGCTAAGCCAATTGACAAGCCCCGAACCTGGTGGATCCACACCCTCACTTGGCCATGTAACTCTGCTTCACGTACGTGTCCTCTGGGACGAAATGATGAGCGTGCCTACTTTGCAGAACCAATTCAAGAATTAAACAGAGCAGTAGGCATTTTTCCACACCCTGGGGACATGGTGGATTTTTGTTATCAGGGCTCTAACGATGAAGAAATGCTTGGAATATCTCACCGAGTGTAGTGGTGAAAGGCCAGCTCCCTTTCCAGCCCTCACATTTGCAATCGGAGGGGTGGAAGACAGAGGAAACTTTCAAGTTAGGAACAACAAAAGAGGTGAAGTTTCCAAAGTAGAATTTGCACATTGCTATGCTCAGGCAGGTTGTCCAACTTGCAGAAGAGTCTGGTCCCGGTCTTGTGAAACAGAACCCGGGCTCCCTTTCACTGCCAGCAGGCTCAGTCACTGGAACCACAGCTGCCAGGGAGGGGCTGCTCCAGGATGCGACCTGGGTTTGCTGCCCTGTCATTCATTCATTCAGTGAATATCTGCCCAGCTGCCACCATGTGCCAAGTCCTGCGGGATCTTGGGGCTTCGTGATGGGGAAGTTTCTGCCCTTGAGGAGGTCAGGGTCAGGGCAGGTGGGTGCAGGCAGGGGAATCAACCCTCACAACATGGCATGCTGCTTGCAGCTCAAGGCCCATCTGCCCCAGCACTCCCTGGTAAACAGGGTCTACCTCCAACTGCATGCCTGGGATGGGGTAGAATTTGAAGGCACGAGGGTCTCAGAAAGGGGAGAAGCCTTCCAGGTAGAGGAAGCATAAAGACGGGGCTTGTGACTATTTCCAGCAGAAATCATTTAGCATTGTTCTTAGAAAGAGAGAAATATCTCCAAACACCACTGAATTCTCCCTCACTAGGTATAATTCCCAGTCTCAGGACACTTTCCAGGAAACCCTCAGCTCACCTGTGTCTTTCCTCCCAAAATAAGGTTTTTATTCATTTAACAATTTTTTTTTGAGAAAATCTCTTAATTTGTTGCAGAATACAGGCGCTAAATCTGCCGCCAAAAGGTGGAGGGAGCTAGCGTGTAATTTTCACCCTTTACCAAAATGTCAAGTCCAATCTTCAAATGAGTAGATAAAATCAAGCTAGCCTTTTTGCGGCTAAATGTGATGTGCTGGAGTTTAACTTACAGTGCTGACAACACGAAGCTGAGTTCACATGCTCTAGTGGAACTGCAGACTTTTCAAGCATGGATTCTCATTGACTTAGAGAATTCGCTGTCTCTGGGGAGCAGTTGCTTTCTGTGGCCTTCCCCGCACAGTGGGATTTAGAGAATTTCTGCGCTTTCCCCCAAGGGGCGTGCATCAGCCATAAAACAGCAAATCCTACCTCCTGGGCCTTGGGGCCCTTCCCCCACCAGCACTGCACCGATCCCCATATTCTGGTATGACCTCTTCTTCCCTGAGAGCTGGGGTCACAGCTCACCTCTGCATGTGCAGAGAGCAGAGTGCATCACAGAGAAACCTGTTCCTGCCTCTGTGACCCTCCCAGCTCCATGCAGCCATGGAGGACGAGTCTGTGGGCCTGCAGGACACTGGGCGGCTGCCAGAGCAGTCTGCATTTCCACAGCCTTTGCGCCCCAGCACCCAGAGCTCAGACCCCCTGTCCACCGGCCAGGACTACCCCAGATAAGGACTACCCCAGGCAGCTCCTGGAGCAGGAGGCTGGGGCGCCAGAGCACAATGGAGTCGACACCGGGGCCTGACCCAAGGGTGTTTGTTCCTGACGCTCTGACCCCACTCTTGTCTCTGTCCCAATACCTGATGATGTCTCCATCCTGGCATGCTTGGGCATCCTCTCCTCCACCTCATTTATAAATGAATTCATTTTATAAATGAATACAAACCTAATGAATAGATTATTGATGGCTGGAAGTAAACTGCTAAACATTGTGAATCTAAGGATTTCATGTAACATGTGAACATGGCAAACATACACACATGCACACTCACATACATGCACACACACATGCTGATCCTAGAGGGAAAATCGTGGAGTTTCTCCAGATGGAAAAAAATTGAGATTAGTATTTTCTCTTTAATTGCAACGTCACAAGAAGGGTTACCTCCTTCACACCTCACACCCAAGTTTTAAAATAAATTCTCTACTTTTGACTTCAGTTTTGAAATTATCAATGATTTTACAAAAAGTGAATGGGTGTCTTTAGATAAATTATTTCTGCAATCTGCTTTGATTTGCCTTCTTTTATATACTAAAAGAGAACAAAAATCTAAAAATCAAGAGCTGGCACTGTCCTTCTGATCGTCTGAGGTATTTCGGGGGATATTTTCTGCTTCTCGGCGAGAGCGCGCGCTGACACAGGCTAGGTCCAGGCCGCCAGCAGCCAGGACTCAGGGAAGCGTGAGCCGGCCAGTGCGCTGAGGACAGTATTGCTCTCCGCGCGACGCGTGGGAAGCCCCTGGTTTCTAGCGGCCTGTGCCTGCCTTTCAATCACCATTCCCATACTTAATATGAGGTTTTTAAAATATTTTCCTCGTTTTCAAGCATGATTTACAAAAGGGTAAAAGGGCTGCTTTCCATTCTTCTTTTTATCTCTAGAAGTTGTGTGGAAATGAAAAACAGGATTGGCTAAGAAGGGAAAGTTGTTGACTCCAGGTTCTGAGAAACCAGTTGACTCAAATTCCATCGCCCTTCTTCGAGACAAAGCGGCCTCAGTGGTGACGTTTGTTCCTGTCCAAGTCTTTGTGAGTCGCTGCACACTTTCGGGCATGGTGTCCGAACTGCTCTGTGCACACCCACCTTTATTTTCTGTGTCATCTGTTCTTTTTCTGATCCTCAGTACATACACGCACACACAAGCACACGCACACACATGCACACGCACACACACACATGCCACACATGTTCTAATCACGACTGAAATGAGCCCCAAGTTCTCAACCACTGATTACATTTTTAAAAATATTCAGAACAATAAATATTCAACCCAAAAAAATTGAGAAATTCAGGAGAACATCTCTCTTTTCAATAATTCTCCTGAATATCACACTGCAGTTGGCCATGTTAAAAAAAAAAATAGAAAATCCAGGTGTTTGTGAGGGCGCACGCCTCCAAAGAATACATAAAATGCCCAACACCTGTTAAACCAATTAATCAACTTACTATATGTATTTTCTCTTAAAAAATTAATTAAAAAATACAAAGTACATTATAAGTCATATATTTATATTATACGTTATGGTGTTATATATTTTTTACTTTGTGTGTTATATGTAACAAGATATATGTTATGTTAAATTATAAACTGTAAATAAATTTATAACTATAGAATATACATTTATTACGTTATAACTTAATGTAAGCATAAAATCATAATTTAATAAGTAGAAATTATAGTGCCCTTGATCATGGAGAGTAGAAGCAGGTTTCTTTTAGCATCGTTCTTGGTTTCCCTTCAACGTGTGTACAATACTCATCAAGATGGGGATACTTAAATGCAGTCAATGCTCCAGCAAATTCTGGAGTGTAAGAGGCATCTCAGGTGAGAGTCTGTGTGGTCAACTTACTCAATTTAATTTAAACTTAAGTGTAAATAGTTTAAGGCGATAGCCCGTTACTGCTCACATCTGAATTCACATGGGCCCCCCGGCTGGAACAGAATCCAAACAAACAAACAAACAAACAAAACTAATCTAGACATCTGAAGTCTCCACTCTCTTGGTGAGTGACAGATCTGCAAGACAGGTCTGAAAAGGAACTTTCTCTTTATATTCCAAACATTGATTTTTTGCATCTACCCACAAACCCATCTGATCTATGAGATCTCAGTTCTGGGGACAAAGGCATGTAAGTGACCTATGGAGATATTTATGGTCAGTTCCAGAGAAGCAAGACACATACCCTGCCTACTGGACATTGATCTGTTTGTGGAATCACCCAAGAATGAACTGAAACAGGGCTATTGGCCTCTTTCTGAAATAACCTTTATGTCCAAATAAGGAAAAAAAAACATGTAACTAGCAAAATTGGCATGCACCTGGTTTTACTTACACAGTAGCCCTAATGGACCTGAAAAAACCAAACCATAGCCCTATTGCCACTACATTCAATTTGGCAATCTCCTAGTCATCCATTTTTTTTGTTTTTTTCTGAGACGGAGTCTTGCCCTGTCTCCCAGGCTAGAGTGCAGTGGCGCAATCTCCACTCACAGCAACCTCTGCCTGCGAGGTTCAAGAGATTTTCCTGCCCCAGACTCCTGAGTTGCTGGGATTACAGGCACATGCTGCCACGTCCAGCTAATTTTTTGTATTTTTAGTAGAGACAGGGTTTCACCATGTTGGCCAGGCTGGTTTCGAACTCCTGACCTCGTGATCTGCCCGCCTCGACCTCCCAAAGTGCTGAAATTACAGGTGTGAGCCACTGCACCTGGCCGGTTATCCATATTTTTGAGGTTACTTCAACTAATGAAGAAAAACTTGCTTCTCCACCGATACTGGTCTATTCAGACCACATCTTGATCTAGAAACCTACACAGAAGCATCTCTGCTTCAGAAACCATTAAAGGATATAGCCGTACTTCTTTTAGATTCCCTCTGCATAAGATACAGTTGCCAACTAAGAAATCCACACTGAGAAATTAGGGAAATGTCACAAGTGTTTCAAACCATGACACATGGTATGTTTTTAAGAGTTATTTCTTGCTCCTCCAAGTCTAAAAGAAGCAAGGACTCCTTCAAGGATCTAGTGCCAGCCACAAGGCCACCTGCTCTGTGCAGAATTTGTCAGGGTGGGAACAACGTGCTGTGGAGGTTTCAGGCACTAAAGCAAGACTGGGACTAACATGTTAGACCTAAAACCATAAAAACCCTAGAAGAAAATCTAGGCAGTACCATTCAGGACATAGGCATGGGCAAGGACTTCATGTCTAAAACACCAAAAGCAATGGCAACAAAAGCCAAAATTGACAAATGGGATCTCATTAAACTAAAGAGCTTCTGCACAGCAAAAGAAACTACCATCAGAGTGAACAGGCAACCTACAAAATGGGAGAAAATTTTCGCAACCTACTCATCTGACAAAGGGCTAATATCCAGAATCTACAATGAACTCAAATTTACAAGAGAAAAACAAACAACCCCATCAAAAAGTGGGAGAAGGATATGAACAGACACTTCTAAAAAGAAGACATTTATGCAGCCAAAAAACACATGAAAAAATGCTCACCATCACTGGCCATCAGAGAAATGCAAATCAAAACCACAATGAGATACCATCTCACACCAGTTAGAATGGCGATCAGTAAAAAGTCAGGAAACAACAGGCGCTGGAGAGGATGTGGAGAAATAGGAACACTTTTACACTGCTGGTGGGACTGTGAACTAGTTCAACCATTGTGGAAGTCAGTGTGGCGATTCCTCACGGATCTAGAACTAGAAATACCATTTGACCCAGCCATCCCATTACTGGGTATATACCCAAAGGATTATAAATCATGCTGCTATAAAGACACATGCACACGTATGTTTATTGCGGCACTATTCACAATAGCAAAGACTTGGAACCAACCCAAATGTCCAACAACGATAGACTGGATTAAGAAAATGTGGCACATATACACCATGGAATACTATGCAGCCATAAAAAATGAAGAGTTCATGTCCTTTGTAGGGACATGGATGAAACTGGAAACCATCATTCTCAGCAAACTATCACAAGGACAAAAAACCAAATACCGCATGTTCTCACTCATAGGTGGGAATTGAACAATGAGAACACATGGACACAGGAAGGGGAACATCACACTCCGGGGACTGTTGTGGGGTGGGGGGAGAGGGGAGGGATAGCATTAGGAGATATACCTAATGTAAATGATGAGTTAATGGGTGCAGCACACCAACATGGCATATGTATACATATGTAACTAACCTGCACATTGTGCACATGTACCCTAAAACTTAAAGTATAATAATAATAAAAAATAAAAATAAAAAAAAGACTGGGAACTGATGTGAGGCCTAATCCTGGAATGGCTTGCTTGAGTCAGTAAATGAACTGTTGATCCACATAAAGTTAAAAAGAATTCTGGAGGAATAAAAACACGGTCATTTGAGAGCAATCAGTGGATTTCAGGCTGATCAATCAGTGGTTAAAACAAGTGACCGGTTGAACTGCTGATGGATTTATTACCATAGTCCTCACTTAGGACATGCCAAAGTCTGCAGAGACTAATTGGTTTGCTCATTTTCAATAAACACACTTTTTCTCACACGATAAAGCTAAGTCATTCATTCATGTTCATTCATTAAAAAAAAAATTTAGTCAAACTTTGAATAACCTGGAGAAAATGTAAGATCTGCCACCAGTGGTTGGGATGGGAGAAATATAAAGGAATTTGGAAGGTTTCTGATGGGAAGAAATTTGAAAGTTACTTAAAAATATAAAAAGAAAAATTGAGAATATAATTAAATTAAAGATATCTATCCTGTTTAGCATTTCCCCCCTCTAAGCAAGAAACTTAATCTATCTTTTTCTCTGATCTATCCCTCATGCCTAGAATAGTGCCATGTACATAGTAAGTTCTTAATAAATATTTGTTGAATACATGAATGAACAAACACCTGTACTCAAAATATGAACAGGGCTGGAGAATGTTGAGGAGGTAAAAATCCGAGTCCACAATGTTATGGATAGGATAAAATTAACGGAATTTTTTTTTTTTTTTTTTTTTTTTTTTGAGACAGAGTCTCGCTCTGTCGCCCAGGCTGAAGTGCAGTAGCACTATCTTGGCTCACTGCAAGCTCCCCTTCAGCCTCTGTGTAGCTGGGACTACTAGCGCCCGCCACCACGCCCGGCTAATTTTTTGTATTTTTATTAGAGACGGGGTTTCACCATGTTAACCAGGATGGTCTCGATTTCCTGACCTCATGATCCACCCACCTCGGCCTCCCAAAGTGCTGGGATTGCAGGCGTGAGCCACTGTGCCCGGCCGATTAACGGATTTTTTTAGCACCCTCCTTGCTCTCTCTTCTCCTGAGCCTCTGAGTGCAGAAGACTGGACTTCGTCAATGCAAGGTAACTTTTTGTGATTTCCTGGTTTCATTTTCCTTCATCTCTCATGCCAAGAGTCCTTTGAGAGTGGACCTAAGCTTCTAAACTCTAAGAAGATGGATGCACTTTTCGAGGTGGAGTGGTTCTCATCTTGGTCCTCACCTGTTCAGGTTGGCCCCTGCTGTACTTCCTTCCTGTCCTCTGGCCTCCAATGAGATGTGCATGCTCCTGTTGTCTGGGCTTTGAGGGCACATGGGAAATGTGACTTGGTCCCCCCTTTGCACACCCGCACACACCCCACGCACTTTACTCTGCCCAGGTGTGCGAGGCAGTTGTTTCAACAGGGCATGGAAAACTCTGAGACGCTGGCGGCAAGTGGGAGGTGCAGAGGTTCCCCCATTCTTGGGGGCGCCAAACTCTTCTTCAGTTTCCATCACAACCCCTTTCCCTGCAGACCTTGGCTTAGGGAGGTGGAACATAGGCCCCTTCCTCAGAAGACCCATCAGGAACTTTCTAGATTCCCTTTGGATTCTATCTTTCAATCATTTAGGATTTGTACCCTGTTCCAGGGAAAGATCCTTAGGGTCTTCTATTCTTCACAATCTATGTGTGTTCCCATATTTTCTTGCAATAAAAAACCCTTTCTTTCAAAACTCAAGTTTTTGCCCTGAGTTTCAAAAACCTGTTTAGGCCGCAAGAGCCCAGCATTGACATCTCTGTGTGTTCCTCTTTTCTGCCTCTCACTGAGGCAGGCCATAAAGACTTCCCACCCTGGCTTGAGGGGTCTGCCAAAGTCCTGGGCACCCAAGGGAGGAAAGATGCCCCTGGTTAATTCCTGGAAACAATGCCTGGTTAGAGGTTAAGCCAGGTGGTCATCAATGCGGCCAGTAACTCATACTTGGGGACGCTTCTAGAAAAATGTGTTTTGAGCTGGGTCTACTAACAAGGAAAAAAGCTTGCCGAGCAGACAGATGGTCCCCAAAGTGTGGTTAGAGGGAGTGGCAAGAGTACATGCATGTGAGTGTCTATGGGCATATGTGTGTGGGCATCTGCATATATGTCCATGGTTGGGGGACCCTGCAGGAGCAAGAGTGAGATTATACAAAGGAAAACCCAGGAGATGGTTCCTGCAGAATGAGGATGGTTAGTTACAGAAAAGATGGTTGGTTGAAGATGATAATGTTTGAATTAGTTCCTCCAATAATCAGTTTTGTCTACTGAGTCATTTGTGGTGTCCAGTGATTTAATCAAACACTAATCTAGGTGTTGTTGTGGAGGCGGTTTATAGATGACTTTCAGTAAATCATGCTTGATTATCTGTGTGGGCCTGATCTAATCACATGAAAGAACTTAAGGGCAGAACTGAGGTTTCTGTGAAGAAGACTTTCCACCTGTGGACAGCAGCATCAGCTCCCGCCACAGTGTTTCCAGCCAACTGCCAGCTCTATGGATTTCAGACTTCCCTAGCTATGCTCCACAATGGAATGAATGAGCTGATTCTTTGCAATAAATATCTCTATCTGTCCCTATATCTATCTCTGTATCTATCTCTGTCTCTATCTCAGTATCCTTCTCTGTCTCTGTCTCATCTCTATCATTGCCTCTATCTCTGCAGCTACATCTATGTCTGTGTGTTTCCTCCTGGTTCTGTTCCTTTGCTGAAATCAAAACTCATGCAGATTTTGGCCTGGTGAGTGGTTCTAGAGGGATAAAATCTTAAGCATGAGTTTTCTGAGTTTTCTTAATTGGTTCTGGGGTTTCTAAGATTGGCTCTTTACTCTGGTTTGACTTAAAGGCATGAATGATTCTATTTCTGGTAGTGAAGAGATCATTGATAGTTATGCAATGTTGAAATAGAGATACGCAAACTATCACAACTAAATACTTGTAATCAAGTGCTTCTAAGAGGCAATGTTCTGATTGGTTGTGTATAGGAAACCTTAGAACATTTTAGTCAAACTGAGAGATTTGATGAGGTTGGCTGTTTGCTCTAAACTATGCTGGAAAAAGTGAGGAATGAAAATAATGAGCTCAGCTCTGCATAGGTGACCTGAAAGTTTCTACATCTTCCCTGGAAGAAATCTTTATCTCCTGTAGCTATAGCTGCTGAGGTTTCTAAGAATATAACTCAGAGGCTCAGTGTGAGTTGCTGAAATATAACCCAATTTGAATTCTCAACCAGGAAGGGTGTCTAGTGTCAGAGTGAGAGTGTTAATTAGGAAGAAATGAGGTCATAAAAATGGAATGAGGATATATGAGAAGATTCTGATGAAGCTAGAGACATTCAACCATTGAACCCCTAAATTCTGAGGAATCTTTTTTTTTTTTTTTTGAGACAGAGTCTTGCACTGTCACCCAGGCTGGAGTGCTGTGGTGCAATCTCAGCTCACTGCAAGGTCCACCTCCCAGGTTCATGCCATTCTCCTGCCTCAGCCTCCTAAGTAGCTGGGACTACAGGCGTCCACCACCGTGCCTGGCTAATTTTTTTGTATTTTTAGTAGAGACGGGGTTTCACCGTGTTAGCCAGAATGAGGAATCTTCTTTGCCAGTAAAAACAACTGTTCCACCCTGGTCTGAGGAGATTAACCCTGCTTTCCATGAGGAAGCGTCAATGGTCTTCCCTGAGGTCATTGCTTTGCTTAATCTTCCTTATTCTTTTTAGAGCCTATACACACCACACCTCCTTGCTTATAGACCAATAACTTGACTAAGGTCTCAGCAGGCTCCAAAGTGTAAGGTTAAGGTACAAAATGTGACCACTTCTAAAAATGGCATGATTTTTTCTCATTTATACAGACACCCAGAGGAAAAGACAAGAAGTATGAGGGACAGTGTGACCATAGAGACAGAGATTGGAGTGATCCAGCCCCAAGCCGAGGAACGCCTGCAGCCACCAGGAACTGGGAGAGATGAGGAAAGAGCCTCCTCTAGAGCCTTCTGAAGGAGTGTGAACCTGTCAACACCTTGATTTTGGACTTCTGACTTCCAGGACTGGGACATAACACATGTCTGTTATGTTAAACCTCCCAGTTTGTTGCAGTTTGTAACAGCAGGCCATGGAGGCTAGAACAGTCTCATTCAGCCTCAACAACTCCATCATACAGGCATATTTAGGCACCTTGGTCCTACTGTCTGGGGACATTCAGTCAGCCCACTGTAAGTTTCTGACCAGTGATTTGGTCCTAGTCTGAACATTTGTGTTGCAGGAAACTGTTCCAGGGCTCAGGAGACCTGCATTCTCAGTTTGCCACTTAGGTAGTCTTCTGGTCATAAACAAGACATTCAGCTTCTCTCATCTACAAAATAAAGGGAAAGATACTTATGCCCCAAAGGAGCTAAACGTGCACCTTTGAAGCACCTGGCTCGATGCTGGGTCTGGAGAATATGTTTGGCCACTGCTCTCCACTCTGCAGAGCCCCCTGAGGTCCTTGCTACAGCCAACGTCACGTGGTCTTATCATGGGTCTGACACCACTCCCCTATTGCCTTTACCTACTAAACTCACTTTTATTTTTAACTATGCCCTGGCTTAGATAATTAAATTTCTGTATTCAATTCGGGGAAAGAAATGTTTATAAAAACTCTTTAAAAAGGGCAAAGCTTCACGAGGGCTGATGGTCCCTATTTGGATGACTGTGCTACACCCACCTCACCTGTTGTTTTGACTTAAGGCTTAATGCCAGAACAATTTGAATTCTAATTTCAGTTTAATAGCATATTAAGAATATAGATACGTATTAAGAATATAGATAGCGTATTAAGAATATAGATGTATTAAGAATATAGCGTATTAAGAAATATAGAATATTTCACCTGTTTAAGCTTCAGTGTCTACACATATAAACTGGGAGTATTAATTGTGCATACTTTCTAAGGTTAGTGTGGTTATGAAATCACACACGTCAAACACTGAACACACCACAGCACTATCGGTGTTAGCTACTGTTGTCCCTATTGGAAAGTAGGGGATTTCTAAAAATTCAGGCAACTTCGTTTCACTCTTATAGTATAAAAATTGTTCTCCTTGAATGATGCAAACTTACATTTTTATACTGTCATATTCTTTCATTGAGGCTTTTCTCATTATTCCTTTATTCTCTTTGATAACTTTTCAGAAATTGTGTTAAAATATGTAACACTCAAGTGCACAGTTCTATGGCATTACATACATTCACATTATCATGCAACCATTACCACCATTTATTTCATCCCAAACTAAAACTCTGTCTCCATTAAATACTAACTCCCTATCCTTTCCTTCTCCACAGCCCCTGGTAACCTCTAATCCTCATTCTCTATGAATGTTCCTACTCTAGATATTTCATATAAATGGAATTATATGATATTTGTGCTTTTCTTTCTGGCTTATATCATTTAGTAATGTCTTCAAGGTTTATACAGGTTGTAACATGTGCCCCATTTCCTTCCTTTTTGAGGCTGAGTAATATCCCATTGTATGGACAGACCATGTTTTGTTTATTTCTTCATCTGATGATGGACTCTTCGGTTGTATCCATCTTTTGGCTATTGCAAATAATGCTGCTAATACCACTGGTGTACAAATATCTCTTTGAGACCTGCCTCTTAATGCTTTTGGGTATTTACTCAGAAGTGAAATTGCTTGATCACATCGTAATCCTATGTTTAAGTTTTTGAGGAATTACCATATCATTTTCTCTCTTTGATAGTTTTTCTTATTTTTATAATTTTTTTGATTATTCAAAAACTTGCAGTTCTTGGGGTCACTTTTTGGCTGGTTTTTGCTTCGCATGCTATTTTTTCCCAGTTTTGTTTCCCTTTGGCTTGTTTTGAGTAACAGTATGTGTTCAGCCCAGTGCACGTCCCCACAGAGGAGCAAGACATGAGCTTCTCTGAGGTCTTGCAGCTGGCTCAGCTCTGGATACACAAGTTCACGGGGAATAAAAGTGCTGCCCCACATAGTTTTGTGGGACAGGCTTGGGGTTTACTTAGTTTTAAGAGACTTTTCTTTAAACAATTTCTAGGTAAATATCATGCCACCTTGGTTTTTTTTGTTTTTGTTTTTGTTTGTTTTGTTTTTGTTTTTTCTGAAGCAGTGGGTCTATTTTCTCTTGCGGCAACACTTGATGAGTTATGCATTAATGTGGGAGTTTCAGTATCAGATCCTTGTCTTACTTGGGACCGAGGCTAAAGCACCTTGATTTGTGAAAGCCCAGCCTCTGATTTGTGATATCTGTGCCAGATAACCTGGCCACTGCAGTGGAAGTTCATACATTTAGCCTAAACTCAATTTTTACATTTCCTTTTTATTTTAAATTCCCTTCCTAGTAAAGATGTTTCCTTTGAGCTCAGAGATTTATGTGTATGTTAAGCTTTATATTTTGAAAGAATTGTAAACTCAAAGGAAGTCACAAAATAATAGAGAGATGTCCTGTCTACCTGGCTTTCTCCAAATGTATTTTTAGCTATGAATTTTTAGTTTTGAAAATTCTTGTATTTCTATTTTTTAATGGCATAAACAAATTAGAAGTTTATTTTTCTTTCAGGTAAGGTCCAGAAGTGAGCAGTTGAAATGGTGTGGCACTTCTATTCCACTAGGTCTTCAGGAACCTACACTTCTGTTTGCTCACAATGATCCTTGTGGTGCAAGATAGTGCCTAGAGCTCCAGCCATCACAACTGTATTCCAGGAATCACCTATGAATTTTCAACAATTATATTTTGTTAACTGTTTCTGTGCATTTGGAGCAGGAGAATCAGGTATATTTACTCAGTCTTCTCTGTTGCCGAAATCTGAATCCCCCTTTCAAATTCTCCCCAGAAGCTTTCTGATCATGACTTGTTATGTAGGTTTTCATCCTTTAGTGTGTCACTCTGGGGTGTGTGTGTGAGCGCACCTGCACATGTGTGTTCCTACATGTCCAGGTTCTCCCAGGGCAACACTGGCATTTCCTACATTTCTGTGGCCTGGTGTGATGGCGAGGCTCTCGTGCCTGCTTGCTGATGGAAGCATGGAAGAAGAGGGGCTCTCACAGATAGCTGAGCCCAGCACAGTGCAGGCAGCATCAACAGGGCTCCTAAATCCAGCCCAGCAATTCTAGCTTTCAAGTGAACACAATAAGGTAATTTTGAGTATTTGGTTTACAAGAAGGTGGGCAGGGAAGTTAAATATAAGGAATGGAAAAGGGTCTGACACTTCTTTTTTTGAAAAAGAGCAAGCCCTCATTTTTGGGGGTAGTATACAAATAGATAGCTATGACTCACTACACAGCTTGCATTCTTTAAAAAACCTATAGTCTTTAGGTGAGTATCTAGAAAACTTGACATTCTCATGTCATTCTAACCTTGATCACGTGTGAAAACCTAACTTGCATTGGAGATGAAACCCCCACGCATGGTCCAAGGTAACATCCTGAGACGGCTCCTCCAGGAGCTGGCCTCCTTTTTGAAGGGCCAGAGCAGGCTCTTCCCCCACAAACAACGCTCCCATGGGCCCTGCATGGGCTCCACTCAAAAGTGGCCCAGCTCTTCCTAGGGAGACCTCTCCAGACGGCTGTGGGGAGGCACTCCTCCTGGGGTTTCTGAGCTGGGCTGCAGGGATGGTGTAATGCACAGGGTTTCTTGGAGAAGGGCGCCCTGGAGATGCTGAGATACCTGTAGCACATAGGTATGCGTCAAACACTCTATTTGTTGGTTGTTTTTTCCATATGATGACTCTGAACTACTTCTGACACAGTGAAATGAAACCAAACCAAATCAAATCCAAACCAATCCAATCCAAAGAACTTGCTTAACCTCAGGCTTAGCTTGTGATCTTTTAGTTGGAAAGAAATCACAGTTCTCACAAGTGTAGTACCAACCACTTGCCTAAAAAGTTACTGCGGTGCTTAGTTAAGATTATCTTTATCTGGTGTATACCACCTTTTGGGTTATAGATAGATAGATAGATAGTTTCATTGTGCCACAACCTGGCATTTTCATGTTTCTTTGACCAAGTACAGAATTTGCTTGACTCTAACCTGGAGAGTTCCTTAGGTGATGACCTTTCATGGAAGTTCTATGACAGTAAATAAACTATTAACTGAAGGAAAATGTTATAATTAATATGTCTCTTTGCTGCATCGTATATGGATTAAGTGATAAAAACACTTAAGTAGTCGACCTTCAGAGCCATATATTTGAGAACACTCAAATCATTAACTATTATATTTTCCTACAAAATTTTTTTATAAATCTAGTTTTAAATTATGTTATAAAAATAGGAAACTCGGCATATATATATATATATATATATATATATATATATATATATATGTTATATAGTTTCAGGGATTTTGTCAGTGTTGAAAGCACCGATGTTCATCTTCATATTTATATACATGACTTAAATTTTGTCTCAAGTAATTTTGAAATTTTAAATAAAACTGCCATGATTTCTCAAAAATAAATAAATAAATAAATAAATAAAACCTGTGCTTTTTACATGGTGAACTTCCAAGCTTTGTCTGTAGAGCACTGCTGAAAAAAAAAAAAAAAAGATCCAGAGGGGGAAAATGGGTACCAGGGCTGAGTGCAGGCAGGCACACACCCCAGGGTACGGGGCTGCTGCTGTGCACATTAGCAGGTGTGGTCCTCAACAAAAACAGAGACCCAGTGACAACGATCCTCCGCCCCGGTGCACTGGCAAAGGAAGCCACGGTTTCCCCGTTTCACATTAACTGGGACCCGTTATCGGGGTGTGACCTCTGCCAGAAGCAGAAAGTGCTGATTCCTGCACAACCGGTAAGTGATGAGAAGGTGGAATCTCCCTTCTGCCAGTTACAACGGTGATTGCCATGCAAGGAAGTTAATGTTTTGTGGAATTTACAACCCGATATTAATGGTTTCTCTTCCAGCACTCTCTTCTTACTTTGTTTTCACCCCGATTTTTTTTTTTAACAACAAAGGAAACCGGACAATATGTGAAGCTTCATTAATTCTCTTTAGTTTTGATTTTTCCTTTCTTTTTTTTTCTCCCCTCCTTCTGGAGGTTAAGCGAGAGGCTTGTCATGGGGCCTTTCCATAAACTCTGGTTCATGGGAGGGTGAAAGTTACAGTCTCGCCTAGAAGCGGGCATGGGGTGGAGGGCTGGCTTTCAATTCCCCCAGCCCTTTAACTGCCCGCAGTTTTATGGCCCTCTTGATCACCAATTACACAACCAGGAACAATGGAACTACCACTTAAATGACCAGGCCTCAAATTTGCCTTGATTTGCCAATGTGTGTCATAGCAACACTTTCTTTGCACCTCGGGAGAGCCTAATTGCGGGAATGAAGATGGATCGGGACCTGAGAAAAGCTGCTCCCAGGAACAATATGCTCGGCCCCCTGCCCCCGTAGGCCGGACTGCATTCTCCTGACCCCGGGCTGCCCTGCTAGCACTCCCCCTGACCTGAGGCTGCTGAAAGGAAACTGTCTGTGTCTTCGGGACCTTTCAAGTGCTGCAGAAACTGTGTGGTGGGGTCAGGGGAGGGGGAGCGCTGAGTTCAGGGGCTCTGGAGTCTAGGAAAAATAAATTGTAGGATGGGACTCAGACAAGACGCAAGTCTCAGGATGCCAGGATGTGTCCTGGATCTCTGTTTTTATCTGGTAACTGTGGTGGAAATCTGAGCACCGCAATAAACATACTTGTGCATGTGTCTTTATAGCAGCATGATTTATATTCCTTTGGGTATATACCCAGTAATGGGATGGCTGGGTCAAATGGTATTTCTAGTTCTAGAACCCTGAAAAAAAAAAAAGAAATCTGAGCACCTTCACACTCTTGCCCCACTCAGGGCCCAGGGGAAAGCCTCTGCCTTCTGCCCTAGGCACACTTTAGTCACGCGGGGAAGTAGCTCTCCGTCTGTACATACTTTAAAAAAAAACTGTAAGAAAAATAATGAATGGTAAAAGTTGAGGATAACTGAAACATTTCCAAAGTGAAGAGGCTGATTCTGGCAGAAAATAAATGAGGAAAACATCATTTATCTAATAAGCATCTTTTCTATACAACTTTGTTGTTTATTATTCTTTTGTCCCGTGTTGGGGATCGCCAACTTAAGTATTACATCTGTTTTCTTTTTTCCCACACTGCATAGATGTTGCTTCAGAGCTGATGGTAAGTGCAGTCCACCCCTCACCACCTGCTGGAGTCCACCCCCAGGACAGGAAACTTGGTGTAGAAAAGGAAAACCACCTTAAAGAAACCAACAAGAGCAGAGAAGACAGACTTGCCTAAGGTTGTGGAATTTCTAGAACTGGTCTGTGCTGGTTTCCTAGGCCTGCACAAACATATTACTGTAAACTGGGTGACCTAAAGCAACAGAAATGTACTCTCACAGTTCTGGGGGCCAGACGTCTGAAATGAAGGTGTCTTGGGGCCAAGGTCTCTCTGGAGGCCCCAGGGGAGGACCCTTTCTGGCCTCCTCCAGGTCCCCCTGGGGGATGCCAGCTGTCCTGGGCTGCCTTTGCCTCACAGAAGCATCAGCCTTTTGCTGCCTCTGCTGTCTCTCCCTGTGTGTCCCTGTTGTGTTTCTGTCTTGTCTTCTCTTTGTAGGAACACCAGGCATGGCCTTAGGGACCACCTTAATCCAGTGTGGCCTCAGCTTAACTAATGGCATCTGCAAAGACCCAACTTCCAATGAGGCCACATTCACAAGGTACCAGGGGTTAGGGCTTCAACACATACTTCTGAGAAACACAATCTGACCCACCAGAGGCCTTGACCAAGATGCCGTTTACAGGGCGGGCCCAGAAGATAAGACTTTGACTTCCCTAGAGGGGTCTTCAATCCCAGGAGCCCCAGGCATCCTGTGGCTTCAGGGTCTGCAGTATGAGCTCCTCACCCCACTGAGAGCCCCCTCTATGTCGGAAGACACCCCCAAGCCTCCAGGATGCTTCACAAAGAAGAGCAGGGCCTACAATGTATGTGCAGGGAGAGGCCCTCATCTCCATTCCTTAGCCCCTGGAAGCATCCATTAGGAGAGACCCCGGCTGTGTCTGTGAACCCCATATTCTAAAACACATGATCAAGGCTAAAATGACGACAATCACATGTAAAGACTGTTAACAAGACTTTTTCCTTCTTCATCTAATTTTTCACTGACGGCTTAAATCTCTGTTCTTAACATAAAACCCTCCTTTGAGTGTTAGAGCATGTGTAAAAGGTGCAGCCTTAGTGAGAACAGACCATCCCATAGCATCTTTCCCTTTAAGAAATAAAGGAAAAAAATACCTTGACCAAGTTCAGAGTCAGT
This sequence comes from Homo sapiens, assembly GCF_000001405.40. NCBI lineage: Eukaryota > Metazoa > Chordata > Mammalia > Primates > Hominidae > Homo > Homo sapiens. Next base: position 3,303,424 of record NC_000005.10, read on the forward strand.
TGAGCCCAGTTTCCATCTTAATGAGCACTTTCTGGGATAAACTTGGTCCTTTAGAAATAGAAGCTTTCTGCTGGGCCAGGTGGCTCACGCCTGTAATCCCAGCACTCTAGGAGGCTGAGGTGAGTGGATCACCTGAGGTCAGGAGCTCGAGACCAGCCTGGCTAACATGGGGAAAAACCCTGTCTCTACCAAAAGTACAAAAGTTAGCCGGATGTGGTGGCGGGCCCTGTAATCCCAGCTACTCAGGAGGCTGAGGCGGGAGAATTGCTTCAACCAGGGAGGCGGAGGTTGCAGTGAGCTGAGATCGCGCCACTGCATTCCAGCCTGGGCGACAGAGAGACTGCCTCAAAAAAAAAAAAAAAAAAAGAAGAAGAAATAGGACCTTTCTTCGTATTTTGATGCTAATAAAATCTTGAGTGTTCTTTACTCTGAGCAATATTTTAAACACAGGAAGACATTTTTTAAAAATAACAAAAATGTGATCTCATTTCCCTTCCAACCCCGGGAAAAAAAAGTGCTGATTCCTTCCGGTGCTGTTTGCCAAGGGAAATCTATGCCTTAATTCAGGGCAGCTGTCATCTTTTGCAGTTTCTCCAGGAGAAAGAGTTATTCAGCCTCTCTGGGACTGCACAGCAAGGGAAGAAGGTACAGGAATATTCTGTGGTCTGATTTCTCAGTGACAGGCCACATGGTCTGTTGTGAGTTTCACCAAATAGCATTTTCTTATCTTTGGATCTCCTGTAATGGCCAGGGTGAAAACTCTGGATTCCACAGATTTGTCTAATTCTTACCGCAATTAAGGCAGTTGGGAAGTTTTTTCAGTTTTTATTTCATTTTAGCTCTTTTAAAAAGTCTTTTGCCCCAGATTGTTTTAATTTCTTGGTCTATCGGTGAACTGTTAATATAGTACTTGATACATGAATTGTGGGAAGAGCTTCAGCTATTCTATTGGGAGAAGGAGCCCAGCCGCCCAGGCCCACAGTCTCTGGCCCTGTTACCTTCATCTGGTGTGGGGCTGGCAGGGCCTGGGGTGGCTCTTGGACTGGCCTTCGCTGCCTCTGGTCTTCCTTTACTGAAAGCTGCCTTCACGTGGGGCATGCACGGCATCCTGGCCTTGCTGTCTGCTCTCCTCCAGGTCCAAACGGCAGATCAGAGGGTTGTTGGCACTGTAGAGACGTGCCCCCCACTCCCAGCCCTGCCACCTTCAGGGAGGGCTGGGGGCCTCTGACTATTGGCCCTGCCCCGACACCAAGAGGCCGACACAGGTGGCAGCAAGGGGTGTGAGACGCAGAGGCAGGCACGGTCCCCATAGCTCAGCTCTGGCCCCCAAGCCACCACCTATTGGCTGTGTACTTTAGAAGCCACAGCGGCCCTCCAGGGCCTTCTCCGTTATCTCCCAGCATGCCGAACAGTGCCAAAGGGAGCAGGAAAAAAGGACAAGAGGAAGCTTCCAGTTTCTATAAAAATTGCTTTTTGATAGCCCTGTCTTTTAGGCTCATCTCGGTATCTTGCATCTCTCTGCATATCTGTGAGAACTCGTTGAGAGGGAATGCAGTCTCTGGCCTACTCAGGCATCTACAATGGGGAGCTAATCTAGTCTAGGTTATTTGAAGCTCTGCTAAAATACTTTAAGTCTCTAAAGTTACTAGGGTTGCCTCCCGAGTAATCTAAGTCCCAGAGGTGAATTCTGGCACTTTCTAGGGATTTAGAGTCTTGTTATAAAAGAGAGTCAACCAACAGGGTGATCAATGAACTTTTGAATCTTATCCAATGACGTCCATTTGATGCTTATCATTAACTTCACCGAGAAATACACCAAGCATTGTGGGGGAATACGAATGAATTCTAAAACATGGTATATTGTACAGAATTCACAACTCAACAGTATATTTATGATTTAGATAAGGAGATAAGACTTAAGCAAATAAATCAGTGTGATAAAAAACCAAAATGAGATTAAAACAAACAAACCTGAGCGAGTGGTGTGCCCTGGTCCAGGAGACACAGGTGGAAGAGTCAGGACAAACATCTCGAAGGAGCTGGAGATTAACGGGACGTAGGGGTGATTTCACTAGCGTTGGGGCAGCGGTCCTCGGGCGCTGGGGCGAGCAGGAGTAACCGCACGGGTGTGAGGACAGGCACGGAGCGGCCCAGGCCGCGTTTCCCTGGAGGAGAGTGTGGGTGAGGGGCTGGGGGTGGGCAGGGAACCCGTGCACGCTGCGCCAGAATCCCAGGTTTCTCCTGGAGCCGCTGCAGGCCAGGACAGCTGCCGTGATGGGGGTGCTTTAGAAAGGTTCGTTTGGCGGCGGTGAGCAAGTGGAAGGTCATCTTGACTCTCCTTGGAAAATCGCCGTCCCCAGAGCCGCACTCTGAGCCTGCACGTGTTCCCCAGCGTCTGCCGCCCGTGCTTCTCCTGGTTCAGAAGGACGCGGAGCTCTCCCGCAGTGGCCGAGGCTCCCGCAGCGGGGGAGCGGAGATATTCATTTGCCTATTTCCAGCACTGCTATCTCAGTGGTATCTGCGCTCACAGAACAAGTGCCCATTGGCTGCCTTTTGCCCACCCGTGCAGATAAATCTCCCAGTTTATCTCCGCACACACAGGTGCCAAGTATTCACGAGGCTCCAGACCAGAGGCCCTTCTTAATTGCCCGCCATCAGGGTGCTCCCAGGGAGGCTTCCACAGCAAGGATAGCACCTGCCGCCTGCACATAGAGTCTTCGAATTCTACAGGGGTCGCTCCTGTCTTAGATCTTCTGGGAGCCTCGGAGTTACTGACTGAGGGCTGGGGAGAGACCAACTGGACCCACAGCAGCTCTGGGGGATCCCCAATCGGGGGTTCTGGCAGAGAACGAGCCCGGCCTGCTTCAGTAGCATGGAGCTGGGGGTCCAGAACGCTGCCCACTCGCAGGTCCCGCTCCTCGGCTGTGAACACCACTCCAGTTCATGTGAAGGAACCACACTGGCCAGAGAATAGCCCTTAAAGGTTATTCTCTAAATACTGATGCTTGAAAGCACCACCCCAGGGCTGAGAAAAGCACCTCCCAACAGGAGACGTTTGTTCTCAGTGTGGACTCTGCGGGAGGCTTTGGGGTCCTGTAGAGGACAACGACCCGCTGGGAGCCTTGAGTTTGTGTGGAGGGCAACTATCGTGCAAGACCAATGCTCTTCTCTGACACCGGTCACCTGGCACCTGCAACGCCATGCAGCTCACCACACCCCGCAGTTCCTGGGCATCTGCAGGCTCCTGTGGTTCCAGGGGGCCTGGGGAGCTCAGCTCTGCCATGTCTTTGGGAAGAGGCCTTCTCCCCACAGGGCTGCAGTGACCCTCAGGCCCACACATCTTAGTCACTGGTACATGTGCAGGTTACTAAGTGGGCCCTGGGGGACACTGGCTGTTACAGGAGGTGTCCTGAGTGTCATGGTGAGATCTCCAGCATCCCATGCTTTTCGGGTTGTGTGGAGGGCCACAGGCCCTGGCATCTGACCTGGGGAAGGTGTCCCGGGTCCTGTGCCCTGCACAAGTGGTGTGTCCCTCAGCATGCTTGCTGAGAGGTAACACGTGACACAGGTAGCTACTGCCCACTCCTCCACGGCTTCCAGCAACACACCTAGAGACTGTCTCCTCTTTCCCAGCATTCCCCAACTGACGACATCGTCTTGCAAAATGTTGTTTAACCATCCTATGACTTAACTTTACAATTGGTAAAACCCCAGGCAGTACCCGCCATAGTTCCACCCCAGCACTCACTGCAGAGGCATCTGTTCCGATGTCTGGATCTGTTGTGGAAGTGCCTTGGGATCTTCACCTGCAGTGGTTATTGGTCACAGTCTATGGCACACATCTGCAGGTGGAGGAGGAGGGGGAGAAGGGGTTTGGCCCATGGTGGTGACTGGCACCTCGAATGTCAGGCTTGGCGTAGCCCAGTGGTGCAGCCCACAGGCACTTCAGAGACATGGAGGGTGAGGCAGCGGGAGCTTCGAGATGAGCCCTAAGATTTGCAGCCTCTGATGTCCAGGCCCAAGTACACCCTTCCCCTGGGGTGTGATCAGACCTGTGGATGGCATGGGATTTTGATCCCATGATGATTAGGTGACTTTGTAGGATGCATTCCTCAGCCAAGGCTGCCGTAACAACACAGCCGCACAGCCTGGGGCTTGGACGATGGGGATTTGTCGTCTCACGGTGCTGGAGCTGAAGCCAGAGGTGAGGGGTCAGCATGGCCATTCCCTCCTGAGGCCTCTCTCCTGGGCATGTAGGCAGTGTCTTCTCTCCGTGTCCTCTGTGTCTGTGTCCTGACCTCCTCTTCTGAATCTGCTCCAGGCCTCTGTTCCAGCTCCTGGTAGTCGCTGGCAACTCTTGCTGTTGCTGGGCTGGTGGAAGCATCACCCCAGTCTCTGCCTTCACTGTCATGGGGCGTTCTCCCTGTTTGTATGTCTGTCTCCAAATATGTCCTTTGTATAAGGACAGCAGCCATAGTGGATTAGAACCCACCCCACATGGCCTCAGATAACTGTAATATCCTCTTTAAAGGATCCACCTCCAAATCCACTCACATTCTGAGGTATTGAGGGTTAGGACGTCAGCATATAGATTTTGTGGGGAATATACAATTTAGCCCAGAACATATGACCAAGATGAAGACATTTTGCATTTATAATTAAGGTCACAAATCAGGTGAGCTTTGAATCAATTAAAAGGAAAATTACCTTTGGTGGGCCTGACCTAATCAGGTGAGAACCCTAGAAGAGGGTCTGGGCTCTTCTGCAAAGAGAATGACACTTCTCTGCAGGCCTTGAATAAGCACACAGCCATGCTGTGAGCTGCGTGTGGAAGAGGTGGCTTCTAGAGCTGAGGGCTTTAGTGTCGCAGACACAGGAGGCTGAGTTCCATCAACACCATCCGCGGCTGGGGAGCCTCTTCCTAGCTGAGTTTCCTGGTGGAAATGCAGCTCGGCAGGCACCTTGACTGCAGCCTAGACAAACCTCGGGCAGAAGACCCAGCTAAGGCCTGCCCAGACTGACTCACCAGAGCTGTCAGATCCTAAATGAGTGCTGCACAGCTGGCGGTAATTACTTCTGCAGAAACAGAAAACTACCTGGATGGGGAATGTTCTAGGTCCTCAGTCCAGGGAGAGTTTCTTCTCCCGTCCTTTATGATTGCAGAAATGATCAAAACCTTCACATAATGCAAGCTTTCTGTGTTTGCTTGCATTTACTTATCTAATTTCTAGAAAAAGGAAGGCCTTGATTCTAGGAGAGAAAAGCAGAAGAGAAAATGCAATCCCTAAATGCCCTTGGGTAAACGAAGAATTCCTGGATCCATCAGTTTTTTTGGGGAAGCATTTGTCCTGAGCTTTTGGGGTGGTGGGTGTGGGCAGCTTTGCCTCTGCAGGCCGGGCTGAGCCCGCGGACTCCCTGGAGCCTCCCCTTTCCCCTTTGTCTCTCAAGGGAACTCATTGTTTACTTTTTGCATCGAGGCCCGGGGGTGCATGCGTGTTCTGGTGCTTCTCATCCCATGCTGGTTCACTACTCGATGCTCTGAGGAGTGTGGTGGGTTCGTAGGATTTTATGTAGAAAAAAAGTGATTTTCACCACTCGGATGTGGGCTTTCCTTAAGCTCTCTTTTCTCTCAACCTTACTTTCACAGACTGTCTCAAATTCTCCTCCCATTTGTCAGTCTCTAAACATGATGGCCTGTGTCTGCCCTGCCCACTCCACAGGCTTGAACTATTGAAGCCTGGGAGAGGCTGTAACAGAGACTTGAGTTGTATGTTGCAGTGCCAAGATCTTGGCTCACTGCAGCCTCCACCTCCTGGGTTCAACCGATTCTCCTGCCTCAGCCTCCTGAGTAGCTGGGATTACAGGCGCACGCCACCACACCCAGCTAAGTTTTGTAGTTTTAGTAGAGACGGGGTTTCGCCATGTTGGCCAGGATGGTCTTGATCTCTTGACCTCATGATCCGCGGCCTCCCAAAGCGCTGGGATTACAGGCGTGAGCCACCACACCTGGCCTGAATCTTCTTAAATGCGTCACAGGCCTTGGCTCGAGAACCAACCCTCCTTCTCACCAGATGCTGAACCTCCATCAGCCACTTATGGCTCCGAGCCTCAGCTTCCTCTCTGGTAAAGGGGAGGTTGTACCATTCCTGTCTACAGAGGGATGCACCTGGAATGGGCTGCACACTCTTGATACGCAGGTTGTCGTCATCCTAGACCCAAGGAGGCTTTCTTGTGACTGAACAGAAGAGGGTGGCACCGGCAGCCTGGTGGTTAGCGGTCCTCGTGGCCGCTCCAAAGCCACCCAGTGCAATGAGCTGCCACACCTGCAAAGCTCCATTCAGCTGGGCGTGACTTTTAAATTCCGGGAACTACAAAAGGTGATTCATCTTTCATTTGCATAGAAAGCATCCCTTGAGACATCTCTTATTTTTCTGATGTACAGTGACTTATCTTTATAGAAAATGACGATTTTTACATGGGCACTATCAATCAAGAGGGTCGTCTTGATCCACATTGTTGAAATGGGGCTCATGTTGGGAGAGGCAGGGCCTCCAGATCTCTCTCTGGCCCTGTCCCTTGCCATCCAGCTGAGCCTAAAAAAGGTCTGGCCCATCTCTTACTCAGAACCAGTGGCCTCCTCATACACAGAACCAGTGGGTTGGGAAGGATGATCACATTTACTCCTAAACATACAACTCAAGTATCTGTTATGGCCTTTCCTAAGCTTCAATGGCTCAAGCCTGTAGAGTGGGCAGGACAGACACAGGCCATCATGTTTAGAGTGAACAGAACAGAATGATTTTCTAAATATCATTAAGTCATCATACCAGGCATCATTAGCTCTTATTTGGTCTCTGATTCACTTAAAGACTGACATCAGGTCGAAAGGCCTTTTTGAAAGAAAGTCATTGGGAAATTCTGCTGAAGTGAGCTCAATGTTCTTTTTGGGATTTCAACTATGGAGGCTGCAATCTCTCTGTCCTTAGGTCCTTTAATGCAATCTACCTGCCCCCAAAGACACCCACCCTGCTGGGCCAGCTGACTCTAAACAGGTCCAATCTTTGTAAATGGGGGTAGCAAACTGATTACCAAATCTAAGAAAAATGTTATCCTATTAAGACAACAGGCTGGTGCCTTATTTGCCTGGAACGTTGAGTTAAAATAATAAGAGACACTCATTAAAAGGACAAAATGTGGAATTGTCTACTCCACAAACTCAGCAATGCAAAGTATGCCAAAGCGTGAGTGTCTGCCTGGCTCTTTTGAAATCTGAGCTGGAGTCTTTATTAAATCGCCTGCGGATCGCTGCCTGGCATCACCGTACACGTGTGAGAACACCTCCAGCGCCTGTGCTCACCAGACAGGAATGCTAGGATCACTCGGGGCGATTGTGCATCTCCTAATCCCCACAAAATAAAACAAGGGGATAACTAATCATAACTGGTAGCAATTTGGTGGGTACAGTTCTTCATTTATCATCTTTATGTACATATCAATAACAGTCAACGCCCTTTGGCAAACTTTCTGAGGATACGTTGCCATCAACAACAATAAATCATGTGTGAGCATATGTAGCAATTATCACTGGAAATAAAGGAGTTCAGTCCTAGTGAGGGGGAGAACCCGACACAGATCTTAATTCACAGATCTTAACACACCCGGCCGGGTCGCCGGAGGCCCTTGTGGCTGGGGTGACTCTGCCACTGCGTATGTGGTGGATGGTTAGACAACCAGGCGGGGTGAGCCCTGCGTGCCTGCGTGGAGACAATGGGCCCCGCGAGCGTGTGTGCTGCCAGCTGCTCTGGAACAATGGGGCCCTTTATGTCGCTCGTGCACCTCAGCACGGATTTAGTAATGTTTTGATTTATCAAGGACAAGCGTCAGCAGGCAGGAGAGAGGCTGTTTATACCTAAGAGCTGCTTTTCCGTGAGGTCTGTAGTGAAGGTAATGTGGGCTTGCGGTGGACTGTCCGAGGAGAACCCCTGGGCGCACTTGCATGGAGGCTTTGGCCTTTGCAGCGGGGTTCTGGTGCCTTTGTGGCAGCAATGGAGGGTCCTTTAACAGGGGATGATGACACAATCCCCCACTCAGCACTGGGCTGGGCAATGAGACCATATGTTCTCACCGCCTTTCCCCTCTGAGAGGGTTTCCATGCAGAGCCCTGCCTCGGAGTCTGATTTCCAGGCGACTTCCTGTGCCAGGAGTCAGTTGGAAAGAGTGAGGTCACCTTGAGCAAAAGCAATGCTGGGAATATTTGCCGGACATGAAAAGAACTCAGGTATTTCCCTTACCAACCTCTACCGTCAGGAAGAATGTCAAGAGTTGGAGGTTCTCACTGCTCAGCTGCCCCCACGCCTTCACTCTTTCTCTCTTGCCCCGTTCTCCCCTGACACATTCTGACTCCATACACACAGAGCTTAAAATCTACTTAGTAACAGTTGCTAGGAAATAGCAATTTACCATCTCTCATGGCACACCTCTCTAGCAGTGGAGGACTCGATCTTAAGAAAGTCCTCCTTGTCTCTGACTCCCATGCCCACCCTTTCTCCATCTCACTTTCAGCTTCCGGGGTTCAGAGCTAAACAGGGCTGCATGGGTACAAATGGCCAGGCCCATCCTGTGATACAGGGACAAAATTCCACCTGGGTGAGAACAATTATTTCCCCCTTAAGCAGATCTGCAAACTCTAAGATATATTTTTATTTTCCTTAAAAAACCTCTAAATAATTAAGTGGGTTGGAGGACACATCACACCCAGCCCAGCCCAGCCCCTGACCTTCCTGTTCTTTCTGTGTGAACCCAGGTGGGTGCTGGAAGCCCATGATCTGCATGTCCCTTCTCTGTAAGAATGAGGTGGTTCATACCCCAGGTAGTTTCCTGGATGGGTAGAAAAGCCACGGGGTAAAGCGTGAGGCCATGGCTTGAAGTCTCACTTACTGCCAGCACCAGCCTCCAGACTTAGAGGCGTCAGCCTCTGAGCATCTCCTCAGAAGTTCACTGCCCCCAGAGGATCTCCCCCAGCACATTCCCACAGTTCCCACATTGAGTTAATCCCTGAGAACCATCTAACCACGTGCCCACCATGTGTTGACAGTCAAGCTATGCTCCATCGCTAGATTTCATTACCATTTTTATCCCTAGCCCTCTTGACCACTCATTCTTGGAATGTTGATGGGAACAAGTGAGCTGCTTTTATTCGTGTCTCCAAATGGGCTGGATTACAACAGCCAATTGACTGTTGACCCTGTGTTTTCTAACTACAGTGACAGCCTCAGAGGGCAGAGTGCAGTGTGAACATAGAGAAAGGAACCTGGTGAAGCTCCTGCAGTTAAACTGCTTATAAAGCTGTCTTCTGGGCACCCAAGGTTTGGGCTGCCATCTTGAACAGGAGCTACCAGCACGCTGATGACTGGGTGTGGGATGACCAAGAAGATGGCATGCGGGAGATGTCATGGGCTTGGCAACTCACAAACCGAGTAGGTGGTCCTGGGGACTGGCATCCAACCTCAGTACCTTCACAGTGTGTTCCTGCTCAGCCGGAGCCTGTGCCTGTGGCCCAGGGCCCTGATTTTCCCAGCTGGAGCAGCTCTAGGGAAAGGCAGCCAGTTAGAGAAAGAGCAACTGCCGTGGGTGGGTTCTATTTCTGCCACGCATGGCCTGTACCCATTATCAGGAGAGTATCAATGGCACCACCTTCTCCTAGAGAGAAGCTGGCATGCACTTGTGTGGCATGCTTGCCACTTATTTCTCCAAGAGATTACAAGATCCAGGACGACAGAGATGGTTTTATCCATCTTAGGACACCTTCTACTGCCAGCAGCCACTCCCTGAGTAAGGGCTGTAGAAACACATAATGAGCTTGAGTGTGTGTTGCTTGAAGAAAAGTAGTGTCTTTTATTGTTCAAAATTAGTAAAATTTGATATCTTTCATTGACTTCCCTGTGCTTGCTTGCACACTTAAATATTGTGCATTGATCTTACATCAACCCTTATACATATTTTCCCCCATTAATCAGAAAATGGAGAGGAGTTGTGTCAGTTAACGTTTCTGCAGACAACTTCACAGCAAAGGCTGCATGCTTACACCTTATTGTCACCCCAGGATGACGTGTATCCATGGAGAATCTTTAGAGCACTTCCACCTGCATCATTGCACTGGCCTTTCTATGCGTGCTGTGAACTACACTAAGAGTCACCACGATTTCCAACCTACAGATAGGAAACTGGAGGTCCCAGGTCTACCATGGTGACCTGCTCAGCAGAGCTTGGGCCAAAAGTCAGGTCTTCATGTGGTACTTCCAAAGGAGAAATTACAAAAGGTGAGAATAGTTTAAAATGCTGACAGTGGTTATTTCTGAATATGAGGTTCCGGACTTTTTCCTTCTTTTGCTCATCATCTATGTTTTCAACTTTAGCCATAAGGAGCATTTGTTTGTCTTGCCTTGCTCTGCAGGGCATTCGGTTTGACAGGGCTGCTTCCATAGTGGAAGCTGTCTCTGAAGCATGTGTGATCACCTAGGAAGAAGCAATGTTGCACCCTAAGTGCTCATGGGGCAGGGCATCGAGAGGATCACATGGATAGCCGCCACCCACCCATGATGAGACCATTGCAAACGCAGGCCTGGGATGAGTCTCCAGATGCCCAGTGCTGGCTAGTCATGGTGTATACAGCTTAAATATAACCTACACACAGCATATATGTGGCCCACATATAGCCTGCATGTAGTCTACACACTGGCTACATACAGCCTATATATGGTCCACATAAAGCCTACATACAACCCACATGTAGTTCACATGATGGCTGCATACAGCCTACATACAACCCACATGCAGCCCACACAATGTCTCCATACAGCCTGCATACAACCCACATGCAGTCCACACCATGGCTCTATGTAGGGCTCCCTGCTGCACTGCTCCTCTCCTTGCCTCCCTCATCCTCCTTGCAGCCCTCCCTGGCTCTCCTTGGGCCACAGGAATGCCTCTCACTCACTTGTCATTTGCTTCACCAGGACCTCCTCAAGGTCTTCAAGTGAGATCCTGTCCTCCAGGGGTTGGACAAGGTCTCATCTTCCTGGAACCTCTGTCTTGGGCAGCAACAGAGCCTCCCCAGGTGTGCACATGAGCAGGGGCACTGGGACTCGGCAGCGCTGTGGGGCACAGTGAGAATTTGGGGTGGAGCGGCCTCTCCGAGGAGACATCTAAGTTGAGATCTGAAGAATTAGAAGTTAGCCATTCAAGGATCTGGAGAGAGCATTTTGGAGAGGGAGGAGCCTGGAGGAAGTCTTGGGTTGGGGAAGGTCAGTCCTTGGAGCTGGAGTCAAACTTGGAGGAGACACAGCAGATGTGGCTTCAGGGGACACGGTGAGTGCTTAGACATCATCCTGCACCTGACAGCAAGCAGAAGAGGCATTTTTTCTTTAATTAATACACTATTTTTTTAAGAGAAGTTTAAGGTTTACAGAATAATTGAGTGGAAAATACAGAAAGTGTCTATACATACCCTTACCCCCACATAAACAACACACATGCACACACACACACACACACACACAGAGTTTTCTCTACTGTATTAAAATTTATTCTAATTACTGTAGAATTAATGTATTAGAATTTTCCAGAGAAACAGAACCAGATGACTGATAGGTCAATAGACCAATCAATAGACATTGTGAGAACAGGGTCACCCCATGGTGGAGGCCACGAAGCCTCAGGAATGCAGACTGCAAGCTCAGGTTCAGCCTTCGTATTGTACATTCTGTGGGTTTTGACAAATATCAAACAGCACAGATCCACCATTACAGGATCACATAGAGTGTTTTCACAGCCCTAAAATCCTCTGTGCTCTGCCCATTCATCCCTCCGTTCCCCCAGTCCCTGGCAACCAATGATCATTTTCTCTTTTGCCTTTTTCAGAATGTCATGTAGTTGGTATCATACAGTGTGCAGCCTACTGAGACTGTCTTCTTTCACTTAGTAATATGCATTTAAGGTTTCTTTATCCCTTTTTGTGGTTTGATAGCTCATTTCTTTTTATTACTGAATCTTATTCCATTGTCTGGATATACTGCAGTTTGTTTATTCACTCACTTATTGAAGGGCATCTTGTCCTTCCATAGTATTGGCAGTTACGGATAAAGCTGCTATAAACATCCATGTGCAGGGTTTTGTGTTATCCTGAGTTTTCAATCCAGTTGGGTAATTCCAAGGAGTGCAATGGCTGGATCATATGGTCTGAGTACACTTAGTTTTGTAGGACCTGCCAGACTGCTTTGCAAAGTAGCTGTGCCATTTTGCATTTTCACTAGCAATGAATGCAAGTTCCCATTGTTCCACATTCTTGCCAGCATCTGGTGCTGTCAATGTTTTGGATTTTGGCCATTCTAATAGGTGTGCTGTGGCCTATGAGGCATTTTAATCAGAAGGGTCACAGGAACTGACTGACATTTTCAAAGATGATTCTGGCTGCTCTGGGGCGGAGTGATGGAGATCAGCAAGGATGCAGGAATGGCAGCCAGGTTGGGGGCGGCAGGCATGGGTGAGGGCAGAGTATGGAGAAGAAGAGATACCACGTGTCACACATGTCAGGGAATACCCGACAGGACTGGCCCAGGGGTTGGGCTGGGAGAAGATGGAAAGGGAGTCCCTAGTGTCATTGTGTGAGCTGCCAGCTGGGTGGTCATGCTCTCCCAGACACAAGACACTTCCTAAGCTCTGGGTTTCCATCAGGAACCCAGTGGAGGTGTCACAGAAGGTTAGGGCTTTGAAGTCTCAAGCTCTAGGGAGAGGGGGGGAATTGGGACATGCATCAGGGCTCACCCTAGAACACCCTATCTCCTCCTGTCCCCCAGCTCTTTCCTCTGGCTCCTGCCACTCCTCAGATCTTAGTTCAAATATCATGTCATCAAGGAGACCCTCCACTTTCCCCATGAGGGTGGAGCCTGTCATTCCCTGTATGATGCACAGGACCCAGAATTTCCTGGACCTTAATACCCACTACTCCTTCAGACTTCAGGTTCTTCCAGGGCACTGCTGTCTGCGTCATTCTCTCTGCTTCTGTAGCCGATTGAATTATAGGCTCCAGGTAAATATTCATTAAATAAGCAGAACTTATACAAATATCATAAAAAGTGGCTCCAAGTACTTGGAGGATGCAGTGAATTATAAAAAAGCAGAGCAAGAAATCCAATAGTTCATGATGAATACTCGTTCCAAACTGTCTTCTTAAAATTGCACAGCTAAATATCAGCATTTTCATCTTCTTTTGTAATTTGCCTCAATGGTTGTTCCAACAAAATCAATAACTGCCCTGAGTTCCCACCCCCCAGCAGCCCCATCCCTCTGCAGCTGCTCTCTTCTCTTCTGGACAGAGGGGTCCCGAGGTAGTCAAGGTGCCAAATCACTATCTTTTTCCTCTTCGGAATCTCAACATGTTTCCCATCAAATGTCAACAGAAGAGACTCAACTTACATGCAAACGCCACTGAATGAGACGCTGGAAATTTGATCCAAACTTATAAAGCATGGTTAATCATTTTTATCTGACAATTTCAGATTTGCAATAGTAATTGCACAGGTACCTGCCATCCGAAAATGTACTGGAGAAGCAAAACAAAACAAGTGAATTGCACTAGCATCCCGGAGAGTGTTCCGAAACCTCAGGTTCTACATAGGAGAGATAGGCTTGGATGGGATCTCAGATCAGCTTCCACATCTACTATTACCTAACAGCAGAGGCAAGAGGTTGAACTTACAAAATCCCAGCTCTCATAATAGAGCTGGTTCTGAAACCGCGAAGGCCCTCTGGATAAGCTGTGATATTACATTCAGCAATGCCCAGAATGATGCAATTTGGTTTCCCAGGTCAGCCTAGTTTGTTTTGCTAAACTGTGTGTATTGTAATCCAAAATCCTATGCTACACAAACATCAATTAGTTAGCTCTGACCTAATGATAATGATCTTGCTGCATATTAAAGTCAGCTGATACCTTCCCTAATTAGAGAAGGCTCCAATTATAGTTAACCCAAAGGTCAGGCTCCCAGCTCTCAGGGCTGAGTGAGGCATTGGAGCTGATAGGGGGTATCATGGAAATTAGCCATGCAACTCTCACGTCGCCTAATGGAAACTTGGAGGGAGACAGTTCATATTTCCATGTGCTATTCCTGACCCCGAGTGTGGTTCTGTGGCCAGCTTTCCACCTGGGCCGCCAGGATGTCCTTTTTCTCCCTTTTGTTCTCAACATTTCCCCGGCCATTCTTTTTCCTATCTGGGTCGGGAAAACTACATTTAATCACCTCATAAATATGAATGAGTCACTATTCTTGACAAATTATTAATTGGGATGGTATTTTCCAATGTTTTGTAGCAATTAAAGAACTTAAATAAAATATTCATATGCATTTCTTAATTAAAACATTTTTCTTAAAGTGTGTTGGTGTCATGGCATTAAGCCTTTTAGTGTCTCTCTGCTCTATGGCTCTGATTTTGAAATGTCCACACCACACCTAGCTCATTCTCCTCTGATTTTTTTTTCCATTAACCAGTGCAAACCCCTATTGTCAAAAACATCTCATACAAACATGACCAGAGATGCCATATATTATGAAAAAATTACAGAAATTCTCAAAATGAGCAGTCACATTCGGTACAAAAGTCCTCCCTATCTGCTGTTATCTCGTATTCATAGAAATGAGTTAAATAACCATAAACATAAAATGACAAATATTAGGTAGCTTTTAATTCTATACATTTTTAATCTAAGAAAATAGCAGTTGTATTTTACTATTGACACTGTTTTCAAAAAGACAACTCTCCTAAATATATGTTTATAACACATATGTGTATGTGATCAAAAAATCGTGCTTTCAAAATAAATCAAACATGGGTACAATAAAGACTGTTTAGATTTAAAAGTGCACTTATCAAATGAGTTTTACTTTCAGGCACACTCCCAGTCCAGCAAATAACTGTCTCTCAAAGCTTAGATTTATCCAATCAATGGCATAACCTTTTTATTCCTGTAAAAGTGCAGTAAGATCCCCATCTAGAAAGCTAAACATAGGAGCAAAAATTACTACCACGAGAAGCTTTGTAGAATATATCGCATTGTTTCCATACCGCATGTACCTGAAGGATTTCTGGAAGGTCAGCAAATTTAACCACAATAAGACACTGTATTCGAATATTCATTATGTCGTGATGCTGACAGAAAAAAAGAACTGTCAGAAACATTTACCGAAAGAAATCATTTCAGTGTCTCACTTCTGAAGCAGCAAGCAGGCCTCCAGCCTAGGCCTGAGCTTCTCTCACTTTCCAGGGATTATTTTCACCACAGGAGGGCTCCCATATGAAAAATAAACTATTTACAGAGAAATTAATCATAAAAATAGAAAGTTGGCACAAAATGCACTAAAATAAAGCTAATGTGATATTTGCTGTTCATCACAGATTAAACACTTGAAGACCGACCTTCAGGAACCCCAAATACTCCAACCACCTGCCGAACACAGGGCAGTTACTGACGAACTCCGGCAGTTCTCCAACCACGGCCCAGCAAAGCCAGGTGCACACGCTGCCTACCACAGTGCCATCTCTACAGTTTATTGACGTAGAAAAGAGAGTCATGTGTCTCTATAACTTTAAAAATATTACCTTTGTGATAGTTTGCTGAGAATGATGGTTTCCAGTTTCATCCATGTCCCTACAAAGGACATGAACTCATCACTTTTTATGGCTGCATAGTATTCCATGGTGGATATGTGCCACATTTTCTTAATCCAGTCTATCGTTGTTGGACATTTAGGTTGGTTCCAAGTCTTTGCTATTGTGAATAGTGCCACAATAAACATACGTGTGCATGTGTCTTTATAGCAGCATGATTTAAGGACAAAAAAACCAAACACCGCATGTTCTCACTCTTAGGTGGGAATTGAACAATGAGAACACATGGACACAGGAAGGGGAACATCACACACCGGGGACTGTTGTGGGGTGGGGGAGGGGGGAGGGATAGCACTGGGAGATATACCTAATGCTAAATGACGAGTTAGTGGGTGCAGCGCACCGGCATGGCACATGTATACATATGTAACTAACCTGCACATTGTGCACATGTACCCTAAAACTTAAAGTATAATAAAATAAAATAAAATAAAATAAATTATCCATCCATCAATCAATTTACTTATTTATTCATGCTCTACCCCTCCAATTTTACTGCACACCTATCATGGGTCTAACCTGGCTGGGCTCAGAGCTCCTGGGAATATGATATTGGACAAATGGAGATCTTTCCTTTCGGGGAACATCAATGTTTTATCCTTTTTTCTTCCTGAGCAAGAAGTTCCCACTGGGGATGGACCTAATAACTTTGAGGAACACCCCGAGGCCTGCTCTCAAGGAGGCACAGGCTGGGGTGGAAGGCCGCCCCCACTGTGGGCCTCCAGGGGCTGGGAGCTCTCATTTCCAGGTGTTCTCCACAGGGAATGAGGTGCGTGGCAAGTTTTCTGTATAAGTGAAGAGCTAGCCGAGGAACGTTTTTATTTTACGACTGAAAACAGAGCATCGGAGATTTTTACGCTTGCTTTAATTCGGATTGCAGGCAATCTACTTGGATGATTCAACTAGAGCTTCAAAACGGTGGGCTTCATTTTCTTCATCTCTACCATGAGAGGTGGGATTTCTAAGGCACCACCTCCTGGGTCTAAACTTCTGCCCTTTATGCATCTTGTTTGGGAAAGTGGACTCATTTTTGATGAATTTGGTTTTGTGTCTTTCTCTGATAAAAAGGGAAGACGGGTGACAGAGCAAGACTCTGTCTCAAAAAAAAAAAAAAAAAAAAGAGAAAAAAAAAAAGGGAAGACAGACTCCTGCTCGGAACACACGAGGGCTTCTCCTCACTGCCGGATTGTGCCCTCAAAGCCGCGCTGAGGCAGGACGGCACCAGACATGGGTACAGGAGACCTCACCCCCTTTCTAAAGCCCAGGGCAGAGCCCTGCAGAGAGCCCCAGCCTTCAGGAGGCAGGGTGGACCTTCAGCCTCGGCGGCCTGACTCCCTGATGGCAAAGCTCTGCCCCCGACACACAAAACAGCTCCCTCCCAGGGTGAGATTGAAATGCAGGTGGCGTGATGTCCAACAACCGGTTTGGTGTTTTTTGGCGTCATAGGGACCCAAGCAGACCCGGAAACCAGCCGGCTGGCAGAGCTTCAGTCAGGGGCTCTGCCCTACCCAAGCTTGGTTTTTATAATGAGGACAAAAAATTGACTCATCACTCCACAGGATGTCCAAAGAAAACAGAAGTCCCTGGAAAGGCTGAGTCTCTTGGAAACGTTGACTACTGCTAGAGTTCACAGATTTCAATGATGCCGTGTCGTGGACTGACTGTCCTCATGGCTCTGCACCCGCAGAGGTGGCTTTGCAAGAGCGACAGTCAGTGAGGCGTTTGCTCGGCACCGTTTTTTCTGGTCCGATGGCTACTTGTTTTTGTTGTAGTTTTTAACACATTTTCACCATCATTATCAGCTTTAGATGCAGAAAGGCTTTTGGAATTGCACCTTTTAAACACCGATGTGACTCAGCTGCCATCTGTTCTATTTTTTTTTTTTTTTTTTGGAGATGGAGTCTCACTCTGTTGCCCAGGCTGGAGTGCAGTAGCGCAATCTCAGCTCCGCCACCAAGCCCAGCTAATTTTTTGTATTTTAGTAGACATGGAGTTTCACGGTGTTGCCCAGGCTGGTCTCGAACTCCTGAGCTCAGGCGATCCGCCTGCCTCGGCCTCCCAAAGCGCTAGGATTACAGGCGTGAGCCACTGCACCCAGCCAGCTGTCATCTATTCTAAACACACAGAACTGTTTTCATCTTCAGATCTTGAAAATAAGCCAAAAATGTAAACTCTGGGAATTTGTGTATATCTGTATCCATCTATATGATCACATGTACATATATATGCATCTCATATGGATCCTACATTTTTATCTGTTTATATTTTAAAAAAGCATATTGTTTGTGGGGCTTGGAGGGTTGGCTCTGTGTATTCCTCCTAATACATGCTTTCTGGACTTCTCATAATCTGCTTTCGTCTTGCTTTTAGCAGAGTATGATTTCAGAAGTCAAAAAATCCAGAATATGCCAGGAGAGCGTGATTGTTAAATATGCTGTGTGCATTTTGTGGCAAATGTCCAGCTACATGGACTGCTTAAAATCTCGGATTGGATCAATGTTCACGGCCACTAGCTTTACTTAGAGAATGAAACTTCCCCAGTGGTCATTAACTGCTCAGTAAACTGTCTGAAGATTCCATGTTGCTGTGGGATTAATAAAGCCCACATTAAGAAAGATGAAGTTAATCATGACGTTGGAGGGGCTCCTTCATCACGGCCTCACACCCACTGTCACTGGCTCCCACCATGAGCACCTAAAGACCGTCGTGAGCCCTGCAATAGGAATCAGTAGCTCGGAAACTGAAGTGCTGGGCAGGGATTCGCTAGGTGTAAATCACATCTTTTGAGATCTTTGGAGTTTTTGGTTCACACTCCTGGTTCCCGTCTTACACAGAGTAGCAGGGAGAGCCAGGGCTCAGCGGTTGCGGGACTATCTCCCGGCACGGAAGGTGCAAGGTCCTGGCTTTCCACGTGTCCCTCGGAGACCCCCTGGAGCCAGGAGCAGGTGATTAGGCACCCTGGAAGTCGGAGGCTCAGGGGTAGCCAGGGAGCACCTCATGAGGGGCGGGATGGGCAGACTTCACCACATTCTCATGTTTGAACCAGGACAGTTTTGCTTCCTGCGGAGCTGTGAGCAGGCCAGGAGTGGGAGCTCTTTCTGTGGAGAGGGCCTCACATGGACTCAGGTATTCAGGGTTGAGGAGGTGGGCAGTGTGTGTGTGTGTGTGTGTGAGAGTGCGTGCGTGTGTGCACGTGTGTACGCACACTTATGTGTGTGCATGTGCACACCTCTGCATGTGTATGTGTGTGGGGTGTAAGCATTTATGTGTATATTTGTGTATGTGTGATATGTGTGTGTGATGTGTGTACCCCATCCATGAGCAGAGTGTGCTGTGTGAGTGTATATGTGTGTGGTGTCTGTGTGCATGTGTGGTATATGTGGTGTGTATCTGTGATGTGTGTGGTATATGTGTTATGTATGGGTGATGTATAATGCGTGTGTATCTATGGTGTGTGTTCAATGTATGTGTGATATGTGGTATGTGGGGTGTGTATGGGTGTGTGGTACAAGAGATTTGATATGTGTGGTGTGTGATGTTAGTTTGTGGGTCATGTGTGGTGTGTGTGGTATGAGCCTGTGCTATGCGATGTGTGTTATATGTAGTTGTGGTGCGTGATGTGTGGTTTATTGTGTATGGTGTGAGTGGTGTGGTATGTGTGGTGTGTGATGTGTGCCATGTGGTATATGATGTGTGACATGTGTGAGTGTGTGTGATGTATGGGGTGTCAGTGTGTGGTGCATGTGGTGTGTGATGTGCCTGGCATGTTTTATCTTAGTGTGTGGTATGTGTGATGTGAGCCTGTGGTATGTGATATGTGTTATGGGCAGTATGCTGTGTGTGCTGTGTGGCATGTATAGTGAATAGTGAATGCGTTATCTGTGGTGGGTGATGTGTGATGTGTGTGGTTGTATGGGTGTGTGATGTATGATGTCAGTGTGGTGTGTGATGTGTGTGGTATGAGCCTGTGGTATATGATGTGTATTATGTGCGGTATCTGGTGTATGATGTGTGGTATGATTGTGTGGTATTTGTGGTGTGTGGTGTGTAATGTGTGTGTTGTGTGTGTGGCGTGGGAGGTACATAGTTTGTGGTGTGTGGAGTGTGTTGTGTGTGTGCGTGGTGTGTGATGTATGTGGTGTGTGATGTGTGGTGTGTGGTATGAGTTGGGTGGTATCTGTAGTGTGTGTTGTGTGTGTGGAATGTGATATATGTGGTGTGCTGTGTGTGGTATGAGTTGAGTGGTATCTGTGGTGTGTGATATGTGTTGTGTCTGTGGCATGTGATGTATGTAGTGTGTGTTGTGTGTTTTGTGTGTGATGTATATGGTATGTGGTGTGTGGTGTTTGATACGAGTAGTTTGGTATCTGTGGTGTGTGATGTGTGTGTCTGTTTAGCGTGTTATGTATGTGGTGTGTGTTTTGTGGTGTGTGTTATGAGTTGTGTGGTATCTGTGGTGTGTGATGTGTGTTGTGTGCGTGGTGTGTGATGCAGGTGGTGTGTGATGTGTGGCGTGTGGTATGAGTTGTGTGGTATCTGTGGTGTGTGATGTGTGTGTTGTGTGTGTGGTGTGTGATGCAGGTGGTGTGTGATGTGTGGCGTGTGGTATGAGTTGTGTGGTGTCTGTAGTGTGTGATGTGTGTGTGGTGTATTGTGTATGTGGTGTGTGATGTGTGGCGTGTGGTATGAGTTGTGTGGTATCTGTGGTGTGTGATGTGTGTGTTGTGTGGTATCTGTGGTGTGAGATGCACGTGGTGTGTGATGTGTGGCATGTGGTATGAGTTGTGTGGTATCTGTGGTGTGTGATGTGTGTGTTGTGTGGTATCTGTGGTGTGTGATGCACTTGGTGTGTGGGGTGTGGCGTGTGGTATGAGTTGTGTGGAATCTGTGGTGTGTCATGTGTGTGTGGTGTATTGTGTATGTGGTGTGTGATGTGTGGCGTGTGGTATGAGTTGTGTGGTGTCTGTGGTGTGTGATGTGTGTGTGGTGTATTGTGTATGTGGTGTGTGATGTGTGGCGTGTGGTATGAGTTGTGTGGTGTCTGTGGTGTGTGATATGCGGTGTATTGTGTATGTGGTGTGTGATGTGTGGCGTGTGGTAGGAGTTGTGTGGTATCTGTGGTGTGTGATGTGTGTGTTGTGTGTGTGGTGTGTGATGCACTTGGTGTGTGGGGTGTGGCGTGTGGTATGAGTTGTGTGGTATCTGTGGTGTGTGATGCACGTGGTGTGTGGGGTGTGGCGTGTGGTATGAGTTGTGTGGAATCTGTGGTGTGTCATGTGTGTGTGCAAAGCTTCAGTTTACCAGTCGGTAGGGTGGCATGAGGTCCCCCTGTTTACGGGGCTTCTTGAATTTGGGATGGGAGGAGGTGTGAAGGCAGCTGTGGGCGCACCAGCTGGAGCGCGGCGGCTTTCACCAGCCTTGAGGCTGATCCTCCTCCTGACCCGGCGCGGTGGGGCTGGGTCCCAGGCTGGCTCCCCGCCCTCCCTCCTACTGTGATCCCAGGACCCTCGGCCACCGCCCTTCCTGCCCAGGCCCGTCCTGGGACCCGGGTGGCCCTCGTCATAGAAGGCTGTGTTGCCCCCAGCAAGAGCAAAGCCACCGCTCCACGCCTGCCCGGGGAATTGGTGGCCGAGCTTATCTGGGACCACTGGTCCACGCGATGCCCCGTGACGGGCCAGGAAGGGTTCAGGCTTGGAAATGTCGGACGGGGACGACTCTGGGCCTTGCTGGTTGGTGGAGCTGGGAGCAGCTTCATTCTCCTCTGACTGTGTGGACACAGCCCTCAAGGGGAGAGGGCCGCATCCCTGTTCCCCGCCTTCCTCGCCATGACTGGACGCAGCGGGGCGCCCTGTCCCTGCCTGGAGCTCTTCCAGCTCAGGGCCCCATCAGCGCCACCACCTTGGACTGCCGCCATCCAGGGCGCAGGGCCCGCTGCCCCACACCTGAGGGACACAGCCAGGCTTTCTGCTTGGCCTGCTGTTCTCTACGTCTCACAGGCGTCTTGCTTTCCACCATGCAACTTCACAATCTGCCCAAATGTCCTTTTATTAAAACTAGTCGACAAAGTCCCAAAGCCCTAGCTGTTCGGCGTGTGTGTGTGTGTGTGTGAGCGCGCGCGTGCGTGGGGTTAAGTGTTTCCATAATTGCATCTCTCTTGAAAATCAAAACAGAACAAACCGTGCTTTATGTACGAGTAAGAGTCATGATTCAACAATGGGGCCTGCCTGAAGGAGCTGCCTATTTAGTCACATACCACAGCAACCTACTGGCTTGTCATTTTATGATCTGGCACGGAGCCGACGGCGCACACGGTGTCTTGGGCAGCCTTGGGAGCCCGTGACAGTGCTGTGACCAGCGGGGGCCAGTCCTGTCCTTCAGATGCTGTGAAGGGCTTGTGCTGGGTGGTAAATAGCACAGGACTTTTCCAAGCCCACCGCAAGGCAGGCGACGCGCATAAAGGCATTTCCATATTTCTGCAAACTCACAAAGTATGAGACGTTTCCCTTTCATATTTAATAAAGATCTCCTCCGTCAGCTGCAGACAGTGATAAGTGTAATATCCTTAAATGGTTAATCCAGGGATCATGGCTCAAGTGCTTTCCGAGGGCTGGGGCAGAAAGGCTGTCGGTAGCTGCTGTGTGCATTTCATAAACCCAGGGAAGAAATATATATTTTTTTGATTTGGCTTTTTACTCTATCTTAAATGCTTTATTTTTCAGGGGTGAGATAAGGCCTGGTTCTTCACATAAAACTAGAGCTTAGCCGTTCCTGCGTCTCCCTCCGTTAAGGAAAAGGTCCTGTCTGTGCACAGATGTCTCAGATTAAATTGTATCTCATAGTCCTTACAGTGCTCAGCACTAGATGAACTGCCAACAGGGCCGTAGGCAAGAACTAAATTGCTTTGGTTTCAGTACACAGTGAATTTGGCTCAGACAAGCTGAATCAGTACATTAAATGCGAATCCCTCACAGATTTGAAAGCAGCCTTTAGCACAATTATTGACTGTGAGTGATGATTGCGTCTAATTGAAGGAGACTTTTGCTACCTGTGGCTCTGCTGGAGTCCACCCGCGCCGCGGCGGGCGCTGCGTCTTAATTCAATGTTCCGGCTTCAGAGCAGCCGTGGAAGCCGGGCCCTGAAGTGTGTGCACATGGTCGATAAACTGTAATAAACTTTACGGGTTCGGTAACGAGGCTGCGTGTATAATTCAATTTTTTAATTCTGGAAAAGAAAATAGCTAACAAGTATGTCGGGCTGCAATAATGCATTACTTCCCCACGTGCGGCCACCACCCCCGAAACAGGAGGAGGCCCGACTCCCCACCGAGGGTCGCCCCTGGCTGGTTTCACGCCTTCCCGGGGAGGGCCAGCCCGGCTGCCTGGACGAGCACCAATTCTCAGCAAATTTGTGAGGCAAACAAAATAATGTGACAATTTCGTATCTTTTGTTATGGAGATTATGCCAAGGATCCGGGAAACGGATGGATTTCTTAACAGATTCCGCCGGCCTGCCTAGACCTAGCCTGTCCTGAGTAACTCCTACCCTGGCCACCAGGCTCCAGATATGGCTTAATCCTGCCCCAAAGTTACTGATTTTTCTCAGGGAACTAAAGGCAGTTTTCTTATGGGTCTTACATTTAGAATCTTATTTTTTCGTGTTCTTTGAAAAAGGCACACACACACGCATGCACACACGCATGCACACACACCCACACACACACACACCAGCAGACCCTGTCAATGTGTTGGCTGTGGATGTCTCTTTCCCCAAGTGCATGTGTGTGTGCGTGTGTGCATGTATGTGTGTGTGCGTGTGTGCATGTGTACTTGTGTGTGTGTGCATGTGTGCACGCGTGTGTGCATGTGTGTGCATGCCTGTGCATGTGTGCGTGTGTGCATGTGTGTGTGCATGTGTGTGCATGCATGTGCACGTGTGCATGTGTGCACGTGTGTGCATATGTGTGTGTGCACACACGCGCACATGTGGTTTTAACCCATGGGCAGTTTTCTAGTTTGAGCAAATTCATTTTGAATGAACACTTGGGTCACTTGACATAATTTTCTTTTTTTTTTCTTTTTTTTTTTTTTTTGAGACGGAGTGTCGCTCTGTCGCCCAGGCTGGAGTGCAGTGGCGCAATCTCGGCTCACTGCAAGCTCCGCCTCCCGGGTTCACGCCATTCTCCTGCCTCAGCCTCCCAAGTAGCTGGGACTACAGGCGCCCGCCACTACGCCCGGCTAATTTTTTGTATTTTTAGTAGAGACGGGGTTTCACCGTTTTAGCCGGGATGGTCTCGATCTCCTGACCTCGTGATCCGCCCGCCTCGGCCTCCCAAAGTGCTGGGATTACAGGCGTGAGCCACCGCGCCCGGCCTTGACATAATTTTCAAGAGCACTTTATGGCAGGGTTTGTAAATAAATTCCTTTCCTTCTCTGAAACTCAGAGCTCAGCCATGCTTCTCTGTGAACTCATTCCTTAGGCTTTGCACAATCCTGGTCTCCAGGCTTGTTTGCCATTAATCTTCCTTGTGAGGAATGGGCCAGTGTCCACATGGATTTGTGCTATGATTTTTTTGTAAATTGGAGCATTTGTTAGAGCAATAAACACACAACCCTACCCAGGACTGAGTTGATTCTGAAAGCAGTCGGAACGACAGAAGTTCATTCTCCGCACTCACAGGGGCCCAGGGTATGCCTGGCTGCCTCGCACCCCCAGGTCCCGCGGCTGTGACACGTCTGCTGCCTCTGGACCCAGGTCTCAGCTCACATCGGCGTGTCTGTGAGCCTGTCTCACAAAGACTCAAGATGAAGCATTTCTGCTGGGTTCACTAGAAGCCTATGTAGCATTTTGTTCAGTGTTTAAATTGGGAACAAAATATTAATTCACCATTTCAAGGTGATTGCCTCACCCTTTCTTTTTAAAACTCGGGTCAGCCCCTTGGGAAATCATTCTAGGGGTCTGGAAGGGGTTGGGGGCAACACACTCACCAGGTGCCTTCTTAGACCTTATCTCTGAATCTCAGGGGAGGCCACGGAGAAACGTCTGCCCTGCATCCAGCAAGATTCTCATGAAAAGAAAAAAGGACACTCTTTATGATTTAAGAACTTCCAAAACAATAGCTAAATGCTAGGTGACAAACACTTGTCTAGTGTCATTATTTCTGATTTCTCATTTATTCAACAACACATGTTTACTAAGTGTTATGAAATAAATGTTTGGAGGCCCCCAAAATTTATATTTTCAAACTTCAGGCACCAATGTGATGGTATTTGGCGGCCTTTGGCAGGCGATTATATAATGAGAGCTGCACCCTCATGAATGGGATTAGTGCCCTTCGGAGAAGAGGCAGGGGGACTTCCTTCCTCTCTGCCACAGGGAGAGAAGGGAGCTGTCTGCAGCCCAGGGGAGGCCAGCACCAGCCCCGACCTCACGCACCTTGACCTTGGACCTCCCGTCTCCAGAACAGCGGGGAATGAATATGCTGTGTAAGCCTCCCAGCATCTGGTGTTTTTGTTATAGCAGCTTCAGCTGCCTGAGACACTGAGCATAGCTGCAGCCGACGTTCTGGTGAGGCTCCTAGAAAGCAATTCGCCATGAAGAGGCACAGACTCTACTTAAAAGGCGACATAAATCTCCCTTTAAGGAGATTCACTAAGGCAGGTGCTCACATAACTGACTGCACCCCAGTATATGGGTTTTAAACGTATGAATGACACACAAGGGGCTTGGTTCAATGCCTTTATCTGCTAGGGGTCGAATGCAATGACAGTTTACTGAATTAAATTGGATTCCAGAACTTAAGGAGAGGAAGTCAGTCTCTCCAGCAGGGAGCCCAGACACACTGCTGTAGCACAGAAGAAAACTGAGTGGCTGAAGGCACTCACACTCTCTGCCATTTCCTATTTCTCCTAACCCTCCAAGCAGTGTGCATTTTTATTTGGAGAAATATTATTTTGGATAAGTGCAAGATTTACTAAAATAAATAACAAGCTTTTACAGGAAACTTCTAGACTCCATTGACTCAAGGGCAAAAAGTCTTGATTTTCTTTAAAAAGTTGGCTCTTGTAGAAGTTCCAGCACCCATAGTCCTCCTTCTGTTGGGACAAATATGCTGATTGCCAAGGTATTGAATTTCTCAAGCCAATGGCTGCATGCTTTTATGGTTCTTTCTCACATAGTTTAGTAGGCGATTTAAGGCTATATTTATTATTAAAAAGGAGAGAACACTTCTCAACGGGGGCTCTATGAGCACGGCTATTCCAAACATGATGCCTGAGAGCTGTGATTAGACTTTTAAATGCAGAGAAGCCCCTTTGCTTTGCTCCCTCCTGAGATGCTATCTCACCAACCCTGATCCTGACCCAGTGGACACACGGCCCGGGCCCAGGCCACTCTGCAGAGGCTGGCAGGTCTATTCTGGTCTGTTGGCCACCTCCTGCCACCTACTTCCTCTGTTGAGCAAGCCTCATTGCCTGTGGGTTCTCACCCATCTTTCTGGGCAGGGTGCCATGGAGTTAGCCTGCTGTTTCCTACAGGGGTGACCTTGGACACATGTCTTCTTCTCTCCATGCCTCAAGTTCCCATGGGGAAAGTGGAGAGGATGAAGCAGGCCCTACCCTCCGGGGTTGCTGGGGAGTCACCGTGCACAGGCAGCTTTCTCAGGGGAAGTGTGTCTGGTACACTCGTAGTTCTCTGGACTGCTGGCCGTTGTGGCTGTCACTGTCAACACTGCATTCAGTTTCCTGTGGCTGCTGCAATGAGTGGTCACACACTCAGTGGCTTAACATGACACAGATTCATGATCCCGCAGCTCTGGAGGTTAGAGTTCCAAAACGATTTCTATGGGGACAAAGTCAAGGTGTTGCCGGGGCTGGTCTTGCTGGAGGCTCGAGGGGGGAAACCATCACTTGGCTTTTCCAGTTTTCCAGAGGCCACCACTTCCTTGGTTTGTGTCCCTTTCCTCCACCCTCAGCACCAGCAGCATAGCCTCTTCTCTGCTCTCACCTCTGCGCTCATCCTTACATCTTCTCGTTCTCACTTGGATGCTCCTGCCTCTCTCTTCTGAGAACCCCTGTGATTAACTGGACCCTCCCAGAGAGGCCAGGATGATCTCCCCTTTTCAAGGTTCCCCCACCACATCCGCAAAGTCCTTTTTACCATGTAGGGTGAGAGCCACAGGTCCTTGGAATCAGGACCCTGTCATCATTGGAGGCCATTATTCAGTCGACCACCAGTGCTACCCCAGCTACTGCTATGATCCTGCAATCCCTGTTACCGCTGACCCTTCCCCAGGGTCCAGTCTGGCTTTATTGTTGGGCAGAGAGATTGGTTCAGAAACCCACACGTGACCCAATCCAGGCTGATCCGAGCTTGTCCACAGTTTCGGAAGTTACTGCCCTTTTCCTTGGACTCACCGAATGTGGTGGCAATGCAAGCTGGAGATGCCAGAGGCAATGCCTTCTGACCTGTGGGAGCTTGCACCTGAGGATGGAGCATCACAGAAGACAGCAGGAGGTAATGGCAGACAGACGGGGTCTCTTGGTCCGTGGCTGGGGATCCCAAACCTTGCTGTTCCTGAAGCCTGTGAACTCCTGGACTCCCCACTTTTAAGCAACAGAAATATGCTTTGTTTAAACTGGTTTAATTTTTGCTTTGACTGTTCTTATCAGAAAACAATGTCATGTCCAATATGGCAGAAATTACAGCTCAGTGAGCCCTAATTTCATGCTGCTTTCCCCTTTACAGAAGGAAGAAATTCCTTCATGGTGATGGACATCTCTTGGTATACACAGCCCTCCCACCGCCGGCTTCAGGGTGGTTCTTGTGAAATCTGAGAAAGTAATTTTCTCTCAATGTGTATTTACAGTGGATTCATGTGATCACACTTAGCATTGTTTTTCAAAATGTGGCGAACACCAAACCATGATCATCGTTGCTTGTTCACTCAACATCTAAACAATCTAAGAACATAGTCGCCCCGCCCACCAGCTCATACATCTGCAGTTTCCAGGTTGGTGGGCTGTCAGCCACCAAGGATCCTGGTCCCAGAGTTACCTACACACAGGCAGGTGAAGGCTGCACCTTGTTGCATGCAGCTCCATTGGTGCTCAGTGTTTCTTTCTGAATGTGCAGTTATCTCTGCATTTTCATATTCTCTATACATTTCAGTAAGTGCTGCTGGAACTGTTTCTTTGTGTGTGTATTTTTATGCTACTTTTGCAAACTGGAATGACATGTAAACATTCCACAGGGAAAGACAAACAACACAGATTGAATTTAGAAATAATTATGGCAAGAGGCGAGGGGCAAAGGAAACTCCAGTTGAGGCATTTGTCTTTCTTACCCTTGTGGGACCTGGCACCATGGCCCTCGAGCCCATCCTAAACTCTTGCTAATTGTAGGATTGTCACATTGACATCGGCAATGCAAATTCCAGACCATCTCATCTTACTGAAGAGAGGCCACGATAGTCTTCCAAAGTCTCCCTGCATTGCTGTTTCTGGGCAACCCTGAGGGACCCTCCAAGGGCCCTTAACCTGCCTGGTGACTGTGAATGGTGTCAGCAGGGTGACTGCCTCCTCTCCAGGTCTCTATGTCTATGTCTGCTGCTCACGGCATGGTGAGGTGGCTGCTCACTGAGTGCTTATATCCACAGCAGGTCTACAGGTCTGAGTGTCCTTGAACTTGGGGTCTCCAATGGCCAGGGTGGAAGAGGAGCAGTGTCTTTGCCAAATGTGATGGGTAACTTCAGGCATCAATGTGGCTGGATTAAGAGATATCTAGATACCTGGGCTGGCCCACCGTCCACATGCAGTCCATGAGTGTGAGCCTGCAGGCAAGCCATGCACACCCTGAGTGCCCACACAGGGCGGTCTTGCCCAGCTTTGTCATTACATGGGCCGGCACCCGGGCCACAGTGCAATGAAAGAGGCTGCCTTCATTACAGTGGGGACAGCACCCGCAATCCATGCAACTCCATAGAACACAGAGTCATCATCCTGCTGGGCACCTGGCCACCAGGAAGAGGATCAGGGCTCTTTGAGGAAGAGAAGGCGGGCCACACAGGGTGGCAGCCAGCAGCCCTGCCATGGCTCTGCTGAGAAAGCATTGTTTCCCAAAGAGACATTTGGTGCAGTGTACTGAGTAAGGAAGTTACACTCTCACTTAATGTGTGCAGGCACTATGTCATTGGCCAAGGGCTGAGGGCCTGGAGAGAACAAAATGGCAGAAGAAAGGCAAATGTACTCTTTCTTGTGGAGCTGGGAGATCCATCTTCTCCTGAACTTGGACCTCCAGGTTCTCCAGCCTGTGGACCATGGAACATGCACCCGTGGCCTCCCAGGTTCTCTGGCCTTTGGCCTCAGACTGAGAATTGCCCCATCAGCGTCCCTGGTTCTGAGGCCTTCGGACTTGGACTGAGCCGCAGTGTTGGCATCCCTGGATCTCCATGTGCCGGGGGCCTGTCCCTATCATGGGAGTTCTCAGCCTCCAATTCCCTTCATAAATCTCCTCTCATACATCTACATCTGTTTGCATCTGCATCCAGCCTATTGGGTCTGTGTTTCCGGAGAGCACCGACTATTCCACCAACCCTTCGCCATGTCACCCCGGGTCCCACACAGGCCCTGGAGCAGTTAGTTCTTGGCATCTGCCCTCGTCCCTGCCTGGAGCCCCTCAGCCTCCCTCTTCTGTTTCTGGCCTTGTCCGTTTAGTCCCAGAGCTCAGGTCAAGGGTCATGCAGGGAACAGACCCTTTGCCCTCTGCCCCAGCACTCAGGGGAGCCACGGCAAGGCTGCTGGCTGCCACCCTCTGTAACCCTTCTTCTGTTCTGCGAAGAGCTCTGATTCTTGTCCTGGTGGTCAGGTGCCCAGCAGGACGATGACTGTGTTCTGTGGAATTGCATGGATCACGGGCACTGTGCCCACTCTGATGAAGGCAGCGTCTTCCATTGTCCTGTGGCCCAGGTGCTGGCCTAGGTAATGAGGTAGCCAGGCAGATTGCTCTATGTGGGCACTCAGGGTGTGTACAGCTCGCCTCCAGGCCCACGTTCATGGACTGTGTGTGGATCGTGGGCCAGTCTGGGCCAGCTCCCAGCCCCATGAGCCACCTTGCCCAAAGACCATGCACGTCCTGCTCCTCCATGGCTATGAGCACTCTATGGCTGGCTGCTCACCGAGATCCTCCCACAAAGCCAGCCATGCATGGGGAGCTCCCACCTCATCCCACCTCATAGAGCCCATCCATCCAGGGCTGCTCCTGGGACGTGGCTTACATGCCCTGCACACAGCGCGCCCCTTCCTTCCACGTGTGCCCTGGGGCTCTGTAACCCACTGTGCTTGCCTCCATGGATCAACCCCTAGATTCCTAAAGAAGCAGTCTGACCTCCTCAGGTTTCATGACTGCCTTCTGCTGCTAGCTAGACCAGGCGCGATATCATCTGCGCTGCCTCTCTCCACCTAGCTGCATTTGACGTGTGGTCTTGAATCTTTGAGTGGATACAGTGCGTCATCTTCACGCAGAACCTGGGCAACGGGATGTTGAGCTTTCTCTCTGTGTTTCAAAGCATTTTCTAAAAATTATTATTGGAATTTTCTGTCCTTGGAAAAAGAGAAGACAGGGTCATATTAAACGATGATAAAACAGATGTTGGAGCTATTTTGGTTTAAGTATATTCTAAATGAGGAGTGATGTGTAGTCTTCCAGCAAACCCAGCAGAGGAAGATTCAGGTACCCGCCTAGCCTGTGAAGGTGCAGGGGCGCTGGTGGGGGGATGGACTTGGGTACAAGACAGTCAAGGCAGAGGCAGGGTGGGAGCCCGTCCCAAGGAGAGAGTCTCCGGGGAAGGTGAGCATCTGCTTCCAAGTCCCCAAGTTTGAAGACCACCCTCTGGGACCTGGCAATGCTGGCAGTAAGGGCAGGCCCAGCAGTCACCTCAGGGTCCTGAGAGGGTGAGTCCTGCCAAATGCCACACACAGGACTGCAGGGCAGGTTCTGATGCTTCCAGGGTTCCCCGGGCAGGTTCCCGATGCTTCCAGGGTGGTCCCCTCCCCATGGGTCGCACCCACTGAAGCCGAGGGTGGAGTCTTGCTTGGGATTTTAGATCTCTTCTGTGGATGTGGCTCATGTTGGCCAGCTGTTGTAAAATTCTACAATGTATCTATTCTATATTATATAGAGAGTATATAGTTATATACATATATACGGAGAATTAACATATTCTATATACAAACTGCATGCACACACACACTCATGTATTAATGATTATAGTATATTCAAACCACATTCCTGGCACACACGCTACTATCCTTTGCACTACAATCACCCCCTATTCAGATAATGTGTAGGCTTGTATTTTCCTAACATTTTAAAGCATGAACCCCTAAGCCTCCTCCAGTGTAAATAATGCATTGAAGTAAAATATGGACTGTCAAACTTAAGCAACAATTAATTATATAGCACATAAATCCTTCCTTGGAAATGAGTAATACCCAGTCCTTTGTGCATAAATGTTTCTCTGAATTTTGTTTGAACTGCTAGCCTCATAACATTAGATGGTGCAGTCAGGATAATTTTCATTAGAAAAATAATTATAGGCTAAACACGGTTAATAAAACATTAACTATAAATTTGAATATTTTAAAAGCATGTGCTTCTAGGAGCAGCTTCTAATGAATTTTGATGAAAATACCATGATTACTTAAGAAAAAATAAATAGACATGATTATTATCCACAATTGTGAGATTGATGAATTACAAAAAAAAAGCGATTTTAACTCAGAAAGAATTATTCTGCAAACCTATTTCATAAAATAGATAATTCTAGGAAGAAGAGAAAAAATAATTCTTTATGCTTGACAGAACATTATGCTTAATTTTAATCCCATTGTCGATTCATGAATTTGCAGTTATTAGTAAATCATAAAGCCTTCAAGTTTTAAAGTTTAAAATAATGTTAAAAGATAAACTTCTGTTGAAAGGTTTGACCTCAGCTCTGAAGGGCGCTCTGTGCGGTTGGTGGGGCCTGAAGAGAGGCTGGGGCCGATCTTCTCTCAGCCCGTTCCATCCCTTCCCCGTGGCCTCATGCACTCATCCGTCCTCCCAGCAAACCTGCATCCTCCATACGTCCCTCAGTGAAATCCATTCCAGTCCTGTATTCAACACCAACACCAGCATCTATTCTAGACTCCCACACCTTGGGGACCGTGGGATGTGGGGCCTCGCCGGGTGACAGTAAACTCATCAGATACACTAACCTAGGCCACTTTCCAAGATGGAGAAATGACACCGGGGTGGTGCCTGTCCTGCTGGGTAACCAGCCCCACAACGGGGGGCTGCAGGAGGAGCTCTAGTCAGGGACGGCGGTCCTGGGGCCCACCGAGCAGCACCTCGGGCCATCACTGACTGGGCCTTTTGCCGTGCAAGTGAAGCTTTGCCTGTGCTAGGAAGGCAGTGGACTACTGGTCCTGACATGCCCCAAAGAGGCGTCTCCCTTGATACCTGTCGCTGGGAAAAGCAATCTCAAAACTTGGTCACCTCTTCTCCCTTCTTACCTCCCACCCTCCCACACACCCCACGCAGGAGGTAGAAGGGCCTACTTTCACGGACACCATTTCTCTGTAAAGAATTTAAAATAGTTTCTAAAGCACTTTTCCATGTCTTCTCTATTTTTATCCTTTCAGGAAACTTGCAAAGCCATAATATTATTTTACTTTTTTGGTGTAAAATGGAGCCCAAAAGGCTGTAAGGTGTGGTCATCCTGCAGCAGCTGGGGCATGGAGCACAGGGGAGCTGGCCTTCACACTGTGGGGTCTGCATTTGCTGTGGCAGACAAGCTCGTGGAGGTAACACCGCGCAAGGACAGTGAGCTGGAGAGAGGAGCCTGAGATGCTTGGGGTAAAGGTGCTTTCACCTTTGGAGGCAGGTTCCTTCCATCCGAGCAGAGGGCCCTGGACAGCCCTTCGTGAAACCTAGCAGTGAGAAGGTGTGTCTAGACTTGCTTCCATCCACACAGTGCCCTGGTGTCCCTTAAACTTTCCCATCACTCAGGGCCTTGGGCAGCAGCTGCACGGAGCGGGACCCTCAGAGACACTGTTGGATGGTCCTTTAAGATGGCAGGTGTTCTATTCCATGCACGTTTTGTAGATGAGAAACTAAAAACCGATGAAGTGACTTGCCTAACTTAAGCCACCCAGCTAATACATTGTAAAAGCAACATTTGAATCCAGATGGGAGAACCTATGTTCTGCAGAGAGCTTGAAAGGGTGAAAGGAGGAAGAACTCTTGCTTCCCTAGGGAGCCCGGGGAGGGAGACAGAGCCAGGAGTTAAGAAACTGTCCATGCATGAGAACTCGAGACTCTCACAAAGCTGCAAGCTGTGCACTATGACACCCATTTGATAGAGAGGGAAACTGAGGCTCAGAGGTTCAAGGACGGAGACCGGTATTGATCCCAGCTCTGACAGCAATGCTCCACGCTGCCTCCACTGCACATAAAGAGAAATCTCCTTGGCGTTGGGACCGCTGAACCCCACGATAGCAGCTGGTCCCCGGATCTGGATGTCTGGCCCCACAGAGAACCCGTTGAAGGCAGCATTGGAATCATGATGAGGCCGATACCATGGACGACCCCAGGAGGTGCATGTGGTGGGAAGTGGGTGGGCACGACCCCCAGGCCACCCATGCTGTCTTGACACTGGAGCTGCTGCCCTGGCCTCTGACCGGCTGGCCAGCCTCCGTGGCGCCTCCCCACCAAGCACTGGCTTCCGTGGCCTGAAGATCCCAGTGCAAATGAATCAGAAACACATGGCTGACTTTTCCCTGGAATTACACGTGATTTGACAAATGGTTAGAAGTCTCTGGCAAAATACATTTGGGATTATTTTATTGTCTAAAAGTTTGAAAAATAAGTTTGAGATGTTCCAAAAGTCTGAACACGGCTTTCCTTACTCATCATGCTGTTGAACAAGGAGTAAATAACTGCCGGTGTGACACCCCAGAGAAGCCCTTCCTGATGCAGTCGACGGGGGTGAGAACGTCGCGGGAAATATTCCCTCACTAACCCCCACTTTGGGCTACACAGCGGCCTTGGAGAGGACCACACTCTACAGGAAAAACATCAGGCTTGCAAAGATGTTTACAATAGCAGAGGCATGGAGTTGGTAGAAGAGAAAGATCTCCAAGCAAAGAATGGGTTTTCCCTGAGAAGGTCGCATCCCATGCAGACAACCCATTTCGCCTCACCAGGAAAGCTGAACTCAGACCCCTGTGAGTTGTGTTCATAGCGCTTTACGTCCATCTCCTTAAAACTGTGGTGGTGGCTTACGTCTGTCATCCCCGCACTTTGGGAAGCTGAGGCGGGCAGATGATGAGATCAAGAGTTTGAGACCATCCTGGCCAACACGGTGAAACCCCATCTCTACTAAAAATACAAAAATTAGCTGGGCGTGGTGGAGCGTGCCTGCAGTCCCAGCTACTTGGGAGGCTGAAGCAGGAGAATCACTTGAACCCGGGAGGCAGAGCTTGCAGTGAGCCGAGATCGTGCCATTGCCCTCCAGCCTGGTGACAGAGCGAGACTCCGTCTCAGAAAAACAAAAACAAAAACAAACTGTGGCATCTTCAAGAAGATGGCATTTTATCCAATTCCCCTTTAATGAGAATGTGAGCTTAAGTTAGGCTAACTTTTGTCTCTCTGTTGTCCCTAATCGGACTAAGAAAAGCCACGTGATCTTGAGCAGAACAAGGAACATTTCAGCCCCCCGGCCTGTAACAGGGAAGGTGAGTGGCTGGGGGTGGGAGGCGGATGCCCTTTCTTCATTCCTGCCCAGCTCTGGTGCTCCTGGCTGGGGGCTTCCTCTGAGGCTCTGTTCCCTGGGCAGTCAGGGCTTGGGCATGGGGCCTTTCCTCTTCTTGTCTTACAACTGAGTCACAGAGACCCCTCTGGAGGGGGTCACACCCCAAATCAAGGAAGTGCTGATAAGGCTGGGACAGCTTGAAGGAACCATGAGAGGGCTGAGCGGGGAGGCTGGATTCAGGGTTCTGCCCCATTGATCATCTTTGATGGTGTGGGACAGGCAGAAGAGGAGGGAAGGCGGTAGGCAGGGGACACCTGGATCCCTTCCATGTACAGCAGTGAGGGTGTCCTGTGGGTGGAGGGTGGGGCAGCCTGTGCACAGAAAAACCGTCCCCAGCCTGGAACTGAGCCCCAGGTGGAGACCACCGTGGCCCTAGGCCCTCTTCCCTCTACCTCCCGCCTCGTTTCTCACCGGGACCCTGCAGTGTCCACACCTGAGCATGTCTGGGCCCAGCACGAACCAGCCTGTGCCTGGTGCTCCCACCTCTGTCTGGACCCCACGATGGCTTCCTCGTCCTCCTGGCTTCTGCTTCCTCGCCGTCCTCCACCCCCACAGGGTTGTGATTTTCTCCCTGAACCTCATCATAATCACGCCACTTCTCTTCCATCCATCTCCATGTCCCCCACCTGGGCCTGGAGACCTCCAGGTGCCTGCCCAGTCGCCCCTGGCCCCTTTGTATAGGGAATCTGGATGTCGACTCTAAATATGGAGCTTCCTCCTGTCTCCTGGCCCCTCCCCTTGAGAACCATGAGCATTTTTCCTGACACCCCCTTAAGGCAGGGCTCTCTCCACTGGATCCTGGAACCCCAAAGCTCTGTGCCAGTCCCTCCCCAGCATCTCAAACTGACCTGCAAATAGCAGGCGTCCACTGAAATTCTGCCTATGTGAGTGGAAGTTCCTGCTTGTTCCTCTTACTGTGTGATTTGGGAGAGGGCTGTCCTCATCCCTGGTGCACCCTTTCGTCATCCGCTTAAATCTCAGCGAAGCCACCTCAGCTTCCAGTGACAGCGGCCGGCGGGAGGCAGCCCTGAGAATTTTGAGCAAACACAGTTTGGAAAACTCAGGGTGGAGGCAGAAAGGACCAGGGATGAGCGGATTCAGAACGAAAGCTGGTGGGCAGGTGGGGGTACAGGTGGGCACTCTCATGGCCTTCTTCCAGATCTCGTCTAACAGGAGTTTAAAAAATGATTTAATGAACAAAAAGTACCAGGGGATTCCCCACACACGGTGCACAAAGAGCAGAGGGGGTGAGAATTAACGCTGGCGATGCGGTAATTACCGTAATTACCAGACTCAACAATTGTTCATTATCTGAGACTTCACGTCTTCAAACAGTTGGAGACATGACCTGCGAGAGGCCGGTCTGCGTTGCTTTCATGGTGCTGTCCTGGGATGCCAGTGTCAGTTCCGGGGTCTGTGCACTTGGCACAGGGGTTCATGCGGGTCGGGGTCCGTGTGGCGTGAGGGGCTCCACGCTGCACCCAGGGGCACACCAGGAAATGAAGTTTTGCTTTGCTCACCTTGAAACCACACGGAACGTTCTAAATTGTGCATTCCACATTTGTGCCTGTTGAGTGTGTAAGTGGCAATTGCACAGAACGTTTAAAGTGAGGCTGGGACATCCAAAAGGCAGTTGCCAAATTTTTTGGTGAGTTCATTGTCAGTGAATCAGAAACATATGACTTGAATTACCATACAAATTCATGTTTAGAATCTTATGAGCACCGTCTTTGGCAAACCAAAGCTCAGAGTCACCAGGGAGGAGCTTGGACACCGAGTGAGGAGAGAGACCACCACGCAGTTTCAAAGCGGCGGCGCCTGTGGCTGGGTGTGTGGAGTGGAGGGTCCTGACTGTGAAGGTGATCTCCTCGCCCCCAGGCTCCCAGCTCTGTTACAGGCCTGGGTCTGAGGCTGCTGTGTCCAGGAGCATCCAGGCAGAGCACCCTGGAGCCCGAAGCAGAGTC
The DNA here is from genome assembly GCF_000001405.40 of Homo sapiens. NCBI lineage: Eukaryota > Metazoa > Chordata > Mammalia > Primates > Hominidae > Homo > Homo sapiens. Next base: position 3,339,958 of record NC_000005.10, read on the forward strand.
CCACTCAATGCTTACCCATGCTTCAGGCATGGAGGCCACCCGCTGTGCCAGCTTGTGATGGGGATGGTGGGAAGTACAGCCGCCTCTCCTCCAGGCCGGATGTTTCCTTGCTTCCTCGGGAAGTTGGGGCCAAGGGAGCCGTGCACCCTCTGCTTTTGTACAGTTCTCCAGAAACGACAGAGGCGTCCCACTTCTTTTACAGCCTGTATTTATTTCTCATGAAGTTAAAAAGAAAGCAAACTGTTGTGCTGCCTCCTGGTCTCTGAGGTCAGGGTGGATGCTCAGTCCTGTGATCCTATGTACTGAATGATCTCCTTCTTCAGATGAGAAAATGAAGTGACAGCCACAGGCATGACAGCCCTCACGGTGGCACAGGAGTCCCTGGCCGCAGCCTCTGACCCTATCTGTTACTCCAAGCCATCACTTCCAGCACCAGCCCTGGGCTCCTTGAGTCTCTGTTCTGATGCCAAAGCAGGTGCCAGTGAAGCTCCTCTGGCTGACTCATTCTTCCAGTCCCTCTTGATGGGACCATCGGGGTCAACATGCCCTGCCACCTTTTTCTCTGTGTCTGTTCAGTGGAATCACGGCTTCAGCCGGGGCACCACATTCAAGACCGTCCCTTTCTCTCATCCAGTGATTAGGCATTCCTCGGAGGTGCTGGGCCCCAGCCTGGACAGGAGGGCCCTGGGCGGGCTCTTGCTTCTCAACCACACGAGACACATCACCAGCCAGGCAGGCACCTCTGTGGTGGTGCTATCCAGGGCTGCACGGCGCAGCTACTCTCCCGAGTGCACCGGCCAGGTCAGAGAAAAGCCTGCTCCCTGTCTATTGCCACGTGGCCTCAGAAAAAGGTTCCATGGAGGCTGTGGTTTTCCCAGTGCCAGTGCTGAGACAGACACTGCACCAGGGTGGGAAATTGGAATCGCAGAGCGCTTGGGGCAGGGAGGCAGAGCTGGTGGGTGGATCAATTCTTTCCTGCCAACTGCAGGCCAGCAGCAGATTCCTCAGTAATGAAGGTGGGTCCCAGCAGTGCCTGTTGTTCGTCTGCTTTTCCTTCTCTTCTGTGCTCTTGTTCGTGATTCTGGAAGTTAGCACAAGCTACCCTGGTGTTCTCCAGAGCCGCACACCTTGACAAAGCAGTATCTTACAATGTGCAGCTATTCAGATCCCTCTCGCACCGATGCGAAGAGGGAACAGCGGTTTCCTGTGGCTATTTCACAGGTGGCATCTCCATCGTCACCATATAATCAGCGATTCTGCTGGCATAAAGGCAAGAAAAATTAATTTCATAAACTAAACCTACAATGTATAAATCACAGAAGTTGTTATTTTTCCACTCCTGGGAAAACTGCCAGCCCATTCATAGGACAGCCAGACATGCATGATGATCAGATTTAGAATCTGTCCTTGCTGTTGCCCCGTCTTACAGCCTTGAAAAACTTTACTCCCGCAACTACATTGTAGCATTGCTATCTTGAAGGCAGATTATTTGAAGGTATATTTGAAGTATATTTGAAGGTAGAAGGTAGAAAAATAAAACACATCTCTGTTTGCTAACTTGGTCTTTGGCTGTTAAATATTTAGCTATTTGGCATAAGGGCCTCCAATGATGCTCTTGCACAAGCCTGTCCGTGCCACAGATGGCCTGCTCGGGGTAGAGTCCTCAGCCCCTGCCCTCCACAGCCTCCTGCTCCCAGTGTGCATGGAAGAGGGTGAGGCCAGCCATGGAGACAGCTAGAGCGTGCCCAGCCCTGCCTGTCTTAACAGCGATTTTGCAGAGGAATTGTCTAAAATTAATGACTCAACTCTTTATGTTTGCTGGAACATTTCTATTGTCTGGATCACCCTGCCTCTAAACCTTCCAGTAGGTTCCAACCTCCAGGAATGAGCACAGCTGCACTGGATCCCAATTCGCCTTTCAGCGATGCCTCTCCAGGCACACACGCTACCAGCAGCACTTGTTCCTTTGTCCTTCTGCCACAGCGGAAGCAGAGCCCACATCATCCTGAACTCTCTATGCAGTCAGGACAGTCCTCAAAGCCGTTCCCACCCGTGCCGTGCACTCTGAATTGGAGGACATCAAGGTTGGCAGGGTCTCCCGGCAGAATCTGCTCCAGGAGGCCCTTCAGTGAGCAGGAGGCTGCCCCAGGACCCCGGGCCCCGAAGGAAGAAATCCTCAGCTCCTCTTCCCACCCACCCTCTCATCTCAAGCTAGCGCCTCCCAATGGCCAAAACCAACAGGAAGTCTGAGGGCCAGGGGATCCTGGGTGAGCAGGACAGAGAAAGGGCAGAGAGGCCTGGTGGGCAGTAGGGCCCTGTATGAATACGGCCCTGACCCTGATGAATGGGTACAGAACAGCGTGGCAGAGGACAAAGGTTTGGGCATGAGGGTCCCACAAACCTGGCTTCCTATGAAGTCTGCCACCTGTGCTAGAGGCCTGCCCAGCCCAATGATCCCTCCGTTTGCTTGAGACTTGTCACCCTAAGCGTCCTCCTGGTGCCTGCCCAGCTGGCCCTCAGCACTCAGGGATGGCAGAGTGCTTCGGCCCTCCTGTCCTGGGCCACACCAGATGTGAGAAGCATCTTCCCCAGTTGAGCTCTGATGACAGTGGTGCCTCTGCCCTCTGGTCCTGGGCCACACCGGATGTGAGAAACATTTTCCCCGGTTGAGCTCTGATGACAGCGGTGCCTCGGCCCTCTTGTCCTGGGCCACACCAGATGTGAGAAATGCCTTCCCTGGTTGAGCTCTGATGACAGTGGTGCCTCTGCCCTCTGGTCCTGGGCCACACCGGGTGTGAGAAACGCCTTCCCCGGGTTGAGCTCCAGTGCTTCTCTTGGCAGTGGGCACTTACGAGTCCCCTGCACCTCTCTGGACCTGGCCTGGCCCACCTGCCTCTTCTTCCTCCTCAGTCTTTCAGGTGCTGGGGCCCGTCCTTCCCAAGAACGCAGCCCCCGTGCCCAGCTGAACCTCAGCCACCACATCCCAGAGCCCCTCAGCATCTCAGGTGAACAGAACTCACTTGCTTCCCGACACCCCCCTCCATGTGTGGCATGAGGCTGCCAGGGACCCTAAACAAGGCCCAACCTCCCCCTCCATATGTGGCATGAGGCTGCCGGGGACCTTGAACAAGGCCCCACCTTTGGAGGATCCAGTCCCTTCGCTGGGGCATGACTGGGTTGAACAAGGTGTCTCCCAACCCTCTGTCCTTAATGCCAGTGCTCTCTCTCACCTGAGGATGCAGCTCAAAAGTACTCAATGTTTATTTTTCTAATTGACTTTCTCAATGTGTGAAACAGACTGCAGCAGCTGCTTCTGCTTTTAGGGGCTGGAGGGAGCAGATCAGGGCTGTGGCAAAGAGAACCCTGAGCCGGGGCCTCCGCTCCTGGGGATGGGGGTGCTGCTGTAGAGGAGCTGGCGGGTGGAGGTGAGAGTCAAAAAGAAAGTTCCCTGTTGTAGAGATTTTCAGCTTGTCCTCCAGCACCTGACAAAGGTAAGCAGAGTCAACACCTGATAAAGGTAAGCGGAGTCTGGGTGACCTGCTTGCCCTGTGTAGGCTACTCACACAGCAGATGCAAAGTGCAGCCACAGGGTCAGACCTGCTCAAGTCTCCCCACCCCACCGACAGCCTTTCTCTCCCCTCCTCCTCTCTCCTCCCTCCTCCATCCCACCACCCACCTCTCTCCCCCCACCCTTCTCTCTCCCCCCACCCTGTCTCTGTCATAAGCACTTTCTTTTTTTTCCTTTATTTTTCTCCTGAAACAAAGAAAGGAAGGCAAGGTCGTTGGAGGCGGGCTTTCTTTTCACTCGGGGAGTGAATAGCGTTTGGGGGTGCCTGGCACCCCCACCCATGCTGTCTGTCTCAATTGGTGCTTGACTTATCGTGCTGGGAGACTGGGAAGAAGCAGGGTGGGAGCATGCCCGCCTTTTATCCTTCTATCCACAGTTCTTCTACAGCACCAATAAGCTGCTTTGCTTATGGCATAGAAACATGTCCCTGAGTTGCTGAAAAATTACTTTCTTCTCTTCTCACTACTGACATGACTCGGTGCCTACCCTTTTCTTCCCCTCATTCTTCTTTTGTCCCTTGGACTACAGCTCAAGATGCCACATGGCGAGGCTCTGCAGCCCATCTGCTCAAACCTGCCCACACCGCACCTTGCTCCCGGGAGCCCTAAACCCCTCGCCGAGTCTCAGGCTGAGCAGGGGTCTCAGATCTGGCTGCCCATTAGAAACCTGGTAGGCTCTCACCCAATGCAAAGGATGCTGTGATCCCCTCAGCAGGTCCTGAGAGAGGTGAGTGATTTCTTTTTGTTAAGCTGGCCAGGTGATTTCACTGTGAGTCCAAGGTGGAGAGCTGGGGTCTAAGTCACGCAAGCTCAGCAGGACCAGTATCTCCCCACGGGGGCAGACATTGGTTCATGGGGAATAAAATGTCTTAATCTTCATATACCTCAATTACAGGTAAGCATGCAATACCCAGACAGAGAGCTTCCTAGATGAGGGGCAATTAGGAAATAATAACCTAAAACCCTCTCTAGGTAGACAATAATGAAAAACGGTGGTATATAAATCATATCTAAAAAAGTCTGTGATAAATACACACACACACACACATATATATGTACATGTGATGAAAGTGTGTAAAAAAGGCGATCTAAATGCACCTGGCCCCACGGGGCTAAAGCCCCAGTTTTATTAAATGCCACTCCCAGGTGGCCGTGCTGCATTCAGCACCATGATGTTAACAAACACCACAGTAAAGTCTTCTGATTCTATACAACCTGCTGAGGTCCACGGGAGGAGTCAAGAGGGGAAGAGGGTTTGGACCGAAAGCCGTAGCAGGGGGAGTGACCGTATAGGCTTCTAGCGCTGCTGGACACCTGGGAAGCCCTGTTTGGCTGCGGGTGCACGCTGGTTAGGGAGGGTAGCTGGGATGGCCTGGATGGCTTGCAGGGGCTGCATGTTCTCTGGGCAGAAAAGAGGCATCTTGGTGGAGAGGCACCGTCCGTCCCTCAGGACCGTCTGTCTTTAACATGCTCCATACCCACCAGAGACACTTTGTGAGGTGTGCCTGTCCCTGGCACACACACCCTCCTGGGACACTTGTGGGCTATTGTTCCTGAAGGCTGGCAGCTGAAGTCATTCCCTGTACACCTTGACCTCCTGTTCTGTCTGGCAAAACCCAACAATGGCACCATGACAACAGTGCAATCGTTGGCCACTTGGGGTGGAGGAGAGGACACCCTGCCATCTCCTGCTGGAGGAGGAATGATTATCCTCATTACTCTTGTTGGGATCCACTGCTTTTGCCATGATTATCCCTGTGGCTGCATCTCGGGGCATCTGTGGGCTTGTTGCCTTGTGGTAAACACATGCAGACGGAGCTGATGCAGATGCATTCAGCAGCGCAGGGCTCCTATCTCCTGACCGGATGTGGACATGGTCTTCTCGGGATGGCAGCCCTGCAGCCCTGAGCTGAGTCTGCCCTGTGGGTTTGCGGTCACCAGTGTCCCCGAGGCCCCTCAGGCCCGAGCTGCCCAATGCATCCATGCTCTCTTTCAAACTTTCACATTTCTGTTTATTTCACTTAGCATCTATTTTGGATTATGTTCTAGGGTAGAAATTTAATAGTTTTCTAATCGTTATCCTTCTGTATAATCAGTCTTTCTGCATTGGTTTGCAAGGACTCAGCCACTGCACACCCACACTGGTCTCTGGAGGGGCAGCCACGTTCTATCGTGTAAGTATGTACATAGTTAATGCATATTCACCTATATTTCTTTCATCTTATTCAGATGTTAGTGTATCTGCACAGACTTTTCTTAACTAAAACACAGCTATGTTTTTGGGTATGTGTAGAGGATAAAGTTGGGAAATTGACCAACCTCTCTCAACTGTGCATATCTCTCTCATCAATGTCTCTGTCTCCATGTCTGCCTTTCTCTGTGTGTGTATAAATGCATGTATACATAAACATGCATCATGTAAGCCACAGTGATATGTGTTACATAGTTTCTGTATTTACAGTATATTCATATCCTGACTTCCTAATTTGTTCCATTTATCTTTCTGTCTAATCTTAGCCAGGTCATGGTTTGTGGTACGATTGGTACCAACATGTTGTTCATTAAGGCACAGATGTACACCTTGTCTTTGAAAATATTGTCTTGCCTATTCTTACACGCTTATTCTCCCAGGTAACCTTTAAAAGTATCACACCAGGTTCTCGGAAATGTGCATTGGAATTAGAATTGAATTAAACATATAAACACTCTGAGGGAGCTTGTCTCTTCCCAGGGTAACGTCCGCCCCGTGGCAGGGACTGCTGACTGTCCCTACGCTCTCCTCCTTCCTCTTGGTGATGGAAGCTACCACCCGCCGAGTTGCAGATGCCCACATTTCCCGGACCCTGTGCAGCTCGCTGTGGCACAGAGACTGCATGTGGGACAATGGGAATACTACCAAAGGCAAGGAAGACAATTTCCAGGTGGTCTTTTCAAAGTCCAGGCCACATGTCCCAACTTCTTATCTCCCTTCCCACAGAGAGGCTGAGGAGTGAGGTGAGCCAGCCTCCATCCCGTGGGAGAGAACCACATGACGGGCCAGCCCCATCCCGTGGGAGAGAACCACATGACGGGCCAGCCCCATCCCGTGGGAGAGAACCACATGACGGGCCAGCCCAATCCTGTGGGAGAGAACCACATGACGGTGGAGCCACACGTCCACCAGAGCCTAAGCGTTGGGGCCCCGAGTGACCACACGGAACCACGCTGCCCCAGGCACAGGAGCACTCAACTCTGCAGCCTCACCAGAGGGAGACGGCGCTGCCTGCCCGAGCCGCTTCACACTCAGACCTTTTCACTACAGCAGATTCATCTACTCACAACAAAGGGGTTGTGAGTTCTCCAAGAACATGTTTTTAAATATCTTTCAGTAAATCTATTACAAGTTCTCATTAGATTGAATTTATTCTTAAGTTGTTTTATCTCAGTTGCTATTATAAATAAATTAATTTATTCCATGCCAATTGGTACTTTGGTTAGACAGGAAACATCAATTTTGAGAATATATTTAATAATCGGCTTCTTTGTAATTTTTTATTAGTTACTTCATGCGTGTGCATGTGTGTGTGTGAATGTTTACAAACATGGAACATGCAAATAGTGGTGACTTTTTGTCCGTTTCTCTGAGGGAATGAGCTGAAGACTGTCTCGATACCTGACTTTTTCTTTCTTTATACTTTTCCTTTGGAATCCAACTCCTTACACACACCCAGATGCCTCCTTACAGACACATCTCCCTATTCGACCTCTCTCTAGATGATGCATTTTGTCATTTCTCCACCAAGGTATCTTTCTCTACCATCGAGCTATTAAATTGACCCACAATTTCTCCAGCGCCAGCTTCCCTGGGGGAGCCATTGTCCTGGGCGCACAGCCCCACCTCCTTCAATCACTGGCAGCACCTAATTCTTCTTTCAGGTCTAGCTGGGCCTCTGCCCTCTAAAGACCACGGTGGCCTCTCTTCACCTGGACATCTTATGCTCACTGCCTGTGCCCCTTTTTAAAAAGAATGTTGGTATTTCTGTTTAAATAATTTGACCCATTAAAGCCCGCTGGAAGGGTAGGATGCATAGATGCTATATCCCCTGGTACTACACATTGCAGGCTCTCAATGTGGAATTAAGTTTAATTCAACAAATACCAAATGCCTGTCACATGCCACCAAGCCCCAGGAGAGAGGCATTCCTCATTGTTGAAGGAGGCAGATGGATGTTGGTGGCTAAACAATGCTTTTAATAGGGCCCAGAACAGTTTCTCTATGCAGAGCAGCAAGGGCTGACCTTGATCAAGTCTATGTTTTTCCTCATTAATGGCACACGGGTATAGTCTAACCACTGACAGGCTGGGGAATGGGGTGAGCCAGCCTCTATCCCCTGGGAGAGAACCACACCCCACATGAGAGTTGAGCCACCGGTCCACCACCGCCCAAGTGTTGGGGCCCTGAATGACTGCATGGAGCAGAGCTACCCCAAGCGCAGGAGCACTCAACTCAGCGGCCTCATCAGAGGCAGATGGTGCTGCCTGCCCATCTCTGCCCCTGAAGTGGAGAGTATAGATTTTATTCCCAGTTATACACTGTCCTGATGTTGAGCAAGCTCCTCCAGCTTCCTGTGCCCCCTCCTCTAGGTGAAGCCTCCCTACCTTCCACAACCCCACAGCATCCCTCCCTCCTTATACTTCTGCTAGAGATGTCTTGAGAATAAATGAGGCATTAGCAACCTGTTCTGAGGAAGACACTGTGTAAATATGATGCAGGGTTTCACCTGCCCTAAACTGCTAAAAGAATTGCTGATTCTGTGCTAAACAGATGACCACGTTATTTTCCCATGGAGCCTCCTTTCTGCTAACAGGGAGAGTCCCCACCAGGCCAAGCCTCTTAAAAGGAGTGTGAAGAAAAACAATGGAAGGTGCCTTGGTTTATAAATGGCTGTATTATTCTTAGCATGCACCCTATCGGGACGCCTGTGAAGTTGCTGACGCGACTCAATTTAATGAGGTGAGATCAATGGGGCCTGCAGTCCCCAAGTGCAGGACTCATGCTCCTGGTGGCCTCAGTCTGCCCATTCCCTGTGGTGGGTGTTGATGCTACTTTGGGTTTGAATGATAATCTTTTTAATGATGAACTGAAAGTAAAGAAAGGCCCTGAAAGAAAAAAATAAACACAATGATAAGCAAAGGAAACCCTGCTCCGTTACATAAGAAAACAGCCTCAGCCCCGCGCCAGCTGCGTTCAGAGCCAGCCCGTTCCAGCAGCATGCTCAGGTGGTGTTTCCGCATCCCCCGCGAGGGAGCATCTCCTAGTATCCTTAGCAATCCCACATGAAAAACTAGCATGTTTTCCATCTGGAGCACTCGAGACCTGACACAGGATGCCATGCTTACATAGTCAGAAGTCCAGCTCGTGAAGGCCCAAGAGCCAACGCCGGTGCTCCCCTTCCCGGGACGTTTCACAATCAGCCCTGATGGGGCGATGCCAGGCTGGTCACAGGCATCTCACCAGGAGGGGCAGGGGCACAGGCCACACAGTGGCTGTGTTGCAGGTGCTGGTGAACACTTGTGTGCCCTGATGTAGATGCACTGCCCAGGAGACCCCAGGGCTAGGTGAGAGGTCTCCACACTCCACTCCATCCCGTTGTCCAGGATGGAGTGGCAACTTACAACGCCAGGCCCCAGGACTGGTTATCAGGTGTTGGCAGAGGGTGAAAGCGTGTGGCTCCTCCTGAAAGCCTGCTCTGTCCACCACTGTTGGAGGTGACATCTTCGTGGTTCAGATCACAGACTCTATTTTGGCTTTGTGTCTCAAGCATGCTGGTGAGGGCAGAGCCTGTGGGCTGTGGATTCTCAGAGGCTCAGCAGCAAGAGCCCCTGCGCCACCAGCCTCAGGTCCCACCAGTGGCCTGGGAGCTGTCCCTGGCAGATGCAGCACCTCCATATGACATGCCTACATCGTAGCGGTTTGTCCCTGGCTTTGTGTGAGAGCAAACATCCCCTCCCATCATCTGGAAGCAAATTCCAAGGACCTCTCAGATGAAGCACTGAAGAACAGTTGTCTAACAATAAATAAATAACAGAATAGATAGAGCTTCATTCTATCAAAATTGGAGAGACCTGCCAGCTATCTCATGGTGCTCCAGTCCGTTTGCAGGCATGGCCCTCCACAGCGCACGTGCTACAAAGGACTATCCCTGGAAAGACCCAGAGCAGGTGGCCCTGGACTTAGTGTGGGCTCCCGAACACAATCCTCTACACACATACACACTCTGCACACATACAGCCCTGCACACACACAGCCCTGTACAAACCTGCACTCACACAGCCCTATACACACATACTCTGTACACACACACACCCTGCACACACATCCTGCACACACACAGCCCTGTACACACACCTTGCACACACATACCCTGAACACACACTTTGCACACAGTCTTAAACACACACACAGCCCTCCACACACACCTTGAACACACATACCCTGAACACACACACTTTGCACACAGTCTTAAACACACACACAGCCCTGTACAAACAGCCCTGTACACACACCCTGCACAGACACAGCCTTGTACACACATCCCCTACACAACCCCGTGCACGCACACCTTGCACACACTCTGAACACAAACACTTTGCACAGACACAGCCCTGCACACACACAATGTGCACACACCTTGTACACACAGCTCTACACACACAGTTCCTCCTGCCAGGCTCTCTATGGCTTTCTGTTGAGCCCTTCCTTGCACATGTTTGGACTGCTGAGTGAGAGCACTGTTGGCCTCATCTGACTTCCTCGCAGGCGATCACACGGCATATGACTCTGGCCACTGTAGACCCATGGAGTCAAATGTGGCTGCGGGGCCCAGACGCGATAGAGATGGCACAGTCCACATTTACAAGCACCCTTTCAGTGATAACTCAAGCCTGGCATTCATTCAGGGTTACCGGTTTAAATAGTGGGTCTTTAATAGTGGGACATAAGCCAGAAGGCCAAGCTGAGATACCCAGAGCTATATGGATAAAAAACTCATATTTTCTTCTGATGAAATTACCAGCAAACATCTTTCAGACTTTTAAGATAGAAAATGTATATGGAGCTACCAAAAAGTAAACAACTCTGAGTATATATTCCAACATAAAGCCATTAGCCACTGGCTTAATTACTTAAATTTTATATTTCCACTAAATGCAGTTAGTGGCAACTGTGATTTTTTTTAAAGGCTGTCACTCTGTCTCCCAGGTTGGAGTGCAGTGGGGCAATCATAGCCCACCGCACCCTCCACTTCCTGGGCTTAAGAGATCCTCCTGCCTCAGCCTCCTGAGTAGCAGGGACTACAGGCATACCACCACAGTGGGCTAACTTTATTTTATTTGTAGAGACAGGGCTCATTCTGTTGCCCAGGCTCGTCTTGAACTGGGCTCAAGTGATCCCCTCACCTGGGCCTCCTGAGTGGCTGGGATGTGGGCGTGAGCCCCTGTGCCCGGCCAAACTATGAGTTGTGATGTGCATCTCCCTGCACAGATTCCTTCACAGACCCTGGACACCAGATGCCAGCACAGCCACAAGCAGGCGGTGAAGGGGCATCTCCCCAAGCTGCCCAGGATTGGAATAAAAATAAGCATGGCTAGTCTTGGACTAACTTGAAAACAGACCAAGTTTCCCAAAACCCTCCAGCCTCTTCCTTCTGTTTAATTTTCCATGAGTCTAAATACTGTTGCCTTCTCTTTTTCCCAAGGGAATCTGATGGGACCTTTGCGTTCCTGGGTCCCCCTGTCCAGCAAGCTCCTCCCAGGGTCTTGCTTCCAAGCCTCAGCTCTGGGTGGCAAATGAATCTGGTCTTCACCAGGCTTTGCTCCAGAAACCAACTGGAAGAACAATTATGCAATGAGGCTCCCCCAAGTTACACCACATAAAGTTCAAGGTCAATGATGTAGCTTTCAGGTTTGTAAAGAAAGTTGACCCTGTTTGAAAGTGACCTGTGCAAAAGTGTCTAGATGGCCTTCCCCCAGTTAATAGCTGTTCATTGAAAGTCAATGTCTTTGCCTATTAAAAGAAAACTCGGCATTATTTTCCTGCAGATCTGAAGTATACCCTATAGCCCTTGGGGTGTGGAAATCTTTAGAGTGACTTTTACTTTCACACCCTCTGCTGTTCTCTTCCTGCAGGTCTGCATCCCAGAGTGAGGCCCATGTGTGAAAAGCAGGGCGGCAGCATGTCACTTGCTGTCCAGGGAATCAGCCTGTTAATGTGTCAGACAAAAGTCTCTGCTCAAACTTGGCTAGTGAGACTGGTCCAGGCCAACCTGGCCAAGCACCATAAATAAATGACAGCCTCACGGAGCAGAAAACCAGCACTTAATTACAGTTGTTCCCTCCACCTACCAAGCTGGCCACCAAGCAGGGGCAGCCTCAGGTTTCCACAAGCAGGAAGTGGACAGGCCAGTGCCGGCTGGACTCCAGAGGTGGGACTGCTGCCCAGGGTGATGCCTTCAGAACACATGCTGGGGGCATGCCTCTGTCAGAGGATATCTGTCTCCACAGCTTGCTTTTCTTGTTAAGGCACATTTTCATTTTTCTAGAGAGCTCCCTGGCTTTCAGAGTGGAGGTCTCTGTGCTGCAGGGATGGCCCCATCAAGTGAATAAACATCCAGGGCTGGGGACTCAGGGACACTCCACAGACACACGCACAAAAACAGCATACAGGGACGGAGCGGGACATAGGCAGTGTGGGGAGTGTGTGGGTTGAGGGAGGGGGGCAGGTGTCACAGGGTGTGGCCCAGAGCAAGCAGGAACTCAGTAGGGACCGAGGAGGAACTCGGCAGTCTAGGAGGACTTCTGGAATCACACTGATGATCCCTGCCAGCTATTTTCCAAAGAACAAGATGGGAGAGACCAGACGACCCTTGCAGGCAAAAGTGAATCATTATTTAGGAAAAGACTTGGATTTGCCAGGTAGATCTAGAGGCATCTCTGCAAATTATCAGGCTATCAATAGGTCTGTGAGTTGTTCTTTGCATACAAGATTTTAACCTTTACAAATTTGCCATATTTATAATGGCAAGGATGAGGCTAGGAGTGGCCACCAGGTCCCTGTTTATGAGATCCTGCTGTTCTCTATTAGTTTTCTGGGGTTGCTGTAACAAATTACCAACAATCAAGTGGCTTAAAACAACAAAATTTATTCTCTCCCAGTTCTGAAGGCCAGAATCGGAAGTTAAGGCACTAGCAAAGCCCTGGCCCTTCAGAAAGGTCACGAGGAGGACTTTCTAGGCTCTTTAGCTCCTGGTGGTTCTGCATGTTCCTTGGCTGTGGCTGCATCACCCCCATCTCTGCCTCCATCTGCACGGGACCTTCCCCCCATGTCTGTGTCTCAGATCTCTCCTTCAGCTCACTGACGGTAGCAGAAGCCATCACCATCCCTTCCACGTGAGGTCTGCCCGCCTCTGGACCAGCTGGACCATGTTCAACTCCTGCCCGCAGAAAGTCCTGCTGCACTCTGCCCTTCCAAGTTCTCCTTGGAGCACTCCAGATACGAGGATCTGAACCCATGCCTTGTGGATGATCTAAGGTCAACTTCCTTCACTTAACTCCATCTGCCAAAACTCTTCTCAAATAAGGTCACAGTCACAGGGTCTTGTGGGGCATATCTTTTATTAGGGAGTGGGAGGGACACTGTTCAGCATACTACACCAAGCAATATGTAAGGTCCACACATACAAGGCATATGTCACCATACATGGGAGGACACGTTTACCCTTGTCCTTTCAATGCTCCCTACATAGGACAGTGTCTTCCATGGGGCAGGGAGAAGGGTGGAAGGTGGAGGCAGAGACCTGGCACACTGGGGATGCTGAAAAACTGTCCACTGATGTTCTGCCCTATTTTCAATTATTTCTAAATTACAGAACAAAATTACTCTACACAGCATTATGAATTTCTGACCCTAAGCTGAAGATCAATCAAGAATGGCCAGAACGCACAGAGAAAGGGAAACTGGAGTGGGGCTGGAGGGACGGGATGTTCTTCAGGATGGATGTAGTTACAGCCGGTTGGAGGTGATTCTAGGCGGTTATCCTTAAACCATGTACTCAGCCTGCCTTTCACTTTGAGTCTGTGTTAGGCCTGGAATCCAGCCAGATGCCCCCACCTTGAGGTGCTCCTCATCCTCCCAGGTCTTTCTGCAGTGTCTTCCACAGGCGCTTTGAGGATGAGCATCCACGGGTCTCTAGAAACCTGGGGGCCCTTTGCAGGGGGCAAATGGATGGGTTGTGTGGCCCAGGGGCCCTGAGCTGCAGAGGCTGCAGTGTACCAAGTCGCAGATGCACTGTGTCCCATGCCTACTCCTAGTTACTCAAACGTGTAGATTCTCTAGCCCTGGGGACAGACACGGGGTGCATCCCAGATCTCCTTTCAAAAGCAATTCAGAGTCTCTTGGGAGAGAGAAAGAGAAGGCAGGGGATGAAAGGAGAACTCAGAAACTCCTGGAAGCCAAAGAAAACCTTACGTTTAGAGAAACTTGCAGCAATTAGTGCTTGGAGTTGGCAGCAAAATGGTGCGAGGTAATTAATTAACACCTACAGTCTAAACAGCGTCTTTCCACAGGGGCCTGAAAAACCCCCAAGAAAGACCGAAGTGGAGGAAAAGGGAGAATAAGATGGAGACGGGGGGCAGGAAATGAGAGGGGCTTTGGTGACTGAGATAGTTAATGGGCCTTAATTTTCCCCCAATTTATCATGATCTCAGTTGAGCACTTCCTGGATGACAATGAGGGTGCAAAGTCCAACTGTGCAGGTCTTGCTGCTTAGACTCAGGTCTGTATCTGCCAATCACAGGGAGACACAGGCAGATCAAGAGTCAGGAGCACAGGGCATCAAGAAAAGGGGACACACGCCTGAGAATCCAGCTTGAAAATGCATCCATTGGATATATTCTGTCAGCACTGAGAGGGAAGGCTGGATAGTCATCTCAAAAATCACCATGCCATTGGTGCCCACCAAATATTCTCTGCCAAAGAGTTTTGGCTACATACAATTTGGAGATTTTATTTCCCTTTGCAAAGTATCTAAGGCATGTTTCAGGTTGGGAGACATTGGAAAACATCTGTGTTTGCTTTGCCCTTTCTTATTTTATGTGAATATTTCACTGTTAACAAGAGAAATTTCCTGAGTAAAGAAATCTCTTGGAACTCAACAGAGAGTCTGTGTCAGGCCACGAGAGAGCGGAAGAATATTCTATACAGACAACCTGCGCCCCTGCAAAGGGCCCCTCTGCTCACCAAGGGTGATGTGTTGGCAATGTCCATCTCAGACACGGCTGTGTCTCTAGAGGATTCGTATGGCTCCCGCTCACTACTAAACAAGATGTGCTGTGGTCAATCCACAAAGTTGAACTTATCTCTAAAGAGTTGAAAGCCGCTAAGGCCCCTTCTTCTGTAAAACAACTTCCTGGGAAAATGTTAATTATTACAACAATTAGAGGCAATAAAAAGCCTAAAAGAGTATGGTTAATAGATGGACTGAGCAACTCATTCACTGCCCAGTTATAATTCCACTTTGAATGCAGACTTTGGGTTAACGTATACAGCTCACAATGTGTGTTGGGACTGAAAAATGGCACCCTTATCATGATTCTATTACTTAGGGCTTGCTTCCATCCTCTTAGCTATTTTTTTCCTACAGCCAGTGCTAAGAATAGACTGTCTGAGTGATGTCAAATTTTGGAGAAAAAAATAAAATAAAATGAGTAGCTCAATTGTTACAGGATTAGGGCTATAAAAATGCAGCAATTACTAATTCAAGGGTGTAGAAAACACTTTACAAAATCCACTTCAGGCACCATTTCATGTTCCCTTTAAGAACTGAAGATTAGCCAAAAATGTCTCCTGAGTAATACAGCTTCTGGCTGAAGTTTGGATTTTAAGCAGGATGTACTTTAAAAGCAAGAGAGGCTTGCCCCTAGCTCACAGCAGCAGAGGTCTTTGCCAGGTGCATTCTCTAAGCAATTGAGGAAGAGCTGGAAAACCTGGCTCCACGAACCAGGGCTGCATCTCTGCAGCTCTACACTCCTCTCCAAGAAGGGCTGCATCTCTGTAGCTCTTCTTGGTAAGTACAGGGTCTTTCCTCACTCTTTCCTCCTTTCCTGTTCTCGGCAGCAATTATTTGGAAAAGGCGGGTTCTGAAGCAATCTGCTCATGTCACTTGGAGTCCCCCACACACATACTCTAAGAGTGCAGAGGGTCTCCCTGGAGTTCCCTGTGAAGACGAACCAAGGCAGTGTCATCTGGGGGGATAATTTTATGTGTCACCCTGACAGGGCCCCTGACGCCAGGATTCATGGTTAGGCACAATATCTGTGGGGATACTTCTGGATGAGATTAACATTTGAATCCATAGACCGAGGGAAGCTGTTTCCCTCCCTGGTGTGGGTGGACCTCATTCAATCCACTGAAGAGCTGAATAGAATAAAAAGCTGGACAGGAAAGAATTTTTTCTCTCTTCCTGATTGTCTTTGAGCTGAGCCATTGGTCTCCTGCCTTCAGACTTGAATGCACACTGGGGCTTCCTCCAGCAGCTCCCTGTGCCTCCTCCAGCTGCCCAGTTTCAGGCCACCAAGGGACTTGCCAGGCTCCACATCACAGAAGGCAATTTTTATAGAAAATCTCTTGATAGATGACAGAGGAAGATGATGGAGCTAGAGCCAGAGATGCATGGGTAGATGTGCCATCTGTGGAGCTGGGTTCTCCTTGAGGACACCTACAAAGCCACTCCTCAAGACAGTCTTCCCATGCAGTTCATGTTCCCAGGTGGGAGCATGGCAGAGGCATTGGCCAAAGTCCTCCCACCATGTGGGAGGACCATTTTAGACTTTCTTCTCAACACTGAGAAAGTGACCATACTTGCTCATCTTCAGAGTGGTGACATCGACTGTATCCATACATTCAAGGGAAGGAACAACTTGGAAAGAGCTGAGCACTAATCAGCCCTGCACAGCTCCGGAGATAATTCCCACGGCAGCACTATGGCTACAGTGCATATTAAACGCATCCCTATTACTGAAAAGAACCTTTAAGCATCATATGTCAATTCAGTAGGATTCACGATCTCAGAGAAGTTTCTGCATCCATTATCAGCTTTTAATCTTATCCACATCATCCCTTTTTAGGAAAAAAACAAAAACAAAAACAAACCAAACTCATGAATACTTTTCCGTAAGTCATTCTACTTCCTTCAAACGGGAAAAACTTTGGAATCGCAGAAAACATCCTTTCTGCTTGGCATGGCTCACCTCTTCCAGTCTGAGAAAGGTACCATTGTGTGACTTCAGTAAATTTGATAAACTACGAGTTTAGCAGCCTTTTATTTTTGAGAAGTGAATAGCGACTTTCTCTGTCCTCGGTGGCACCCCCCTCTCCCTAACTCTCCACATTATGCAGACTTCAAGGAGTGGAGCAGCCCTGTCAGAGGAGCCCTGATAGGAAGGAACTCCTGAGTGGTTCAGGCACTGGCAGCGTCTTTAGTCCCTAGACAGGCACATTAGTCTGGATGTTAGCTGCGTCTCCTTAATTGGATTGCCTGCATAAATTGCAATACAGGGTGGACAAGTGATAGGAATAAATATGTTTTTCCCCTTAAAAAGAACCCAAATATGTAAACAACCCATCATGTAGGAGAGAGTGTATGTGCATCTTATTGAAAGGGGAGAAATAATTTGGAGAGATGAGAAAAGAGCACAGGGTAAAAGCTGATATTCTTCTTTTATAACGGATAGCCCCAAGTTGTAGAGGCCATTATTTCTTGCATTTTCAGAGCAAATGAACTTGACAGATGGCCGTGTCACCCAAACCCCCACCTACCAACTTGATTATGCAGAAAACAATACAATAGAAAAGAAATCATTACTGAAGGAACCTGGTTAGTCCGCAGAGGGCCGGGGAATGCAGAAGAACAAAATTACAGTGGTGGAATTGAACAGCAAGAATGCATTTAACACAAAGTGGGTTACAGCGAGGCAATCAGTCATGGCTAAAGCTATTGTCTGGGCTTGCTTGCATGGTATATGAAGTAATCTGTCATCTCCCACGAAATTTATGCTTAGTTTATAGGAGAAAACTACAAAGGTTTTGCCAGGACATGTGCTGGTAGCCTTAAGTAGCTCAAGTGTGGACCAACAGAAAGGACACGTTGGACATCTCAGGACGCCTGCTGCCTTCTTTGTGGGGGCCATTATCTTATCACTGAGGTGCTCCCATCTGATGCTCACATGATTTGCTGATGTGTTTGGGGAAGTTAAGGGCACAGATTCATTCAGCTTCAACAATGGACAGCCCGGGACGGCAGCAGCGCGGACACCAACAGCACTGGTTGGGAAGACAGAAGACCATAGTTAGAGTGGGGCTTTTCAAAACGTAGAAAAGTGTGCTGCCGTGAGTTTAGAAAGACTAACAGCCTTCCTACTTGTGGCGGTGTGTATGTGTCAGGACAGGTCGACACCAAATATATAAGCCTCACCATGTATGCAACAGGCAGCCTGGGATAGACAGTGAAATCATGTTTTCAGCTGCGCTAGGCAGTCATACACCACATTTAAGACGGTGCTTCCACACCAGAAATGGTTTCTTGAGACTAAGTCATCTCCTCTGTTCCTTTGCTGAAAAATGACGGGGTCTTGCCTCCTTTATTTCCTGTTGTGTGGTATTCCTCCCACCTGAAAACATCTTCCCCATCCATTGCTACTTCCTGGGTGGGCCCAGCCTAAAAGGCCCAGCTCACAGGTAACTCCGGGGGCACCTGCCCTCTGCAAGGCCTGCACCCCTATTATCCCAGGACTCCATGCTTCCTGGCACTGGCTGTTTTGGTTCTATCTCAGCTCTCATATTAGACTCCGTACTCCCGAGGCAAGTGTCTGCATCACATCCATCCATGCCAGTAGCTTTCATCTGTCTACATATTACAATCTCTCTTCATACATAGATATGATATACAGACATGGGTCTCTAGCTATTTAATATTAATTCTGTACTGTCTGGCACAATATCTTATATACCCACAGATCAGGGATATGGATATACAGAGTACTTAATAACTTAATATAACTAATAATCTAACTTAACGTACTATTAAATATAATCATACAGGTTAAGTATTCCTTATCCAAAATGCTTGGAACCAGAAGTGTTTCCGATTTCTCATTTTTTTCAGGTTTTGGAATAGTCATATATACATAATAAGATCTCTTGGGGATGAAACCCAAGTCTAAAGACAAAATTCATTTATGTTTTATATATACTCTATACACAGATCCTGAAGGTAATTTTATGCATTATGTTTAATAATTTTGTGAAACCTATTACATGAGGTCGAGGGTGAAATTTTACACTTCAGTTTTGAATTTTGGAGCATCTCAGATTTCTGATTTTTGGATTAGGGATGCTCAACCTGTATAATATTAATGTAATTAAATAATATATTTAATATGTTATTTATATTATATAATAATATATAAATATAATTTTATATTAAAAATAAATTTATATGTATATATACTATAAATAATATTATAACATAATAATATATTCAATATATCATTTAATATGTTAATAACAATATAGGTAATAATTTGTTGAGATTAAATACAAATTTGTTAAAAATTGACCCAAGGATTATATGCAGCTTTCAGAAAATTAAAACAATCTTCCAAGCTTTCACTGTATCTCTTGAATTATGCCTACTGTTTTCCGACATATTTGTAATCAGTGACTTATGTCTTTATTTTACTTTTACTTGATGAAATGTAAGTAGTTAGCAGTGCTGTTATTTGTACCTTAGTATTACCTCAAACTAAAGAACAAGCACAGAAATGTGTCTTAGATTATTCTAATTTCAGAAAGTCCTAGTTCAAAAATCCAATGTTGAAGCATGTATAGAAATGTATTTTCCCAGATTCACAGCCAAGGAGCAGAAGATAATCCCCTTTTACATACACAAGGAGCAGAGGATAGACCCCTTTTACATACACAAGGAGCAGAAGATAGACCCCTTTTACATACACAAGGAGCAGAGGATAGATCACATTTACCCACAGCCGCTCATAAAGTCTCCCAGGATATCACATTTGCTGGTCATCATGAAGCTTGCAACCCCTAGAGAAGGATGTGTTCAGTTTATTTGGAATGGAAACACTGCCTGTTCTGCGGCAGAGCTCAGCACCTGCGTCTCTAAAATAGAAACAGTCACTCAAACAAGGAAGCTTTAGAGAATCAATGCTTAGAGCAGCCAGACCTGGTTTCCTACTGCCCGTGGCAAGCAGGAGTTCAGAGCTTCACCTCTAATACTCTGATGAGATCATGGATTTGTATGTCATCTGAGAACTCAGCCCTGTTCCAGGCAGGGGCTGTTTGGGGACAGTGCTGTGGTGCTGATTTCCGAGTGGACAGCAGGTACAGTGAGAGGGCAAAATAGCAGCCACTACTAATATGGAGCAATGGGGACTGACATCATCCAGCTTCACTTGTACCCCAATATTAACCTCAAAGCATTACATAATGCACCACCAATTAAATTTGCCCTCAATATTATGTGGGGCAAGGTGATTGCTGATAGCCACAGGTGAGAAATATCTGGACAACAAAATATAATTTATCTCAGAAGAATATAGGTTAATTCAGGAAATAAATTCTGCTTTCAAGTCCAGAATGTCTGTGGGATTCCCTTGAAAGTTAATAAACGGAAAATAAAGGACAATGCTTCTTAGAGTTAAGGGGCGGTGGTGTCTGTAGCTGGGATCCTCCAACTACAGCCACAGATATGGTCTCGGGGAGGTGGTTCCTTCCTCCCTAAATACCCACTGTGTCTGAGTTGTTTCTAGGAGCCCACTCTCCACGCTTCTCTTAGGGTAGCAGAATTATGGCCTCCCAAATATGTCCACATCGTAACCCCAGAACCTGTGAGCATGTAGACTACATACCCAAGGGAGCCGAGGCTCTCATTGGAATGCAGGTCACGGAGGAACTGGCCTCGAGGTGGCAGATCCTCCTGTGTGATCCTGCTGCATGACCTGGACAGACTCAGTGCAATCACCAGGCTGTTATAAGGAAGACAGGGACAGAAGAGAGGGTTGGGGAGAGAGTAGAAGATGCCACACTGCTGTTTGTGAAGACGGAGGAAGGAGCCACAAGCCAAGGAATGCTTGTGGCCTCTGGAAGCTGGAAGAGGTGGGGAAATGGGTTTTCCTCTGGCCCTTCCAGAAGGGAGGCAGCCCTGCTGATGCCTGGACTTCAGCCCAGTGAGACCCACTTCAGACTTCTGCCTCCAGAGCTGTAAGGTCCCAAGTCTGTGTTGTTTAAGCTGCTAACTTAGTGGTCCTTTGTTACAGTAGAAATAAGAAACAAATACATCTCCACCTGCAATCCGTTTATTTAAATTTATTTTTCAGTTTCTAGTATTTAGAATGGTGCTCAGTGCATGTGATGGACATGGTTCTTGAGGGAATGAATTCATTCTACACTATTCACGAGGAGCGGTGTTCTGACGAGACTCTGAGGTTGAAAAAGGTCATTAAGACTCAACACCTCCAGACTTAGCACAAGAATGAAAACAGGCCAGGCACGGTGGCTCAGCCTGTAATCCCAGCACTTTGGGAGGCCAAGGTGGGCGGATCACTTGAGGTCAGGAGTTCAAGATCAGCCTGGCTGATCCTCGTCAAAACCTCGTCTCTACTAAAAATACAAAATTTAGCCGGCTGTGGTGGCTCACGCCTGTACTCCCAGCTACTTGGGAGGCTGAGGTGGGATAATCACTTGAACCTGGGAGGCAGAGGTTGCAGTGTGCTGAGATTGCACCACTGTACTCCAGCCTGGGTAACAGAGTAAGACTGTGGCCTTCTCATGGCATCTGCCATAGGGTCTATTCCCACCACAGTGGCCCCAAAGGTTTCTCTTTCCAGGGGAGGCCATCTTACATCCCTTGACCACGTTCCCGTGTGGGCTCTGAGTGCCACACCATTCTGCTCACACGTCTGTCTTCATGTCCTTCATTCCATCAGCAAGCATTGATCTGTGTCCTGCCCTGGGCTAAGGCCATGTGTAATGTTCCTTTGAGAGTGAGGAATGTATACATACATGTTTCTATTGTTTGTAGACATGGCTCCTGCCCTGATTAAGTGTATATTCTAAATGATGACTCGGAGGATAAATGAACCACGCAGAATTCATGCTACAGAGAGTGAGAAGTGGTCAGGGATAGCCTTTTGGAAGAGGTGACACATAAGCAGAGACCTAAAGAATGAGAGGAAGGCAGGCACTCAGGGGAAGGGGGTCCTGGGCAGCCAGAGCCATTGGATGCTGGAAAGTTCAGCCCCGTGAATTGCAGGGGAGGCTGGGCCCATGAATTCAGCCCTGAAACATTGATTGAGGGGCTGCCCTCAAGGAGGCTGCATTCTAGTGGGTGGGTCGGGGAGAGAAAATTAATAACCACACAAGTAAGCATGTGCATCCCATGCCAGAGGGGAGAGGACCGCTAAATGAGAGTCACGCAGGGGCCTCCCCAAAGCAGGATCCAAAGAGACTGTGATGTGGGCATCTCCAGAGGCCGCTCCTGGCCCTGGGAGGAGAAGAGCTCAGGAGAGGGCCCATGGCAGCCCAGCCCTGCATGAAGAGACGGAACTGTACTATGGATGGTGGGGGTAGTGGGGCCCCTGAAGACCTGGAGGATGACCAAGAAGTAGCCCCCTCATCAGGATGATCCCCAGTCTCCAGTCCTTAGGTCAGGCTGTGCTGTGCACAGCAGCCTGTGCAGTGGTTTGAGGGGGACCTCAAAGGAAAGGGAGGGGGCCCCCTTCTCATTTCTGGCCCTTCTTGCTCACTCCCCACCACCGTGTGATGACAGGAGCCATTCATGGAGACCTCTTGCTCTCTTTCCAGGGCTCACTGTATTTGCACAAGGCTGGCCCCTCTCCTCTCCCATGCCTGCAGCCTGGGCCCCACAAATGTGTGTGTCTCCCTGTGTTCACAGCAGGTGGGCAGAGGAGGAGCACGCCTCATTGCAGGGCGCACAGTGACATCATAAGTTCTCTTTTCCTAGTGGTATTGACTCAGGTCAATGCCTGCGAGGGCTTTGCAGAAGGGGCTCAAAGCCCCTTCCAAACCTGTCCCACAACTGTAGGTGGTAAGAGACAAGTGGAACCAGCTGGAAAATATGTAGCTGAACACAGTGGCAAAGGGGAGGGCACTGGGCCTGGAGTAGGGACACCAGTGCCCATGCCCACTGCCCAGACACCCCTGACGTGTGGTTTCAGAACTTGGCCTTCTGCAGCTTCACTTCCAACTGTCACCTCTGGGGTCCTTCCTAGCATGAAGGTTCTTGGCTGCATCCTCTGCAAGCCCAGGGAGGGCTCCTGATCAGACAGAGGGGTGTAGATGGTTCAGGGCAAATTCGTCACAGCTCAGAACACGCCTTCCGCAGGACTGTGGGTCAATATTGCCATCTTCATCTACTCAGAGAAGCGCCTGCTTAGTGAGGGGCAAGGGAGCGCTCTATCAGCATAACTTTTTAAAATAGTGACATAAGTATCTATCATTTCACTATATATGAATTTTTTAATATTTCCAATATAGACGATGCTGAATGTGGAATTTCATGAGATATGATACCAGTTAGCCTGGGGGCCTTTGATTCCTCTAACGTTTTTTTATCAGGTTTCATCAGCTTTATTGGAAAATGGGATAGTGCCTTATTGGAAGATAGGTGGAAATTTGTCAAACACTTAGCCATGCTATCAGTCTCAAGCACAGTCTTTGCTACAGATGCAATTATTGCAGTGGGGGTTTGGATTTTGAGAGCTCCCAGGAAAGAAAATATGGGTAAACACAGTATGAAAGCTCCTCTTACCTACGCAGCCACTCCTACTAGGAGATGGGAAGACTGCGGTAAACGAGAGAGAGATGATCATGGTGCATTCAATGAACTCTGTGGCGGAATACTCAAATGTGGAACTAGCAAAAACGACAAATATTTTCATGCTGGAATTAGGGAGAGAGACTTGAATCAAGGCTGAAATTATTTCTTAAATGACCACGTGCAAGAGTGTACTACTTTCTCCAAATGGAAGCCCTAAGAGAAGTCTAAGGGGGGAAACTGAATTTTCTAGGGTATTTCTATGCTGAGGAGTGGGGTGAGAGTGAGATAGCAGACGGCATCAGGCCAGAGTGAGGTTGCGAGAAATCCACTCTGGTTGTTGGTTTAAGGAGACTGGTCAACAGTGTCTCACACTGCAGAGGCTCGGAGAGCGTGGTCCAGAAAGTCCTCTGAGTTGATCATTAAGGGCTTTTCAGAGTGCTAGTTCTCTATGTGGGGTCGCCACACCAGCAGCATCACAGTTACCTGGGAATTCGGTGGAAATGCAAATTCCTAGGGGACTCACAAAAGAGCCAGTGAACAAGATACTCCGGGGGTGTCTTGTTCACAGTCTGTGCAGACAAAGCCTTCCAGGGGAGCCAGATGTATGCCCTGCTTGAGGACCAGGATTCTGGGATGTCGCTGCAGCAAAACAGGATAGAGGGCAGGAGACACAGAGGGGTTCCATAAACAATGGAACAGAGAGAAGACTTTTGGTGTTAAGGAAATATCCTTCCAAGATAGGGAATGTTTGGAGACGAGGAAGACCGACTGTGAGAGGGAGGAAGTAAAGATGAGAGGGGGGTGCAGGGCACCCCACGGAAGCTGTGGAGCAGGAGCAGGTGATCAGGTGAGGACAGAAGGGAGGGAAGGATGATGCAGGAATGAAGCCTGGTTAGGTGGACAGGAGATGGAGGAGGCAATGTCTTGGTTGGCTTTTCCTCCAACCTGCCTTGGTTGTCTTTGAGAATATTATTTTCCAGATCGAATCTTCAATCTATTTGTGCACAGTCTAAGGCTTTCTCTAAGGCTTCCCTTGCATTTATGCTCAGGGAAGGTTTTGATGTATTCTTCGGTGAGCAGATTTCCTTCATGATGATGAGAAGAGGCACCTTGTGTGCCCTGTAATGGAGTTGAAGTCGGCCTCCCTGCCTCTGATGCCAGGAGGCTGGGGGCATCCCAAAGAAAGACTGGTCAGAGTATTTCATATTATTGATGACATCATCAGCATTTTGGCACCATGGAGTTTTAAAATCCCATGAAAAGCTGACCAAAGGAATTTTAAAATATTGATTTCTTTGTAGCATAAGGGCATGATTTATTATCTTCTCCTGGGATCCTCACGGATAGGAGACGAGGCTCAGATGCTACACCCTGGAGCTGCTTCTCCTGATGAAGCATTTAATGCAGACATGGGGGAACTGGAGACACAGGTGACAAACTATCAGGAAACAATTCAGGTAGAAAATGGGAAGGGCCTATTCAAATGTCTGAAAATCTTCAGTCACCACAATAGAGCAAAAGATATAGAGCAATCACTTTAAGGAAAACATAAGTCCACTCCATTGAGAAGGCATCTTGTTCCGGTAGAGACATGTTGGTTGGGGACACTCCTAGCCCACTGTTTTCATTTCTCTGTGGAGCACCCCTGCCTGGCACAGCTGTGTGGCTACTCGTGCATTGGAGGAAATCTGAAGCTTTACATACTTGAGTCACTGATGCAACAGAGATTTATACAGGACAGGCCCTGCACTGAGAGCACGTGAGCAACAGCAGCCGTTGTGAGATGCACCATGGTTTAACCCTACACCAGGAGCCTGGGGACCTGGAGCTTAGGGAGCTGTGCAGGACTAGGATGTTATCACAAAACTAAAATGTGTTTCCCAGGTAATTAGTACATCTCTTCAGCAAGTAAAAAATTAAATATAATAGTCAGATAAAAAGCAGAGAGGAGGAAAAAAGAAAAGAGGGAGAAAGAGGGGCTGTTTCAGGGTAGAAATGGAGGGGAGCCTGTTCTGTGGAGTTGGTGTCAGCTGCCTCATCTTTAGGGTCTCAGAGACTGTTTTGGCTCCCTTTAAGTTCTCTCCCTGCACTCACTCTGGCCTAAACTTCACATGCTGTCTAACAAACACAGGTGAACTTCTGCAAGGGCCCGCAGTGCAGGCTCCCACAGCCTGACGCTGCTGTAGAAACTTGGAGACATTACCATGAACCCCAGTTACCCCTAAGGGCCACTCTACCTACTGTGGGCCCCTTGGGGGTCTTCCCTTGGTGAGCTATATAGCAGTGGGGTCTGCCTGGGACCAGCAGCGTGATCCAACTGGTTCTAGTCAAACTGCAGATAGCCTTGGTGCTTGGGACAGTCCCTCTGGGAGTCAGCCCACCTCCCCGCTGGGCTCCACAGTAGCTTGTGGCTCCAGTGGAATCAAGCAATGCCACCAAGCACCTCCTCAGCATCCTGAGGCCATGCCCAGAAGGGCCATGGCCTCTTGGCAAGCCCACGGGCATGTCTGAAAGTCAGCCAAGACTCAGAATACCCAAGATGGTCCCCATGATCCTCTCCCTCCAATCAGGTCTTCTGCTGCAGATCTGTCTCTCAATGGGAGGCAGGAGCCCCCATCCTGGGACCCACCCTGGACACCTCCCTTCCCCACCCCCACACTCAAGGCTACTGGCCTGAGTCATTTCCTCTCCCAGGCTCCCCTTACACCTGTGCTTTTCTGCAGCCCTGCCCTCCCCTGATCCAATCAGCATCATATCACTTGACTCTCCCTTTGATTTTTGGGTCCCTAGATGTGTTCCATTCTTTTGCTGTATCCAAAGTGATCTTTTTAAAATGAAAATCCAATCCCCAAGCTCTTTCCTTGAAAAATCTCAAAGTAAAGATTTCACACTGGTAGTCCGCAAGATAAATTTGTTTTGAGAACATGGTTTCTCTGGTTCACATTTTTGGTTAATAGTTGAATCAGGAAACCAGCACCCTGGCCACCCGGTCCCACATGGTGTTAGATGCTGGTTCTGAATAGTGATGGCTCCTTTAAAAGAGGTGAGCTGCCCACCCAGCCATCACCATACATGGACACCACCTGCCAGGTGTCTACTTTCTGTTTCTATATATTTTGTCTATTCTGGAAATGTTTATTTCTCCTATCTACCTGTAATTAATTACATATTCTTTGACCAAAATCTTCCCATTACTACTCCTCTTAACCACCCTAGCCTCTGGCAACATTGTTGTACTCTGTCATTCTATGAGATCAGCTTTTTTAGATTCTACAGGTCATGAGGTATTTGTCTTTCTGTGTTTGGATGATTTTATTTAACATAATGACTTCCAGGCTTATTCATATTGCTGCAAATGACGGGATTTTTTTTAATGGGTGATTAGTATTTAATAGTGTGTATAAATCACAATCTTTTTATCCATTCATTTGTTTGTTTGTTATGAAACGGGGTCTCACTATGTTGCTCAGACTGGTCTGGACCTCCCAAGCTCAGGTGATCCTTCCACTTTAGACTGCTGAGTAGCTGGGACCACATCTGCATGTCACCACACCTGGCTAATTTTTAATTTTTTTTTCTTTTTTTTGTAGAAACAGGGTCTCCCATATTTCCCAGATTGATCTCAAGCTCCTGGGCTCATGCAATTCTTTTTCCTCAGCCTCCCAAAGCATTGGGAGCCACCATTCCTGGCCCATTCATTTGTTTGTTGATGGATGCGTAGGTTGAGTTTATGTCTTGGCTATTGTGAATAAACTGCAATAAACATAGAATCTAGATATCTCTTTGACATCCTGATTCCATTTCCTCTGGACATATACTCAACAGTGTAATTGCTAAGCATATGGTAGTTTTACTTTTTAGTATTTTAAGAAACCTCCATACTATTTTTCATAATGGCTGTACTAATTTACATTTCCATCCGCAGTGAGTGAGTGTTCTCCTCTCTCCACATCCTCAGTGACACTCATTATATTTTGTCTTTTTGAAAACAGTGATTCTAACAGGTGTGAAGTGATATTTCATTGCAATTTCCATTTGCATTTTCCAGATGATTAGTCATGTCGAACATTTTTCATATATATTTTGGCCATTTTTATGTGTTATTTGGGAAAAAAATCTATTCAGTTATTTTGCACATTTTTAATAGGGTTATTTGTTTTCTTGCTATTGAGTTTGTATTTTGGATATTAAGTCCTTGTCAGATGTATGTTTAAAAATATTTTCTTACATTCTGTAGGTTGTCTTTCCACTCTGTTGATTGTTTCCTTTGCTGTGCAAAAGCTCTTTAATTCGATGTAATTCCATTTGTCCATTTCTGCTTTTGTTGCCTGTGCTTTTGATGTCTTATCCCAAAAAAAGTTGCCCATACCAATGTTATGAAGCACTTTCCCTCTGTTTTCTTTTAGTACTTTCATAGTTTTGAGTCTTAAGTATTTAATTCATTTTGAGCTTATTTTTGTATATGGTGAGAAACAGGGTCAAATTTAAGTCTTCTGTATGTGAATATCTAGTTTTTCCAACTTCATTTATTGAAAAATATTGTTCTTTCCCCAGTGTGTGTCCTTGGCTTGTCAAAAATCAGCCAACTGTAAATTCATGAATTTATTTCTGGGCTTTCTATTCTGTCCCCTTGCCCTATATGTTGTTTTTTTTATGACAGTGTCACGTTGCTTTGGTTACTAGAGCCTTATAGTATGTCTTGAAATCAGGTAGTGTGGTGCCTTTAGCTTTGTTTTGTTGTTATTGTTTTTGTTCAAGATGGTTTTGGCTATTCAGGGTCTTTTATGGTTTCATATAAATTTTAGAATCTTTTTTTTCTATTTCTGTGAATAATGTCATTGGTATTTTGACAGAGATTGCATTGAATCTGTAAATTGCTTTGGGCAGTTTGGTCATTTTAACAATATGAATTCTTCTAATCCATGAACATGAGACATTTTTTCATTTATTTGTGTCTTCTTCAATTTCTTTCATCAGTGTTTTATGGTTTTTATTGTGGAAATCATGCACCTCTTTGGTTAAATCTATTCTTAGGCATTTAATATTTTGTAATTAGTATAAATGGTATTGTTTTCTTTAGTTTTTACATATTTTGCTATGAACATATAAAAACACTACTGATTTTTTTTTCTTTTAAGACATAGTCTGCTTCATTGCCCAGGCTAGAGTGCAGTGGCATGATTTCAGCTTGCTGCAACCTCCACCTCCTGGGTTCAAGCGATTCTCATACCTCAGCCTCCCAAGTAGCTAGGATTACAGGTGTGTGCCACCATGCCCAGCTAACTTTTTGTATTTTTAATATAGATGGTGTTCCACCATGTTGGCCAGTCTGGTCTCCATCTCACCGACTCAGATGATTCACCCACCTTGGCCTCCCAAACTGCTAGGATTACAGGAATGAGCTACCATGTCTGGCCACTACTGATTTTTGTATACTGATTTTGTATCCTGAAACTTTACTGAATTTGTTTATTAGTTCTAACAGTTTTTTTGGAGTTGTTAAGAATTTTCTATATATAAGATCATCTTCTCTGCAGATAGGGACAATTTAACTCCCTCCTAAAAGGTATCCAATTTGGGTACCTTTTCAATACAGTACAAAGGGCATGATTTCATTCTTTTTTATGGCCGTGTAGTATTCCATGGTGTGTATGTACCACATTTTCTTTATCCAGTCTGCCACTGATGGGCACATAGGTTGATTTTATGTCTTTGGTATGGTGAACACAAGTGTGCATTTGTCTTTTTGACAGAATTATTTATTTACTTTTGTGTGTATACCCAGTAGTGCAGTCAATGGGTCAAATGGTAGCTCTGTTTTAAATTCCTTGAGAAATTTTCAAACTGCTTTCCACAGGGGCTGAATTAATTTACATTTCCACCTACATTGTATAACTATACCATTTTATCTGCAGCCTCACCAGCATTTGTTGTTTTGACTTTTTAATAATTGCCATTTTGACTTGTGTGAAAATTCATATTCATTTTGATTTGCATTTCTCTGATTATTAATGATGCTGAGCATTTTTTCATGTTTGCTAGCCACTCGTATGTCTTCTTTTGAAAAGTGTCTCTTCATGCCTTTTGTCCAATTTTTAATGTGTTTATCTGTTTTTTTCTTATTAAGTTTCCTATAGAGTCTAGATGTTAGACCTTTGTTGAATGTAGTTTGCAAATGTTTTCTACAATTCAGTCTGTTGTCTCTTTATTATATTGATAGTCTATCTTGCTGTGCAGAAGTCCTTTGGTTTAATTAGGTCCCAAAAGGCTTTTTAACTAAAAATTAATTCTCCTTGCTCATTATTAGTCTATTCAGATTTTCTATTTTTTCATAATTCGATCTCAGTGGGTTTATGTGTCCAGAAACTTACCCATTTTTTTCTAGGCTCCAATTTGTTGGTGTACAGTTGTTCAGAACAGTCTCCTATGATCCCTTGTCTTTCTGCGATATTAGTTGTAAGGTCTCTTTTTTATTTCTGATTTTATTTATTTGAGTTTTTTTTTCTTATTCTAGCTACAAATTTGTCAATTTTGTTTATCTTTTTAACATAAATTCTTTATTACATTGATATTTTGTACAGTTTTTTAGTCTCTTTTTTTTTGCTCTAATCTTTATTATTTCTTTAATTTTACTAATTTTGGGCTTAGGGGTTTTTTGTGTTTGTTTTTCTAGTTCCTTGAGGTGCAATATTAGATCTTTCTACCTTTTTGGTGTAGGTGTGTGTTTATTGCTATAAACTTATTTTAAAACTCTTTTTGCTAAATCTTACAGATTTGTGTATTTTGTTTCTCCATTTTTATTTGTCTTGATAATTTATTTTTATGTACGTCTTCAATGACCCATTAATTGTTCAGAAGCATACTGTTTAATTTCCAAGCATTTGTGAAGTTTCTAAAGTTTGTCTTGTTTTTGAGTTCTAGTTTTATATTATTGTGGTCAGAAAAGTTATGTGATATAATTTCAATCTTCTTAAGTTTGTTAAGACTTATTTTGTGGTGTAACATATAATTTACCTTGGAGAATGTTCCTTGTGCAGTTAAGAAAAATGTGAATCTTGCAGCTATCGGATAGAATGTTCTATAAATGTCTGTAAGGTTCATTTCATGTAGAGTGATATTTATTTGTTTTTTTATTTATTTGAGATAGAGTTTTGCTCTTGTTGTCCAGGCTGGAGTGCAACGGCACAATCTCAGCTCACTGCAATCTCTGCCTCTTGGGTTAAAGTGATTCTCCTGCCTCAGCCTCCCATGTAGATGGGATTATGGGTAAGTGACACCATGCCTGGCTAAGTTTTGTATTTTTAGTAGAGATGGGTTTTCACCATGTTGGTCAGGCTGATCTCGAACTCCTGGCCTCAGGTGATCCGCCTTCCTTGGGCTCCCAGTGTGCTGCGCTTACAGGCATAAGCCACCACACCCAGCATAGAGTGCAATTTGAATCCGATGTTTGTGTTATAGTTTTCTGTCCGGATTGTCTGCCATTGCTTTAAGTGGGGTGCTGAAGTCCCCAACTATTATTGTATTTTATTCTATCTCTCCCTTTAGATCTATTTTATTACTTCTTTTATAAATTTAGGTGCTTTGAGGTTGAGTGTACATATATTTACAATTGTTATATCATCTATCTGAATTGACTCCATCATTATATAATGCTGTTCTTTATTTTTTTAGTTTTTAACTTAAAGTCTATTTTATCTGATATAAGTATAGCTACTCCTGCTGTCTTTTCATTTCCATTTGCATGAAATATCTTTTTCCATCCCTTCACTTTGAAGATATATATCCCTCTAGTTGAAGTGAGTCTCCTGCGGGTAGCCTATAGTTGAGTCTTAAAAACATCAATTCAGTCACTTTATATATTTTAATTGAAGAATTTAATTCATTTATATTCAAAGTCATTATTGATAGGTAAGGACTTACTACTGTTATTTTTTTATTGCTTTCTAGTCTTGTAGATCCTTTTTTCTTTTCTTTGTCCTTACTGTCTTCCTTTGTGGTTAAGTGATTTTCTCTAGTTGTATATTTTGTTTCTTTGCTTTTTGTTTTTAGTATCTCTTATAAGTTTTTAATTTGTGATTACTATGAGGCTTACAAAAAATCTTCTAGTTATAACAAATTATTTTAAACTTATAACAATTTCACTTTGATTACATTTAAAAAAACTTTGTGCTTACCTCACACACTTATTTTGAATTTTTGATGTCATAATTTACAACTTTTTATATTGCATATTCTTTAACAAATTGTTGTAGTTATCACTGTTTTAAAAAAGTTTTGTCTTTTAGTGTTCATACTAAAGATATATTTTTTTACACAATCCAATCCCAGTATTAGAATATTCTTAGTAGACTGTATACTTACTTTTACTGTGAGTTTTATATCTTTAGATATTTTCATGTTACTTATTAGTATAATTTTCTTTTATCTTGAAGAACTCCCTGTAAAATTTCTTGTAAAACACGTCTGGTAGTGATAAATTCCCTCAGCTTTTCTTTGTTTGGGAGAGTCTTCATATCCTTTGATTCTGGATGATAGTTTTGGTTTGCTAGATATAGTATTTTTTAGCTGACAGGTATATTTCTTTTTGGTTTTCTTTCAGTACTTTTAATATATCAGCTTACTTCCTTCTGGGCTGGATGTTTCTCTGATAAGTCTGATGATAGGTATATTGGGACTCTCTTATGTTATTGGTTTCTTTTCTGCCACTGCTTTCAGAATTTTTTTTTTTTTTTTGCCTTTAACTTTTGACAGTTTGATTATAATGTAGCCTTGGATTACATCTGTTTGGTGGCTTTTGACCTTCCTGTATCTTTCTCCAAGCTTAGAGAGTCTTCTGCCTGTATTTATTTAAATAAACTTTATTTAAATAAACTTTTTACTCCTTTGTCTTTCTCTACTCCCCTCTGAACTCCAAAGACCTCAAAACTTGCCTTTTGATGTTGTCCCACAAATCCCACAAGCTTTCTTTATTTCTTTCTATTTTTTTCTTTTTTTCCCTCTTACTAATATATATTTTCAAATAGTCTATCTTCAAGCTCACTGAGTCTTTCTTTTGCTTGTTCTGGTCTGCTGTTTATGCTCTCTATTGCATTTTTCATTTCTTTCATTGTATTTTTTAGCTCCAGAATATCTGATTAATTTCAAAAAATTATTTCAATGTATTTGTTAAATTTGTCTGCTAAATTTATGAGTTTTAGCATATTTAGCTGTATTTTATTAAAGTTTGCTGAGCTTTCTTGAAATAGCTATTTTAAATTATTTGTCCTGTAGATTATACGTCTCCATGTCTTTAGGATCTGTCACTGGCACCTAATTTTTGCCTGTTTGATGACATTATGGTTCTCTAATTGTTCTTTATTCTTGTGTTTATTTATTAACATCTGTAGATTAGATGTAAGTGTTTATTCCAGTCTGTGCAGCATGACTTTGGCTATGACTGTTCTTCTACAGTAAGCCTGTCCAGGAATTCCGAGTAGACTGTTGTGGTCTGTAATCCCATGGCTGCTACCACAGTTGCAGAACTAGAAAACGCCCTAAGCCTAAGGCCACCATGGCTGACATGACCCAGGTTGAAATCTCATAAGAGGCTGGCAAAGGGGTGAGTGACTGCTTCAAGAGTCTCTGAAAATGAGGTGCTTATTAGGGGCCCTGAGGAACTGGCTTCCTCTGGATCTTTGGGAGGATCCTGTTGAATCATTGGATGGGTTCCTGGGCTGGCCATTTTACTCAAGTCCATAACTGCCATGGGCTGGAACTAAGATACAGAGTTGTTTCAGGTACACACCTGAGACTGAGATCTTTAGACTTGACTTCAGGTCACACACAGATGTGTCTCCCAGTGGGTTCCTGTGTGAGCAGGCTTGCTTTCAGACTGTTGTTAAGGAGAGTTGGAGCCAATTTTTAGGGCAGTTCCAAGAGTCACAACGTGATTCAAGTCAGGGCATCAGCCTGCAGAACCACTACTGAGTGTCCCTCCCTCCAAGTCTCCAGGCAAGCAGTACTGCTCTCAGTTTACAGATGAGAGAGGGCAGGATCAAGGGCTGTTTGAGGATCAACTGAGGGACAAAGGTTGACAAGCTTACCACAGGACTCAGATGGGCATGCCTCCCAGTAGGACTCTCACTGCATAGGATTGCTACCAGACCACAGCTGGGAGGGGCTGAAACTGAGACAAGGCCACCTTGGGATGTGTTGTGGGATGGAGGCTGGCAAGACTGTCTTGATGACTCAGATGAGTGTGTCTCCCAGCAGTTCTCTGCACAGGTTGTGTAGTTTGCTGGCCATAGCAATGAGGAGCTGAAACTGAGACAGGGCCTCTTTAGGAGCTGTTGTGGAGCAGAGGCCAGAAATCCTGTCCTGGTGGCTCAAACAGGTGCATGCATGGGTAAAATTACTCCTGGGCTATGGCAGAAAGGATCTAGAGCCAAGACAGGGTCCCTTCAGGATTTGCTGTGGGACAGAGGTCAGCAAGCCTAGCCCAGTAGCTCAGACAGGCACATCTCCCTCTGGATCCTTTGTGAGTAGCATGATTCTGGGACCACAGCTGAGGGAGGCTGGAGCCACATTACAGGGTAACCCTCAGGTCCACTGCTAACACCACTCTGGGAGGCAGAAGAGCCTCTCTGCAGAAATACTAGTGTGTGTGTGCTTCCTCCAAGACCACTTGACAGATGATTTTGGTTATAGGGTCAAGGCCAAGCAGGGCTGTAGCCAAGCTCTTGAGGGGCAAGGCTGTTTCTGAATTGGAACCTGAAAGCGTGACTGGAGGATCAGAAACAGGGGTGCAGATCTGTACTCTCAAGACAACTGTCCCAGGTCTTGGGCTCTACCAGAGTTTCACAATCTACCTGATTCCAAGGACTCCCACAAGGAGACCTTTGTGGATGAGTGCGGAATTATTGTTGTTGTTGAGGGTATGAGTGGGTGACCTCCTATTTTGCCATCTTGCTGATGGCACTCGCTTAACCTTCTTTCCAACTCAAATTTCTCATTAACTTGGGCTTGAGTGTGTTTAGGAGGATGGCAGCCCTGAAGGGGGGTTCATGCTTCTGTTCTCGTCCTCAAAATTCCTAACATATGCTATCTTCCACAAATCTTCTTTTCAATCTCCAAATGTTACAGATAAATATGTGACTATTAAATTGAGAAAACTAAAAAAAGATATGCTTTTAGTTTACTTCCCAGATACAGAAATCTAAGTGTCAACTAATAATTTTTGACCTTATTTTTTCTTTCAGCCATGACAGAATAACTGGTATTAGATGAACTCTCCTGCCATAAAACTACAACGCGGGACAGTTTCAAGGCATTGTACAGCAAGTGGTACAAGACCAGAATCCTTCATTCATATACTCATCAGTGCACTCATTCATCAATCAAGTAGGCATTAAGCACCCATGCTACAGTGGCCATCTTGCTAGCGGAGGAAGAATAATAGGTGAGAATAGGAAGAACAGTAAGCCAGGCAAATGTTTGCCCTTCTTTTGATAAGAAACTCTAAACCCTTCTGGGGATCTATGTCTCTCACACCCTGCTCATGTGGCTTATTTGACTTGAACAATCCCAAACACCCATCTTGTTTGCAGGCTTCCATCCCTGCACCAAGCTTCTATACCTGTACCAACTATTAGGAACATTGTGGCCACTCTGTGCTTCTCCACGATGTTGTTGCTGAGTAGAAGAGAGAAAAAAAACCAATGACTTATCTTGCCTTGGTTAAACTGTACTTGGAGCCACAGTAGCAGATGCTGTTGGTGCCTTAACAGTTTTCCTCGAGTCCTCATCCTTTCTGTACACTTGGAGGACTTTGTGCTGCAGAGAACTTTCCGGCTGAGGTCCTTCTCTGGTCTGGGAGCATGTTCTGTCTATATGAGAAGCGTGCTAGAGGTGCAAGGGAATTAATTTCCCTAGGAGCAGCCCTCAAACAATGATGAGTGGTAGTGGTTATAAAGACCTCAGCTTCCTCGAACCATGGATAGAAAACTCTAAGTGTGCTGTATGGGGTGGCCCCGAGGCCCTCATTAGGACTGAGCTTCTGTTTGTCCACAGTGTTCACCCGCCCATTAGGGCATTCTCAACTTACCCCTTCCCTACCCTGTATCACTTGCTCACACTGCCACTGTTGCTTCCTGGGATTACCTCCTAAAATATCTGCTAGCACTCAATCCCTGTCTCAGGGTTGGCTTCTGAGGGACCTACATTGGAATGGCCATTGTACTCATAGGTGTGCAATTGGGTCTCCCAGATCTCTTTGGCACTGTGGCTTCTTTTTTAGTTTGCTGTGATATACATTTCCTCCCTGACTCTGGCCCCTTCCCTAGCAAGCTAGAACCAGGGATAAATTCCCCAGGGACGATTTGAATAATATAGTTCCTCATTCTAAATCTGAAGACATACTTGCTTACTCCCAGCCAGTGCCTCATACCAGCCATGAGCACCACCCTGAGTGAGTCAATACACTCTGCTCCTGTATTGCCAAGGGGTATAGAAAGGGGTCCCTGCCCTCCAGCTGTTCATGGTCTCAGTCACAGACTCAAGACACCCAGCCATAAAAATCAAGCTACATTCTCTCCCATAGGCTTGTTTATTTACATCTAATTTATAAGAGCTAAAATGAGCAAAGTCAGGTTGTCAGCACCAGCTGCTTGATCTACTGCCCAGAATCCTTTGCACACCTTTTGATAAGAAACTCTAAACCCTGTGAAATTTGCCGTGTGGTTGCAATTGGATGTATATTTGCATACTTGTCAAGCTCAGCCCAGCAGCAAGTTGCAAGTAAACTGCAGGAGGTAGAAATGTTTTCTTTAATTTTTTCAGTATTTCTATGTATTTATTTCAGTGTTTGCAAAAGCTCTGTAATTCAGAAAAGGGCCTCTGGGTCTACATAAAATACTTAGACATCACATGTCCGATATAAGCTGAACTGGAAGCCACCCAACAGATCAAATCAGTCCCTGTGATTTTTGACAAAGCCACCTGGGAACATAGTTCTTCAGGTGTTTTCACTGCTTTGTAATCAATATGGGCATTTCTTTCATTCAAAGAGTGGAATAGTATTAATATCCAATGTAGAGAAGATGTAACAGAGAGACAGAACCTTATGTAGAATTGGGTGACCATTCTCACACATTGTTATGGTTGTGAACAGTTCTGAGTTAATTTAGGAAGAAGAAAATGAGTTTAGTATAGGCACTTATGTTTTATTTTTAAACCTCATTCGAGTTAAATTTTGTCTTAGTTATGGATTACTGCATAACAGACTACCCCAACATTTAGTGGCTGAAAACAACACACACTTGTTATCTGGAAGTTTCTGTAAGTCAGGCATCGGATGCAGCTTGGCTGGGTCCTCGGCTCAGAAGACCATGTGGGCTGCAATTACAGTGTCAGCCAGGGCTGCGGTCAGCCCACAGGTCAGCTGGGACAGGCCTTGTGTCCAGCTTCCCTGCGTGGCTGCTGGAGATGACAGGACCTCGGGTCCTCAAGGGCTGTGGCCTGGAGGCCTCAGGGTCAGTCTTCAGAGAACTGCCTCTCTAGAATCTGTTTGCAAAAGTCCTAAACTCTGTTTCAGTAGCTGTGCAGTACACTCTCTTTTTAAATCAAATAACATTTAATCATAGGCTATTTAAAAGAAACATATTTTTGCTTTTAAAATGGAGTTCTATGGTATTATGAAGTTCTGCATCAAGCTCTCCTCTGGACAGGCTGCTGGGCGTCATGCTGGGCTCTGCATATGTGACTGAACTCAGGTCACATGGCCATTACAGCCCCCGGGGGTCATGCGCCCCAGCCTCCTTTGCCCTCTGCCAGTGTTGCCACCAAGTGTCATCATTCCACTGCTTAAAGCCCAGCTACCCCCTCTGTAAAACCAGGAGGGTTGAAATGAAGGGTTATTTGGTGCATCCCACAGCTAACAGTCCATGATCGGAAAACAAAAATGCTCTTCATTCAGTGGAATAAATGTGGCCCACGCTGATGGGATGTTTGCCCAAAGGGCACCAACCACGGGGTCCTACGGAGCTGGAGATGCAGGGAGGCTGAACGGCATCAACCCCAGGTCCTATGGAGATGGAGATGCAGGGAGGCTGAAGTGCAACCACTGCGGGTCCTATGGAGATGGAGATGCAGGGAGGCTGAAGGGCATCAACCATGGGTCCTATGGAGATGAAGATGCAGGGAGGCTGAAGAGCACCAACCATGCGGTCCTATGGAGATGGAGATGCAGGGAGGCTGAAGGGCACTAACAATGGGATCCTATGGAACTGGAGGTGCTGGGAGGCTGATGGGCACCAACCACAGGGTCCTATGGAGCTGGAGATGCAGAGAAGCTGAAGAGAGTCAACCGAGGGGTCCTATGGAGCTGGAGATGCAGGGAAGTCGTCTTCTCAGGGGGAGAAGAGCTCTGGCTCTGCATGCTGAGCTGCTTCTTGGTTTCATACTCCTTGGTTCCAGCTCCTTGAATTTGAACCACCCCAAATCCAAACCCGGGACTGAGAACAGGAAGAGAAAATGCCCTGAGAACAGGGACCTGGAGACCAGGCCTCACACACTTGCAGGGCATCCCAGCAGAGGTGCTTCGTTGGCAGGTGGTAGGCACTTTCTGCTGTGTGCCCCTCCGTGCACTCATCATTGATGCCGCCACGACTCTCAACCCAGAGCCCCAGGCAAAGCTCCCTTTCCCTTGAACTTGTCACCAGGAGCTGCAGCTTGCTGGGAGAGGTATGCCCTCTGTTATTTTCCTACTCAACCCACACAATCTCCACACTTGCCTCTTCTGATTGAATCAGAAATCACTCTAAATCTATCATTCAATTTCAAAGCAAAATGCAATTAAATCAGCAGGCACAGAATGCTGGCGTTTTCTCTGCTTGCTGCCTCTGAAGCTGTGGCAGCTGCCCCCAGCCTGGATTTGGAAAATGCGGTTCCTTGACTGCCTGCCCCTTCTCTGTCTGTCTTTCTCTCTTAGATTATAACATATTTCAAGTTTACAGAAAAGAAAAGAGAAATATATAAGCAATGCTTTGTATCAACAACTGGCTTTTTAAATTGTCTCATTTTTCTATGTGTGCATCAGGGTTCTGGAAGAAGTAGAGTTTCTGAAGGTTCTCTTGTCGACCTCTTTGTTCTCCTTCCCATTCTCCTCCCTCCTCCCCTTTCATGCTAAATGTGGCATTGGCCATTCCTGTACTCACTTTAATGCTTTTTATACATATGCACTGCCAATAAACTGTATACATTGTGGCTTCACATGTTTTAAAATTGGACATGAACACACATACACCATCCTGCCATTTGCTTTGTGGCTGAATGTTATATCTTCTGACCATCAGCTCTTGATGCATACGGAGAATTTATTTTTTTTGTTTATTTCTCTGTTTACTTTGGCTCACAATTGCTTCTTTTTTCTGTCCTTCACTTTTTGTTTTGAAAAAGTTATCGATCTGCAGGAAGTTGCAAAGATAGTACAGAGAGGTCCCCTGTACCCTCACCCAGCTTGCCCAAGGGATTACAGGCAATGTAATTATACAATGTCAAAACCAA
Source organism: Homo sapiens (assembly GCF_000001405.40). NCBI lineage: Eukaryota > Metazoa > Chordata > Mammalia > Primates > Hominidae > Homo > Homo sapiens. The sequence goes on from NC_000005.10 coordinate 3,378,957, forward strand.
GACTATGACAGAGTGTGAGGTGTGTAGTTCTGTGCCATTTTATCACAGATGTAGGTGTGTGCGGCCATCACATTTGAGACCTAGGACTGGGATAGCACCAACTACCCCTCTGATCGAACCCACCGTCCCCCAGCACCCCTAAATATGGGCACCACAAATCTTCCCCATCCCTATAATTTTGTAGTTTCGAGAATATTATATAAATGGAGCCATAGAGTATGCTACCTTTTGAGATTGTTTTTCTCCCAGCATGAGACCCTCAGGGTGGGACTGGATGGTGTCTCCGTGTCCCGGGCTGCATAGAGGGCCTCACAGTGAATGAAAGACACACAGACACTCTGAGGCTTGGGAAAAGCTGGCGAATGCGGCATTCATGGAATCCTGTTTGAAAAGAGTGGTAACGAAGTGGGCATTCTTCTCTATGCAGGGTGCTTGAACCTCTTCACACTGTCCCTGGTCAGGGGCTTTAGAATGCTTGTGTGTTGACCAATCTCCCAACATACGTGCCATTCCGCTATTGCTAGCCATGAGGTCTCCACAATGAGTTTGCTCGGGCTGCCCCAACCAGGTAAGACAGACTGGGTGGCTTAAACAACAGGACTTTATCGTCTCACGGTTCTGGAAGCCTGAAGTTCGAGATCAGGTGTCCATAGCTTAACCCATAGCATACACAAGGACTTGAGGGTCTGATTAATATTCTGACTCTTCTCTGCTTTAAAATTTTCTGAAGTTCCTCCTTTTCCAGAGAGTATAATAAAAACTGCCTTCCTGAGGCTTCTAAGGCCAAAGCAAACTGCTTTTCAACCACAGCTCCTACCACTTTCCCCAACTCCTAAGTCCTCCTTTGCACTCATTCCCCACAAATAGTCATTCAACAAATGCCTGGGGGCCCCCTGAACCAGGCACCATGATGAGGAGCCTGAGAAACAAGCAGAGGCAGAGAAGGAGAATGTTTCTTTATTCTCACAGAGCCATGGATGCCTGCACACTCTCTGATACCAAGACTTTGCTTTCTCTGTTTGTTTAAAGCCATAAAATAAATGCAGCTCCAAGACAATCCCCGTTCTGTGAACACAGGCTTATTGGCACTGCAAAGTCAGCAAAGAGCACTGGTATTCACCATGATTTATGTCACGCTTATATTATATGCACAAAAATAAAAATAAGGCTGGTCAAAATACACAATGGGGTTTTGTTCAAAAATCAAAAAATCATGAAAACTGTTGTGACAAGTGCATGTGCCTTTTCCTTGCCTTTGTGCTGCATAGCACCTGACCTGTGCTTTCTAGAGTCAAAGGCTGTGAATTATTTGCATCTCCCTTAACTCTCTGTGGAACAGTTTGTTCAAATTTACTCTACTTTTAAATGCCTCTAAAGGCATCTGTACTGAGGTGAATGGTGGCCCCACAAGGACACGTCCAGGTTTTAACTCACCAAACAGGTAAATGGGACCTTATTTGGCAAAAGCAGCTCTGCAGATGTAGTTAAGCAAAGGAACTTGTGAGTAAACCATCCTGGACTATCTGGGTGGACCCTAACTCCAGTGATAATTTCCCTAAAAGAGGCAGAAGAGGACACACAAAGGGACGAAGACCATGGGAAGGTGGAGGCTGAGGTCAGAGTGATTCAGCCACAAGCCCAGGAGCACCTGGAACTCCAGAAGCTGGAAGATGCAGGAAGGATTCCCCCCTGGAGCCCCTGGAGGGAGAGTGGCTCTGCCATCACCTTGATTTCAGACATTTGGGCTCCAGAACTCTGAGAAAATTTCCTGTTGTTTTAAGCCACCCAGTGTGTGGTATTTGCTACCATGGCCACAGGATACCAAGACACTTATTTTTTGACACAGAAATCAAGAGCTCATGGAAGAAAGTGACGGGGGTGAGGACCTGGAGCACCTAGGAGTGCAGGTGGCTATCCCTGCCTCCACCTTGGGGCCACCTGGGAACAGCTTTGAAAGCACCTGCCATGACCATTCCCCACCCCCAAGTCCAGCTCTGGGGCTTTCTCATGGGGGTTCGCACCAATGCAGTTCCAGCCCAAGTGCTCAAATCTTCTCCCTGAAAACAAGTCTTGCCCAGTAGGCCTGGATCTCGTATGACCAACACATCATTCCCACAGCACATTTCTGTGAACCTCCTCATGACCTGCCCTCAGGACCGTTCATAACAAGGATCTACTCACCCTGCCTCTCAGGACCCAATGCCCGTTCACAGGAGGCCAACACCCCTGTGGCTGCCTCTGGAGGCTGGTATTGGCCCTAGCTGGCTTGGAGGCCATGGGGTCCACTGGGTGAAGACCCAGTGTGGTGTAGAGGTGTCAGCTTCCTGAGCTATGCCTTTCTGAAGGACTGGACGCAACCCCATGGCCTCCCTGGAGCCCTCTCCCTGCCCCTCCACCCGCCCTGACCCTGGTCTGGAGCTGAGGCTGACAGTGTGTGGCCTGGGTGGAAAAATCACGCAGCCCCTCATGTTTTGGTGCTTCTGGAGTGTGCTCATCACCGTCCTGGGCATGGAGGCTGCAGGGCAGCTCCGTCCTCATGAAGAGGTGTCTCAGTGTGCTCCGGTTCAGGTGCCACCATTCCACCTGCGGGGCAGCTCCGTCCTCATGAAGAGGTGTCTCACTGTGCTCTGGTTCACGTGCCACCATTCCAAGGACCGTATCAGTTACACCTAAGTGACTCACACCAGGACTTTAGGAGAGAGGTGTCGCACTTAGGTCCATTTGCAGTGAGAAAGCTGAGCACAGAGGAGATATGCAACCTCCCAAGGCCACACCGTGGGCCACATTGAAATCAGCGTTCAAACCCAGTTCATGTGGCTCAGTGCCCACCCAGCCCGTCCCTGCAGCCAGGGGCCCTTAAATACGTTAGGGCCTGTGGGATTAGCACACTGACTCATGTGGAAGAGAAGTAAATGGTAAGTAAGCACCCCCCAAAACACACACACACACACACACACACACACACACACACACACACACACACACACAAAATGGTGAGAGCAGAAGGGACATAAGTAAGCACCCCCCAAAACACACACACACACACACACACACACACAAAACGGTGAGAGCAGAAGGGACATAAGTAAGCACCCCCCAAAACACACACACACACACACACACACACACACACACACAAAAAAAAAAAAAAAAAAAAAAAAAAACGGTGAGAGCAGAAGGGACATAGGGCAAGACTGAGACAGCAAAGGAGATGTAGGTTTGTAAAAGGAAGGGCATGCCTGCAGGGAACAGAATGAGCAAAGCCGCACACATCACGGGTCCCCTGTTGACTGGCCTAGCCTCCTGCAGCCCAGGTGCCAGCTGATCTGGGCCCACTTTACCAACATCATCTGTGATCGTTGATGCTATTTTAGGTTCTTAGCTTCAATTCTCAGTGACAGTGGGGAGCGGGCCTTCTCAAGGTTAAAGAGGCCAGCCTGGAAAGCGTACCAGGACTCCCGCACTGCAGAAGGCCATCCTATCCCTGTACTCGCATTTCCTGTCGGTGCTCGGCAGAGCCACACTCTTCCCGGCCCTGGATGTACTCCCAAACCAGCTCTGCTGCATTTACATATTTCTTCTGCATCTTGCTTTTTGACCTTTCGGAGACCCAAGGTCATGAGATCCAGTTCCCGGTAATGGATACGTGGACCTGTTTTCACATCTAACACTGCGACTGTGAGCCCTCAGCAGCTTCAAGCCCAGCTTGCTAATCACTCGTTGTACTCAGCAGCACTTGCATTGTGCATTAGAACACTGTGTAAGGGACACATCCAGATACTTAGCTCAGCTCTCACGAAAGGTCTGTAATGCAATCTCACCCTGGCCCTGAGCTATGTTGGATAGAATTCTTTGAGCTCAGAGTTGAAGACACACAAGTGTTATTTGGTGCACTAATTGGAACACATCGATGAGATAAGAGCCCCATTTGTCCAGAGCTTATATTTGGCTTGGGAGAGGAAGTGGTTCACAAGCCCAAATAAACAAGGGCGTCATGAGCAAGTGCATCGCCTGTCCAAAGAGGAGATGCACACAGGAGATGCACAAGGGCGAGCAGAGGAGGCAGGCCGGCGAGCTCAGAGGACGTTTTGTACTTGAGAGTTCCTAGGGCTCGAAACTCCCTGGACAAACAGCAGGGATGATTTTTGAAGTAATTAGCAGAAACTGTATGCATTTGGGCCATTCAAACAGGAGGCCAATACTCAGGGAAACGGGGAGGGAAAGAGCCATAGGAAGAAATGGGAGGGTAGAAGCTGGCCCCGGAAGCTTGCAGCTGTTGCATGACTGCCCGTCCATGCAGAATTTTCAAGGAATGAATTTCAGAGATGCTGAAACTGAGAGCCACTTACCCAAACGATCCCCCTGATTTCTAACATTCATAAAAGTGGTGAGAGTAACTGCTTGGCAACTAAGGAATAGTATCACCGCATTAAACCTAAATTGAATTTAATTGATTACATAATTAAGAGACCCAAGAAGGGTCCTGGGAACACAGGCATTTGAGGCGCCATCTCAATCATACTGAAGTCAACTGTGTTTTGAATATTCTTTTTTTTTTTTTGAGACGGAGTCTCGCTGTGTCGCCCAGGCTGGAGTGCAGTGGTGCGATCTCAGCTCACTGCAAGCTCTGCCTCCCAGGTTCACACCATTCTCCTGCCTCAGCCTCCCGAGTAGCAGGGACTACAGGCGCCCGCCACCACGCCTGGCTAATTTTTTTTTTTTTTTGTATTTTTAGTAGAGACGGGGTTTCACTGTGTTAGCCAGGATGGTCTCGATCTCCCGACCTCGCGATCTGCCCGCCTCGGCCCCACAAAGTGCTGGGATTACAGGCGTGAGCCACCGCGCCTGGCTAATTTTTTTTTTTTTTGTATTTTTAGTAGAGACGGGGTTTCACCGTGTTAGCCAGGATGGTCTCGATCTCCCGACCTCGGGATCCGCCCGCCTCGGCCCCACAAAGTGCTGGGATTACAGGCGTGAGCCACCGCACCTGGCTAATTTTTTTTTTTTTGTATTTTTAGTAGAGACGGGGTTTCACCGTGTTAGCCAGGATGGTCTCGATCTCCCGACCTCGCGATCTGCCCGCTTCGGCCCCACAAAGTGCTGGGATTACAGGCGTGAGCCACCGCGCCTGGCTAATTTTTTTTTTTATTTTATTTTTTATTTTTAGTAGAGACGGGGTTTCACTGTGTTAGCCAGGATGGTCTCTATCTCCCGACCTCGCAATCCGCCCGCCTTGGCCCCACAAAGTGCTGGGATCACAGGCGTGGCCACCGCGCCCGGCCTTGAACATTCTTTCATGACCTGCCTTCTTTTCTTTTTGGTTCTGAGCATGTCTGTTCAGTTCCTAGAAGGAAAGCCCCCATTTCAATGTTATTCACCCGTCTTTCTCTATGTAAACTACCCAAGCTGAGAAATGTTTCTGGTTTTGCCAAACAGATGCCTTAGAAACCGGTCTCCTTGCCCTCACAGTGTCTTCCGTCTAAAGCAAGGAATAGGGAGCTTTTCCCTTCCACTTGTCCCATAGGCACCACTTATATGCGGAGACAACTGCCCAGAATAGTCTTATCTTGGCCTGAGCAGCAAATCCCCAAACCCTACAAAACACAGTGATTCTCTCTCCATCCCGGTTTTCAACTCACTCTTCCACAGAAGTATGGACATGTCTTTAAGTGCTTGTAATATGTTTGCATTCTCTCCTATCCCAAACTTTCCACAGCCTGTCACACGCAGTTCCTGCTGACCATAAAGTCATGGCTAAAGTGTGGCTTGAGTGAGCAAGAACATTCAAGGCAAAACGTACGCAGGTTAAACAAGGGCTAGCTTGGCACCCAAAATAAAGCCAGTGCTGACAGTTGCCACTGGACCACTGACTCTCCTTAGCCAGTACATGGGAGGTCAAGTTGTGAAGGGATGTGAAGCCCTGTTGCCCACGGCTGCTGGGGTTGGCGGGGGGTGGTGGGAAGGGGCTGGCGCAGAGTTACCTTGAGGCGCTAGTGGTTGCCTTAGCACAGCCATCGGCGGAGGCCCCTTGTCCTGCATGATCCTTTTATGATCAGATGTGCTGTTCTGTGCCAGCCAAATGGGGAGAGCAAAACAGTGCATGGCTGTTCTAGTCTTGTTTTCATAATTGGTAAGGAGGTTATGTGTGGCTTTCTCTTGCCTGTTTATGGTACTTCTAAAGAAGCTTTAACATTGATGAGTTTGTGTGTGTGTGTACGTATCCATGTAAATATATACACAATGACGTTACACTGAATAGTATAGAAAAGATAACTATTGGGTACTGGGCTTAATACCTCAGTGACAAAATAATATGTACAACAACCCTCCAGGACACATGTTTACATATGTAACAAACCTTCACATGTACCCCAAAACCTAAAATAAAAGTTCAAAAAGGAGACATATATAAGCTTTTCCTTTGAGATTGGTGTTATGTGATACGAGTTCAAGCGCCCCCTCCCCTCTTCTCTGGGGTCACAAAGGCATTTAACATTTACCTGCCACATTTAGGTCAGGGTCTCAGTTCTACCTGGAAAGGTGTTCAATGCATGCTCAAGCACTGACACGCAATTGTCTGCAGCATCTGTGACAAGGCGGGGAACAAATTTTTTGTCCATTTATGAAAGGGAGGGACTATTGTATGCTGCCACCATGAAGGGCTCGGCAGCATTTGAATCAATGACCCAGAGTGCAGGTCTGCTCGGCAAAAGCCAGGGATGGCAGTTGCCCAGGAGAACTACGGGTGCCACGTAAGTCACTGCCCATGGAAGCCAAGGCACTGGCTGTCAGCACAACTCAGACGTCGAGAATGAAATGCTGGAGTTATCTGGGCCAGCGGTTTTGTCCTAATAAAGAATCTCTAGGCACTCTGGTACCTTAACACTACTATTCTGATTAATTAATTTAGATGGAATCTTCCTGACCCAGAGTTACAAATTATTCTCTAAGAAACAAATAAACACACACAACAAACTCTTTGAGAAACTGTCTTCCATTTTCCTACATGAATGTCGAAAATATAAATAAGAGTCTGAGTCCCACCTCAAGCACCTGCTAACGAAAGCATCTTTGATGGAAGAGAACTGCCCCACGTCACAGCCTCTGCTCTAGAAAGGGGTCCTGAAAGCAGGAAATGTCACACCCCAGTGTGAGAGATAAACAGAGGCCAGCTCCAGAGTGCGCAGGGACTCTGGAAACAGTGTCTGCAAATGACTTTGGTCCCCTGGCGTGATGAATCATGGAGCCGCAAATCCTTTTTAGCTAATTGCTATCAGCTTGTGAGATTTTTCCTTCCATGTTCAATATCAATTTTCATGGCCATAGGAGATAGCGCTTCTCCCCTGAGCCTACTGACGACTGGCGGATAAAACGGCAGCAGCAGCACTTAACAGTTTAAAGCGGGAGTCATCTAATATGCAGCTGCTGCTGGGGGAGAAAAGGGGAAAATGAGCAGCCATGGCGTGGAAGGACGGGTCTCGCTAATGCATTCGAGGCTGTGACCTTCTCACAAAGTCGTCCTTCAGTGTTGACACACTGTAGATTCTGTCACCGTGCAAACTTTGCCTTGTCACAGAGCCGGCGTGGTCTTGCTGGAGAGGAAAGCTGGAATTTGTAGCCTTCTGTGTTGTGTCTTCAGCACAACACAGAAAATAAATTCACTTCTGAGATGGAGGTGGTTACTGTATTCTGAAGATGAATGTGGGATGGGCCACTGGTCGTATTCCTCGTGCGTAACGCTGTATTTCATTAGAAACAAAGGGGTTTCGGTGCTGCCTTCCCCCAGGACAAACCTACAAGGCATGCACAGCCCTCTCTTGTAATGAGCACACTCTCCAGCTGTATTGGAAGGAGTCTCCTCCAGAGTCTCCAGACGCGTTGGAAGCCCGCTGCACAGGAAGGAGCGGCGTTCATGATGCTGCAGCCGTGACCACGTGCACATCAGCGTGAGTGCAGTCAACACAGACGGCCCATGGCACTGAGAGCCCAGTGAGGCCCTGGACACGTGACGCTTAACTAACGTGGAGATCTGCACTCCAGGGATTTAACTGTGCAGCTTAGCTTTAAAGACTTGAGATGGTGAGAAACACATTGATGAACATTTTTCACCACATTCAGTAACAAACTTGTTCGCTTGCTCCTGAGTGAGGCCAAAAGAAATTCATATTTCTGAAGAACTGTGCGGAGAAACAGTCTTGGGTCCTGCAGTATTGCCCTGAGGGAAGCCCCCGCTAAGCCGTCTCTCGGCCAGGTCCCTGGAACTTTCTAAGCCTGGTTGATTTTCTCCTGTGGAGCCTGCTGATGTGCCTGGCCAAAGACTTGATGTCATCACTCTGCTACTTTATACTATCAGCAGTGTAGGTAAATTATTTGTAGTGCTGTTATTGCTTTCAATATTCATAGGTCTCATTTAATGAGTTTTACAAAGTGCTCGGCACCTGTGCTAAGCACTTTGCATGCATCGTCTCATTTCATCTTTGACCCTGTGTGCTACATGAGATTATTGTCCCCACCATCTAGCAAGGGAACCCGTGCTCCTAGGCCTTAAGGAAGCCAGAGGGTCACGGCACATGGAGGCTGGAGTTGGACTCACATCACGGTTTTAACCCGGCACGATGGAGAGTCCTCATGAAATACTCAGGGACTTGCCAATTTTTATTTAGCTGGTTTCCCTCAGCGAATCTTACATGTAAAAGTGGCTAACTAGTAACTCGGGAAAAGTATTGGCTTTTCACTGCTTTCCCCATTTTATAAATATGTTCACGGACAGTCAGATAGTTTGAGGCTGGGGTAATTGCACACCCAGAAGTCAGAGGATTGGGTGAACAATTAAGAGGTGATTGAAAACGTTTTGAAGACTGCTAAATGATCACCTTCCAGAAAGGAGCTGGACAGGCTCCCTTGGTGCTGAACGCTGTCTCTACCCTTGTGTGGGCGGGTGAGGTACAGCCATGTCCAGACCATGACCTGAAAATGGAAAGAAACCCCAGCAATCCTTCCCTTACAGTGAGTAACTTCTTTTCCATCACGATGGCACTGTCACTTTTTGACAGGTAGGTTAGATTTCAAAACAGCAATCCTCCCTTGGAGAGGCTGGCAGGAAAGTGTTCAAAACCCCTCCCCAGCTCCCATGGCCTTGGACAGCAAATCAAACCTTCTGCACCTCAATGTCACTACATGCAAAGTGGGAATAAGCTTACCCCTCCCAGGGTTGGGCATAGTAGGTTATGGAAAATCGTGGTTCTTATTAATCATGATGTGTCTAACTCCACATAAAAATAACTTCCCCTGCAGGACCCCTGCTCCCGGGAGAACACTGCTCTATCAGCTGAGGCCCTGAGCTGACCCAGCACCGCCTGAATCACGATCTTCTATTAATGTTCTGTTCAGGGAAAACCCTGGAACCAGGGCCCACGGTGCTTTCATTCTCCACATTCTTGCCCTAATCAGGTATGCTGAGCCTTCGGAACATCATTTCCATGTTTGCAAAATGAAGACATAGAGCTGATTCTGTCTCCTTGGCAGAGCCAATGACGAGGTGAATTAAATGAGTGGGTTTCCTTCAGCGCCCGCCTCCAACAAGGCATTTGGAATGTCCCAAAACATGGCAGCATGCAGGACCATCTTCTCTCCTTTAGAGGGGCAGTGGCCCAAATTAGTTCTGACCTTTCTCTTCTGTTTTGTGAAGGAAAGGCAGTAGACACGGAGCGGGGAGAAGGGCTCCATTATTACCGAAAAAAATGGAAGACATTTCGTTCACGAGGAGATCATCTTCTAGGGAGCCTCGTGTGTGCACCAGTCAGCATGGTGCTTTTGGGCAGAAGCTAGGAGGGCGCTCTGAAGCCAGAGGGATCTTACGGATGAGATGAGGTGCCCAGCTCTCCCCCCTTATGGGAACGCCAGGTCCCACCTTCCTTCAACACCAGGTCCCACCTTCCTTCAGTCTTTCATCACCGCAGTGTCCTGTGGGGTACGGGATTTGGTCTCAAGTGGAGCCACATAATTTACTTTTAGAAAATCTTAGTTCAGAAATATTATTTTCCAGGATTCTGTTCTGCTTTTTAAAAATAAATAAATATGTCAACCAACAAGAAAGAATCCTTTAATTTGCTGTTGATTTCTCGGCTCAGTGCATCTTTTCTCTGTTGGTTGATTCAGGGCTTAAGAGTTGTGAAGTCTTGTTTGGAGAAAATAAGATTTGGGAAAGGTGAGTGATGAGTGTCACACTCAGCCATTCAACAGGCATTCACTGGACAAGGTGGTGGGTGTATCAGATGTCTGCCAAACAGTGGGAACACCGTGTAGCTCAAAGACATTTGGGGGCATACGGAGAAGGGAGGAAACCCTGTCTCTGGGTGACAGATGGAGGGAACCCACCACGCCTCCCAAAGGAAGACCTCCTGGGGCTGGGATTGATAGGGAAGGGGGCTTTCCACGAGCAAAAATACTCATGGCATGCTCTTTTATTAGATGAGGATGGTTTCACAGGGAAGGAAAGGTAACATATGCAGTTTTTAGATCAATTCAGGTTCAATACTTCTTTTATTTGTTTAGTGTCTACTCTCAGCCATCCAAGGCCCAATGGACAATTACCTATTTCCTGTGCATCTGTAAAGGTGGTGAGAAGCTCGGTTTCCTGCCTGTATGCGTAGGAGGTTGCAGGCTGCACAGCCCAGTAGCTGCCTTGGTGAGGCTGTGTGCAGCTCCCCATTCCACCTCCACACCTCCCAGTCTGCAGTCCTGGCTTCTCGGGACCATTCCGAATGACGAGATTGCTCCCAAGTGGGAATGCAGTGGTCATACACTGAGATGGACAGTGTCCCTGCAGCAGGCGCCAAGCAGCTCTGGGCCGGGGCTACTGTTGCTTTTGTTTACATGGATGGGGCTCAAGACTGCAGTCTGGACCCACAGATCCCTGAGATGGTACTGATGATGTCAGAGCTCCGGCCAGAACCAGCCAACAAAGACTGCGCAGCCTGTGATGGCAATACTTAATCACTTGACACGCTGTTATCATTTTCCTCATCTGCTATTAATAATGTGATCTGGAAATGGGAGGCCGAGGAAGTGTTCTAAATTCCTTGAATAGAAATAATGTGCTTAGTTAATAAATATGAAGTTTCATTATTTTAACGTGTGTGTTTTTATACATTCTCATATTTCACATGGTTATATTATATCTGCCTTTGAGTTCTAATGTTATCTTGGTTACATATAGAAGATTCTACCTATACTCACACTTACTCTTTAAAATACACAGTTATCACTGAATCTTTTTAATTGTGTTATACTTTTTTTTTTTTTTGAGACGGAGCCTCCCTCTGTCACCCAGCCTGGAATGCAGTGGCGCAATGTGGGCTCACTACAACCTCCGCCTCCCGGGTTCAAGCGATTCTCCTGCCTCAGCCTCCCAAGTAGCTGGTACTACAGGCACATACCACCAGGTCCAGCTAATTTTTGTATTTTAATAGAGACGGGGTTTCACCATGTTGTCCAGGCTGCTCTCAAACTCCTGACCTCAAGTGATCCACCCACCTCAGCCTCCCAAAGTAACGGGATTACAGGCGTGAGCCAACACGCTTGACCTCAATTGCGCTATTTTCTTACAAAAAGCCCGGAGTTTGGTGGTGAATGATCTCACACTTCATTTATTTACATTTACCCAAAGAGCCTCTCCACTGGTGCAGAGTCTGACGAAGGTGCAGGGCATGATTCTCCGTCCACTGGTGCAGAGTCTGACGAAGGTGCAGGGCATGAGTCTCCGTCCACTGGTGCAGAGTCTGACGAAGGTGCAGGGCATGATTCTCCGTGGCACTCGGGGAGGCATGTTTTTCCAGCATTGCCCCACCTTGCTGGGACCTATTGCCCCACTGCACTCCATGCACACTGCTGGTGATGGAAGTCCTGGCCATCTGTGGCACTGGCCATGATGTAGGAGAGCTGAGGGGAGCAGCCACAGGCAGACGGACCTCAGACCCAGCTACAGCAAGGGGCTCTTCCAGTCCAAGTCCCCTTTTCTCATGTGGTCAAGAGCCAACCTGGCCTCCAAAATATGGCGGCTCCCAGGGATCTGCCCAACCTCTGTCGTACATGAATAGTTTCCTTGAGCCTAAGGACATGCCATGTAATCCAGATGATGGGACAAACATGGTGCTGAAATCTGTTGGATTCCCTCTCCATGATCTCATTAGCTGCCCATCTTTAAGGAAGTTGATGTAATTGATGAGGAGTGAGACACAGAGTGCTGAACTTGGGCCCCTCACTGGGAAACTGAGAGAGGATCTTGCCTCGGCCTTGTGGGCCCATTTTGATGTTTAAGGATCTCTACCCCACCAAAGGTGTCTGGCAGTTACTCCAAGAAGAGATGGGAAGCATGCAGCCTACCCACCTTCCTTGCCAGAAGGGGTAAGAATGGTAACTGGTCACCCACCAGGCTCTCTCGTCTCCTAGGCCTTCAGGCTTCAAGGGTGGAAAGTGCTCCTTCTGTAACAGCAGCTGCATCCGGCCCTCCAGGGATCCCCCACCAGTGTCCACACGTTTCTGGTTGATTTTCTCAGGGTTCCTTTACTGGCCTGACTCTGCCGGGCTGCTTCCCACTCCTGGGCATCAGCGCATCTCAGCATGTCACGTTCACTGGCTGAAGCCAGGGCTTTGCAAGGGGGTTTGAGAGACAGGATGGTGAGACCTGTGGAGGGAGCACCAGAAAATGGCACGAGGGGCCGCAGGCACTCAGCTCTTCAGCATCGACTCTGGCGAAGGCTACGTGTTCCACAGTCATTATGAAAAGGTTTGCTGTCTTTGAGGCAGGACGGATTCAGCCTTACACATGGACATGCACACACACACAAACACACACACACAAATACATGTGCGTGCACACAAACACACACTAAATACCCATAAGAAAAGCCAGCTATGCCAGCTCACCTTTGCTGAGAATGAAGAAGGGCACCTTGATATGCAATAGTTTAAGTGAAAATTCTTAGGAGCTCAAATTGCTAGTGATATATACTGTTTTTTTCATTTATAAGTAAACCTATTCTATTGTTTACAAAAATGCTCTGATGTGCGGGAGCAAAGGCTTTATTTTTCAAGAGGGCTCTTCTGGAGCTGAGCAGTATGTTGGGGTGGCTGGGGAGGCTGGGGTGGCTGGGAAGATGAGTGGCTGGGGAGACTGGGGTGGCCAGAGAGGCTGGGGAGGCTGGGGTGGCTGGAGAGGCTGGAGAGGCCAGGGTGACTGACTGGGGTGGCTGGGGAGGCCGGGGAGGCTGGGGTGGCTGGAGAGGCTAGAGAGGCCAGGGTGACTGACTGGGGTGGCTGGGGAGACCGGGGAGGCTGGGGAGGCTGGAGATGCCAGGGTGACTAGGGTGGCTGGGGAGGCTGGGGAGGCGGGGGAGGCTGGGGTAGCTAGGGTGGCTGGGAAGGCTGGGTGACGGGGGTGGCTGGGGAGGCTGGGGTGGCTGGGGAGGCCAGGGTGACTGGGGTGGCTGGGGAGGCCAGGGAGGCTGGGGTGACTGGGGAGGCCGGGGAGGCTGGGGTGGCTGGGGAGGCCGGGGTGACTGGGGTGGCTGGGGAGGCCGGGGAGGCTGGGGTGGCTGGGGAGGCCGGGGAGGCTGGGGTGGCTAGAGAGGCTGGAGAGGCCCAGGTGACTGGGGAGGCTGGGGAGGCTGGGGTGACTAGGGTGGCTGGGGAGGCTGGGGAGGCTAGGGTGGGCCTATCTTTCTCTTGCCCTAGCAGCTTGAGCAGTTTTGGGAGGGAGTATCCTGAACAGCCTTGGTGGGAGGAGTCATCTACACATCCCACAACCCCAAACCACAGCTCATTGCAGCTACTACCAACCCTCCTGCATGCTGCATGAGCACCAGGGATTTTTCTCATTAATCTTTCCAAGAAATTTAAGTCCTCCTACCCTCAAGTTTTTGTAATTCTGTTTATAGGCAGGTAAAGGGAAGCCTGGGATGGTCAGGAGAGTTGTCCAACAACTCCTTATTTTCATTCTCAATGTTCGCCTGGTCTGCTTTGTCCCGCCCTGGCCACGGAGGGGCTCTACCCTGGTCAACTCTGACTTCCCAATAATCTAAAATCCTCTTGAACTTCTTAATCTCTTGCTCTTAAAGTTATTGACACCTGGAGTTGGTTTTCTTTATTTTCTATAATTTGAGCAGAAGAAAAGTACCACCGGGTTGATGGGAAGCCTCCACACCACCAGTCTCTGGGTGTCATGGCCTCAGCTGACGGAACCACCTGCTAAAACACGTTCATGGCAGAGGCACGGCACCAAGGGAACCTGAGTGTGTCCTTGTCACGTCACCTCTACTCTCCTGTGATGTATCATCAAACGTCGGCACTCACCAGTGCGGTGCAGTGAGGGCCGCTGGAGACCCAGCCTGGCTCAAGTCACAGCCGCTGACGCCACTGCCATCTTGCAAGCCTGGGCGTGCTTCTTATTTATTAACTTTTTCATAGCCCAGTCCCCCGCCCCCCACCGTGTCCTCGGGGGTCCACAAGCTCTGGACCTTTGTCTTGGAACATCCCGGAGTGGAAAAGAGGTGCAGGGGGTGGGGGAGGCCCTCCTGGTGCTGCAAGGGGGTGCCAGTCCCTGCAATCACCACCATCTTTCCAGCAGACAGGCATTGAAAAGTGTAAGCCTCATGGGCGCCAGGCAATAATGGCACCCACATACAATGACACTCGGAGGTGCTGCGGTCGCCATTCCCGGTGCTTTGCTTTTCACCTTTTATCCTTCTCAGCATCATGACTTAATCCACTCTAATGAGGTGAGCTCAACTGCCAGGAGCCAGCGGCCACACAGCTCCCTCCGGCCCCAAGTGGGCTTTGTAAGAAGCCTGAAAAGAAGGGACTTTGTCAGCTTTCCAGGAAAGAAGCTGGGACGCCTTTGACAAAGTTTCCTTAGCTTTTTCTGCACCCCCTTTCCCGCCCCCGACCAGCGAGTTCTCTCCATCCCTGCCTGAGAATCGCCGTGCTGTGTACGAGGTACTCCTCATTAGGTGGGTAGCACTCAAGGTTGCCTGTCTGCACGTCCAACTTAGCGCCGCACATGTTTCTCCTAGCTTGAAGGACACGGCTGGTGGCCACATGTCACTGTTTACAAACAGCAGGTGATTGCCAACAGCAGCAGCAGCCGGAGTGTGAATCCCTCTTGCTCTCTTCTCACCCATCTGTCCACACGTCTCGAGCTGGAGGGACCCAGGTACAGAGAGCAGCAGCCAGGGCCACAGAGGCAAGATGGCCTGGCTGACAAAAGCACATAGGAGGAAGGAAGACATAACCTACTTTATTTCGCCTAATGCGGCAGCATGTTTTAAAGGAGGAAACAAGAGTTGGTTTAATTGGTGAATCCCGTATGTTCCCCATCGTAGGGCTCTGCAGCACGGTGGCTGTGCGGGGAGATCAGATGTCACCGCACCGCTCCTGCACCTGCCCGCCGCCAGCCCGGCTCCACGGCAGCCTGGATTCATAATTAGCATCTTCTCTTCCTCCGACTCCACACTGCTCTGCCGTGTGTCTTGGTCTTGGAAAACATCAGGCCTCTGCCCCTTCCCAGGTGGACAAGAGACCCAGGAAGGTGCACAAGCAGTTCACTGAGCTCCTGATGCTTGCAGCTCTCCTGGCCCTCCATGCACACATCTCTTATTTTTATAATTAATGCAATATTTTACTTTAATGACTTTGTTTTGGTTGAAAAAGGGGAGAAAGAAGAAAAGACAAGCACAATGCATTGAGAGCTCATGGGATTAACCGCGTGGTCGTAATAAATGTAGATACAACCAAAGCATGGAGGAAAAAAAAATTGGCTGTTACACGGCTTGACCCTCCCTCCCTCTTCTCCAGCCTTAATCTGATTTTTGCCAAACCCTTTTGATGTATCAGGGGCAGGCAAGTCAGGTCCACAAGTACAGATGGACTAAATATGGAGATTAGCCCCTTCTCCTCCTGCCTGGGCTTCTAATACCTGATTAAGTCTAGAATCGAGCAATTGTCTCCGAGCTGGCTATCAGAGTGGCCGGGCTCAGAAGGGGGCAGGATGAAGGCTGATTTTGTAATGGATACTTATTTTATCCCAGTGCTATAAGAAGATTAGGCCTGGGGGTGTCACATTAGCCGTGATCTCTGAGCCCCTGGTTGTCTCTTGCCGGTTTCAAACACCTCTCTTAGAACAAACAGGGAGCTTGGACCCAGCGGCCCCATGGCGGGCATGAATAATTGCCCACTGCAAACTGTTTGAAGATCACAAAGTGCTGTGTAAATTACTCAGTTTGGGCTTTAGTCGGGGTGATTTGTGGTGACTTATTGAATCTTTTCACAGTTCAGAATTAAACTTTCTCCACTGCTAACTGCAGACAGCGTAGAATGAAAGTTGAGTCTTAACTGACAGTCCTCTCCTTAGATCAATCTTTGCAAAAGCCCCAGCAGAGTCACGCGGTTCCGCACAGACTTCCCTGCATTTCAGAGGGACTAGGGGATGCCTATTCTTAGCCAAGTTATGCCTATTCAGCATGCAACTTAAAATAGCTATTGAACAAAAAAAAAAGGGGGGGGCACTGCTTGTTTTGAATCACTCACAGGTTTTTGGCAAGAACTCTTGGCTAATTTTTCTACCAACATATCCAATTTATTTTTTGTTTGTTTTTAAACATGACGCATTTCTTTAATTAGTGAGGACAAACAAGATAGAAACAGAAAAAAAAAAGTTAAAAAATTCCTATTGGAGAAACGATACCATTAAACAACTGTCAATTAGAGAGAATTAGCTGGGCTGGTAGGTTTCCATCTGAGTCAACTCTGGGTGTTCATGGTCCCAGTGCTAACACCACCAATCGTCATTTGAATAGGATGGGGACTGCTTCTGTATTTTAAATACATTTCTGCAGTAGGTTATTGGAGGTTTGATATTAACCAGCATTTTGATCACTATAGGCTTTTCCTTTGTGTAGACCTGATCTAAGTTGTTTTTGATAAATAATAATTATAAAATAACAAAAACTATAATATCAAAATAAAGATGACCTTTAATCTTGCCAAATATCTTAGAAATAATGTAGGAATATAGGCGCTTGCTCCAAAGGGCTTTCATGGTAAACACCTCAGACAGTATTTTCATATTTCTACTGTTCTCTTAGAAAACCAATAGTTCTAACATTCTGCTAATTATTCAGAAACTTGTAATCAGACATCTGAACATATAAATATTTTAAAATCACATACTATTAAGAAAAAAATCAAAATTAGAATACGCAAGTACAAATGTAATTATTTAGTGGAAAGATTATTGTAGTTTTGTATATTTGTTTGGTCTGATTTGTTTTTATCATGTTATGTTTTAAAGTAAATACTGAGTGAATATTCACAGTAAGTAGAATTTGCAGAGTCCAGTGTTGCAAATGTAAAAGAAATGCAATCTACTCAGCTACACAGTCTCCCCTATCCCCTCAAGTAGAATAGTTTTTGTTCTTGTTTTCATGTTATTACTAACATGTTTGTCACCTAGTAAAGACCAAGAAAAATTGACAGAAAAAAACTTAAATAGACTGTGCTACTTTGTTTTAAAATAGGATTAGTAACTTAAAACACACACACACACACACACACACACACACACACAACCATGAATCTCCTTTGCAAAGGCAGGTACATTTCATGATCCTTATTAGCTTTGGCCTAGTTAGCTACTAATCATAGCATTTACCTAAATTACAGAAGCAGATGCAATGCTTAGAAGGATAAACTGGTTTCAATTAATACACCTATACATTCTACCATACACATTTTTGTGTTCGTTGCAGGCTGACAAATTTTTGATGGCTTTCAAACCAACAAAATAACCATATATGTAAAACAAAAAGGCTTTTTGTTGGTAGGGCATAAGGTGGTAAGAACAATCTAGATAACTTTTGGTTTCCAACTCCATTTAGTTATTACCTATCTAAATCTAGGTCAGTGTATTTCTTGTAGAAAGACTGAATTCTTATAGAAAGAGTGCATATTTCTATATATTTGATTACTACCATATGCAGGGCATGGACCTAGGCACCTTAGTGATATGTGGATGAGAAACTTCTAGAAACTGACCTGCGCAGAGTCATGGAGGTGTGTGCATGTGTGTGTGCTCAGAAGGAAGATGAAGAGAGCCTCCTAGTAGTAAAAACACATTTTTAGCATTTCTTAGCTTCAGTCTGTTCTAAGTGCTTTACATGCATAAACTGAGTAATGTTGTGCGGTGTAATTATTTTTATCCCCATATTGTGGTGAAACTGAGGTGAGTTAACACGCCCAAGTCCACACCAGCTCATGGGTGGGAGGCTGCACTGCTTGGCTCTTGAGTTCTGGCTTTTCGTCCCACCAGCTGCGTCTTGTCATGAGAGTAGTAAACAAAGGGTGATGGGCATTTCTAGGTAGGGATGCCGCTTGCCATTTTGAGAAGCCCACTGCTGGTTGCCTCATTCATTTTTGTCTGATTCATGGGGTCGAGCAGGGTGTAGCTAAAGATGAGGCTGCAGAGTGGAGTTGAGGTCAGACCACAGAAGTGTTCGCAGACATTTGGAGGCCACCCACCTCTACCCAATAGACAAGAACAAGCATCTGAAGGACTTTGCACAGGGGCATGGCTTAAAGTACAAATGGAAATTCAGTTAAAACAGGATCAAATGAAACATTTACTTATGTACTTCTCTGTCATCTCTATAGCAGTGTACCAAAAGTGATAGTTTTTTTTGTTTTTTTGAGATGGAGTCTCGCTCTGTCGCCCAGGCTGGAGTGCAGTGGCCTGATCTCGGCTCACTGCAAGCTCCGCCTCCAGGGTTCATGCCATTCTCCTGCCTCAGCCTCCCAAGTAGCTGGGACTACAGGTACCTGCCACCACACCCAGCTAATTTTTTGTATTTTCAGTAGAGACTGGGTTTCACTGTGTTAGCCAGGATGTTCTCCATCTCCTGACCTCGTGATCTGCCCACCTCAGCCTCCCAAAGTGCTAGTATTACAGGCGTGAGCCACCGCACCCAGCCAATTATTTTTTAATGATCACATGTCAGCCTAGCTAGAATAGGAGCTCAGGTTACTTTCATTAGGCTTATGATGCTAATTTAGCTTTCTCATGACCTAACTTGAGGCCCTTTAGGATTCAATTAAAATATAATCTATCATTTGTCATAGTCCAGCACAGACACCAACCAACTCTCAATGGTGCCTGGTCAAGGAATTCAGGACAAAGTAGCTCAGGGTTGCCCGATCTGTGCATAGAACATATCCAAATATCATAATGGGCTAGTTCCTCAATTTCTCAGAGTTCTCTTTGGGAGAAGAGAGAGAAATAGGGGTTCAAGCTCCTAATTCTCAATAGTAAAGGGCACAATGGAGAGGCTTTTGTTTGGTTGCTGAGGATTCTGTCTGTCAGGGCAAGAAAGCAAGTTTGGTTCATCTTGCTGGCCCACTGTGTGCTCCTATAATCCCTGGCCTTTGGGTGGTCATTCATAGGTGTTTTTGTGACTTCCAGTCCATTCAGGTGACATGAGAAGCTGGGATGCCATTTCTTCTTACATAGTCAGCCTCTGAGATAATAGCACCCAGGGGCCTTGTTTGAGCCTGGTGCCTCACTCTATTTCAGCATCACAAGAGGAAGCTCACCCTTGGCCAGGAAATGTGAAACACACTATGGGTTACAATGGAGCAGGAATGTGATGGGCTATTATTATAAAGAACCCCCAAGCTTATGCTCCCCTGAGGTCAGGTCCGTTCTCAGAGCAAAAAGAAGACTCTGTAAACACATGACACATACACAAATTACGATTTCACAGATTGATTAATGCTTCAATGAATCAAAAGATGTTAAAATGCCAGGCTCTGTAATTAAAGTCTGGATTGGAATCTAGGCTTTACAGTGTTACTGATTTGAGAGCTTGGGCAAGCTGCTTAAGTTCTGTTTGCCTCCGGTTTTTTGTGTTTTGTTTTTTGTTATTTCTTTGTTTTTGTTTTTGTTTTTGTTTTGTTTTTGAGATGGAGTTTCGGTCTTGTTGACCAGGCTAAAGTGCAATGGCGCGATCTTGGCTCACTGCAACCTCTGCCTCCCGGGTTCGCAATTCTTCTGCCTCAGCCTTCTGAGTAGCTGGGATTACAGGCATGCGCCACCATGCCCGGCTAATTTTGTGGTTTTAGTAGAGATGGGGTTCCTCCATGTTGGTCAGGCTGGTCTCAAACTCCTGATCTCAGATGATCCACCTGCCTCAGCCTCCCAAAGTGCTTGGATTATAGGCATAAGCCACCACACCTGGCCTGCCTCTGTTTTTTATCTAAAAGATGGGAATAATAACAGTACTCAGATTGTAAATTTGGTGTGAGTTTTAGTGTCAGCAACAATGATAAGTTCTCATAAAAATTAAGCATAATATATGTTAAGCACCTGCTATACATTCAGATTCTGGTATAGATGAAATGAAAAAATTAAAGAATGAGACAGGCCCTGTCATCACAGACAGGGAACAAAAGCTCAAAGTAATCAGGAGAACAACATAAGTGGTGAGTCTTTTCTTTGAAAAAAAAAAAAAAAGTCTATCTTGCAGATTCATTTCAGATGATTGTCCAGTGAAGAGAGGAGACAAGGATGGTTTAATCCTGGGACAACCTTGGGGGAAGGTCAGGCTGAGGAGGACCTTGAAGAATGGGGAAGCTTGGAAAGAAGAGGGGCTATGAGATCCGAACTTGCAGCAGAAGGACAGCACTCTTGGGCACAAGAGTCCGGAGGCCGAATGTAGGGTGTATGAGTATTTGAAAAAGTAAGAAAATCTAAAATTTTTGTTATGATAATTAGATTTTAGCTTGTATACAAAGATATTAGAGCAAGAGAGTAATATCACAAATGCTATAGAGGTGAATTTAGGTTAGCTTCTCCTGAAGCACAAATCCACTAGATTAGCATGTACAGAACTTGAAGGCCCAGAGAAATGGGGACAGAGTGGGGTGGCGAGCAGGTCCTAACAGCCAACCATTGACAGATGGTGAGGCTTTAAATTAGATGGTGGCAGTGGGAATGAAAAAGGAGAATAAAAACAATAACAGTTATAGTAATGTCAATGACACAGCAGCAATGTTGATCACCTACCCTGTTCAAATGTTGTAAAGCACACACATTGCTTCATGTAATTACATGCATACGTTTCTGATTTCTGTTTATATTCCTGCTATTAAATCATAGATTTCCCCCTAAAACGGTTATGGAGCTATTTATTGAGCATTTCCTTGATAGGAGACACTGTTCTAGGCACTTTACAAACATACAGAACCTTATTGATTCCTCCGGTAGCATTGCATGAGAAGATCATATGGATGAGAGGTGAGCAGCTGCTTGGAGAGTCACAACATAAAGCTCTGTGTGTTTCATTATCATTAATAGACTGCTGGACACCTACATCACCACTTCTGTCGGTGTATCCACACAAAGATGTGCGATTACCTTCATTCTATTTATCTATTTATTGTTCAGCTTTTCCATATAGTCTTTAAATACATTAAATAAATGTTTACATACGTTTGCTAATACTTGAATTACTATCATTCACCATAACTGAATCTGCCCAAGTGTAATATGATCTGTTCAGTCAGATTTTCCCATCCAAGAAGCCGGATAAAAATCCTGATTCTCATGTCCCACAGCTGGAGATTACGATTTAGTAGGTCTGGACCAGGGCCCGGGATTCTGCATTTTTACAAATTTCCCAGGTTACTCTTCTGCACACAGATGTCTGAGAACGCAGAAAAGCCACTGACTTTCTGGTCTATTTACCTGATGGTAGCTCACTGAGACCCAGTGTTATGAGCAAACAGAAAAGAAACAAAAATCTTTGAGATGAAAAGGCAAGTCAGCATTTTTAATGCCTCGGTCTTTGAAGCGTAAACAGGGATTCTTCTCACTTACTCGGTGGCACAGACCTCCTTCACACGCTTCCCACTCCAGCCCCGCCCTTAGCATCTCTGCACAGCGCAGGTGTTTGCTCTGCCTTTCTCTACCCCACCTCTATCTCTGAGACCGGTTCACAATTCCTCTGGAATTTTTACTTCTTCATTTGCATGTTGCTGTTTCAAATAAATAAGCACGTCTGCCAGAGTCACCTTTTGTTGCATTGCAGAATGCAGGACAGTTTCCCTGGGTGAGCTGAGCACAGTGCCTCGATTGAGCAATTCCATTTCTTTATGTCTCATGGAGCGCTTCTGCGTGCACAGAACCTGCAGCCAAGGCAGGGAAGCCTAACGTGAGTCTCTAATTCACAGTGGCATCCTCCTTCCTGTAGTGAGCATGGCGCTCCTTGGATTCCGATTCCACAACAAGAGTTCTCTGGAGTAGGGAAATTGCTCTGAGGAGAGGCAGGCAAAGGTCAGATCTTAGAAGGGAAGTGTTATTCCTTTGAAAATTGCAAGGGTCAGTTCAATAATTGCCCAGCTGAAGTGAGCCATGGCCCAGGCCCCGCACTGACAAACACGCCACAGGCTCTTTTGTAATGAGGCGGGGATTTGGTCTGGGACTTCGGCTGGTTCCCTTACACTTATGACACGGGTGTTCCAGCCCCGTGATGTGCCTGTCATCTCTTATGGCTTATTAATAGAGATTAATCAATAAAGACAGACACAGGGCTCTTCAGTACAGTGTGCAAGGTCAACCAACTGCAGGGCAACCACCAGCCTCTGGCTCAGCCCTGATCTTTAGTGGATGTCCCCCATCCAAAAGGTGCACGCATGAAAGAAGCTACAAAGGGAAGTGAGCGATGCTGCAGCGTATCCTGAGTCTCCTTCCCTTGAGGCCCAGGGAAGAGGCAGTGGGCCGTTCTGGGGGGCCACTGGGCATCTGCCTTCTGGAACAGGTAGACAAGCCAGGAAACCCACAGCCCTGGGGCAGCACCTTTCCTCTGATGATGTCATGGTTTTCCTCTACTTGTTCCATTTCATCCACTGGGCACCGCTCTTTCTCCCATACATAGTCACGTGTCGTCAATTAGGGACCCATAGAGGACAATGGTGCCCGAAGATGATACTAGAGCTGAAACTTTTCCATCACCTAGAGATGGGGCTGCAACGCCACAGTGCAGCACATTCCTCACGTGCTTGTGTTGATGCTGGTGTAAGTAAACCTGCTGGGCTGCTGGGAGTATGAAAGTCTAGCACATAATTACAGCACGTAATGCTTGACGGTGGTGACAAACAACGATGTTACTGGTTTATGTGTTCACTATACTATTTATCATTATTTTAGACTGTGTTCCTTCTACTTACATATTTTTAAAAAGTTAACTGCCAATAGCCCCGGGCAGCTTCTTCAGGAGGTATCTGTAAGAAGGCATTATCCTCATAGGAGCTGCCAGCTCCATGCCTGTTTTTGCCTCTGAAGACCTTCTAGTGGGACAAGAGTGGAAGTGGAAGACAGTGATGGGGTTCTACTGACCCTGTGTAGGCCCAGACTAAGGTGTGTGTCTTAGTTTTTAACAAGGAAGTTTAATAAATAAATAAATAAATACAAATTAAAAATTAATATAGAGGCTGGGTGCGGTGGCTCGTGCCTGTAATCCCAACACTTTGGGAGGCCAAGGAAGGTGAATCACCTGAGATCAGGAGTTCGAGACCAGCCTGACCAACATGATGAAACCCCATCTCTATTAAAAATACAAAAATTAGCTGGGCATGGTGGCGGGTGCCTGTAATCCCAGCTACTCGGGAGGCTGAGGGGGAAGAATCACTTGAACCTGGGAGGCAGAGGTTGCAGTGGGCCAAGATTGCACCATTGCACTCCAGCCTGGGCGACAGAGTGAGACCCCATCTCAAAAAAAAAAAAAAAAAAAGAGAGAATAAAGCTTAAAGGTTACAGACCAAGAATATAATGAAAAAAAAAATTTTGTACAGCTGTACAATGTGTTTGTGCTTTAAGCTAAGTGTTACAAAAGAATTAAGATTTTAACACAAAAATGTATAAACTAAAACAGTTACAGTAAGCAATAATTAATTTAGCATTAAAGAAGGGTCATGTTTTGTATACATTTAGTGTAGCCTAAGTGTACAGTGTTTACAGAGTCTACAGGAGTGTGCAGTAACACCCTAGGTCCTCACATCCACTCACCACTCCCGGACTCACCCAGAGCCACTTCCAATCCTGTAACCTCCATTCACGGTAGGTGCACTAGACAGGTGTCCCATTTTTTATCTTTCGTACTTTGTTTTTACTGTAGCTTTCCTATGTTTAGATGTGTTTAGATACACACATTCTTACCATGGTGTTACAGTTGCCTGCAGTATTCAGCACAGTGACATGCTGCACAAGTTTGTTGCTCAGAAACGATAGGCTGCACCACACAGCTTAAGTGCATAGGAGGTTGGACCACCTATGTCTGTGTTATAGACTCTGTGATGCTTTCACAAGAGAGTGGCCTAATGATGCATTTATCAGAATGCATCCCCATCGTTAAGTGCCTCCTGACTGTATACTCACAAGTATGCCTTTATAGAGTCACAATATATATTTTTAAGTTAATTCAAGATATTTTTTAACTATAGAATTATTGTATTACCTTATAAAATGGGGGGTATCTTTCAGGGGTAAATGATTCACTTTTGAAATATTTCTTTTTAGTCTTTTTAATGCACATCGGTCTTTTGGGCACATTGGAATTACATGGTTATGGGAGCCTACTCTTCTCCAGTACACTCTCCGATATTTAAGTTCCTCTGTCCCTGGATATTTGGATAGATGTCAGTGTTTCACTCTTACACACAACACTGAGACAGCTCTCTCAGTTTATTTTTTTTGTTTTTTATTTTTTTTTATTTTATTATACTTTAAGTTCTAGGGTACATGTGCACAAGGTGCAGGTTTGTTACATATGTATACATGCACCCTGTTGGTGTGCTGCACCCATTAACTCGCCATTTACATTAGGTATATCTCCTAATGCTATCCCTCCCCCCTCCCCCCACCCCACAACAGGCCCCGGGGTGTGATGTTCCCCATCCTGAGCTCTCTCAGTTTAAATTACCAACTGCATCCCTGAGTTTTTCCTTAGGAGATATTCCTTCAGTGGAATTGCTGAGCTCAAATGTCTGGATGGGCTAAAACTCTATCGATTGTAAAAATGCTCTGCAGAAAACTTATGCCAAATATAAAATCCCACTACAACTACGAGAGAAGTGGCTCAGAACACCTTGGACAGGATTCAGCATTACATGCTAGATATCAATAAGTCAGACACAATTTGCTCTAACTTGCATTTTATCTGGATACGATAATGTCAGGCAATGTTTTGTAACTTTATAGGGTCTTTTCATTTCATATCTTGTATTTGCATCATTGTCTTTATTGTTCATTATTTTTAGTAGAAATTGTATATTAAAATTTATAATATTTAATATCATAACCTTTGAGCTCTTCCATTGATAAATATGCTCAAAATGTCCCATGTCTCAGATCAGATAATGTAGAAAAATTGTATTCTGTATAACTCTTTAATCCATTTGAAGAATATTTTTTCAAAGGCTATAATTTGAGTACTTGGCTGTTTTTTCAAATATTCATTTTTGGAACCTATTTTCTGAATGATATGTCCTTCCTCATTCTGTTCATTGCACTTTTGTCCACACAACAGGGACTGACCAGCAGGAAGATCTCTTGTGGACCGTCTATGCTATTCTGTGGACCTCAGCATTTGAGTAGTACTGTCCCAGAAAGCTGGCATCTCACATCATGAATGAGAAGCTCTCTCGTGGAGCGTCTGTGCTGTTCTGCGGACCTCAGCATTTGAGTCGTACTGTTCCACAAAAGCTGGCATCTCACATCGTGAATGACAAGGCCCCACTAGCCACTCTGATTTGTGAACATTTTCACACTGACACTTATCTGTGTATGCTCCAAATGAAGTTTAGAATCTTTTGTGGAAAGGTTAAAAAATCCACCTGATTTTGAATATGGGCCGGAGGGTGACTTAAGTCTGTACATGATTGTGAGATAGACACTAACATTTCTAGAGCACTATCTGTACATAAGGTATCACAAAAAGTGTGTTTTACACATCATTACATGTTTACTGACAACAATGCTATTATCACCATTTTCTAGAAGAAAAACCTGAGGCAGAAGGAGATTGGTTTCCCAGGTCAGAAGGCCACCCTTGGGTTTCCCAGGTCAGAAGGCCACCCTTGGGTTTCCCAGGTCAGAAGGCCACCCTTGGGTTTCCCAGGTCAGAAGGCCACCTTAAGGGCTGGTCTTGGGGGGTGATGACAAGTCCAATCAGTCCTCCAGTTCTAAATAGCAAGGACCCATCTCTTGCTTGAGGTGATCTTTTCTGCCACCACTTAGCCTCCATGTACAAGTGAGAAGATGTGGTACTTAGTTTTCTGTTCCTGCATTAGCTTGCTAAGGATAATGGCTTCCAGCTCCATGCGTGTTCCAGCAAAAGACATGATCTCATTCTTTTTCATGGCTGCATAGTATTCCATGGTGAATATGTACCACATTTTCTGTATCCACTGTTATTGATGGGCATTTATGTTGATTCCATGACTTTGCTATTGTGAACAGTGCTTCAATGAACATACATGTGCATGTGTCTTTATAGTAGAATGATTTACATTCTTTTGAGTATATACCCAGGAATGAGATTGCTGAGTCAACTGGTAGTTCTGCTTTAGATCTCTGAGGAATCATCTTACAGCTTTCAACAATGCTTGAACTAATTTATACTCCTACCAATAGTGTATGAGGGCTCTCTTTTCTCCACAACCTCGCCAGTATCTATGGTTTTTTGACTTATTAATATTAGCCATTCTGATTGGTGTGAGATGATATCTCATTGTGGTTTTGATTTGCATTTATCTAATGATCAGTTATATTGAGCTTTTTTTCATATGCTTGTGGGCTGCATGTTTGTCATCTTTTGAAAAGTGTGTTCATGTCCTTTGCCCACTTTTTAATGGGGTTGTTTTTCTCATGTAGATTTAAGAACCTTATAAATGCTGAATATTAGACCTTTGTCAGACGCATAGTTTGCAAATATTTTCTCTCATTCTGTAGATTGTTTACTCTGTTGATAGTTTCCTTTGCTGTGCAGAGGCTCTTAAGTTTAATTAGATCCCATTTATTAATTTTTGCTTTTGGTATCTTTGTCATGAAATCTTTGCCTATTCCTATGTCCAGGATGATATTGCCTAGGTTGTCTTCCAGGATTTTTAGTTTTGGGTTTTACATTTAAGTCTTTGATCCATCTTGAGTTGATTTTTAAATATAGTGGAAGGAAGGGGTTCAGTTTTTGTCTTCTGAATATGGCTAGCCAATATCCCAGGACATTTATTGAATGGTGAGCCTTTTCCCCATTGCCTGTTGTTGTCAGCTTTGTGCAAGATCAGGTGGTTGTAGGAGTGTGGCCTTATTCCTGGTCTCTCTACTCTTTTCCATTGGTCTATGTGCCTGTTTTTGTACCAATACCATGCTGTTTTGATTACTGTAGCCCTGAAATATAGTTTGAAGCCAGGTAACATGATGCCTCCAGCTTTGTTCTTTTCTCTTCAGATTCCCTTGGCTATTCAGGCTTTTTTTTTGGTTCTATATAAATTTTAAATAGTTTTATCTAGTTCTGTGAAGAATGTCATTGGTAGTTTGATAGGAATAGCATTGAATTGGTAAACTGCTTTGTGCAGTATGGCCATTTTAATGATATTGAACCTTTCTATCCATGAGCATTAAATGTTCTTCCATTTGTTTTTGTCATCTACGATTTCTTTAGGTAGCGTTTTGTAATTCTCATTGCAGAGATCTTTCACCTCCCTAGTTAGCTGTATTCCTAGATATTTTATTTTTCTTTTGGCAATTATGAACGGGATTGCCTTCCTTATTTGGCTCTTGTCTTGGCTGTTGGTGTATAGGAATGCTAGTGATTTTTGTGCATTGATTTTGTATCCTGAAACTTTGCAGAAATTGTTTATCAGCTGAAGGAGCTATTGGGCTGAGACTGTGGGGTTTTCTAGACATAGAATTATGTCATCTGCATGCAGGGATAGTTTGACTTCTTCTCTTCCTATTCTAGTGTCCTTTATTTTTTCTCTTGCCTGATTGCTCTGGCTAGAACTTCCAATGCGACGTTGAGTTGGAGTGGTAAGAGCACCCTTGTCTTGTGCCAGTTTTCAAAGGGAAATGCTTCCAGCTTTTGCCCACTCAGCATGATGTTGGCTGTGGGTTTGTCATATATGCCTCTTACTATTTTGAGGTATGTTCCTTCAATACCTATTTTATTGAGAGTTTTTAACATGAATGGATGGTGAATTTTATCGAAGGCTTTTATTTTATTTTATTTTACTATTATTATACTTTAAGTTTTAGGGTACATGTGCACAATGTGCAGGTTAGTTACATATGTATACATGTGCCATGCTGGTCTGCTACACCCATTAACTCGTCATTTAGCATTAGGTATATCTCCTAATGCTATCCCTCCCCCTTCCCCCCACCCCACAACAGTCTCCAGAGTGTGATGTTCCCCTTCCTGTGTCCATGTGTTCTCATTGTTCAATTTCCACCTATGAGTGAGAATATGTGGTGTTTGGTTTTTTGTTCTTGCGATAGTTTACTAAGAATGATGATTTCCAATTTCATCCATGTCCCTATAAAGGACATGAACTCTTCATTTTTTTATGGCTGCATAGTATTCCGTGGTGTATATGTGCCACATTTTCTTAATCCAGTCTATCATTGTTGGACATTTGGGTTGGTTCCAAGTCTTTGCTATTGTGAATAGTGCCGCAATAAACATACGTGTGCATGTGTCTTTATAGCAGCATGATTTATAGTCCTTTGGGTATATACCCAGTAATGGGATGGCTGGGTCAAATGGTATTTCTAGTTCTAGATCCTTGAGGAATCGCCACACTGACTTCCACAATGGTTGAATTAGTTTACAGTCCCAGCAACAGTGTAAAAGTGTTCCTATTTCTCCACATCCTCTCCAGCACCTGTTGTTTCCTGACTTTTTAATGATTGCCATTCTAACTGGTGTGAGATGGTATCTCATTGTGGTTTTGATTTGGATTTCTCTGATGGCCAGTGATGGGGAGCATTTTTTCATGTGTTTTTTGGCTGCATAAATGTCTTCTTCTGAGAAGTGTCTGTTCATGTCCTTTGCTGCCCAAGGTAATTTATAGATTCAATGCCATCCCCATCAAGCTACCAACAACTTTCTTCACAGAATTGGAAAAAACTACTTTAAAGTTCATATGGAACCAAAAAAGAGCCTGCATTGCCAAGTCAATCCTAAGCCAAAAGAACAAAGCTGGAGGCATCACACTACCTGACTTCAAACTATACTACAAGGCTACAGTAACCACAACAGCATGGTACTGGTGCCAAAACAGAGATATAGATCAATGGAACACAACAGAGCCCTCAGAAATAACGCCGCATATCTACAACTATCTGATCTTTGACAAACCTGAGAAAAACAAGCAATGGGGAAATGATTCCCTGTTTAATAAATGGTGCTGGGAAAACTGGCTAGCCATATGTAGAAAGCTGAAACTGGATCCCTTCCTTACACCCGATACAAAAATTAATTCAAGATGGATTAAAGACTTAAACGTTAGACCTAAAACCATAAAAACCCTAGAAGAAAACCTAGGCATTACCATTCAGGACATAGGCATGGGCAAGGACTTCATGTCTAAAACACCAAAAGCAATGGCAACAAAAGAGAAAATTGACAAATGGGATCTAATTAAACTAAAGAGCTTCTGCACAGCAAAAGAAACTACCATCAGAGTGAACAGGCAACCTACAAAATGGGAGAAAATTTTCACAAACTACTCATCTGACAAAGGGCTAATATCCAGAATCTACAATGAACTCAAACAAATTTACAAGAAAAAAACAAACAACCCCATCCAAAAGTGGGCAAAGGCTTTTTTTTTGCATCTATTGAGATAATCATGTGGATTTTGTCTTCAGTTTTGTTTACATGATGAACCACATTTATTGAGTTCCATATGTTGAACCAGCCTTGCATCTTGGGGATGAAGCTTACTTGATCGTGGTGGATAAGTTTTTGATGTGCTGCTGGATTCAGTTTGCCAGTATTTTGTTGAGGATTTTTTTTTTTTTTTTTTTTTGACGGAGTCTTGCTCTGTCCCCCAGGCTGGAGTGCAGTGATGTGATCTCGGCTCACTGCAACCTCCGCCTCCTGGGTTCAAGCGATTCTCCTGCCTCAGTCTCCCAAGTAGCTGGGACTACAAGCGCCTGCCACCACACCCAACTAATTTTTGTACTTTTAGTAGAGATGGGGTTTCACCATATTGGCCAGGCTGGTCTGGAACTCCTGACCATGCGATCCGCCCACTTCAGCCTCCCAAAGTGCTGGGATTACGGGTGTGACCCACAGCACCCGGCCTCGTTGAGGATTTTTGCATTGATGTTCATCAATGACATTGGCCTGAAGTTTTCTTCTCTTGTTGTGTCTCTGCCAGGTTTTGGTATCAGGGTGATGCTGGCCTCATAGAATGAGTTGGGGAGGAGTCCATCCTCAATTTTGTGGAATAGTTTCAGTGGATATGGTACCAGCTCTTCTTTGTACACCTGGTAGAATTCGGCTCTGAATCCATCAGGTCCTGGGCTTTTTTTGGTTGATAGGCTATTTATTACTGATTCAATTTCAGAACTCATTATTGATCAGTTCAAGAAATCAATTTATTCCTTGTTTAGTCTTGGAAGGTTGTATATGTCCAGGAATTTATCCATGTCTTCCAGGTTTTCTAGTTTGTGTGCATAGAGGTGTTTGTAGTACTTTCTGATGGTTATTTTTATTTCTGTTGGGTTAGTGATAATGTCACCTTTATCATTTCTAATTGCATTTATTTGGATCTTCTCTTTTTTCTTCTTTATTAGTCTAGCTAGTGACCTATCTTATTTTTTCAAAAAACTAAATCTGAATAGATTTTCTAATGTTAAATTATCTTCACTTTCCACAGATAAATGCTACTTGATAACTATACATCATTTTTATAATTACTGTCAAACTTGTTTTTCAACAAATCAAGTATTATGTTATTATTTCTCTATTATATTTTTGTTTTGTTTTTAGTATCACGCTTTTAGTAGTTACCTTAAAATTTTAAAAAATAGATTCTTAGTTTTTTACTTTTTACCTTTAGTACTTCAAGCAATCAAAACATCTAAGAGCCTGTAAACTTCAATTAAAACCTCTGTCATTTTTGCCCTTATTGTCATATATTTTATTTCTATATATGTCATAAGCCCCGTAAGACACTGTTACTATTTTTGTTGTAAACAATTACCTTTTACATTTTCCTTTTTCAATGTTTTTCTTTCTTTTTTCTGCAGCTCTCTGCTTCTTTCTGGAATCATTTTCTTTATACATGAAGATTTTAAAATACTTATAATAGCATGAAACCTGATAGAAGCAAATACTCTCAGCTTTTTTTTTATGTGTGTCTAAGAATATCATTGCTTCCCTTTAGTTTTAGAACACTTTTTCTGTGTGTATAGAATTTCAGAGCTTTAAATAGTCACATCGTTGTCTTCTCTCTTCAGAGTTGTTCCCCTAATGTAATGCAGGCCCCACCTCCCACCCCAAGCTCTTTTAATATTTTCTCTTTATCTTTGGTTTTGAACAGTTTGACAATGATGTGATGAATTGCAATTTTTTTGAGTTTGCTGAGTTTCTTAAATCTGTGAGTCAAGATCTTTTATTATTTGGAAAGTTTTGGATTATAATTTTTCAAAATAAAGCTCCTATTTTATCATTTTTCATTCACACAATGCTCCTTATCTCTCCCACGCTCTAGTCTGTTGTTTCTATTCTTTTTCTTTTTATCCTTCAGTTGAGACACTGTATTCTGAATTTTTTTCAAGCTAAAGATCCTTTTTTCTGCTTTAACTTTTATTATTCCCTCTTTCTCTACACACACACACACACACACACACACTTACTCCCTCTTTCTTTATACATTCACACACATTTGATATATTATAGCTTTCCATTTTAGAATGAATATTTGGGGTTACTTTTCGCTCAGGCTTTTTCTTCTTCATTTGCCCATATTATCCTCTGCTTTATTTAACATTAATTATAGTTTTTTTGAAGTTCTTATCTGCTAATAACAAAACCTGAGTTACTTTTGATCTGCTTCAATCATCTGTTTTCTCTCTTGATTCTTTGATACTTACTGCTTTATCTTTGATGATATTTTACAAAATACATGCTGGAGTTTACATAAAATACATTGTAGAGACTCTGGCTTCTGTTATCTTCCTTTGAAGAGTGTTGAATTTGGCTCTGGCCTTCTCTCCTAAGTTTGATTTACTACGATTTTTATGCATGATTTTGGTGTGCATGTTTGTAATTCCGTTGTGATCTCTTCTTTAACAACTGAACTAAATATGGGTTGTTTGATTTTGAAAAGATCAGAAGGAAGCCCTTTTTTAGTTGTGGACTTCTAGTTTTATTACGTGGCTGTGAACATATAAAAGAGGTGCAAGGAGCATGGCAGTATTAGGGATTTATTCTCTCCTTCGTCTCTAGAGAGTGAAAGTGAAAGAAGAGAAGACATCTCCTCTCCTACATCTCTCCTTCATCAAAGAGCAAGCCCTCCCTCCAAAACCTTAGCATAGAACCTCTTACATCTCTTGTCAGAACATGCTCTCTGGACTGATTACATGCAAAGGGTAAAGGCCAATAATAAATTTTCTTTTAAAGACAGGTACATGGTCATCCAAACAAGGCCAACTTAGTAGAAAATGAAGAAGTAGATATTGGGTCACTAACCAGCTATGTCTGCCACAGCATTGTGCCTGGTAACCACATGTGCTTTGACAAGTTAGCATTAGCTTGCTAGGGCTGTCAGAACAAAGTACCACAGACTGGGGACTTTAAACAACAGAATCTTATTTTCTCACATTTCTGGAGGCTGGAAGTCCAAGATCAAAATACCAGCAGAGTTGGTCTCTTCTGAGGTCTCTCTCCTTAGCCTATAACAGGCTGTCTACTTGCTCAGGGCATCTCTCCTCTGTGTGTCTATGTTCTGACCTCCTCTTCTTATACAGACACCAGCCATATTGAATTAGGGTCCTCCCACAATGTCCTCATTGTAACTTAATTGCCTCTTTAAAGGCCTTATCTCCAAATACAGTCATATTTTTAAGTACAGGGGTTAGGATTGCAACCTATGAATTTTGGAAGCAGAAACTACAGCCCATAACATAAACAAATGGACAATTCATTGAACTCAGATGACTTGGCCTATTCATAATAGACAGATTTGATCAACAGCTTTTCTTCAAACATTTTACTGGGTTCTTGGAAGATCTCTCTTAGTTTTGCTTCTACCTCACTGGGTGTTTCTTTCACTTTCACTTTTCAGATAATATTATGCAGCCCGTTATTTAAAAATACTAACTGTGCACTGATGATTCACAAAATCCTCCAGTCCATACCTCTCTCCTGAATTACAGTCTTGTAAATCCAACTGTCTCCTCACTCTTTCCACTTAGATGTCTAAGAAACATCTCACTCTTAATGTCTTC
Source organism: Homo sapiens (assembly GCF_000001405.40). Classification (NCBI taxonomy): domain Eukaryota; kingdom Metazoa; phylum Chordata; class Mammalia; order Primates; family Hominidae; genus Homo; species Homo sapiens. The sequence goes on from NC_000005.10 coordinate 3,412,522, forward strand.
AAGCAAGCTCTCAATACTTATCTCCAAACTTCTCCAGCAGTCTTCCCCACCTTAATAAATAATAACTATATTATTCAGTTTGCTTTAAGGTGTTAAAGTTGTCATTAAGTCTTCTATTTTTTCTACTCTATATGTGACCCAACATAGAATTTTGTCACCTATACCTTCAAATATAGTCAGACTCTAGCTATGTCTCACCACCATCCTCCACTACCTGCCGTGTCTGGTGCGGATTATTACACTTGCCCCCTTGAGCGGGTTTTTTTTTGCTCCTCACACTTTATTATCAGACAGAAATCAAGGTGATCCTGTCAAAATCTGTCAAAAACTAATTGAAAAGAGAATTTTAATTGAATATAGCATTTAGAGTAGCATCAAATACAACACAGACCCAGAAATATAGCTAAAAGTTATTTAACTCTCCTACAGAAAACTGTAAATATTATTGATAGGACATTTTTAAAACATCTAAATAAATGGAAAGACATAATATGTTTATCAATTGAGAACTCAATACTAAAATATGTTATTTATTTTCAAATTGATCAATAGACTTACTGAATTCCCAATAAAAATCCCAGCTCTCTCTGTGTATGTCTGTGTGTGTGTGTGTGTGTGTGTGTGTGTGTGTAGTGTATGTCTGTGTGTGTGTGTAGTGTATGTCTGTGTGTGTGTGTGTAGTGTATGTCTGTGTGTGTGTGTGTGTGTGTGTGTGTAGTTTGGCAAGTTTGACTAACTTTATACCATACTCATAAATTAATGTGTAGTAGTTTATATATTATAAATGTAAATGTACGTAGTTTATATATTAAATGTAAGGTGAAACATTAATTACGTAAGAGTCGATCTAGAAGTAAAAACTTATGAGCTTAAGGTAGGGAAATACACACACACACACACACACACACAATCTGTAAAAGAAGAGACTGATAAATTGCACTACACTGAAGTTAAATATTTCTATTTATCACAAGAAACTGTTTAGAAATAGAAAGCAAGCCAGAAACACACACACACACACACAGAGAAAGGATATTTGCAACAAAAATATCTGCCAAAGGGCTTGAATCCACAACATCTCTACAGATTAAAAAAGAACTAATTAAATAGCAAACACATCAAGAGACTTTAAAAGATCCTGGACAAAAGAGGATAGTAACAGGGCTCATAATGCATTTAAAAAGACACTTCATCTTATTTGTCATCTGAAAATTGAGAAATAAAACCATCATCGGTAAACCCCATGCCCATCGGAATGGCCAAATTTGAAAAGGTTGACAATACCAAAAGTAGTTGAGGATATGAACCACGGAAAAGTGCACGCCATGCTGCTCATAGGAGTGACTATCACAAATGCCCAGTGATAATGAGAGTCCACTCCTAGATCTCAAATGCAAACTAGTGAAAATGTATGTGCAACATAAGACAAACGAAGGAATGTTCATTGCAGTATTATTCATAGTAGGCAAAACTGAAAACCACCCAAATGTAAATCAAACAGTAGAATTGATCAACTGTGATGGTGTCACACAATGGAGCAAGATAGCAATAAAAATGAATGACCCGCTATTAAGTGCAACAACCTGGATGGAGCTCATAGACATAATTTTGTGTGAAACAAGGCAAATCCCAAATACCTGACACTGTGTGACTTCATTGGCAGGACTTCCCATCCCACTTAGCATGGGGACCAGGCCCACCTCCCGTCCGGCCTCATCATCTGGTTTTGTCCCAGGTTCTCCTTCTGCTCCCACAACACTGTCTCCTTCTGGTCCTTGAACTTGTAGAACACCCTGATGGAACACTTGTCCCTGACTCTACCTGGAGTGCTCCCTCTGCAGATTCAGGGTAGACCACGCCCACACGGCTTCAGATGTCAGCTCCAAGCCCATCTGACCATGTTACCTGACATGCTGTGTATTTCTTTGTTCGTTTTCCTATATCTTCCCACTAGGATGTAACCCCCATGAAAACAGGGACTAGCCTGCTTCTTTCATTGCTGTATTTTCTGAATCTGCAAACGCACATGACAAAAATCAATGCTCGAAAAATACCTTTCAAAGACACGTGGCTGAGTGCTGCTACACTTTATGACTTTTGTTAGCAAATAAGTTTGAACATTTCCCAGTTTTCTCTTGTATGAGTGACGTGCTCATACCTGTGTCCTTCTTGGCATCTTCATATATTTTTTCCTTTCAGTTTCTGTGAACATCTCACACAATATGGAGCACCATCCAAGCAATAATCTCAGACTGTCATTGTGAGCACGCTGGCTTCATTCCAATCTGTAAGAGTCAGGATCTCTCCAGTGGCAATTCCTGCTTCTGTCAGGTTGCCTCACAGTAAAGCCAGGTCTTAACTGGAGTTTTGTAAAGATTTATCCAGGCACCAAAACTGAAGGGTGTCACTGGACTCTTATTTCTTCAGCACAGAAGAATTGGGGTTAACATTCAGCCTGTGAAGGCTGCTGAATGTAACTCCTGTTGGGGTGAGATGGTGGCGAAGTCACAGTGGTTGGGTGCTGGGGACCGCTGCCATGAATTCACTGCCTACGTACCAAGAGCAGATTATAGTAAAGCACCTATTAGCGGAGAGCCTTGCATCCCAGGCACCCTGGTGAGGTGTTTATGATTTGTTCAGAGGCATTAGCGAATTTTGCTCAAGTGTGCATTGGACCATGTTCTGCACATTTCATGAATAATTAAAAATGGAAGTCTAAACATTTCATGTGCAGGGATTTGTGTGTAATTATTATAATAAAGACAATGACCCAAGGTCTTAGAGTCGAATGAAGAACACAGAGAATTTCAACAGCTTATTCGTGGTCTTGGCTGCGCTTGGGAAATTCAATCCCCCCTTTTAAAAAAGGTGATATATGGGATAGATGTTCTTGAAGATGGTGGATAAAGATAAATTTTTTAGAAAAGAAAAGGAGGGCTTTAAAATACTCAAAGTGATGCTTTCACATAGTCTATGTTGAACCCAGAGCATGGTCTAATAAACATTCCGGTATTTTACATACTGCCCTTTGTTTTCTGTTTTCATCTGTAATTGACTAATGTGTTCTCTACTGCACGATAAATCCACTTTAAAAAATGATGACTTTGACTTCTCTGCCAGGAAACAATTGGACGTAGACAATATGGCATCATTGTGGGGTGTTGTTCCCAAAGAGTCTGGCCCAGACTGTCAAAATGTTGCTGCATGGAGTGGATCTACTCCAAGCCCCTGAGGGTGAACATCTGTGCAGAGCATCATTCCCTCCTGAGGGGGCCACAGACCCCTTCCTGAAAACTCTCTGCTCCTACTTGGACCTATCCAGGGCCATCCCCTTTGATTGTCGTTGTCCCCTCCCAGCCAGGGTTTCCCATGTCTCTCTCTGTCTCCGTCACCTGTTCTCAACCCAAGGCCCTCTAGAAACAGGACACAGAGCCTAGTGCTCTTCCTGCACCTTCCATAGACCCCGTTTCCCCAGGGAAGGAGGTTGTGTGGCCCCCAGGCCCCAACCTTTCCTCACCTGTCCTCCCACACCTGCCCCTCCACTAGCTTCTGGCTTCTCCCAGATGCTCCAAACCCAAACTCGGGCTCCCATTCCTGCTCCTCCCTGTGTCTGGAAGGTCCTTCCCTCAATACCCCCAGACTGTTTCTCGCTCACTGCCTTCCGGCCTCTGTGCAAAGTCACCTTTGTCGTGGGGGTTTCTCACCACCCTAGTTAACAATGAGCACAACCATTATATACCCAGATCCGCTGTGCCTCCTCGCAGTGATCCTTCTCCAGTCCTGCTGCACGAAGGACCCCAGGGGAGTCAGGTCACTCTGTTACTGATGACCTGCACCCCCCACACACCGATGGCAGCTCCAGGAGGGCAGGATTGTTTGTTTTTATTTTGTGTGCTCTGTGTTCCAGGAGAACAGAGCCTTACCTGTAACAGGTGCTAACAGGTATGTGTCGAATAAATCTTCTACCCTTTTAGGGTCTGCGGGCACAGAAAAAGCGCTCCTCCTGCCCACACTGCCCCTTCCACCCCCACGCCATCCACAGGCCTTGGGAGTTCAGGGGTATCCCCTCCGCAGAGGAACAGCTGCCCTGTGACCCCCGTGCTGCGCCTCCCTGCCAAGCACACAGGAGACCTGTGCAAAATTCCCCTCTGGGGAGGGCCCTCTCCCCACAAGGAACGCCCCCCAGGGGTACCTGTCTAGAACGAGTTGGTTCATGGTAGACCCACAGCAAATATCTCAGATATCTGAGTAGAAATTGGAGACCGATCACAAGAAAAAACCCTTTTCAAAAACAACAACAACAAAACGTACAGGCTACCACCCGAAGGAGAGAAGCCCGCCATGGCCCTGCTCGCCCCCTCTCTGTTCCAAGGGTTCCTGTTGAAGGACTCTGGTGGGAGCCACTTCCATCCCCACTTCAGGAGGGCTGCTCGTCTAGGGGAGCCCTGGCAAAGACATGCCTGTGGATGTGTCTAGAATGTATTTAAAATACTTTTTTGAAGAGGGCTTGAAGTTTTCTGAGAGTTTAGAACACTAACTTTTCTGCAGCAGATGACTTCATAATTGCTGCGCCGCTGAAAGGAAGTGATACTGAAATACGCTTTGCGGGGCAGGGCTGGGAATCCTCTCATGGTGACAGAAAAGTCGTTTATTGAGTGAGAAAATCATTGCATATTTTCAGGGAATTTGAGAACCTTTGTATGAGAGATCAAGCCAAGGGGAGCTGAAATTCAGTGAATGCCGACCTTTGAAAGAGTTGAAAACACTTTGCACAGACGAGAAAACATACAGAAGATCTCAGATGCTTCCTCTGCGTCAGGCTCTTCTCTGAATTCAGGGAAATTCAGCAAGCAGCACATGAACTAAAAGAGCACTAAAACGTGTTCAGTGCTGTGCTCTGGTTCCCTGTCTTGGGCACTGAGAAGCAGAGGACAGCCCGTGGCCGCACTGTCCGGAGGCCCCTCCAGACTCTCCGAGGTGACCCCATGCCCAGGCACCTCTGAGGGCACCATCCAGGGCGAGCTGGATGGTGGGAGCCTCCTGGACAGGTAGACCCTCCCCTGGGCTGAGGCTTCATATGGACTCCAGGCCCGGGTTCCCAGTGAGGAAAGTCAAGGCAAGGAAGCTCGCTGGGGCACTCAGAGCCTGGTGCTAGGGCGCATCTCCCCCGGCGCCCTCTGCTGCTCACTTCAGCTCCTGGACAGCTGCGGCCTCCCTGTCTATCTCCTAGAGCCTCCATGGGGCTGTCTGCTCCTGCCCTCCAGGCGGCCGTGTCACCTGGCTGCATTGACACCTGGCCAACTTGCCTGTAGAAGGTGTGAGGGGAAGAGTAGCATTGCCCTCGTGGTCCCACCCAGTGATGACAAAGGCAGATGCTGCTGCTGGCCACACGGCCCCTTCCCTACCACGGGGCAGCTCCAGCCCCTTCCACGCTCAGCTGCTGCCTTGTGGGGCCGTGCACAGGTTTCTCCAGTGAGGCCACCTCCGGCCTATACCCACACACGTCTTTCCACCCTGCCATGGCTATCCACCTTCCAGATGGATTGAACTGTGTACCTCCCCACAAATCTTCTGTGCTTAAGTCCTAACCCCCAGCATCTCAGAATGTGCTCTTATTTGGATACACAGTCTTGCAGATGTCATGAGTTCAGACGAGGTCCTGTTAGAGTAGGTGAGCCTCTAAGCCACTACGGCTGGGGCCCCAACAGAAAAGGAAAATTGGACACATCCACACACATAAAGGGAGAGTGCCACGTGAAGGTACAAGCTGTGCTGCCACGAGCCAAGGAACCACCAGGAGCTGGAGAGGATGGGCACAGGTCCTCCCTAGTGCCCTCAGAGGGAGCCTGGCCCTACAGCACCATGATCTGGGGCTTTGGGCCTCCATGGTGTGAGAGAATAAATTCCTGTGGTTGAATCCCCTCTGTTCCAGCAACCCTAGCCAGCTAACACTCACCCCACCAGGGCAGCACGGGCTGGCCAGCCTCCCTACTCAGGTGTGCATTCCCATGCAGAGAGAGAAGCCATGTGGCATGTGCTTGCTGACCCAGAGACTTTAGGCAGAATAAAAGATTTTAGAACAAAGGCAATTCCATCCAACTATTCACATTAACAAATAAACAGGGCTTAGAGCAATCCACTTGAGAGGGCGTAATGACCCAAAGCCACCTAAGACCCAAACTCTCAGTCCTGGCTCAGTGTCCTTGCTGTTTCTTGGTTCCTCTCTTTAAATTTGCAACATAAACTTACCTAGAGGAGGCACTCTTATCTGACTTATCGGGAGTGTGGGTTGCTCCAGAGTCTCTCCTCACCACCACAGCCTCCTCAAGTGCGCGGCACAGGACCCTCCAGGGTGGGCACTATTCCATGGAGAACCTTCCAGCACAGCTCAAATGCTCACACCTTGGTGTCAAGGGGCATCGCTGTGCACACTGCACCTTCCAGATGCAACTGAGCGCTCCTCAGAGAACCAGTACTTTCCGAAGCCGTACTAGTACAGAGAAGGAATGCCAGCAGGGACCCCTGCTCTGTATAGTTTCCAGGCAAAAGGGCACAAGATGGGGAAACATATTCATTCTTGAGTTTTCTGTCCATAAGAGCGAGGACCCCAGCGGCTGGGTGCTGAGACTTTGGGGCCTGCCTTCTTAGCGCGTGGATGGTGAAGCTGCAGAATGGGGCAGTGTGAGAACCGGTGGATGGGAAACGGCCTCTGTCTTTGAGTCACACGTTGAGAGAATACCGTCATGAACTTCAACTGCATGCTTTCCAGGAAAGTGGAGAACTAAAAATAGCAACCTAAGGACATGGAAAAAAATACAAGTTTCAAATGAGGAATGGGAATATCTGTCCTGGTCTGAATTACCTGAAGAGCTATCCTGGCCTCCGCCTCTGCTGCTAAGACAGGTGTGGCCCTGGAGCCGTGTGTACATGGACAGAGTGGGTCCACTGTGTCCACTGGTGATTCTGACTCACCAAGCACTTTCCTCTGAACAGCTGAATGACTCGAACACATTGTTTAAGGGCAAGTCCTATGGGATGGCTCCCAGGAACCCCTTCTCTACAGCATAGATGGAACAAGACTCAGGAGCGGGGGTGAGGGGTGGGAGGTGTGGGGGCAGAAAACTTTTTGTAAAGAGTCTTCCAGGGTCCTAAAACTGAAATATTCTTGGTGTGTGTTCTAAACATAAAACAGACTCGTCTCTTAAAAGTTCTCCCCAAAACCCCAAATGACTGACTTCTTAGAGGACACTGTTGCTGTCTTCTCACTCTCTGGAATGCGGGTGGAAGAGGGGAGCCATATGAAGGAGAGGTCCAGTGAGGAGGTGAAGGGAGATGTTCACAGGGAGATGCTAAGCAAACACCTATTTGAACACTAGGAAAGAATTAAGTTCATGAACCCAACCATCTCCAATGAGTTTCTGTAATTTCTCTGCCAACCTCCTCAGAGAAGGAAAGAATGAAAATGTGAAAGATTGAGTTAGAGCCAGCTTGTGAGACCAGGGCAACTGAAGCAAGCCCCTCCCTCCTGGACACCTGAGACCTCCCAGGGGCATGGAAACTTTAGCCATCAGCCAGGACCACTCAGAGGCCAAGAGGACGGGCAACGGAGGATGACATGGCCAGGTGGTGGGATCATGGAAGGGGGACTACACCTGTGGGCAGGTGATGGGCTCACGGGGGGATGGCGGGGAGAGTACACTTGTGGGCAGGTGATGGGGTCATGGGGAGATGGTGGGAGAGTACACCTGCGGGCAGGGGATGGGGTCACAGGGGTTGGTGGGGAGAGTACAACTGCGGGCAGGGGATGGGGTCACAGGGGAATGGTAGGGAGAGTACACCTGTGGGCAGGGGATGGGGTCAAGGGGGGATGGTAGGAGTGTACACCTGTGGGCAGGTGATGGGGACATGGGGGGATGGTGGGGAGAATACACCTGAGGGCAGGTGATGGGGTCACAGGGGGATTGTGGGCAGAATACAGCTGTGGGCAGGTGGTGGGGTCATGGGGGGATGGTGGGGAGAATACACCTGTGGGCAGGTGATTGGGTCACGGGGGGATGATGGGGAGAGCACACCTGTGGGCAGGTGATGGGGTCACAGGGGGATGGTGGGCAGAATACAGCTGTGGGCAGGTGGTGGGGTCATGGGGGGATGGTGGGGAGAATACACCTGAGGGCAGGTGATGGGGTCACAGGGGGATGGTGGGCAGAATACAGCTGTGGGCAGGTGGTGGGGTCACGGGGCGATGGTGGGAGAGTATACCTGTGGGCAGGTAGTGGGGTCATGGGGAGATGGTGAGGAGTGTACACCTGTAAGCAGGTGACGGGGTCACGGGATGAACCTATAGTGCGACCCCAGCTCCTCAAGCAGCCCAGACTACATGAGCCCTAGACTGCAGAAGCACAATTTCTGGACTCCTCCAGCCAGTTCATCAGTCAAAGCTACAATTAATCATATGGGATTTTCAGTGGACCCTTTAAAAGGTCCTTTAAAGGAAATGGGTCAGCACATGTGATTTAAAATAACAGTTTATACATTTACAACGTACTTACCGCAGGCCAAGCATTAGCATCTCATGTCATCTTCACCATGATCCTGGAGGAAGGTAATTCCTGGTGGGCAATGGGATGCCTGAGGCCCAGAAAGTCGTGCAAATACTGCCAGCTCCCAGAAATGGAAGAGACAGACTTTCGCTCCTGGGTCAGAAGCCCTGGCTCCTGGGCAGTGTGGAAGCTGCCCCATTCTCCAGAGCAGGCACCATGTCCCTGAAGCATCTGGGGTGCAACCTAGGCATAGGTGAAACACGGGATCCACAGTTAGGCTGCGTAGCATCAGGCCAAGTTTGTTTCCAAATATTGTAAATATGAACCTTTGCTTGAGTCAATAGCTCTCAAGTGTTTTTTTCCCTTTAAAATCACAATTTTTGCCGAAACGAACTGGTTATTCATGTATTATAAATTCATCCATTCAAATAACCACATATGCACCCATGTCAAGAGGTTGTAGTGATCCAAAGGGAACCAAGACAAGACCCTGTGGACCAAACTTCCGGACTTTTCCTGAAGCGACTGAGCCACATCCTGGCGATATCCTTCGCACGTGATGACAGGGGCAGAGGGAGGGGGAAAGACAGAAAGACAAGAAAGAAGACAGCAAGAGAAAAAGAAAGAGAGAAAGAGAAAGGAAGGAAGGGGAATAAAAGGAGGAGGCTTGTTCTAGCTGGAGATTTAATAAGGTTCTTTCTTCCTGTTTTAATGGTAAATAGAGCAAAGCTTCATGACAGGTGTTCCTTTTAAAATGAAATTATTAGGCTGTGAATTGCAGAGGCTGGAGAGCAAATAAAACAAACAAACAAAAGATGATTTCTATTTCCTCACTGGAGGGTCTGTCTAAACCAATGAATGCAATTTAAAGGCAGGGCCTGCAGAAGAGCGGTCTGCATAATGCGCGGCAAGGCCCATCGTGTGTGTGTAGAAAAGACTAAAAATAAGAATGGATAAAGGGAAATCTAAAGAGAAGAGGATCATCTTGGCCCTGAAAGCACAAGGGAATTGCACTTACTGCACCAACCAGAGACAAGCTGAGAGGCGGCTTCTGAGAGCAAGGTAGGGAGCCAGTGGTGTCAGCAGGGATGCACTTGACTCCAGCCTGACAATCTGGAGTGGCCGGGGTTCCTATACTCCCCTGGCCCTGACATCTCCCGAGAGCCCCCCTTCTCCTGGTTGTTCGTTGGGACGCGACTCCTTCCAATGCGTCCCCTTACCTGGCTGCTCGGTGCCAAGCTGTAATCTGTTTTTTCTCAGTGCTTGCTCCATAATGATCCCTGACTCCTGCAAAGGCTGCAGCATGAATGAGATATGACTCCGCAGCAGCAAGTCGGTGCTTAAATTGAAATATTATGGGAAGGGCAGCCCACTGCAGACTTTTGATGTAGCAGCTCATGGCTCGGGGGGAGCTAGGGACACGGAAGCCATTGTCCACTGTACTCAGTTCCTCGTCATTTCCAGGGGAGAGCGGAGAGAGCAGAGAGCGTCAACACAAATAATTCCAACTGGATCTGCAAAGTGAGTGCTGCAAGCTGAAGATTTGCCCCCTGGCCGGTATCTGTGGGAAACAAAGCCAAGAAGAATCATTCAGTATATTTTAAATGGCTTAAAATTCATTTATATATGGCAGGCACCTGAGAGTCACTTCTGGGCAGAAAGACAAACACATGAATACAAGCCATAAATGAAAAGAATCAACCAGTTACACCATTAAAAATGTCTGAATATAATGCCAGTTACTACGAGTGTGGAGGGTGCATCTCTGAGATGGTGAATTTCTTCCCACCTAAAAGCAGGGTGACCTAGGAGGAATTGGTAGTGCCCTTTCACTTATTTTCAGACAGGCTCAAGATTACTTTCAATAAATAAGTATAATTGTTCATAATTTGAAGAATGTACTTACCTGATGACATGACTTTAAATGTCAAAAAGCTAAAAGATCACACACAAACACACACACACACGCACCTACCTGTCAAAACTAATAAATGAACCCAGCAAAGTTGCAGAATATGTAATCAACACACAAAAGTCAGCTGTGTTTTTTATGCTAGTAATAGACAATCTGGAAAGAAAATTAAGAAAACAATTCTATTTGCAAAAGTATTAAAAAGAATAAAATACTTAGAAATAAACCTAACCAAGGAGGCTTAACACTTGTACTCTGAAAACTATAAAACATTGCAGAAAGAAGTGAAAAACAAATAAATGGTGAGATGTTCCCTGTTGAGATTGGAAAACTAAAGAAGTCAATACATTGGAAAAGTGATCTACAGATTCCATTCAATCCCTATCAAAATCTCAACCTTTTTTGCAGAAATAAAAAAATAAATTATCCTACAAATAATATGTAATTTCAAGAGACCCTGAACAGCCAAAACAATCTCAAAAAATAACAAATGTGGACATCCCACACTTCCTGCTTTCAAAAATTACTACAAAGCTACAGTAATCAAAACAGTGTGGTATGCTGTGGCATAGACTGACATATAGACCAAGGGAATGGAATAGAGATCCCAGAAATATACCCTCATATATAAGGTCAAATGATTTTTGACGAGGGTGCCAAGACCAGTCAATGGGGAAAGGACAGTCTTTTCAACAGATGATGTTGGGGAAACTGGACATCCACTTGCCAAACACAAAAAACAAGAAAAACTCTCAGGAACCTGGACCCTTACCTTTCATTATACATAAAAATTAACTCATAATGCATCAAAGACCTAGACATGAGAGCAAAACTATAAAACTCTGGAGAACACATAGGGAAAAAGCTTCACAGCATTAGATTTGGCAAAGATATCTTGCACGTGACACCAGAAACATGAGTAATAAAACAAAAAAATAGATAAATTGGGCTTTAGGCCCTCCATTATTAAAATTTAAAAATTTATTCAATGAAGGACATAAACAACAGAGGAAAAAGGCCACCCACAGAAAGGGAGAAAACATTTGTAAATTATATAGTAATAAAGAAATAACAGTCTAGAATATATAAAAATATCTACAACTCAATAACAAAAACAAACAACACGATTTTAAAAAAATGGGCAAAAGACTTGAATAGACATTTCTCCAGAGAAGACAGACAAACGGCCAAGAAATACATGAAATGGTGCTCAGCATCACTAATCATTAGGGAAATGCAACCGAAGAACAATAAAATACCACTTCACCTCCATTTGGATGGCTATTATTCAAGACAAAGAAAGTTGATGAGGACGTTTAGAAATTGGAGCTCTTGTGTACTGGTGGCAGGAAGGTGACATGGCAAGCCACTGTGAAAAATGGAATGGTAGTTCCTCAAAACAACAACAGAGAATTAGCCAGGTACGTTGGGGGACTGTGCATAGTGGTGTGTGCTTATAATACCAGCTATTTGAGAGGCTGAGGCAGGAGGGTCACTTGAGCCCAGAAGTTTGAGGCTGCAGTGAGCTATGATGGCACAACTGGACTCCAGCCTGGGCGACTGAGTGAGATCCTATCTCTGAAAAGATGATGATGATAGATAGATAGATAGATAGATAGATAGATAGATAGATAGACAGACAGACAGACAGACAGACAGACAATGACAGAGCCATGTAATTAAGCATTGGTTCTTCCAGGTTTACATCCAAAAGATGTATGCAGGGATGTGTACAGTGTAGGCAGTGATAAGTCACTGTCCTGTGGAATCTTACAGGGAACAATCATTTCAGTTGTTTTCTACCAAGTGGTTAGAATATTTTATTTTATTTTTTCATCGAATTGAATTATTTTGCATAAGTTGAATTACCTGACTCAAACAAAATATTCCAACCAGTTGCTGCTTCCACACAGGTAAAGGTTTAAAGAGTTAACCAGCCTTTCCAATGTCCATGATCAACATCAGTGGGCAATTGGGACAAATTAACACCCCCCCAAAAAAAAACAAGTTTGGCTTTCTCTTATGGCCTATAAAATAGAAAGTCAAATGGGGAGAGACACAATTATCTTGATAGTAGAGCCAAAAATAAAACAACTCCTGTCTTGCAGCTGTTAACTTTGCAAGGGAATAAAGACAGCAATAAACCAGAGGCCTGGCTTCAGTTCTGTAGCTGCCTGTGCCTGTTGCTGTCCTTAATTGCCTCAGAAAAAAAAAAGAAAAAGAAGAGGCTAATTACAGCAATACTACACATTTCACAGAGGTGCTATAAAAGTAAAATGAGATAACGGACATGGAAACCCTTGAAAGTTTAGGCATGATGCACAGTGGGTTATGAGTTTTATTACTAAATAACATATCTGGTCAACGAGGGTTACTGTCCAGAAGAACTTCCATCTATTAAATTCCCTCAATAATCTAGGAAAGCATAAGTTATTGGGAGGATTAGTTGACACTGTTCTCATAGAATGTTTTCCTGTCACACTTTAGCCCATGAAATGCCTTAGATTGTGTGTGTGTGTATGTGTGTGTGTGTGTGGATGGGTACAGAATTAATGGTAAAAGAAATAAGAAAAAAAAAATATGGCCAACATATTTCTACCATGTGGATGTTTCTGTTTTGAGTCCCCTTTGAATTCTACCCTATGTAGAAGAAAGCACATAGAATTTCCATTGGGGGGTGGGGAGACAGGGTCTCACTCTGTCACCCAGGCTGGAGTGCAGTGTCACAATCATGGCTCACCGCAGCCTCAAACTCCTGGGCTCAAATGATCCTCCTGCCTCAGCTTCCTGAGTATCTGGGACCACAGGTAGGCAACACCATACCCGGCTAATTATTTATTTATTTTTTTGAGGACATGATGTCTCCCTACATCACCCAGTCTGGTCTCAAACTCCTGGACCCAAGTAATCCTCCTGCCTTGGCCTCTGAAAGTGCTGAGATGACAGGCGTGAGCCACTGCACCTGGCCACACAACACGCAATTTTGATGCCAGCAAAGAACCTTCTGTTGCCATCCCCCACACACAGAGGAGAAGGATGCCCTGCCCCCATCCCCAATGTTGTTCTCCCCCTCAGTGTTCAGCCCGAATTGGGTCTCCACCTGGGATCTCCTCTGTCCCGCTCCTGCCAGGGGCTATTTGTTAAGGAGCAGGGAATGGGGGGTGACTCACCCCACACCCCAGCTTTCATCAGAGCTGCTGTTTCTGTGTTTATATATATCGGGCTTCTGATTAAGATTTTTTTTTAAATTGGTTTTACATGGCTTTGAGGAGAGAAAAAGGTGAAAACAGATTTAGATGGTGATTGCTCTATGAGTATCTACTGTTTACTTCTTAGAAAAGTCATCTCCTGAGTAACTGACCATGACAACAAGGAGAATTAAAGTCCCTGAAATAAACCAAACAAAAGCTGAAATTCTCTTTTTGTGCTTCCAGGCCTCTCCTCTCATCTCCAGCACAAATTTAAACAAATAAAACAACCATTCCTTACTTCTCTAAGTGATTTTTCTGTTATGTGACTTACTACAAAGTATGATTCTTTGCTGGTGACTTACCAGCACTTTGAAAGAGTGAAATACATTTTTCCAATCCACACACGCAGTTGTATTCAATCATTAAACATTTCTCGTCAATCTTCAAAGCATCTCCATTCCCCCTGTCCCTGGAGGCTCTAGTAAGGGTCCATCTTTACCCAGAACGTGTGTTTTTGCCATGACACAGCTTATGTCATTTCTATGAAACATTTTTGTAATCACTAAGATTTTTAAAAAAACATATGTAAATAAACAACAGTGTACATATTGGGCTTAATCTCACTTTGAAACCAGAAACATGTCAACTGACAAGCAATCTTTTCTATCTCTGTTCTGACATAGATAGCCCTTGCACCTCTTGTCATTGGACTCATTCATAAAATGCATCATGCTTATCTTCAGATTGCCAAAGGGTACAGTTGAGAATGGGAGGTGTGAATGTTGCTAGTTCTCTGGGTAAATATTTGTACTGGTCAGAGACAATGGAATCCTACTGTACACCCAGTGGCCTTTTTCACATTCAACTTGCTACCAGCATCTTCTCTACTCAGAGATAAAGACAATGCAGATAAAATGAAATACATGAAGAACTTGTTGATTAGAAGTTTACTGAATTATCTAAATCAAGTGACTTGTGTTAAGGCTCTTTGCTAGGGAGACCAGACCTATGATGGCTGGTGGTGAATTTTTTACCTGGAATATCATCCAGAAAATATTTACTTAGAAAATCATTACAATGCAAGAAACAAATGTTGATGCCCTCAAAAACTCATAAATTAGTGGAGCTGAGAGCAAGTTTTTTTTTTTTTTGAGAGCAAGTTTTGAGGTGAACACAATGTACACTCTCACTGTGTAAACTGAGTCAAGGAAAAGCTCTATGACTGTCCTTTCTGATCAACATTTCCGTTTTTTCTACTATACATCTTTGTATTTTGCTTCTCCTACTATTCTAACCTTTGAGGATTTTTTCATTTACTTCCATTTAGCATCTTGACAAATCTGGGTGGACTGTAGGACACAATCCACATTCAATTTAATGGGAGGTAAGTCTGAAAAAATGTCCCTGTTGAAGATCTAGTTTGGGTGGAGCCCTGGATCTTACAGTCTTATTCATGATGCGGAAGCATCACACTGCTCTCGCTGTATACAGAAAATTCCCTTTGAAGAAAGAAAAAGAAAGTCAGCTCCTTTTGACAATACAGAATACAAATGTACGAGCTGTGATGAAAATCACCAAACTTGCAGTTGGGGAAATTAAGCATCCATTGATTATTGTATTAAAAACTGTAGTGTGTGAGCAAACAAAACGTTGGGCTTTCCAAGTTGTATGATAAAGTTAATGTGCTTAAGATCATCAATCTCCACTGCGTGGAGTGACGCCTTCAGTAATTTTGCTCCTGTCATCAAAGCAGCCTCTTGGGGCGGATGGTTGCCCACGCCTGTAATGAAGCACTTCATGCAGAAGCAGCTGTCGCCTCACCTGTTTGCCAGCCCATCCGAAGACCGGAGAAATTCTCCAATTTAGCAAGCAAACTTAAGTCATTATTAGAAATGACAGGGAAACCTGATGAAATTGTACTTTCAATTGGAAAACAAAATTGCAATCAGACCAACATGATTTCCTCGTGGTCTGACCATGCTCATGCCAGTCGAGACGTGGGCAAATGTATTTAAAAGTCATAATGGAGCATTACCATGCGATCTCCTTTCACCGGCCCTTATTAATATAAAACTTCAATTTGCATGTAAATGCGGTCAACTTTCATATCATCAAAATACATGAGGCCTGGGAAAGTAATGAATTGAAGTTGGATGCAGCAATTACTGACGTTTATAAAGAATTTTAAAGAGGTCAGTCTAGCCTTGGCTGAGAAAATGAGGAAATCAACAGGGAATATTGTCAATATAGCAACCGGGGGAGTTGGAGCCAGTCCCAGGTGTTGAGAGCGAGAGGATGATTAATAGAGAGGGAGCGCGTCGCCTCTCACCCATGAGGGCTCGGCCAGACCCCAGGCGCAGCGGCAGAGCTGCATGAAAAGGTTCTTGCTAGGTCCTCGCTCCAGCCGCCTGGTGGTGCGTTCCGGGGGGAATGAAGTAGCAAGTGTTTATGAGCCAGCCGTGCTGAAGGTTTAATTGGGCTCCACAGCCTTTCCGCTCCCTTCAGTAGTTGATATGCAGTTTAACCTTTTTCTCCCACCTCAGACACACCAGGGCCACTGGGATTTTAATAAGGCGCTCGCATGATGGCTTGGCTAAACATTGCCTTAGTTGCTAAATTGAGCTAAACTGCCTCATTGCGTTGTAATGGCAATTCATACGTTGCCTAATTTTTTAAAGAGGAAATATTTATCCTGCCTGCATGTTTCATAAATCCTCAACCACGTGACCTGATTTGGGGGGATTTTCTTTGCCTATTTGTACAAACAAGTTAACAGGCGATGTAATTTTAAACATGCCTGAGAAATCAATGCAGAGGTGGCCATGCTGCTGTAATTTTGGAGGATTTAATCGCAGATAATGCAGGGTCAGAGTTTGTCTTCAGGATTTGCTGGCCACGTTTTCACAATATTACACAGATAGGCAGGGCTTCTCATGACCAGGTCTCCAAGAAGCTAGAAATTACACAGCCTCTTACCTAAAGAGGCCAAGGCGGGGTCCATGTCCCACTGCTGTGGAGGGGAGCCTGGCCTGTGATGTTTTCTGCTGTCCATCTAATCTTTGCATTAACCCATTAGGCATCTCTTCCCTGTTAGGCTGTTTAAGAGGCATATACACATTCACTATAAATGCAGGTTCCTTTGGAATTCCACACACCTTTTTGAAATAAATAGATTTACTGTCTGCTGTTTTTAATTGCTTGATTCAAGGGAAGCCTCTGCATCAGGCACTTCCCATGCTTGGTTTGAGGTCACCCCACCGGTCGGGCATGGTGCCAGTCTCTCGCACCAGATTCTTCATTTGACTCTGCTGTCCCCATATCCGTCTTTCTTTATTTTTGGCTCCTTTATTGTTCTTCTTTCCTGACAGTATGCATAATTATGGATGCCCAGCCAGCTTCAGAGCTATGCAAATATGTATCTGCATTAATACATGTATTTGCTGTCTTCAAAATCTACATCCTAGACATGAGATTCCAGGTATAGAGTCTAAATGTGATCAGTGTTGAGAGCTGGCAAAATCTCAGTCTTTGAATACACAGTATCCATTAGTGACAACTGGCTTAGCACCACTTACACCCTTTACCACTAGTACTTAAAAGAAAGCTCTGGAATTCATGTTAGTAGGAAAAATTCCTGTCCCCCAAAAGCAATGGAAAATGGGTAAGGTTGAGGGTTATTTACTGAGCAGGGAAAAGATTCTCCAGGTATTGTGGGCACCCTTCAGTGCCTAGATTCTGATGCATGTGTCTCTAAGAGTTAGTGTTTCCCCAGGGCTATAAAACTTCACGTCTGTGTTTTTTTGTATACACTATCTCATTTGTGAGCTATATCTGAATGTACTTTAATATAATGACTTGCTAAGTGAGCATGCTGTGTTGGAGGGTCTTTTTCCTGGAGGGAGTCTGCGTCCAGGTGCGTGTGGGGGATGGGGAGTGGACGCTTGAGGAGCAGGTGCAGAGGTCCAGGCAGCAGGGGGCTGTGGGTGCGGGCACTGGCGCAGCTGATGCTGGCACTGCAGCTCCTTCTGAAATGAATGCTTTGTTCTGACTCAAGACTTGGCCTCAAGTCAGGCCATGGGCATAGCAGGGGTGGAAGAAGTGGGACAGGGCACTGAGGCAGTTCTCCACAGAAGGACGATGGCACCGGCAGGAGGGGCTGAGTGCTAGGCACTCAACCACACACAGTCTGGAGGAACCCAGGGATGAGCCACCCAGCACTCCCACTCAGGAGCCTGCCTCTCTCCGGAAAAGAATCAGCGCACACTTCATGCCTCTGCCAGCCGACAGATGCATTTGGCATTCCCCAGCCAGGTCCCTCGCTGCTCCTGTGAGGGCAGAAACACGTGTCTGGATGATCACCGAGGTCACAGCCAACTATAAGGCCCACCAGCCCCAGCTGTGCCCATGCTGGCATCACCCTCAGCCTGACACCTCACCTTGCCTTGTGCCTTCCTTCTGCCATCTTCTGTGTGTGTCCTGGAGCCCCTGTCCCCTGAAGTTGGGTCTTCTGCTCTCACAGACAGACACGGCTGTGGCTGCTGCAGCCACTGACTTAACCAGCTTCCAGGAACGCACATTCCAGCCCTTAGCCGCAAAGCAAGGTTTCTAATAGACAGGCTGCATACAGCTGGTGCTCAGCAAAAGCCCCACTGCTCCTTCAAACCCCAATGCTCTTGCCCATCCCAGCCTCCCACTGAGACTTTCCCTACATTCAGGAATTTTACCCTCCTGGGACTGACTTAATTGGAAGCTAATGATGCTTTTCACAAGACCTTGACTATTCTGCGAGGTGGTGGTGGCCTGAAGAGGGAGTTTCTGCCTCCTTTCAGCTGTGTACTGGTTATCACCCTGAGTGTTTTGTTTCCTTTCTTTTCTTTTCCACATTGATGGCCATCCTACATAATTCGGGACACACAAAATCATTCTTGCTGAATAGAAGAATTCATAACTGATGATGATGATAAAACAGAAGGAAATAACACAGGAAAATTGCATCATCTGGAGAACAAGATTGATTTTGGAAGAACACTGAGTTTTCTAATTCTTTGTTTCTTCTTTGCACTTAAAAAAGAAACACCTAATTGTTAAGATCTTGAGCTCAAATAAATCCCTCAATTGGTTATACTGTTTTAGGGAAGTGAAAATATCCATCCTGCTTAAAATCATTCTTCACATTTTAAAATCATACTTAACTACAAACTTTAAAGCATTTCCCATACTTGTAACTAAATATTTGACCTTCCATTTCTTAATGATATCTCTGGTGCTCCAGTGCGTCTGTTATATACACCACTGTGGTTTCTAAAAGTGAAAAGAAGATAGCATGCTGAAACTGTGGCTAGGACACAGCAGGAGATGAAAGCTACAATTGGGCATTTTCTGATGTTTCCATTAGGAACACAGCACAAAGTAGACCCAGGAAATTGTTTTAAATTGTCCTGCTAACTACATACTAATCAGGTCAGCAAACCTACCCTCTGGAGACAAGACTAACTGCACATTCACGTTCCTTCCACCTTGGGCTCTGCAACCTCAGGAACTAATCAAAGTTGTGCCTATTCATTGAAAAGAGAGGTGTACATCTAATTCTCATTATTGAAAGGAGAGGTGTACATCTTATTCTTATTATTGAAAAGAGAGATGTACATCTCATTCTTATTATTGAGAAGTGTACATCTCATTCTTATTTTTAAATCAATGAATAAACAACTGAAATTCATCCAAAGGCAAGTTACACTTTGGCACAATAATCTGACTATTGGATTCTTAAATGTAGCATAAAAATAAGAAATTGCATATATACGTATTTTAGGATTTAATAATTAATGTTCATATAAACATACAGTTAAATAATTTTGTTTCCTCTACTATGGTCATTGGAAATATTTTCTAACTTCATTCTAGGACTTAACACTGGGCATACTCCAGTCACTCAAGTTTAATTGCAGCCATTATCGTATGTTCTGACTTCTGGCTGCTTCTCCTCTTACCTCCTTTTCCCACACATCCACATCAGTTCCTGTTTGGTGAGGAGACAAGAGGCAGCAGATCTGGCTATCAAGGAGCAGACCCCACTCAACAGTGGAAGAGAGGCTGACTTTATTACTTATGTAAGTAAAGGAGAGCTATGCCTGTGAGAGTCAGCTTCCCTAAGCTAAGTGGGCTTCTATCTTGTCTAGTGTGGGGTTCAGGGATTGGCACACTGTGAGGGGCGGCAGGAAGTGGGTACTCTAGTGATTTTGCTGACATTCGTGGGGGCACAGCCCCTGAAGCACCTGCACTGTGGAAATGCATCATTGACTGATTACAGGAATTTGAACAGAATCCGGTAGATCTGTGGATTGGCGTTTGAACAGGATTCTTGGAATCATGCATCTATTCACCCTGCTGTAAAGTGACATATTTTCCTCGGTGTGCTGGAACTCTATTAAAATTCTCAGCATCTCCTTTTAGGAGCCCCTCAGCCAACACTGCAGAAGAAGCTACTGGGAATTGTCCAGGTCTTCTCTAATATTGTTGACTTTTCTCTTGAAGATGGTATTCTATTCAAAATAATCTGGTTTTCTCATTTTACACATCAATCAATGTGTGTTTGCCCTATTTGGGTCTTTGAATCCTTTGTTGAATTATCTGGTGGAGCAGTAGTTGTAGAGAAGTACTCATCAGATATTAAAACACCACACACATTATAATGAAGAGGAGATGATGGTGTTAGTCCATGATCCAGGAAGAGCGTGAAGTGCTGGCAATGGTTTAGATTACCCACAAGTTGACCAAAATAAAATCTAAGACTGTACTGTCATCCCTAACTAGTTGGCTAAAGAAAGCAATCTTGTTTGTTTTAGTCAAAGTGAAAGGTAAGCTTTTGATGACCACTTCAGGTTGTGCAGTATCTGTAAATGGAACCACTATTTCCAGGTGCCTTGCCCACCTGATGCTATTTATACACACAGAAGCACTTTCATCTCTAGAGACGATGTTTAGGGAGACATAATCCACCAAAGTACTGGAGAATCTACAGTTGGAATGATCTGTTAGATCCACAGAACATGTCCAAAGGTTATTTAAAGAGAGCTGAGCTATAGAGTGAGGCTGGTGATTGTCTTTAACAAGTCTAATTCTAAGCAATTTATTTAGGGTAGCAAGGGAAGCCTGACAGATTAGGACAAAAGTGAGCTTACCTTAAACTCTTTTTATTTTTTTGTGAGACAGAAACTCACTCTGTCTCCCAGGGGCTGGAGTTCAGTGGTACAATCTCGGCTCACTGCAGCCTCCATCCCCCAGGTTCAAGCAATTCTCATGCCTCAGCCTCCCAAGTAGCTGGGATTACAGGCACATGCCACCATGCCAGCCTAATTTTTTGTATGTTTTTAGTAGAGACAGGGTTTCACCATGTTGGCCAGTTTGGTTTCAAACTCCTGACCTCAAGCAATCCGCCTGCCTTGGCCTCCCGAAGTGCTGGGATTACAGGCGTGAGCCACCGCGCCCGGCCACCTTAAACTCTTAAGGGATAAGATATGACCCCCCAAAACTACAGGACACAAGTATGCAAGAAGAAAACACAATCATCAGTGTTTCTAGGAAATTCCGGGAATGTTGTTGACATGGTTGTGGTGGAAGCTGTCTACCTGATTGCGTTAGAATCCTATTTCTGCTGTAAAAACTCACTACAAAGTTAGTGGCTTAAAACAACATGGATTGATTGTCTTATAGACCTGGAAGTCAGAAGCCGAAAATGTGTTTCCGTGGGCTGAAATCCATGAGTGAGCAAGGCAGCGTTCCTTTCTGGACCCTCTAGAGGAGAATCCAGGCGTTGCTTTCTCCAGCTTCTAGAAGCGCCCATGCTCTGTGGCTGCTGGTTCCTTTCTCCATCTCCAAGTCAGCAATCTCATCACTCCACCTCCACTTCCAGGGTCTCTCTGACACTGACTCTCCTGCCTCCCTCTGTCACTTTTTTTGAGACCGAGTCTTGCTCTGCCAACCAGGCTGGAGTGCAGTGGTGCAATTTTGACTCACTGCAACCTCCATCTCCCTGATTCAAGCAATTCCTCTGCCTCAGCCTCCCAAGTAGCTGGGATTACAGGCATGTGCCACCATGCCTGGCTAATTTTTGTATTTTCAGTAGAGATGGGGTTTTGCCATATTGTCCAGGCTGGTCTTGAACTCCTGATCTCAGGTGATCTGCCCTCCTCGGCCTCCCAAAGTGCTGGGATTACAGGCATGAGCCACCGCACCTGGCCCCCTCTGTCACTTATAAGGATCCCGTGCCTACATTGAGCCCACTGGAAAAATCAGAAAAATCTTCCCATCTCAAAGTTAGATGAAAAGCAACCTTCATTCTAAGTGCAACCTCAGGCTCCAAACTGTAGGACGTAAACCTTTCTGAGGGCCAATATCCTGCCTACCACCCTCTGAAGCGGAGCACTTCATCCTTTACCTGATTCCTAATCTGCCAAGCTCTACCTCTTGTGCAGTCAGACATGAAATCCTCACAAGCTTCCCAGTTTACTTTGTGGAAAAGACTGAGTTCTTTGAAACCAATAGGTTCTTCCTCTATTATATCCTACATGATCATAGGAACTTTGTTCCTAAGGTAAAGAAAAATTTGAAAGTGAGATTACTACACACTATCAATATCTTCACTGAAATTTTATTTCAAAAATTGCACTTTACCCCTAGATTAGACACCCACCTCCATGCAAAAGGCAAAGCACCTGCTGAGTTGAGTCAATTGAAAACACCATTCCAGGAGCAATGCAGGGCAGTGGCTATGAGCACAAAAGATGCACAAGGGTGGGAATCACCATCTCATTTACTGGAATACCTCCACTGTCTCACACAGGGCCTGGAACATGGCAGAAGTTCAATAAATATTGATCAACTTATTGAGAGTGCATCAGCTTTGGAGGCAGAGTTCTGGACTTGATATTAACTCCGTGACCATAATAGGTTATTGACCTCTCTGTGCCATGGTTCCAAAACCATGATAATAAATGTGTGCTTCTCTATATAAGTGAATTCATGGAAAGTTCTTAGTACAACGGAAGCACCCGTAACTGTTGACTTTTACAGTCGGCTCACTTGAATGTAAGCCCCAGAAGGGCAGGGACGCCTGCTGCTTTCACTCACGTCAGCATCCCCAGCACCCAGGTCAATGTCTGTGACACTATAGCCAGTCCATAAACATTTGTGGAATGAATAAAATTATATGTGATTACAATACTTTTATGTGTGCGTGACTAAAGAATTTCTCAATTATTTTTGTAATTATGAAATATAACTAATCTTCTCCTTTACAAATAGCCACATTTTTCTTTTTAAAACTTGTTTATTTGTATTTGAAATAAAATACCTGATATGTAGTCTTTTATCCCTTACCTCACCCTTCCCCCGCCAGTCCCCAAAGTCCATTATGTAGTTCTTATGCCTTTGCATCCTCATAGTTTAGCTCCCGCTTATTAGTGAGAATATACGATGTTTGGTTTTGAGTTACTTTATGCAGAATAATGGCCCTCAGCTCCATCCAAGTGGCTGCAAAAGAGATTATTTTGCTCCTTTTTACAGCTGAGCAGTATTTCATGGTGTATATATACCACATTTTCTTTATCCACTCATGGGTTGATGGCCACTTAGGTTGGTTCCATATCTTTGCAATTGTGAATTGCGCTGCTAAAAACATAGGTGTACCTGTTTCTTTTTCATATAATAACTTCATTTCCTTAGGGTAGGTACCCAGTAGTGGGATTGCTGGATTGAATGGTAGTTCTACTTGTAGTTCTTTAAGGAATTGCCATACTGTTTTCCATAGTGGTTGTACTAGTTTACATTCCCATCTCCAGTGTAAAAGTGTTCCCTTTTCTCCACATCCATGCCAACATCTATTATTTTTTGGCTTTTAAATTATGGCCATTCTTGCAAGAGCGAGGTGGTATTTCATTGTGGTTTTAATTTGTCCAATTTTAAGACATGGTTTCAGTCTGTTGCCCAGGCTGGAGTGCAGTGATGTGATCATAGCTTGCTGTAATCTCAAACTCCTGAGCTCAAGCAATCCTACTGACCCAGCCTCCCAAGTAGCTGAGACTGCAGGTGCCTGACATCATGTCTAGTAATTTTGCTGACATTTTTGTAGTGATGGAGTCTCATTATATTTCCAAAGCTGGTGAAATACCCCAAATTTTGAAGGGAAAAGCTAGTTTGGTCTTCCACAATTCTGAGGCCTCATTATTTTCTCAATAAAAGTAACGTCTCCTTAATTTTGATTATGCTTCTGGTGTTTTCTATATAAGTGATACGTACTATTCCTGAAATGATGCTCTATTTAAAAAGCCAAAGCAAAGTACTTTTCAAATGAACACTTCTTTGTTTCCTATTCCTAATGTATAAATTTGCATTAAAATAGTTCAGTATGTCTTTGTAATGTTAGTTTATTTATAACACTTCCTCAATGGCTGGATGTAATCTTCAGAATCCTCATTATTTTACAAACAAAAGAATATTATAAACCAATGTAGTTCCAGACAGTCTGGCTGGTTAAAATCTGGGATAGCAGCCAGGCACGGTGGCTCACGCCTGTAATCTCAGCACTTTGGGAGGCCGAGGAGGGCAGATCACAAGGTCAGGAGTTTGAGACCAGCCTGGTCCATATGGCAAAACCCCGTCTCTACTAAAAATACAAAAATTAGCTGGACATGGTGGTGGGTGCCTCTAGTCCCAGCTACTTGGGAGGCTGAAGCAGAAGAATTACTTGTACCCAGGAGGCAAAGGTTGCAGTGAGTCGAGATCGTGCCACTGCACTCCAGCCTGGGCAACAGAGCGAGACTCCGTCTCAAAAAAAAAAAAAAATTCTGGGATAGTATTACATGGGACCCATTATGTGGGACTCTAGATTTGGAGTAATACAATTGAAGAATATGGAAATGAAGGACCTTTTAATGATTGTATTATACTCTAGCAGATTAATAATAATATGGTATTTTCTCAGTGCTATTTCTTGATGTGTCTAGAATATTACTAGTCTCCCACTCTTTGGATATGTCTAATCATCCCTGAACCAAGAAATTGTCACACTGTGCAAGAAGAATTTAAGGTGATCTCCCAAGAGAAGAATCCTTGTGTCTATGGAGAACCCACACCAAAAAGGGTGTCCTGTATGTGATTTATGGGAATTCACTTATTATTATCTCTTGTGGATTTTAACAATACTTATTGATTACATAATTATTGATTACATAATTATATAATTAATCAGTTGTACCATGTTAAATATTGCAGTGTTTTTAGCATATGCAAATAAGAAACTAGATTTTAAGTTTTTAAGCACAAGGTGCTTGATACACCTCCTTAGAAGATGAAATCCTCTTCCTTCTTTGCACTTGAAAAAATTGTAATGATATGCTTATTTTGTGCTCAGTTTTTAAAATATTGTTTTTTTCTTAGTAAAGAGTTGTTAATTATTTATTAGTTTTTCAGTCACTGTGCAAATAATTGAACATTTGGGAGTAGGTAACACAAGCAAGCTCTGCGCCTGGGAAGCTAAGATTCTAGCAAGACTGACAGTGCACACGCACACCAAGTAGCCAACCAAGATACAAATGTGCCTGTGCCAAGGATAATGTGAACAGCATACAACGATGCAGTCAGGATCAAAACTTGCTGAATAGTCAAGGAAAGCACTCCAGGGAATCATGTTTAAACTAAGTTGAGGTTGCAAATAATTCCATCTTGTCAAAAGCAGGGAAGAGTAAAGAAAAACAGAGGGAAGATGATGATGTTGGGTGAAGCTTCTTGAGAAGGGGAGGAAGCTGTGGGTGGGCAGGAGTGCAGAAAGGCATCACAGGAGAGACTGCAGGAGGGACAGCAGTCTGAGCTTACATGCATGAAGGTTCCACCAGGGGAGCAGACTTAATTTAAAATGCAATGCAGGAAGGCAGCAAAGAGCCCTGAGATGGTGTGGTCTGACCCATGTTAGTAAGTATGGAGCAGAAACACTGTGGGTGTATGAAAAAAGGAAGTACAGAGAAGGAGTTTGTTGCCATGACTTAGAAGAGAAGATGGTGCCTTGCTCTATGTAGGCGGCAACGCGATAGAGAGAGTGTGTCAGTCGGTTGAACATGGTGGGGAGGGAAGCCATGGGGAGAAGTTTTAGATTGGTTGATGATTCATGGTCAGGGAGAGGAAGAACCTGGAAGCACTCAACAGTTCCTGGCTGAAATCCCAGGGGAACTAATGGAACCAATTTCTAAGGCAGCAGTGAAAATGGGCATCATTGCTATGAATATATTCCAGTGTGTGAAGAACAATCACTTCAGGTTTACTTACTTGAGTTTTGTCTTGATTTCATAAAGACCTGCTTTTCTTGATACCTACATAGTTGTTTTTCTCATTATAAAATTTACTAGGATTATTTATTCCATATTTTAGAATTTGAATAATCAAGTATGTCCAAATATGTTTGATTATTGCATGTCACAAAATGATCTATTTATTTAAGCAGTATCCATATCTTTTTGAGCATCAGGAGATATGAAGATATTTCTATTCATATGAATATATATGTAGAGACAGTCAGAGCTGTTGTTTCTAGATAGAAGACAGCTCCTTAAGTGAACTAACTTGTTAGCAGACTAGTTACAGATTATAACAACATTTTCAATGTTTTCAAGTTTTGATAAAATTAGTTACATAGTTTATTAATTATAACGAGGCAATGGAGGGTGTAACTTTTTTCATACTTAGATATTTTAATATAAATCTTTAAGTAATTGGTAGAACAAGCAGACAAAAATAGAATGTGATTTTGTACGAAATTATAAAAAATCAACATAATGAACATACACAAGAATGTTCAATTTGGGGGAGGAGCCAAGATGGCCGAATAGGAACAGCTCCGGTCTACAGCTCCCAGCATGAGCGACGCAGAAGACGGGTGATTTCTGCATTTCCATCTGAGGTACCGGGTTCATCTCACTAGGGAGTGCCAGACAGTGGGCGCAGGTCAGTGGGTGCGCGCACCGTGCGCGAGCCGAAGCAGGGCGAGGCATTGCCTCACTTGGGAAGCGCAAGGGGTCAGCGAGTTCCCTTTCTGAGTCAAAGAAAGGGGTGACAGACGGCACCTGGAAAATCGCTGATTGCTAGCACAGCAGTCTGAGATCAAACTGCAAGGTGGCAGCGAGGCTAGGGGAGGGGCGCCCGCCATTGCCCAGGCTTGCTTAGGTAAACAAAGCAGCCGGGAAGCTCAAACTGAGTGGAGCCCACCACAGCTCAAGGAGGCCTGCCTGCCTCTGTAGGCTCCACCTCTGGGGGCAGGGCACAGACAAACAAAAAGACAGCAGTAACCTCTGCAGACTTAAATGTCCCTGTCTGACAGCTTTGAAGAGAGCAGTGGTTCTCCTAGCACACAGCTGGAGATCTGAGAACAGGCAGACTGCCTCCTCAAGTGGGTCCCTGACCCCTGACCCCCAAGCAGCCTAAATGGGAGGCACCCCCCAGTAGGGGCACACTGACACCTCACACGGCCGGATACTCCTCTGAGATAACACTTCCAGAGGAACTATCAGACAACAGCATTCGCGGTTCACGAAAAACCACTGTTGTGCAAACACCGCTGCTGATACCCAGGCAAACAGGGTCTGGAGTGGACCTCTAGCAAACTCCAACAGACCTGCAGCTGAGGGTCCTGTCTGTTAGAAGGAAAACTAACAAACAGAAAGGACATCCACACCAAAAACACATCTGTACATCACCATCATCAAAGACCAAAAGTAGACAAAACCACAAAGATGGGGAAAAAACAGAGCAGAAAAACTGGAAACTCTAAAAAGCAGAGCACCTCTCCTCCTCCAAAGGAACGCAGTTCCTCACCAGCAATGGAACAAAGCTGGATGGAGAATGACTTTGACGAGTTGAGAGAAGAAGGCTTCAGATGATCAAACTACGAGCTACAGGAGGAAATTCAAACCAAAGGCAAAGAAGTCAAAAACTTTGAAAAAAATTTAGACGAATGTATAACTAGAATAACCAATACAGAGAAGTGCTTAAAGGAGCCGATGGAGCTGAAAGCCAAGGCTCGAGAACTACATGAAGAATGCAGAAGCCTCAGGAGCTGATGAGATCAACTGGAAGAAAGGGTATCAGCGATGGAAGATGAAATGAATGAAATGAAGCGAGAAGGGAAGTTTAGAGAAAAAAGAATAAAAAGAAACGAACAAAGCCTCCAAGAAATATGGGACGGTGTGAAAAGACCAAATCTACATCTGATTGGTGTACCTGAAAGTGACGGGGAGAATGGAACCAAGTTGGAAAACACTCTGCAGGATATTATCTAAGAGAACTTCCCCAATCTAGCAAGGCAGGCTAACATTCAGATTCAGGAAATATAGAGAATGCCACAAAGATATTCCTCGAGAAGAGCAACTCCAAGACACATAATTGTCAGATTCACCAAAGTTGAAATGAAGGAAAAAATGTTAAGGGCAGCCAGAGAGAAAGGTCAGGTTACCCGCAAAGGGAAGCCCATCAGACTAACAGCAGATCTCTCGGCAGAAACTCTACAAGCCAGAAGAGAGTGGGGGCCAATATTCAATATTCTTAAAGAAAAGAATTTTCAACCCAGAATTTCATATCCAGCCAAACTAAGCTTCATAAGTGAAGGAGAAATAAAATACTTTACAGACAAGCAAATGCTGAGAGATTTTGTCACCACCAGGCCTGCCCTAAAAGAGCTCCTGAAGGAAGCGCTAAACATGGAAAGGAACAACCGGTACCAGCCGCTGCAAAATCATGCCAAAATGTAAAGACCATCGAGACTAGGAAGAAACTGCATCAACTAACGAGCAAAATCACCAGCTAACATCATAATGACAGGATCAAATTCACACATAACAATATTAACTTTAAGTGTAAATGGACTAAATGCTCCAATTAAAAGACACAGACTGGCAAATTGGATAAAGAGTCAAGACCCATCAGTGTGCTGTATTCAGGAAACCCATCTCACATGCAGAGACACATATAGGCTCAAAATAAAAGGATGGAGGAAGATCTACCAAGCAAATGGAAAACAAAAAAAGGCAGGGTTTGCAATCCTAGTCTCTGATAAAACAGACTTTAAACCAACAAAGATCAAAAGAGACAAAGAAGGCCATTACATAATGGTAAAGGGATCAATTCAACAAGAGGAGCTAACTATCCTAAATATATATGCACCCAATACAGGAGCACCCAGATTCATGAAGCAAGTCCTGAGTGACCTACAAAGAGACTTAGACTCCCACACATTAAGAATGGGAGACTTTAACACCCCACTGTCAACATTCGACAGATCAACAAGACAGAAAGTTAACAAGGATACCCAGGAATTCAACTCAGCTCTGTACCAAGCGGACCTAATTGACATCTACAGAACTCTCCACCCCAAATCAACAGAATATACATTTTTTTCAGCACCACACCACACCTATTCCAAAATTGACCACATACTTGGAAGTAAAGCTCTCGTCAGCAAATGTAAAGGAACAGAAATTATAACAAACTGTCTCTCAGACCACAGTGCAATCAAACTAGAACTCAGCATTAAGAAACTCACTCAAAACCGCTCAACTACATGGAAACTGAACAACCTGCTCCTGAATGACTACTGGGTACATAACGAAATGAAGGCAGAAATAAAGATGTTCTTTGAAACCAACAAGAACAAAGACACAACATACCAGAATCTCTGGGACACATTCAAAGCAGTGTGTAGAGGGAAATTTATAGTACTAAATGCCCACAAGAGAAAGCAGGAAAGATCCAAAATTGACACCCTAACATCACAATTAAAAGAACTAGAAAAGCAAGAGCAAATACATTCAAAAGCTAGCAGAAGGCAAGAAATAACTAAAATCAGAGCAGAACTGAAGGAAATAGAGACACAAAAAACCCTTCAAAAAATTAATGAATCCAGGAGCTGGTTTTTTGAAAGGATCAACAAAATTGATAAACCGCTAGCAAGACTAATAAAGAAAAAAAGAGAGAAGAATCAAATAGACACAAAAAAAAATGATAAAGGGGATATCACCACTGATCCCACAGAAATACAAACTACCATCAGAGATTACTACAAACATCTCTACGCAAATAAACTAGAAAATCTAGAAAAAATGGATAAATTCCTCGACACATACACTCTCCCAAGACTAAACCAGGAAGAAGTTGAATCTCTGAATAGACCAATAACAGGAGCTGAAATTGTGGCAATAATCAATAGCTTACCAACCAAAAAGAGTCCAGGACCAGATGGATTCACAGCCGAATTCTACCAGAGGTACAAGGAGGAACTGGTACCATTCCTTCTGAAACTATTCCAATCAACAGAAAAAGAGGGAATCCTCCCTAACTCATTTTATGAGGCCAGCATCATCCTGATACCAAAGCCGGGCAGAAACACAACCAAAAAAGAGAATTTTAGACCAATATCCTTGATGAACATTGATGCAAAAATCCTCAATAAAATACTGGCAAACCGAATCCAGCAGCACATAAAAAAGCTTCTCCACCATGATCAAGTGGGCTTCATCCCTGGGATGCAAGGCTGGTTCAATATACACAAATCAATAAATGTAATCCAGCAGATAAACAGAACCAAAGACAAAAACCACATGATTATCTCAAAAGATGCAGAAAAGGCCTTTGACAAAATTCGACAACCCTTCATGCTAAAAACTCTCAAT
This sequence comes from Homo sapiens, assembly GCF_000001405.40. NCBI lineage: Eukaryota > Metazoa > Chordata > Mammalia > Primates > Hominidae > Homo > Homo sapiens. The sequence goes on from NC_000005.10 coordinate 3,442,874, forward strand.
AAATTAGGTATTGATGGGACGTATCTCAAAATAATAAGAGCTATCTATGACAAACCCACAGCCAATATCATACTGAATGGGCAAAAACTGGAAGCATTCCCTTTGAAAACTGGCACAAGACAGGGATGCCCTCTCTCACCACTCCTATTCAACATAGTGTTGGAAGTTCTGGCCAGGGCAATTAGGCAGGAGAAGGAAATAAAGGGTATTCAATTAGGAAAAGAGGAAGTCAAATTGTCCCTGTTTGCAGATGACATGATTGTATATCTAGAAAACCCCATTGTCTCAGCCCAAAATCTCCTTAAGCTGATAAGCAATTTCAGCAAAGTCTCAGGATACAAAATCAATGTACAAAAATCACAAGCATTCTTATACACCAATAACAGACAAACAGAGAGCCAAATCATGAGTGAACTCCCATTCACAATTGCTTCAAAGAGAACAAAATACCTAGGAATCCACCTTACAAGGGACGTGAAGGACCTCCTCCAGGAGAACTACAAACCACTGCTCAATGAAATAAAAGAGGATACAAACAAACGGAAGAACATTCCATGCTCATGGGTAGGAAGAATCAATATCATGAAAATGGCCATACTGCCCAAGGTAATTTATAGATTCAATGCCATCCCCATCAAGCTACCAATGACTATCTTCACAGAATTGGAAAAAACTACTTTAAAGTTCATATGGAACCAAAAAAGAGCCTGCATCGCCAAGTCAATCCTAAGCCAAAAGAACAAAGCTGGAGGCATCACACTACCTGACTTCAAACTATACTACAAGGCTACAGTAACCACAACAGCATGGTACTGGTACCAAAACAGAGATATAGATCAATGGAACAGAACAGAGCCCTCAGAAATAACGCCGCATATCTACAACTATCTGATCTTTGACAAACCTGAGAAAAACAAGCAATGGGGAAATGATTCCCTATTTAATAAATGGTGCTGGGAAAACTGGCTAGCCATATGTAGAAAGCTGAAACTGGATCCCTTCCTTACACCTTATATAAAAATCAATTCAAGATGGATTAAAGACTTAAACGTTAGACCTAAAACCATAAAAACCCTAGAAGAAAACCTAGGCATTACCATTCAGGACACAGGCATGGGCAAGGACTTCATGTCTAAAACACCAAAAGCAATGGCAACAAAAGCCGAAATTGACAAATGGGATCTAATTAAACTAAAGAGCTTCTGCACAGCAAAAGAAACTACCATCAGAGTGAACAGGCAACCCACAAAATGGGAGAAAATCTTTGCAACCTACTCATCTGACAAAGGGCTAATATCCAGAATCTACAATGAACTCAAACAAATTTACAAGAAAAAAACAAACAACCCCATCCAAAAGTGGGTGAAGGACATGAACAGACACTTCTCAAAAGAAGACATTTATGCAGCCAAAAAACACATGAAAAAATGCTCACCATCACTGGCCATCAGAGAAATGCAAATCAAAACCACAATGAGATATCATCTCACACCAGTTAGAACTGCAATCATTAAAAAGTCAGGAAACAACAGGTGCTGGAGAGGATGTGGAGAAATAGGAACACTTTTACACTGTTGGTGGGACTGTAAACTAGTTCAACCATTGTGGAAGTCAGTGTGGCGATTCCTCAGGGATCTAGAACTAGAAATACCATTTGACCCAGCCATCCCATTACTGGGTATATACCCAAAGGACTATAAATCATGCTGCTATGAAGACACATGCACACATATGTTTATTGTGGCACTATTCACAATAGCAAATACTTGGAACCAACCCAAATGTCCAACAATGATAGACTGGATTAAGAAAATGTGGCACATATACACCATGGAATATTATGCAGCCATAAAAAATGATGAGTTCATGTCCTTTGTAGGGACATGGATGAAATTGGAAATCATCATTCTCAGTAAATTATCGCAAGAACAAAAAAACAAACACCACATATTCTCACTCACAGGTGGGAACTGAACAATGAGAACACATGGACACAGGAAGGGGAACATCACACTCTGGGGACTGTTGTGGGGTGGCGGGGGGGAAGGATAGCATTGGGAGATATACCTAATGCTAGAAGACGAGTTAGTGGGTGCAGCGCACCAGCATGGCACATGTATACATATGTAACTAACCTGCACATTGTGCACATGTACCCTAAAACTTAAAGTATAATAATAAATAAATAAATAAGAATGTTCAATTTAAGTGAATGCAGAACATTTATTAAATGTATCATATGATCAACCATGTAATTAACATAGAAATATAAATAAAATATATAAAGATTGGAAGGAAAGAAATGCAATATGGCAAGAAAAGTAAAGAAAAGATACACTTAGAGAGGAACAAATGAAACTGTTGTAATTTGCAAATGACATATTTTTGTATGTAGAAAATCTAAAACGATTTGCAAACAATTAAAATATACGTAAATTTATCAGGTCACTGAATATAAGGTCAAGGTACAAAAATCAAATATATGCTATAGATTAGCAAAGTGATGAAAAGTGAACTATAAAAGACAAATTGTGTATATTATTATCAAAACCAACAGAATGTTTAGAATGAAACCTAACAGGAGATGTGCAAGACCTCTACACTGAAAACTAAAAAATATACAGGAGGAAAAATGGAAGATGATCTATATAAGGAAGAATATACAAAGACCATATGTTGAAAGGGTTAATATTTTTAAAGGAACAATTTCTACAAATTGAGATATAGATTTGAGGCAATCCTGAGCAAAATGGCATCAGAAATGATGATGATGATGATGGTGATGATGGTAGTGATGGTGATGATGGTGATAATTAAGGTGGTGATGGCAATGATGATGGTGGTGATGATGGTGGTGATGGTGATGATGGTGGTGATGGTATGATGGTGATGATGGTGGTGATGGTGATGATGGTGGTGATGGTATGATGGTGATGATGGTGGTGATGGTGGTGATGGTGATGATGGTGATGATGGTGGTGATGGTGATGATGGTGGTGATGGTGATGATGGTGGTGATGATGCTGGTGATGGTGGTGATGGTGGTGATGGTGGTGATGGCAATGATGGTGATGATGGCGATGATGGTGGTGATGGTGGTGATGATGGTGATGGTGATGATGGTGGTGATGGTGATGATGATGGTGATGATGGTGGTGACGGTGATGGTGACGGTGATGATGGTGGTGACGGTGATGATGGTAGTTATGGTGATGATGGTGGCGATGGTGATGATGGTGGCGATGGTGGCGATGGTGATGGTGGTGATGGTGGTGGTGGTGATGGTGGTGGTGGTGATGATGGTGGTGGTGGTGGTGATGGTGGTGATGGTGGTGATGGTGCTGATGGTGGTGATGGTGGTGATGGTGATGATGGTGATGATGGTGGTGGTGATGACAGTGGTGATGGTGATGATTATGGTGATGATGGTGGTGATAGTGATGATGGTGATGATTATGGTGGTGATGGTGATGATGACGGTGATGATGGTGGTAATGGTGGTGATGGTGATGATGGTGATCATGGTGATGGTGATGATAGTGATGGTGGTGATGGTGATGACGGTGGTGATGGTGATGACGGTGGTGATGGTGATGATAGTGATGATGGTGATGATGATTATGGTGATGGTGGTGATGATGGTGATGATGGTGGTAGTGATGATGGTGATGATTATGGTGGTGATGGTGATGATGATGGTGATGATGGTGATGATGGTGGTGATGGTGGTGATGGTGATGATGGTGAAGATGATTATGGTGATGACGGTGGTGATGGTGATGGTGGTGTTGATGGTGATAGTGATGATGGTGATGATGATTATGGTGGTGATGGTGATGATGATGGTGATGATGGTGGTGATGGTGGTGGTGACAGTGATGATGGTGGTAGTGATGATGGTGATGATGGTGATGGTGGTGGTGATGGTGGTGAAGGTTATGATGGTGATGGTGATGGTGATGATGGTAATGATGCTGATGGTGGTGATGATAGTGATGATAGTAATGATGGTGATGATGGTGGTGATGATGGCCATGACAATGTTAGAATTGGCCTGCATAATGCGTGATTTATGTGGAAATGCTAAAAATCAAGAATAGCCAGGGCAACCTTGGAGAAGAACAAGGACTTATGAACTGAGTGTCACGATTTATTTAAACCTCTAGTTGTTGTGACCACTTGATATTGGTGAAGAAGACAGAGAAGACCAACAGAGACAAAGCAGAGGACCGGAAATGGACCACACTCATCACCTTATTACATTGCAGGCAGCTAGGCAACCCAGGGGTGGGAAGGACGGTCATTTTAATAAATAGTGCTAGATCAATTTGAAATCCATCTAAGACCAAATAAATAAATAAATAAATAAACCATTACCCCAAACCTCACAGCCTACCCAAAACCAATTCCAGTTGCATCACAGCCCTAAACCTGAGACTTTAAACTGTAAAACCTTTAGGAATCAACACATGGGAGTATTTTAAGAAATCTTTGCCTACTGTACAAAAGCACTAACTATGAAAGTAAATATGCATGAATTTGACTTCAATAACATTGAGAATTTCTGTTCAGGCAAAGACACAGTTAATAGAGTGAATATGCAAGCCATGCACAGGGAAAGAGCATTTGCAATATCTCTCTCTGATCACTAGTATCCAGAATACATCACGTCCTCTTCCGTATATTTATTTATGCTTCGAACTCTTGTGGCCTCTAGCTCCCTCCTTTTCCTCCTCTGATTGGAGAGCTGGGCAGATAACTGATATGCTGGAGGCTCTGCTTGCTCCTTGCTCCACAGTGGGGATCAGCGGCCCACCGAGCACACATGCTCTTCACCTGGTCTCAGGTGCAATGTCCCCTCCCCAGCAAGGCCTTCCTGTTTCAGTCCCTTACTGTGCTGTACCTTCTGTCTCCAACATGTAATCACCTACAATTACTGAGATTGGGACTGGACTCTGGGATTTAAGCTCTATGAGGCTGAGGGAGGTTGAGGTACCCAACTGGTTTACTGCTGAAGCCCCAGTGCCCATGCCAGGGCTTGGCAGTAGAATCTATTGGATAAACAGGAATTGCATTTTAAATTAATTTTAATACTAAGGCATATTTTGGTGACCCAAGAGCTGGGGAAACTCTTGTCTCCTCATTGGACACCCTGGGCCTGAGCCCCGCAGGTTTATGGTCATGGCAGCTTTCAAGTCCTTGATTCAACCAAGGATGCCACGCCTGACTGCCAAAGGGGGCCAAACAGTGTCTCACCGCTGACACCTGCCCATCAGCACAGCTGCCTTCCTCCAGGGCCCCTGCCTCAAGAAGGGAGGCTACTGTGGGATTTGGTGTCCAATTACTCTTCATTGTGAGGGTCCCTGTGCCATATAGGGGCTTCAGCAGCATCCCTGGCCTCCACCCACAAGACCAGTAGCCCCTGTTCTCCTGGTTGTGACACGCAAAGCTGTTTCCAGACATTGCTGAAGGTTCCTTGAGGGAAAAAAAAAATCACCCTTGGCTGCTAACTTCTACCCTCCGGGGACGAGATTTTGGGAAGTTGCCATCCAAAAATGGACTGTCTCTTGTAGTCACCCATACCAGTGCCATGCTGACAGAATAGGTTCTCCTCAGCTGGTTCTACCATTTTCACCCAATCATAGGTTCTCCAGTTGCTCTGTGGGGCTTGCAGTGGGAGCAGCGGGCAAGGGCTCCAATCATCTCCAAACCACACCTTCGGTTCTGGGCCTTGTGAGTGCACCTTCACATTCTAGCATCCCAACCACCCCCACAAGGTGCATTTTTTTTTTAGGAAGATTATGATTCTAAAACCCATATGCCTATAATGATCACTTATTTTGGGCTACTGTATGCCAAGCACTTTACACACCACAGGACTGAATGGAATTTTACCCCTTGTAGACATAAGGAAGCAGAGGCTTCCATAAGCAAAATGCCTGGTGGAAGTCCCGCTGCAAGGGTCAAACCCACAGGACTGTACTGGAAACAGAGTTTTGTCTGCAACTCCGCCCTCTCTGCTTTTCTGAGAACTCACAGCACTCCTGCCACCCAAGCACCATCTCTCCACAACATCCCTATTCCAGGGCTGGCAGTAACAAAACATTGAACGGTCCTACACAGTGGCTACTCACCAACCAAAGGGACCCAAAGGGACATGTCTCAGTGTCTGAGCAGGGGCCTGGAGTTCCCTGCAGTCCCAATTGTCATCCTTTTAGTTGCTAGATGGGAGGAGGTCTCGGGGATCTCAGAAACCCTGTTGACTAAGTTGCAGCATCTGGGCGCTCACGACAACTTCTATTTACCAGTTGGTACACAGATGTTTCTGTATTTTAACCCCCTGTACAGCCAGCTAATCTCCACGGTGATCCCCGCCCCCTCAGGCATCCCACCCAGAAGACCAGCCATTGTCCAGCATGCCCCTGCCACTGCTGATGGCTTCAGGTGGATACCTGGCCCAGGCTGGGCTAATGCCCTCCCTCAACGATTTTATCTCCAGGCCTGGCTGGGTACGTGACCAAAGCAGGACACTCAGATCCCTTCCCTTGGAGTCTGTAAAGTAGAAATGAGAGTGGTTCTGCTACAGGCTTCACAGATGGGAGACAGTCAGTATGAAGAACAAGGCGGTGACCAGGAGCAAAGCACACCTCCCAAAAGCAAAACTGCTATTTAAACAGCCAGAAATAATTGCTTGACTAATTACACTACACTAATTTTGGACTTAAAGATAGTACGATCAAGGTGGGTTTTTTTTCTATTTAATACTTCTTGTCACCATTTTAAATTTTTTATTATATATTTATTTATTTATTTATTTATTTATTTTATTTATTTATTTTTGAGAGATGGAGTCTTGCTCTACCACCCAGGCTGGAGTTCAGTGATGTGTTCATAGCTCACTGCAGCCTCAAACTCCTGGGCCTAAGCAATCCTCCCGCTTCAGCTTCCTGAGTAGCTGACGCTAAGGGTGCTTTTTACCATGCTGGGCCACTGGGCTACTTTTCTTTGTAGAAATGGACATCTCCCGATGCTTCCCAGGCTAGCCTCAAACTTCTGGCCTCAAGAGATCCTCTGGCCTTGGCCTCCCAAAGCATTGTAATTACAGGTGTGAGCCACTGGGCTCAGCCATAACCTATGATTAAATCAGATAGATGGATAGATAGATAATGATGAAATGTGTGTGTGTGTGTGTGTATATATATATATATATATATATGTTTGTGGGTTTTTTGGTGTATGTATGTATGTGTTGTGTGTGTGTTTGTGTATGTGTTTGTGTGTATGTGTGTGAGTGTGTGTGTATTTCAAATCATTTCCAAGATCCTTAAAGGGAAAGACACTTGAAGATCATCTATTCTCGTTTCCTCCTTGTACAGATGATGAAACCAAGGATAATTAAGCTATTTACGTTTCTATCTTTCCATGAAAAGGCAGCTCTTAAGGACAGACATTCCAGTTCGCATGTGTTATGACAGCTCTGCACACGTGCATTGCAGAGAGCATGGGGGCGCCCCAGGTGATCCCGTCCAAGGTGGGCCCGTCTAGCTGCAGCCACGTAAACTGCAGCCTGAAAGGAAGAGCCACTCACGCCCACCTGTGAGGGACACTTTGCCATTCTGTTTTTTTCTATTGTGGATTTTTCAGTTTCATGGTAGAAGGCAACATACTCTGTCCTCTCAGAATATCTGTCTGTATCACAGCATCACAGAAAGTCCCTAGACAGGTCGGGTGTGGTGGCTCACATCTGTAATCCCAGCACTTTGGGAGGCCAAAGCAGGCAGATCACCTGGGGTCAGGAGTTCCAGACCAGCCTGGCCAATATGATAAAACCCTATCTCTACTAAAAATACAAAAATTAGCCAAGCATGGTGGCACACACCTGTAATCCCAGCTACTCGAGAGGCTGAGGCATGAGAATTGCTTGAAACTGGGGGGCAGAGGTTGCAGTGAGCCAAGATAGCCCCACTGTACTCCAGCCTGGGTGATGGGTGACAGGGTGAGACTCCACCTCAAAAAAAAAAAAAAAAAAAAAGAGAAAAAAAGAAAGTCGCCAGACAGAAACATTATTATGTCCAGCTGCCTTTGTGAGCCACAAAAAGGATGGCGATTGCTTTGTGTACAAAGCCATTAGGGGCGGTGGCATTACCTAATGCAGGTAGGACTAAAATGTCACTGGATTCACTTCTGGAAAGTATCTGGAAAATAACGCGCTGGAGCAGAAATCATGGCCCACCCTCATGACCAAACTTTATCCTTCAGGGCCAGGCACTCCACAACACATGAGATGGATTCTGTACCACCACCTGTGCCCAGCTCTGGCCATCAGAACATAGGCTCTGCTCTGGAATAGCCATTCATACCGAGTCTTTCTCCACCAAAGACTAAATAAGTTCTAAGATTATTCCAGAGATCTTTTCTCCCTGAGTCTTTTAAATCACTCCTGTGATTATGTTCTGATGTTACCGTAGCTATTACTTAGCTGAGAGATAAAAAGTTATTAAAGGGACATAGTAATTGGCATTGATTATTTAAAGGGTATGAATGGAAAGGAGAAATGAACTTATTCTACCACAGATAGGGCCAGCGGATGTCTTATCCTCTTGTACCTGTGCCAGCGAAGGGTGAAAATTGTAGAAAGACATATTTAGCTCAATAAAAGAAAGACATGTCTGATAGCTTGATAATTCAGCTAAAACAGAATAAACTACTTGCATGGAGGCAGGAACATCATTCCTGGAAGTTTCCAACAGAAGCTGGGTGACCATTTGTCAGAAGCATGACGTCGGGGGCTCGTGAGGGGATGGAGTATTAGACCGGGTAATCCTTGTGGTGGACATGGGGGTTCTCCACCTGGATCCCCACCTCAGGGCTGAGGCAGCATCTCCCAGATGTTGACAATATTGTCTGCTAAAAGCTCATAGAATTGACTTGCCTAAGTTCACAACCCTTCTCAGGGGACAGCAACTGGCTTGATGACAACCTCCAGTCAAGCCGGAGGATCATCCAAGCTCCAGAATCGCTGAGGCCTCAGCTGCAGCTGCATTGAACTCCAGCTTCTTCTGCTCAACCCTGCCTCCCCACAAAGACACCTCCCCAGCTCTTGTCTGCAAACCACTGCATGCCCCACTCCAAGGAGCTCAGGCTAAGGCAGTCCCTCAGGCTCCTTTGAGTGTTTATAATTCTACCATTTCTTCTCTTTCCAGACAGAGAACACTTACAGATATGCCACAGCTTAATTCGCATGCCTTCGCTATCTCGAGTATAGCCAGCCAGAGTGTGGTGAGAACCACTGCCAGCCTCCTCTCCCTTCGGCACTCGCGGTGTGTACATCTGTGTTCTCAGCACTCTACCGGTGAGGCAGGGAGACTCCTGGAAATTATGTTCACAGGAGAGACTTCCAGGAGCCAATGTGGATCACAATGCTGAGGACATCCAGACACACTGTGCAGGGGACGAAGAATGCAGAGATCCCAACGCCGTCCCTCAATAGCTATGCATTAGCCCTCAAGGTCAGGCTCCCAGAAACCCAGGTCCCCACCTGCACATCCCTACCCCGGCTCACCCTCTACACATCACCTGTGCCCAGGAAGTGGTGAGCTGGTGAAGGAATAAATGAGTACAGGAATGAAGGAGCTTTTGCGTCCCATGGCCATTCCCTCCAAATACATTCAGCAAACTTTGCTCGGCACCCTGTGGGTCTCACGCTCTTTAGCCATATCCAGGCTGCCCACAATATTGGCTGAAAATGAATCATCTTGGGCCTAAGCAGGCTGTGTGAGGCTAGCGTTAATCATCTTCCCTCAGCTTGGTTTCCCGGAGCTGGGGCAGACCCTCACCCGGGCACTGTCTCAGGCAAATGGCTTCCAATTGTTTCTTACTTGCCATATAATGTCCTATTGTGGCATCACAGGCATGTCATAAAAATGCAGGACGCCAAACTGGAAGGAACTTTAGAAGTTTTCCAGCGTGTTCCCCTCAGACCCACAGCCTCCCGAGCCTCAGCCATCACCATGTAAATGCTAATGAATGACAAGCGCCACAGAGGACTTTCATCTTACCATTTGAAGAGGAAGTTGGCTCTGGACATGGGTCAGTTGGGCCATTTAGTTAAAATTTGGTGCTAATGAGAGCAAGATAGAGACTCAGGCCCCTTATGGCCAATTAACTCTGTGCAAAGAGAAAAACTCAGTTCTGTGGTCAAAAGCTACCCTCTTCAACACAGTTAGCTATTCCAGAAATATGTGATGTTGACCCCAAAGGGGAATGGAGTGTAAGGGGAGAGGCAGTTCAGCGATGATGTCCTCACAGCCTGGAGAGGCAGCTGACAGCACGTGAGTGATTGTCTGCAGGTTAGGAGATGTCTCACTGTTTAGGAATGACAGAAATAAATCTTTTGAGCTGCAGACAAACATTTTGTTTAGTTAGGTCCAGGTATCTCATTGAGGAGCGGCTTTGGAGATCATGTTTCTAAACCTTTGTCTTTGTGGAGTCATTGATTTCACTTCTTTGTTAGTTACCCACAAGGTAAACACACTTTTGAATGCAATTTTACTTTTGTTTTTCACTGATCATTTAACAGAATTATAAACCCTTAGGTTTAGAAATATCCATACAGCTCACTCTTTTTAGGTAACCAATCCGCGCTTACTGTGCCTGGTGACAAGCCATTGCCCAAGCTGTCTCTCACCACCTCTGGAAAAAGCAAAGTAGGGGGTCTCCTAAAGAGAGCGCTCCATCTGGGGGCACTCTGATAACCAGAAAGCTCTGGTTTATGCTCAGGCATAAACTAGACACATCACGAGGCGGATTTCTGTTTGTTCCCTTTTCCTAGAACAAGGATGGTTTCTGCCTTGCTTTGACACAACTAATGGAGGCCACTGAAATAATCTTTCCCACTAGGAAGGCTGTCACAAGGTGAGTGCTTGATGGTACCTGCACCCAGACAGAAAGAGGCGCCATGCCATTAGACACCTCCTAAATGCACATAATGGCCTGAGTCTCCTTCCCTCCCAGACTCTCCTTTTTTTTTTTTTTTTTTTTTTTTGAAGGCAGTGAACAATTATTTTCATCTTTCACTCTCAATTCCTGGCAAAACATTTAGCATTCAAGAAATATTTTTGGATGAGTTAACCAGTAGGTGATCATCTCACTTTCTCTGCCTAAGCATATAAAATCACACCAGATAAAAAAGCCACGCTGACAGGCCCCTGTCTGCTGTCCTCACCCAGTGAGGCCTCTGCAACGCCGCCCCTAACACTCACACTAGCACAGTGGACATCACCCACTAACACACGCTCCCGCTAGCACGGCAGGCGTCACCCACTAACACACGCTCCCGCTAGCACGGCGGGCGTCACCCACTAACACACGCTCCCGCTAGCACGGCGGGCGTCACCCACTAACACACGCTCCCGCTAGCACGGTGGGCGTCACCCACTAACACACGCTCCCGCTAGCACGGTGGGCGTCACCCACTAACACACACGGCAGCCCTGGACTCTTCTTTCCTGGATGTCCGAGGGAATTCCCCAGAGGGATCAATAGTTCCTCAGAGAAAGAGGCAACATTCATCTTCCTTGTATGTAAGCACAATATCCCCCCTGTAAGAACCACAGTGCGTTCATCCTGTCTGTAATACCTTAGGACGTGATGGTATCCAAGTCCCTCTGGAATGAGCTTCAGTTCTAAGGTTTTGAAGGGAAATAAGAAGCAAAGGATCTTGGGCCAAGTATTTATCTTTTATGAAATGAGGTGAAATGAGCCAAACCATTGTGGAATTAACTAGGAATGAAATTTAGTTTTATAATACAATTACTCAAGTTGCAGATAATAATAATTGTGAAGAATTAATCTAAGGATTTGCCCTTTCCTTGGAGTTGTAGCTGAATGTGGGTGAAAGAAGCTCTTCAGCTCCTGGAAGGATGTCATCTCATTCTGCTCCATTCACTCTTTCTCAAAGTGGATTAGCAATACAAGTACACAGTGGATTGATCTCTTGTCACAAGCCAAAAGATTTAGACTTTGTGTGCAGTAAATATTTATTGAATGAACACATAATTTTAAAAGCTACATGAAATATCACCTCAAAAACCTCTTGTTTCATATCTGTGATTCAAAATACAGCATTTGACATTTTTCTAAAGATATTTAAATCATAGCTATTTCTAAAGAATAAAATCTGCCAGCTTTTTTGCTATTTCTGAAAATAGACATTAGTCTACTTCTCAGCACTCAGGTATAGGGTACATTCAATGATCGCAGCTGAGTCACAAATGTGGATGCTTAAAATGATTTTCTCTGAGCTCTCACCAAATATTCAACACGTAAAAGCTTGCATTATCATTATCTTTTTGAGTCCGGGTCCCAGGAGCCCCTCACTAAACAAGAGCTTGTTGATTAACCTTGAATCCAGTACATGCTGCCCACTGACATAACCCCACCTCACTCTCTCCCTCAGTCCCCTTCTCCAGAGATCATCTTGAATGGGAAGAGAAGAGAGGTGACCTTTGCTATGGATGCATGCACCACAAGTGTGAGGCCCCACGGTTGCCACCAGGAATAGCTATCTACCCAGGACCTGATGAAGCGCTGTCCAGACAGCTCTGTAATCCTATACCAGCACACCAATATGTGTGCTAAACTGATCAATAATAAGATTGATACATCTTCTACTTGGGTAAGTTAATCTTCTTATTGATCAGCGTAGCAAACATATTGCTTTTCTTCGGCAGTCTTCCTCTCTAGCTCTTCTCCCCCACCTCAACGCCCTGGTTGTCTGGTGCTATCAAGAAGAGAAATAGAACAACATTTTCTACATTAAATGCTTCCATTACATCAGGATCATCTTAACCAGCTGCAAATATCTCTTAGAGGAGAGGATTTATAACTGGCAGGTGCCCAGCTCATTTTTCTGTGTGTGTTAGAATCTTGATAATGACCTGGGCTTCTCCCCGCTCACATTTAGCATGTAGATTTTAAATTAATAATGGTTATCCATTGAAGGCAACGCTTGCCTTTCCCATTACAGCACCTACAGCAAAGATCTGAAAAATTAAGACTGCAAACAAAGCCAGCACAAGGCACACACTCAGTCTATTCCTGTTGTATTCTTTTTCCTATTCAAGACAGAGTAAAAGTGGGAGACATGGGAAGCAATTTCAGAGGATAGAAAGGAGCTAGCCCCAGGCAGGGAGAATGACGGAGAGAAGAACTTAACAGGAATGCTTATTCCAGAAAGATAATCCAATTCAGGGGCCCGATTTCTCCTCCAACGTCCACACTCACAGAAGGAGACTCTGGGTCAGACGCTTCACCTCCAGTTCTGTGGCAACTCCCTCTGTGACTTGGCAATTACTGTCGCCCATACCCAGAGGCTACAGAAAAGCTGAGTTTCCTAACACCCAGAGCATTGTTGTCAGATGCGGAAGGGCAATCCAGTGCTGGAGTGCTGTCCAGACATGCAGGGCCCCTGCCAGCCCCTGGCAGGATGGGAGGAGACTTGAGAGGGGATGTGTAATGGCGCCTTCTAGAAGAGAGGCCTTAGCAGCTCTGAAAGCCACACGGTTTAACGTGGAGCCAGGATGTGGTGTCTCCACCAGAGCATCCTGCGGGAGGGCATGCGGGCTTAGAGCACAGCAGGAACAGTGCTGGGGCACCTTGGAGCAGCCCCCAGCCACAGCCAGCCAGCCGGGAGGAGGGAGGGTTGCCAGCTGGGCGAGTCTGTGGGTGAGTGAGAGCACAGGCTGCTGTGGAGGGAGAAACATAATTTCTGACCCGTGGACCACGTACTGGGGCAGACTATTGTGCACCATGTGTAAGGAAGACTATTCTTTAAAGGGAATTGGGCCTCCTGAACAGGTGGGTTCTGGAAGGCAGCAGCTGGCTCAGGTGTGTGGAGACTCCCAGTGTCAGGAGGTGTGCTGGGGACAGCCGAAGATTGAGATCTTCAGGAACTGCTTCCGAGCACCAACACGCAGGTTCTCTTTCCTGACTGCCAGCAACTTTGCCATGTCCAGGAAACATCAGTCCTGGAGCACTGGTCGGGGCCCTGCCTGTGCCCGTTTCAGACTTTGTCCGTCTGGAGGCCTGCGACACAAGGAAGGCTGTCAAGCTCCCCTTCGTCCTCCCCAGCAAGCCCTCCGAGGGGCCTTCCACATGCCACAAAGGAGCCAGCTCAAATGAGAATGCGATGGGTTTAAACCCTTTGGAAAAATGCTTAATTGGCAAATGAGAGTCAAGTGCAGCCTTCCCTCTGCCACCTGGACGTCTCCCTGGGCTGGGTTATGCCCGTCATTGAGCTGGTTTTGCTCTGCCAGGGTCCCACGAGAACGCATGCAGCATTTTGATGGTGGGATGCTGTGTCTTTTGGATCACTCCCCTGACCTCCACACTACATAGGATGGGGTCATACGTGTTTGCTGAATGATGTTTGAATAAAGACAAGTCAGAGGCTCGGCCCAGGAAAGCCCATCCTTTTCTAGAATCTCCTGGTGGACAACTTTGAGTTCAGCTTGCTTGATTTGCTTTTCTAACACTGAACTTTGATAGCTCTGTGCCTACTTTAGGGGAGGCTATTATGGCTCAGGGCTGACTTTCATACTTGATACAAGCACATGTTGCTGAATTTAATCATCACTAAAGTGTCCATGTGGGAGGAGGGGGGTCACCTTCCCCCACGCTGCAGGGACAAAGAAACTGAAGTGCACAGTCTTGCTGGAGACTCCAAGATATTTGGTGGGCAAACTGGAGGTGAGCTTGGTTCCCTGCGCTTTGCCAGGTGTGAGAGACTGAAGAATACTCAGAGTTTTCCTTGAGATTAGAACTCTGGGCAGCCCCTCTGGGGTCAGCATCTTAGAACATCGTGAACATAATCAGCAAGTCCATATAGGGAAAGGCTCTGGAAGGGCACAGCTGTGCCTTCTCCATGGCTCCATCTCGGGTGGGTGAGAGTCTATTCTGCGGCTTATAGGCAAGAAAGGAATCTTGGTGACAAACCCTCCCTATGCCAAGGGCCATGTAATTAATGTTCTAAAGCAAAGGAAGTGAAATCAAGGGCCTTTGATGAAGCGGAGAAATGCTCACTAGGCTCCGGGTTGCTCTACTTTCTAAGTGATAAATACAGTCTCCTTCAAGTGGGAAAAATGCTTCACAATATCCATTAGGATGGAGGCCAACAGCCATGGTTTAAGGACGAGCTTCTGAGAGCTGCCACTCACGGATGGAAAGGTTTGGCCAATTCATGGCATGCGTCCAGGACCAGCAGTGCCAGCTTTAAAAACTCAAAACTTCCACTTTATGTCAAAATTCCCTTGCACCTTACTCAGCCTGTATGTACAACAATCTTTTCCTTACCCCAGAATCTGAACAAGAACAGCTCTGAGAACAAGTTTTCTGCCACCTGTATAGGATTAGAAGAAAGGTAGACATCAACAAGCAGGAAGACTGAAGGCACCACAGGTGCCTGTGTGGGTCCAGCAATGCCCTGTGACCCTGGGCATCACCAGCTGTGTGCAGGGAACCACAAGTGCCCTTCCGGGGAGCTGGGCACAGTCCTTTCTGCCTGGCACTAACAACCCGGCCAGGCTTCTGTTTTCAGGGGAACGAGGCTGAGCCAAGTGGAGAGAATGAGTTATTTAAAACCGGTTCTGCCCATAGATACCTGATTTCTTACAACTATTTTTGATTGACAGGCAAGTCCCTGTGTCCTTTTTATTTCTGTGAGTTAACTGAGGTTTTTACACTTTTTGCTAAAAAGGAAAAAAATTCCTTTTCTTGGCACTCAGGGAAATCTTTCTGCAAAACATTTGCAACCAAGAGCTGGGGCACTGGGCCTTTTTCCTTGTCTTCTGTGGAATACCAATACTTTATTCTGAATCTGAGATATTCCTGATGGACCAAAAGTGAAAAAAAAAATTTAAATGAAGGAAAAAAAGCCCTCCCTCTTCTGTCAAGAGCAAAAGAATTCTCAATCTTTCTAGGACGAATGTTGGATGTGATCCTCTTATTTCACCTTTGGATAAATTCTCACTTCAAGCAAAACTCTTTTCCTTTGAAACTGCTGTTATGCAGACACATACCAAAATCACTCAAAAAGAATGTTTTGCCTCAGAATAATGTGATGTATTTAATGTATTCTGACAGTCATCAACATGCTGGACTCTAAATGCCTTTCATTTCTACGTGTTCTTCTTTCTCTATGTTGGCATTGGACATCTGTCCTTAATTAGTACCTGCTCTTGGATGGTTTTCTCAGCCAGGAATGATTTTGCCACACACAGTCACCCACAGGGACATCTCGCAAAGTCTGGAGACATTTTGGGTGGTCACCCTTGGGAGAGGGAGATGCTACTGGCATCCAGTGGTTGAGTGTAGGGATCCCATCATGCACAGGCCTGCTCCCAATCATCCAACGCTAACGTCCATATGCCAGGACAAGAAGTCTTCATCAGATAATGAGGACATTTCGCCAGATAGACAACCAGATGTTCAATCTGACACAATTTATAGTTTCTAAGCTAATACACATGACTTTGGAATAAGTGGTCAATGCCATGTCTGCATACTATATACGGTATTTTTAAAAATTTATTCACACATATGGTAGCTACCCCATGCCCACACTTTATGAGGAGCATCCCTGAGAGATCTCCTAAGGTGGAGAAGACACAGACACTCCACAACCACAAAGCTAAGAGAACGTCATTACGGACAGTCCAAAAAGAGGGAGACGTACGCAGTAGCCTGAAAAACAGATACAGGATGTTTTGCATTAAAAATAGGAAGGAGACAGGGTGACTCAATTTGGAAACAAAAGGCTGAAAACTCAACACGTGTCTTTAGATAGACAGGAGAGAAGACTATTCCTGAAACTGTTCAACGGAACAGAGTTCATGAGAAATAGGGTTGGAGATGCAGTTACTGAAAGAAAAAAAAAGAAAGAGGAATTTCACTGTGAATGATCCAAATGTAAAGACACTGGTTAGAAAAAAAAAAAACAAAACAGGCCAGACGTGGTAGCTCACACCTGTAATCCCAGCAATTTGGGAAGCAGAGGTGGGTGGATCACCTGAGGTCAGGAGTTCAAGACCAGCCTGGACAACGTGGTGAAACCCCGTCTGTACTAAAAATACATTTAAAAAAAATTAGCCAGGCATGATGATGTGTGCCTGCAATACCAGCTACTAGGGAGGCTGAGGCAGGACAATCGCTTGAGCCTGAGAGGCAGAGATTGCAGTGAGCTGAGGTTGCACCATTGCACCCCAGCCTGGGCGACAAGAGTGAGACTCCATCTCAAACAAACAAAAAATAAAAACAAAAACAACAACAACAACAACAACAAAATACTACTAAATAAAGAGAAAATGGGCTTCAGATGAATTTGGATTATTGTTGGGATTAATAAATTAGAAAAGCAAGCTATAAATTAATTATATTTTGTCTTCCAGTCTAGAGAAAATGCTAGAAAAATAGATTTCAGTTTGTTTGCATTGAATGTGCTAGGGTCACATTTTTGGGTAAAGTATGCCTAAAAAGAGAAAGGTAAATCAAAGTCTTACATTTTCAGAGCAACAAAGGAATCTGTCACCTTTATAATATTTAATATAGAAACTTAGCAATATATTGTCTACTGTTTAGAACTATAAGTATATTAGCAGAAGGCTGCTGAGTTCATATACAACATTAGCAAGCAAATTCCATTTCTTACAAATAAACACATCATATGAAATAATCGATATACAGTATTGCCCAATCACTGTGACCATCACAAGCCTTCAAGTGGAAAGTTATAGTACTCAGAGATGAAGTAAGACAGTTTGGGTAACAGTTGAGTACCTTTGGAAGCTTCGTGTTTCTTAAATTTTATTTAAAAAGACAAACCCTAAATAGCTATATATACCCAGCTCTTTAACACTGCATTTGCCCACTCTGTTCTTGGAGTCATAAAATGTCAATTAAAAAAAAAAACTTTTATTTTGTAATTTTCCTCAGAAGGATAACTCAGGATTCTCCAGCAAAAGCTTGAAATGCTGTGGGTTGATTCAACCTCTGACCTATGGTAATTGAGTCTGTCTGCCTATGTTTTCAGCTCCGAAAAGGAAAAACATGACAACTGGCTGTGTTTTCAGAATGAAAAGGGCAAATCCAACTTTCAGTATAGGAAGTCTGAGTTGTGTGGGGCAGAGGTACTGTGGGAAGGGTGCCCAGGTGCCCACATATAGTGGAATTAATGGTGAGAACTTTGATGGGTGGAGATGGTAGAACAGGCCTTCCAGGGGACAGTGGAAAAATGAATGCAAAATCATGAAGGAAAGGAGCATGGCCTTGAGTCACAAGCATGGGGTCCTTGCACAGAAATAATCAGGAGCTAAGTTCGTAAGCATTTGGGGGTCTTAAAGTGAAACGCCTTGCACTAAGCTGTCTGTCTTTTATCCTGTATGCACTAGGAAAGAAAGAATGAAGGTCCGCAACCAACACCAAGCTCTGAGAAGTTGACTTGGATGATGTTCTACCCAGCTCTCATCTAAAGGAGTAGAGTCCCCAAGCCAGAGGAAGCTGTCAGAGAGCTTCTCAGCTGTGAAGATTCTATGAGGTCCCAAAGGTTAATGATGCCAGTTACAGAAGCTTGACAGAGCAAAAGGGGAAGGATGTGTCACTTGGCTGTGTGGCTGGCTGATCTTAGGGAATGAGAAAGCAAATGTGATGGAGGTGACCAAGGGGTGACAATGCTTCACCACCATCATGAAGAGCATACAGGGGACTGGGGGTCAGAGGGAAGTGAGGATAGGGAAGTAGGGAGTGTGCTTGGTTTGGAAAATGTAGATTATTGATGCACCCTTGAGCTGTTTAGACAGAGGTGGCCAAAGACAGCTGGAGGATGGTGACTTCATATTAGGATTCAGGGCTGCCACACCACTCAGCTTCAGGAGTTACCTGTCCTCTTGTTTTCCATGTGCCTAGTGCTTCTCAGAGTTGTGTAGTGTGGTGGCCTTGGGAAAGGGTCACTACTAATAGTTTCAAGAAGCCTGAAAATCAATGCAACACATCTACCTGCATTCAGAAAAAATATCTCCTACTTTTGCTTGACTGATGTAGGTCAATATAACACCCCTGCGGAACTCACATCTCCACACAGGTATGTGGACTATGGTCACGCTCTTTCATGGTACATTAGCTGTACATACACAGCCACACTGTCAGTTTCAGGACGGAGGTGGAATACTCCATCCTGTTTGGACATCCCTTGCCCTCACAGCTCTGAAAGACTGCTGTTGCAACATCTGCCCAGGTGTGTGTCAGCCTACCTATGGGAACCTGAACCCCAAAGTCCTCTTGAGTGTGGTTAGTTCCTATCAGCTCCATTCCTATCACTCCACATCCCTTTCATGTTTCTTTCCTGGATATATTTTCCTTTATATTATTCAAGAAACATTAAATAAAAGTTATGGACACAAAATTCTGCAGGCTGTGGTAGGGTAGAAACCAATATGAATGTAAGTTAGCCACTGTGACTTCCAGAAGATGGTGAGCCAGAGGGTTGGTGCCTTGGTAACCTTCTAGCATGGCCCAGTCTGGGGTGCCTGCCTCAACTGCCCTGAACCTTCCCCTCAATACAACATGTGGAGATAATGTCCCCAATGTCAACACTGTCAATGTCCCCAGCCTTGACACTAGGGACACTGTCTCAACACATCGTATTTCCCCAGGAAGCAATGCTCAGTACACGCATGAAGGTGAGCTTCCTTCATTTTAACGAGATTCCGCTTCCTGCACTCATCCTCAGGTACCTCCAAATATCCAGGCATTCACACAAAGAGCTCCACGGGCTCATGATCTATTATTTCTGTCACATCGATAGGAATCTAAGTATTTTCCTTCATGAAATCATATAATATTAGACTCATGGGAACTTTTATTCAAACATAATTATGCATGGATCCTTACATCCACATATACAATATATGAAACAAAAGTGTAGCTGCTCTTGTTGGCATGAGTGGAGAGGGATCCCAAATTCTCAGAACCTCCCCTAAGGCTCCAAGGAAATTCGGGCTCTGCAAACCTTAGATTAACAAACCCTGAGATAGGTGAACCTGATTTTACCAGTGAGAAAAATGAGGCCTGCTATATGGTAACGGCGTTCTCTCTTCCAAATCTGAGCTGTCTCTGCCCATGTCACAGTAAATATATGCCTCTTTTAAATGCATATGGAGAAATTTTTCAATTAGTTTCATTCTCAGGCAACTGACAGGGTAGTAAAAGATGTGACTCACAGAATTTTATATCTATTATATGACTTGGCTGCAACACAGCAAATGTATTATGATATTGATTGGCAGCAACTAATAAACAGCATTACAGAAATAATGCAACCACAATAAATGAGACTGGAGTCAAACCAAAAGACTTTGAAAATGAATACTTTGGTAATTATGACCCTCTCTATAAATATAATGGGCAAGGTAGAGAAGCAATTTTTAATGTGTGATATTGTTATGAGTAATACACAGAACCGCAAGCAATAAATCCAAGGGAATTATGTAAACTATGATATCTTGCTCATAATATGGTGTTAGTTTTACATTAAAATGTTATAAAAATGAATTGTATAACTTTCCCCCCCAAAAAAAGAAATAATTAGGAAAAGCATGACAAGGATCTTAGTGAATTATATACTGCATATACAATGGGATATTGGAAAGTACTCTTTGTGCAAATAAAATGTCACATTATTCTCTCTACCATTCCAGTTAAGTAAAATCAGAATTATGACTTGTCTGTCAGAGGGGCCAAACTCAAACACCTTTTGCTGAAGTTGAAAGTTGATCAGTTTCTCTGGTCTGATATTTCAGTATGCGGCTGGTGACTTCAAGGTGATCAGTTTCTGTCTGATGAATGAATGAATACTTGTCACCAGTCCTATGAGATGGGCTTGGCCACATGCTGACATACTCATTCTAGGGACATAGCATGTAAGATCAGGGTCAGCAAATAACAACCACTCCCTACCTGAACACCCACTGAGGGCAAACAGATGAAGAGCTACTGCTGCATGAGATGAGATTATGGCTTGGGTCATATCTTCCAAGGTCTACGTAATGAAATTTAGTAGACCCTATTAGGGAAAAGTAATGCTTACCAGTATGCCAAGGCTTCTCTGAACTATAAATCCATTTATTAATCTCTGGCTAAGTCTGTATAGTCTTACTCAAGGCCATAGTTTCAAACATGATATGTGCAGACAGCTGTCAGTCTGGAGATCTAGCCATTCCTATGTCCAGCCCTGTATTTTTCTGTCCTCCAAGCATCACTAACTGGATAGCCCATAGCATCTTCAACACAACGCCCTTCCCCTCACTGCACAGAAAGCAGCCGCACGGCTGAGCCTCCTATTCTAGTGAATGCTCCGTCATCTTCCCCTCATGCAAGTCTTTTTTTTTTTTTTTTTTTTTTTTTTGCCTCTTCTCACCATTGACATTCTCAGCACTCAAACCAAATAACTTGTCAAGCCTTTCAAAATGGGCCACAAGTGAAATTTTAGGTACTTTTCCCCTGGAAGTCAGAAAGCCTCCCCAGTCATCACACTACCTGCAGTATCTTCCACCACAATCCATCCTAATGAGATCCCAGTGGAGCCACAACTTACATGCAATTAACATGTGTGAACTCTACTAAATTCCCTCAGTGCTGAGAGCGAGTTAGTCTGCTTATTACAGATATGAACTTTCTATATAATGTGGCTCCTGTCCATAAGCCAATGACTTTATCTTGTTCTCAAATATGGAAATCTATTACAGGGCTGGAAGAAAACTGGTGATGTTGGAATTTTTAAGAGACAGTATTCCTGTATATCATATTTAATGGAGTAATGAAGAGATTATTAAAAGGTACTTTCAGCAGCTCACAATTTTACCTGCCACACTGAGTTTAAAATCTAATCTGTATAAATTGAGACTCCACCACGAATTTAGTAATACACAAACCTACACATGGTTTCTGCCTCAGAGCATTTAAATCTGCCAGTAAAGAACTACTCATGCTTCTCTTTGGCCACCAAGGCCTTTCCCAAAGGAATAACAATTTGCTTCTCAAAAAGTCTTAATTTATCTCCATTTCTCTGCCCAAATCATCTTTCTTACCATTTGACCCCATGGATTTGCTCATTCTGTTTCTTCCATCTAGAATGCACTTTGCCCACCTGATCGGTTTCTGATTCACATATTTTACTTACCTATCTCAAATGTATCCCAAGTTCACTCACTCATAAAGCTTTCCCCCCTTCCTTTACTTGAATACTTATAGAATTCTATATCTCTTCCAAGTATTATGCTCTTATGAGCATTTCTGGTCAATTTCCACACTGACCTGAAACCATCCCACAAAGTGAATGACAAGGTGCAGAGATGCTGGGTTGAGAGTTGGAGGGGAGATTCTTAATGTTTCAATACACTCTAATGTTTTAACAGGTAGAACTTTTGACTCCTTCAAGTTTATATGTGGCTACCTCATGAGCTCTATTCTTTTGTAAGAATTAATAAACAATCTACCTTGTTGAGTATGGCACATTTCATAAAGATACATCTATGGATTTAATACATTTGTTTTCCCTACAGACTTGGGTCTGTAAGCAATCTTCCATTTTTCCAGGTTGACTCTAATACGTCATGAAAGCTAACATTTCACTATAAGGACTCAAAATAACAAGATACGTGGGAAAATCATTCTGTACAGATACTTGATAACCGTGAATGCACTAAGGATAAGATAACTTCATTCCAGAGAGCAAAGAGTCCTTGCTAGGTGACTCGACGTGCACTGTCTCTTTTCTTCTCTGGGGTCAATGCAGCCTGAGACAGTGCAGAGGAACCGGGGTAAAGAGAAACCTGCATACATTTGGTATTAATTGAAAAAGAGTCGGTGAAACCATGTTTAGAGTTTACTCAGGGCAGAGAACTGCTTGCGTTTTCACCAGCATAGGTTATAATGGAAAGGGTACATGAATAGACTCCTCCTAAGTTATCATCTTAGTACTAAAACTAACTTAGTATTAGAACAAAAGTTTCTCTAGGCAAACCTTGACAGCACTTTTAAAAAGCCTCAAAAAGAGCCAACGGACTCAAATAACTGAACTATGCATCAGAAGCAAATGTAATAGTATCTAAAGGAATACAACAAAATATATCAACCAAAAACAAACACAAAACCCAGTATCTGGCACTCAATAAGAAAGAATGAGAAAAACATGACTACTAACCAGGGTAAGAGTTAATTAATAAAAACTACTCAGAAATGACAGATATGATGGAACTAGAAGAAAAAGGACATAAAACAGATGCAAAAAATACTTCATATGATCACAAAAATTAAGGAGAACAGAGACATGAAAGAGAGTGATAAAAGTTCTCTAAAAGGCACATGAAACTTCCATAGACACTAGGAAGTCTGAATTTAAAATACACTAGATTGGAATATCAGCAAAATGTACATCGCAGAAGAAATGATCACAAACTTGAAGACATAGCAACAGAAAATATTAAATGTGAAGCAAAGAAATAAAAAAATAAATAAAATGCAAATAGTATTGATAATCTGTGGGACAATATCAAACAGTCTAACACATCTACAACTGGAATCTCAGAAAAAAGGAAGAAATGAAGAAAAAATATAAAAATAGAATGGCCAAAATTTTATAAATTTGATGCAAACTATAAATAGCTGATTCAACAAATTTTACAAATCCTAAGAAGATTAAAATTATAAAAAAGCGAGATATCATAATCAAAATTCTGCTACCAGCAATAGGAAGAAAACTTAAAAACAGAGGAGAGAAGACACATTATGTAATGAGGGACAAAAAAGAAAAAACATAGATTTTCTTCAGAAACAGAACATGTCAGAGACAGTAGAGACATCCTTTAGTACGGAAAGAAAGAAGAAAAAAGGAAGCAAAGGAAGAGAAAGACAGAAAGAAAAAAGAGGAGGAAAGAAGGAAGGAAGAAAGAGGAAAGGAAAGAAAAAAGAAGAGAAAATAAAAGAGAAAAAAATTCAATTTTTAAAATCTAGCACAAATATCTCTTATAAATAAAAAAGATACAAAGATTTATTACAGTAGCAGAAGCTGGAGAATTTATGAACAGGAGACATCCACAAGAAAAAATATGCTAAAATTATTTAAGCAGAAGAAAAATGGTTCCAGATAGAAATTTGGATCTATATAAAGTAATGAAGAGCACCAGAAGTGATCAATGTATAGACAGATATATAAAGTGCTCCTTTGTATATTTTAATAAATTTGAAAGACAATTCATGGTTTCGTACAAAACAAATCCACAATGTCTTATGAATTTTATAACATTTGTAGAATTAAAACGTGTGACAAAAACAGCACAAGGGATGGAAGCTGTAAGTATACTATTGTAAGGTGATGTATTCCTTATAAAGTTATGTAATAGTAGTAGAAACAAAATGGAATCAAAAAATAATAATCAATGCAAAAGAAGACAAATAAATAGGAAATGGAGGAACAAATAACAGGTAGGACCAAAAAGATAATTTAGGTTGTTTTTTTTTTTTATCTCTTTTTTTTTCTTGAGACAGATCTCACTTTGTTGCCCAGGCTAGAATGCAGTGGCGCAATCGCTATTCACTGCAACTTCCATCTCCCGGGTTCAAGTGATTGTCATGCCTCAGCCTCCTGAGTAGCTGGGATTACAGTCACATGCCACCACACCTAGCTAATATTTTGTGTTTTTAGTAGAGACAGGGTTTCACCATTTTGGTCAGGCTGGTCTTGAACTCCTGACATCAGGTGATCTGCCTGCCTCGGCCTCCCAAAGTTCTAGGATTACAGGCGTGAGACACCTCACCTGGCCTCAAAAATATAATTGTAATATGACACATTTAAATCCAACAACATCAATAATTACATTAAATATAAATGCCTGTAATGTCACAAAAGGCAAAAAATTTCAGATTATTTTTTGTAATGAAGACCAAAATATAAGTAGCCACAAGGAATGCACTTAAAATATATATCACTATATATATTCACATTTTATTGTATATATTTATAAATTTGTATCTTATTATATATTATATATGTAATATGTACATATAAATATCTATATTTTAAAATCTCTGTAAACCTAAGAGGACTGACATACACAATGCAATTAAATTGGAAATAAATAACAAGAAGATATCTGGAAAAATCCACAAATAATTGGAAATTAAATAATGCACAATAATATAAATATGGATCAGAGAATAAATCACAAGAAACATTGGAAAATATTTTAAACTGACCAAAAATGAAAAAGAAACATCAAAATAACTGGGACATAGATGAAGCCATGAAAAGAGTTAATTTGATAGGGTCACATACTTATATTAGAAAATAAGAAATGTCAAAATCAATGATTTTGGCTTCTACCCAAAAGATATATATTTTTTAAAAGAGCAAATGAAACTCAAGTAGCAGAAGAAAGAAAATTATAAAAATAAGAGCAGAAATCAATAAAAGAGAAAACGCATAAAATTTTAAAAACTCAAAGAATTTAATTTGATCACTTCAAACGATCAACACAGTTTCGATAAACGTTGGGACAAGTTGAAAAGAAAGAAAAAAAAAAAAAGAAAACACATCACCAATAACAGAAATGAAAGTGAGTACTTTCTTATAAATCCTACAGAAAAATAAAAACATATTAGGAAAGTACATTTATACCAGTAAATTTGGCAACTGAGATTAAGTGAACAAATTTATTGAACACCACAAAATCCCAAAAATCATTTAAGAAAAAAATAGATCACATAGTAGCCCTATAATGATTTTGGAAGTTGAATGTATATTAAAAACCTGCTTATAAAGAAACCCATGTTCATATGGCTAGCATGGTGAATTATTCCAAACATTAAAGGAAAATGTAATACCAACCCTACACAAACTCTTCCAAAAAAACAGAGCAGGTGTAAAAACTTTCCAACTAATTTTATGAAACTAGCATGACACTGGCACCAAGATCAGACACAGACATTATAAAAGTAAAATCACACACTAAAATTCTTATCAAAACTTTTAGCTAACTGGTTCCAGAAATATATGAAAAGGATAACACTTTATAATATATGGCTTAGTTAAGGGAGACCACGTTGTTTTAGCACTTAAAAATCAATAAATGTAATTGACCATACTAACAGACTTAGAGAATAAAAACCATATGATCACCTCAATAGATACAAAAAAGAATTTGAAAAAATTCAAGATGCATTCAAGACTTTTTAAATCACACCACAAAATAGAAGCAGAGAGAACATTCTCATATTGATAAAAACTGCACACTAGAAATAAAATGGTATTCCTTTAGCCCAATAAAGAGAACCCATGCAACCTTACAACAAACATATATTCATAGTGAAGGACAATTTTTTTTTATCATTAGGTGAACCAAGACAAAGTTGTTTGTACTCATCATGTTTTTTGTCTGTTTGTTTGTTTGTTTGTTTTTGAGATGGATGGAGTCTCACCCTGTCACCCAGGTTAGAGTGCAATGGGGCGATCTTGGCTCACTGCAACCTCTGCCTCCCAAGTTCAAGCAAGTCTCCTACCTCAGCCTCCCAAGTAGCTGGGACTACAGGTGTGCACCACCATGCCCAGCTAATTTTTGTATTTTTAATAGAGATGGGAATTCACCATGTTGGCCAGGCTGTTCTCAAACTACTGACCTCAAGTTATTTGGCCTCTCAAAATGGTGGGATTATAGGCGTGAGCCACCCTGCCAGCCCTACACTCATCATTTCTTATTCAGTATTATGCTAGAGATACTAGCCAGCATGATGAGGCAAGAAAAATAAATAAAGGCACTTAGATTAGAAAGGAAAAAAATAAAACTCTTCACTTACAGGCATCCTAAACATTTCTGTAAAATTCCTGAAAAATGTACAAAAAGCTACTAGAATTAATATGTGAGTTTATCAAGGTCATAGGCGAGATGGTCAATGTCAGTCCATTTTATGGCGCTATAACAGAAAATTATGGACAGGGTAATTTGTCATAAACATACATTTAATGGCTCATTATTCTGGAAGCTAGGCAGTCCAAAATTGATCTTTCAGGGTGTTCTTACTGCATTACTTCATGTTGTAAGGGCAAAGAGAGGGCAAGAGAGAGGAAAAAAAGGGGGCCAAACCCATCCTTTCATAAGGAAACCACCCTTGTGATAAAGAACCCATTCCCACAATAATAGCATTAATCCATCGATGAGAGCAGAGCGCTCACAACCTAATCAGGTCTTAATGATCCCACCTCTTTAGACTAGTACAATGGCATTTAAATTTCAACATAAGTTTTGGAGGGAACATTCAAATGATAGCAGTCAATATATGAAAATCAATTGCATTTATATATATGATAAATATTTAGAAATTAAAAGTTTTAGAAGTATCATATATAGTAGCCTAAAATTATAAAATACTCAAGAATTTAACAAAGCATAGGATTCAATATTGATAATATATCTAGCCTTTCCAAATGGATCTATATATTTAATGTAATTCCAACCAAAAGTCTAGCAAACCCTTTTGTAGAAATTGGTTAGTTGATTTTTTAAATTACATGTAAATGAAGAATCTAGAATAGCCAAATCAACATTTAAAATTAACAACAAATTTGGAGGCTTTCTAATATATAACTTTAAGCATTACTCTAAAATTAGTAATTAGGACAGCGTGGTATTGGTATAAGAATACATATATAAATTAACTGAACATAATGAAGAGTCTATAAATATACCCACATATATATAATCAATAAATCTTTGGCAAAAATATCAGTGTAATACAATAAGAAATGATATAGTTTTTAACATATTGTCTTAGAAAAGATAGATAACCATTTGGAAAAATAAATATCATCCACTTCTCACCATTCATATAAATTAACTAGAAGTGAATAATACACCTAAATGTAAGAGCTTAACCTATAAAATTTCTAGAAAAAATATCTTTATGACCTTGAATTAGGCAACCACAAATTATAAAGTTATAAATCAATAAATTACATTTCATCAATTTTTTTTGCCTTTTCAAAGACACCATTAGAAAAAGAAAAGGGAAGCCACAAACTGGAAACCACTTGCAAATATATATCTGAACAAGAATTTGTGTTCAGAATATATTTAAAATCTGTTATATCACAATATTCATAAGACACATAATCAAATTTTTAAAAGGTAAAGTTTTTAATAGTGCATCAAAAAGAATATAGGAATTGAAAATGGTCATAACAAAAAATGCTCAAAATTATCAATTATTAGGTAAAATTCAATTAAAACCACTATAGAATACCTGTCTTCAGTCACTAGAATGGCTAAAGTAAAAAGACCGGCAATACTAATTTTGATGAGGATAAAGAGCAGCTGTAATTCTTATAAATTTCTCATGGGGATGTAAAATGGTATAGCCAGTGGGGAAATATTTTGCTCTTTTTATACAACTTTATACCTACCAAATGGCCAAGCAATTTCACTTTTAAGTGCTTTTCCAAAAGAATTAAAAGCATGTAATAAAAAGTATTTATTCATAAATGCTCATAGCAACTTTATTAATAATGAACAAAAACAAAAAAAACCCAAATTTTATTTCACTGGTGAATGAATGAATAAATTGTGGTATACCCCTATATCAAAATACTAGTCAGCAATAAACAGGACTAAAGTACTGTTGTACACAGCAATATAAATGACTCTCAAATGCATTGTGTTCAATGAATGTGACTATACAGAATTCTAGTAAAATACTATACTTACAAAAAGTAGATCAGTGACTGCAAAGGACTGAGCCAAAAAGGAGGAGACTGACTCAAAAACCACACAAGGGTATTTTGGGAGGTGATGGAAAAATTATGTGTTCTGATTCCACTTAAAATTGGTGAATATTATTGGATTTGTATTGTCTCTCAATACAGCTAATTTAGAGTAAAAATATGTAATGAAATGCTTTCAGGCAAACATTGAGTGAATTCATCCTATAAGAAACATGATAGTAATAATAATAATTAGAAAATGAAAATTCTTTCCTGGACTCAACTGATTCTAGATGTGAGTATGGTACTGCTGAAAAAATAAAATTTACCAGAAAGAACAAATATGTGGGCAAATATACAAGAATAATGAGTGTTATACACAAAATAATACTATTCTGTGGGAGACTGACATATATAAAAGAACATAATAAGATTAGAAAAAAAGGGCATGGGTAAATTATGAGATATTGTTCAAAACATAACAAAAGCAAAACTTAAGTTAGGCTGCAATAATTTAAAGATGCATATTGAAACTTCTATGGTAAACCCTAAAAAAGGTAATACAAGACTATGTAAAATTTAAGAGATAACAGAGGAGAGTAAATGGGAAAAAATATTTGATTAATTCAAAATAAGAAAAAAGAATAAAGGAACAAATAATCCAGTAGGAAATGTAGAAAGTATACAGTGAGATGGTAGATTTAGACCCAATTATATAAATGAATACTTTTAATATAAATGAGCTAAATCTTATTTTAAAAAAATTAAAAACATTGTCAGTTTGAATAAAGAGAAGCAAGATGCATATATAAGTTTTTAACCACCAAAAGTCACCAGAAATATAATGCACATGTGCTGACATTTAAAAATGGAAGAAGACACATCATATATATTAAGCAAAATAGATGCAGTGACAATAATAATAGACAAAAGTGATTTCAACAAAAAAAGTGTTACTAGTGTCAAATAGATACATTTCAAGATCATAAGTCAGGTCAACAGAGAGACACAACAATCTTAAATTCCTATGCTCCTGAAAACATAGCTTCATATTATTTAAAGCAAAAATGGACAGAACTAAAAGGAGAAACAGATAAATCTATTATTTTGATTGGAGAGTTTAGTACACCTCTCTCATTAATTGACACAACATGGAGAAGAAAATTGTATTATAAAGGAGATTCAAATAACACAATAAACCAATTTTATGTGACTGACACACAGCCTAAGCCTGACAACTGCAGGGGTAGCACTTTTCTTCCGTGTATGTGGAAGGTTTTTAAAAACAGATCATGCTCTGGTCCATAAAGCAGGAATCAACAAAATTTAGAGGATTGAAAGCACACAGTTACGGTATTTAAAAATAGTAGCAATAAACTAGCAATCAATAACTAAAATATAACAAAGAAGTCTACAGCTCTTTGGAAATTAAGCAACATTATTCTAAATAATATATGCAAAAAAGAAGAAATCACAGTGAAAAATTAAAAATATTTTGAACCAAAACATATTAAATGTTCAACATTATTAAAACTTTTTAGGTGTACTACAGTGGCACTTAGAAAGAAATTGACAGCTTCAAATGCATACCTTGGAAAACAAGAAATATATAAAATTAATGATGTAAGCTACCAACTCAAAATCTACAAGACTATGAATAATTAAATGAAAGATACAAGCAGAAGTCAAGGAAATAGGAAACTGGCATATAATAGAAGACATCAACAAAGTCTAAGGGTAGCTCTTGGAAAAGATTAATAAAATAAATAACCCCTAGCAAGATAGATTTTTTAAAGCCAAAATAATCTAATTAGCAGCATAAGAAATGAAAAGGAAGCTATTACAACAATTTTCTTAAATTTTAGAAAAATATAAATAATGAGGATATTATAAACTAATTTATGCTGATAAATTTGACAGTGTAGAGGAAATTAACAAATTCATTTTAAAAAGTATCAAAATGAACACAAGAAATAGACAAAGTATTAGTTCTATATCTACTTTTTTTAATGAACACATAATTTTTAAATTTCTATAGAAAATGTCACAGACTCAGATGTTCTCACTGCTTAATTCTTCCACTTATTTAAGAAGAAAATAATACTACATTTATACAAACTCCTTCAAAAAACAGAGAAAAGGGAAACATATTACAATTTGTTTCTGAGGTCGGCATAACCCTGACACCAAAACTTGGCAAAAACATGGCAGAAAAAGAAAATCAGAGGCCAATATCTCTCATGAGCACATCATTATGAAGCTAAACAAAATATTAGCAAATCAAACTTGATGATATGTAAAATAAATAAATATCATAACCAAGTGAAGTTTATTCCAGGAAGGCAAGGTTGGTTTAACATTTGAATATCAAACAATGCAATTCATTTTATTAGCAAAAAGAAAAAAATGGATATGATTAAGTAAATATATGCCAAAATCTTTGAGACAGACTTCACTGCCCTAGGATAACTTAAAAAAAAATAGAACATTCTCAATCCCATAAGAAAAATCTATAAAACATGAACAGGAAACATAATTCTTATTGGTAAATTATCAAATATTTGTCCTCTGATGGTTGGGAAAAAGACACAAATGGCCACTATCATATTATATTATCAGTATAACATTATAGTGGGGATCCCAGCCAGATTAATAATGAAAGAAAATAAGAATAAAATGTATACTTATGGGGAAAATATAACAAAGAAGTGTACAGCTCTTTAGAAATTAAACATTATTCTAAATAACATATGCATAAAAGAAGAAATCACAATGACAAATTAAAAATATTTTGAACCAAAATATATTAAACGCCCAATATTATTAAAACTTTTTAGATATACAACAGTGGCCCTTAGAAAGAAATTGACAGCTTTCTTATGGAAAAGGAAAAAGCAAGCCTGTCATTTTTGCAGATCGCTTGATTGCATATAGAGAAAATACAAAAGGATCTATAAACAAACTATTGAAATTAGGAAGTGAGTTGTCAAAATATTGCTGGATACAAGATTCATATACAAAACTCAATAATATTTCCATATACTAGCAACAAATGATTGAAAATTAAAATTAAAATACAATTTATAACAGTAAATCAAAATCACCAAATGTTTAGAAATAATCCTGCCAAAGTATGTTAGGTTTATTCCTAACCTAACATGTAAATAAATGGAGAGATAGACCATGCTCTTGATTGGAGGTCTCAGTTGTATTCAGATGTCAGTTCTCCATATATTGATGCCATTCAACACATTCAATGTAATCAGAATTTAAATTTTCACTGGCTTTTTGAAGAAAATTGACAAGATTATTTTAAAATTTACATGGAAATGCAAAGGACTTAGAATATAATATGATCCTAAACAACAAACATGTTAGTGAATTTGTAGTAACAGAGATTAAGTCTCTCTATAAAGGTACAGAAATCAAAACAGAGAAATATTGTCCAAAGGTAGACAATAGATCATTGCACAGAAGAGTGTTCAGAAACACACACACACACATACAAACATACACAAATCACCTGATTTATGAAAAAGGCACCATTGAAATTCACTGGAAAAAGGATGCTCTTTCAGTAAATAGTGGTGAAGATGTTATGTATCCATAAGGGGAAAAATAAGTCTTGGCCCTTTCATCACATAATTATTTTTAAATATGTCTTAGAATGAATTAATAATTAATGCAAACATTATTTTTTTAAATGTCTTAGGACGAATTGTGGAGAGTAAAATAATAAAGCTTCAGGAATAAAACATAGGAAATTATCTTTATGTCCTTGGGGTAGGCCAAGATTTCTTAAACAGGACATATACAGAAAAAGCAAATATGATAATAAAATAAAAAAAGACGATTTATACTTTATTAATATGAAGAACTTCTGTTCATGGAAAAACTCCATTAAAAAAAATAAAAAAAAAAAGCCACAGTCTAGGATAAGGCATTTGCAATACAGCAAAAGATTCTTGTTTAGAATATATTTTAAAAAGCACCTGTAAATCAATTTAAAAAACTACCAATTTTTTTATCAGCAAAAAGCATTGAGCAGTCACTTTACAGAAAAGAATATCCAAATGGTGAGCAAGCTATGAAAAGCTCAATGTCAATACAAATCAGTTACACTCAAGTTAAACCACAATGTGATACTACCAGATACACACCCCCCAGGATGGCTAAAATTAGGACCCAAAGTACCAAGTGTGGATGGATGTGGGGAGCAACTGTCACTCATGCATTCTTGGTTGAAATGCAACTTGGCACAATGTCTTTGCTTTGGCTGTATCCACCAAAAACAAACATACGCCCACCACAGAACCCACTCCTAGATTCATATCCATGAGAAACTAGTACAAATGTGCACCAATGTCTGATACAACTATACTTGTAAAAATCCAACTGTACTTATAGCAATCCAACAAGGGAACAACTCAAATGTTCATCAACAGTATAGACAATAAATAAATTTTGGCATATTTATCCAATAAATATTAAGGGTGAACTACTCAGTGCAATAGATAGACATTGACCAACAGACAAACACAGAGGAATACACATTGTGTGAGACCATTTATCTGGAATTCAACAAAGGTCCTGAAGGGCAGCATGAAAATACATAGGGAAGGAAAAGTAACCATGTTTATTGGCAGGGAATTCTTCTGAGGTTTGAAAAAAAACTCTAGTTGTTAATCTATATGCTAAATAAAATCCCTTGAGATGTACAGTTATGATCTGTGTGTATACACATATGTTTATGTATGCATATGTTTATGTGTGCATATGGTTTTTTTCCTACTATTTTTGGCATAAAAGAAAATCTAGCTCTAACTTTATATTATTTCCATGGAAGGAAATTTCATCCAGTCATTCCTGGGGATGCTTCTCCCTCCCAGGTTCCTGGGAAAGCTGTGGGGTTTCGTTCTCCTTAGGACGCAAGGGGATGGTGGCCTTCCTGCCATGTGGTCCTTTGTGGTTAAAGAGAGTGTGGTCTTCTTTAAGTTTTAGGGTACCTGTGCACAACGTGCAGGTTTGTTACCTATGTATACATATGCCATGTTGGTGTGCTGCACCCATTAACTCATCATTTAGCATTAGGTATATCTCCTAATGCTATCCCTCCCACCTCCCCCCACCCCACAACAGTCCCCGGTGTGTGATGTTCCCCTTCCTGTGTCCATGTGTTCTCATTGTTCAATTCCCACCTATGAGTGAGAACATGAGGTGTTTGGTTTTTTGTCCTTGAGATAGTTTGCTGAGAATGATGGTTTCCAGCTTCATCCATGTCTCTACAAAGGACATGAACTCATCACTTTTTTATGGCTGCATAGTATTCCATGGTGTATATGTGCCACATTTTCTTAATCCAGTCTATAATTGTTGGACATTTGGGTTGGTTCCAAGTCTTTGCTATTGTGAATAGTGCCGCAATAAACATACGTGTGCATGTGTCTTTATAGCAGCATGATTTATAATCCTTTGGGTATATACCCAGTAATAGGATGGCTGGGTCAAATGGTATTTCTAGTTCTAGATCCCTTAAAGTATAATAATAATAATAAAATACAAGAATCTGGGCACACAGTTATAGAAACTTGGTGGGGGGAATATAAGTTAATGTTCAATAAAGAGGAAGAAAAAAAAAAAAGACAGTGTGGTCTTCGCTCAGCCCACGGGGTCCCCTGAGGGCAGCTGGCCAGGCCTGCTTTCACTTGCTTGACAGAAGCTCTCTACTGGAGCTGGAATTCCACTGACAAGAGTTCCCTCTCCCCAGTGTTCTCTAGAAGCCATCTGCCTCTGAAGCCCTACCAGGGAACAGAGACAAACTAAGAACCGAAAACCATTGTCCCTGCACTAGTCTTGGGGGACATCTCAGACTTGCCGCCCATCTTGTTTAATTGCAAGGCAAAGTCTTTTCCTTACACACACACACACACACAGACATACACACCACCCTCATCACCACCTTCCATCCACCTTAACTGGCTGCAAAGTTTTGGAAACAGAAGCTGAGAAAGGATGGAAGGTGCCCTCAGGAAACAGTTGCTTTCAACAGTGAAATTCCAAAAGTTGGTGCAAGAGAATGCAAAAGGGAACTACTTTATTACTGTTTCTAATCAGAATGAGAAAAATACAGTAATGAAGCAGAAACATATGCCTCTTTAACTTAGCTATCCTTCCAATTTATCTCTATGCAAACCCCTTTTCAAGTGGTGAGCATCTGCTTTCATGTCTGTGCCTGTTACTGTGATGAGCTCCCTGCGACAGGACCTGGAGACCTCTGAGGCCACTATCTCTAAGCACATCACAGGAGCTTAAGGTAGACCTTCAGCAATGCTCCTCTTCCAGCCTTGATTTATCTATGGCACACGAAAGAGTACTGCCTGCCTATAAGAAATCATTTACTGTGCATTCTCAGTTCCCTAAATGCTACTGTGAATCTCCAATATCTTAAATGTTGTCTCCTAATTTTTTTGTTACTGAGAGTTCCAGCCTCTCTCAAAGGTCTCCCTGCATCCTCACTGTTCCCTCCTGCCTGGTGCTTTATTTCATCACCATCAAAGTCAATACAAAGCCTCCTGTAATTCATCATGACAAACAAATTTGTTTCCAGCTCGCAAAAGTACAAAAATAGTGTTGACGTTGGTATTCGTTGGAAATTTAGATCTGACCAATTTATTACAGTGTTCCATATATTTTGGGATAATTTTTTTTCTTTTTTCTGACTTTCATATTTATTTATTTTTATTATACTTTAACTTCTGGGATACATGTGCAGAACGTGCAGGTTAGTTACACAGGTATACATGTTCCATGGTGGTTTGCTGTACCCATCAACCCTTCATCTACATTACATATTTCTCCTAATGCTATCCCCCCCTTAGCCCCCCACCCCCTGACAGGCCCCAGCGTTGTGATGTTCCCCTCCCTGTGTCCATGTGTTCTCATTGTTCAACTCCCACTTATGAGTGAGAATATGCGGTGTTTGGTGTTCTGTTCCTGTGTTAGTTTGCTGAGAATGACGAAGTCGAATCCCTGAATAGACCAAAAACAAGTTCTAAAATTGAGGCAGCAATTAATAGCCTACCAACCAAAAAAAGCCCAGGACCAGACAGATTCACAGCCGAATTCTACCAGAGGTACTAAGAGGAGCTGGTACCATTCCTTCTGCAACTATTCCAAAGAATAGAAAAAGAAGGAATCCTCCCTGACTCATTTTATGAGGCCAGCATCATCCTGATACCAAAACCTGACAGAGACACAACAAAAAAAGAAAATTTCAGACCAATATCCCTGCGACATCAATGCAATAATCCTCAGTGAAATACTTGCAAACCGAATCCAGCAGCACATCAAAAAGCTTATCCACCACGATCAAATCGGCTTCATCCCTGGGATGCAAGGCTGGTTCAACATACGTAATCCATCACATAAACAGAATCAATGACAAAAATTTTTTAGTTAGAAAAGTTTTCTATAAAATCCCTCTATTTAAAAAATATATATTTTTTTACTGCCAGGCACATCAACCCCCTTATTTCACTGGACAACTGAACAAATACAACAGAGAATCCAGATTTACATTCAGTGGAACAGAATGTAAATCGTGCTTTCTCTTCATCACCAAGTGCCTGAAATGGCAGTTCATCCTGATTACTTCAGACAGAGTCTGTACAACTTTCAAGTGTATATCCAACAAGATTGACTTATTTGTTTCTCTTTAACCTTACTTTCTTGTTATTTTGACAATGTAAAATAGTCCAGGGGCTAGTTTGTGAGATTCTTCCAAAATATTCATATAATAAGCAACTGACTTAACTAGCAATTTCCAGTAATTTAACAATCCAAATGGTTTTGTTATAAAGTATTATGCTTTCTTTCTAAAACTGAAAAGTAAACATTTTGATGCCAATTATTAGAGGTTTTTATTTACATTGTTTTATACGGCTAATGACACCTTTTTTTTTTTTTTTTTTTGAGACAGAGTCTCGCTCTGTTGCTAAGCTGGAGTGCAGTGGCGCGATCTCGGTTCACTGCAACCTCTGCCTCCCCAGTTCAAGTGATTCTCCTGCCTCAGCCTCCCGAGTAGCTGGGACTACAGGAGTGCACCACCATGCCCAGCTAATTTATTTTGTATTTTTAGTAGAGACGGGGTTTCATCATGTTGGCCAGTCTAGTCTCGATCTCCTGAACTCGTGATCCACCCGCCTCGGCCTCCCAAAGTGCTGGGATTACAGATGTGAGCCACTGTGCCCAGCCTCATGACACAATTTTTAACACAAGAATTACAATAGATTCATAAAGATGTTAACTAAATTAAGGTCTTTTTGTTGCTCTGGATCCCAGGATCTGGAAACAGAGGGCAAGACATAGTGATTAATAATGTCTTCCTCATTTTGTAGAAAAAGTCTTTGATATGCCTGTGGTGGACACAAAAAGTGGTAAATGAGTATTTTGTTTAGAACTTGCTATTGCCATCTACAAGGGTACAGTCTTCTGATTTCAGACAGCTGATGTGGATGGGTCAGTAGATGGATATTAGCTACAAACAGGCTACAGTAGATTTGTCCAGCAGGAACTAGGGGACCCCAAGTTTGCACAGCTGTATAAGGTAGAAGTCAGTGTGGCGATTCCTCAGGGATCTAGAACTGGAAATACCATTTGACCCAGCCATCCCATTACTGAGTATATACCCAAAGGACTATAAATCATGCTGCTATAAAGACACATGCACACGTATGTTTATTGCGGCATTATTCACAATAGCAAAGACTTGGAACCAACCCAAATGTCCAACAATGATAGACTGGATTAAGAAAATGTAGCACATATACACCATGGAATACTATGCAGCCATAAAAAATGATGAGTTCATGTCCTTTGTAGGGACATGGATGAAATTGGAAATCATCATTCTCAGTAAACTATCACAAGAACAAAAAACCAAACACCGCATATTCTCACTCATAGGTGGGAATTGAACAATGAGAACACATGGACACAGGAAGGGGAACATCACACTCTGGGGACTGTTGTGGGGTGGGGGGAGGTGGGAGGG
This sequence comes from Homo sapiens, assembly GCF_000001405.40. Classification (NCBI taxonomy): domain Eukaryota; kingdom Metazoa; phylum Chordata; class Mammalia; order Primates; family Hominidae; genus Homo; species Homo sapiens. The sequence goes on from NC_000005.10 coordinate 3,480,724, forward strand.
ATAGCATCGGGAGATATACCTAATGCTAGATGACGAGTTAGTGGGTGCAGTGCACCAGCATGGCACATGTATACATATGTAACTAACCTGCACAATGTGCACATGTACCCTAAAACTTAAAGTATAATAATAAAAAAAAATAAAAATAAAAATAAAAATAAAGATCCCGTCAGAAGCCAAGATCTGGGTGTCTTCCCCACTGGTTAGCTGGGACAGAAGGCAGTGCACTTAGTTAAGCTACGACACAGGTTTTTCATCTATTAAAATAAGGCCGTTGGGCAAGCCTTCATCTCTGAGGGCCGTCCAAATCCCACATTCGCTGATCATGAAACAGACACTTGGGGTCTGTAATTCTGTCTCCTCAAAGCCACGAGACTTGTGCAGCGGCATCACATCCCTATTGTGACTCAATGTATTAAGCAGTCATGAAAATCATACTGACAGGGGCTCCTCTCAGACCCATAAAAGGCACCACCACATTAGGCTGCACATACACAGGCCCACGACTGCCTCTTGCCTTTCAGGAAGTGTGTTTTAAAAGTGCCCACATGCTCTTTCTAAGAAGGTAACACTTCTCGAGGTTCAGAAGGAGCCAAAATGACCTCAGGAGTACCTTGTTCTTTGTTATAAAGCAATAGGGGGCACATGCCAAGACACTGAATTCAGCTTGTCAGACGAGGTCAGAAAGCAAGAGCACTGCCTGGAATGTGTATTCATCAGAATGCATTGTCTTCAGAGGTGTGTGCAGACAAATTCTGCCAGCTCCTGAAGTACAGGTGACTTTATTGGTAGGTAAGGCTGAATCTATGCTGAAGCATACCTAGGTGTGTCTAGCACAGCTACTATCTCCATCATACCTTCTACAAGACTGACTTAGTCTGCTCAGGCTGTGATATCAACTCATCACACCCGGGCTGGGAGAGGTGGCTCACGCCTGTAACCCCAGCACTTTGGGAGGTCGAGGCAGGCTGATCAAGAGGTCAGGAGATCCAGACCATCCTGGCTAACATGATGAAACCCTGTCTGTACTAAAAATACAAAAAATTAGCTGGGTGTGGTGGGCGCCTGTAGTTCCAGCTACTCAGGAGGCTGAGGCAGGAGAATCGCTTGAATCCAGGAGGTGGAGGTTGCAGTGAGCTGAGATCGCCCCACTGCAATCCAGCCTGTCACTCAGGCTGGAGTGTCACTCCAGGCTGGAGTGACAGAGCAAGACTTTGTGTCAGAAAAAAAAAAATTATCACACTGGGTGGTAAAACAACAGTTTAGCTGGGTGTTTAAACAACAGATTTTTTTTTTCTCACAGTTCTAGGGGCTAGAAAGTCCAAGGTCAAGGTTCTGGCAGGGTTAGGTTCCTGGTAAGGCCTCTTGTTTTGGCTTGCAGATGGCCTCTTCTCGCTATGTCCTCAAAGGGTGCCTCTTCCACTTCTTATAAGGACACCAGTTCTATCTGAGTAAGGCCCCATGCTATAACTTCCTTAAAGGGTCTCTTTCTGGAAACAGTCGCATTGAGGGTTAAGGCTTCAAGGCATGAGTTTTGCCAGGACACAATTCAGTCCTATCACTGACATTCACTGATGCTCAGCTGAAACCATGACTCTTCCGACCCAATCCTGGGCCAAACCCTCTGTATTGTTCACCATTTATACTCTCATTGATCAGGTGTTGCTTTGAATTGTGCAGTGTTCCCACACACACATGCACACACACACACCCACATACACATGCATACACACAAGCACTCACAGGTGTGCCTGCCACACTTCTGCTCCTATAGTAACTTGCTCTCAGCTTTTCTGAGATTTTAACTCCTCTGCCCTACAGTTAAAACAGAAGTCTTAACCTAAGTATGATTTGCATGAAAACAAAACAATTTATAAAGCTGGGGCAGGTCTCCACTCAGTTGTTTTTTGTTTGTTTGTTTTTGTTTTTTTTTTTTTTTTTTTTGAGATGGAGTCTCACTCTGTCACCCAGACTGGAGTGCAGTGGCGTGATCTTGGCTCACTGCAAGCTCCGCCTCCCGGGTTCACGCCATTCTACTGACTCAGCCTCCTGAGTAGCTGGGACTACAGGTGCCCGCCAGCACGCCCGGCTAATTTTTTCTATTTTTAGCAGAGACGGGGCTTCACCATGTTAGCCAGGATGGTGTCGATCTCCTGACCTCATGATCCGCACGCCTCGATCTCCCAAAGTGCTGGGATTACAGGCATGAGCCACTGCGCCCGGCCTCCCCTCAGTATTTTGAGGTAAATATCCTGGATAAACACTAAAAGCATCTTTAATGAAGCCGACATAAAAGGAAGAGCTAAAGTGAGAGAATATCTTTACAGTCTTCATCTATTCTGATTTCATGGCGCCTCCCTGGCAACATTCGTGTGCCCAGGAGGCTGGTGGAGGGAAGATGTCTCCACACATGCGTGTGTTCATATGGAAAGGTCCCTGGTTCATTGAGGGTGATCTGTGGTTTTCCCACAAAAGCTGCGTGATTTTCAAAGGAGAAAGTCTAGATTTCTGTTCTTTTAGATTCTCTCAAAATGAAAAAAAAAAAACAAGCTAACTCTATATTTTAAGTTTAATTTTTTTCTCCCATAAAACCAAATCCAAAATTTGAATAAAGCGACCAATTGATATATTTTCCTAGCACTTTTCGGCTCATCAATGAGTTTACCTTGGCTATTGAGATGGATAGGGCTGACTAGTTATTTTACACATATCTGTACTTTTATCATTACACAAGATTTGGTTGTAAAGTATCAAGACAGTTTTAAAGAAATAACATCCTGAAGGTAACACTTGTTAGCTGTGTATCAAATGCATTGCAGGCACTCATATTCATGCACACAGCAGGCATTTATTGATTGCCTATTTTGCACCAGGCTCCTTGTGATGGAAGTTGAGGAGAGTGGCTTGTGGTGCCTCCCCTGGCCCACCTGCTTCCTGGTGCTGATGTTCAGGGACAATTGGGGGCCACTCTGCCCATGGGTGAGCTACAAAAAGTCAGACCCAGGATGCATCATTCTTTTATCCACAGGATACACATGTGTACACACAACACACACATGCACACACATGTACATACACTTATACACACACTATACACACATATATACACACATACACACTATACACAAATACATAATACACTACACATATGCACACACATGTACACACACATGCACATATATACACACTATATATACATGTACACATATATGCACTATATACATGTATATACACATAGACATGTATACACACACCACATATGCACACACATTCACATATACACACTATACACTCATCTATACATGTTTACACACTATAATACACACTGCATGCACATATGTGCACATACAAATATATACACACTATACACTCATACACTATAATACACACACCACACATGCACACTATACACACACATAATACACACATTACACATATGCACACACTATACACACGTAACACACTACACATATGCACACACATGCACATACACATATACACACACTATGCACCATATATACACATATACACACTATAATACATTACACATATGCACACTTTCACATACACATATACGCATACTATACACTCATATATACATGTATACACACTGTAATACACACTACACATGCACACAATGCACATACACATGTCCACACACTATACACTCATATATACACACATATACACATAATACCCACACTACACATATGCACACACTATACAGACATATATACATTTATAGACCCTATACACAAATACACACACATAATACACATACTAAACATGTGCACACACATGCAAATACACATATACACACAGTACACACAAATACACATATACACACTATACACAAATACACATAATACACACACTACACATGTGCACACATTTGTACATACACATATACACACACTATACATGCATATATACACATATACCCACTATACACAAATACACACACGTAATGCACTACACATATGTGCACACACACCGCACATTCTATTAAGTTGCTCAAACTTCCCTTTCAACCATCTTAAATCAGAAAGTTTGGTATTTTTCAGAGTCTAAAACATCCTCAAAGGTAATGAGGTGCTATGGAATTTAAGGCAATTCCAAGAGGAAAACTGGAAACACTGGGAGCATCTGGGCTGTGACCCCGGAGCAAGGCAGAGACTGCCTGCGAGGCAGTGTGGAGGGAGGACACTCATCTGAAGTGCACATTCTAGCTTGCTGGTTAAAATCGCCTTCATGATGGTATTGTCACACTTTGTATCTAGGCTATCACTTTCTTTTTATGCATAAAAATTTCAGCATTGATCTCAGCAGGACACAGCCAAAAAACAGCATGCACTCTGCAACGGCTGTAAGAGCAAGGTCTCATTTGATAAAACGGCTAGGCACAATAGTTTAATCTTCAGCATCTGAAGGCATGAAAGTTTGAATTTTACAGGCACCTGTTAAAATCTAATCATGACACCACAATTAAATTGGCCAGAGTTATGATTCTTATGATTAAATAATGATATAATTCTAACCGTCGGGTGGGGAAATTCAGCTAATCAAACCACTCTACAAAATCCTCCAGATTGCAGGAAAATTTTAATGACTTAAGGGCCATAGTACAAATCCTGCACATCAGCCTAGCAGAGCTACACTGCTATCCTGGGGCTGTGGGGATTGTATCTTGACGTAAATTGTGCCTCAGCATGCATCCTTAACTTTACAATGCAAGTGTTTGCTGTGAGTTCCTACAGGCTCTGTTCCTGTTGGCTTTCCAACACAGACATTCGCCTTTAGTGACACAAGCCATGAACAGCCCTCCCATGCCCACGTCCTCAACACACAACTCTTAGAAGAGCATCACAAGGCAGGTAGTGAATCTGCCACTGTGCAAGCGTCTAATTTTCTCAGGCCCTAGGACTACAAGAAGTTAATTTATTCCTGGAGTGGATTGAGGAATCTACACCTAAATGCTGACGCCAAATAGAGCCAACAGCCACAGCTCAGTCTGCGTCTGGGCAGTGCGAGTGGATGGGGCCTTTCACTGACCTGAGAGCATTCAGGGAAACACTGCAGAAGTCTATCCTTAATAAGAGCCGGCAAGGTGGGAGGCTATCAATATTCCCTTCCAGGCTCCTCAAAAAGCGAAATACAGAATTACTGTATTAGTTCATTTTCATGCTGCTGATAAAGACATACCCAAGACTGGTTAATTTATAAAGGAAAGAGGTTTAATGGACTCACAGTTCCACATGGCTTGGGGGACCTCACAATCATGGTAGAAGGTGAATGAGGAGCAAAGTTACATCTTACGTGGTGGCAGGCAAGAGAGAATGAGAATCACGTGAAAGGGGTTTCTCCTTCAAAACCATCAGATCTCGTGAGACTTATTTACTATCACGAGAACAGTATGGGGGAAACTGGTCCCATGATTCAATTGCCTCCCACCAACTCCCTCCCACAACAGGTGGGAATTATGGGAGATACAATTCAAGATGAGATTTGGGTAGGGACACAGCCAAACCATATCAATTACCATATGATCCAGGACTTCTCCTGCTAGGTGCACACCCAAGAGAGTTGAAAATAGGTACTCAAACAAAGGCATGTACACACATGTTTACAGAGGCAGTATTTAGAGTAGTCAAAAGGTATAAGTAAATGAAATGTCTATCAGCTGATGAATGGGTAAACAAAATGTGTTCCATCCATAAAACAGAATAAAATTTGGGCAAGAAAAGAAGTACTGATACACGGTGCAACACGATAAACCTCAAAAACATACACTGAGTGAAAGGAACGAGACTCAAAAGGGCACACATTGTATCATTTTATTTGCATGAAACATCCAGAATTGGTAAATCCATAGAAACAGAAAGCAGATTGGAGGTAGCCAGGCACTGAGGGAGGGGGAAATGAGGAGAAATTGCTTAATGGCCAGAGAGGTTTAGTTTGGGATGATGAAAAAGGCTTTGGAACTCCATAGAGGTGAGGTTTGCATAACACTGTGAATATACTAGATGCCACTGAACTGTACACATTAAAATGATTAAATTTGTGGCCGGGCATAGCAGCCCACAACTGAACGAGAGGCATGTGCTCTCCCTGACTCACTCTGTCTCACTTTCTCTATCTCTCTCTCTCCCTTCTCTCTCCTCCTTTCTTTCTGTCTCTCCCCCTCTTTTCTGTTCTTCCCTCTTCTCCCACATTTCTGTCTCTCTACACTCTTCTCTCCCTCTCTTTTCTTCTCTTTCTTTCTGAAAGCAGCGCAATCCTAACACTTTGGGAGGTGGAGATGGGAGGAACCCCTGAGCCCAGACCAGCCTTGGCAACATAGGTAGGCTCTATCTCTACAAAAAATTTAAAAATTAGCCTGGCATGGTGGCACATGCCTGTAGTCCCAGCTGATCCAGGCAGGAGAATCGCTTCAGCCCAGGAGAATGAGGCTGCAGTGAACCACGACTGCATCACTGCACTCCAGTCTGGGTGGTAAAGCAAGACATTAACTCAAAAATATATAAATAAATAGAAATATTAAAATGACTAATTTTATGCTATGTGAATTTCACCGTAATTTTTGTAAATCAATTGTGAGTGTATAGCCTCCACTGTCTAAGTCTGGCCAGGTCAGTGAGGGCAACTCCAACCCACACCAGGAAACATGGACATGGAGCATGCATGCTGGGTACAGCATTTTGTCACTGTTGTTTTTTTGTTTATGTCTTTGTTTCTGCTTTTGTCCAAAAGCTCTAACAAACATCAGCAGTGGCTTTGCACCACTTAGCAGGACATCATCTCTGGATGACACCCAAAGGCACTGTCTGGCAGCTTCCAGCCAGCATGGACCAGACACTGACTCTCCGGGGAACTTAGCCCTCTACCGACTTGGAAGAAAAGAGACGGTAGCAGTGGCTCAAAGCTGATGTGATGTGGGGACCCACAGACATCACCGTGGACTGAATCAGCAGAGCAAACGCCATGAGAAGGTATCAGGCTACAACTTCCGAAAATGCAGCTTAGCAAGAGACAGCTCGATGAACAGGCATCCAGAACATGGCACCTTCTTGCAAAGAAAGGCTGACCTTGAGGAACTGCTGAGATACGCACTTGTTTCTGCAAAGAGTCACTGTGTTTCCCACCCAATACCCAGAGTGAACGCGCTCAGTGCGCGGGCCTTTGGCCAGACCTACTCTCAGGGTGTTTTCTCATGACAGCAAAGCCTTTTAACATGTTAGGACCAATGGTGCAAGACCATCCAACCCAAAATCAGCCTCTCTAGGTAGACCTGCCTTGGCTTCATTCAGAACAACAGCGTACACTCAACGGCAAGCTCCAGTGGGCTCCAGCTTCCCTGAACAGGAACACAGAGTCTGCCCTCTGGAGAGGGAGCTGAACCCCCAGGGAGGCAGAGAGGGGAGGAAGGGGGAGGGCAGAGAAGACACAGGCCTCTGTAGCCCCACGGTCTGCCCCAGGGCTGGTGGACATCGCCCTGAGTCCTCAGCTGTCACCGCTGGGGACAGTGACAAAGGCCTCTTCATCATCACACATTGTGTTCTGCACTCTCCCTCAGCCAGTGCACACAGGTCTCTCCCGCTGCCCATGTTATCACAGAGCTGGAAACGCTTGGGCCTGGCCTATGTTCCATTTCTCTGGAATGTCTTCCTTTCTTGTTCTAAAAATTGGGTGCCCTGCTAGTTTTACTGTCAACTTTCCTTCCCTCCCCTTTTTATCATCCCCCCTCCCCATTTCAATTAAATAAATGGCTTTGAGCAGAGAAAAAAAAATTGGGGGCATCCCATAACGCTGATGCCTGGGCACATGTGCCATCTGCCCTATTACAGCCCTGGCACGCTCACTCTAACCCCCATCCCACCTCTCTGCCTCTCTGCCCCTCTCTCACTCTCTCGCTCTCCCTTTCTCTCTGTCTCTCTCTGTCTCTCTCCTCTTTTCTTTCTATTCCTGTCTTTCTCTCTCCCTTTCTGTTCCTCCCTCTTCCCCCACATCTCTGTCTCTCTACACCCTTCTCTCCCCATCTCCTCTTCTCTCTCTTCCCCTATTTTTCTCTCTCCCCCTTTGTCTCTGTGTCTCTCCCCCTTCCTGTCTGTCTCCTTCTCTTTCTGTCTCCCTGTCTCTCTCCCTCTCCCTTTCTCTATCATCATTATCTCTCTCTCTCCCTCTCGCTGTCTCTCTCCCTCTCTTTGTTTTTCTCCCCCTCTCCCTCTCTCTCCCTTTTTCCCTATCTCTCTCCCTCTATCTCTGTCTCCCTCCCTTTCTCCCTGTCTCTTTCCCTCTCCCTGTCTCTTTCCCTATCTCTACCATCATCTCTGTCTCTCTCCCTCTCTCTGTCTCTCTTTCCCTCTCCCTGTCTCTATCATCGTCTCTGTCTCTCCCCCTCTCTGTCTCTCTCTCTCTCTCCCTGTCTCTCTCCCTCTCTCTCTGTCTCTTTCCCTCTCTCCTGTCTTGCCCCCACCCGGCCTCTCTCTCTCCCTCCTCTCCAAGTGGCTGAGCAAGGGGATTGCTTCCTCTGCATTATCTACCTTGAGCCCTCCAGGCCCCATCGACTGTCCAGCGATCAATATGTTTGGTGGGGGAGGGAGGCCCCCGAGCGGGCCTGCACAGCTGAAGCCCCGGGTGGCCAGAGCACTTAAGATGAGGACTGTATAATTAAGTGGAGGCCGGCTCTCTCCTGCGGCACTGGGCGTTATTAAGACGAGGAGCCCCTCTCATTACCCGGTCAAGAGCGCCGCGATTGGCCGCTGCGGTCAGGCCTCTGGTGGCCCCTTTGTCACCGCCCTGGAAAGAGTGCACTTTCTGTCGGAGCTGGCTTTGCCAAATGCTATCATTTTAAAAGCCATGAAAGAGAGGGAGCTGGGCCTAGGGGTATACACAGCCCCATATGCCGGCGACAGTGATACAAGTGTAATTCTAGACTATTAGAGTGACACATAAGATCATTTCTGCCCCGGAACATGAGACAGCTGAGGGGATTATGCAGGACAGGCTGTCACGCAATGAAATTTTCAGAAATCTGTTAACCCCAGCTCAGACCCAGTGAATATTTTATTGCTTAACACTGAGAAAAAGTATATTTATTAACTATAGAAAGATCCAGCCCAGAGGCTGGGCAGATGAAAGGTGGGAGAAGCAGAACCCACTTGACACCAGCAGGAAGGCTCGAAGCAAGGTGGTGCGTGGGGCAGGGACCCTAACCCATTCAGCCGGGCCTGGAGGCTCTCGGGATTAAATCCCATGGGGAGGGCAGAGGGAGCCCGGACCGGCCTGCAGGAAACACTCGGGCTGGACCATTCCAAGACATTAGAGGAAGCCACATCACACGTATCTGGCAGTGGAAAAACCATACACCTCTGGCCAGGGAGGGAGGCAGATTTCAGGAGTAGATTTTGTCTGGTCGTATTTTCTTGGAAAAATGAAAATCCAGACTCTATGTTGGACTCCAACTGTTTTTAATCCTAATAGAAAGGATAGTTTTTATTTTTGCAGGAAAATGGGAAACAAAGCATGACTTAGAATCACAGACTTTAAGAGGAGAAGGCTGCTGTCTGTGTGATACCCACATGAGATGCATCGTCAATGCAGAAATATCTCAGTAAAAACACTTCAGACTCCTTCCCTGCAGGGTGATTTCGGAAAAGGCAAAGTGCTGGCAATCTAGGTTGCCAGGAGAAGTTGGGGAAGCACACTGGGGTCTCCCCACCGTGCAGCAAGGAGAGGGAAGGGAGCCTAGGTCTGCATCCCTGTGGGCTCTCTTAGGCAAGCCGACTGCCCCGCACACCCTGTTCCCTCCCATCTTGGCCAGGGAAACTGAGTCAAGAAGAGACTAAGGCCCCTGAACTTTCCAGAGGGCTTCAGAGACTTAGATAACCTCCTGTCCAGAAGTCCCCAAGGCTGGATCTGCAATTTCTTCTAGGACTGACAAAAACTAAACCATTTCTGGCAGGTTTGAATAAATTAACTCTTTTTTACCTAATAAATCTCCACATCAGTTCAACCCCCACCTTGTGCTAGTTACGGTGACTCTTTTTTTTTAATAAATAAACTTGAGACAAGACATACAGAGTTATAAAATACATGGCTTATCTAAAACAGTTCATTCCTAGCTTCCCCCCTACACACACACACACAACACACACACACACACACACACACACACACACTCACTCACTCAGAAACAGCGATGAAAGTGGAGCCCGGCCCAGCTTTTCAGCAAATCGCTGAGATTACCGAGATAACGTTTGCCCGACAATGTCACAGGGTCATGAAAAAAACCAACACAATATGCTTCTCCAAACCCACCTCATCTGAACGCCGGCTCGAGTGTAAGCAGAGCCCAGGGGGTGAGCGGGCAGAACAAAAGCAGCCCTCTGCTAATTGACTGAAAAATTAGCCCAGTTGCCCCATGGGAGGCACGGGAGGCTGCAGCAGATGGAGGCTGCTTGGGCGCCCGGCTCAGAAAGCCACTCGCAACCTGCTGGGGCTCTGCCGCAATTATGGGTCACAACACTCCTCTTGTTAAACAGACACCAGCAAGCCTGACCGAGGAATGGAAGGCCAGGAAGGTCACAGATGGCCTGTAAACCAGCGATTTCCCCTTCGGACCCGACACTGAACTTCCTGAAGGTGCCCATGTTTGTGCTTTGGGGGGGTTTGTTTGTTTTTGGTTTGGTTTAGTTTTTGTAGACTTAGCCTCTAGCCCAAACAGATGCTTTCCTGTGCACTCTTTGATTCTGGTGATCTGAATTAATTTATGTTCCCACGCCTTCGTCCCCAGCTCTGGCTCTATGATCGCTGGGCGGCAGACGTGGTCATGCAGAGCTCATTATACATGTGTGGGGTGTGTGTGTGTTCACGCACACACAGGCAGGCACCACTCCAAGTACAACTTCAGCAACACCAGGCAGGATTATTTATTCCTCTAACAAGAAATAAAATCTGTAGCCACTGCAGGTTTTGTGGCTCAGAAAATGTTTTAATCACAGGTCTGCCCCTGAGGTCTCAGGATGCAAAGTGCATTTTGACTAATACTGACTGTATCTGCTCCCAAAGCCTGCGAGTGGGAGATTCTTGAATATCTGACATTTTGAAACATCACATAAGCTGCAATTGATAAATAAATTATTGCCATCTGACACTAAATGGCCCGTGCCCCTTTGTCTCCTACCAGAAGAAATAAACATCTATTGCAATAAGGTAGGAATTTTATTCCATCTACTAATTTGAAATTTTAAAAAATACAGGTGTGCTTTTGTCACATACTCCTTAGATAAAGAACTATGACTTCAGTTTTTCCTGATATTACTGTTTTCTGTTAAAATGTCCATTATACAATTATTAATTCATATATCATATCTCACTTTACACAAATATCTTCATTTTTGTCCTAAGTTGAGCTTCTATAAGAGGCACTTCACTGGTGTACCCTTAAATTCCATCATTACAGCAATTCTAGAAAAAAAAAAGTGAGAGAAAATCATCCATAATCCTCTTGTTAAACAGACACCAGCAAGACCGACCGAGGCAGGAAAGACTGGGAGGGTCACAAAGGGCCTGTAAACCAGTCATTTCTCCTTCAGACAAAAGGAACTTACCTTTTATCACTTTGTCTATTTCTTTTATTCACATGAACATTTTACATAAGATTAAATATAACACATAATGTTCAGTGTGATTCATTTTACTTATTATTATGTGTTTTATCACGTTGGCACGATCTGTTATTATTTTACTATCCCAGCAAGTGGCATTGTCATCATTTGCCTATTTCTCTGTTACTTGTCGTTTTGTCTCTTTTTCCTTAGTTTTCATGTTTAAACTATGGTGAGTAAGATTGGCCTTTGTGCGCTACAGTGGCGTGCATATGTGCAGATGGGTACCAGCATCACCACAACCACAACACGGAACAGTCCATCACATCACAGGAACTTCCTTGTGCTGTCCGTCCCCTCAGAACTGCACCTTCCCCTTCACCCTCGATGCTTAGCAACCACTGATACATCACCATATCATTATCATTATGATCCTTTTGTCTGTTTGAGAGTATCATATGAATATAAATGAAGTCACACAGTATGTGACCTTCAGAAACTGCCTTCTGTCACTCAGTAGAACGTCCTTGACATTCACTCAAGCTGATCCTACAGGAGCACCTGCCTTTTTATTGCTGGGTAGCTCCTTGGCATGGGGTGTGCCAGGGCTGGTAAATTAATCCACCTGTGGAAGCGCACTGGGAGGCTCCCATTGTGCAGATATTACAAAGAAAGTTGTTTATACATATAAGCATAGAACTAATATATAAAAATATGTTTATTTATATATAAAAGTATATATGTATATAATAAAAGTATATATGAAAGTGTATATATAAAAGTATCTACATATCTACATGTATATGTAGATATATATATACATATATGTAGATATATACACATATATATGAATATATATACGTGTGTGTGTGTGTGTATATATATATATATAAATCTGTGCAGATTTTTGTGTGAACACAAATTACATTTCTTTAGGCTAAATGCCCAGGGTTGGGGTTACTGGATCATGTGGTTAATAAATCATTAGCTTTACAAGAAATTTCCAAACTCTTGTCCAGATAATCTGTATAATTCTTCATGTCAACCAGCAATGTATGTTTCATTTGCTCCAGGTCTTCACCAGCACTTGAAATTGTGACTATTTTTATTCCAGCCTACAAATAGATGCATAGCAGTATCTCATCTTAGTTTTATTTTTATTTCCCTACTGGTCAATCAATGATATTGTATATCTTTTTATGTGGTCATTTAACTTTTTCTATCTTTGGTGAAATGTCTGTTTAAATATTTTGCTCATTTTTTTACTGTTTAGTTTTGAGACTTTTTTATGTATTTTGGATACATGTCCATGGCCAGATATGGTACATGTTTTACAAAGATTTTCTCTCAGTCTATATTTGTATGTCATTCTTTTAACATTAACTTTTGAAAAGCAAAGTTTTTAATTTTGATGAAGTAATTTTTATAATATTTTTGTGTAGTTGACTTTTTAAAATTGTTGATACTCTTAGTGTAGAGTCATTTGTAACAGCTTATTATCCCTTTAATGTCTGTAAGGTGTAATTTCTATCTTTTTTCTTTCTTGATCTAGCTACAAGTTTGTTTACTTTATGGACCATTTCAAAAAACCAGTTTTTAGGATTTTTTTTTTCATTTTTCTCTATGGTTTTTCTGTCTTTAATTTCATGAATTTCTGCTCTTTTATTGGGATCTGTCATTCATTGATTTGTGTTTATTTTGCTCTTTTTTCTAGCTCCTCAAAGAAGAAGCATGGAGCCTTAATTTAAAACCTTTTTTTAAAAAGTTATTATATATACTTCTAATGCTATATATTTTTCCTCAAAGAAATGTGTCAAGTGTATTTTACAAATTTAATGTGACATAATCTTATTTTCTTTTTATTTAAAATATTTCTGAAGTTCTTTGAACTTCTTCTCTCCATGAATTATTTAGAATTATGTTGATTAATTTCCAAATATTTAGATATTTTCTGGTTATCTTTCTCTTAAATATTTCTAGTTTTATTTTATTATGGTCTAAAAATATTATTCAATTACATTTTTATGACTAGAAATACAAACTGTCTCTGTGAATGCTACATGTACATTTGAAAATAATGTGTATTATTTTGTTTGAATAAAATGTTATTTAAATATTAATTAGGTCCAGTTGGCTAATGGTGTTACTCAGATCTTTCATATTCTTGATGATTTTCTGTATAAAATGGTCTGTATAAAAGTTTTATCTACTACAGAACAATGAATATCAATAGGCCCAACTAGAATTGCACACTTGTCTATTTTTTCTTTTAGTTCTGCTGTGTTTTGCTTCATGTTGTTAGGTGCATACATATTTCATATTGTTACATCATCTTAAATAATTGATTCATTTATCATTATGTGATGTCCCTCTTTAGCACAGTCATTTTCTTTGCTCTAAAGTTACTTCTTCTGATTTTAATATAGATATTCTAGCTTTCTTTTAGAGTTTTCATGATATACCTTTTTCCATTCTTTTCCATTAATCTGCCTATATTATCATTTTTGAAGTGAGTTTGTATGGATAGCATATAAATTATTTTTATATCAGTTGCAATAAACTTTGTATTTTTATTGTTATATTAGGATCATTTCATATTTATGGTAATTATTAATACATTTGGATTTAGGTCTATCATTTTATTATTTGTTTCTTCTTTGTCCTGTCTGCTTTTGCCTTTTTGCTTTTATTGGGTTATCTGCATTATTTTAATATTTCATTTTAGTTCATCTATTGCAATTTTTTTCTTTTTCTCTCTGTAAATACATGTACACATATATATGAATATATACATATATACATACACATATGTGTGTGTGTATGTATGTGTGTGTGTGTGCGTGTGTGTAATTTTTTAGGGTTTCTCTGGGGACTGCAATATATGTACTGAATTTTTCACTGTCTATTTAGAATCAATATTTTGCCTTACAACAATAAAGACTATAACTTCTGCCTTTATATTATAGTTGTTTTCATATATTAATAATCCCACCAGAAAAACTTTATAATTTTTGCAAGCATAAAATATATTTTAAAGATCTTAAGAGAAAAATAATATATTACACTTACTTAACATTTACCATTTCTGCTGTTCTTTCTTCATTCTGGTGGTCAAATGTACATTCAAATATTATTTTCCATCTGCTGAAAACTTTCTTAGCAATTCTTTTAGATTGAGTCTTTTAGTAACAAACTTCCTTGTCTCATCTGTGAATATTTTGATTCTGCTTTCATTGCTGAGAAAAGTGGTCATTAGATATAGAATTTAAGGTGGGCAATTGTTTCCCTTCAGCACTTTAGTCATATTCTGTCTCTTCCTTCTGACTTCCATCATTTTTGATGAAAAATCCACATATCTTTCTAATCATTCCCACATGGGTAATACATGATTTTTAACTGGGCACTTACTTTAGTTTGTTTCAGGTGTTCATCTTTATTATGATGATGTGTTGACATGGATTTCCTTTGTTTAATTCTATTAGAGAGTCACTCAATTTTTTCAATCTGTAGATTTATGCCTGTCACTAAACATAGAAAGTTTTCAGCTATTATATCTTGAAATGCTTTTTAACACCAAATTTCTTCTTCTCTGGGACTATGATGACATAAATATTAAAGCCTTGTTATAGGTCCCTGAGTCATAGTTAATGTTTTAATCTAGTCAGGCTTCTTAAGGTTGCTGTTATTACATTTTTCAGTTTTAAAATTTCTGAGTTCTTTTTTTGTAATTTCCATTTATTTGCCCAGATGTTCTATTTTCTCATTTGTTTCAAAAAGTTCATGATTATTTCTTGGAGCTGCTTTAAAGTCTTTGTCAGGTAATGCCAACATTTCTATTGTCTTGATGTTGGCATCTTTTCTGTGTCTTTTCTATTGCAGTTGAGATTTTTCTGGCTCCTTTTATGTCAAGTAGATTTGGATTGTATCTTGGACACTTCAAATATTATGTTATAAGAGCCTGTATTATATTCAAATCCAATGAACAGCACTGATACTTTTGTTTTAGCAAAAATCTTGTTAGGCACACCCTGAAAAATCCAACATGCCCAAATTTAAAACTAGAAAATTGTAAAAAATATATGAAAAAGAATCCTCTTCAGATATTGAACTACAGGTATATTAGGACTATGATCCTTGGGGACAAAAGGGGAACAAATGAGATGAGACATATTATTTTCTCAATTTTATAGACGGAGAAACATTTTGGACCACAATATAGAAAAGGCGGTTCCAAGCTACACAGAATAAAAACACAGTTATTTCTTGGGATACTCTTGAGCACTGCCGAATACTATGACATGAATATCATGGTGGGATGAAAGTCCACAAGTATGGCAGAGATTGATGAATGAACTGTGAGGTCCAGGCTTTGGAGTCACACAACTTCCTATGAGCAGACTGGACAGTCCTCGCTGATATATCAGGGTATGTAGTTGTATCCAGAGAAGACACTCCAAGAAGATCAATGGACCATATAGAAAACCACATTGAAAACCGCAAGACAACTCATAGCAAAATGTACGAAAGCCTAAGATAAAGAGAAAATCTTAAAATTGGGCAGAGGAAAAACACACAATAGGTATAGAAAAAAAAAGTAGCAATTATAGCAGACTTTTTATGAGAAACTCTTCAGGCCAGGAAACAATGAAACAGCATATTTAAAGTGCTAAAATAGTCCATGTAGAATTCTAAAGCTAGCAAAAGTCACTTCAAAACTAAAAGGGAAAAAAAGTATTTTAAAAGGAACATGCACAAAGATAAGTCATATGCTGGGCCATAAAATGCATCCCCCAAAGTTTGTTAAAAATCTTAAAATTGGCCAGGTGTGGTGGCTAATGCCTGTAATCCCAACACTATGGGAGGACGAGGCAGGCGGATACCTGAGGTTGGGAGTTCGAGACCAGCCTGGCCAACCTGGCAAAATCCCGTCTCTACTAAAAATCCAAAAATTAGCTGGGCGTGGTAGCAGGTGCCTGTAATCCCAGCTACTAAGGAGGCTGAGGCAGGAGAATCACTTGAACCTGGGAGGTGGAGGTTGCAGTTGCCCCATTGCACTCTAGCCTGGAAGACAAGAGTGAAACTCTGTCAAAAAAGAAAAAAAAAAACTTAAAATCATGTAAAGTAGCGTTTTTTATTATGATGTGACATTTCTCCAAAACTGATTTATAGATTCAATGGGATCCCAGGAAAACTCCCAGCAGAAATTTTTGTGGAAACTGATAAGGTGATTTTAAAATGAATGTGATGCTATACTAAATTGGCAAAAGCTGGAAGCATTCCTCTTGAAAACTGGCACAAGACAAGGATGCACTCTCTCACCACTCCTACTCAACTCAACATAGTATTGGAAGTTCTGGCCAGGGCAATCAAGCAAGAGAAAGAAACAAAAGGTATTCAGATAAAAAGACAGGAAGTACAAGGTCAAGAGATCGAAACCATCCTGGCCAACATGGTGAAACCCCGTCTCTACTAAAAATACAAAAAAAAAAAAAAAATCAGCCAGGCATGGTGGCACACGCCTGTAATTCCAGTTACTCGAGAGGCTGAGGCAGAAGAATCGCTTGAATCTGGGAAGCGGAGGTTGCAGTGAGCCGAGATCGCATGACTGCACTCCAGCCTGGGTGATAGAGAGATACGCCTTCAAAAAAACAAACAATAAAAGAAGTCAAACTGTCACTCTTTGCAGATGACATGATCCTATATCTAGAAAACCCCATTGTCTCAGCCCAAAAGCTTCTTAAGCTGAGAAGCAACTTCAGCAATGTCTCAGGATACAAAATCCATGTGCAAAAATCACTAGCATTCCTATACAACAATAGACGAGCAGAGAGCCAAATCATGAATGAACTCCCATTCACAACTGCTACAAAGAGAATAAAATACCTAGAATACAGCTAACAAGGGAAGTGAAGGGTCTCTTCAAGGAGAACCAAACCATTGCTCAAGGAAAGCAGAGGACACAAACAAATGGAAAAACATTCCATGCTCATGGATAGGAAAAATCAATATTATGAAAATGGCCATACTGCCCAAAGTAATTTATAGATTCATTGCTATTCCCATTAAACTATCATTGACATTCTTCAAAGAATGAGAAAAAACTACTTTAAAATTCATATGGAAGTAAAAAAGAGACCATATAGCCAAGATAATGCTAAGCAAAAAGAACAAAGCTGGAGCTATCACGCTACCTGACTTCACACCATACTACAAGGTTACTGTAACCAAAACAGCATGGTACTGGTACAAAAATAGATACATAAAACCAATGGAACAGAATAGAGATATCAAAAATAAGACCATACGTCTACAACCATCTGATCTTCGACAAACCTGACAAAAACATGGAATGGGAAAAGGACTATCTATTATTAAATGGTGCTGGGAAGACTGGCTAGCCATATACAGAAAACTGAAACTGGACCCCTTCCTTACACCTTGTACAGAAAATTAACTCAAGGTGAATTAAAGACCTAAATGTAAAACCCAAAACTATAAAAAGCCTAGAAGAAAAATCTAGGCAGTACCATTCAGGACGTAGGCATGGGCAAAGATTTAATGATGAAGACATTAAAAGCAATTGCAACAAAAGCAAAAATTGACAAATGGGATCGAATTAAACTAAAGAGCTTCTACACAGCAAAAGAAACTATTATCAGAGTGAACAGACAACCTACGAAAAGGGAGAAAACTTTTGCAATATATCCATCTGACAAAGGTCTAATATTCAGGATCTACGAGGAACTTAAACAAATTTACAAGAAAAAAACAAACAACCCCATTAAAAAGTGGGCAAATGACATGAACAGACACTTCTTAAAAGCAGACATGCCGGGCGCGGTGGCTCACGCCTGTAATCCCAGCACTTTGGGAGGCCGAGGCGGGTGGATCACGAGGTCAGGAGATCGAGACCATCCTGGCTAACAAGGTGAAACCCCGTCTCTACTAAAAATACAAAAAATTAGCCGGGCGCGGTGGCGGGCGCCTGTAGTCCCAGCTACTCGGGAGGCTGAGGCAGGAGAATGGCGTGAACCCGGGAAGCAGAGCTTGCAGTGAGCCGAGATTGCGCCACTGCAGTCCGCAGTCCGGCCTGGGCGACAGAGCGAGACTCCGCCTCAAAAAAAAAAAAAAAAAAAAAAAAAAGCAGACATTTATATGGCCAACAAACATGAAAAAAAGTTCAACATGACTGATCATTAGAGAAATGCAAATCAAAACTACAATGAGATACCATCTCATGCCAATCAGAATGGCAATTATTAAAAAGACAAGAAACAACAGATGCTGGTGATGTTGCAGAGAAATAGGAATACTTTTACAATGTTGGTGGGAATGTAAATTACTTTAGCCATTGTGGAAGACAGTGTAGCAATTCCTCAAAGACCTAGGAACAAAAATACCATTTGACCCAGCAATCCCATTACTAGGTATATATGCAAAGAAATATAAATCATTCTCTTATAAAGATACATGCATGCATATGTTCACTGCAGCACTATTCACAATAGCAAAGACATTAAATAAACCCAAATGCCCATCAATGATCGACTGGATAAAGAAAATGTGGTACACGGAATAATATACAGCCATAAAAACAAAGGCGATCATATCTTGCAGGGACATGGATGGAGCTCGAAGGCATTTATCCTCAGCAAACTCATGCAGAAACAGAAAACTAAACACCACATGTTATAAGTGGGAGCTGAACAATGAGAACACATTAACACAGGGAAGGGAACAACACACACTGGAACCTGTCAGGGGTGAGGAGGCAGGGGGAAGAAGAGCATCAGAATAAATAGCTAATGCATGTGGGGCTTAATACCTAGGTGATGGGTTGATAGGTGCAGCAAACCACCATGGGACACATTTACCTATGTAACAAACCTGTACATCCTGAACATGTATCCCAGAACTCAAAATAAAATAATAGGCATAAAAAATAAAAAATAAAAATAAAATGAATGTGGAAATTCAAGGACCTAGCATAGCCAAAATAATTTTTATAAAAGCAGAACAATGTGGAAGTATTTATCTTATTTGACTCCAAGACTTATTATAAAGTTATAAGAGTCAAGATAGTATCTTATTGGCAT
Organism: Homo sapiens; assembly: GCF_000001405.40. Lineage (NCBI taxonomy): Eukaryota > Metazoa > Chordata > Mammalia > Primates > Hominidae > Homo > Homo sapiens. Next base: position 3,500,426 of record NC_000005.10, read on the forward strand.
AAGAATAGACTTATAAATTAATGAAACAGAAGAGAGTTTTATAATAGACTCCTGTATATATAGTCAAATAATTTTTTAAAGGTACCATGGTGATTCAATGGAGAAAGAATATTCTTTAAATAAGTTTTGTTGTAAAAATAAATATCCATATCACACATAAAAAAGACTATGACCCTTTATTGACACCATATACAAAATTATTTCAGAATGCTTCATAACCCCAAGTGTAAAAGCCAAAATATAAATTTTCTAGACAAAAATATACAAGAAGAAAAATTTATTTTACTTTATCACAGTCAAAATTTTTTAGGACACCAAAAGCACAAAACCTAAAAGAAAACTAAATAATAAAATGAGGTCTTCTTCCCTAAAACTTATAAATTCAGGCTAGTCATAAGTAAAACATCAGACAAATACCAGGTGAAGGACATCTACAAAATACCTGACCAGTAATTCTCAAATCTATAAAAGACATTAAAACCAGAAAAGTTTGGGAAACTGTCACATCTAAGAGATGCCAAAGGAGATGAACATAAAACACAAAGTGGTTCCCTGGTTGGGACTCTGGAACAGAAAAAGGACATTCGCATTCGGGGAAAACTACATAAAGTAGCAACTTTAATTAATAATAATGTATCAATATTCATTCATTAGTTTTGACTAATGTACCATGGTAATGTAATATGCTAATAATAGGAGAAAAGATAGGTGGGGGATATGTGAGAACTCTCTATACTCCCTTTGCAACTTTTATGTAAATCTAAACTGTTTTTAAAATCTAAACTGTTTTTGCTTAAATTTATAAAGTAAAAAATTATAAAATTCATGAACATTAAAATTTCTGCTCTTTGAAATACATCAATAAGAAAATTAAAAGTCAAATCCACAAATGGGAAAATTTTTCACACTATGTATATTTGATATATTACTTATATTCAGAATAAGTACAAACATTTACAACTCAATTATGAGACATAAAACCCAATTTTAATAAAAGAAGGGGGCTAAAGATTAAACAGAAAATTTACCAAAAACTACATATGCATAGCCAATACATACTTGAAAAGATGCTCAACATTAGTCATTAGGGAAATGCAGATTAAAATCATAGTCAGATACCACTATACACCCATTAGAGCGGCTAAAATTAGACAAGATTGACACTATTTTTAGTGAGTGTGGAGCAACTACTTAGCTAGTAGAAGTGTGAAATGGTACAGCCACTTAGGAAAACAGTTTGGTAATTTCTTATAAAGGTAAACACTCTCTTACCACATGTTCATGCAATTCTGCTCCTAGGTATTTACCCAAAGTCTTATGCACGAATGCTCCTGGTAACTTTGATTATAACTGCCGGAAGTTGGAGCCAAACCAAATATCCATCAACAGGTGAATAGACCTTCTTGCACATCCACATAATGTAATACCACTCAGCATGTGAAAAGAGTGAATTACTGACACACAACAATATGGATGAATAGTAAATGCACTATTTTGCACAAAGGAAGTCAGACACAAAAGTGTAATCCCATTTACACAAAGCACAAGGAAGGCAAAACTGATCTGTAGTGACAGAAGGTCAATCAGTGGCTGCTTTGCGCTGGGGCTGAAGGATGGGGATTGACTGGAAAGGGGCCCCAGGAAACCCTCTGCGATGACGAGAATTTTCTATATCATGAAGTGGAGTAGTTTCAGCAGTGTACACATTTTTCAGACTCATCAAAATGTACACTTAATATGTGTGTATTGTATTGTTTGCAAAATTATACTTTCACAAAATTTATTTTTTTTTTTTTTTATTTTTTTTTTTTTTTGAGACGGAGTCTCGCTCTGTCGCCCAGGCCGGACTGCGGAGTGCAGTGGCGCAATCTCGGCTCACTGCAAGCTCCGCTTCCCGGGTTCACGCCATTCTCCTGCCTCAGCCTCCCGAGTAGCTGGGACTACAGGCGCCCGCCACCGCGCCCGGCTAATTTTTTGTATTTTTAGTAGAGACGGGGTTTCACCTTGTTAGCCAGGATGGTCTCGATCTCTTGACCTCATGATCCACCCGCCTCGGCCTCCCAAAGTGCTGGGATTACAGGCGTGAGCCACCGCGCCCGGCCCAAAATTTATTTTTAAAAAGCAGGACCCAAGAGCAATTCTAGAAGGTAAGTAGAGGATACATTCCACCAGAACTCAGAGCAAACCCTAGGCAGAGGCTGGGAGAGGGAACCAGCCATGTGGCAGTCAGCAGAGAGTGGGGAAAGGATCCTCGGTACTGGGCCAGCGCCTGGTGAGTGACTGATAAGGTGATTCCTTTGGGCTGCAGCTCCTAGAAGCAGTGTTGTAAGCTTGGGAAACCATGCAGCAATGCACAGGGGAGCTTTGGGCATACACAGATAGGAAGAAGAGTGATGAGCAGATAGGCACACAGTGACTTCTCCTACACATTGTGGATCAGTGTCGATGCCTTTAAATAAGGTTGCCCATTCTTCTTGAGACAGGAAAACTTAAGCTACTCAGAGATTACTGAAAACATTAAAACACTGATATGTTTGGTTTGGGGGTACTCTGACTTCATGTTAAGCGTAATATGGTATGGGTTGATTCAGAAAAATCAAGATGAAATCTCAGAACCAACTGTCAAATAAAATAACTCCTGCTTGAGAGGCAGCCCTCAGTAAAACACACAAGGACCCTGTCAGTAAATACGGAAGTATCTGCTGTACGTGCCCCCATCTTCAAATAAAAACTTGAAACGATGGCAAAGTTAACATCAGTTGCACACACACAAACACACCACATGCACATAAATGTGAGGTTTACAAGACAGGGCAGAGTGAGAAAGACCACAATCCCAGGCTGCGTGACACGAGGTTTCTAACTCAAGCCACCCCTTAGGGACAGAGGCCGGGAAAGCTGTGGTGAAAGTCCCCAGCATGGATGGGAAGAATGACTCTGTGCTCCACTCAGTTGCCAGTTTGTATTGCCATGGAACCATCCAACAGCCATTTCAACCTGGAAACCATTCTGTGTGTTCAATCAATGAACATGGGTACTGGACACGGATTTTGAACAACACGATCTAAGGCCCAGAGAAGCGTAAGAGCTTTGAATGGCAGTGTTCTAACATGTGTCTGACTGATGGGAGGTCTGTGGACCAGAGTGTTCTGAGCTCTCCCAGGTGAGCTAGGCCTTGCTCTGGACATAGTGGGGCTGGAGGGATGGCTTCGGCCCCGCGTTCTTCTTGGACTGCTCTGCCGTCTGCCTTCTGATACATGGCAGTCTCCTGTCTCTGGGAAACACATGGGTGTCGTGCACCCAAATGTGTGGGACCTCAGCCTTCCCCACTTCTTCATCAACTAAGCACTAAACAAGTGTGTGGATCTGCTCACGAACGTGCTCACAAACTCACACACACACCAAGTGGAACTCCACACTGCATTTTTTTCTTTCCTTCATGGCCAAACTTCTGGGGGGGAAAAAAAAAAAATATATATATATATATACACATATATATACCTTTTTCCTGAATTTTTTATGGGTATCTCCTCTCTTGAAAATGCACCTGCTCTCCTCCGCAGGCCCAGCAAGAGCCCCTCTCTCATCCCTCAGCCCCCACCCAAGCTGTGACCCAACAGACGTTGCCAATGCCTTCTGGTGGCCACCCCCTCATTGTTGCTATGGCACTGTTGTGCCCTGCTTTCTCACAAGACCTTTGCCAGAAACTCCTCCCTGATCCTGCCTTAAATGCAGAGTCCCCTGCCAGCCCCCACCCTTCTTCTTCTCTGACCCCAGGCACTTCACCCCACCCTGGCTTCAGCCTACTTTCCTCACCTGCCCGCGCTCAGCCGGCTGCCTCTTCCCAGTGGGCCGGGACTGAAGGGTAGGGATTGAGCAGGTGCTCACACGCACCTTCCTACTTGCTCACCTTACTTCCACTTGGATGTGCTATCATCACTCAGGCCAGACGCATCACCGCGAAGCCCACCCAGCTGCCCTCTCAGAATGCCCTTCTGCCTGGCCCCATTGTCCCTGTTCTGAATAATGCCACAGCCACTCAGAAACGCGTTGGAAAGGAGAGCAAGTCCTGGAGCCTCCCTTCCACAGCCACTGGGAAATGATTCTGATAGGTGACGTTTTTCCAGTTCCCACTGTGGTCCAATCCCCACAGAGAAGCTGGGAACATGGGGCTGGCATGGCCAGGGGAGGGTCTCAGGGTAGCCTGCCCATTTTACTGATATGTTTCTGTAACAGAATCCTTGTAGTGGGAAGTCAGCCATTCCCAGCACAGGCTGGGCACTGCACTGGCATAGCAGGGTCACCTGTGGGGTGGTGGCGTGGACTGAAATCTCTCTACAAACATCCAGTGTGAGCTGCGCTCCAAACATTTCATGTGATGATGGCCTGTGTTCGTTCTCTCTCTCTCTTTCCCTCTTTTGAGTTATGTGTGTGTGTGTGTGTGTGTGTGTGTGTGTATGTATTTGTGTTGGGGTGGGCAGGTGTGAGTGTATGACAAATATACACATACAAATATATATGAAAAGTTTATATATGTGTGTACCTATATGTCCACATATTTTCATTCAATACTCATCTATTCAATCAACTATTTGAGTGTCAACTAAATGTGTATATAAATATAGGACCATATTGATATTGTAATTCCTCTCTTGGATTCAACATTCTATGATGTCCAACTGAAAGTGATGGTGCTCTTTATGACAAGAATAATCTTTATTTAAATGGTTTAGACATGAGCAGACTTGATAATTGTACTAATAACATACTTGTATCGGTGGTATCCTTGAGAACTAACTCTAATTCATTAACAGTTTGAAAACACCAGGTGGAACTTCTTCAGTGAAAACTGCAAAAATGCACTGCACATGTGGAGGGGCTAAGGCAAGATCTGTATTCTCATTCCGTAGTTACAGCCTTCATTTTTGCTTTCTTAGCACTGAAGATTGCCAGCCAGCCTGAGCAGGAGCCTCACCCATGGCCCCAGTCCTGCGGGCAGCTGGAGTGGGGCAGAGTGCTATTTGGTAACCCACACACACACAGGGAGGGCAGATATATCTGGTGTCCCCTACACAGTGTTTAAATTTTAAAAAATCACACAAAAATGATGGTCACTGTCTTTTCTTGAAAACATGTGAGTCCAGCTACACCAAGCTTCCCACGGGATTGCCATCGGCTGAAGCAGGCTGAGCTGGGTGGGCTCTCCGCGCCACTGTGGGCTCACCATGCTGTACTGGACTCCACTGGCCTTTGCAAATGTTTAAATTCATGATCCCAGCTCTACTGAACCAGGAGTTGGCAAGTGTCTTCTGCAGAGGATCATGCAGTAAACATTTCAGGCATCCGAGCCCCTTCTGTCTCTGTGGCAGCTACTCAGCTCTGCATTTCTGCTGCAACACAGCCTCAGATAATACCTAAGCCAATGTGCATTGTTGAGTTTAATAAAACTTTATTCATGGACACTGAAAACTGAATTCTCTAGAATTTTTACATGGCAAAAAATATATTTGTTTTTTTTTGTTGTTGTTCAACCATTAAAAAATTTATACAAGTGATTATTAGCTCCAGGGCCTTAAAAAAGCAAGTAGTAGGCCAAGTGTAACCTGTGGGCTACAGTTTGCTGACCACTAGACTAGTACACAGACTTTGAGAATTAGACAAATTTTATTCAAATCAACTGCTCACATAAAGCAATCCGTGTGCATGAGACTTCACCACGATACCAGTGCTGGGTGGGCCCCATCCCTTGCTATCACAAATGCTACTCTAAAACTGGAATGAACACAGACAAGACCAAAGGAGAAAACTACAGAAGAAGGCATGGGGTCACTGTTGATTTTGACTGACTGGCTCTCCTGTAGGTAAATTTCCAGATGCGGGTAAGACACAGAGAGTGTGACAAGGCCGGGGTAAGAAGGCGTTGGTCACAGGGATTGCAAACTCAGGCAGAAGGACAAGAGAATGACGGGCTCCTCCTAACGAAGGGACAAGGAAGCAGCCTCCTGAATTCAACCTGGAACCTTCCTACAGCAATTATGAAAAGGGAACATACAAGATTGACCGGAAAATGGTGACAACCTCATTCATTCTCATCTCTCCCAGAAGGAAAGCAATTAAAAGGTGATCTTTAACTCATGGTTCTCAAGGAGTGTCCTTTAATTATGTTTCCCTGCTCCGGCAAGTTTAATTGTGTACATTTCTGGCTTCTGTTAGCCTTAAACATGATGTGAGACAAGCCGGCAGAGCTTACACTCTGCTCTCTACACGACCTTGTTTTAGGCACCCTGGCCCTAGCATTTCCAGGGAGAGCATTGAGCCTTGCAAACTCAAGGCTTTTAGCATTGCTCTGAAAAGTAAACAAGTGGAGGATAGATTCCAAAATAGTGACCCCGGCTTTCAAGAGCAGGTTTGCTGGTGTCTGTTGGGCTGCATTGCAGAGACGGTTTCCACGGTTGTCATGTCCCCACTGAATATTAGAATGGGCTACTCGCCTTTCCTCGATGTACCCAAACCTCAACATTAATCAGACTTTGTAAATCTCTGATTTTGTAAATCAGATTTTGTTTGTCAATATTCTAATTAAGAGTTTGAGAGACTAGACATGAGGCAGATAGTATAGGTGTGAAAGCAAAACAATTTTACTCTATTCCAAAGGAAAATACAAACAATGCCAGATAGATACCTGAAGCTACATGTTTTCACCCGCAAGACACATAGGGAAGGGAAGAAGGTAGAACAGCACTGGGGTCAAGAAACAGCTGCTGATGCATTCTCAGCAAACCTTTAATGTTCACTCCCAAAATCACTTATCCCCATATGTTGAAACTATAAAGAGATTATTTTATAATCAAACGTAAAAATAAGGGTTAACTGAAAAGTATGACATTTACAAATTATTTTACAGAAAGCTGTAAGGAAGTTCAATACCAACGAGGAAAAACTCAGTTGTGGATATTTTACGTATGTGTGTATGGATGTGTAAAAGCATTTATATCACCCCGAAGGAGAAAAGGTGTTGAGAGGAGTGTGCTTAGGTTCAAGAAAATTTAAATCAATCCTGATTCTTGTGTTGTCCTGATCACTGGGTGTCATTGATTTAAAAGGTCATACAGCAACTGCAGTGGGTGACGGAGATGTGGTGAAGGGAGGGTTCTGCCCGGTGTTACTTTAACCATGTGACTTGGAAGTGGGAATGGGGTGTATCCAATATCACCTTTCCAGGAAGAAGTCCCCGGATCAGGTTTCCATCGGTCAGATTGCAATTCAAAGACCATGTGTGCCCCAATTTTCTGGAATATGCCTGGCGAAGGCCTAGGCAGGGATGCAATAAAACCAACTCTTGGAGACCCTTCACATCCAATGTTATTCTTCTAATCCCACATATTCAACTAGAGGTTTGCTTGACTCTTTCCAAAACTGGATCCAATTTTCTTTGGCAATTTGTTGCCTCGTCTGTTATCCTTTTATTCAACAAGTTCTTCCTGAATTGCTCAAAAACATGCTTTTGAAATGTTGATATGGATTCTAAAATAGAAGATGTTTACACTTTTAGGATCAAAAAAATACTGCTGTGTTTTATTTCACAACAGCATACTGTTCACAGAGTGATCCTCTTGAAGCTGCCCAGAATTGGTTAAACTTCTGAGAATAAAGGGGAAAAAACATCCCTTATGTCCCACATGTTTTATTCTCTGTAACATAAAACTCTTCGCTGGTTATGAAATATGCAATGTGATTAGTAAGTAGTTAAAACTATAAAAATTCCATCATTATTTTTCTATGGGGAATACCTGATTTTACTGAAAGTGTGTATCACACATAAAATGTGACCAATAAGTACTCACATTTGAACTTGTTCAAATATTGTATAGTAAGCTGTTTATATGGCATGTTAATTTAAAACACACAGTTCTCAGTGACGGTTATAGCCTATTTGTCAATATTATATAAATTAAGTGTTCCTAAAAACATATTTTGACACCAAAGGCAGTGTGCCTGCTGAAGGAGTTATGACGATTATCCCTGGAGCAGGTCCTGTCTTAAACACAGAAACACTGCAATTGGCGCTGTCACAGCACCCAAAACACCTAATTATAATAAAGTGATTTCCAAGTTCTAAGTTGAAAATACATGCTGTCCTCAGCTGTCAAATGGTTTTGAAACTCAGCTTTAGCAACAGAAAAGGCTTGATGTTTACTCAGAACTAGTCAGATCTCCCTTCAAACAGTGTCAAAACAAACCTTCTTCCTAAGAGGCTTCTCCTACTAGATGGCTTATAGTTGTGCCAGAGTAGGGTGGTCCATGGTACTTTTAACACTTAATGTCAGATCACAGAGGAAACAATTGCGCAAAAAAAAAAAAAAAAAAAAAAAAAAAAAAAAAAAAAAAAAAAAAAAAAAAAAAAAAAAAGGACATGTTTTCTAAGTTTAAGCTTCATTTATATGAAGCTAACTAAACACATTTTGGGCCTCAACTTGGCTTTCTTCCTGGGGCTGACATCTTGCAGCCATTCCCACTTTTCCCCACAGTGAAGCTCTGAGACCCCCAGTCTGCCCCACATCGTGTCTTTGCTGTCCTCTCATAAGCAGCACCCCTGGTGCTGACTGGTTGATGGAATGGGACTCCAAGCTTCACCTACTATTTGGTCCCCCTATCCTGTGTCCCTCCATGTGCATGCTAACATATATTTTTTTTGGACAGACATTGAAAGACCTAATTATTAACAACTACATTATCAACAGAACTTAGAATAATCAATATTTATCTAGCATCTACGATATGCTGGTAAAACATTACTAGGCTTTTGAGTTCACTTACTTAATCCTCACAACACCATACAGAATAAGCACTCATACCATTTTGAGGATAAAGAAATTGAGGGACGGGAAGATTAAGTAGCTTGCCCCAATTTAGAAACTTATCTCCCTGTCAGAGCTGGGAGTCAAACCACCTGTCTCACAAGGAACTGACCTGCAGAAGGTAAAGCAGAAGTTTGTGCTTGGCTCAGATCTTCAGCAGTGTAGGTGTGGGGACGTGTCCACTGTCCTCCTCCATCTCACCACTGGAGGCAGTGTTATATCCAAGCCAGCCTTAGGTCCAAGAATATTCTTAACAAACCGAGTGCAGTCCAAGGCACTCACCAACCACTACTAGTATGAGAATTAGTAGTGGCCATAGTCACCTGTGTGTCTACATGCATTATCTAAATGTCCACTAGAATCAAAAAATAATAAGGACTATAGAATGAAAGACCACCATCCCACCTTTGAAAGTAGCCAATCAATGGCTATGCATTACCTCTTACGCTGTGCAAAAAAACTGTACTATGGAAAATATAAGCCTACTGGCCATAGCTATCTTTCCTCAGCCCTTACTACATCCTGAGGGCTGCTACAAAGAGGAAGTTTTAAATCAGCACCTCCATGTTGCAGATGACAAAGCTAAGACCACCACAAATAGTAAGTCGTTTCCTTAAGACTGTCCAGCTGGCCAACTGCTCTACCAGCTGTCACTGTTATGAACTCTTTTGTACGTGGTCCTGTATCTTCCTAACAAGAAAGTGTCCTTCTTATAAGAGCATATTACAGCCTCCTTACGAGAATAGTCAGGAAAATTGGAAAGGAAGACTCAGATGTGTGGAGATAACTAACAAACAGTATAAGGCAATGTATGGTGATAATATTAGAATACTGTATTTTAATATTTGCATCCTATGACTTGCTGTAGGGTCTCTATTTCTAGATATCGCACGTGCAGTCAGTGTCTATGCTGTAAATAATAAAACAAACCAGCACGTTACCCAGCCCTGATCTCACAGGGCCATGGCCTATTTCCATTCACACCTACATGCTAAGTGGATCCTTTATAATGCTGCATTGGGAGAACAATGAGATAATTCTAGAATGACAGGAATTATTATATTGGGGGTTCATTGGGCACAGTCAGTATTTTCAAGAGAAGAAATAGATGCATGCAATTCCTAAATTTGTGTGATAATACACTGTGTGATAGTAAGCTTCTACTCTGCCATTGGTAAACCAACATCCAGGGAGAATTTCAGTAATGGGTGTGGCTGGGAGAATCACGACTGTGGTTCGTGTCCTCCACCAGTGGCAGTGCCATTGGCTGGCTTCGACTCACACTCGCTGCAACAATTGCAAGGGAATAGGCCCCGAAGGACGGGCTTGGCAAGCCTGTGCCGTGAGCCCCGGGAGACCAGGCAGGAGGAGGCACGAAGCTCCTGAGTGTCAGGGGAGACAAGAAAGGTGGATGTCAGGGCAGGAGGTCAAGGCGAAACCTCTCAGCTCAGGGGGAAGAGCACGAGCTCAGGGCTGGCAGCAGGATGGGGGATGATGGGAGCGGTGAAGGAGAGGCGCCTTCCTGCAGACAAACAGCAGGGGAAAGGACAGGAAGGGAGGGGGTGGAGAGAAGGTGAGTAGCGTAGTGAATAATACAACCGGCATGGGTTGGAGTCACCAGCAAGGCCCCAGAGCCTGCCTGCACACAGCAGCCCTGCTAACACCCCTATGGCCAGAGAAAGCAGGACCACCTTTGTTATAAAGAGGGATGAAGAGGAAGGAGCAAAGGCGAGAGGGCCTGGTATAAGTGCTTTCCAGCGGCGTCATTCACGGCAGAAGACCCTCCCACCACAGAGCTCTGGGCGCCTGTCTTTCTCCACTTGTGAAGGATGGATTTTCCTCCAAGTCAAAAGACACTGCTGGTAGTTGACTTTTTAAATGCCTGTGCTATGAATGTGCCAGGAGTAAGTCATGCAGTTACACTGTTTTATGAGCCTCTACATTTGTGAAAACTTGATGCTGCCTGAAACGTCTTGCTCTCCCCGCTACCCGAGACACAAGTGTCACATGTCCCTTTCATGTCCACTCCCTGCCCTCCCTTCATGTATTCAGACCCCTCCTGTGCATAAGAATAGACTTTCTCCTCGTGCTTGCGGGAATGGGCTTCGTGAGTTACCAAATTGGATATTTTGCTTGAACGGAAAAGGTGTTTGTCACTTTTTCTGCAAATAGTGCATGAAAATCTTTCATAAATGATGCATAGTGCTTCCATGAACTGGGCTCCAACGCAGCAATAACTCTTGTAACTGTATCTGAAATTTGAAAAGCAATTATGGAAGTATGTCCTGCCTGAGCAAAATATCTCCTCCTGCCATTTGGCCACCACACAGCTTAGAGCAAATATTTGAAGCTGGAATTAGGACTCGCTGCCATGCATACTTAAATGAAGAGACAGGAGGCTCTCACCAGAATCCTCAAACCCAGGCTGGAGATGGCGACCACTGCATGCCTGTGAATTCACATGCGTGCACATGGGTACGTGTGTGTGTGAATTCATGTGCATATGTGGGGGGGGGGGCTGTGTGTTTGAGTGGGTATGTGCGTGTGTGCGTGTGTGTGCCTGTGTGTGTGCGTGCGCGCTAGAGAGAGGAATGCCCCTCTCTTAGGTGGCAATCTGAGCCAACATATACATTCATAACCCAAAACACTGTGTGAAAGCAAATCTAAGCCCAAAAAACCGTAATGAGCAGTCTTACCCGCCCACGTTAAGCAGTTCAAACTCCACTCCAGACGCACAGCCACTGAATAAACAAGGAGATAGTATTTCTGAAGTAGAATTAAATAGCTTAAAGCAGTTTTCAAAAAAAAAAAAAAGGGCAGCAAACTGAAGCCTTTTAAGGATTACTCAGAGGAGTTTATTTACTGTGTCTTTTCCATAAAGGATATATGGAAATCAGAGAGCTACAGACACCACTCATGGCCTGTTTTGAAATTCAAAAACGGATGTGGGGGGGAGAGAAAACTACATTGTCCTTTCTCGGCAGAAAGATGCTTCCCCCTCGTTCTCACCATGACTGTCATAGTAATCTGATATGACAAATTCACACACACTGGATTAGCAGCCGGTGGAGAAAGACTAAGCGGTTAATATTTGTTGATGTTGCTTTTATCTAGCAGGTTTGTGTCCCTGGGCTGTGGTTACCTTGGCAATGCGGATATAACCATTTTCTGAAGCTGTTAAAAATGCCAAGGAGATTCTCTCTTCAAAATTCCAGGGCCTGCGGGCTGCTTGTCATTTTGTATGCTGTCAAAATCCTTGATGTTTCTCGACTCTTGATGTCAGGCTATGAAAAATGCTTAGCTCAATTTAAGCCTCTCGCAAAAAAGGGCTAACAACTGTAATTAAATCATTAAATTCTTGTCTACGCTTCACAGAGCATAGAGAAAATTAACTTCCCACCAACCTCATTTTCTACTTGAACATGAAATAATGATTTTTTGCTCATATAATTACAAAGCTAACATCTGATAGAGTCAGCATCCAGGGGGGATTATCGCATGCATGAGTATTAGACCTCATTACCAGCTTGACTGCAAAATTATTACATCTTGTAATTGGATGGTGAGATTTATATACAGATTGGCCGGGTTTCTGTAAGATTGTAATTACAAGCTTCATTGGTTTGCTACTTATCGGAACTTCACAGAGAAAACAACTGGTAAAATGAAATGAGCATTTCATTAACCTATTGCCTTATCATGGGAAAACCTGTGTAACAGCCGTGTATGCATTAACATAAATAGGATCATTCATTTCTATGCCAGATAGACGAGCTTATGTGTGCCTGTGTGTGCGCGTGTGGAAGGGAGGTGTGTTGTGGGCATCCATCCTTGTTCAGTTTATTTAACCTTCAAAATCCGAGCTGATGGAAAAAATAATAAAGTAGTTATCTATTTTACAAGGATGAACACACTATATCTATTACTTAAAGGCTAACTGGCTGTGAAAGTGCTCGTTTCATGAGAGGCGAGCACTATGATTCTTCAGGAGCAAAGAGGTGGCTGCTTTGATGTTCCTTTCAATGTTAACAAAATCTCTGGCCTTGTTCCCTGCTCAGATACAACGGCGGCTGGAGATTGGATGCCCACATAAATAACCTCCTCACACAGTGACATACGGGATCGATCCGGGGTCTTGATTTGATGGGTGCCCACACAAAGAAAAAGAGAGAGAGTGCGGGAGAGGCAGAAGGAGAAGGGGAGACACAGAGACAGAGGGGTGAGAAAGAGAGAAAATAAAATTGTTCAATTACACAGCAAACACCATTTTTCTTTCTTTAACAAGAGATTTCATGGTGTGGTCGATGTCTGGCAGGTCCAGCTGAGTGCCACTAATGTCAGCATTACCCTCCTCCAATCGGCGGCCTGGCTGTAATGGAGTTGTTATTGAACTTCATTGTTTGGATTAGGTTTTTCAGCTGGGATCAATGCTGTTTTAACATGAGACTGATAAAAGCCGTGATGGAAATCTGGAGCTTCCAAACCTTTCTGAACAAATGCCTGGCATTAGAGTGGCCACTCTGGCCCCTCGGAGAGCTCCAGGTCAGCGCTTCTGCCCTCAGCCCTGCTCACGAGACCCAGAGCTCAGGCGCAGAAAAAATCGCATTCAAAATCATCGTGCAGCAAACCCATTTTTTCAGCCCAAACCTAAAGGCATAAGCCACCATCTAAGCAGGAGGCAAAAGCACCTCCCACCCTCTGCAGAGTTCCTTTCACTCTAAGATGACTTCACGTTACATAAAACATTCAAAGATAGGAGACAACTCTTCCAATATTTGGTTACCTCCAATAGTTCTGTTTTTTATTTAAAAAGAAAAACACAAAATATTTAATTCCGTCTTTTTTTTTTAGAAAAAAAGAGACAATGCAGGGAATTTGATTTCAGAGATAAACAACCACATTTCACTATAATAACACAGAGCAGGATGTTACCGTTTGACATCAAAATCAGAAGAAAAAATGCCATTAAAATGCAAGAAAAAATAAGGCATGCAAAGCAAATAAAATTGTAGTATTCAATAGGAAAGGAAAGTAATTTGAGTTGTTGCAGACATCTATGTATAATGTGTTTGCCTGGGTATTTATCTCCTTACTAAAGGTTTTTTTTTTTTTTTTTCCCACTGATTTTTGTAAAAACCTGAGGCAAGTTTCCATGGGACTTCTGGCTGGGGAGTTGCGGTGGGGTGTGGCCTTGAGTTTCCATGAGCAGGTTGCGTTGCAGCAAATCAATAAACAAGCCCTTTTTCATGTTAGTAATGCGCTCGCTGTGATTTTTATCTGCATAATAAATCTAAAGTTGGGACCCTGGCTACTGAGCAAAAACGAAGACCAGCCCAGAGAAGGAGCTTAGGGAGAAATATAGAGATGAGAACAGCCCACAGCTAGGGGCAGGTTTGGAGAAGCTTAAATCTAAACTTATTTTTCTGCCTTGTCACTTTGACTTTTAATATTTACGATCAGTAAAGAAGCAAACTAATGATATGGTAAACCCAAGAGTGTCTGGAGATGATTCTGCTTTTGTAATTGTGTGCAATCTTAAAAAAAAAGAAAAAAAAAGACAAGAAAATGTGAGGACTTCAAAGTGAAAATAAAGAAAATAAATGTTTGCCTTTCTACACAGTGGGGAATAAGAAATGGCTTCCAGGAATAGGTGGAAGGCTGATCACTGGAAAATGTACTGGTCACCTGGAGTCCAGATGCACACCCCAGCCAGGGCACAGCAAACTCAGACCCATCCTCCTCCTCATCAGTGAAAGCCAATGCCCTCTCTTTCCAGCCCCCCACACAGGCCAGCACTGGGAGGTGCAGATGGAGCACCTGGCAACTCTGCCATGCTGGAAGATGCTGAGGACAGGAGGGCCCAGGCATGGGACAAGTGTCTCTCCATGAGGCAGGAAGCAGAGCTGCACACCCGCCCCCCTGCCCCGGTGTCCCCAGTAATACCAGCATCTGTCTTCTACTTTGGGGGTCAGAAAACTCACAGGGTAACAACTGAGTTTTATCCCCATAACATTGCTGAGAGATACTGAGCAGGAATCATCACTTCTAGGTGAGAAGTGGCCCAGGGGAAGGGGATGCTGTGCCTCAAATTGAGGGATTAACTCAGGGCAAAATCAGGACCAACACAGCCCACTCCCTACTCAGGCCTGCTGTGTGGGATTTGTTTTTTGTTTGTTTGTTTTGTTTTGTCCAATCCACATTTCCATTATTATTGTATAATTGAATAACTGTATACATTGTATTTAGATATAATGTTTGAAAAGTCCTGAAGAGAGAAAAATACTTCTTAAAAAACAGAAACGGAGTGGAATCATTCATGTTGAAAACAAAGTTGAGTGTAGCTTTAAGGGTTTCTGGTGTGAACAGCCCTGGCAGCTTGCCTCTGGTGGATGAGAGTAAACCCCCAGCCTGCCTGCAGCCTTCACCCCTGCCCAAATGCAGGAGGCCCCTCTAGGTGAGCCATGTCTTGCAGAAACACTGCTGGATCTTGGGCATCATTTATCCAAAAGGCAAACATTATTTTAAAATAGGGGTCAAGGAAAGATAAGTTCTGCTCAGTTGACCACAGCACTCACTAAATCCACAGACACAGAGTGAAGAAGAGGGTGGGGACTGGCAAGGTGGAAGGGGCTTGTTAATCACCAGAGAAGCAAGGGACATGACCCAGAGGAGAAGAGCAATGAGGAGTGAACAGAGAAAAGATAAAAGGAGCAAGATACAGAAACCCAAAATGCCCCATGAGAACAAGCAATAGTAATTTCTCACTTTCCAAAGGATCAGTCCATTTTAAGGTCTATGTACATCACAGGTGAAAGGATTGATGCCAATTATATAATCAGTGTGTTCGTTTGTTCTTGCATTGCTATAAAGAAATACCTGAGACTGGGTAATTTACAAAGAAAAGAGGTATGATTGCCTCAGGGTTCTGTAGTCTGTGAGCCAATTAAACCTCTTTTCTTTGTAAATTATCTTGCAGGAAACATGATGCTCGCTTCTGCTCAGCTTCTGGGGAGGCCTCAGGAAACTTGCAGTCATGATGGAAGGCAAAGGGGGGGGGCAGGTGCATCTCACGTGGCCAGAGTAGGAGCGAGAGTGAGCAAGGGGAGGTGCCACACACTGTTAAACAACCAGATCTTGTGGGAACTCTATCATGAGAGCAGCACTAAGGGGATAGTGCTAAACCATCAGAAACAACCCCCGTGATCCAATCAAATCCCACTAGGCCCCACCTCTAGCATTGGGGTTACATGTCAACATGAGATTTGGGTGGGAACACAGATTCAAACCATATCAATTAGTTTGCTAAGAAACGTCAAAAAAGCACACGCCCTATCAGCAAGGAAAACGACAGAAATAAGTTCGGGCGAGGTTTTTAGCTAACCTGGGGACAGACCTCAACACAGTACAGTGGCAAGGTTCGCAATCAAATGATCAATACAAAATAATCAATACTTGGTGAATGGATCAATCATCAGTCAACCAGCAAACTGTTTTTTTTTTTAAGTCTTCAGGACCCTGGTGTAAATTTACTGAGACCAAAAACCTATGAAGCAAGAATCATTTTCTTTTCAAGCTGAAAAGTAAATGTACCTGCAGGAAGCAAAGCTAAGTTAAAATAATCAGGACTTGATGTGAGAAGAGACAAATTTTGATGGTCAATAAAAGAAAGACACTGTCATCTGGAACAGCTGAAGATGACCTGGGCTGGGGGTCCGATGCTGATTGGTCAAACTCTCAGATGGCATCAACTTTGGGCGTTATCTCTCCTGCTACCTAGGGAGAGGTCAGCAAGGCTCTTAATGCCCAAACATTCTTCAAGGGTGGCTTTTGCTTATTCTAACAAGCCTAAGTTTGAAGGGTCTAGGAATCCTAGGCTAAAATGCTCCCTATATAATTCTTCCAGGGAGATAGTTATGTTTACTAATGGAAAAGTCTGTCTTGGTGCCAGAGGTCTGAATTTCGAAATTACCTCTTCTATTGTAAATTCTATAAACTCAACTCCTGGGACTAGACCAGGGTCTAAATTCTGAGTTCCTTCTTTCCTGAGGGCAATATTGGACATTTGCTGATGCTTACAAATGTGTCCCACGATTTAGATGCATTGAATCCACTCATTAGGGCCATCGTTCCCACATTGAGGCCGAGACCCAGGAGACCAGGGTCTGCTCTCTACCTCGCCACCCCCTCCCCCCGTCTTTCTGCTCTGAGTCCCCTTCTTAGAGGTCTTTGATTTCAAAGCGAGCTCTGTGCATCAAAGGCTTGCGTGGTGAAGAATGCGGAAGGGGAAGGACTTGGCCCAGGGCAGCTGAATGACTTGGTATTGTTTGAAATCACAAGAACTGCTTTGGTCAGTTTCTGACACATGCTCGATCTCATATTTCTCCCCTTTTGTTTCTGCCATATAAAAGAATAGTAGAGAGAAAAAAATATATTCTCAAAATGTACTGTGGGAGAATAGAGGTACAGATGTCTGTCCTTCTTTCCTTCTTTCTAAATTTCTGTGTCTTAATTACCATAGAGTTTGCAGAGTGGAAAAGAAAATACCCTACCATAATACAGGAAGTAATCAAAAGCCACATCATGAATTTGTTTCTCCCCCCCCCCACTATGAAAAGGTAGAATATGAATAGAATGGGAAAGTCCATTAGAATAATTTGCTATTCATGATGAATTATAAATGACATGATGTACTCTTCATACATATCTAATATAAACTTAAAATTTAGCCCTGTAGATTGCCTGCTGAATGACAGAGGCATGGCCACTTTTCTTGGAGCTGGCATTAGATTCTCACTGGGCTTTAACCTCTTGTTTTGTCGTTCTGAGATAGGTGAATAAGCTACTCTGTACCATCAGCCCCTAACAGCACAGAGAACGCAAACGCTGTTAGTCCTGCTGGTGAATGACCGAGGGGAGATCAGTCCATGTTTCCTCCCTGAATCCAAATTAGTCTCGCAGCTGGAGAGGCATCAGTGGCTGATAATGGCCTAACAACCTCCAGCACTAACAGATATGACCTCGGCGGTGGTGACAGGAATGCAAAATGCTGGCTGTGCGCGTGCACACCGCCACGGGAGCTTGGAGCCACCTTGAAAAACAAAATGTCCTAATAGAAAAAGAATAAGGCCAATCAATATGTGGCAGATATCACAACAGCAACTTGAAAGCATCAAAGCTGGTTCTCTTCCAGTCCCAAAGAAAAAAGGATGTTTCTAGGGATCCTTAAAATAACGAGGAATATTGCCATTCAGGCCATTCACTTAAAGAGGACTCCTGTGTTTAGGCCTCCCTCCATGCAATTCCACGCCTTTTCTCTGCTCAAACACCTCCAATGTCCTGGTGACCAGGTGGACCATCCGGGCTCTTGGCCCATGCTGAGCCATGCTCCCATAACCTCTGAAGACCAGCAGCACCAGGAGGCACTTTCCTTGTGTGCTGTGTTTGAAAGAGATTTTTCTTTACCCAAAGTTTACACATTCTTTGGCCACACTTGTTCATTCGATGCCATTCAATGAACACATCCTGGGCATCTACCCAGGGCCAAGCACGGGGTTTGGGGTACAGCTGACCCATGAGGAGCTCCTGTCCCATAGAAAAGGCATGACACGGGGACCGGGAGGGCATCCCCATGTGGCGATGGGGGTGTGGAGGAGCACACACAGGACATGGCAGGAAGACGCACCGCCCTGCAACAGGCCGGGAGCAACTTCTGCTCTGGGGTGCAGATGAACTTTGCTTTCCTATAAGGAAATAATGCTTGAGGTTGGCTTCCCTTTAAAAGTCACCCATAGATATTTTTGCCTTAAACAAATAAAATTATGGAATACTCCGGGTGTGTGTGTGGACCACGTAATCACTGAAATCTTAGCCATGATTATTGTCCTGAAAAATAGAAAAGCCACTTTGTAGTTCCCCCATGTAATAACCATGTGGTGAAGAGCAGGCCCTGCCTACCTGTCTGTCCTGTATGAGCGTGCAACTCGCCAGGGGCAGGAGCCTATCCTGCTGATCATTAGAGTCTATCACATAGCATAATGCACAGCAGATACTAAATCCTTCAAAAAGAGACCTATCTGCAATTTCTATTTGTGATCTATTTGTGATCTATCTGTGATTTCTAGAGATATCACATCTAATAGTTCGCAATGGACAGTACTTAGAGAAATAGGAAACAATCAGAGAATGAGTTGATTGTGCTTTTGAATATAATTTGATTCAATGGTTTCTACTTAGAGCAATGATATTGACACATAAAAGATTTACTGATTTTAATTTCATCATTAGAAACATATAAATGTAATATATACATGTGAAAAGAAAGATATTTTATTCACAAAGAGCCAGTAATTACTATCTCTTCTGGTGACAGCTCTAGCCTTGTGCACCAAGGTGCAAAGCCAGGACCAACCCTGGGCCAGGCTGTTTCTGTCTGTGTGGACACGGCTGCCCTGCACTTGGTTGGCCTCCAAGACAGACGAAAAGCTAGCAAGCAGCCTCAGGGAAGACTGCGGTGCACTCAAGGCGGGAAGCTGCAATTTCCCAAATATCAAAGGATGTTCCACAATGTTGTCTTTTCCACACTGCAATTTTCATAAATGAAAGCTTAGCCCTGAGCTTTCCTTGAAACAGGATTGGATGTGTGGGGAGTCTGAAAAGCCGGTCCAAGTAGTCCTGTGACCTCTCTCTCTGTTGCTCTGGTTCTGTGGGTTAAGAAATCTCTATCGATTAATCACCACATACGCACACATACATGCATACACGCACACGTACATGCACACACGCACATGCACACACACATGCATGGGCTTGCACAGGAGGAGGGCGTTGCCTGGTTCGCCAGCCTCCTCCTATTATGTCCTACTGAGACCAGAATTTAGGCCTTCCCTAGAGTGAGGGCCCACAAAGTCCAGTCACAAAATACACAGCAGAATTGTGGTTGCATTTTTACCTTCTAAAGGTAGCAATTTCTGTGTGAGTTAGATTCAGTGGACTGTAATTATGCAGACGCTTAGCATTCCCCACGTCTTCGTCCATGCTGGGGATGCTTTCCCTGGCTGGGTTTTCCCACAGTGAGCTCGGCGCCAACTCAGGAGACAGCAGCTGTAACAGGCCGTGTGGAACTGAGACGTGACCTGTGGAGCTCTGTTCCCTACTACTGTTTCACCTTTGTGACATGATGTGCCATGACAAGCGACCAGTCAGGGAGAGTACAGCTACCCCAGTTCTGAAAGGAGGGTGGTGACTCTGGCCCACAATCAAGAGATGCCAAGGAGTGTGTGGGCTCCCATGGCAAACACGCCCAGCAGCAGCAGCAGCAACAGCTCAGCAGGCCTCCTCACTTCCGGCCTCTCCACCTTCCTAGCTCCTGACCAGTGAGGAGCAGGCACATCCTGTGTGTGGAGGGACCAGCAGGTCCCCTTAAGACTCCACCCTCCAGTTGTGTGGAATCTACGCATCGGACCCAATGCGGAAGCCACGGGAGTGGTAAGGATGAGAAGTCCACTGCCCCCGGAGCATGCCTAGTGGCATTCCTGGGACCCAGCGCTGGGCCATATGCTACCACCAGGCAGCTGCTGCAGCAGGAGCCAGGTCTTGCAGATACCACTGTCCCGCTGAGGACACAGGACCCCATCTCAGCAGAAGGACAGTTCTACACTTCAGGAAAGTGAAGGACTCCCTCTTACTCCGGGGTAATGGGTGTAAACCTTCCCGTTTTAAGTGAGAGGAGGTGGGACTGTTATTTTGCTTTCAACAAAGTCAAAAAAAGGAAAAAGGGCAAAGGGATTCTTGATCAAAGGATACAGACATTCAGTTATAAGATGAGTAAGTTCTGGGGATTTAGCTGCAGCTTGGGGACTTTAGTTAATACAACCATATTGTGTGTTTGGAATCAGCTGAGAGAGTAGAGCTTAAGTGTCCTCACCCCCCCCCCCCCCCACACACACACACACGTAACTCTGTGAGTTGATGGACATGTTAATTACCTTGATTGTGGTATTCATTTCACAAACTGCATGTATATCAAATCATTGCATTATACACTTAAATGATGTAAATGTACAATGTTTATTTGTTAATTATACTTCAATAAAGCTGAGGAGAAGGGGGGAAAGGAAAGGAGGGCCCACATAGTCGACGGGGTCCCAAGGCAGCCAGGTGGTGGCAGCTGGGCCTTGTCCGTCAGCAGCAAGGCAGGAAGAACCAGGGCTCCAGGGTGAGTGCTTCCACGTCTCATAGGGAGCAGCTGATGCCCATGAGGCAGGTCTGGGTTGGGCAGGCATCTAGAGGAGCTGGGGTTTGAACCGGGTCTAGAAGATGATTAGGGTTTTGCCAGTTGGAAAGGGAAGAACAAAAACCAAGAAGGAAAAATGATTCTCTAAATAATCGGGTTTGACACTGAAATCCCTGCCTGCCCCCTCTTCCCTGCACCTCACAGGGTCTTCCTGGTTCTTGCAGGGGCTCCCCCTTATGCTCCCTTGCCTCCCTCCACCAAAAATAAATTCCAGTGCATTTCAAAGGCCAAGAATTACACACTTTAAAATCCTACACCAGAAACGGGATGGATGGTGCTGAAAACGGGATTTCAAAGAGAACAGAGGATAGCTCCAAAATAAGGTCTTTTAGAGTAGAAAAAAATACAAAAATAAGTAGCAAACAATTGGGAAAGTAACGAAATTGGATTCCAGCATGGTCTGTATGGTCATGAAGCATGGGGACCCCCAAGCCTTGCTGCGAAGCATTAGGTCCCTCTAATGAGTGTTTCTGTATAGCCTACATGGGGAAGATGACCGCAGGGCACTGAGGCGCCTCTCACCCCAGCCCAGGGCTGGGCAGGCCAACCAGAGGTATCTGAGCTGAGTCTCTCAGCAGAGGCTTGGGTTGAGATTCTTCAAGGCATCACCTGCAGGTGTCAGGTGCAGAAATTAAACCTCCATTCACTCTCTATGGATTTCTGGGGCTGCCTCTCCTGGAGTTGCTGTCTTCAGTGATCATGAGTAGAAAGCCACCAAGGACTTGGGAAGTGAGGAAGAAAGGACCAGGAGGCTGCCCACATGTGAAGTGTCGAAGAAGGTGTGCGGGCAATTTGTCCAGGGCTTCTTGATGGGGTGCTGTGAGTTCAATAGCATCCCCCAAACAATATGTTGAAGTCCTAACACCTGGTACTCGTTACTGTGCCCTTCAATGGAAATAGAACCTTTGTAGACATAATTAAGATGTGAGCTAAGCTAAGGACCTACTGGAGGAGAGTGGGCGCTAATCCAATATGATGGCCTTTCCTAGGATAGAAGAGGCCCAGGCAGACACACAGAGAGGGTCTTGTGAAGATATGAGCAGGGACTTCAGTGGTGCTGCCACAATCAAGGAACACCAAGGCCTGCCTGCTGCCACCAAGGCCAGGAATGGGCAGGGAACACATTCTCCCTGTGAGCCCCCATGAAGGAGCCAACACTGCTGACACCTTGGTTTTGGACTTCTGGCTTCCAGAGTACAGTGCTGTTGCTGAAAGCCACTCAGATTGTAGAGACTTGCCATGGCAGCCACAGTAAGAAAATACAGGGGACAGGTGTGAAAAATCATCTGCCCTCATGCGAAGGAAACTCGGATCCTCCACGCTGGCCAGTGTGGATGAAGGGGAGTCTGTATGAACGACATGGCCTGAATTGGCATTCTGGTGTTGTTATGGCATCCACGGCCATCAGCCTTCCTCCTATCTGTGGGTACATCTCTGAGCACAGGAGGGTGATACCACCAGACACTCACATGCCAGCAAGGGCTGTGGGGACCTGAGTCCTGGGCGGCTGTTGTACCTCTACCTACTTGTCCTGTAAAACAGCAAACACCTCTGCCTTCTTGCCACTCGCCTCCCATCACATCCATGTCCTCTCTCTGCATGTCTTACTTCCTCTCATCTCCTTTACTTCTCCCTCTGCCACTAAATCAGCACTGATACCAAGACGTCCCCAAACTATTAATTTCCTTTAAATGGCAGCATCTCTACCTTCCCACTTAAACTCCAAAAGGCCATTAGTCCATCTTCCTGCCATCTCCATAGCCAATTCTGCATCATCCGTGACTTTGCACTGTCAGCTTCATAGCTCTGCTGATCAAGCAATGTTCACTGCGCACTTCCTGTGGCCAGCAGGGGCTGGCAGCATCGCGCAACCTCTTGGGACAACCCACAGAGACAGCTCTGAGGCAGGGGCATCAGGCCCACATTGAATGATGATATGGCCAAGGTCAGTTTCCTTTTCCAAGGTCACACATCCAGTCTACCCTTGATATGGAAATTTCCCAATTCTAACTGTCCTCCTGTACTCGTGCCCACTCCCATCTACTAGTGATGGACTGTCTCCAAATCCCTTCTCCAGCCCTCTGTCCCCTCCAACTCCCAGGGAGAATGCATGCAGCCTCTGCCCTCTCTCCCACTGCTGTCAATCAGGCCTCTGGAATTTACCACTCTGGTCCTGCTCTCCTACCTGAGTGTCAATCCCATAACTTCCACTCCTCAGAGGGACTCTGCTGAAAACCTTCCCACCCTTCAAACACACTCAGTTGAACTCATTACCCTGGCTCTATTCTGGGTATTTTCAACCACAACTTTCTGTCTTAGTCTGTGCTGCTCTTCTTCCTTGACCCATATCCAATACTTGGGCTCAATTTTGACCCTCTGTGTGCTCTTTCACTCACTGGGCAGGTAGCTACCACAAACCGTTGTTTATCTAAGTGCCTCCAGGGTAGTTTCTCAACTCCATATCCAGGGCTCTGGCTCTTCTCTTGGTGTGCTGAATGCACCTGTCCTCACCCTACATCCACTCAGGAGCAATGCAGACTCATAGAAACAACTCCCTGTGGCCCAAGACACCATGACCGCCAGCTCTTCTTCTACTCCTCTTTCCTGACATTTCTTTCTAGTGTTGATCCGGCTACTGCCAGGGTTTTGTTCCTGACATACTCAGAGCTTTCTGCTCCATTATTTTTGGGGGGTTTGTTTTTTTTTTTTTTTGAGACACAGACTCATTCTGTAGCCAGGCTGGAGTGCAATGGTGTCATCTCTGCTCACTGCAACCTCTGCCTCCAGGGCTCAAGCGATCCTCTTGCCTCAGCCTCCTGAGTAGCTGGGACCACAGGTGTGCACCACCACACCCAGCTAATTTTTTGTATCTTTAGTAGAAATGGGGTTTCGCCATTTTGGCCAGGATGGTCTCGATCTCTTGATCTTGTGATCCACTCGCCTTGGCCTCCCAAAGTGCTGGGACTACAGGCATGAGCCACTGCACCCAGCCCATTATTAATAGCAAACATGAGCCGTTCTTTATGGAGTTCTTATTCCATTCATTGTTTCACAAGCATCACTGCTAATTCTCACCACGGCTCTGAAAGGTACCCACCACTGTGTTCATTTTTTAAATGATGAAAGAATGGCCAACAGCTTCATGAAAAAATGCCCAACATGGCTAATCATCAGGGAAATGAAAATTAAAGCCACAATGAGATCTTGCCCCACAACTGTTCAAATGGCTACTGTCAAAAAGGAAAAGGAGAGCATGCACTGGTGAGGAGGTGGGGAGAAGAAAGCCCTTGCACGCGGCTGGGGGGATGCAAATCAGTACAGTCATTATGGAAAACGCTAGGGAGATTTCTCAGCAAAATAAAACTAGAACGACCACAGGACCCAGCAAGTCCCGGTCCTGGTGTTTGTCCAAATAAAACATAGCCAGTATGTCAAATGGATATCTGCACCCCCACGTTGATTGTAGCACTATTCACAGGAGCAAAGATATGAAATCAACGTAAGTGCCCATCAAGGAAGAATGAATAAAGAAAATGTGGCATCTACACACAGTGGAATACTATACAGCCTTTAAAAAGAAGGACATCCTGTTACTTACAACAATGTGGATGAATTTGGAGGACATTATGTTAAACAAAATAAAGCCAGACACAGAAAGACAAATACTGCAATGACCTCTTGCATCCATCCATGTACGTATGCACACATGGCTATGAAGACAATTGCTGCAAGGAACTGGTTCTTGTGCTGAACTTATGAAGACTACATCCCCCTCTCTGCAGTACGCAGGAGAGCTGGTGGTGAAGGGGCAGGAGACTGATGGCTTGGCTCAAGTAGTCAGGCATGGGGAGCAAATTCACCCCTCCTCAGCCTTTTGTTCTATCCAGGCCCTCAACAGATTGGACGAGGCCCACTCATATGGGGAAGTGCCATCTGCTTTACCCAGTCTACCCATTCAAATGCTAATCTCATCTGGAAACCCTCTCACAGACACATGCAGAAATAATATTTAGCCAAAAATCTGGGCACCCCATGATCCAGTCTAGTTGACACATAAAATTCACCATCACCTGCTCTGCCAGGAACATCTGTTCCTCAGCCAATGAAATTATCCTGGCAATCATCTTATCCTGAATTGTCTTCACATGTAGTTCAAAAGTGATCTTCATGGCAACCAAGTCAGATTACCACGAATTCCACATTTTGGGGTACTCGAACACTATGATAGAGAAAGAAAAGATAACACGGGCTCATGGAATGCAAGACTCAATGTTCATGGCCCCCTTTCTCTTCCAATTCCACTCCTATTGGAGTCTTAAGCGTGACCTTGCTCAGGTACCAGCCTGCGAGCCAGAGAAGGCAATGTGACTGATCCCGCTCACTGCCCCCAGCCTTTCTCATCCCTTCACCTTGATCTCATTAAGCAAAACATAAGGAGCTGATTCCACAGCAGACAAGCAATTCGATGGGTGTAAAGTGCTTACTCATGTGAGGTAAATTAACTCCCACAAAGCATTATTCACTAATTTGCCCCACTGTAAAAATGTCATTGACTACATGGGGCTTTTTAATGTCTTAGATTTCCGGCCTAGCTGTTAGCAGCACTCAAAATACACCTTCTCTTGAACATGGAGGAGGGAAGTCTCGATAGGGGCATTCCAAATGGCAGCTTCTGCTGCATGGAATAAAATGTGTATACCGTACTAGATTTTACTGACACCCAATTCTTGAAATGTGGTTTCCATCTTCTGTGACAGGTAAGTAAATTCCATGTCATTATCATGTTAGTTGCTATTATCCAAACAGTTTTCCCATGTAAATGCTGACACCATCTAGACTTGATTTTTCTCATAATAAAAGTATCTGGTAATATCAACACATCCATGTCTTCATTATAGCAATTTTTATAGCTATTTGAGGCACATGAGATTGGAATCAGAATTTTAGAGGCTGATATTTTCTTTTCCTTTTGAAACAGCTTTTAACCAAAAATTACCTTTTATGTAATAAAAGAGTATGATTCATGAAAGGAGTTTAGCTTGAGGTTCTTTCCTCGTGGTATAAACTCTAGAATATGCTGTGCAATGCATTCAGACAGATTCATGACTCACATTTGTAGAGGTTTAGTTAGGACTATTGAGTCGTGGTGGGTTTGAGGGATGCTGGTATGAATAAAAGTTTTGTTAAGCATGTTCCTTCTTCTTTGTCTTCATTGTTTGAAGACTCTTAATGTCTGCTTTTCTCTAAAACTCTTTCTAATCCCTATAGAATAACCATTTGTTCAAAATCTCAGTTTCCTGCTCTTTGTAAAGGCAGAGGGATGAACCCACACACGTCAACACCTCAGAAACACCCCTCAGGCCCTGGCTTCCACCCCACAACCCACCTAACCCCTGCTTCAAAATGCAGCCAGCTGGGCTAGGCTTTGAGACACAGAGCTGACGGTGTTGCTTTCCAGCCTGAGGCTTGGTGGCAGCCCACAGTGACCACAGAGTCTTATACACACACACACATACACACATACACACACACACACACACAGCCCTGACAGTGGACCCTGGAGGTCTGCCCTCCACACAGGGACCCAGGCTGCCATCTCTGGTTAGCACAATCTGAGTGTCTGGAACATTCCATATTGGTTACCAAGACCAGGCATTTGGTCCAAAGGTGCCCACACCCTAAATACCACCCCTCACCAACACACACAGGTATGCACCCATCAACTCACAAGGCTGAGAAGTGTCGGGCAACTTCTCCAAATTATGACATAAATGGAATGCAGCTGTTTTACAGGGCTGGCCACACACCCATGGCAGATGCAAAGAGAGGAGGGATGCAATGCGTTCACTATTAGGATGGTAAATGTGGCTTATAGAAAAAGGCAGGAGATACATGAATGTCAAATGTTTTAAGAGTGTGGACAAGTGTTCAGCCAGGTTGAATACCACTGCATCTATAATACAGCTTAATATAAGACTGATTTAGAATGGCGTTTTGAGATTACCAAACAATAACACCTGAAGCAATAATATAGCAAAGACTTATCAGTGTAATTTATTATACTGCCTTATGAACGTATGGTATGGATTTTAAGATATAGTATACAATAAAAGTTATCTTAGAAAGAGTACATATCTAAGACATACTCTATACGATGACAAGATTGTTTGCTATATAATAGGAAAAACCAACTAAGAACTCCAGTTTCACCGCAAATGGAAACATCATCCATGAACCTGACCCAACACCCAAGTGTCTAAATGAAAATGAAAGCTTCCGATAAGAGCTCAGGTCTTCAGATGAGGCACCAACCTGGCCCTGGCTCCTTACAACCCTACAACCAACTCTGAACTGGGTAAAATAAGACACATTTTAATTGTTATTGCATAATTAATCCACATGCCTATATCTCTTGTGTGCTTGGTTCAAAAAATGACCTGGATGGCTCAGAAAGGTAATTTATATGAATCAGAACAAGATTTAGCCAGGGTTCTGTTACTGCTGGCTTGTCTAAGTGCTGGTCTTCTGCGTCAACTATTGATGAACTAGAACAGAGTCATGTTCCTTAAAAAGTCCTCAACCCAGCCAGGCATGGTGGCTCATGCCTGTAATCCCAGCACTTTGGGAGGCTGAGGCAGGTGGATCGCCTGAGATCAAAAGTTGGAGACCATCCTGGCCAATAGAGTGAAACCCAATCTCTACTAAAAATACAAAAAACTTATCTGTGCATGGTGGCAGGCACCTGTAATCACAGCTACTAGGGAGGCTGAGGCAGGAGAATTGCTTGAACCCGGGAGGAGGAGGTTGCAGTGAGCTGAGATTGCGCCATTGCACTCCAGCCTGGGCAACAGGAGCAAAACTCCATCTAAAAAAAAAAAAAAAAAAAATCCCCAACCCCCTGTCAAGTTCTATACGCTTTCTCTCTCAACACACAAGCTGGGCCAGTGTTTTTACCCGTGCTGGGAACCACAGCTGAGCCCAGGATGGACAGACATGGAAGTGAACCACACGTGGCTCGGCCCCCGGCTGCATAGCCTTCATCTTCCCTCTAAGGACTTTCCAGTTACCAATTTGTTCTCAGTTTAATTGTCTTTATATTTAGCTTTATATTCAGACAGCTACATTTCTGAATTTCTCCAGGTAATTAATTGTCTCCTGCTTCCTATGAATAATGTTCTTTCTGCAGGAAGAGTCAGCACCATCTTGTGGGTCTAGAAAACTGTAAAGCTCCCCAAGGTCATGTTTTATGAGGGTGCTGAATTCAGAAGCCAGTTCTAAGATATAATAAGAACATAAGTAAAGACATCATCCAAATGATGGCTGCTATACATATTAAAGAGTAGGTTTAGTAAACCTTAAAATATGGATCATAATTACATTAATATGCAAATAATTATTTAATAATTATCCAATTATCTTCATGTGTCACGGGTCCAAGAATTGAAGAGAACCTTCTACTCAAGGCTTCTCTCTGCTGATCATAGCACAGTTGTACGTGATTTTGATCATAGATGTTCTTTTGCTAGAAACCACAAGGCAGGGGATGAAAACTCTACACAAACCAGTGTTTAGTGCAGCATCACGGAGGCCATTGAATAGTAGGGTCCTATAAGATTCCACAACTCCATCACTTTGAGAGCATTGCCAATAATACTGACTCCTGGTGATGAGTGACTTACTAAGGAAATTATAGATTATGTTGAGAGTTTTCTATGTTGTTTCTTTCTTTTTTTTTTCCCCCTAAACGTAAAAGTATCTAACAAATTTGGGAAGAGTTTCATCCAATGTGCTACTTTTTCTTTATGCTTTGACACTTAGGTGAACGCAGAGTTTCTCTAGAACATGCAAGTCACATGGCTTCCTAGTGAATTAGGTGTTACAATAATTAAAGCAATACCAGATACCAGGTAAGACTTCTTCCTGCAATGAGAGCTACATATTTATAAAATAGTTGAGTTGCTCACAGTAGATGGGGTAAGTGCCTAGGGATTACTCAGAAGACAAACCAGTAGAGGCAAGAGGAGGAAATGGGTCACCTGCTTCCTTTTCTCCCTCTTACTTCTTTTCTAGTTACTATGAAACAGACTTCCTTCTTCCCAGGCAGAGGAAAGCCCCCTCTTTTCTCTCCTTCTCCCTCAGCACCTTCTAGGCAGCCCAAACACTAGATTTTTAAGCCCCTAATACTCACAGAAAAGAGAAACCAATGGATTGATGACTTCGAAAATCTAAGAAGAAATCGTTAACGACCCCACTCTGCTAGTGTAAGTGAGTTCACAGCTTGGACCGCTGCAATCAGTGGCTCCGTTTTCAACATTATTTAAGGCAAAAACTATAAAAACAAAAGTAAAGTAGAAGCCGGGGTGCGGGAAAAGATCACAGACTCTGAAATAATAAACCAGACACAGAGAATCATGGGGGGAGCTGGAAAGACACCCCAGTGAAAGCCAACGAAAACCTAAAATAAATTACAGACACTAAAGCCAAGAAGCCCTTGATGAATGTAATAGGATATAGAAAGTTACTTTGATAACTGTGCTCATTATTCTCAGGAATTTATAACATATTTTGAATAAAAATAATTAAACTAGAAAAATGTTGTTCAACAGTACCACCTGCATTTAGCCCCCACTCTCCAAATTACTTCTATGGAAAATTCCTCGCTTCTATTTGTAATTAATTAATACATGTTGTCTCTCATTTTAAGTGATTGGAAAATTACTTGTCTCCCATCTCAGAAGACGGTTATTCACATTAGTTTGAAGAACATGAAACAGCCTATATTTGAACCTGTTTGACCCATAAGAAAGGTCAATTTCATCTGGTTCATGGTAATGCATATGCTGATGCCTTCTTTAGTAAAGAAATATGCATCCTCCTCCAAAGTACTTCTATGCATAATCTTCTCTTGCAAAAATTACCCACTTGCAAGGCAAAGGCAGTGACCCAAAGCTTGAACCACTTATGATATTGGGACAAAACCCTTTCTCCATGCACAGTTTGCAAAAGAAAATGGAACTGAGGAGCTTAGAAGTCAGTGGGTGTCGGGATATGCAGGGAGTATAGAAATGAAGTCTTGAATAAACTGGGTGAGAAGTAGATTCCTTTTGATTG
This sequence comes from Homo sapiens, assembly GCF_000001405.40. Taxonomy (NCBI): domain Eukaryota; kingdom Metazoa; phylum Chordata; class Mammalia; order Primates; family Hominidae; genus Homo; species Homo sapiens. Next base: position 3,530,687 of record NC_000005.10, read on the forward strand.
TTGTCTCTTGCTTTTTAATGTTCTCAGAAAACGGCTGTATCTTTCAGAGTCTCTCAAGGATTTTTAGATAAAAAGAGAGGTTTTATCTTTGCATGTCTATAAGCAGTGAAAAACTCCGGAGACCAAAACCTACAGGCAATTCAAATAAACTAAATCCGATCAAGGTAATATCAATGCCAGAATTAGAAGAAAACCCAGAGAGAATATCAATAACAACATTAAAACAGCAGGTTTCAACTGGAATCAATAGACAGAATAAACAGAAAAAATTAAGTCACAAAGTGTTAGCAGATAAAAGCTCCCCACTCATTAAAATTCTGTTTGTCTTTGTGTCTTTTTATCAATGTACCTATATATCCGTGCAAGTGTATCAAAGTTTGTAATGTAAAAGAATGATGAAATAATCTAATTAATTTCCGGTGTCATTCTACATATTTCTTTCAAGTTGAAACTGCAATATTAACAATGGTTTGCAGTTTAATAAAATATCTTTATGTCCTATTAACTCATATATCAGCTTGTTATAAAAGCCACTTTCTATCAAATAGCTAAACTTCAAAAGAGTTTTGCTTTGATCAGAAAGAAAAAATCACGTTCATTCCATTTGTACTGAATAACCTCGCTCAGTTTTATAGAAAGGCAGTTGTCTGTAGCTGCTGAGCTCTCATGAAAGATATTCCAATGGGCAAAAAAATAAAAAAGATAGAATATATTGAGGGAACCATTGAGCAAGGGAAGTGTGCTTTTAACTTCAATAGGCAGGGGAAACTGGCTTTTGAGAGCACAGCAATCCCCAGCAGAGAAGGCCCCAGGAACCTCCCAGAGCACAGACAGGTACCAGCCCTAGAGTGGAATCTCAGGAATGCCACCTCCACTAAAATTCCAACTGCTAGATTTTTTTTTTTTTTTTGAAGTCTCAAATCCTTCCCATTGACAAGTTTCGTTGGGGTAGCAAAGAATTTTTAAACAACGCTCCTTAGTTGCCACAATGTAAAAATTCTCTTGACTGCAAGATGTGCCCCCATGCCACGTCCAGAGGTCTGGGCAGGTCTCTGTCTCACCTTACCTCTCATCGCTGGACACTTTCCCTTCTGCGTCTCTGCCAGTGCCGTGTGCCAGGCATGATTCTGCAATATCCAGGTTATTCAAGAAGGTCAGGGGCTTCCTCAGGTTTTTCCCTTCAGTGTAGCAGCTGAAATAGAAGTTGAAAATGAAACTGGCTTTATTTGTTTCGTATTTTTTCCAAAAGAGACTCCAAATGCACCTGTTCTTCTTGGAACAAACCTGAGTGGTCAACGGTTCTGGGAAGGACAAATGTGAGGGTCCCTAGAAAGGGTCTGCATTGACATTCCTGGTCTCCTTGGATGTCAGCAGAAGTCTTGTGTTGCCAGCACAAATACACGTCTATCCCGGACCCCCAGCAGGTGTGTGGCATTGCCTGCAGCACATTCTAATGCTACCTGGGCAACGTGCTTTGCCTCTCACAAATAGAAAGAAGCTTAGGCCTAATGAGGAGATAAGGTTTGATGGCAAGAAAGTGCCCTGAATCGCAGAGACAGAACCCTGGCAGCAAGGCACCGACTTCGGGAATCCTAAGTTTCACAGTCAAAGAAAATGCCAAGTATGAAAGTATTAGTCTAGAAAATGAGCCTGAAAAAAATTGGGGTGTTGAGAATGAGAACGATGACTGTGGAGTGGAGTGGGGTGATAGTTTCACTCTAGGAGGATCCCAGAACCCTGGTCTCTGAAGGGAGTGGGGCAGTGCTTCTCTACTGGTATATAATTTTATAATTTTATTCATGTTGAAACTTTAACTTCAGAGACCACCCTGACAAACTGATAAGAATGCCTTTGCTACGGGACCTTCCTGTATATTCTGGGGTACAGGCTTTTGTTGTGTTGGTAAACCTCCTCCACAGAGCGGCATCCCCAGCTACCAACCCCTATGTCCCACCAGGGACCTCTAATCACTGTGGTGGCTGAAAGCACTTCCAGACCTTTCCAGAGCCCACGCCCACCTGCATTTCAGGGAGAAAGTTGTATTTCCCCACTTCTTAACTAATTCAGGCCACATCTGGGCACTCTTTTGTAAATCTTAACTTTGTTCTCTCAACAATATTAATAGCATTTTTTTCAAGGTGCCTCTTGACATTTTCCTTCCATTTTTTTCATTCTGATATTTCTGTTCAAAAACAGCCAATGGACTGTCACAGTCTCCAAAAGTCATTTCCAAAATGGAGGCTGTAAGCAAGTTGATCAATTGAGATGCAGGACAAAAGTTAGCAATTAAAGCCTAGAGAAATTAAGCTTCCTAATGGTTTTATATTGACAATAGTCTGTGTATGTAATTTCTAAATAATTTTTCATATATTGAAGATTTTCGCTCATTTTTTTTTCCACACATGGAGTGAAAAATTGTAAAACTTGGAGATACTATTAGTGTACCACAATGGTTCTCAATCCAGGGTGATCTGGGTTCCTGGGCCAGGTCTGGAGACACTTTGGCCCTCACATCGGAGGGGGTTCTGCTGGCATCCAGGTGGTGGGGGGATGCAGGGATGCTGTCAGGTGGCCTGCAGTGTACAGGTCAGCGCCCCCATGCAAAGAACCACCCGGCCCAAAATGTCTATGGCACTGAGGTTGAGAAACTCTGGTCTGCCAATTTAATCAAAAAGGTTTTGGCCTGAAGATGAGGGCCCCACAGTGTGGTCGTGTCCTATAAAGCTAAGAGCATCTGGGGCCCCTCCCAGAGGCGGTGCTCAGCCAGTATTCCTGTGCACTCCTAGAGCCTTTGCTCATTTCATTCCAGGACCCAGCTTGTAAGGATCCCATTCAAGTTTCCTCACACCCCCGTCAAAGCCCACCCAAGTCTTCCTGCTCCTGTGTGAGTAGCGGGCCTAGCCTCCTTAGTGGGGCTGCTCCATGGCTTGACTTTGTGATGTGCTCATTGGTTTCCTCCATCCAGATGGGGTGTGCAGGAAGAAGTGACTGCTGACTTTGCAACCCAACTGGGTCAAGGGTTTTTGAAGCTGAATGGATCCAACTCCCTCATTTCACAAACGAGGAGCCCAAGGCCCAGATGACCTCACATTTCTAGATCACAGCACAGTTACCCCAATAGCAGAGGGAAACCCACATGCTCCAATCCCCAGTACTTCCTCCCGCAGGCCCTCATGCCATCTTTAACAGAAACAGACGGAACAACCTTTCTAAACAAGGCATTTTGCATTAGGACAGAATTGTATCTCCTCTACAACAAACTTATTTTCATTTGAAGATATTTGCCTCATGTCTGGGCAACACGGACGCTGTTGCACAGACAAGAGCCTGCTGTTTCTTTTGATGATCAGTAAGACAAAATTCTAACTCATTTTCCCCAAATCAAACAAAGAAACACTTCGTAAACCTGTCTGTGGGCTGGGGACTGGATAAATCCCTGTCTGATCACCTCATTAGACTGTTACAACCATCTATGGAAACATGGAAATTATCTCACATTTTGGCTCTCGATCCTTCTCACATTGTTTTAAAATGTGAACAGAGTACTCCAAGCTCACCATCAGCAAAAGGACAGCTTCCCCTGGCAGGGCTGTGCTATCTCCAGCCAGATCCAAGGATTGGAACACCATACGGCTGAGCTCAGTTCCAAAGAAAACTTAACTGTGTTGGGTGTAACCTGTCCGAGTCAAATTCTGCATGTGACCAAAACGAATAAAGGCCAAAGACACATGCACACGTATGTTTATTGTGGCACTATTCACAATAGCAAAGACTTGGAACCAACCCAAATGTCCATCAATGATAGACTGGATTAAGAAAATGTGGCACACATACACCATGGAATACTATGCAGCCATAAAAAGGATGAGTTCATGTCCTTTGCAGGGACATGGATGAAGCCGGAAACCATCATTCTCAGCAAACTATCACAAAGACAGAAAACCAAACACCGCATGTTCTCACTCATAGGTGGAAATTGAACAATGAGAACACTTGGACACGGAGGCGGGAGGGGGCGGGGAGGGCTGCGAACATCACACACGGGGGCCTGTGGGGCTGGGGGAGGGGATAGCATTAGGAGAAATACCTAATGTAAATGAGTTGACGGGTGCAGCAAACCAACATTGCACATGTATACCTATGTAACAAACCTGCATGTTGTGCACATGTACCCTAGAACTTGAAGTATAATAAAATAAATAAATAATTCAATAAAGGGAGTTGCTCAAAAAAAACAGCGGCTAAGCTTTTCAAAACCCAGGTTTCCCAACACCACAGAGATTAAGGGAAATTGAGCCTTCCTTACTGAATCCTTATCTCCTGCTTGATGGTGTCATAACAAGTCTTGGCTCCTGGTTTGGACCTGACATTTACTGCCCATCAAGCGCGTCCTGAGGCAAGGTCCACACAATGTAGACATGTGACCTGACTCAAAATCTCCATGAATCGCTGAGTCACTCGACCACTGCCTTCCTAGCGGCTTCTCAGGAACACCTGTGGGCTAAGAATGAACCTGGACGAGGAGATCAGAAGGCACTGCCATCTCCTTATTTTAATAGGATCCCCAGAAAGCGAACCCTTCAAGGCCTGGGCACCCAACATTCCCGTCTGCACAGACCTTGCAAGGAAGGCCTGGCCGGCCAAGCGCCGGCCTCACAGCTGCATGTTGTTACAAATCTCTCAGTGGGACCTTCCTCCCGGAAGAGCGTTCGCGTGTAAAATGTGTTGTGTACCATTCTTCACCACGATACTAAGGCAGAGAATGCAGTGAGTGGAAGAGAGCGTGCAATAAGCATAGGCATGCACGTGTCTCCCCTAATGCACATGCAGCGACTTCTCTCCCGCGAGCTTATGGGAAACGCCCTGCGCAGCTGACCAGTCATCCGACGTTGCGGAGAGCAGCGTGGGTCCGAGGGAAGGCTGCGGCCGGGGACGCCCAGACTGGAGGCCTTGTCTGCCCCACCCAGCCTCGGACTTCTCAGGCTTCTCGGCCCGAGGGAGAAACATTTTGAAATTCTTTAAGAAGCAAGTTTTCCGTGGGCTGAGTGGACTTCTAGGGCCCTGACCACACTGACCTGGGCTTGTCGAGCTCTGCCCGCAGGCCCCTCGAGGTCTGGGTTTCGGCCCCATGGCCGTGGCTGTGCTTGGAAGGCCCCGGGAGCAGCCAGGGAGCGCGGTGCCTGCCCTCCACGGCGGCCGCCTGCGGGGAACAGGGCAGCGTCCAGCAGGCGGAAGGCGAGTGAGGCAGAGTGAAGCACACAGAGCCAAACCATATCACCGCCACCCCGTGTGACTGAGGTCAGGGCTTGCCTTTGAGGCCCAGGGTCAGCTGGGGACTAGCAGGAGCTCTAATCTCGCGCTGCGTCAGGGCGGGAACTGCAAGAGGCCGCCCCCGGCAGGCCGCGCATGCGCACTCCCGCGCGCACGCTCACCCGCGCTGACCCGGCTACGCTGGACCCAGGTGCGGGGACCCAGGTGCGCTGGACCCAGGCGTGCGCCACCGCCACCTCCTGCGCCTACACCCCGAGAGCGGCCGCCGCCAGCAGTGGCATCCGGGCTGTCCCAAGTCATCCTTCGTCTGTTTCAGTGTCTTTATGAAGCACTAGCTTTGAGGGATGAAAACGTCCACATGGATGCAGGGTCTGATGTTTATGGAAGGTTTGTGCCCAATGCAATCAGCTGTTGGCTCAGCCTGAAGATCGCTGGGATAATATTCCTGGGGTCCGAGTATAATACGCCCGGCATACACTTTCCCATGCATTAGGGTTTGGAAGTTGGATAACAAATATATTGTTAATCTAACAGAAAAACAGGACTTTAAAAATATAAGTGAGTAATTTGAGAGCACTCTCAAAACATAATGTTATCTAAAACAAGGAAATATTGCTTTCTCCCAGCTGACCTCATCCTTCCCTTGCAAAAGAATATCTGTCTAGGCTCACACTGCGGAATCCAAGAAAAAGTAAATATGGCAAGTACTTTCCACTCGGGAGCCTGTGGGAGTGTGGACGGGAGGGGTGGGCTGTAGGCCACAGAGGGCAGCTGCTTCTACTTGAGGGGTACATGGGGCCCCTCGGCAAACAAGCTGCTGTTAGGGCAAAGAGGACTTTCCTCGGCTTCTTGGCTAAGCACTAAAAACCCGAATCAGAAATGAAATGAATATGTTTTAACTTTAACTTATGATTATATTTGAGCTTGCTTGGTATAGTGATATGAAGTGCAAGCAAAAGTCCCCAACTCGCAAGACTGTTCCCTCCTAAATGTTTCTACTAGACTTCGGGATGCTTTGATGCCAGAGTCCCCACTCAGGAATGCCTGCTCCACAGGGAAAAGCCTCCTGCTCTACCGTGAACCCCACCGGTCCCCTTACCCAGTAGGTTCATGCGCAGTAAGTGCTCAGAGCTGCATGGTGAACGAGACAGAAAGACATGACACCCTGGAAGGATAATCCTGGAAGGATAACCCTGTTTAGTTTCCCCTATAGAGGACATAACTTAGATTCCCGCAATGCAAGGATCAGAAGAGGCTTTCCTATTGACCCAGCTCAAACTCCTCTTTTCCCAAGTAAGGGAAAGGAGGCTCAGACATTTTGAGCCACTCACCCAGTTTCACAGAGGGAAACAAAGGCAGGCCCTGAACTCCGTCACACAGTGGGTCTGATATGGTTTGGCTCTGTGTCCCCACCCAAATCTCATCAAGAATTGTGGAAGGTGATTGGATCATGGGGGCGGTTGCCCCTGTGCTGCTCCTGTGATTATGAGTGAGTTTTCACAAGAGCTGATGGTTTTAAACGGTGGCACTTCTTTGCTCTCTGTCTCACCTGCCACCATGTAAGACCTGCCTTGCTTCCCCTTCGCCTTCTGCCATGATTGTAAGTTTCCTGAGGCCTTCCCGGCCATGTGGAACTGTGAATCAGTTAAACCTGTTTTGTTTATAAATGATCCAGTCTCAAGTAGTTCTTTAAAGCAGTGTCGAAACAGATGAATCCAGGGGCCCAGCTGTTCTGGGGCCTGTGGATTTTGTTCTTACTCCCTCTCCTATACAGCATAACTCCTGTCCCTTAGGGAAAGCCGTACACGCCCACCAGTCTCCCTGATATACTTTAGCATTTGGCTACTAATAGTGGAGCAAGGCTCAGGGCAAGGATCACATTTAGCTTGACTCAAAGAAAGCAGATGCCGGAGAAGCCCGTGCCCGCTTTGGCTGGGGACTCTGAGGAAGTGGAGGGAGCGTTTCACGGGAATCCGGCAAATTCCATCACCTCATTCACATTATCTGTGGCTCACTCTGTGATTATGAAGTTAAACCGATTAAACCATTTCCAGGTAGCCCACTGCGTATATGTTTACCTATGCATGTAGGTCCCTTATACTCTGTGCAAATGCCCTTACCTACATGACACAGGTGTCCAGGTGCTATGCAAAGGCACAGGTGCCATGCAAAGGCACAGCCTCCCCTGCAGCCCATGCCCCACGCCTACGGCTGGCTCACAACCTCCACTCGTATCAGACGCTGCCACTGACAGGTGTCAGCTCTCCAGGCCTAGGTGGTGCACCCCGGTTTTTAGTCGGGGGCCATTGATTTCCTTCTGCTTGTGGCAATCTTCTACCACAGTTGCCATGCAGCAGCTTCAGCCAACAGGAACTTGGCTTCAGGGACAGACTCCTCAGCCCCTCCTATGGGCCTTGCCTGGCACTCTGCTTACCATGGGGATGTGATGTCCCCAGACAGCAGCACCCTGGCAGTGGCTGGGCTGCCCCACAGGGGGGCACACAGGGGACCCCACAGCCCCACCCCTGCATCCTCATCCCCACCTCCCCACACTGGAGGCTCCACTGAGGGTTCCTCTTGTCTTAGGACCCCCTGTGCTCTACTCAGAAATCGGGCTGAGGACAGACACTCCCCACCCAGGTTCAGCAGCCTCAGGAGCAAGGGGTCACACCTGAGTCTGGGAACGCATCGGTCACCAAGGCCGCAGGGTTGACCCCAGGCCTGTCTTTGGAGGGAGACCCACTCTTGCTGGGCAGGGGCTGGGGACACAAACAGGCTGAGCCTAAGACCTTGGTGTTCCCGGGCTGTCTGGCCTGCAGTGTTGGTGGATTTCAGCAGTGTGTGGGACAGCCACTGGAGTCCACAGGGGCCTAGGGGGCTACTCCACTTCTTGTTCTTTGGTGAAAAGTGACACTCCACAGTGTCATAAGGAGGGGAAGGAGGCTGCCCAGCAGGGGCCCAGGCTCAACCCCAGGAACTGCAGCTCCCCAGGAACATCCAGCCTGGCCACCAGGAGAGGAAGGGACGCTCGGGTCCTCTGATGCCCACGGGCCTTCTGCGTGTGGAAGGCAGAGGTCTGATGCGTCCCTGCCTGAGTTCTTCCTCCTGGACAAGGAAGACAGGAAGAAGATGGACGGTGCCTGTGCACAGGTGAAGAAGCCCAGACATGCATTCCCAGCACTTACTACCCGCAGCCCCAGCCTTCTTCCCCTTGTCCTTGCCCTTGCCCTGAAATGCAGATGCCTCAAGGGCAGGCATAGGGTCCTCTTAGCTCTGACCCAGGGCTTCATCCAGCGCCTGGTACACAGTGGGTGCTTAATAAACATCCATGACCCATGACCGCAAACATGGAATGCGGGAAAGGCAGAGCAGGAAAGACGCTGTCATCGTCACATCTGCAGATAAGTGCCAATAAACATGCAAATGATAGATCTGGAAATGCTCTTCTTACTTTCCAATTCAATTCCAGGAACCCGGGGGGTAAATCTCTATAAATTATAGTGAAGTGTGACTTGTAAATAACATTTTTCTGACATCCCCAAAGCATTGCTGCATCTTTGGAGTTTATAAATTGTTGATGCAAATGAGTTTCTATAACCATTTCGTAGCTCATAAAAATAATACTTCCAGCAGGATTGGGAATCAGGTATACTTCCAAGCTCAGGAACATGGTGACTTGGGGTCTGGAAGGGCTGGTTGTAATTTGGCTGATCTCGTGCTCTTGAGAGTCAAGCAAGTGAGGTCTGTTGGGAGGATGGAGCCCATGAGTAAGAAGGGCTGGGTCACTAGCCATCACCTGCTCCCTGGCACCTTCTCTGCTCTGCATCTCAGGGCTGCATTGGGAAGAGCTACGTGGTCCTTCTCTTGCTCACTCACTGAACATGAACTCAGAGCTTTACTTCCCAAGTACTGGGAGTTGTGCTAGGGGTTAGAAGCACTAAAATGTTCAGGACCCCACCTGAGCCCAGGAAGGACCATGCAATTGAGTGAGATTGGCCCGGCACACCAGCACCGTGCAATACAAGTGGGGGAGAGAGCATGCGCCCTGCCCAGCGGTTGCTGCTGGAGGGAGGCTTAGCTTCCAGGTTGCCTAAAGGATGCCAGAGGGTCACTAGCAGACATGGCAGGAGACGCTGGGCTAGACAGGAATAAACTCATGGAATTGGAATTATGAGGACAAAGTACCCTTAGGTGGTTGCCTGATACTCAGCATGGCTAAAGTTTCCATCTAACAGTGGTCTGGCTGCAGAGGAGGCTGGTGGTCTGGGGGGCACGGAAAGGGAAGGGAAGCCTTTGGTTCCATGATGACCTGGAGTCCTCCTTCCATTCATAAACTTGGGAAAAGGAGTCTCATCAAAAAAGGGAGTGAATGCACAGTCCTTTCCCACTTTGCAGACAGCATCTCATGTCATTGCCATTAAGAAAAATGAGAACCTCATCATTTACAGTTAAGGAGATCTGTAGGAAGGGATTATCACGCAAGGGACATTGTTAGCAAAAGCCACTTGTGAATTGGACTTACCTCTCCATGCATGGCTCCTTCAGGAACCATGCAGGCAGGTGTTGTTCTAAGCCGCATTCCTGGAAAGTCCTGTATGGACATGGAACAATTTATTTCTAAGGGTGCCTGTGGGACTAAGGTCAAAGCCTCATGTCAAAGGCTTCAAGACCTGGATCATTTCACTATGGTGGTGTTTTCTCCTCTCATGCGTCATACTGTTGCATAAACTAGGGGAAAATAGTTTTAAGTGGAAATAATTTCTGATTTATCCTACCAACACAAGCACACACAAAATAAAACCTGACTCACATAGCACATGTACACATACACACATACACATACACAGGCGGACACACACACAGACCTCTGGGTATGCAGGTGACAACCATGTTCTAAATAAAACGTTAGCAGCCTGAGCTAGCAGTGGTTTAAAGATGACATATTGTGACCAGGAGGATGAAAACCATGTGAGACAATGATAAACTTTACATAGATTTCTGAATTTTTTAGTGGGTTAGGAGAAAGCTCTTTAACTTCCTACAGGTATATACCTATACCTGTATCTCGATGTGTGTACCTGTGTGTGCATACACATATATGTGCCCATATATAGATACATGTAGATATACGTATATAAGCAGCATGCCTCACCGTACAGTCATTTCTACACACTGAAATCAAATAGCCACAGCACATGTTGAACTGGATGCTGACACACTACCAGGAACACCAGCAATCCGCCCTCGCTGCCATCACAATGCAACCCTGGCCTCCCCACCAGGGAAGCAAACACCCGCTGTCATGAGACTGTCCTCCCTGTTTACAGGTGATGCTCCTAAGCGACTCCAACCCTTCTTATTTTACAAGTGCCCTGATCTCAATAACAAATATGTGATCTTCCTAGCTAAGAAATAACATGAAGTTACAAGATATTGGGGAAAACAGTCCAAACATATTTTTTTCTGATTTTGATAACTTTTCAAAAAGAAATCAGGATAATCAAATGAAAAAAGGATTTGAATTCATAAGAAAGCTCAATGTCTAAATATATGTTTAAAAATATAGTTTCCTTCTGTAGGGCAGCAGTAGTTTAGAAATACAGTGGAAAATGATCCTAGCACTAATAATGATAATTGTAAAACACTTATGTTAAAAAATTATGTTAAAAAGAATGTTAAACTTATGTTAAAAAGAATGTTAAAAAACATGAAAGGAGATAAAGAATTAGCTAAGTAATTAAGGAGACATCCATTCTTCCAGATGAGAAGACTCCATATTAGAAAGATGCCCAGGCCGGGCATGGTGGCTCACGCCTGTAACCCCAGCACTTTAGAAGGCTGAGGTGGGTGGATCACCTGAGGTCAAGAGTTCAAGACAAGCCAGGCCAACATGGTGAAACCCCGTCTCTACTAAAAATACAAAAATTAGCTGGGCATGGTGGTGGGTGCCTGTAATCCCAGCTACTCAGGAGGCTGAAGCAGGAAAATCACTTGAACTTGGTAGGTGGAGGTTGCAGTGAGCTGAGATGTTGCCATTGTACTCCAGGCTGGGTGACAAAGTGAGACTCCATCTCAAAAAAAATAATAATAATAAATGAATAAGTATGCCCAAACTAATCTATAAATTAGACTAAAGGCTTCTGCCCTATAAAAAAGCCACGTTTTACTTGAAATGTTTATTCCAGACTTCCAGAATAAAAGCAGAAATACTCAAGAAAGTTCTATTTGTGATTATTATATGTCATGCATTGGTCTAAAACCTTTCCCACATACAGTAAGTCATCTGATACCACCCTGTGAAATGGATACTATCACTGTGCCCATTTTATAGATGAGAACACTGAGGTATGCAGAGGTCAGTCACTCTCAGCTCTTAACATTTGTGAACAACACTGATGCTCACCACCCCCAAAAACCGCAACCACAGCATGCTTTACCATGAGAGAGCTGAGTCATGGAGATGCCCCAGGCCAGTCTCATTCCCAGGATGGATGGCAGGGACAGCCCAGGTCACATTTTGTGTGCTCCTGCTGCAGAGCAACCAGGCATAGAACGAGCTCCCACCAGCCTGCCCACGGCTGCATGCTCAGGCTCTCTCAGGACACAGACACGTGTTCCTCCAGCACCTCTGCCTCAACCACAGGAAGACAGGAGATCACGGCAGCCTGTGGAGTTTTACACAAATCGTTTGTGTGACTGTGTACATTTTTTTGTGTAAAATCCTTCACTTCAAGAAACTATAACCATCCTCTCCATTCCCCGGCAGAAAAATAAACAGGTATAGAGATATAAGATATAATTTATTGATTTAAAGACATAAATCCCTGCTCTCCAGCTACCCAGTGTAGTATCCTGTGGCATTCTGTCTTCCGTTGTTGCAGACGCTATCGAGGTGTCACCTTCAAAGCCATCACCATGCCTTCCCTCTCCAGCCCACAGTCCAAACTGCAGCCTGCTCTGGGACCAACATCTTAGGCTAATCAGTCACTACCACGTCTTCCTTGAGTGATGGTAGGGGATGGGTTCGGGAAAGCCTGAGAAGACTTGGACCCAGGTCTGAGCCACTCACCCCGGAATGCTCCCCTGGTGAACTAAACCTATTTCCAGGAAGATTATCCAAGTAAGGAAGGAGAATTGAGCCACCAAGGATTTGACAAGAGGACAGTGCGCTGTAGTTAAGAGTCTGAGCCTTTAGGAACCACAGAGCCTTTCCTTTCTGTGTGCACTGCCTCAAGGTATGGTTCAGCTCACTCCAGGCCAAATGTAAGGTTCTGTGTTCTCCCATAGTCTTAGAAGACTTGCCTTTGGTCTGCAAGCCACATTGTGAAAATTGGCTCTGGCTTCCCTGGGTGCAGAATAACTTTCAATCAAACTTAATTAAAGTAAGGCCAGTCATATTTATCCTGCGTTTTCTCTCAGGCAGTGTTTTTCTTCTAATTGGGACTTGAGGGCATCCCTGAGTCAACGGTGCCCTGGGCTACAGAGCAGTGGCCGCTCCTGGTAACCTGACAAGCAGCAAGGCTCTCCTGGGAGAACACAGGGCCGCCCGCGGGTTCATCCAGAGAGGCGCCACCAAATCACTTCCATCCCAGCCAGGGAGAGAATGTCCAGCTTGGGGTTTATCTTCAGAAGAACTCTGACATGCTGAAACCGCCCCAACAGCCATAACTCTAGACAGCGGCATTGTCTCTGTGTGCAATCGTGCGAAGTCCCCTCGATCTCACCGCTGGCCAGCTAGTGGTCCCTGTCTCCTGGAAGCTCTGCCAGCTCATCTACCCTGCTAGTGAACTCCAGACAGGGTGGATGGAAGGACATGCCTATCCAAAGAAGCAGCCCTGCGCTCCTGGTTTGGAATTTCCATCTGAGCCCTGTGTACCTAAGAGGAAGAAAGAGCTTGCACTGCTAACTGCACTGTCAGGGCTAAGCGTTTGTGAGACTCTGAGCTACCTGGGCTGCCAGCCAGCATAGCTCATCCTATGGGACTGCCTTGCAGCTGGAAGTCCACAGGAGGCACTTACCTTCCATCAGGCTGTATCTGGAGCACCCACTTCTTGTGCTGTGGGAAATCTTTTCTGCAAAGTCTACCAATGCCTACATTTGACTCTTGCTCCCTGGGAAAGGCACTGTCTCATGCTTCAGTGGTACAGGCCTTTCAAGGGATCAACAGCCACCTAGTGACTGGGGCATGTTGCATGGTTCCCGGCCTTTCCCAAATACACATTGGTCAATACCGCATGGAATTCCTTCCTCGAGTTTCCAAGATAAATGGCCTCCCCCTGTCCACATGGGATTTTTGTGTCCACAGCTGTTTTCATTTTATTTTGTGTCTGTGATTTCACCAACGTCGTGTAATTTTCACATTTTCCTAAATTGAGCTGTTTCAGGAACTTCTACTTCTGCTTTGCTGCCACATCCCTGGAGTAGTCTCTGTTTTCCTTAAAGGGCAGAATTTTAAAGCTTTGAAAGACAGCTTTGTAACTCATTTTCAGGTTCTTGTGCCTTTTGGATATTCAGCCATGCTCTTCGTCATTCAAACGTAGTGTTTTCCATGTGACTTGAGGATGAATGGCCTTAATAAATTCCATTACTCTGAAGAACAATAAAAATTACAGGTTGGTGACACTGGCACCATGATAAATAACATTTTATTTTGCCATGTCATGATTATCCCTTTTCTCTTGGCTGGCTGCTGATAGACGGTCTCCCTGCAGACCCAGCCTGGAACTCCCTTGCTGCCAAGGCTGGACATCCCAGGAGACTGTCTTCCTGAATTCGGGAAGTACAGAGTCAACTCTCCTCTGTCATCACTGCCAGGACACAAAACATCCCAATCCCAGGAGCCCCTAAAATTCCAACCTCAAACCAGCAACTGGTCCTTTTTTCATCTCAGTGGAATGATTTGCAATCCTCAATGACTGCATCCATTTTCCTGTTTATTTAGTTATTGGAGATCCAAGATTTTAAACCAAGAGTTGATCAGACTTAAGTTAAAAGGGTAATATTGAGGATATAGAAATGATTTAATAAACTTTGAAGTTCTCAAAGAAGTTCTGAAAAGCACAATTGGATGGCAGCTTCTTAAACTTCCCCGGCCAAAAGCAAATGAGTTGTAGTACCCAAAATCTGCTCTTAGAACTCCCTAATTTACATATATGCTATCAGAAGATAATTAATTTTCAGATAACAAATTAAAAGGATCGAACACACAAGAGGTGTTAGAAAAATGTCCTATTGGTGACTTTATTGACTCTTGTCTTCATCTGTTGAAGTCCTTGTTGGGCGAAGAAAGAGGTCTTGTACTGTTTGGGTAGAAAACCTACAAAATAGAATTGCAGGCTCCAGAGCTACCCCAGCCTGTCCACAGGACACTGCAGGATGGGCCATGCCTGTGCTGAGCACCACCAGTGTTTAAGACCTGCATCCTTCCCTTCTGCTAAACGTCTTAATCTTTTTGATGAATTTTTATTTCTTCAAGTCATTCACATTTCCAAAGGAATCTTCTGCTCCTAACACATATCTAATTAGAATAGGCCCAACTTTAGTCACTCCTAAAGAAAGTCTCTCCTTTTCAATGATGCCAGTATGGTATGGAAACACCCACCAGACTTCGAAACACACAGATATCCACTGGGTATTGATCATAAAAGCTCACAACAGTTTTGAGCACTTGCCATGGGCCAGCCAGAGGTTCTGAGTGGTGAGCAGCATTGGCTCACCTGTTCCTCACAGCAACAGAATAAGGCAGGGCTCTTTATTCATCCCATTTCTCAGGTGAGGCAGCTGAGGCCTAGAGAGGGTGGGAACCTTGGCGAGATAACATAGCTAACATAGAATGGAGCCAGGTATAGGCCTGACTTCAGAAGCCACTCTCAACCAGCAGGCAACACTATCCCTTTAAGTGCCAGGAGGAGGTCAAGGTCAGAATCAGGACACCTCGCTTCCAGCTTGAGGGCACTGTTGATGATCTCAGTGATGCTCAGGCAAACCTGCAGCTCCACTGTGCCCCTTACTTATTTGTCAGGAGGAAGGCGAATTGTCCTGATGTGGCAGGTGTGCCCGGGAGGAAGCAGCAGCCAGGTAGCTCACGCAAACTGCAAGTGGCTCCCTTTACCATGCCCCATTGGCTTCGAGAATGTCACATGCAGATCATACCTGCACAACTTTTTCCATTCTGACAATACCTTCTCTGTTGCATGCTACTCCTCCTCCCAGCTGTGTTCATATTTGCTCAGATATGGAGAAGAATGAAACTTTGAAGAAGAGAATGACTTGCAGTTTTCTGGTTCCACATGCAAAGAGCTTGGAAGTAGTCATTCCGTTCTAACAATAAGTAAAAATCTGGACAAACTGAAACATTGACAACTCTTCTTAGATCCCTCAGGGAATTTAGGTCACAGATAAAAACCACTACTCCAAAACTGAAGAAAGACAATCAATACTGATATTGAAGAAGACAGTCAATACTGATATCACAACTTACTGGAACAGAAACCTAAGAATTGAAGCCTCCACAGGAAACAGTGCTGGAGCAGAAAAACCTGAATTCTAATTGATGAATTCCTAGAGGCTCAGTGTGGAAGTCTGAGAGTAAAAAACTACAAAGGACCCCAGTCATTGGGAGGCCCCCAGATTTTTGTAAGTTTGACCTCCAGGAGCTCTGCCAGGTTCTCATGGTGAGCAGCAGAAATCAATCCCCTTGTGCTTTCAACAGGGGAGAGAAAAAGAACCATTCTGAAACATGCAAGAGCATTCGTTCTTAACAACACCTGCCACAACAAGAAACTATTTAGCCAGAGATTAATGTGTTGAGGTTCTATCATATCATAACTGACTTGGAAGAAGAAAAAATGTTCAACTCAAGCCCCTTCTAGTCTTCTACTGGGAGGAAGGAAATACCCAACTCCAGCTCACTCTAGACCCCTGTCTCACCTAAGGGGGAGGAAGACTGAGAAATACCTGTGAAGTCCACAACCCAGAGGCACAGGCTAACTGAAAGACTGAGCACTACTCAGAGGACTATAAAATGCTTCTTCTTCCCCTACACCTTCCTACCACATTAGTAAAGTCCTGTATACACTAGTTCCTTTTACCTGGTACATCATGCGCAGCTTTCAAGAAAAGATTACAAGGCAAATTAAAGAAAAAAAAAACATTTGAAGAGACACAGTAAGCATGAAAACCAGACAGGGATGTTGGATGTTGGCAGAGATGTTGGAATTCGACTGGGAATTTAAAATAACTATGATAAATATGCTAAGAAACCTACAGGATAAAGTAGGCAGCATACATAAACAGATGGGTAATTTAATCAGATAGATTAAAATTCTAAGGAAGAATCAAAATGAAGAATGCCTTTGATGGGCTTATCAGTAGACTGAACATAGCTGAGGAAACAATCTCTGAGCTTGAGGATGTATCAATAAAAACCTCCAAAACAAAAAAAAAAGCAAAGATAAAAAAGATTAAAAAACTAACACACAAACAAAAACCAGATCAGAATATTTAAAAACTGGAACAGCTACAAACAATGCAACACAAGTGCATGAGAAACTCCAGAAAAAAAAGAAAGAGGAAAAACAACAGGAGAAATATTTGAAACAGTAATGACTGAGAGATGCCATCAAATTAATACAAGACACAAAACCACTAATCAAAGAGGCTGACAGAATATCAAACAGGATAAATACCACAGACAGACACACACACACAACAAAACAAAATTTTAAAATAAAACATTATACCTAGTCATAACTTATTCAAATTACAGAAAGTTAATAATAAGAGAAAAAATCCTGAAAGGAGCCAGAGGGGGAAAACACCTATAGAAGAGCAAAGGTAACAATCAAATCTAATTTCTCCTCGGAAACCATGCAAGCAAGTAGTAAGTAAAATATGTAAATGCTCAGGGAAAAAATAAAACAAAACAAAAGCCTACCAACCTAGAATTTTTTATCCTGCAAAATTATTCTTTATTAATGAAGGAGAAATGAAGACTTTCTTACACAAACAAAAATTGTAAAAATGTGCTGCCAGTAGACCAGTCTTTCAAGAAATTTTAAAAGAAGCTCCTAGCTCTATAGATAACTTAAGGTTATAAAATAGATCAGCAACTCAGATCTGCATACAGAAAGAAAAAGCATTAGAGAAGGAGTAAGTGAAGTCATGGCAAGACTTTTATTTTTCTTATTCTTGATTGGTCTAAGAGATAATTGTCCAAATTAATAATCTTGATAATTTATTTGAATATATATATATGCTTATATATAAGTGAAGTAAATGATAGCAATTACGCATGAAATGGAAGGGATGAATTAGAATTCCTTTGTTATTAAAGGATTCTTGCACTATGCTTAAAGTGGTATAGTGCTATTTGGAAGTGGACTTGGATTAGTTGTAAAAATATATGACAAACTTTAGAGCAACAAGTAAAAAAGTAAAAAAAAAATGTGTAACTAATGGACTAAGAAAAGTGAGAAAACAGAAGCATTCAAACTGCTCAATTAAAACCACAAAAGGCAGACGAAAATGTGGAAAACAAAAATAGAAACAACTAATAAGGGCAATAAATTAAAAATAGTGACATATATGGTAGATATTAATCTGACTATATTAATAATCACATTAAATGTCAATGATCTAAATGTACCAGTTAGAAGACAGAAATTATCAGAGTGTGTCAAAAAATAAGACTCATCTATAAGTTATCTATGATAAATGAACTTTAAATATTAATACACATACAGATTAAAAATAAATGGTTGGGCATTTTGGAAGGCTTAGGTGGGCGGAACACCTGAGGTCAGGAGTTCAAGACCAGCCTGGCCAACATAGTGAAGCCCTGTCTCCACTAAAAATACAAAAATTAGCCAGTCATAGTGACATGTACCTGTAATCCCAGCTACTCAGGAGGCTGAGGCAGGAGAATCGTTTGAACCCGGCAGGCGGAGGTTGCAGCGAGCCGAGATCACACCATTGCACTCCAGCCTGGGCAACAAATGTCGTCTCAGGAAAAAAAAAAAAAAAAGGTTGGACAATCAGAAATGATAAGGGGGATATTAACACTGACCCCAAAGAAATACAATCATCAGAGAATACTATAAACACCTCTATGCACATCAACTAGAAAATCTAGAAGAAATGAATAAATTTCTGGACACATACACCCACCGAAGACTGAACCAGGAAAGAACTGAATTCCTGAGTAGACCAATAACGAGTTCTGAAATTGAATCAGTAATAAATAGACTACCAACAACAACAAAAAAAAACCCAGGACCAGATAGATTTACAGCTGCATTCTACCAGAGGTACAAAGAAGAGCTGGTACCATTTCTATTGAAACTATTCCAAAAAATTGAAAAGGAATAATTCCTCCCAAACTCATTCTACAAGGCTAGCATCATCCTGATACCAAAACCTGACAGAGATACAACAACAACAAAAAACTTCAGCACAATATCTTTGATGAACATTGACACAAAAATCCTCAACAAAATACTGGCAAACCGAATACAGCAGCAGGTCAAAAAGCTTATTTGCCACCATCAAGTAGGCTTCACCCCCAGGATGCAAGGCTGGTTCATATATACAAATTAATAAATGAGATTCATCATATAAATAGAACCAAAGACAAAATAATTATCAAAAGACCATGATTATCTCAGTAGATGCAGAAAAGGCCTTTGATAAAATTAAATATCACTTCATGTTAAGCTCTCCCCCAAAAAACTAGGTATTGAAGAAACATACCTCAGAAGATTAAGAGCCATATATGATAAACCCACAGCCGATATCATATTGAATGAGCAAAAACTGGAAGCACTCCCCTTGAAAATCACCACAAGACAAGGTTGTCCTTTTTCACCATTCCTCTTTAACATAGTATTGGAAGTTCTGGCCTGGGCAATCAGGCAAGAGAAAAAAATAAAGTGTATTCAAATAGGAAGAAAAGAAGTCAAGCTACCTTTGCTTGCAGATGACTTGATTTTATATCTAGAAATCCCAATTGTCTCAGCCCAAAAGCTTCTTATGCTAATGAGCAACTTTATCAAACTCTCCAGATTCAAAATAAATGTGCAAAAGTCACTAGCATTCCTGTACACCAAGAGCAGGCGAGCCAAGAACCAAATCACTAATGTACTCCCACTCACAATTGCCACAAAAAGAACTTAAAAACCTAGGAATGGCTGGGCACGGTGGCTCATGCCTATAATCCCAGTACTTTGGGAGGCCAAGGCTGGTGGATCACCTGAGGTCAGGAACCCGAGACCAGCCTGGCCAACATGGTGAAACCCCATCTCTACTAAAAATATACAAAATTAGCTGGGCTTAGTGGCACGCACCTGTAATCCCAGCTACTCGGGAGGCTGAGGCAACAGAATAGCTTGAACCTGGGTGGTGGAGGTTACAGTGAGCTGAGATCGCATCATTACACTTCAGCCTAGGCAAGAAGAGCAAAACTTCATTTCAAAAAAAAAAAAAAAGAAAAGAAAAAGAAAAAAAAATACAGCTAACAAGGGAAGTGAAGGACCTCTTCAAAGAACTACAAAACACTGCTCAAAGAAATCAGAGATGATACAAACAAATGGAAAAACATTCCATGCTCATGAATAGAAAGACTCAATATCATGAAAATGGCCATACTGTCCAAAGTAATTTATAGATTCAAAGCTATTCCTATTAAACTACTATTGAAATTCTTCACAGAATGAGGGAAAAAATGTTAAAGTTCAATAGAACCAACAAAAAGAGCCCACATAACCAAAGCAATCCTAAGGAAAAAGAGCAAAGCTGGAGGCATCATGCTACCTGACTTCAAACTATACTACAGGGCTACTGTAACCAAAACAGGATGGCACTTGTACCAAAACAGACACCTAGACCAATTAAACAGAATAGAGAACCCAGAAATAAAACTGCACACCTGCAACCATCTGATTTTCAACAAACCTGACATAAGCAAGCAATGAGAAAAGGATTCCATATTTATTTTTTATTTATTATTTATTGTTTTTGAGACAGAGCCTCTCCCTGTTGCCCAGGCTGGAGTACAGTGGTGCAATCTTGGCTCACTGCAACCTCCGCCCCCAGGTTCAAGTGATTCTCCTGCCTCAGCCTCCGAAGTAGCTGGGATTAAAGGTGCCCACCACCATGCCTGGCTAATTTTTTTATTTTTAGTAGAGATGGGGTTTCACCATGTTGGCCAGGCTGGTCTTGAACTCTTGACCAGAAGTGATCCATCCACCTCTGCCTCCCAAAGTGCTGGGATTTATTAAATACGGAATCCTGCCTGGCATGAGCCACCATGCCTAGCCAGATTCCCTATTTAATAAATGGCACTGGGAGAACTGGCTATCCATGTGTGTGAAATTGAAACAGGACCCCTTCCTTACACCACATACAAAAATCAACTCAAGATGGATTAAAAACTTAAATTTAAAACCCAAAACTAAGAATCCCAGAAGAAATCCTAGGTAAAACCATTCAGGATATAGGCACAGGCAAAGATTTCATGATGAAAATGTCAAAAGCAATTGCAACGAAATAAAAAAATGACAAATGGGATCTAATTAAACTAAAGAGCTTCCACACAGCAAGAGAAACTATCAACACAGTAAACGGACAAGCTACAGAATGGGACAATATTTTGCAAACTATCTGTCTGACAAAAGTCTAATACCCAGTGTCCATAAGGAAGTTAAAAACATTTACAAGAAAAAAACAAGCAACCCCATTAAAAAGTGGGTATAGGACATGAACAGACACTTCTCAAAAGAAGACATACATGCAACCAACAAACAAACATATGAATAAAAGCTCAACACCACTGATCATTAGAGAAATGCAAATTAAAACCACAATGAGATGCCATCTCACACCCGTCAGAATGGCTATTAGTAAAAGGTCAAAAAACAACAGATACTGGTGAGGCTGTGGAGAAAAAGGAATGCTTTTACTCTGTTGGTGAGAGTGTAAATTAGTTCAACTGTTGTGAAGACAGCGTGATGATTCCTGAAAGTCCTAGATGCAGAAATACCATTTGACCCAGCAATCCCATTACTGGGTATACACTCCAAGAAAAGTAAATCTTTCTATTATAAGGACAGATGCATTTGTATGTCCATTGCAGCATTATTCACAATAGCAAAGACAAGGAATCAACCTAAATGTCCATCAATAGTATACTGGATAAAGAAAATATGATATATGTATGTATATACACAATCGAATACTATGCAGCCATAATAAGGAATGAGATCATGTCCTTTTCAGAGACATGAATGGAGCTGGAGGCCATTATCCTTAGCAAACTAACTCAGGAACAGAAAACCAAATGCCGCATGTTCTCATTTATATGTGGGAGTTGAATGATGAGAACTGATAAACACATGGGAAGAAGACAACACACATTGGGCCTGTTGGAGGGCGGGGCCTGAGAGGAGGGAGAGGATAAAGATGAATAGCTAATGAATGCTGGGCTTAACACCTAGGTGATGGGCTGATCTGTGCAGCAAAGGACCATGGCCTACATTTAGTTATGTAACAAGCCTGCACATCCTGCACATGTACCCCTGAACTTAAATAAAATTTAGGAATTTTTTTAAAAAAGAACTGAAGTTCTCCGTAAACACTTTTACAATAAAAGCTGACTTATCCACTGCCACAACACACACACACACACAAATAAATAAATAAATAAATAATAAATGATTGGAGAAATATATACTATTCTAATATAAGGCAGAAGAAAGTGGAATTAGCTATACAAATTTCAGATAGAACAGAATTTATAGATATGAAAATTATCATAAACAAATGCCATTACATAATAAAAATGTTTAATACTCCAAGAAGACATAACAATCTTCTGCATACATGTGCTTAGCAAGAGAGCATCAAACTACTTGAGTGAAAAACTAAACTGCAAGAATAAATTCACAAATCCACTACCATAGTTACAGATTTCAACATGCTTGTATCAGAATGGACAGATCCAGCACAGAGAAAATCAGTAAGAACAGCCTTAAACTCAACAGCACATCAATCAACGGGATTTCATTGACAACTATAGACTACTTCACCAAACAACACCAAAATATACATTCTTCTCAAGCTCTTATGGAAAATTTACCAAAATACATCACATTCTGGGTTCAGAAAACACATCTTAACAAACTAAAAAAAAACATACAATGTCTGTTCTCAGATAGCAATGAAATTACACTAAAAGAAAATAACAGAAAGAAAATGGAAAATCTCAAAATACCTGGAGACACTTCTAAATAACACAGGAGTCAAATTTAAAAATCTCAAAGGAAACTTTTTAAAAATTTTTAAAAATGAAAATATGACACAATTTATCAAAATTTTCTAGATACAATAAAAGCAGTGTATAAAGTGAGATTTATAGCACTGAAGGCATATATTAGAAAAAATAAAGAGCTAAAATCAATAATCAAAGTTTCCACTTTAGAAAACTAGAAAACAAAGAGCAAATTATATCTGAAGAGAGCAGAATAAAAGAAATAATTAGAGCTAGAGCAGAAATCATTGAAATTGAAAACAAGAAATCAATAGAAAGTATCATCAACTACAAGAAAAGTTGTTTCTTTGAAAAGATCAGGAAAACCAACAAGCCTCTATACAAGATAACTAAGAGAAAGAAAAGAAAAGAAAATTAACTGCTATCAAAAATTAAAGAGAGCACATCACCGCAAATACCATACACATTTGCTAACCTAGACAAAATGAACCAATTCCTTGGAAGGCACAATCTGCCAAAATTCACAGAAGAAAAAGTAGACAATCTGTGTATAAATACAGTTGTTCCACAGTCTCCTTGAACAATTGGTTCCACAACTTCCCACAGGTAACAAAATTCATGGATGCTCAATTCCATTATACAAAATTGTATAAAACTATATTTATATTTTTATAAAATATAAATTTATATATAATATATAACTATATGTTTATATTTTTATCCATTATTTAAAATTTGGTTTTCTGTTTTCAATTTCAATGATTTCTGCTCTAGCTCTAAAATTCATGGATGCTCAATTCCGTTTTATATAATTTTGGTATCTGTAGGGGTTCCTGGAACCAATTACCCAAGGAGACTGAGGAACAACTGTATATATATATATACACAGATTCTCCCATACACTTTAAATAATTTCTAGACTATTTATAATACCTGATACAATGTAAATAATAGTTAAATAATTGTTATGCTATATAATATTTTTAAAAATTTTATTATTTTTATTGTTGTGGATTTTATTGGTTTTTCAAATATTTATGATCTGTAATTGGTTGAATCTGCAGATACAGATCCCAAAGAAGGCTGACTATATGTATAATTGAATCCATAATTAATAACCTTGCAAACAGAAAGCACTAGGCCCAGATGGGTTCACCAGTGAATTCCACCAACATTTAAAAAAGAAATTATATCAATTCTTCACAATCTCCTCTATAAAATAGAAGTACAGGGATTACTTCCTAACCTATGCTGTGAAGCAAGCATTGTCCTAATATTAAAACCATCTAAAAATATGACAAGTAAAGAAACCACAGAGTGATATCTCTTATAAATATAGCTGGAAAAAATCCTCAACAAAATATTAGCAAGTTGAATCCAACAATGTATTAAAATAGTTATATACCATGACTAAGTGTGATGTAGCTCAGGAATGACCAGGAATTCAAGGCTGGATCAACATTTGAAAATAAATTAATTTAATCTATCACATTTACAGCCTAGATAAGAAAAAAAAAATCACTTTATCATATGAACAGATGTAGAAAAGGCATTTGACAAAATCCAACACCCATTAAATTTTATAATAAAAAAGTTTGAATAAACTGGGATTAGAAGTTTAATTTCTTCAATTTAATAAAGTATATTAACAAAAACCCTACAGCTAATATCATACTTAATGGTGAGAAACTAGGAGCTTTTCCACTAAGATCAGGAATGAGGCAAACATTTCTTCTCTCATGACTCCTTTTCAATATTGTACTAGTAAATGCAATATGCCAAGAGAAGAAAATAAAAAATACACAGATTGAAAAGGAAGAAATAAAATTGCCTTCATTCACAGATGATGTAATTATCTATGTAGAAATTCAGAAAAAGTCAACAAAAAAACTGGAACTAATAAGTAAACTATAGCAAGATAGCAGGATATGAGGTTAATATGCAAAAGTCAATTGCTTTCCTATATATCAGAAATGAACAAGTAAAAATTTTCATTGGCAAATTAAATTAAAAACATAATGCCATTGGCATTGGCACTAAAAAAGGAAAATATTTAGGAATAAATCTAACAAAACATATACAAAATCCTTATGAAGAGAACTACAAAACTGTTGAAAAAAATCAAAGAAAAGCAAAATAACTGCAGACAAATTCCACAATCATAAATAGAAAGACTTGATATTGTCCAGATGTCAGTTCTTTTCAAATAATTTACAGATTCAATGCAATCCCAGTAAAAATTCTAGCCAATTATTTTGTGAATATTACCAACCTGATTCTGAAGGTTTTATGGAGAGGCAAAACATCCAAAATAGCCAGCACAATATTGAAGACAGAAATAAAGTTGGAGGACTAATACAATCCAACTTCAAGACACTATAAGGCAACAGTAATCAAGATAGTGTGATACTGGCAAAATAATAAATAGATCAGTGGAGCAGAATGGGGAGTCTAGAAATAAACCCAAATGAATGTAGTCAACTAATATTTGACAAAGCACTCAAGACAATAAAATGTAGAGTCTTTTCAACAAATGTTGATGCATGTGAATGCCTTTTCAAATACATCACCAAAGGTGTGATCCATGAAAACAAAGAACTTATTAGCTGGACTTCATTATACTTAAAATTTTCTGTTCTGTAAAAGACAATGTCAAAAGAGTAAAAAGACAAGTCACAGACTTGGAGGAAATATTTATTAAAGACATTCTGATAAATAACTCATCAAAAATATATAAAGAATCCTTAAAATTCAACAATGTGGAAACAACCTGATTAAAAAATGGGCCAAAGACCTTAACAGGCATGTCACCAAAGAAGATAAGTAGATGGCAAATAAGCATATGAAAAGATCTTAAACATAATAGGTTATCAGGGAAATGCAAAATAAAATAACTAGATACTACCACACATCTAATACAATGATCAAAATTCAGAACACTGGCAAGACAGAATGCTAATGAAAATGGAGAAATACAGGAACTGTCAATTATTGCTTGTGTAAATGCAAAATGATACAGCCATTTTGGAGAAGAATTTGGCATCTTCTCACAAAACTAAACATACTTTTATTATATGGTCCATCAGTCACACTCCTTGATGTTTACCCAGTGGATTTGAAAACTTATGTATACACAAAAACCTACACATGGATGTTTATAGCAGCTTAATACATAATTACCAAAACTTAGAAGCAACCAAGATGTCCTTCAACAGGCAAATAGATCAATAAACCATGGTACATCCAGATCATGAGATATTTAGATAATGGAATATTTACAAAAAAAAAAAAGAGATGGGCTATCAAGGCATAAACAGACATGGAGGAAGCTTAAATATAAATTACTAAGTGAAAGAAGTCAATTTGAAAATGATACATATTGTATGATTCCAACTATACAACATTCTGGAAAAGGTAAACGTATGAAGACAATAAAAAGGGATTAGGGAAAAAGAGGGATGAATAGGGATTTTAAGCAATGAAACTACTCTGTATGCCACTACAATAAACTTATCTGACTGACTGTGGTTAAAATATCTCACTTTTGCACATTTTTAAGAACATAAGACCACGTGAATACACTTCTGGAGCCCCTCATGGAGCTTGGAGGAGCTGAGCGTATGCAGTACTCTGAACGTGGAGGAACGTTTTCTGCGATAAGAGTTGTTGTGTTCAATTGCCTCTATTAGGAGGAATTTCAACAGCATAAGACACTGGCTTCATTCCTATCTCTATTTCCCTTGGATCTAATAACAAACCTCACTCAGAGTAATCACTCAGCAGGAGCTTGCCACAAAACTAAAATCTGATCCTAGGCAGGTTATTAAAGATGCAGAATTAAAGCTTTAAGTTCCCAAGGACTGTCATTCTTTTCATATGGCTGCACTATAATGCACATGTTACTTAAATAAACTCCCTGAGTTTCTCCACAAGGCATATCACCTTAGAATAGAGTGAAAATCAATCGGAGCTGGGATATTTTGCCCAGTGCTTAAGGATAACAGTGCTAGGCTGACCTTCACCATGTTAGATAAAATATGAGAGAGCAGGGGCTAAGTCATTTTTGGGAAAGTATGAAAGTCTTTCATTCATACTGAACAGAGAGTTTGGAACATGTCAATTGCAAACTATGATTCAGAAAGAAGAACTTCCACTGTCATGGGTGCTTCTTCTACAGCCCTGATTTGAAGGTCAGGGCTACAGTGGGTCTCAGATGGGACCACCAGTTCTCTTGCCCTCATGGAGTCCCTTGTGGGAAATATGCCTGCTCCATCTAACAGCTGAGCTGCCCGCATGGTCTAACACACTCCAGCTATTTGGGTTGGCTTCTTACATGCATTAGCTCAGAGAAGTGGTAGCTATTTCTAGGTCTACCACATGGAGTCCAGGCTGTCCTGTGGGCTCCAGCTCATTTATCCAGGGATGTGGCATCTGGAGAGAAGGCAAGCAGAGACACTACAGTCCTTTTCATGCAGTTTCCTGGAATTCAGCCAATCTGGAAAGAATCTACCACTGTGCTCACAAGAGCACTAAGAAAACAACCCATTATTCTGATTTGTAAAATAATCTAATGCATAGCTTACTCTTCAAATGGCATTCAGGCTCTCCGGCCCAGGAAGTGAGTTGGGAAGACCCAGGGCATCCCACAAGGATCAATGGTCACTGCACAAGCAGGTTTGATATTTTAAGCACTTGGGGATTTCCTTGGAGATAATACAGAAACAAAGAATTTCAAAAGGGTGGACTTAAAACTTGGAAGAAAATATTTAACAGCCCATTGAGTAGAAAAGTTAAAAAAAAAAAACTTAAAAAAATATGAAGTCAGTTTGGAGACTCCATGGAAACACTGGGATGTTGCATGGGATGCCCAGAGAGTTTGAAAGACAAACCCCAAGGGACAGGAGAAAGAAAGCTTGCCTGTGTGAATGAGCAAGGCAGTGGCTCAGCCCCACAAAGCAACTCCTATTTAGAGAAAGATCACAGCACAAACAATAGCTGATTAGCCTCAAATGAAAATGTAAAATGGCAGAGGCAACTATAAAGAGAGAAAGATTAAAAGGTTTAACAGAAGATCCAATAACTACATGTGGAACAAGCAGCAAGGCTTGTGATTCAGAGCCCATCAAATCAACAGAGGTGCTGCTACAAGAGGTGGCCATTGAAGGCACAGATGTCTTCACCAGGTCACAGCCGGCAGGGATCATTCAATTCAGAGGCACTCCAAGGGAAAGCATCTAATGACAATTGAGACAAGGATAAAAGCCTCAAGGGAAAAAGTTTTTAGGTTATTGTACAAACTGAAGTCTGGCCAGGTGAGCTGAGACAGGTGTGATACTTTGAACAGCCCAAAAAGTGAGAACTGAAAAGGTAAAACTGTTGTCTTGAAGTTGCTAATGGGGTAAGCCAAGGTGCAAAGGAGATAATGAAATTGAGGAGCTGGCAAATCTCACTTAAATCTTGGTGGAGTTAATAAAAGAACTAACACAAGGCAATAGTGCAATGCTTGACTTGTCATTCTTAACGTGTTCTTTATCAATGGCTACAATTAAAAATCATATGTGCCAAACAGAACATGAGCAGAAGCAAAAGGAGGTGAGTTCTGTTTAGGAAGCATCCCACATACTATGCTGCCTAAAGAAAGCTTTACCCACCGGAAACTTAAAGAGCTATTTTAACTTCTATTTTTTGAGCCCCAACTTAGTTGCTGAGCTAAGACATCTGGAGGACAGAAGCCTCCACAAAAAACATAGACCAAGAACTCACAGAGATCTGCTGTCATAAGGCACACTCAGTGATGCTCCTATAATAAGGAAACTTGAGAGGACCACACAGCCACCAAACTTAAGCAAATGGCAGACTGAGAGAAAGGTCTTGCAATAAACATTAGGTGTGGGATAAAATACTGAATGGTAAAACCCTGATGGGGAGAGATCTGCATTTCCATTTTGAAACATTAGATATACTGGCCATTTTCAGGAATACTAACTATTTAGAGCTGCTCAAAAAAATCTTGATTTTTTTTTCCTTTTCCCCTAGAAGTGGGTGCTACTTCGCATGATTGTACCATTTAGGAAGAACAGGCTACACAATGGCAAAATGATGTGTACAGAGATTGCACACTGGGAAATCATGCACACAGTGGCAGGCAACATAATATTTAAGTAAGGACTCTGGAGTCAAGCCCCCTGTTGAAATACTGGCTTTTCTACCTATTTGCTATGAAACTCCTGGACAAGTTTTTCAACTTCCTGAATCCTAGTTTCCTTGTTCTTAAACTAAGGATAATAAAATAGCTCATAAGATGCTGAGGGAAATAAAAGGGTAAAACTATGACAAGTGCTTTGTCCTGTTTCTCTTGAGAGTGAGGGCTTAATAAAGGCATTATTTTAGCATTATTTTAAGACCAGGTTTTACCTCTAATATCAAGATACACTCTCTTTTAACTACCACCAAGTATCAGAAGTGGGTGCTACTTTGCATGATTGTACCATTTGGGAAGAACAGGCTACACAATGGCAAAATGATGTGTACAGAGATTGCACACTGGGAAATCATGCACACAGTGGCAGACAGGGTTGTTTGAAGGATTAGGAATACAGAGACAGACAGTGGTCTTCACAGCAAAACTCAGTCACAGTCGTTGGCAGCAGTCATTCAAGTAGCTCAGCCTTGCAGTGGTGTTTTTGAGCATATCACTCCTCCCCACTTCTGTTTAGGTCACACCACGGTCATCACCAAAAAACTAATCGTCGCCCATTGGCTAGTCCATGCTTAGAAAGCAAGCACCTTCCTAGGTTATGTCAAGAAAAAATAAACAGAAAACGACATTGGCAATTGGTGTCATCCTGTCTCATTCATCCTATTTAGTCAACATACTCACCTCTAGCCATGATTTTCCTGAGGTTTTTCAGAGCTGTGTTTTTCCACCTACTAGACTAAGCAACAGGAGAAGAAAAAACAATGTTAAGTCAACATCTTGAGGCACATCTATTAACCACTTTATTATATACAGTAGCTCTCTCAATTATCAGAACTGAAAAGTTATTTTTTAATTTCCATTTTTAGTAAAACATGATTCAAAAAAGACGTATGTAATCTACCCAAGTTCAAAGTTACAACATGGTAAAGAAGACCTTGAGCCTTATCCTCTCGGGCATCTCCCATCGGAACAGCTTCTGCCTCAACTCCTTCCTCTTCTAAACCCACCCTTCATGTCACTATCCTAATGACTATTTGGAAACTTTATCACTACTGCCCCAGGCTGAGACAGTCTTAAGAGCTCTTTGCAGTTCTTGGGATGTGGATTGAACTCCTCAGCCTGATACCATGTCCTGCAGGGCCAGGCCCATCCCATCTTCCCAGAGCCTCCACTCCCACAACACTGGGCTCAGCTCCTCTCAGCACAGAATCACAGAATCTATAGGCCAATTCTCACTTCCCTCCATTTCCAAAGGCCTTCTGCATGAAGGTTTCCAACCTCAAAGTCCTTCACAGTCACCTAATGGCTGCATTTATAATGCCACTGTATCAGCTCCTCACCCTCCACTTTTGAGCTGCCCTTAGTGAAGCTAAGTCAGCTGAGCTCTGAGGACCTCACAGCAGCATCCACACCTGCCTCCCTCCCCACATCTCTGGCATGGCTTGGGCATTGTTGCTTTCTGTGCTCTGAGCTCTTGAGAACAACCTCTTGCCCCCTCCCGCATTCCCAGATCCCAGCATGGGGCCCCACTCATGGTAGTCATTAGCAAATTGTAATTGTGAAAAGGAGGAGATAATAAACTATTTTAATGGGAAGTCATTCCCAGAGGTAGGGGAAGCCTCCATATCTCCACTTTTCCTATTCATATTTTTTATTTGTACAAATTTATGGGGTTCATGTGAAATTTTGTTACATGTATTAAATGTTTTGTGATCAAGTCAGGGTATTTACAGTCTCCATCACCCAAGTATAACACATTTTGTTAAATATAGTCACCCCCCTCTGCTATCAAACATTGAGTTTATTCCTTCTATCTTGCAATATGTTTGTACTTTTTTTAATGTTCATATGATTATTTTTTAATTTCCAACTTATTTAAGTTCAGGGGCACATGTGCAGGATGTGCAGGTTTGTTATATAGGTAAATGTGTGTCATCGTGGTTCGCTGCACGGATCATCCTGTCACCTAGGTATTAAGCCCAGTATCCATTAGCTATTCTTCCTGATGCCCTCCCTCTTCCCACTCCCTACCCTCCAACAGGTCCCAGTGTGTGTTTTTTCCCACCATGTGTCCATGTATTTTCATCATTCAGCTCCCACTGATAAGTGAGAACATGCAGCATTTTGTTTTCTGTTGCTGCATTAGTTTGATAAAAATAATGGCTTCTTGCTCCATCCATGTCCTTGCAAGGGACATAATCTTGGTATTTTTTTGTGGCTGCATAGTATTCCATAGTGTATATGTACCACATTTTTTTAATCCAGTCTGTGACTGATGGACATTTAGGTTGATTCCATGTCTTTGCCACCCACTTCTCCACCTTCCCTTCTCCTGCCATGATATGATTTGGCTCTGTGTCCTCACCCAAATCTCATCTCAAATTTTAATCCCCACATGCTGATGGAGGAACCTGGTGAGAGGTGATTGGATTATGGGGATGAATTTCCCCCTTGCTGTTCTCATGACAGTGAATGAGTTCTCAGGAGATCTGGTTATTTGATAAGTGTCTGGTGCTTCTGCCTGCTGGCTCTCTCTCTCTCCTGCTACCATGTAAGACATGTCTTGCTTTCCCTTTGCCTTTCCCAATGATTGTAAGTTTCCTGAGGCCTCTCCAACCATGGGGAACTGTGAGTCAATTAAACCTCTTTTGTTTATAAATCACCCAGTCTCAGGTAATATCTTCATAGCAGTGTGAAAATGGACTAATACTCACCCACTCACCATTTCCAGTCTCTGTTGTCTATCTTCCTACTCTCTATCTCCATGTGATCGAAGTTTTTAGTTCTTACATATAAGTGAGAACACACGATATTTGTCTTTTTTGCCTGCCTTATTTCACTTAAGATAATCACCTCCATTTCCATCCAGATGTCTGAAAAATACATGATTTTATTCATTTTTGTGGGTGAATGGTATGCCATTGTGAATATATACCACATTTTCTCTATCTCTTTGCCTGGCAATGGCCATTTAGGTGATTTTATATATTTGCTATTGTGAATAGTGCTGTAATAAACATGTAAGTGCCAATATCCTATAGATATACTGATTTATTTTCCCTTGCGTAAATATCATGTACTAGGATTCCTAGATCAGATGATAATTTTCTTTTTCGTTTTTGAGAAATCTCCATTCTGTTTTCCATAGAGGTTGTACTAGTTTACATTCCTGTTAACAGCATGTATGAGTTCCCTTTTCTCTGCATCCTTGTCAACATCTGCTACTGTTTGTCTCTTTATTAATAGCCATTTTGACTGGGGTAAGCTCTTTCTGGTTCTAATTTGTACTTCTCTGATGATTAGTAATGTTGAGCATTTCTTTTCACATACATATTGGCCATTTGTATGTCTTCTTTAGAGAAATGTCTATTCATGTCCTTTGCCCACTTTTTAATGAGATTGTTTGTTTGTTTTCCTTGTTGAGTTGTTTCAGTTCCTTGCATATTCTGGATATTAGTCCCCCATTGATGTATACTTTGCAAATATTTTCTCCCATTCTGCGGGGTGTCTCTCCACTCTGTTGATTATTTCTTTTGCTATGCAGACACATTTTTGTTTAAATAAATCCCATTTGCATATTTTTGGTTTTGTTTCCTGGGCTTTTCAGGTCTTAGTCTAAGTTCTTTGTCTAGACCAATGTCCAGGAGAGTTTATTCTATATTTTCTTCTAACATTTTTATAGTTTTCGGCCTTATATTTAAGTTTTTTATTAATTTTGAGTTGACTTTTTTATATGGTGAGGGACAGGAATCCAGTTTCATTCTTCTGCATGTGGCTATCCAATTTTCCAAGCACCATTGATTGAAGAGGGGGCTCTTTTTCCAATTTTCCTATTCATATTTTTATGGCTAGAATGGCAGAGAGTATTCATGTCTTACCACACCTCACTGACCAGGAGGTCGTGGTCAGGAGGACATTGCAAAAAGAAAATTCTCATTTATCTATTTATTCATGTAGGTAATGATACAGGAGCTGTGTCTCTACTAGTTGTCTGCCACCCCTGGGTACAAGAATGAGAAGGCATATGGTGCTCAAGACTGAGATGAAAAATATATACACAATGTTGCCAGGCAAAGCTTCACTGCAAGGGATCTGATTTCTCTCAGGGAAGGAAGTGAAGACCAGCACAGCTGTGCCAAGAGTGAACCTGCCCACGGAAACCTCTCACTCCTTACCTTACCCTCTCTGCCTTCCCTAAACTCCAATAAACTGAAACTCAAGGACCCTCCAGGAAGCATCTTGGGGGATGTGCCTGAATAGTGATTGGCCAACAGAAATGGATACCCACACACTTTGTTGTTGTCGTGGACTTTTTCTCCTGATGTTGTTGTTCTCAAATTCTGCCCATGATGCAAAAAGAAACAGAGAGAAGTGGAGGTGACTGTGTTTTTTCCCACTCTTGACAGGAGAGCTGTTAAAGAACTAACGCTACCCTTCCAGAGTCTGCTGGAGAGGCGGGCTGGGTAGGGGGCAGGGGCACCCCTCCAAGTGCTGGATCACCTGGGCACCAACCAGGGGTGAAGTCAGAGGCCTTTGCTTTAGAAATAGGCATTTTCTACTCCAGTTGCTCCTAGAATGTTTCCGTCCACATAGTTATATGGTTAGAATTTTTTTTCAACGGATTTTTGTTTTTCACATTTGACACTGAACTTGCCTTCACTGATTTTTATTTCTTCCTCTTAGGAGAAATAAAGTGCCGAGGTATGAGAAGTACCTGGGGAGCAAAATCAAGTAAAAAGAAGGCCAGCATTGGCAGTATCTCTGTTATCAAATGCATAAAGCAGGATGGATGAGGAATTTCATTTGCCAGGAGTGGCAACAGTGTAATAACAGAAGTTCTGCCTCCATCCCTGCACCTGCTTGTACAGTTCAAATTAAAACCTGAAACCCAGCAAATCCCACTTCACAATGGCTTTCAGTGTTGGAGCCTGCGAATTAAAGGCCTCCATTGTTTGGAAGGATTATTTCCTTGCCTTTACTAGCTTCAAAGAAATGTGAATCTTCACTCACTTTCCTATTGATCCTTGTTGATCAGATTAACTTTGTTTTGGATTCCTATTGAAACAAAGACAAACAGATACATTTTAAGCACTTTTATGTATAGCTTTGTTTCAGTTCAGAATTCTTACTCTGCTTCTACTCCCTTGTTATAAAGATTACTAGGCAGTTGGGGGAAAATAAAGGAATTACCATAAATTCTATTCACTAAATACCAACACTTTCAGGCAAATTATCTCAATTGTAAAATACTTTGGCACACCAAGTAATTATATGCAATTAAAACCCCACTGTTGGTTTACTTTCCCTTGTTAATTTATAATGGAATTACCTGTACTCAGGAAAACTAAAAGGTTAGCAAGCACTAGAAATCAAAGACATCTCTCAACATGGCAGCAATAAAGCCAAACATTTATTCTACTCACTGGGTACTTCAGATTTCAGATAAAATTATTGAATACTTTCCTCTCCTTTAATGAAACATAAAGAATCTGAAGCGCATTTCCTTGGAGTGTTCTCAGGCTTTTTGTAAATACACTGAGGAGGCTATTTCTTCCCGCCTGCTCGCCTCTCGGGGCCATGACTCAGATACCCAGGGCTGGGATTAGGAAGTTTCGCCCTGGGCCATGCTGCTCCCCTTCTTTCCTGGTTCCCTTCTCTGCTGGGTGGCTACTGAATCTGCTTTTAAGTCCCCGATTAGAAACAAACCTGCAGCCTCCCTCAGTGCCAGATGAAGAGCCCAGAGGCAGGCATCCTAGGTGTTTGTCTGGTCTCAGCCCACAGAGACCCCTCTCAGCCCTCGCTTCCCCACAGTAAACCCAACAAGGGCACCGGCCTCTTCCCCTGGCAGGGGCTTGTGCTAAGACTTGCAAAACCTCCCACTGGACAGAGTCCCCACCTCCTGACTCAAAGCCAGAGTTCTGTGCAAGCAACATTAATTTATGGGGGGTAAGTGGGTAAAGATCTTGTGAGTATCAGGTTGCAACCAACCAAACAAACCAGAGGCACTCCTTTGGGAAAACAATAAGAACCGAGTTCTTCCTGGCCAGAATACAGAGGGTGGCCAACAGTCCTGATTTTCTCATGTTGGAGGAATCTATTGGAACTCAGACTTTTCAGGAGTAAAACCTGAAAACCCCCAGCAGATCAAGGAATGGTGTGGCTTATTTGTCCATGTGATCTCATATAACAAGGAGCCAAATGGGGTACGGGTGGCTCCAACCATAGTTTCCCCACCCAGTGGCGCATGGTGGTTGGACACAGACCTGTTCATCCCTTTTGCCCTGACACTGGCCCCCAACGAGGCCAGGTGTTGGAAAAGAGCCTATATATATGTACCCCTGCACCACACAGCACTTTGTAAATAAGGAATTAATAGGGTTTTCCTTGCAAGCCACTTTGTCATATAGTCCACTATCTAATTTCACTCAAAAGGCATCAGACGATTCTCCCACTAGCATCAGGAGAGAAACCAACCTGCCAGAGAGGCCAATATTTCTGAGGAAACATTTTCCATAAATATTATTTTCTGCTTTATTTGGAGTCTCCAGAATAGCAGGAAGAGAGGTCCAATTGGATGGCACCCTGGTGCCAGGTGGGGCTCAGCTTTGTGCAACGTGACCTCAGGATGCACACGGCCACTGCCTCTCACCATCTGTCTGGGCCCACCTCTCACACGGGCCCAGGAAATACCTATAGGTGTGGGGGTCGGTGGGATACATTCTGTTAAAAGCACAGATGCTAAAGAAATCACTGAAGATCAATAACTCTATGATCTCCCATTAAAATTACAAAGTCTCTTTGCGTTTTATCAAGTCATAAATACATCAATTATTTTTCCCTATGCCATTGCCTCTGAGCCTTTCGGCCAACCATCTCTGAAGGGCACTTGCCCTCCTGCTCCTCAAAGGACAATGTGAGGAAGATCTGCTGCCCCTTCCACCCGAATGCATTGACTTCAGGACAGTGAAAAACATTCCAAGGAAACGCACAGCATGCTGCAGAGAAAGGGGGTATGTGGAAACACTGCTGCTTACCAAGGGGAGCCATGCAACGGAACCTGGAACTGGCCCAGTGATGCACACCTCGTCGATGGTTTCATAACCGTTCATTGGAAAATGAAACCATCAGATCTTCCAAAGCTGAAATGGAACATTTTCTCATTAAAGGCCAATTTCGTGGTTTATCTTTGAGAGATTCTTTACCTTAATGTTGATTATCAATATTCTCAAAGCTAAGTTGTAATAAAGACTTTTTTTAAATAAGCAAAATGACCCAGACATGAGCCTCAACTTGGCTCTTCGGCCACCGCGGTAGCTTCACAGTGTTACCTGATAAAGTGGCTGAACCCTCCATGGTCAAGACTCCACCATGGTCAGGACTAGATGAATGGGCTAGAAAACCTTATGATCTGCCAATATTAAAAAGAGTTAAGCACCAATAATAACTGTGTCATCATAGCACACGGTAACTTTTCCAATTAACTTATTTTTGCCATGCCTCAATGCCTATTGAAAATGGAATCACAAAGTGTTTTTAATGACAGTAGCAGGAACCTTCAAAAATGGTATGCTATGGCCAGGCACGATGGCTCATGCCTGTAATCCCAGCACTTTGGGAGGCCAAGGTGGGCGAATCACCTGAGGTCAGGAGTTCGAAACCAGCCTAGCCAACATAGTGAAACCCCCGTCTCTACGAAAAATACAAAAATTAGCTGGTGTGGTGGCAGGTGCCTGTAATCCCAGCTACACAGGAGGCTGAGGCAGGAGAATCACTTGAACCTGGGAGACGGAGGTTGCGGTGAGCCGAGATCACGCCATTGCACTCCAGCCTGGGGGAAAAGAACAAGACTTCGTCTCAAAACAAAGAAAAAAAGGTCTGCTGTGTGAAATTTCTGCCATGTTAGCATGGCCTGTGTTTTAATTTGAAAGTGAGCTCTGAACACTTCTGTGTTTTAATTTGAAAGTGAGATCTGAACACTTCTTGAGGTGACTATGACGTAAGATGAGCCTAGGAAGGTCCGTCAGCCTGGGATGGAGGGAACCTCCCCAGTGATGCCCACTTCCTTAGACTGTGTGTGCCACACAGTCCTCACCCTTAAGGCCCGAAGCCTGGGAGATAATCCCTGCAGGGACGGAACACCACAAGGTGAATATTTTTGCCACTGACAGGCTGCTTAGAGATGACAGTCACCAGTTGCCACTGATGTCCAGAGGGACCCAGTGCCAATGGCCAAAGTCTGCTTAGTCCAGGAGGGACATCCTGGCCCCCAGCTCAGGCATGATCCTAGAGCAAAACTATCCAACAGGCATTCTGCACTGGCAGAAATGCTCCACAGTCCAGTACCCTAGCCATTAGCCTTGTGTGGCTTCAGAGCATGTGAAATTTGCCCAGTCAAACTGACAAACATTTAAAATGTGATTTTATTACCACCTCTTCAGTTTAATAGTCACATGTGCTGTATGGCTACCACATTGGACAGCAGAGTTTCAGAACTTTGAATAAAGAGTTGGACCAAAACAAAAAAGAAAAAAAAAAGATATTTTGTAGTCAAAGAAACACACTAATGAAACCAGTGACTTTTTAAACCTATCAGACATATATTTGCAACATTCATTTGCTTCTTTTCCATTAAATACTCAATATTCGTGAGCACATGGAGAAATTAAACCCTCGTAGACCAATGGAGTGTCTATCAATATATCATCCAACATCTATCCATCTATCTATCACCTATCCATCTATCAATTTATCTATCCATCTATCTATCACCTATCCATCTATCAATTTATCACCTATCTATCCATCCATCTATCCATCCTTCTATGATCTATCCATGTATCCATCTATCATCTGTCCATCCATCTATCCATCCATATATCTATCAATTATCTACCTGTCTGTCCATCCATCTATTTATCTATCTATGATCTATCTGTGATTTATTTGTCTATCTCTACCCATCCATCTATATATAAATTTTAAGACATGCAACTGGCCACAATTATCAAGCCTTTTTAAAAGTATATGTACTTCGTCCCAGAAATTGTATTTCTAGTTATCTTTTCTAAAGAAATAATTGAAGGCTCAGACAAAGATTAGGGTGCACAATTATCAATAACATCATTAATTCAAATTATAAAAAATTCCAGACCTACTCAGTGTTCAAAAATAGAGCAATCATTAAATGGATTATTTCTCCAAAAGGATGGCATGTTTCTAAGGATATTAAATGACACAAGAAAATGCTTATATCCTTTTAATTGAATAAGTCTGAATATAAAATAATACATGGAATATGACCCTTAGTTTATGTTTATGTTTACATGTCTAATAAAAAAGAGAAAGAGAGAGAGAGGGAGATGTATTTCGATGCCTAATGAAAAGACAGATATGACTAAGGTCACATCTAAATGAAAGAATTATTCTTCTTTTATAATTTACTGTATTTTCTTAAATGTGCCTAAATTATTTTTACCAAAAGAAAAAATCAATGACATTAATTATTTCAGTCCAGTGGTGTGTCATTCAGATAATGGGCATTTGAACTAGTACATGGTACCCAGGGAGACGAGTAGACAGCTCTCGGCACTTACTCTTTCCAAGCTATTTGGGTACCAGTTACGTGCATTCTAGCTGAATAAATTAATTGACTAGTGGTTTAATGTGTGGATTATTTTCAGATGCTCTCTTTCTCTCCTGGCTGAGTGCAGCTCTGCAAAGAGTCGGGTCCCATGGAAACTCTGGTTCCGAGGGAGCAACAGCGTAGACACTGACACTGTGGAACATTCACCTGTTAAACTAATAATAGCTGCCACACAATCAAACACGAAAACCCAGTGATGGAAGTTGATGGACTCTGAGAAGTAACCACCTTACACCTTGCAGCTAGGCACACATTTGGAAGCTCTAGGAAGTGGAAGGCATCGCTCCCTCCTTGTGGGTCCTTTCTCCACAACTGCAGCTTGCAAGGGGCCCAGGCGGCTGAGAGTATAGATGTGCTTCCTGGGGTGCACAATCTAATTCCACCCCCCCAGGAGGGCCAGGCAACCGCTCCAAAATTGAATTCTATGCAAACTTGTGATGACTAACTTAGTGAATCATGTCAAATTTTAAACTTCATTTTATTTTATTTTTTATCAGCTGCTGGATAATTGAAGGAGAGAAGGTGCCCGACTGACATCCTGCCCCAGGCATCAGCTGCCTTGCACAGCCTCTCCTCCCAAGACAGATGTCAGGAAGGCATGTGGCTCCCCCAGAAGCAGAGCCCTCCACCCTGTCACACTCCCGGCACTCTCTCCTGTCAGGCTTCCGTCTCATCTCTGTTCCATCAGCCTCTCCCTCCTACAGAAAGTAAACATCCCTCCAAATAAATGATTGATAAAAAATGAACTTTCAAAAAAAGTAGTGACCCTC
This sequence comes from Homo sapiens, assembly GCF_000001405.40. NCBI lineage: Eukaryota > Metazoa > Chordata > Mammalia > Primates > Hominidae > Homo > Homo sapiens. Next base: position 3,569,833 of record NC_000005.10, read on the forward strand.
AAATCTCACTTAGAAATTCTCATTTTGACACAGAGTTTGCCTAAACTATTATCCAATATTTTTAGAAAACCACCAAAGTCCCAATTACCAGCAAAATAAAGTATAAATCACAGACCATATTTTCCCCATATTTAACGATTTGCAGAGGAAGGTGCCACTTTTTAAAATAAATAAATGGATGACAAATCATCCAGCACATTCCACTGATAGACGAACTTCCTGCTGTCAGTCAGAAGTGAACCCCAATTTCCCTAACCCAGGAGGTATCTCTCCTGTCATGCTGTTCACATCTGACAGCGGGCTGAACTCTGCCCCGTCCCTATCTGGAAATGGATTTCACATCAGAACTCACGCAACTATGTTCTCACAAAGTTCAGCTTGAAAGCCTAACATCCAAAAGGTCTGTTTTACCCCCCAATTTCTACAAGATTCTACAAGAATGGTAACTGGGTCACATTACACATCTTGTATCTTAAGCTAAAACAAAATAAATGAAACAAAAACCCCCAGAACAATAGAATATAAAATACTGCATGTGTAAAACGTCACAGAACGACCTAAAGAACACTTTCTCGGAAAATCTCTTTTTCTCTGTTCTAACCTGAAAAACATACTTTCTTAACATCAGGGAATAATTCTAAAAGAAAACAATGGGACAACAATAACTGGCTGCAGTGAATGAGTGTCTCTGCTTGGGCATACTTAGTGTGGGCAAAGTGATCTCAGGTGACAACAAGAGTCAAGGAGCTGACTCTTGCTCCTTGAAGAACTGTTTGTTTCTGTCACTGGCACCAATTCTGACTATAGGTAGATCTTTAAGCAAATGTAGTGATGTTTTAAGGATAAATTGGAGGTAATTCTTTATTTTTCAAACATATTCGTGATTGCCCTCATTTATATGTTAAACTTCCAAATCTAGTTTAAACTAATCGACTTTCATTATACACACTGTCTCATTGTCTTTCAAAATGGAAACATCTATTGCATAGAGGCAGGCAAGTCCATAATAGGTATCACATGGGGAGAGAATCAAGGTGTTAGGGTGGGGGAAATTAGAAAGAAACTCTTCACTTTGTTGGAGAATGTAACACCATGCTCATGCCTCTGAGTCTCTGTGAAATTCTGCAACAGTTACTCCTGGCTTTCTTTCCACTTTTCCTTCTTCTCTGTATTCACCTTTTCTCCTTGTCCCCTTAAAACACAAAGTGATGAGCTAAGTAAAAAGAGCTGATCTTAATTAAACTGGAAAAACTTGATACTAATATCTGCACTCAGAAAAATAACATTGGATCCCTATCTCACACCACATCCAGAAATCAACTCAAAATGGATGAAAGATTTACATATACGTTCTGAAATTGTAAAACTGTTAGAAGAAAACGTAGAGTCAAAGCTTCATGACGTGGGTCTTGGCAGTGATTTTCTGAATATGACCCTCAAAGCACAGGCAACAGAAGTAAAAATAGACTAAGGGATTACATCAAACTAAAAGCTTTTTCACAGCCGAGGAAACAATTAACAGGGTGAAGAGACAAACTACCAATTGGGAGAATAAATTTGCCAACCATACATCTGGCTAATATCAAAAAGATATAAGAAACTCAAACAACTAAACTGCAGAAAAACAGATAAGATAATTTAAAAATGGACAAAAGGCCCAAATGGACCTTTCTCAAAAGATGAGACATACAAATGAACAACAGGTATATGAAAAGGTGTTGGAAATCAATAATTATCAAGGACTTGCAAATTAGAACCATGAGTTACAACCTCATACCTGATTATCAAAAAGAAAAAAGACAGCAAATGTTAGTGAAGATGCGGAGAAAAGGAAACCCAATACTTCTGGGAAGATAAAATTGCTACCGCCATTATAGAAGAGTGGATGGACGTTCCTAAAAAATTAAACATAGAACTCTCATATAATCCAGCAATCCCACTACTGGATACATATCCAAAGGAAATGAAATCAACATGTCAAAGAGATATCTGCACCTCCATGTTTATTGTGGCACTATGCACAACAGCTAAGTTATGGAGTCAACTTTAGTGTCGCTAATCAGATGAATGAATAAAGAAAATGTAGTATATATACATAGTGGAGTGCTATGTATCGATTAAAAATAATGATGTTCTATCATTTCCAACAACAAGAATGAACCTAGAGTTATGGTCAGTAAAATTATGTGGTGTGAAATTAGGTGCAGAAATATTAATACTGCATGATCACACTTATATGTCAAATCTAAAAAAGTCAAAGTCATGCAAGTAGAGAGTAGAATGGTGGTTTCCAGAGGCTAGGGAAAGAGATACTGGCCAAAGGGTGCAAAACCTCACTTAGGCAGGAAAAGAGATACTGGCCAAAGGGTACAAAACCTCAGTTAGGCAGGAAAATGTGAGATCTATTGCACAGCATGGTGACTACGGTTAATGATAATGTACTTCATATCTCAAAATTGCTAACAGTATATTTTAAATGTTCTCATTAGAAAAATATAAACTGATGGATATGTTAATTAGCTTTAATCACTCTACAATGTATCCAAATATTAAAACATCACATCGTACCCCATACATTTATACAACTATTATTTGTCAATTAAAAATAAATTTTAAGAAACCAAAAACAATATATGAATACCCTCTTGTGCACAGGAGTTATATCAAGCACAAAGTATGGCAGAAAGAGAAGGCATGTTCTCTGCCCTGGGGGGAGGGGGACATAATTGTGGAGAAGAGAGTCTGACAGACCCCTGAGGTGCCCATTCTATGTCTCTTTCCCCTTGCCAAAGGCAGGCAGTTGTATCAAGTCAAAGATGAGGGAGAATCAGTCAGGATGGGACACCCTACACTGCAGTAACCAACAGCCCTGGACTTACAGTGACTTCACGGAGCAAAGGTTTCTTTCTTGTTAATATCCTGTGTCCCTCGAGGAGCACAGGGTCCTCTGCTCACCCTCATAGGCAAGGGTCCAGCTGATAGAGGCTTCCTCTGAACACAAGCTTCCAGATCATCAGAGCAGAGGAAAGGATACCTGCTGCTGGTGCACCAGCCCCAAACGGTGCTCTTGGAATTGAGAGATGCTTCTCAGTTTGCATTTCACTGCTCCAAGTATCATGTGACCACATCCAGCCTCAAGTGAGTGAAGAAGAGATGACCACCACGTTCACAGAAGAAGAGGCTAGGAATGTGTGATCAGAGTAAGGACCACCATAGGCGGGAATGTGCCCAGCCCTGGGAACAAACTCTGCTGGAAGATTCTTAGGAAGGAGTGTTCTTTCAGATATAAGTGAATCCCTTTTCTTCTGCCTGTCTTTCTCCCTGTTTGAATGAGTTTGTGTGAGGATGTGATGTTTGGATCTGTGGCAGCTATTTTGAAGCCACAAGGCAACTCCAACAAGCTGATAGTGACAGAGAAGGAAAATAAAGAGGGCCTGAGAACGAATGCATGACACCAGAGTGCTTCCACACCTAACTCTGAACTACACACCTCAGGCTTCTTATGTGAGACAATGGAGCTACTTTTCTGTTTAAGCCTTGATTAGTCAATTAGTCAGATATTTTATTGCTTGTAGATGAATGAATCCAAACTGACACAATCACAGTTCTGCAAATAACGAGCTACAGCATAGACTTGGCAGCATTGCAATAGAGATCTAACATTCAGTGAAGAGCTAACATTCAGTAACATTCAGTGAATGAGTTCCCCAGGAAGGAGAACTCATTCCACTGGGGCAGTTGCAGACAGTCTCTTGAGGAGTAAAGATGCTGACAGATCGGTTGGCACCTGGAATACAGACATTGTCTGCAGAGACTGCCTGCAAGGGACAGCATCCTTTCTGGTAACCTCTCATTTGGTCATGGTTCACTGACTCAGCACCAGGCTTTGCGCTAGATCCTGGGTGCTAGAGACTCAGTTGATCACAGTGTTTATCACCAATGCCACGGGAAAGCAGAATGAATGAGGATACCTCACTTCTATAGTCAGAAAACCGGCAGGTTTAAAACACAGAGGCTGTGGTCTCTGCATCACAGGTGGGCAGGGCCTCCCTGATGACAGGACCTCACAGAGAAGGTGGAAGGGACAGGCAGCAGGGGAGCGGCTTCATCAGGGGTGTTGGGTCCACTTGTGCTGCAGCAGGCAGAAGGTGGCAGATCACCTCGCCTCTGGACATCCTGGTCCTCTCTGCCAATATCTGTCACTGCATATGGCTATCAGTTTACATCTCTGTCATTCAGTGGGCTCTGATTCCTACCTTCATCTAGCACAGAAGGTAGCACCTGACTTAGCAGGAGGCTGCAAGTAACTTGAATAGACCTCAGAATTCCAGATGAAAGCAGCTCTAGAAACTCGGAGTGTAATTAACTGTAGAAAATTTGAGAAGTTTGAAGCTGGCAACAGCAATTGAAGGAATTTTAAAAGCAATTGAAGGAGCTTTCCTTTCCTGTCCTTAATGAGGGTAGCTTTAATTAAACTCCATTAAAATCTGGCAGTTTTGCTCTCTTTAATTTGATCCATTGTGATTCGGACAGCATTGAATCAGTGCTGAACTAAAAAGACACATCAAAAGGTGTCCTTTCAGTTCACCAGTCTGAACACTGAATTCCAGAATGATACGCAAAGATAAAACAGGATGATTTATAGTGTGGAAAGGAAAAGGGGAGAGAGGATTAAACTCCCTAAGATCATAACAGGTGAGCAAAGAGGTAAAAGAAAACTTCTCTCCAAGTCTCAGAATGACAAGAGTATTTGGAAAAATAAGAGGAGGTGCTCATTTATGGGACACAAGTAAACTCATGGAGCTTCCCCAGGAAGTGGCAGAGGGAAGAAACTGCCAGACACCTGGAGCTCAGGATGTCAAGGGGTTGGTGCCACCACCCACATGTGGGACTAACTGGATCTCAGGATGTGAAGGGGGGCTGGTCCCAACACCCTCATGTGGGACTGACCCCAGCTCAGGATGTCAAGGGGCTGGTCCCACCACCCTCATGTGGGACTGGCTAGAGCTCAGGATGTCAATGGGCTGATCCCACTGCCTCATGTGGGACTGGCTGGAGCCGCTGCCAATTTTCTAGGGCCTTACTCTGACCATCTTCACATCATCACATGGAAACCCAGGGTGTTCTCTCCCTCCCCTCTCCCTAGGGTGCCCCCAGGCTGTGGTCTGCATGGGCCGTGGGAAAAGGTCCTGTCCACATGTGCTCACTGACTGTGAGTTTGGCTAAGACCTTCCCCAACAAGAGCCAGAAGCTCCAGGTGTTAAGCCCTATAGTGGGTTGAACAATGCCCCCTAAAGGTACATCCACAGCCCAAGCCCTGGCACCTGTGGATGCGGCCTCATTCGGAAAAAGGCTCTTTGTAGTAACTAATTTAAGGATCTCAATATGCACAAATTATTACGGATTATCTGGATGGCCCGTAAATCTATTAAGTGTCCTTGCAAGAAACAGGAGAAAAGACACACACACAAAGAAGGTCATGAGCTGAGGAGGTGGAGAGCATATTGATGTGACCACAAGTCCAGGGACACTGGGAGCCACCAGAACCTTGAAGAGAAGGACCCTCCCCTCGAGCCTCCGAAGACAGTGTAGACCTGCCAACAGCGTGATTTCAGACTTCTGACTTCCAGAAGCGTGACAGAACAGACTTCTGTTGTTCCAAGCCACCCAGGTCCTGGTGATTTGTGATAGCAGCTGCAGAATGCGGATCCCAGCCCCTTCCCGCTTTGCTCCTGAGGGCCCTGAGCTGAGGCGTCCTCTGGCTTCGGTGTCGCTGATGGTGTGTAGGAAGCACAGGGACACATCGGCCTCCCAGGTGCCCTCAACCAGGCACTCCAGTCCTCACAAGCAGACACATCTGGGCCTCTGGCAATGGCAGAGACCAGGCTAGGCCCTGACCGTCCACACAGAAGCTTCTAGGAACTCTGGGGAAGGCTGGCAGGCCTCAAGGACACTCATAGAACCAACCCTTCCTCTGGCAATCTTTCATGAAGCAGCTGTTTTATGCAGGGCACTCTGCTTGCCAAAGCTCATCTCAGGAAATTCAGAAGCCCCAAAGTCAGTGAACAGGCTGTTTCAACTTCATAATTGAGCCTTCTGAATGCTGCATCCAAAGCCCAGCCCCATGCCATCTTTGTGGTCATCCCTCAATAAATATCTGTCCAGCGACAGCCTTTTGATCTGTTATGTAACCCTGCTTAAGGAAAACTGTGCATGCCCTTGACAACTTGGGTGCAAAAATCCACAGTGGGAAGTCATTGAGGTTTTCAGTTTTCAACACACGTAAAGGTAATTTAAAAAAAATGATTCTTCACATTATTTTGAGTGTTTTGTAAAGCCCCTGCTACGTTTCTTGTGGTGTTAACTGACCGGCTGAGTTTCTATTTGGGGTCCCGTTGTAGTTAGGTCTTCTCCCCTGGGTCTTGCCTCCTAACTTACTGAATATACTCTGGGTACCGCTGCCCTTAGACATGCCTGGAAGACCCCGTGACTCCAGAATCATCTTATTCCAAAGACCAAACACAGGAAATGGCAGCGCTTTAAGCATAACCCATTTCGTCTTTTTGCTTTTCTATTTATTGATGGTGTTTTGTGAGCAGAAGAAATACAAATATTAGGTAACTAACTATACTGAAAGAAGAATTCCAGAGTATAGGACTCCGTGAATTTTAAAGTAAGACTCAGGAGGATATGTGCCAACGGCAAAGAAACTTGGATGAAGGTAAGACATATTTCAAGTTCTTCCATGTTTTAGCTTCAAGGTATATTGCCCATGATGTACCTAATTTATTCGGTAATAAGATTTCCAGGCGAGTGCTGGGATTGGATGACCAATCTCATGCCATGGCTGAGGCCAGGGCCAACTTGGGTCAGGATAAGCAGGAGGGAAAAGATGGTCTCAGCCGTACTCACCAACCATCCTTGAAAAGGATGCTCTATCTCTGGCCACCATTTCTCATCCTTAGGATTTTATTTGCACCAATCCCATTCCATCTCCAATCTCACTAAAGTTTCTGGAAGGAAATGCAATCAGATTGTGACATAAAGCCATTCAACAAGCAGGCAGACAATGCGGTATACACTACATGCTCTAAAATAAACTCTATTGATGTAATGTTGTTTTGCCCCAAAACTGACCCTTTAAGCATGTGGTCATGGGTAATCAAGGTAACTAACGCTTCCTCCACACCTCCCTGCTGGTCACTCAGCAGACATTGGGAGACACCAAGTAGAGGACATCTGTTCTGCAAACAAAAGTAGCATTCTCATTCATTGGTGATACGGTTTGGATTTGTGTTCGCACCCAAACCCCATGCCAAATTGTAATCTGCAATCTTGGAAGTGGGGCCTGATGGGAGGTGATTAGATCATGGCTGCAAAGTTCTCAAGAATGGTTTGGCACCATCCCTTTGGTGCAACTCTTGTGTTAGCAGTGAGTGAGTTATTGTGAAATCTGGTTGATTAAGAGTGTGTGGCACCTGTCCCCTCAATCTCTCTTGCTCCTGCTCTGGTCCTGTGACCTGCCTGCTTCCCCTTCACCTTCTGCCATGATTGTAAGTTTCCCAAGGCCTTCCCAGAACCCAAGCAAGCAGATGCCAACATCATGCTTCCTCTACAGCCTGTAGAACCATGAACCAATTAAGCCTCTTTTGTTCATAGATTACCCAGTCTCAGGTATTTCTTTATAGTAGTGCAAGAATAGACTAAATATAATTGGCTTTGGTTGAGTGGGCATGGTGGCTCATGCTTCTATTTCCAGCACTTTGGGAGACCAAGATAGGAGGATCATTTGAGGCCAGGAGTTCGAGACCAAACTGGTCAACATAGTAAGACCCCATCTGTCTATATATATGTACACGGATAGATAGATGATAGATAGATAGATAGATAGATAGATAGATAGATAGATAGATAGATCTCTCTCTCTCTCTCTCTCTCTCTCTCTCTCTATATATATATATATATATATATATATATATATAGAGAGAGAGAGAGAGAGAGAGAGATGGGGTCTTACTATGTTGATTCAGGCCCTGGTGGGCACTGAGTGCCAGGCCCATGGCCCCTCTCCCTTGGGCACAGACTCCCAGCCTCCACCTGTCCAAACTGTACAGTCTCTGCATTTCTACCAGCCAGTCTTCGGTGGCCTTGTGGGCAAGTTCGTGGCTCCTCCCTTGGCCATGTCTCCTTCATGCTGCCTGTGCACAGTCCCTTGAGCTACCATTCCACAGGGGTCCATGTCCAGAAGTGCCTGTGGGCCAGGACATTTAGACATGCAGCAGATTGCCCATTGCATGCATTGGCTCCTGTTGCCTTGGTGTTCAGCTTTGACCTCCATGGGGCTGGCCCAGGAGATCAATGCCAGCAGCAAGCATCTCACCCTCCTCAGAAAGTGTCCTGTGCTTATCCTCTTCTTCCCAGGCGGGGCTTCCCAGAGGTGCCCCCTCGGCCCCTGCACCCTTCATACTTTGCCAGGCTTTCCCAGGGGAGTGACAGAGACATGCAGGGTGGACAACCCATTGCAAGTGCTGCGGTGCAGCTTCTACCCCACACAGGCCAGTAGTTCCCACACCAGGAGTTTCCATCCCAGGGAGGTTCATGCCCTGAAGATCTCAGGTGAGCTCACCCCTGGACAGTCACAAAGAAGGCTTATGGATACTCTCCCAAATCAGAAGCCTTAAAAGCAAACACCCTAGAGAGACTCTTACACAGAGACACAAAAAGGCATGTGCACAGCCAGCTCCTGCAGCACCACGTACACTTGTTACTAATTAGAAACCATTTAAGTGTCCTTTATGAAGCAGGTAATTAGATAAACTACAGCACACTCATGCCCTGCAATCCTGAGCAACAGTTTTTAAAACACGGGGAAAATCTATATGTGCTGACATTAAAAAAACAGGCAAGATATTGTTCAGAGAAAAAAACTCGGGTTCCAGCCAAACATCATGTCTTCCAGGGCTACCTACAAGAGGGTGACATTTTACCATAGAAACTCCATGGGGGCTGGCGAAGGAGGTCCTTGTAACTGAAGGTGGGCGAGGGGCCAAAGCCCATCAGGCTGGGAGGGGCAGCATGACCTTCAGGCAAAAAGAGGGACAAGGCACGGATAGCATGAGGTCCCAGAAGCCCATGTGCTGGGCAGCCCAGCTGGAAAAGGACTACCCTGGAATAGACTGGAGCTAGGTCAGAAAAGTGGACAGAAACCAAATCAACAATTAGGAATCATTTATGCCTTTGCTTAGAATTTTGGACGTACTTTCTAGATGATGGAGAAAAACTTGATAACTATTATCTTGATGAGAATAATTTGGTTAGTTTATCAAGTACAAAGATCATATTTAAGTATAATGGAAGGTACATGAAAATGGAACCAGACTTAAGGCAGAGAGATCTTTTAGGGAATAATGACAATAGCCCAGTCTGTTCACGATGTCAGTTTAAGTAAAAGGATGCTACCATGTAGGGTGACCATATAATTTATTGTCCAACCCAAGAAAACCTAAAAAAATGAAATATGGTAGCCAGAGAGACATTGGGACAGAAGGCATAAATTGGGAATGTCCCAGGTAAACTGGAATGTATGATCATCCCAGTAATAGGCGACAAAGAAGAGAAACACTGGGATGATATCCATACAGTAACATATTGCCTGATATCTCCATGAAAGCAGGAGCACATCTCCTTTTCTGTTCATCATTTACCATTTATCTCCAGAGCTGCTCCATTACCAGGAACATCATGGCGCTCAATAAATAACCTTTGAATAAATGGATGTTGAAGAAGACAGAATTGAAGATGGACAACTTATTCACACCTTGGGATCCCCAGAGTGCAAATAAGATTTTCCGAGGAGGGTGCCTGGGCTGAGGAGAGGGGAAAAACAGAATGTATGACAGCATGGAAGTTAGGAAGTAGGCAAAGAAGAAATTAAGGGAAAGTTAGATGGAGAAGGAGTGACCAGAGAGATAAAAGAACACTTTAGAAGGGGTTGTATCAGTGACGGTGGGTGTCAGAGCCACAGCCACTGAAGCTTGACTTAGAAGTCTGCAGCAGAATGGAATGAGGTCCCTTGGGTTGCAGGATCAAACTGCTTCGAGCACTCTATTTCATGGAATATGTTCCTTCAACCCCCAGAATCCCAATCACCTCAAGTGCTTATTTAAAATTCAGATGTTGGAACCAATCCTGCACTTAATGAATCCGAATATCTCTGAGCAAGGTCCAGGAATTTTAACATGTTTTCTGAGGGACTCTGAAGTTTTAGAATCCTAGGGTAATATATGGCCTTTCCACTTGGATTTTGAAGACCAAGGAATAAAAGATGGGCTTAGAAAGGAGAAGACAATTCTGGGCTGAGAACTGTGGGTTGTAAAAGTGAAAGCAATAAATAGGAATAAACAATAGATCTGGGCAGATGCCAACCACACATTTCACCAAGAACACTCCTCTCATGTGAAGAAAACGTGGACAAGATTAAAATAAACTTTCTAGGAGATGAGGAGAATAGATCCACAGTTGCTAATTCCTTCAAGCTTCACTTGATGTATTTTAGCCATGAACATGAAGACATATGATATGTATGGAGATGAAGTCTTCATTCTCTTGTGAAGATGAAACTCAGGATATTTTAGTAGAGTAATAAAATAAAGGTAACTCTGATTGCAAAATGACTAGTGCACGCGAGAATGAAAGAGTGATAAAAATAATGATTATTCAAGGCCCTGGTAATAACCCAGATAGGCAACTCTAAGGGCTTGAACTTGGGAGGGATGAACATGATCTCAAAGATGCTTTTGAGATAGGCTTGGCAGATCATAGTAAACAGATGTAGGCAGCATGTAAAAAGGGAAGTAAAACAGGCTCCTGGGCTGCAGGAGAAAGCATTCACTGAGGTGGATGATGGGAGGATGTGGAGGGGAGGGGTGAAAGGTGATTCATCTGGGCAAGAAAGTAGGACACATGGTAATCAGGCATTTGGAAATTTTCACAGATGCACCTTTCTGGTGTCAGGCAGGGTGATGGTTACTTTTATGTGTCAACTTTGCAGGGACACAGGGTGCCCAGATTAAACATTACTGCTGGATGTGTCTGGAAGGGCGTTTTAGGGGAGATCACCATGTGAGTCAATGGAGTAGATTGCCCCCCCCCCACACCCCAAGATGACAGGTGTCATCCAATCCCCTGAGGGTCCGGAAAGAGCAAACACAGAGGAGGAAAACAATGAACGCTTTTGCTTCCTGGCTGCCTGCTGGAGCTGAGACATAGATCTTCTCCTGCCCATGGACTAGGATTTGCACCGTGGACTCTCCTGGTTCTCAGACCTTTAGACTCAGCCTAGAATTATACCATGGGGTTTTGTGGGTCTCCAACAAATCATGGGATTTCTTATCTTCCATAATCGCACGAATCCATTCATCATAACAAATTGCTTTTTATATATAAGTGTGTGTGTGTGCATGCGTGCATGTGTGTATACACACACACACGATTGGCTCTGTTTATCTGGAGAACCCTAATACAGTTTGTAAGAAGCGGGGGTTTCCTCTGGTGGGTTAGCTCAATGTCAAAAAGGGAAGATGTAATTTAAGGGGCAAAAAGAATTTTTAGAACATCAACAACAATCAAATTCTTGAAATAAACAAATTTCTGTTACAAACTTGCAGGGTTTCCACTTATTAGAGAATGAGTCGCGAGGAGTAGGGTTTTATCCTTGTGTCATGATAGATATTCCCAGGCATGGACAGATAAACCTACACAAACACAGAGTTCTACAAAATCATTTCCCTTCTGTTAAGACTTACAATCATCATGGAGGGAAGAACGTTAAGGCTAGTGTTTCACTACAGCTTCTTTTATTTAACTAATTACATAACCTGGTTACATAGTGACATAGTTAAGTTAGGGGCAAGCTACCCAGAAATTGACTACAGACTTGATGAGGATTTAGACTATGCCACTGTTTAGAGAACTGCAGCAGGAGCACCTTCCCGTCCTTCCTCTACACAGATGAAATTGACGTGACTACTGGAAGCATGGCAGAGTGTATTTCCAAGCGAAGATTCCAAGGGGCATTGAGAAAAAGTTCTTAATTGGCATTGAGTTGGAGCTGCACGCAGATGATAATCAATGAGATGTTTTTCACAGATTGTGCATGTGTGGCACTAGCAAGGAAACCATGGAGATAGGAACATGTTTTGTTCCTGTGATATCTAATTATTCCTCCTGTACATGACTATGATGAGTTTTGTGATATAACTCAGGAGGAGCGTCATTGTACTTTATAGGCACCGTATTTGTCCTCCCCCATGAAGAAACTATTAACACAGACTTTGTGATACAGCATGAATGTTTTGATGCCAAGGGAAGGCTTGCAAATAAATTATTTTCATCAGTGTTAATAGTAATAATAGTGGTAATTACCATTACTCGAAAGTATTATTTTCCTTGTTAATTTCTGTCATTCCAGATTACTGTTTAATTTAACATTTCATATATCGTAAAGAATCAAACAAATGCTTAACATTTCTGTAATGAGGGATGTGGGCACATACTCTGCACATGTGCAGATGGCCGCTGAATCTGCCCTTGGAAAGGAGATGTGCTAATTAATGTGCTGTATTTCCCAAACAATCAGAGGTGTATGCATCATCAAATCAGTTGAAGACATTAGAATCGAACTCTAACAGTCATATACTTCAGTGATTTTTCAATTCACATTTAGGCAAAGAAAAACTTTGTTCAAACAAAACCTTATCTGGAAATTTGATATGTAAAACAAGGAAATTGGAGCTGTTCTGTTTAAAGGACAAGGAGAAATGTTCCTAGTGTCCTCCCAAATTGGACTTCTCTCACCACACCGTCCCACTCCATGTGGTTTCTGAGCTTCCAATAACATTGGTGGGGTTAAGATCATGTTTTGCTGCCCCTGAGCCAACCATCTTCCTCATCAATTCATAGAAGTATCTGAGTGCCAGGGGACAGAGATGTCCCTTATGCACCAGCAGATGATGGGGCCAACGATTCTCAATCCTGGGCTGGCTCTTCACTCCCACTGTGCATGAACATCAGCAGCAATGCAGAATCATCTTTGCTGATAGTGTTTCCACCCTGCAGATATGACCTCGATCAGTCTCGTAATCATCCTCTGACACATTAAATCCTGTCCTGCTCCTCTTCAGACACCTTTGATAACTCCCCCTGCTCAGAGGATAAAGCCCAGACTCATTCATATGCGACTGAAATCCCTTAAATGAGACCTCGGTGTCCTTGACTGCATCCTTGATCAAGTCCACGCCACAGCCTCACCTACTGCTCACTGGTCCCTGAGACGTTTTCTGAGATGATGGAATCCCCTTAACTCATATTCTCTATCAAAATCCTTGTCGCCTTCCAAAGCCTGGTCCAAATGGCAGGTCATTGTACTCTTTCCTCATTGACAGAATGAGTCATGTCCTCCTTTGACCCCTGAAGTCCACAGCTCTGCTATCACTGAGGGTCTAGCTAGGGGACAGAAACTCTGAATTATTTGGAGAGAGAAAAAAATTCTTAACTAGATATGGGTATGGGTTTAATTGCATGTTCCTAAAATTGATGTGAAAGTCCTCATCCTCAGTATCTCAGACCTTATTCAAAAATTGAATTGCTGAACATGTAAGTAGTTAAAGTGAGGTCACACTGGAGTAGGGTGGGCCCCCAATCTAATATGGCTAATGACCTTATAAGAAGGGGATATTTGAGCACAGAGAGCCCAGAGGAAAAATGCCTCCATCTGAAGCTGAAGGCAGAGATTGGGGTGAGGCATCTGCAAGTCCAGGAACACCGGAACTGCCAGTACACCCTCAGCTACTGGCAGAGAACATGGCTTTGAGATCTTTGAGCTCTTCCCTCACAGCCCTCTGAGGAACCCACTCTGCTGCCACCTTGAACTTGGACCTCCAGCCTCTGGAACTGCCAGGCAATAAGTTTCTGTTGTTTAGGTTCCCTGTCTTGGCACTTTGTTACAACTGCCCTAGCAAATGAAGACATTATGATGGATTTTCAACAAGTTAGCAGAAAACCCAAAGAGCCAACATGAAGTTATGACAGAGGCAATGCGGGAAGCAGCTGCCACCCCTTAGCTAGGGGACAAGGGAGAGCAGGCAGATGGATTGGAGGAGCGCAGAGGCTGAAACTCAGGCCTCTAAGACGAACAGAGGCTGGGCTGGTATGGTGTTGTCTGAGGGAATCTGACGGTCTGGCTTGGTAAGTGCTGGACACCTGGACCACTGGACTAGTTGCTGCCTGGTGAAGTCAGGTGACCGAGCTGATGTGGAGAGTAACAGGAAGTGACCTGGGCAGGAGGGGTGAGGCCGCTGTGGAGAAGTGCGTTTAGCAGAGCCTGGCATTGTGCAGCAGAATGTAGAAGGGGGGCTGGCAACTCGGAGATGGACATGTCATAATGGCATATCCCTCCTAGCACTTACTTTTGCCTTATAGAAAAATTAGGCGTCTGTATGTGTTTCACCTAATTGTCTAATTTAGACATGTAACACAGATATTCAGACAACTGTCTAATTGATTTCAGTTTCTCCCAGAGCACAAGATACTGTCTATTCCTTATAGTGGTTCCATAAAGCCTTCAGGGAATAAACGAACAAAGGGAAAAGGAGGAAGGAAGGAGAGAGGGGGGACAAGAGGAAAGAAGGAGGGAGGCAGGACAGGAGGAAGGAAGGAAGAGAAATGGGAGGAAAGAACGGAGGGAGGAGGGATGGGAGGAAGGAAGGAAGGAGGAAAGACAGGAAGAAGGAAGGAGTGAGGAGGGACAGGAGTAAGGAAAGAGGGAGGCGGGGCAGGAGGAAGGAAGAGAAATGGGAGGAAGAAAGGAGTGAGGAGGGATGGGAGGAAGGAAGGAGGCAGAGGGATGGGAGGAAGGAAGAAAGAAGGAAGGAAAGAGGGAGGCAGGACAGGAGAAAGGAAGGAAGAGAAATGGGAGGAAGGAAGGAGGAATGAAAGGAAGAAGGGGGGAGGGACAGGAGGAAGGAAAAAGGGACACAGGACAGAAGGAAGGAAGAGAAATGGGAGAAAGGAAGGAGGGAGGAGGGATGGGAGGAAGGAAGGAAGAAGGACAGGAGGAAGGAAGGAGGGAGGAGGGATAGGAGGAAGTGAGGAGGATGAGGAAGGAAAGAGGGAGGCAGGACAGGAGAAAGGAAGGAAGAGAAATGGGAGAAAGGAAGGAAGAAGGAGGGACAGGAGGAGGAAAAGAGGGAGGAGGGACAAGAGGAAGGAAGGAGGGAGGAGGGACAGGAGGAAGGAAAGAGGGAGGCGGGAAGGAAGGAAGGAAGGAAGAGAAATGGGAGGAAGGAAGGAGGGAGGAGGGATGGGAGGATGGAAGGAGGGAGGAAACAGCAGTCAGGCACTGGTAACAGCTGTGCTGGTGATGGCCCTGTAACATGATGAGCTGCCCCTAGAAGTGCAGAGAGCAGGGGACTGTCACAGGGTCTGGGAGAAGACAGTGTGGGAAGGGTGACATCATGAGATCAACAAGTCTGTCAGTCCCGGGCCCAGTGGGCGGGCTGTTGAAGGAGGTGCTGAGGTTCTAATCCTGGATTTATTAAACACTTGCTGAGCGACCTTCGACAAACCACTTAACTCAACCCTAGAGATAATGTCACACAGTCCTCAGTTTGTAAAATGATCACTGATCCTTTGCCACTGCTATCACAGCCACAGTGGCAATGTATCTGCTGGCAGTGAGGCACAGCAGCTGATAAAACACAAGGGGGCTCGAATGTTGTGTTTTTATGGCAGTTTTTTCTTGCCTAATGTACATACGGTAAGCCACGACCTTGGGACCCAAGCATATTCACTTGACGGGCTACTAAAGGTTTCCTCTTTTGCAAAATCTAGAGATGGGGCTTAACTGACAGCTTTGAAATATGCGTGGCAGAAATGACATCGAGATAGCACAATTGGCACATCTATTGTATGGAGTAAAAGCAGCACGCTGGCCTCCTTGGTTTATGAAGACATCCTACCAGCTAGCTGACTACCCTGGAGTCAAGAAGGAAGAAGTAGAAGTAGCTCGGAGCCCAGGATCAAATTCATTTTCTAAAATCGAAGCCCCTTCTTGTCTAGAGAGTCTATAAGCCAGACAAAATTCAGAAGTCTTTTTACACAGGAATACGCTGTATCAGGGTGGCAAATTTAACCTTTGATAATAACCAATATTGGAAATTTTTAATATATGGAATAATATAATTCTCCTAAACATGACATATTTTTATTTTATTTAACACTGAAGAGGGGAAACTCTAGAGCTTTTTCTAAGACCTTTTGCCCCAAAGCTAAAGAATATATTGCAGTGTGAGCAATGAACATACCCAGCTAATGAACTCTGGTGTTGATTGCGTGGGAGAGGCATAGGTGATCATGGATTGTAGTGGGAAAGTATAGGTGATCATGGATGGTAGTGTGAAGGTATAGGTGATTATAGATGGTAGTGGGAAGGTGTAGGTGATCATGGATGGTAGTGGGAATGTGTAGGTGATTATAGATTATAGTGGGAAGGTATAGGTGATTATAGATGGTAGTGGGAAGGTGTAGGTGATCATAGATGGTAATGGGAAGGTATAGGTGATCATGGATGGTAGTGGGAGAGGTATAGGTGATTATAGATTGTAGTGGGAAGGTATAGGTGATCATAGATGGTAGTGGGAAGGTGTAGGTGATCATGGGTGGTAGTGGGAAGGTATAGGTAATTATAGATGGTAGTGGGAAGGTATAGGTGATCATGGATGGTAGTGGGAGAGGTATAGGTGATTATAGATGGTAGTGGGAAGGTGTAGGTGATTATAGATGGTAGTGGGAAGGTATAGGTTATTATAGATGGTAGTGGGAAGGTGTAGGTAATTATAGAAGGTAGTGGGAAGGTATAGGTGATTATCGATGGTAGTGGGAGAAGTATAGGTGGTCATGCATGGTAGCGGGAGAGGTATAGGTGATTATAGATGGTAGTGGGAAGGTGTAGGTGATCATGGGTGGTAGTGGGAGAGGTATAGGTGTTCATGGATGGTATAATAGGCTGAATCATGCTCCGCCCCATCCCCAAATTCATACATTGAAGCCCTAATCCTCAGTACACCATAATGCCAGTGCATTTGGAGGCAGGGCTTTTAAAGAGGTGATCAAGGTAAAACGAGGCCATTAGAATGGACTTCTGTCCAATTGAACTGGTGTCCCTTCAAAAGGAGGAAATTTGGACACATAGAAAGACACCAGGGATGCCCATGCACCGAGTGGCCAGGAGGCGACACAACAAGAGGCTGCTGGGCCACCTCTAAGCGAGGGAGAGAACACAGAAGGAACCAACCTTGCCAACAACTTAGCCTTGGACTCTTAAGCTCCAGAGCAGGGAGAAGACGAACGTCTGCTATTGAAGCCCCCGGTCCCTGGGACTTTGCTTCAGCACTCCCAGCCAAGGCACACAGGTGGACAGGATTCTGCAGCCTCTCTCAAACCTGGCTCTACCATCAGCAGCATCTGAGAAGGAAATCACTGACAAGGGGGATGCAGAAGTCCTCCTTCCCCCAAAGAGTGATTGGGAAGGAAGCTGCTTCTCCCCTAAACCTCCAGCAAAAGTGTGGGTGTCCCCTAGGAGCTTTGGGTGACTGCTCTATGGCCCCTTATTAAAATGTAGATGTTCTCTCTGCAGGAGATTAAGCTAACCTATCCCTGTCAATTAACAAATATCCTAGGTCATATTAGAATCTTTGATTCGTCTGCCAGTCCCTCAGTTTATTCCCAAGAGAATGGACCACAGGCCCCATCAATCTTCACTGGAGGTGGCGGGAGCCCAAAAATGGGTCATAGGTGGCATTGAAGGTCAACCCAGGCAGCCTGCCATCAGCATGAGGACCTTTAGGGCGGGCTCTAAAATAGGGGGGTTTGGGAAGGGCATCTGGAGGAATGCAGAGGACTGAGAAGAGGAACTTCCCGATCTGGGGATTTTGCCTAGATTGGGCTCCTCTTGGTCACAGGTGTATTATGTTCTAGGGGCTAAATTCCCCACTGGAAATGTGTCTGGGAGAAGAAAATGTTTCCTCTTCTTCCTCTCTTCTCTTCCACCCCCATGGTATTTTCACCTTTCACAAGCATGCATGCACTCACACAGCACCCAAAGCTGGTGTAAGATTGGAAGGTCCGGAGGCCTTTCTTCATGTCCTACAAAAGAGAGGATGGGAGTGGTGGGGGCCTGGCTAAGAACCCCAGACTAGGGTACAGCTCTGGAGATGATGTTGGGTGACAGTTATGTAAGAGGCAAAGTCAGAGCAAGAACAGATATGGGACCCATGGTTCAAGGGATATTTTAAGTTTTCCTCCTTAGACTCATTTCATACCCCAGATTTTTCTATAACAGTGGTCTTGGAATATGCTGGTAGACTGTAAGTGTCTTCAGAACTTCCCAGAAACTTTCCCTGAACTTCCAATGTCTGTTAGGCTTTGAGACACTACGCTGTGCTGTTGAGCTGGTGTCCCTAAAGTCTGATGAACAGATTTTAACCTATGGGCCCAGGAGGTCTGCTGTTGCACACGTTCATTAAAAACCTGAAATGTGCTATGCTTTCTGCTTGGGAGGTGTTTTTTGGGCATATATTTGTCAGTGGATTTTTAAAGAGATTTGTAGTAGGTGGGCTTTTATCTTTAATAATGTATAAGTGGTTGAGGGCTGATATGAAGTCATTGGAGACAGAACACTGGTCTAAATTTTAAATATTTTTGAAACATCAAACACAAATACACCATTTAGTACTTTCCCCTGCTTCCATCACACACATATAAATCCTTTGAGGGTTTTACCCTGAAATCTTCTCTGGATTTGCTCAGCTCTGGGAAATGTATTTTCCTTTCTAAGCTAGTATCTTACTTCCTCTCTGGTCGTTACTGTCTGTTGTTATTGGGAAGAATATGTGAAGTAAATTGATAAATAAGTTTTAAGTATGCATCCATGTAGATCTGGTTCTTTGAATGAGACATGCTACTATAACCATAATTGAATGTAATTAAGTGGATAGTATATTTTAACCACTATTGGTTGTTAGAACATCAATTTCAAAATGCACAGTTATGATAAGAGTCAGGAATTCTAAAAAGAAATAAAAAGTCAATCATTTTTATCAACTTGTTGCATTTTCTAAACCCCTTCCTACTTGATTGAACACTATACTAATAATATTTGATATTTATCTGACAATAGTTCATGAGCTTACAATTAAAAAAATTATTTGATTATTGAAATATTAATGAAAATGACAGTGGAATTCAACCAAGTTGATTTGAGTTCTTCTTATTTCCTATCTTCTTTTCAGGAAGAGGGTGAAATGCTCTCTGCCCCCTCCCTAAACCCCTATGTAAGTTTCCCTGCTGGCATTTCATCATGCAGCAGTGATAGAAAATTCTTAAAGTTGCATTAGATGCACCAGTTGTTGGCATTGTGTGGAGACAAATTACCTTTGGAGCCTCTCAAAAGTTGTCATGGCTTGGAGTTAGTGGTTCTTGCTTTTGGAAACCAAGAGGAAATGAGGTTGCTCCACAGTTTAAGACTTAAGAGTTTAGGTCAAAGTCTGGGATGTGGTACCTCCCATTGCTGTAAGTTAAAACAAACAACAAACAAACAAACAAAACAACAACTCCCTGACAGACTTCTTGTTGGTAGTGTGAATGCCTCAGGGATCAAGAGGAGCTAGGATGGGAGAGGCTCAAGGAGTGCGTGGGACTCGGTGGCTTGACTGGAGTCTTCTGAAGGATGCATTATTTTGTTTTAAACACTTTCATAAAATGAGTTCACTAGTAGAGAACTGTCCTGACTTGCACCAGGAGGGAAAAAATGGCACTGAAAGCAACATGAAATAAGTTTTAAGATAAACTCGACTCACATGACAGTCAAAGGATATTAATTTCCAAAGCGACTTGGGCACACACGTGTACATAACAGGAGCGCACCTCTGTGTGGCCAGGGTCATGCCCACTGCCCTCCGGACTCTACCCACCAGACTGTACCCACCATCTTAGTTTTTGTTGGAGTGTACAGTAACAGTCACATACTCAAAGAGTTAAAATAGAAACCTTACACATGCCTGCTCTTAAACTGTAACGTCCTCGTAACAGAAATTCTTATCGGAGGTCTGCATGGTACTTCGCAAACAAGACGTTCTACCTTTTAAACAAATAATTCATTAGGTAATTAAATTCAAGTGAGATTACTCTAATTAAATATACACTGCTGTTGAATCATAATTTCTATGTGGCCTAGTTAAAGATGAGCTATCTCTTGCTCCTGACAAAAAAAGAAAGCTTTAAAAGAATTCCCCATGGCTGGAAGAACAGATACACACGCGCTCCACAGAGGTCATTTCAAGAAGGCGGAGATGCAAACACAACACGGAGAGGGGATGTCTCCTGTCTAGAGATTCCAGGGCAGTTTCAGCTTAAGGCTGCGGGTTAAGGTTAGCGGGACCCGTTGGGAAGCCACAGTGATCCCAGGGCTCTGGGTCACTGCGGGTGCGGGTGCGGGTGCGGGTGCGCACAGCCAGGGATCCTGGCGGGAGCCACTGCGGTTTCAGCTGCATCCGATAGGCCCCAAGCGGGAGGCGATTCTGAGGCCAGCGCTGGCCCAAAGACCAGAGGACCTGAGCAAAATGAAAAGTCACTTTGTTCCTCACGCCGTGCGCAGCCCGGCCTCCTCTAATGACATTAGGAGCCGCAGCCACGACGGCGCTCACGGGGGCGCAGAAGTCCCGCTGGCTTTGATCCGCGCCTCTCCGCTGCCGAGAGCTGACAGTCGGCTGCGCAGCGGCCCCGCTTTCATTTGTCAGACACGCGTTTGCCGGTGTACCCGCGCAGGCAGCTACACCTGTACTGAGAGAATTTACATCGCCTTGCTTCGGGATGGCATTGATTTGGGACGGGTGAAATACAAACACAAACTAATTAAAAACCGCATAATGGAGCCCTACAGGAACAAGGCAGAAAAACAAATAAATACAAGTGCAGCTGGCACGGCGATGGTGCCTCTGCCCCCGAGCAACCGTCTGGTGACATCAAATAAGAAGCCCTGAGAACTCTCACACCGCTGCTGTTGTTCATATTGGAGGCATAATGGAAATGATCTGGTTAATTAAGGGGAGGTTTATAAAATATTTACGTGTGTGCACACGCATGTAATTCACTTCCTTCGACACTGGGGACGGCGTCGTAGCGGCACTCCAGGCCAGGCCACTGCGGTCCATTCCTCTGCCCTGCGTTTGTGGGAAATACGGGCCCAGTGCCGCAGCTTTAGGGCCTGGGTCGCCCTTGGTCCGCCCGCCGCGTTCCCGGGTGGTGTCCCCACGCTGCTGAGGACCTGGTTCCGCGATGCTTGCCGCGGGGGGCACTCCCCGCAGCCTGCGACCGTCCTGCGTCCTTCGCTTCTGGGCGTTTCCTTCTGGGGTTTCCTTGGAGCGGCTCGAGTCGACTCCTCCCGCCTGCCCAACTCAGCTCCGCTCGCCACTGGGTCCCTGCAGCCCTGCACCCTCGGGGCGCTCATTGTAGACTATTCTTGGTCCCCAGGGGCCACCGGTCCCTGCCTGGCGTGGCAGGAAAGCGCAGACTGGACACAGGGGTCGGAGCCTAGGGAACCATCGAGTCGCAGCGGCCGGACCCACCGGGGGTCTCAACAGCTGAGGACTGTCTGACTATTGCCTCAATGTCGCCGACTTGGGTGGCCTCCCAGCTGCTGCTGAGGGACGGTGCGAAGTCCTAGTGCGTTTTTAAGCAGACTCCTAAGTCTGCGCGCGAGTCGGGGCGCGGCGCCAGGTCAGGCCGCCTCCGTCGCCACCGAGCCGCGGCCCAGCGCAGAGCCCCGCCATCTGGAGCTGACAGTGGCCATTGTGAAGGCAGGAGGCCAGGGCCGCGCCACCCGTTGCATCCCGCGGCAGGTCTGTGTCGCCTGGTTCTCGGCGCCAAAGGCTGGTCCCACAGACGGCTTCCGGGAGTGATGCGTCCCCACGAGCATCCTCCTCTTCCTTAGCGACCCCCGGACTGCAGAGCTTCAAGACCAGCGAACTGTTTCCCAAGAAATAAAATTGTAAATTAGGAAGCTGTTGGGTATGTTTAATCTTGTCCTGATGTAAATATGCCCCAGGAGGGTGGGGCAGGGCGGGTGGAATCCTCACCGAGGGTTGGGAGAGAGAAAAGGGAAACGATCTTCTCCAGGAATAAAAAATCCCTCCCATTTAGAAAACTGACTCATAATAATAATGATAACAACAGCAGCACCTTGCAAGTAAACTTTCCATGAAGCCTTAACACCAGCTTAATCAAGTTAGCTTAAACTGCAGTTGCACACCAACGCCCGTCCCCCTCCACTACCGCCTCTGGGCCTTTCCTCTCCTCCCCGCCCAACCCCCACCCCCACAGCCTGCCCCCTGCGCTCCCCGAGACACGCGCGCTCTCTGCCCATGCCGCTGCAGCCGGAGGCCTGCATCTGTCCCAGCCCTGGACGCGCTGAAGGTCCTAGCTTCCCAGCAGGGGTGTCCCAGTCACCCCCCATTGCCGAGCTTCGCGGGGTCTTGCCAGCCTTCTGGGCCACGTGCCTTGGGTCCCCGGAGCACTGGGGCCCAAGGGCTTCCGGACTGGATCCCCGGCGCTAAGCAGGAGGAGCTCCGATTCCGCTGCGCAGCGACCCCTAGACCTGGTTTTGTCAGGCTCCTCGTCTTTGTCTCTGGCACAGTGACCAGGGGGCAGCCACCGGGTGCGGCCAGCTCCGCCAGGAGCAACTTCCGGAGCAGCGGCAGGGCCTGCCTCAGCCACCCCCTTTGGAGGCAGGAAAAGTGGCTGAGGGGCCAACAAAGTGGCTCTCTCCTGCCTCAGAGGTCCAGCGCCTCACAGCTGGGGCGTCGGTTTCGAAGGCCAAGCAGAGGGAACCACACAACCTCCCATTCCAATGTCCATCGCCTTTGCCTGGCACCCCTAGGGCCACCAGAGGGATGGTCCTAGATGCCAGTGATGCTGAGTCCGGGCAGCGGCAGGGGCAGTCTCTTTGAGGGAAAGTTTTAGACCTTCTCACGACATTTTTAAAAGGACGTTCAAATCAGGCCCACGGATTCCAGACGCACAGCCCTTCTGCCTGCTCCAGCATCTGAGGCCATGAAGCCCTGGGCCCCACTGAAACATTTGCTGCTGAAAATGAGTGGCAGAACGAGTGGGAGGAAACTCTACCAGGAGGGGCTGAGCCAGGAGATTCTAGCTCCTTCTCCGCCCCTCCCCCTCTCTGATGGGATGCTTTGGTGGCAATTCTCTCTCTCTTTCTCTCAGTCTACCCTGCTTCCTAGTATCCTAGGTGAAAGTTTTGGGGACAAGGGCCAAGGAGAAAGAAGAGAGGAGGTGAGTCAGGGCCTGCCAGGCTCTGCTAGAGCTTCCTAGAAAGGACTTCCTAGAATTGGTTTTAGGCGAGGGACCTGGAGTGCAGCCTCAGGCCCTGGCCTTGGGCAGAGAATAGACCACAATCTCCCCTTCTGCACCTTTGCAGGGCTCTCCAGGGAGCAAGTTACCCAGCTTTGCTAGTGCCGCTTCCCCAGGAACTGTGCAGTCCTCAGGCAGGATTCACAGGGGAGTCTCCAGGTGGGGCCCAGCCAGGTCCTCCCCACCCAGCTCCTCCCCACCCAGCTCCCTGGTGTTTTGAGGAGCCTGCAATCACTTTGTGATGTGATGCCAATGGAGGTGATGCAGCCGGGGCACAGAGGAGTGGGCTGGTTGAGTTAGGATGAAGCCTCCACTCCCCTATTCCTGCCTCCCCACAGAGCTCTGCCAGCTGCAGAGAGACCTGAGGCTTGCGGGTGGGGTGGGCGGTGGTGCTCAGTGGGTTGGATGGAGGCAGATAAGCTGTAGCTGAATCCCAAGGCTGAGAAGTGTCCCTGGACTTACATCCCACCTCATTCTCCAGGTCACTCAAGAGGGCGTATCTCCCCTGTCAACCTGAAATGTGACACTGTAGTTTGCTGAACAGGACAGGGGTGGGTGGGACTGGCCCACTTCTCACACAGTGAGTCACAGGCAATGGATGGATTTGTTTTGGGTATAGAGGAGAGGAGGTTGAAGATCGGAAATCTGTCTTAGGGTTAGAAGGTGTCTGGTGGTAGGCTGGGGAACAGGAAAAAGCTGCAGTTAGGGGCTTCCCGGATTTGTGTCACCAAGAATCCACTCCCCACCAACCCTCGGCGTCCCCACAAACCCAGCCCGGAATCTATGTAAAAGCAGGAAAGGAACCCTGGAGGTTGTAGGCGGATCCTGGAGTGTGGAGGGGCGAATTGAGCGCGGGAAGCAGCATGACTAGCAAGACAATCTGACTCAGAGCAGGGAAAAATCAAGCCCGATGTCGGAGCTGGTTATTAGTAATTACTACCATCACGGGCATTATTGTTGCTAATTATAGGCGATGTCTCAGTGTCTGTCCTCAGGCCCGGAAAACCGGAGCCCCTCCTGATGCTGCTGAAGTCCCTGGGCCTCGAGGCTCCGTGAAGAGAGGGAAGCGAGGCAGGGGGTGAAGGGACCGCCTGGCCGGTGTCCAGGATACGGGTGGCTCAAACCACCAGCAGAACAGCATGCCGACTCTGGCCCGATGGCCGCCTTCATCCCGTAGCCCCAACCCGGCCTAAAGCCGAGAAGACGCCAGAGTGCGCTGCTGAAATTCCCGCGGAGTCCGGTGTGCTGGAGAGCCGCAGCGGGGTGAACTCCCGGCCCCGTCTCTGCGTAGGAGGTGGTTCGCAAAGTGGCCCCGGGAGCCGGGACTGGTACCCGGTTCCCCACGGCACCGTCCGGAGCTCTCCAGCCACGAGGCGCAGAAGTGGCCTGCCAGCGCCTTCCCAGGCTCAGGGAGGCGAGGAGGCCCGTGCACTTGGCATCTTCTCCCGGGAGCCGCACGGCCAGGGCCGCGGCGAAACGGAGCCCATCTCAAGTGCGCCGCGCCTGGCCGCGTCCTGTAGCCCGACGAGGCTGAGGATGGAGAGGGGAGACGCAGGGAGAAGAGGGACGCGGGACTTGGACCCAAGAGGCCGCTCCGTTGCCGGTCTGGCGGCGGCGCCGACTCGGGTTCGCGCGTTCCACACAAGTTTCCTGTCTGCCTCTGCACACCTGGTGGACAAACCGGGCGTCCAGGCCACACCGTCTTCCCCCTTCGCGGGGGCGCGGGGGATGTTTCCCTCCGGCTGCCAGGGGGCTTTCTGGGTGAAGAGAAAGCCCCTCCCCCCGCGTCTCCCCCACCCCTCCCTCCGAGAACCCGCGGCGCCGACTGCGCCTGCTTCCCCCGAGCTGGCGACTTCTCCGCGGGATTTGCCCTCGCTCAAAGTTTGCACAATTGAAAGAGCCCGCAGAGCTCGGCCGCTCCCCGCTTCCCCAAGGGCGGCGAGGCCGGTCATTGGCAGACGATCGGTTACTACCCAGTAGGGGCCCACGGGAACCCGCATCTGGAGTCGGGGGTGTCACGCCACGCCGGTTCAGTGGCTCGCGGAGAGCGTCCGGGTGCACTTCTGCCAAAGATGTCCCCTGGAGGCCCCGGCCGCGCGGGACTCGGGGGAGAGGCCGCTCCCCCCTCGCTGTCACCAGCGTCCAGGCCGCCGGCCCCTTCCCCGCTGCCCAAACAGTAGAAAAGCAGGCGCCAAGTTGTTTTTGTTAAAAAGGGGACACACCTCGGCCGCGAAACTGCAAACCCGGTGTCAGACAGCTGTAAACCCGTGTCGACAGGTTGTCAGACAGCTGCGGGGGCTGGTCGGGAAGGAGCCCACGGCCTCCGGGCCCACACCCCGCCGCCCCGACGCGCGCGCCCACCGCGAGAGTAGCTGGCCGGGCCGGCACGGGGCACCACGTGCTCGCGGGAGGGGCGGGAGCGGCCGGCGAGGGCGGGCGGGAGGCAGGGAGGGGGCGGGAGGGGAGCCAGGGGCGGGGCCTGCGCTCAAGGGGATGCCAATCAAAGCATCAACTTCAAATTGTGTCTGAAAGCCCCGCCGCCGAGCGGAGGGCGGCCGCCGCAGTCGGCGCGCGATTGCGGATCCGGGCGCAGCCGGGAGCCGGGCGCCTGCGAGCACCGGGCAGAGGAGCCGCGACCGGCCTCCATCTCCCGGCCCGCCCGAGCGCGCCCGGCCGGCCGCCCGCTCCTCCCTAGACCCCTCGCGGCGCCCCCTGCAACCCCCTCCGGCCGGCCTCCGCCTCCCTCCCCGCGCCTTTAATACTCGCCCGCTGCGGCGGTCGCCGAGTCCGCGGACATGTCCTTCCCGCAGCTGGGCTACCCGCAGTACCTGAGCGCCGCGGGGCCGGGCGCCTACGGCGGCGAGCGCCCGGGGGTGCTGGCCGCGGCCGCTGCGGCGGCTGCCGCCGCCTCGTCGGGCCGACCGGGGGCCGCGGAGCTGGGCGGCGGGGCAGGCGCGGCTGCAGTCACCTCGGTGCTGGGCATGTACGCGGCGGCGGGGCCGTACGCGGGCGCGCCCAACTACAGCGCCTTCCTGCCCTACGCCGCGGATCTCAGCCTCTTCTCGCAGATGGTGAGTGCGCCCGGCCTCCCCCGCTTCTCCTCTGTCTCACCCGCGCCAGGGCAAGGGTGGCGGGTCGCCCGGGAGGGAGAGACTACGGGTGGACCTGGTCCGGAAGAGGAACTAGAAAGGTCCGGGGGCAGGTTCCCGGTGGCCGAGGCCGCGGCCCCCGGGGACGCAAGAGGGCTGGGAGGCCGGGCGGGTGACGGCTGGGCCATCTCGGCCTGGGAAAGCGGAAGGCCCGGGCCAGGGAGCGGGTAGCGAGTGAATTCAGAGAGGCCGCAGAAGCAGGCCCGTGGAGCGGTGCCCGCGCTGGAGGTCGGGGGCAAACTCGCCTGGCTCGGCCAGGGCGCCCGGGCAGGCCCACGGGGTTCCTGCAGGTCGGCCCGGCGTAGCGTAGCAGGACTTCCCTTCCTGGCCGCGGGTTCCACTCGCGCGGCCTCTTTAGTTTTCGAACCGAGTCTGGAAAACTTGGTTTTCTCCCTCTTTAGCAGCTCCGAGATAGTTGTATCCGAGTTTGCCAGACAGACCCCTTCTAAGCCTGGTAGAGTCAATCAAAATAATCTTAACAATAGAGGTCCAAAGGGATGGAGAGGTCTCTCCACGGCGTGAGTGCGAATTTGAGATTAAACAAAAATTAAGTTGCAGTAATGTGCTGGTGTCTGAAACGGTGTTTGATTTTACTTTTGTAAGTTGCCCAAGTTTTCATTTCATTTGCACAGAAAGAAAAGCACTTTTCTTCCTGCGTTACATAATGGAGGATTAAAGAAAACAGTGTCCCTTGGCTTAAAACAAATGGTGTCCTCTTAGTCTCCCGTCCCAGTGGGCGTTAGATGTCGGGGCAGGCGGCTGCACACTTAATTCTCCGCGGGGGCATTGGCCTGTCTGCCGGTCCAAATCATCCATTTTCCTTGGTCTGACTGCAAGGTCGGTGCTTAAACTTCGGACGGCTGGTGAATTGTGCGGCGGGCGCGGGGCCCTGGGAGGCAGCCCCCTCCTGGGTCGCTGCCCGCGGGATAAAGCAATTTCCAAGCACCCGCGATATCTCCCCGCTCCCCGCAGGAGAAGCGGGGAGTAAACGCCCCTCAAGTGTGCACAAGCAAAGAGCGGGTTTCCCTGTAACTTTTCTTGTAGTTTTGAAAGAAAGCGGCCCGGCTGCCTTTCAGGTCTCTTACTATCGAAAAAGATCAGCCCCCATTTTGTTCAGGCGGCGGGGAGGCCGGGACGCGATGAGAGATTTACAAGGTGTCCTTTCAAAAAGAATTCCCAGTGGAGACGAGGCTGAAACGTCTTCTTTACAATTACAACCAAAATAATTAGAAAAGCGCAAAGTACATTTTGGAACGATTGGGCAAAAACGAAATCTAGCCGCAGAAATGTTTTCTCTGCGGCCTCAGTCACCAAACTAATTAGTCCAAGAAATCTTCTGGTCTTTACAACTTTCTCAGAGTCCGGAACTCCCTTTGCTAACATTGCAACTAGACCATTTTTTCAGAGGATGAATATTTTTTACAGAAATTGCGAATGCAGTTGTGTGCCATTTGGGAACCCTGCCTGTGTTTGCGGGGGAGGGAGAGAGCTTCAGTGTGAGGACCTGCACCCTTTGTGGAGAGCTGGGGAAGGGAGATGTTTGCTGTTCTGAGTTGTTTTTCCCACCTAGAGGGATAATATGTAAAAATTATTCCCACCCAAAAGGTGTGTGTTTCTCCAGCTCTCCCACTGGTTCTGAGAGAGTAAACTCAAACCCAAACCCTGATTCTAGGCCTAGGTTTCCAAGCCATTATAATTGGGTGTTTGGAAGTCAAAAGATAAAATTGTATTTGAATGTCTGTCTGCGCAATTTATGGTAATAATGAGGCCTAATGAGGTTGTTAGAAAGATAAAATGTTATTTACCAAAAAACCTGATGGGATAATTTGACTTGCTGTGTTTTACTACTGATTATAAAAAGAATATCGATTGCAAATAAATCAGCGCCTCTAAATGCCTGCAAACAGCTAGTGTTTGCTCCCTCCAGATCAAAGTCAAACTTAAGAGATGAAGTAACTGAGAAGAGGCCTAGGATACTGAACCGGTTCCCCTCCTGGCCGCCGGTGGCTCCCAGCCCTTGCGTTAATATTTTACAGGCTAAGCCTTCCTTTTGTATTAAAAAAAAAAATGGTGTTTTTGTTATTGTTGTCGATGATGGCCGGGATTAAAATTTTAAATTACCTGTCACCTCTAAAGACCTTTTAATGTGGGTAAACCATTATATGCAGATTAATTTGGAAGGCAAAGGACTGTGCTTTCGTTTTAAATTGCTGGCGGATTTAGACCGGTAGAAAACCCGGGATGGTTTATTTTGATTGAGCCCCCTCTGGGTGGCAGAGAGGAGGCTTGGGCTCTGGGCCCTTTACGTTTGGAGAAATGGCTTTATCAGCTCAGTTGAAAGGTTTTTCCCTCTAGCTAGTGAAAGATAAACTTGGAAATGCAGGTTTCTCCAGCGGTTGGTGGTGGGGACAGGGGTCGCCTAGGGAACTTGCAGGGGCCGCGGCCTCTGTTGTGCTCTTCTGGAGAGTGCACTGTTTGTGGAACTTTTCTAGAGTGGCAAAAACGATCTCCACTGTCGGTGAAAGGGCAGTTCCTGAAGTCAGCTCATGGTCCTGGCTCCCCTTCTCCCCAGCAGTGAACTGGGGGTGACTTCCTGATCTGCCCAGCACAGGAGAGCCCCGCAAAGCGCCTGGGAGGCCCTCGAGTCCATTGAAGCGGCTGCTTCCCACTCTCCCGTCTTGGGGACTCATGTCTCTCTCTCTCTCTCCCTTTCTCTCTCCACTTCCCTCCTCTCTCTCCTCGATGGATCTGCCCTGTGGCTTCAGGGCTCGCAGTATGAACTGAAGGACAACCCTGGGGTGCACCCCGCCACCTTCGCAGCCCACACGGCGCCGGCTTATTACCCCTACGGCCAGTTCCAATACGGGGACCCCGGGCGGCCCAAGAACGCCACCCGCGAGAGCACCAGCACGCTCAAGGCCTGGCTCAACGAGCACCGCAAGAATCCCTACCCCACCAAGGGCGAGAAGATCATGCTGGCCATCATCACCAAGATGACCCTCACGCAGGTCTCCACCTGGTTCGCCAACGCGCGCCGGCGCCTCAAGAAGGAGAACAAGGTGACATGGGGAGCGCGCAGCAAGGACCAGGAAGATGGAGCGCTCTTCGGCAGCGACACCGAGGGCGACCCGGAGAAGGCCGAGGACGACGAGGAGATCGACCTGGAAAGCATCGACATTGACAAGATCGACGAGCACGATGGCGACCAGAGCAACGAGGATGACGAGGACAAGGCCGAGGCTCCGCACGCGCCCGCAGCCCCTTCTGCTCTTGCCCGGGACCAAGGCTCGCCGCTGGCAGCAGCCGACGTTCTCAAGCCCCAGGACTCGCCCTTGGGCCTGGCAAAGGAGGCCCCAGAGCCGGGCAGCACGCGCCTGCTGAGCCCCGGCGCTGCAGCGGGCGGCCTGCAGGGTGCGCCGCACGGCAAGCCCAAGATCTGGTCGCTGGCGGAGACAGCCACGAGCCCCGACGGTGCGCCCAAGGCTTCGCCACCACCACCCGCGGGCCACCCCGGCGCGCACGGGCCCTCCGCCGGGGCGCCGCTGCAACACCCCGCCTTCCTGCCTAGCCACGGACTGTACACCTGCCACATCGGCAAGTTCTCCAACTGGACCAACAGCGCATTCCTCGCACAGGGCTCCCTGCTCAACATGCGCTCCTTCCTGGGCGTTGGCGCTCCCCACGCCGCGCCCCATGGCCCTCACCTTCCTGCACCTCCACCACCGCAGCCGCCGGTCGCTATTGCCCCGGGGGCACTCAATGGAGACAAGGCCTCGGTCCGCAGCAGCCCCACGCTCCCAGGTACAGCTCCAGGCCGCGTCCACCTGTCCCCTAGCTGGGAATGCAGAGGCCTGGCTAGGTGTGGTAGCGTGGGGTGCAGCATGAGCCGGGAGGGTACCAGGCAGTGGCCGCTGAGCCCTGGGGCTGCGCTTAATCCCTGCTTCAATTTAGAAAGCCAGACAAGGCCCTAGGGCTCTCCCAAGAGAGCTTTGCCCTACCGGCGGGCCTGCTACGGGGTGGTGGTGGGGTGAGGGGTGACGTTTTTCGGCGAATCTGCCTGGGCAGCCGGCAGAAGTTGGTGGGAAGGAGGCCTGGGACCTCTCCCGCCCGTCTCTCCGTCCTAACTCTGCCTCTTCCGATCTCTCGCAGAGAGAGACCTCGTCCCCAGGCCAGATTCGCCGGCACAGCAGTTAAAGTCGCCCTTCCAGCCGGTACGCGACAAGTGAGTGCTGTTTGCTTTTGCTATGGGAGAAGGCGGTGGGGAGGGGGGAGGAGGAGTGGTCGGGACCCGGGCGGAGCTGGCTGGGTGGCGGTGGGGGTCGCGCAGTCCTAGTTGAAGGAGCGCTCCCCGCCAGCCCTGGGCGCCGGGCGAGCCGAGGAGACTGGAGTTTCTCCCCAGCCGGGAGCCGCGCTGGCTGTCGACCCCGCCCCCAGGGCTCCGCTACTGGAACCGGCGTCGCCCGGCGCTGCGTCCCCCACTCACAGTGCCCCTGTCTTCTTGTCTCGCTGTGTTTCCCATGCAGCTCTCTGGCCCCGCAGGAGGGAACGCCGCGGATCCTAGCAGCCCTCCCGTCCGCCTGATTAAGGGTCTTCTTTTACTTTTGCGGGGGGGAGGGGGGAGGAGTTGGGGAGGGAGGGAATGTGGGAGGAATTAAGACAAATATTTCAGACTGGTGTAAAGGACAAATATGACAACGACGTCAAGGACTCGCATCCGTCGCTTTCTGCAGAAAGGGGCTTCTTCGGTCCCGAGCTCGCGTCCAGGTGGCCAGGCCTCTGCCGGCGGCTCCAGTGGCTGCGATTATCGGGTTCGGTAAATGCCCCCACGTGCTTGTGTCTCTTTCCCCCCTTTTCTGTATATAGAGTGGTTTCAGATTGTAAATAGCGCGTCAGCGAACTTGTCTAAATCATATATTTTTGTCTAATAAACTAAATGAAATGACACCCCCTCCCCGCTCCTGCTGCTGTGTGCCTGTCCAGCGTGTGTGTGAGTGTGTGTTTGTGTGTGAATGTGTGTGTGTGAGTGTCTGTGTGGCAGAAACAGAGACAGAGAGAGAGAAGTGGGGGATACAGGGATCCTGGAACCCTGGGTGGGACCCAAGGGTCTGTGGCTGGGGGAGATGGGCTTCTCAATGGGGGCCTTTAGAGACTGTTGCCACCCAAGACGCAGGTGCTTTAAACATCTCTTCGTTGTTTGTGGTTGTTGTTGAATTTTTAAATATTGTCACTGTGGCAGTTTCTTGCTGGCAGTTCAATTGCTTTCACGAACATTTTTCTGAGACATAATTTTCTCAGGACATAAATAAGTTCAATTTGAGGCAGTTTTACAAAACGATTTTATAACGTCGGTAAAAACAGAGGAAAAAGAATTTTTATTGCGACCCCAGAGGAGAACTTCGGATTAGAAACCAGTTTACAACTAGTTGTCTCAACGGCGCATCGTGGCGCCTGGTCGTTTTCTGAGTTGAGTGTGAAAATAATGGAGTATCGCTTTGCATGTATTTTTAGTGATTCGGTTAAATCAAACACGGGAAGAAATTGGAAGGCTCTTTAAAACTCCACAGATGGGCCAGCCGGGATGCGGTGCGGGGCTTCTCTGCGGTGTGAGGTGTGAACGAGGGGCTGAGGCTGTGGTGGGAAGCGAGAAAGAGGAGGTGGCTTTGGTCTCCCAGGGAAGCCCCTTTACACTTGGGCTCCACGGACTGCGTCCTTTGCCCTCAGGCGCGCGCACCGCGGGAGTCCAGAGCAAATTGCCCTTAGATGGCCGCGGCCGGGCAGCGGGGAGGCAGCTGGGAGCAGCGATGTTGGGAAACACTCGCAGCGGGGCTGGCCTCGGGCGCGCGCGAGTGGGGAAAGGCCTAGGAGCCTGGACATCGCTGCGGATCCGGGACATCAGCATCAGTGGGTTCGGAGCGGGACGCGCGCCACGCGCCGCAGCAGGCACCTTCAGGAGGCTTTGCGGACCCGGCGCGGGGCCTTCAGGGCGCAGGCGACTCAGCGTTGAATGCGTGAAAACTGAGCCAGCAAACATTTCCAAAACTGCCAGCGAGGATGTGGGCTGCCGGGAAAAACGGTCTAGTGGGGACAGGGCCGAGTCCCGAAGTCAGAGCCGAGTCCCGAGGTCAGAGCGGCCGTCCTCCGCTCGCACCCCCAGCCTGTGACCCGCCCTTCCCGGCTTGCTCGAGACCCACTGGCGCCAGTGCTGCGCGTGGGGACTCCGTGCATGGCCGAAGCGAGGGGGAAAGTCGGGGCGCTGGTGTCTTTTCAGAGGTTCCAGGAAAGAGGGAGGCTCGCGTTAGGACTAGGAGGTGCCAGTCCACGGCTCCTACCCGCTCCCGACGCCCGCATCCTTCTACAGCCCTCCACCCCGTTCCTGGTCCCTGTAGAGGGGAAGGTCCTCTCCCTGCCCCGAGGCGGGAGGAAAAGCGGCGAAGAGGAGGCTCGAAGGGCGCCGCGTAGGGCAAGTGGGCCGAGGACACCGGGGGCGCGTCGGGGAGCGGGGAGTGGGCGGGGTGGGATGAGGCAGGGAGGAGCCGGGCCGGAGCGGAGTGGAGTGGACCGCGGGCGGACGGACTCGGGCCGGGCCCCGGGGAGCAGCTCCGCAGTCGGAATGGACGTGCTCCAGGCGCCCTCTATGGTCCGAAAGCGGAATGCGGCCTTGAGCAGCGCCCATCTCGCTCCTGGGGTGTGGGGGCAACTCTGGGGGCGCTGGGCCTTGGGGCTCCGTGGGCACGAGCCTGCATTTGTAGTGATGGGAACCAATTTGTGTTCCAAGGCTGCACCCACTGGTTCTTTTTGTGTGTTTTGGGGGAGTGCCGGGCCTGCAGGTTAGGCTACTGGCATTTGGAGGGAGTGGGCACTGGGCTCTACGTGGGGTGCTCTTACTGTCCAGTGCCTTCCTTGCTAAATCAGAGAGGTGTTTCTCATCTGCCCTCGGCCCTAGTCCTTCATGGATCATCAGAGCCCTGGGCTCATCATTCCAGAGGTTCTGCAATGGGGCCCTAGAGCCTACTTTGACTGCTGGGCCCAAATGGATCTTGTGTCCTTAGCCAAATCGTGTCTCTAGAGAGACTTGACCAGCTACGCCCTTCGCCTCTGGTGAGGAATTGTGTTCCCAGCCACAGAGACATGCTGCTCCAGCAACCAGTGTGCTGGGAGATGCCTTCTGGGTGACGCTGGAAACAGCAGGTTGGATTCAGGTGGGCCAGGTAGAGTTCTCTGCCCCTGGGCAAGCTCAGCTCTTTATTTCCCTGAATCAAATTGGATGGTCTGTGCTGGCGCCTGCTGCTTTGCACACCCCTATTTCCACCCTT
The DNA here is from genome assembly GCF_000001405.40 of Homo sapiens. Classification (NCBI taxonomy): domain Eukaryota; kingdom Metazoa; phylum Chordata; class Mammalia; order Primates; family Hominidae; genus Homo; species Homo sapiens. Next base: position 3,603,773 of record NC_000005.10, read on the forward strand.
TCCTGATTTTTTTGTCAATGCAAGACATTTGGGAACCCCCCCCACCCCCACAAGAACTGCTGCTGAGGTGGCTCGGCCAGCACGTGCTCATCCTTGGGAGTCCTGGCTACTGAGCTGCGTGGCCTAGAGTCATGAAAGGTCTGTGCACCTTCCTGAGAGCTAGGTTTTCCATACAAGGAAATCAGATCGCCAGCCTCAGAATTATTTTTCTCCAGTGAAAAGCTAAAATGAATTTGTGATGGAGCACTGAAGGCATTTTTGTCCTTTGGGCACTATTTGTTTACATCTTTCTGGCCACGGGAGCCATCTAGGTGTGCAGGCTCCCATGGGAACACCCCACGTGCCTGGTGCTTCAGCTCCTGAAAAATCTGGAGTGGACATAGAAAATCCACAAATATCCTTTGCTTCTAAAAACAAAGCCCTGTTAGTTCTGGAGGAGCTTTCTGCCTGAGGAAAGGGGCTTCCCTACCTCAGCAGTGCCCAGGATGGTTTCAGAGGTGGCAGCTGCTCTGTGGCCAGCAGGGAGGAGACAGTCCCTGAACAGACTAAGGGGAGATTGTCCACAGGACCAATTTCCAGACATTTCTTGTCATCAGAAATGGGTTTCCTATAGAAAAGTTCCCTTTTCTGGTTATACTGGGCTTTTTCTGGAGGGGTGTGTGTGTGTGGGGGGGGGAACAAGACACAAATCTGGTCCCGGGCTCCCGCGTTCTGTGTTACAGCCCTGGCAGCCCCAGCCCAAAGGTTGAGCTGGAGTCTCTGAAATCTCCCTGCTCCCACCATCCTGCCCACCGCCCTCTGATCAATTTCATTCACCAGCACATTTATCTCGCCTGCAATATGGGGAATTCATATTCATATCTTGGTTTTAGTGGTCTGACACTGATTAATGTAATACGCGCCTCGGCTCCAAGGGGTGCGCCACCGATGAATCATGCCCTATAAAGTTTCAGTCGTCCTTGTAGATGGGACTCTGCCAGAGAGCAAGGAAGCTGGAGTGAGGGAGGGAGGCAGAAAGGAGAGAGGACACGGTGGGTCACAGCACCCAGGGGTACCTGGGACAGGCACTGGCCTTTGGCTTTTCAACATGGAGGATTCAGGCAGGCCCTGTCCTCTCTGCTTTTGAATCTCTTGCCTGAGAGGGGAATCCTAATTCCACCCTCCCCTGCCCAACCCAACCATGATGCCAGTGGGTCGCTGGTGCCTCCTCTCACAGAGGCAAGGTCTAGGGTGGGGTTGGGGATTCCAAGTGGAGATGGGGTTTGTGGACTTCGACTTGGGAAGAGTGGACCACTGAATGCACTTCTCAAAATGACAGGGCCCTGTTTGTTGGTGGGGACTGCAAGTTGGAGGTCAAAAAAAAAGGGAAGGTAGCAGAGCCTGGGGAGGGTCGCCTGCAAGGCTGGGGGAGCATTGGCCCCACGGAGGAGCGGAGCTTCGTGGTGCCCTTGTGGAAAGAACTTGCAAGGCCAGAGGAACCTCCAGTGGTCAGTGGCCACTGCCTCTGCAACGCGGGCCACACCACAGGACCCAGCACTGCCATAGGAGTCAGCCAGGCTCTGAGCCCTCCAGAAAGGAAAGGGAGGCTTTGGGGAGCCACACACTGAGCGTGCTCCCAATGCCTGGTGACTTCTCTGTCCCCACAGAGGGCCCTGCCATCTCACTGGCCCCGAAGTCAGCATGTGGCACCAGGTGGGGAGGGAATGTGGGGTGGCCCTGGGGCCGTAAGTCCAAGTTGGGGGCCGGGAGACAGGGCAAACAGTGGAGGGGGCGCATTCTGGGGGAATTAAGAAGCCCACCCACCTTTAGGTGTCCCTTGAGCCAGCGAGCGTGGGGAATGCGTAGATGTGTGGAAGGAGAGCTCCCCACTCAGGGCACCCAGCCGCCTCTCCCACCCGGAGACTTTTTCTGTGACTTGGCCGCCGACCCTGGCGCATGGACAACCCCAGAGCAATAGGAGCGGCTCCAGGGAGAGGCCATGCTTTCCAGGTCTTCTCCGGCACTCCCCACAAAGCCAGCGACTCCAATTATGACTCCTGAGCTGAGAGGCCTGCCAAGGTCATCCCACGGGGGCTGCTGGCCGCCTTTTGTACCCGGTGACTGGCGGCTGGACGCGGATCCCCTTCCCTCGCCCCAGAATGACGTCTGAAAATGGACCTCTTAGGGCGAGCGCGGACGGGGCCAGATGCCAAGGCGGTCCCGGCCCGGTGACTTCAGCACTGCGAGCCCTGGGCCTGGGGGCCCCGAGTATTTTGAGGGGCCCAGGAAAATGGTTTAATTTTTTTCGTATAAAAATACCCGGTAATTTTTGGGTCGAAGAAAATGTGTTAATGTCTATCAATATATTCATCTTCATACCAATGGAGTGGTAAAACAAAATTTTTAATAAGTTTCTCACGAAGAAGGAGTCTGCCTTAGGCCCACGGAAGTCACCACGTGGCCTGGGACTGAGGAGGCTTCAGGAGCGACCTAAAATGTTAGGATTGCTCTAAATGAGGAGGCAGAGAAAGGGCGGCCTTGAACCCGGGAGGGAGCAAGGGATGGAGCTGCGCCCTGGGTGGCAAGACATGGCAAGCCAGGCAGCTGGGACCTAGAGAAGGCTCGGCCGCGCCGCAGGATCCCAGGCTGTGGGCCTGAATGGTGACCACGCGGAGTCGGAGTCAGCTCGCGTCCGCGCCGTCCCAGCTCCCCGCCTGAACCCGGCGCCCCTCCGCGAGGAAAGGCCGGCCCTGGCCCTTTCTGGGCAGTGAGGGGGGTCAGGCCGACCCGGGGAAGAGGCCGAGCAGTCAGCGCCCCTCCTTCCCCTCGGGCGGGGCATAAGTGGCCGCCCTCTCCGCGGCTGCTGTTGGGCTTCTGAAGACGCAGCGGGTGTCTCTGATCCCCTAATCCATTTATCCAGAGTCCCGAGCGCAATGGCTGGTGCGGGGACACAACGGCAGGAGGTGGCGGGGGTGGAGGGAGACCGGGCACTCAGCTAGCGCCACCCTCCTCCCGCCCCACCCGAGACGCTGAGCCACGACCCACCCTCCACGGGTCCCACGCCCTCAGGCAGAACGCAATGGTGGGAATGACGCCAAGGTCGGTGAAATCTTCCAAATTGAAGGGCTTTTATTTTAAATTCCGATTCCCCTTTGAAACAGCCCTTTCGATGAGGGAAGAAGCCAGCTCGGTTTCTGCGTGCGTGTTTATGATCTACCTGTGAGCGCGGCGCTCTGGAAGGTCACCCAGGCTGCGGACGCCCTGATAGCGGGGTGACAGCCTGCAGGATTCCCCAGCTGGTCACTTTCATTCTTGGTGTGTGTGTGTGTGTGTGTGTGGTGTGTGTGTGTGTGTTTCTCTGTCTTCTCCTGTTTGCTGTTTGTCGCTGCTGTATCTTTGCTTGTTACTGAATTTTAAACATATGCTTAATTGCCAGAGCCTTGGATAGCTGCAGAAATGACTGAAAATATTAAATACATCTGTGAGATGGTGGGCAAGAGAAATTAAAAAAGGTGCTCTCTGCAGTGAATGTTAAAAAGATCTCACAATGCAGTGATTAACATTTTTATGAATAAAATTAATCACGCATTAAACTCTGCAGCACAGTACATCTGAAAGCCAAATGTGGACCCGAAGCCCCCTTTCTTACACCTAAGAATTTGGAGCCTTCCCTGGCCCACAGCAAGCATTCAACCATTAGGAATTTCAGAGTATTTATGAGAAGATAAGTCAATAAGCGATATCTAAGTTTGAGCTACCCCCTCAAAAGAAAAACCCTCCAAAAATGCCTCCACCTCCCTCTCCCCCTGCCCTCCTTAACACACAAACACATGGCAACATTAAAAAGCAACCAGTAATTTTTAAAATTTTTTTTTCTTTTAGCAAACTCTCAACCAAAGCAGGCCATTTCCATTCTCAGATATGCACGTGGGATATGTGGCCCTGGGTCAGGGAGGGCAGGCAGGGCTGATACGAGAGGAGGGGCTGGAGTCCGCTTTTCCCTTCCTGACCCCCATCCTGGGCCCGCTGTTCTGGCAAAGCTGATCAGATTGGAGGGTGGGTCTTCTGCATTATTAAAATTTCCACTCTTCCAGATAATAAAGTGTGATTTCTCCTCTCTCTGTCTCCCCTTCTGCCTCCTTTCTAATCTCTTGCCACTGTGGTTTTGGGATTATTCCAGCAGGCTGTACAAAGGGAAGCGAAGGCATCTGAAGTGTCACTCTACAGCTGTGCAAAGTAACAGCATTTCCATTTTGTTGATGCTCCCAGCTCATGTGCGCAGCAGAAGGTGAAATCAAAGAAGCCGGTCCTCCTCAGTTGTGCACATTATTTTTCACTGCTGTGGCGAATCTCTCCGAGCTCCGTGAACCAATAAAACAACGGTCCCTGTTTGAGTTGATATATTAATATTTACTGAGGATTTGCAAGGTTGGGGTTAAATGTCAGCAGATTGCGGGGGCAGTCCTGTGGGGAATAATTAAACAAATCTCACAGCAGTTCAGCTTCCTAACATCTTTATTAATCTTTTTTCTCCTTCCCTCCTGAAAGAGTACATTGAAATATTGCTTTTGCAACCTTAGAGAAGATTCAGAATAAGCTTAATAATAAAATACTGCGTTGGCGATGTGTGTACCTGATGGTGTCCCGGACCCTTCCCTTCCAGGTGTTAGTGAGTGGGGGAGACTCTGATGTGTGAGTCCTCACCAAGCTGTTGTGATTCTCACCTGCTCTTCTATCGAATTTATGGTGACCAATTTGCCAAACACAATAAGACTGTTCCTGTGATTTGATCCACGCCCTGGCTACGCCTGCACGGCCCACTCTGCTGAGCAAGGTGACTGCAGGCTGCTTGTTCTGAGGCCTGCCTTCTTTAACGTGATTACAGCGTGCACTTTAGTACAAGTTCGACAATTCTTTTTAATAAGCTTCATAATTAGTGTTGGGATGCCTCATTACAAGTCATAGCCTGTAGCGGTCCTAGGCCACACAGCCCTCTGCAATCTGATTTATTTTTTATCAGGCAGCAGGAGCTGTCTGGAGTTTTTGTTTGTATAATGGGGGCCTGCATTAGGCCCCCAGTGTAAAAATACCACCAGGAAATTAATTGCTTCTGTGTGGATTCACCACAGATGTGTCCTGTTGATCAGAATAGTGTATTTTTGACTTTGCTGTCCTGCAGTGAATTGTAAAAAAATAAAATGAAACCCAGCAATGCAAACATATTAGCATCCATGTAGATTCAGGAGGCATCATTGAAAACATGGGGCTTCAAAGGAGGATGTCCAGGGCAGGTTCGAGATTCTGGTAAGACTTTTTTCCTTCCTTTCCCTTTTCTCACAGCTCTTATTTGATAAGAAACCCATGTATTTTTGTATTGCCTGTAAAGGAAACCTCTCCATGAAAAGCACAGGGCCAGAGTCTCAGTTGGTTTCTGGCTGAAAGATTACTCACGATAAATACACCCCAGCAGAGTGGCTGATTTCCCCGACACCCACCCCCGGCATCGAGACCTCTGCAAGCTTCAGCAGACGAGGGCCTGTCTCCAGCGTGCCTCCCGGCCACCCCAGAGGGAACACAGGTGGATGCTCGGCGGCCGGCCTTGTGGACTCTTCGAGGGTGGCGTGTGTGTGCCACATATTTCCCCGTCAGACCCTGGTTTCCCCTCATTGCTCCCTGGGCTAAGACAGAAATACATGCCAAAGGCTTCCTTCCTTCCGTCTCTTTGCTCTTGCATCACGCCACTTGCCCAGTTCCTGAATTCTGATTAGGTTGTGAATTGCACCTCCAGCTTTGAACACTTACAGGATTTTTTTTTTTCAATCTTAGTCCCTGAATTAGAATGTGTTACTTCTGTGTTCTCTTCCCAGCACTGGACAGGTCGTTGTTGGTGCTTCCGTGTGGATGGATCACATCCCGAGGGTGGACATTTTGCTCCTGTATTCCTTTGTTTGTTCTTTTTCATCCAGGAGTTTTTATCATTCTCCTTGTCCTTCTCTTTTGAACTCTCCTGTGGTCAGCTGTCTGCTTTCCTTGCTCAGCACGGTGTTGGGATGGGGTTTGTAAATTTAATTTCAGATAACATCTTGTTTGTGAAAAAAAGAAAACTAAAGATCAGTGTAACAATAATAGTGAAGCATATGGAATAAAACTAAAGATCAGTGTAACAATAATAGCGAAGCATATGGAATTGTGAAGGAAAATAAATAGGTTTAGTATACACAAGAACATATTGCTCTGATGGTTTTATTTTATTTTATATTTGTTTTTTCTCTGACTTTAAATGCTCCTAAAGACACATTTGGCATTTTTGCGCCAGTAGCAAGGATGTGCAGAGATGTATTGGTGGAAGAATTCTAGTGGTTCCCTATTAAAATTCTATAACTTGCCGTATTACCAGTAAACGTGAGCTGCCAGAGCCTACAGGTAGGCAAGGGCTCCCAGAAGGAGAGGCATGAGGAAACCTTGCCAAGAAGGCAGGGGAAGCCCCAGTGGTCACTCCCACATGGCATTCAGACGGAGGGTCCTCCAGCATCGTGGGCTCAAGAGTTGTCCAAGTGTGTGTTCGTGTGTGTGTGGTGTGTGTGTGAGAGAGAGAGAGAGCACGCTAGCTCTCAGGATGGGGATGTTGGGGAGGAGGCCTAGAACTGGGTTTCTCCCTCTGTGTAATCTACTCTCTCTTTATCCTCCTCCCAGATACCTCTCACCCTCGGGAGAAGACTCTTAGAGAAGCTTGTTACAAATGCATATTCCTCAGCCACCCCCTCCTGAATTCCTGTTTCAGCAGGAGTGGAGTGGGCCCAGGAATGTGCATTTTAAATCAGGATCATTCTGAAGCTGAAGGTGTAGCCTAGGCTTCGACCCTAAGCTGCGTTAAATGACTTCTTGCTAGAGAAGACCCCACTAAAAGAGTCCAGTGTCACCCGCCCTGGTTTATTAACACTTGAACTGGGATGGGAAGGTTTTAACTTATTGCAGAGCCAAACAAATTAATCTTTAATGGTGAGCATTGCTTCTGCTCACCAAGGGAGGGGACCTCTGGGAGCTCTCTGCAGTGCTCCCCTGGCCAGCTCCTGGGGGAGGGGCCTGGTCACTGTGAACACATTCTGGTTGTGCAGAACCCACGGCGACAACAGATCTTCGCTGATGTCCTACTGTGTCCATGGACGTCAGGGCCATTTATCAATTCCCAGCAGTTAAAAAGGGGATAATGAAATGTTGCCTGATCCCCAACTTATAGCTGGAACCGAAATGCATGGCAGATTCATTTGTCAGCCAGCAGCAGCGGTGGCATTTTGGGCTCTGTATTCTAGGGACAGTTCATTCCAAGGGTCTTCTCTGCAATGGAGGGCCGCTGATTATTTGTGACATAATTAACCTTTACTCATGCACATTTTCCTTTTTACTATTCATGCAGTTGCTAATTCCAAAAGTAGATGGCAGTTGTCCAAGACGTAATGAAATGGATGCCGTGAGTGAGAGTCTCTCATTTGGTGAACGAGGCTGCGGACCCTTGATAGAAAGTCCACATTGAAGGAAGCCCCCAGTGAAAGGAATAATAAAATAATTGTAATAATAAAATACTGGGGAATAACAAAATGTTGTTGAGTACAGTGTTGTGAATGAGACCTGAGTGCTGACCCCAGGTGGCCTCCAAGGTAGGACAAGGAACACAAAACCCAGGAGACCTTTCCAGGGAAAAAAAGCAAAAAGATCACCACACCCAAGACACTTGCTTTCCTCTTCATTTTTCCTCCCTCTGTCACCCACGTAGAAAAATAAAGATAGAAAAGAGTTTCTTAGCCAAGTTTGAAACCAGCCTAATTTACATGGACTGATGTTCATTTTATCTTGGGCAATACTTCTAAGAAGGAAGATTTTTTTTGACTTTGTTAAGAAAGGTGGCTGGGCACAAGGGCTCACGCCTGTAATCTCAGCACTTTGGGAGGCCAAGGCAGGCATATCACTTGAGCCGAGGCGGACGTTTTTGAGATCAGCCTGGGCAACATGGTGAAACCTCGTCTCTACTAAAAATATAAAAATTAGCAGGGCATGGTGGTGCATGCCAGTAATTCCAGCTACTTGGGAGGTTGAGGCAGGAGAATCCCTTGAACCTGGGAGGTACAGGTTGCAGTGAGCCCAGATAGCCCCACTGCACTCCAGCCTGGGTGACAGAGGGAGACTCCATCTCAAAAAAAAAAAAAAAAAAAAAAAAAAAGACTCTTCTAATCAAATCAAGAGAAATGTAAGGAAATACATAGATGTGGTCAGGACCATGTATTTTTAGTAGAGACAGGGTTTCGCCATGTTTGCCAGGTTGGTCTCGATCCCCTGACCTCAAAACATCTAAACTCTCTCCATGGTTTTCTGACTTTCCATGTTGTAACTTATGCCTATATTTAAATACTATTTTGTTATTTTATAAGATGCCATGTTTATATGGAGGTTGCAGAGAGCCAAGATCACACAACTACATTCCAGCCTGGGTGAGAGAGCAAGACTCTGTCTCAAAAAAAAGAAAAAGAAAGGCCCTCCAAACATTTTGGGCATCAAATATCTGTTAAAAGCAAACATTTTGATAAGGTGAGTATAAATGAAAAAGAAACATATGGCTTTGATTTTTTTTGAGAAGCTTACTTTGAACCCCAAATATTTTTGGAAAGTTCGAGGTGTTCAAACACTGTGCAATTGGGTACACCCATCCATAATTTTAAGGGGCTGAATTCAATGCACATGTTTTGGATATATTTACAATTACCAGAGTCAACTGTTCATTCTGGATAGCTTTTGATGTGGAAGAATTCCTCTGGGGCTTTAACAATCACTCTGCAATCTCTTTTCCCTTTTGGAAGTAGAAGGGTGTAACTTCCCAGAGTTGCATAACCTCCTCGTCCCTCACATTGCATACTGACTCCAGCCTCTTGGCTGCTAAGTGCTAGGGAGTATCAAAGTTGCAGAAATGCCTTATCCATGGTAGGAAGATGTTACTGTTGGAGGGAGAGTCCAGAGCTCATCAGTGCAGGTCATGACTTGTGACTCTTAGGTAGGAATGAGAGTGAGCCCTTGTTCTCATTCCCTGCCTTCCACCTCCTGAAGGGCTCAGATACAGGCAAGTTCTCTGGAATTTCCGCTCGTGGATGAGTTTTACCGATGACATTTTAATTTCAATGAGTCAAAAATCAGTGCTGTGGCATGTGTTATGTAAAAGCAGTTCATATTTTAGAAAGTTAAAGCCTATCTCCCAGCCCTGAAGAGATGTCTTTAAAATGACTTCCCACGGGTGTCAACACATGTACGCAGGCAGATAGAGGAGAACGTATCTTAGTCCTGACTTAGGATCATTAAAATTCCTGAACCTTAAGGAACAATTGTGGGGTGCCAGGCATTCTTTGTAGTTGACACGGAGTAATGGATCTGGTGAGGCTGGAGTTACTATTCATGTAATTTTAAGGCTTGTGGGACTGGGACACAGAAGTCACCTCGGAAGCTCGAGGTCTATTGCCTCTGAATATAACCCCCTGCCCCTGGCCCAATGGCATGGGAGGAGGAGGGGCTCTTGCCATGCCTGCCTGGTGTGTGACGGTGTGGCTGTCTTTCTGAGCCTTGAAGGGCTGTGGGAGCTCCCCTGCCATGGGAGCCTCTGTGTGCCTTGCTCCCTGATGGCCCTCTGTGGCCCTCAGCCCCTGCCATTGCTTCACTAACGCCTAGGGATGGGGCTGATCTGTTGCAATATTTTCCTTTTAAAATTGGGCTGCAATTTTCTCAATTTTCTCTCATCAATAGGCAATACTATTTCTTTTCTTAATGATGTCTTTTCACACCAGAATAAAACAGGCCGGCGTATCGTTAGCAACCTTCTTTTTGTAGGAGAAAAGCGCTTGTTTCTCCATTGCCACAGACATCTGAGTTCTATGTAAAACAGGTGTCCACGGTTCTCAGAACTTGCAGTTGGTTCCATCTTCCTGGTTCTCCAGTTCTCCCTTCCATTGACAGTGAAGATCCTGGTTACTCCTGTATTGCCACCCCCCGCCCGGTGTGTACGGGATGGAAGAGGAGACCCACACTGCCGTGGCATGCAGAGGGCTGCCAATGCACACATTTCCTGTGTTCCTCTGAGTGTCACAGTGAGCCCTTGCGGGGGACACTCCCACACTGGGAGAGCAGCCAGGGCCCTGTGTACCCCCACCGGCAAGGGCTGAGCCATCTTCTGCCTCCATGGGTGGGTAAATGGGATGCCCTCGGCCTTCAGGACTGAAAGTCCAGTGGGCCTCACAGGATGCTCTACCTACAGGGCTCAGGCTCGGGAGCCTCGAGAAAACAGCCCAGGCTTTGCATCAGACCACGGTGCCATCCAGGGCCTTGGTCCTGCCTTTCTCTTGGCTTCTTTATTTGTGTAGTTGGACCACTGAGATTTTAACCTCTTCTAGAAATGCACATTTAAAATAATATGATACTTATAATTCCTCTCAAGTAAGATGCTGAGCAAATTTTAGGCTATCCATGAATGCCGATTTCCTTTCTCCTCTGTACACAAGAGAGAGAGAAGAAATATGTTGTTTGTTCTGACTTCCCTGGAGATGCATACACTTTATTTAACAGGATTTTCAGGGGCTAGTGATGGTATTTGCTGGATCTTTAGAATTAAATGTCAACTCACAACGATGACCACATAGCTTCTTTTGCTTTCTGTTTTCTTTCTTTTTTTTTTCTGAGACGGGGTCTCACTGTCACCCAGGCTGCAGTGCAGTGGCACAATCTTAGCTCACTACAATCTCAAGTGATCTTCCTGCTTCAGCTTCCTGAGTAGCTGGTGCACACCACCATACACAGCTCATTTTAAAATTTTTTCTTACAGACATGGGGTCTCACTATGTTGCCCAGGCTTGTCTCAAACTCCTGGACTGCAGCGACTCTCACGCCTTGGCCTCCCAAAGTGCTGAGATGACAGGCATGAGCCGCCACGCTGGCCTAGGTCATTCTTTATAGGCAGATGCACCTGCTTCTTCATATTCATGCCTTTGATGCCTCCTCTCTCGGTGACTCAGAAGCAAACACAGATGAAACCCCTACATCATGTGCACAGGCCAGACATGCATATTCATTACATTTTTCAAAGTTCTTTATGAGTGGGATTTCCTGTAGTACCTGAGGACCATCTTGATTTACTTTAATTCTGGGTCTCATGTTCAGGTTCCCCCACCTTTTTCTGGTTTTGTGACTTATGTCTCATCAGGGCTCCTAATGCAGGAGAAGGGCTGAGTGTTTGCTGCTGATGGTTTGGGATAGTGTGTCTGCTCAGCATGGGAAGGAGAAGGCTAAGATGACACCATTGGCTGTTTTAGGGTCGTCTCATGAGGAGTTAGCAGATTTTTCCTCTTTTACTAAGAGGCTGGAAGGAGTACTGCTGTGGAGAGAAGTCCAGGAAGAAATCAGCTCATCTAAGGAAGAGTGTTCTAACGAGAGAGGCTCAGAGGGAAGGTGTTAGGAGTTTCCAGAAATGACCCAAGGAGGAGTCATTCCAGAAGATGGAAAGCATTTGCTATGGTGTTGTGGAGGGCATTTTTCCACTGGGATGATTTGGACTTTTTGACAGCTTCCGGTTTCTTCTGATTCTCAGAGGCTGTGAATTCATGATAGAAGCAGCCTTTTTGCATTCTTTAGGTCTTCATCATCAAAATTGCTTGTGTGTGTGTGTTTCTGTTTACCCAGGTAAGTTTCTAGCCTTTTCGTTCCCTAGTGTTGCTATGCTAACCCTGCAGTGTGTCCTACATCCTTGAGGACAGGACCTGGGATGCCACCAACACTGTCCCCCAGAACTTGTCCTTGATGTTCTGATGCAAACCCAGAGGAACAGCTGTCCAGCTCCAGCCTGATTTACATACACAACCCAGGTGCCCTTTGGGGAGCCACACAAAAGAGAAAGCAAAGGTGAGTGAGTCAGGGTTTGGGGAAGAAAAGGCACTCAGCAGCCGAGAGGCAAAAAGCAGAGGAGCCAGTGTCTTTCAGTGGTTTGCATCTATCTCTTTGTGTCTCTCCCCAAAGTTTCTGAGGCTCCCCACACCCCAGGAAGGGCATCTCTGAGAGTGTCCTTCTGGTGACAAGGCTCTGTGGGAGCAGCGAGGGGCAGAAAGGCTCACGTAGAAAAGGAGGAGGCATGGCTGCCCCAGATCGCTCTGGAGACTGAAGGTGCAATCGCCATGGATATGACATCCACCCTCGTGATTGTGGTCGGGTTTTGTCTATGATGTGAGGGATCTAACGATGCTTCTGAATGGTAAGTGACATGTGCACGTAATGTCTGCGCATGTGTGAGGTGTGTGGGTGTTGGAGGTGGTGTGGGAAGGGCATGGGGAGAGACAAGGATCAGCGTTGCTAACTTGATTCAAGTAGACACCAGCGCGGATGACTGAGGCCTGTGAACCTCATGTGTTTACCGAGGGAAAGTCTCCTATCCCAAATGTCTTTGTCTCATTGCTATAACCTCACGGACCCTGCAGGGTACACACAGCTCATTTTACTGGTAGGAAAATGAACCCCATAAGGCTGAGTGAAGTTGCTAAGTACCCACAAATCTGTCTACGAATGGAGAGAAGAAGGAATATGCTAGTCAGGGCCACCTGTGGCCAGTGTGAACATGTGACAGCATGTGTGAGGAAGTGACTCCATGTCAGCACATTCCCAAGGTCTTCAGGCCACCTGAGAAAGGTGGCCAGTAAAGGGGGGGCAGAGGGCATCTGGGAGATATGAGCGGACAGGGCCTCAGCATTGGCCTTCTGGTCTCCAGGGCTTGGCACATTCACGCCAGGTTCCACAGATCTGCCTGCTTCCATTTTCCTGAGCTCAGCCTTCATTCCCTGACTCCATCCCTAAGAACTCACACATGCCCCAGCAGGTGGTCCTCATTGACCTTGAAGTTGGGCCAGAGTGGCTGCGTGTGTGTCTCCTCCCACTCCGAGTCTCCCAGCATCTCCTGGCCTGGCCACACTGGTTGTGGTCATGATGCTGTCAACCATCACCACTGCCCGGACCCTGAACTCAGTCTTTGGACCCTTTGCACATGAACAGCTTTGTTTTCCTGTATTGTCTGGACTCTAAGACTTTCTCATTCAGAGGGATTTTACAAGGACCTGTTGAAATTCACTTGATGAATAGCAATTGCCTTGATTCTGGATCAATATTGGGCTCCATACCTAAGTGCATTCAAAGTCTTCTCTTTGCAACTGAGGCCCTGTGCCCGATTGCATTGCTTTCTTTCTAAGACTGGGACCCTCTTAAGGGTAGAGGTCTTTCTGCAAGTTACCCAGCCAGCATCATATACAAAATGGAATCTGTGTAAAGCGTTGCTAATGGTGATGCCTCTGTTTCCTCATCTCACTGAGTTGCATATGATGCCAAGTGGCTTAAGGATGGTTTTGTACACCCTGTGTTCAAGAGCTACATCAACTTTAGTTCTTTATTTAAATTAAACACTTAATTTTGGCAGTGGTAGGTGGTAATGAAGGGTAATGGAACATGTGAGCAGCTAGTGTCTAAGTTCCTGAAATTATGGAGGGCACAGGTAGGAAGCTCCGTGGGGCAAAGCGTGGTTACGAGGCCGGACTGGGTGGAGTTAATGAGACAGTGACTTCCTCCCTTAGGACTCTTCCTTGTGTGCAATGTTTGTCTTTCAAATACTCTCTAGGCTGCAAACATGTGCCATGTTCCCACTGAACGGGCTTCCTTCTCGCAGTATTTTCCTTACCTGGCCCTTTGCAAGAACATTCTACACGGATTTCCCTGAATTTGAAATCTGAGCTCATGACTTTAGAGACAGTGCTGGCTGACTTCATTCCAGGAGGACTGAGCTCTTCCATTTTCCGACAGACATGGTGCATTCTGTGGTCACTTTCCAAGAGCCCGTGGTGGGTTGTCCTGTTTCTGTTGGTGGGAAACAAGTTAAACACAATTTGCTATTTGCCTTTCACCCCTCAGTTCATCATGAGATCATTAGTCGGCTGAGTGACTGCTGTCCCCCAGGGGCTGGGAGAGAGGGGGTCTTGAGGGAGTTACTGGTGATACTGCATGCCTGTGGGTTGGGGGATCATATCCTATTTTTATCAGATGGAATATGCTGGACCAGAAAAAAGAACCACTGGGAACTGTGTTCTTCCAACTTTGGTTTCAGATCCCTCTAGTTAATGCCATCCATGAAAACAATTAACTTCTCTATATTTCAGGATCCAGGCAGGACCTTGTAGGAATCTTATTTAATTATGTGCTATATTAATGTTATATTGATTATGTTATTGCCTGTAAATCCAGTTGCTTAATAAAGCTGCAGTCATTTTGCAATAAAGTTGCATTTGCAGTCAATTAATGGGTGTCTGGGGGTTGGAGAGCTATCTGAGGGGCGTTGATGCTAAGAGAACACGTCCTTGGGCTGAGCACCCGAGGCACCCACAGAGAAAGCCAGGGGTGTATGTGTATGTATGGGAATGTTTGTGTGGGTAGGTATAGAGTTGCATTAAGTCAAAAGGCAAAGCATTTGGCCTGTGGCACTTATTTTTAGCTCATGGAGCTGGATATTTATGAACAGCTGACTGTATGGCCCAGCTCAAAAGCGGCACTGAGGCAGCGTCCATCCGGGGGATGGGATAGTGTTTGATTTCAAAAATACCAGTAAATGATAACTGCCAGTATGGAGAGCATGTGAAGGCTAGGGAACAAAGCACACTTTCATTGCTCATCATGCTAGCATCCAAGTTGGAGGAACATACCCTCCCATTCAGAGGAAATGCCATCGCTCCTCTGACAATCACATCTGCCACCAATATCGTTCGGCATGTGGTCCGACTTTTATCTTTCTACCAAAATTTCATGTTCTGATTTTTACATCTGATGATAAATGCAGGTCACTACGAAATGAGTACAACTATTTATTTCTGTCTCATCTTTCGTGATGTGTCCAAGATGTGTGTTCTCATAACGGAACATGAATAAATATTAAAGTCTTACGAGTTTATTTTTAAGAATGCACCCTAGCAAATATAAAATAAGACATTCCCTAATTCAGATAGATAGCTGATCTTTCCCATAAATGGAAGTGATATGAAAATCATATAACTATACTCAAGTAATTTTATTTGGAGGCAGACAAATGGTTCTACCATGACAATTATTTGTTGACTTTTTAACATGCATGTCTCTTTGACCATAAGGATGATGTTTAAAAATGTATAAGCTCATGATGAAAAATGTCGTTTATGACAATGAAGCATATATCAGTGACAAACCAAATAACTCTCACCCGGGAATACAGAAAGGACCCAAGCTCTGGGTCTCTAAGCCTCCCTGATACCAGCTCCTGCTCTTGTCCAGGGCAAATAATTGTAAACCACAGTATAAAACCCAATATTTCCTCCAAAGTTTCTGCAGGACTTTCCAAGAATGTGTCTTTTTGTGTTATTTTTTCTGTGCCTCTGTCTCCCAGCTGTCCCCTCATTCTGCAGGCTGGAAGCACACCGGCCCATCACTGCACATGACAGGTGCTCAGCAGTGAGGGCTTCTCAGTCTCAGGAATGTCCTTGCTGCTTCACTGTGAGGCTTCCAGGTATCAGTGCACTCCAGAGTTGAGTGTCCCTATCAGAGAAGGAATGTTCCACGTTAAGCCAAGTTTATGTCTCCAAGGCTGTTGTCTCTCTAGCTTGGAGGACCAACTCCCCTTGTGACAGTTGGTGGGCACTGGAAGCTGAAAGAAGATGAGAAGAACAAGCTGGGGGGCCAGCCCATGACCCCCGAGGACAGCACAGTCCTTCAGTCACCCGCAGCTGGCATCAGCCCAGAGTGGCTGCAGGGAGATGGTATTTAGATCCGATCCTTGGGATCATCTCCGATAAGGAAGTTTAGTGTGTGGGGAACGTGAGACCTCCAGATTCCACAGGATCCTCAATTGTTTTGTCCCCTTACTATTACCACTGGAATGAATCATTGGAAAGAGTTGGTCACTCCAGCTTTCCTTGCAACTGTGGTATGAATCAAACAGAAATGCCACCAAGTTGAAATGAACGTATGCTGACATCCTGTTTCCTGGATAGGAACTGAAGAGGATCTTGAGTGAAGTGGGAAGTAAAGGCCAAAAAAAACTAGGGCGGAGGCAGCTTCCACAACCCTCCCCCAGCCCTGCAGGGACCTGGCCTTTCAGAGAGCTGCCCAGCCCCTGTGGCAGCCACGCTGTGATTCATACAATGAAGTTTTGTGGTGTCCAACTGTCTCTGAGCAGGGGAAGGAAAGGAGATAACGAAGCTCATGTGTGATCATTTGTACCTGTCTAATCACTGCCATCAAAGAGGGCAAGAGTGTCCACCTACTGCCAGTTTTCTGAAAGCCAGAGGAAGTGTCAGTGGATAAAGGAACTTAAGCCTCGGAGGCCATTTCTCCATGGCACAGACTCTCAGCTCAGTCCAGAAGAGACAGAGGAAAGAGGCCCTGCACCCAGCACCCCCTCCAGCCTCTGGTGATCCGCCAGCCATCTGTGAACCCAGGCACACCAGAGAGGCCTCCCGCTGCACCAAGTCCACCACAGCCTGCCTGCTACAGGTCACGAGGCAGGCTTTCTGAAGCACAGGACTGGAACAGCTGCCCACCGTGTTGGAAGGTGAAAGCTGCCTTTCCAAGTCTTCCCTCCTTCTCAAGGCTCTCTGGGGTCAACTCCTTTGCTCACATTTTCTTTTCAATCAAAGTTTTGCCTAATTTACCACTGAGGAGTTCACAAGAACTGATGTCCTTTGGAATTGGTTGAGAGAAAGCACTGGCTCAATGCTGTATATCGAAGCAGGACCAATTTCTGCTTTGTCCTGGGGCTGTGCAGAGACACCAGGGGGGCCCCTGGCTTCAGGGGGCTCACAGCGAGGGCGGCAGGAAAGCCACGGTGGGAGGGCAGGTGGCCAGGCCACGTGGCCCCATGAGAATGAAGTGGGACAAGAGCTTAAGCTGGGGTGGTGGCTTCCAGGTGACAGAGTAAGGGAAGGGAGGCCAGCTTGACAACAGTTTGTCTTGGGTCTAAATTGCACAGCCTGTATCTTAGGGGACATTTCTGGAGGAGCCTCAATAGTTTCCTAGCAAACAATAATTTGGACTTGGGGTGGGCCTCTGTCATTGATAGTGACCATGAATTTTTTTGCACACACGTTGGTGATAAATTGCTTTCCCCTCCGCTCTCTCCGTTAGTGGAGTGGTTTTCTCCCTGCCCTGAGGACATTTCCAAATATCTGGAGACATCGATGGGTGTTGACAGTGAGTGCGGCTGGCATTTAGTGGATAGAGTCCGGGGACACTGCTTTGCATCTTGTAATGCATGGGACACCCTCCCCTTTCTGCAGCAGAGAATTATCCAGCCCCAATGTCAGCAGAGCCAGAGCAGAGAAGCTGGGTAGCGCCGCATGTGCATGCTCCTTCCTTCATGGCTGTGGATGGAGAAAGGCCAGGGTTCCAGCCCCAGGCCCAGCATGCATGCGACAGCATCTTCTTCAGGTCACAGTGTCTCTAGGCCTCTGTCTTCCTATCTGCAGAGTGGACATAGAGGACCTCTTGCCTTTCTTCAAGAAGTGTCATAGGGAGGGGACATGCAATCCCAGGGCTGAGCACAATTTTCCTCTAGGCACAGGAGGAGTGGGGATCAGATGAGTTGCAACTCTGGGGGTCATGCATCAGCGGAGGCCTGTGAGTGAACTCCGTTTTACTGAAGAGCAGATCCTGACATTGTGCCAGTGCCTGAGGCTGGAAGGCTGGAAGGCTGAAAGGCAGAGCTGAGGACTCCAGCCGCTCCAATGGGCATCTTTCCACCACTGTTATCTCCCTCTTTTGTTAATTCCCCAGTACTTCTTTTTTCTCATGAAGTGTCATATTCATATCTAGAGATCACTCATCCAAATTTTATTTTAACCTTTGATATTATAATTTGATAATCAATTTAATCAGGACACTCTCAGATGCAAGACCTGGCCCTGTTTTCCTCTACACACTCACTGTGTGACCTTGGTTACCATCACATCTGGGCCTCAGTTTACCCATCTGGGAGCCAGTGCTCTCTTTCTGGTTCAACAGAGTGTTGTTTGGACTTCTGAATGGGCTGACTGTCCTGTGCTTGTGTTTCTGGTGAAAGATACTGAGCTGGGAGAAAGACACCACTCCTGCTGCAGCTTACACAAGACATTCACCTCAAGTAAAGGAAGCTTAATATCTGAATGCTCCCAGATGGCCAGATGTCAGCAGTCAAAAAGAATAGGAACCTTACATTTGAATTTCATGAATTAGGTCTTCTGATCAGTGGCCCACACTCAGTGTCTCCAGCGGGCATAGCCAAGGGGTCCTTGCAGCCCCTCTGTAGAGAGCATGTTGGCCACCATATGCATCTCAATGTGAATTAAAACCAGCTCTGGTTTGTAAAAGGGTAAACTGTCAGGCATCTGAGGACAATCCCTTTGAGTTTTTATATCACTTGAAGAATATTTAGGAAGAAGAAAATCAAAGAGTTGGGAGTACAGACAGAGTGAGTTAGGCAGCAAGGGTGACACCTCAATGCACAGGGGCCAATGCTATGTTTTCTCCCCTAGTTCAGGAGGTAGCTGCACAGGAAGACTTCACCTACACCTACCAGGATCATCCCAGTGCCTAGGAAGAGGGGCTGGCACTCAGAGCTCAGAAGCCTGGCCGGCTCATGCTGACCAGCTCTTCGGGCCTGGTGATTGCCATTCACTTCTGTTTAGTTATTGCCATGGTCAGGAACTTTGCATAACATCATCTGTGTTTCTGAAAAGGCAGAGGCAGATAGAATTCCTTTCCCTCCTTAGAAAGCCAGCTGGAAAGGCCTTCTTTTCCCTAAACTGTTACAACATACAGGGATAAAATCTCATTTCACACCTGGGCTGATGGTCCTAGGACCTACCCTTGCTTTCTGAAATGGAAAGCACTACATTGCAATGACTGAAAGGTGAGAAAGATGTCTACAATCAACAGCCAATCAGAAAAGGAAGCAAGAAAGGACAAATTCAGTCCAAAACATTCAGAAAACAAGCAAGCTCACCTTTCCACGAGGTGCTGTAGGAGGAAGCTTTCCCATGAACCAGCTGTGGTGTGTCTGGGGTCAAGGGAACGGCAGTCCAGGCACCTCTGTGTGCTTCAGGAAGCTCACCGGTACCCCCTTTATTTGCAATCAGGACCCGGAATACATGGGCTCCTTGGTTATGGGAATATGTTCATCTGCACTTGGACTTCATGGCATCTACAGAGTTAGATGATCCCACGGTGCACCCTCAAGCATGCGGTTCAGGGAAATGAGCCCACGGGAGCAGGCTCTGGTGAGCACCGCCGGCACTTCTGAAATGGAAAGGTGCCAGGTATTGTTTCTCACACACCCAGGTGAAGCAATCTCAGGCCCACGTCATGGAAAAGGTGCAATCTTCTCCATCTATGTGTGCACAGTGCCACGGACCATGGATTGAGCCACTAGTTATGAATCTTATGTGCTGGCTAGACAAAACTCACTGCACCCGCTGGGCCTTCTTCACAATAGACCAAACGGTGGGCTCCTTGAGAAATACTCTATTTTTTATGTTTTCATTTCAGTAAAAAATACTGAATTTGAGAGATTGCTTTAAAAACAAACTGACTAAATGATTCTTTAATAGGACAGATTGGCAATCATGACCAGGTAGGTAATAGGATTGAGCTGAAATGCTCAACTTTCCAGAGGGAAAGGAGACCCCGAGAAACTTTCCAGAGGGAAAGGAGACCCCGAGATACTTTCCAGAGGGAAAAGAGCCCCTGAGATCCCTTCTGTGGCATCTGTGGTCGTAAGAGTCCACAAAATTCGAGCTTCATCCCTCCAAACCTGGGGAAGCCGATAGGGCCTGAAAGGCCAGCTGTGTTATCTCAAAGTGACTGACTTCTTTAGATCCATTGAGAGAAACAGGTCTCCCGAACATCCCTGAAGGATTCCAGCTTTGAGGCTGCCTCCAGACCTCAGCTTCCACTCTGGCTCTGCTTGTATGGCATTGCCCCAGGAAAATGGCACTAATTTTGATTTTCAACCCAAGAGTAGTCCCAAGGAATTTCTTATCTCTGTGTGTGTGTGTGTATACATATATATACATATATATGTATATTTTTTAAAAAAAAGGAAGTGAGGGAAGAATAAGAATTACAAGAAAACGTAAGGAGAGAAGAAAAGAGTATGAAATAATTCTCGGGTTTCAGGGGAAGATCTGCCATCATCAAGTTATTTATGAAAGTGAAACATGAAAACCAACCTAAAAGTCTCAGAGGAGAGAATTCCTTAAATGGATTTTGATCCAAGCACTCAAAGGAAAAATATGCAGGCATTAAAAAGCAAATTTCCCCAAAATTTAACAATGTGAACATGTTTATGTTGCATTGCTAAGTGACAAAATATGGAAACTGACTATATTTATGACTTGATCTTAATTCTGAAAACAATATATAGTTTTTTATGTATTACCATATCTCTATCCACATGAATACACTGAAACAAACCTAAAGAGAAGTTTACAAACATATTGTGTTTTTCCTATTAAATGGTGTGATAGTGCTGATTGGTGTTTCTTCTTTATACTTGAATGAGTTTTTGACATTACTAAATGAGACAGAAAAGCTTTGTAATAAAACAGTAATAGTTCAAATAGTTTCGGAATAATTTTTACTTCAAGTTATAAAATTAATTACACCAGTTTTTTGAGATCTGGGTTTATCCCAGAATGTCCTTTAAAATCAGATGTAATTCTTGTGTGTGTGCACATTTCAGCCAATGAAGGTAGACATAGAATGAACAGGCAGAGATCACTTATAGTAGCTCTTTCACACCACGTAGAGATGCATATTTGCAAACGGTGCTAGATGGATAGCAATCCTTATGAGATTGTGGAAAGTAAAAATAAAGAACTCCATATTCCAAGTGCCACTTAGCAATGAAAAGCCATCTCATATAAACACACTCAGCCCGTACAATGTGTGTCCTGACAGTCAACACCCTTGAACCCTCCAAATGCCTGTCTTGTGGGTGATGCACCATTTCAAACACCTTTACGTTCACCTATAGGAGACACAGTAACAATGGCCAGGTCCTTACTGTTCCCAAACCCCCGACTCTAGCCATCAGGCTCACAACTCAGATAAAGCCTCCCTGATGGCATTCCTGTTTGTAAAAAATAAACTTACAAAAATAAAAACTTTGGCTATTAACTGAATTTTTAAAACGATCTTTAGCAAAAGAATAAAAGGTTCAAAATCACTGGACAGTGAGAGAGCACTGTATTAATCCGTTTTCACACTGCTGATAAAGACATGCCCGAGACAGGGCAATTTACAAAAGAAAGAGGTTTAATTGGACCCACAGTTCACGTGGCTGGAGAGGCCTCCCGATCATGGCGGAGGGCAAGGAGGAGTAAGTCACGTCGTACGTGTATGACAGCAGGCAGAGAGAGAGCTTGTGCAGGGAAACTCCCGTTTTTAGCACCATCAGATCTCATGAGACTCATTCACTATCACAAGAACAGCATGGGAAAGACCGACCTCCATGAGTCAATCAGCTCCCACTGGGCTCCTCCCATGACACATGGGAATTGGGAATTGTGGGAGCTACAAGTCAAGTTGAGATTTGGGCGAGGACACAGCCAAACCATATCAAGCATCTTTCCTCTCCTGTCATAGAACAGGTGTCTGTTCACTTCACGCAGGAGCACCAGCATGCCTGTTAATAGCAGGAAAACCGTCATGATGGCTTGGTGACAGGACAGTCTGTCCTGGGGCTTTGCCATAAATGCACAGGGTAGAAACCACACCATTTCTAGTCACATTAGAAGGCCATACTTGAGGATAATTATAATTTCTGTTTTTCCAAATTTCATGTACTAATTTATAACGTTTATATCTCCCTCATGTAACTCATTCTGGAAGTCTATCATTGTAAGATTCTTCTAATTGTTAGCACTTGTGACTATTTTACACCTAGCAATAACACCAACACAATTAGCTGCATGGTACAATAGGAAATGCGTTGGTGTTGGGGGTGGGCCCCACAGTGAGTTGTGGTTTCTGAATCTAGTAAGCCAGGCAGTCTGGGGTAAGCCACTCAATCTCTCATGGAGTCAACGATTGAGTCAAAATCATAGATATCGTTGAGTAAGATGACTTCAAACTTGTTTTTCCTTTTCCAGAAGTATAAAACAGACTAACCTATAGCACAGAAACAAAAATATTTTCAGTGCACTTGTACATATATGTTCATATACGTGCAGATTTACAGGCAAGGAAAGACTTCAGAAAAATATGCTTGCGGGTACACGTGCAACACACTTTGTTTTGTTATTTTTTATCTTGTTTTCCTTTTTTTTGTTTGAAACAGGGTCTCGCTCTCTCACCCAGGCTGGAGTGCAGTGGTGTGATCATGAGCTCACTGCAGTCTCAACCTCCCAGGCTCAACTGACCCTTCCACCTCAGCCTCTCAAGTAGCTGGGACTACAGGTGTGCACCATCATGTCCAGCTAATTTTTGTATTTTTTGTGGAGATGGGTTTCGTCATGTTCCCCAGGCTGGTCTCCAACTCCTGGGCTCAAGTGATCTACCTGCCTTGGCTTCCCAAAGTGTTGGGATTAGAGGTGTGGGCCGCCATGCCTGGCCTTCCATTCTAATGTTACAGCTGGTTGTGACCAACTGAATTTATGCCATGATCTGTATCCTGGCAAACACCAATGCATATACTTTACAAGAAGGACTCTTACAATATGTACAATGAGATGAGAACAAGTTCTGAGCAGTGACCCCAGCCATCAGTGTGTCCTGTGCTACAGTAAGGAGATGCCAGTCTGGAATCTCTGAAATGCTGTCTGCATTCACCCTCCCACGAGGCCGTCCTCTAAGGCAGGAGTGTCCTGGCCTGGTGAACATCTCCATGCGGCTGCCAGAGTTCGGATGTGCCATCTTTCTCCAGGTGGGAGGAGACATGTGTCCCCTCAAGAACACATCAAGGTCACAGGAAGACTCATTAGTTCCAGGGACCATATGCCTGTGATCTCACCTTCAAGGAAGAGAGTCCTGACCTCTTTGTTTCTTAGATGCAAGAGAACCTTTCCCACAAGCCTCACAGCAGTTCTTTTCTTGGGTCCCAGTGACCCAGACTAGATCCCATTCCATGTTGAATTTGTCATGGAAGCCAGGGATGGTAGCATCTTACGTTAGATTCTGGGATGGTCCGAGGGCTTTGCCTACAGGAAGCGGTGAGTGTCACTGGAGCAGGGCTGGGTGGGGACAGCCAGAGAGGATGAGGGAGGCACTGACCACGGTGTCTGCTGACCGTCCCCTTCCATCTCTGAGATTTGATGAGGCTGGGTAAACATCTTCGGAATGCTCAACAAGGCTCAAACCTACTAGGCACCCACCTACACCTGGGAATCTAGCCGTCCTCCCTACAGACATATGCAGAGTAAGAAAGGACACACTTAGGACTCAGCTCCTCCTGGAACCTTCAAAACCATGGCCAGCTAGTGGTGGCATTGCTGAGACTGAAGGATGGTCCACTGTGTTAGTGCCTCCCGGATTCCCTCTCTTATCAATATAACCACTTTCCTCTTCCCCTCCCTCTCGAAGGCTGCAAGCTCCTCATGCCCAGCTGACCACCAGAGCCAGACAAGAGCCAGCCCATATTCCTGACCTGCTCCTGTTAATATCACAGCAGAGGAAGTGTCTCTGTGCTAAGTCAGGACCCTGCCTTCCTGCGGCGGGTCTTATGCCCTTCTATCCCCTAAGACTTGGCTTTGTTCTGTGCAGCCTTTCTTTTCTGCTTTCTCAGGTTTATTTATGTATTTCTCTCTCTGGGATCATTTTTACCCATTCTAGTATCTCTCCTCTAAAACAAACCAGCACAGCAACGCCCCTGTCATGATCCTGTGTCCCCTTTCAATGGACTCTTCATTAAAACTATCTCTGGAAAGTTATCCAGGCCCCCAAGGTCTCATCTCTCCACCTCTCCTCCACTCCCTTTCGGGTGCTGCACTCCTGGCCTGTCCGCCGGACCTGGACCTGCAGCCGCCATGCTCACCGAGACCTTCATTTCTGCAGATCCGACGGTGTGTGGCGCCTCTTCTCCTGACTCAGCTTCTCCATCGCATCTGGCACACTTGGCCTCTCTGGCCCCGTAGCGGGAAAGCATGATTTAGATGTGGCTTCTGGGCTTGCCTACACCCTAGCTGTCCTTCCCGCTCACTGGCCATCTACCTCCAGCTGCCTCTCCTGGCTCCTCCTGCCCTCTAATTCTGTAGGGTGCAAGGTTCACCTTCTCACCGCTCCTTACTCTCTCCCGGGTGACTCATCCCCTAGGTGACTCTGAGCAGCATCCACGTTCAGATGGCTCCAGAGCCAGACACTGGCCTTGCCAGCTGCCCTGTGCAGGGCTCCACGCAGGGCGTCCAAGGGCCCTCTAGGCCAAAGGTGTCCTGACCTCCACCACAAGCCTGTCCCACACCCCTCCTACTCTTCAAATGAACAGGACCTCTGCTTCCAGGTGCTCAGACTGAAGACCTGGGGCCATTCCTCATTCTTCTCCTCTCATTCCCTGGCCTGTCCATCAGCAAGTCCTGTGTGCGCCACCTCCGGGGTCTCTCTTGAATCCACCACTCCTGACCATTTCTGCAACCACTGCCCTGGCCCAACCCACCACCTTCTCTTACCTGGATAATTGGAAAAGCCACCGAACTTTTACTGGATGGGGAAGGCAGCCAGGGAAGGCTTTTAAAAGTGTAAACCATATCACTTTATTGCTGTGATTATGAGCTTCCGTTGACGGCTGCTTCTTGCCATAAAACAAAACAAAACAAAACACATAAACTTTTCACTGTGGTTTACAAAGAAGAGCATGAAGTATCCATTTCACAAATGGGAGAAAAATCAGCCCTTTACTGAAATTACCTGCTCAAGCCATGCTACAATCATATGAGTAATAACTGATTATTATTCATGGAATGTTTGTGTCTCCCCCCAAATTCCTCTGCTGAAATAATATAAGCGATGGTTTAGGAGGTAGCATCTTTGGGAGGTGACACGGCCATTAGGGTAGAGCCAGGTGAGACTGCGGCCTGAGGTGTGGTCCATGAACCAGCAAGCGGCCCTCACCAGACACTACCGGGGCCTGGACCTGAGAGCCGCCCCCAGCCTCCGGGAATGTGAGGAAATAAATGATTATTGTTGAAGCCACCCAGTTTATGGTAGTTTTGTGATAGGAGCCTGAATCAACGCTAATAGATTCTGAATGGGATCAGGGGAAGGCGTGAGTTCTGATTTGCACTGATTCAGCTGGTGCCTTCTTCACATTGAAAACTTTGCTTTTGCTATAGCTCTTGGTATGTATGTTTTGTTTATGCCAAGACCATAATGATAAACTGCAACAATTATCCACTTGTAGCTACAAAGACCTGCGTCCTGGGAAGAGCTACAAGCACCTGGCCTGCATCAGGACCGCAGTCTTAAGAGGTGGGCACTGTGACGATCCTGGCTTTACAGCTTTACAGGTGAGGAAACCGAGGTGAAGTTACAAGACGTGCCCAGGCCATGCGTTTGCAGAGGGTAAAGTTAAGCTCAACCTGTTCCCGGGAAGCAGATGCTGGGAAGGAGGTGAGCATGCAGGAAGCTCAGCAGGAGAGCTCCGTGCAGGAACGCCTGTGGGAGGAAGGGTGGAGGGCAGGCACCTTGCTGGGATGCAGTCTCCACGCGGGATGCCGCCAGCCTCACGGGAGCCTGGGCTGTGCTCGTGGGGCTGGTGAGGGGGCTTTGTTACCCACACACTAACCTGGGATTGGCTGTGGGCTGCCGCAGTGGATGTGTGATCTTGGGGGAGGCATTCTTAAACCAGGAGATTCCCAGAGAGGTTGAGGCTGTGCCGTCTGTGGGCAGAGCACCCAGTAATGCATGGAAAGTATCTTCAGTCCTCGGGGAGCATCTCTTCTGTGCTCACTGGCATCCACCCAGCGGCTCCAGGGCCTTCGGTCTTAACCCCTTTACTGACCACACAAATTCCTTCTAGGTCAGTCTCAGGAAAGGAAATGAGGGTCTGGAGCTTTGCGAAGCACAGAAGGCTCTGATGATGCAGGCTTCACTCGCGGGGCCAGAGTGGGCTTCCAGCACCCTGGGCTGCACCCGTCAGCTTGTATTCA
This sequence comes from Homo sapiens, assembly GCF_000001405.40. Taxonomy (NCBI): domain Eukaryota; kingdom Metazoa; phylum Chordata; class Mammalia; order Primates; family Hominidae; genus Homo; species Homo sapiens. Next base: position 3,629,944 of record NC_000005.10, read on the forward strand.
GGCTGAGTACGGCGTCTGGTTAATTGAGCCATAACACTTCTTTTCCAGAACTGCCCGGTTGGCATTCACGCCTTCTTGCATTATTAACAGAAACAACTCGACTTTTTTTCCCCCAGGAATTGTAAGGACTTATAAGGGGAGTTGAAACGTATGATTGGGGAAAGCCCAGTAGCTGGAGGGAAATGAGTCCTTCTGCAGAGGAGATGCATGTGAGTTTCCCATAGACACGCCCAGGGCTGTTTCTGTCTGGCTTTCATGGTGAGTTATGTTATCTGGATGCTGGGAAGGAATGAAGATGGCACAGAGGTTAAAAGGAGTGAAAGGAAAAAATTGATTTTTCAATCGAAAATGTCATTGTTGCATTGATAACAGACTTCTTTAAGATTAGAAAGCTTCACATACTTGTGTCCACTACAGTCAACCAGAATTTGTTTAGTTTTTTTTCTAATGAAAAGCCCAGTATTAATAGCCAGCTAAACAAATAATATAAAATAGGGTCTTTGTAACTACAAATGGATAATTGTTGCAGTTTATCATTATGGTCTTGGCATAAACAAAACATACATACCAAGAGCTATAGCAAAAACAAGGTTTTCAATGTGAAGTACGCAGCAGATGAATCAGTGAAAATCGGAGCTCACATTTCCCTGCTGGTGAGGGCACCTTGGTCCTCAGAGGGGCGATGGGAGAACCTTTCCCTAGGTCTGCATGCCTTTTGCTCCTGTGAGGAGTTGGGTGGTCAGTCTCGGATTGAGCTGGTGGATAACAAGCACCATTTCTGAAATCTCTGTGCTGGGGCTGCGGGCAGAAGATTAGAGAATGTGTCTGGAAGCTGTGTCTCCAACCATGGCGAGAACTTGATTTTCATCCAGGGTGAGAACTTGATTTCTATCCATGGCGAGAACTTGATTTTTATCCATGGCGAGAACTTGATTTTCATCCATGGCGAGAACTTGATTTTTATCCATGGCAAGAACTTGATTTTCATCCAGGGCAAGAACTTGATTTTCATCCAGGGCGAGAACTTGATTTTTATCCATGGCGAGAACTTGATTTTCATCCAGGGCGAGAACTTGATTTTTATCCATGGCGAGAACTTGATTTTTATCCATGGCGAGAACTTGATTTTCATCCAGGGCGAGAACTTGATTTTCATCCAGGGCGAGAACTTGATTTTCATTTGGGATATTTTGGGGACGATGATATCAATTAGAAATCCTCAAGATTCCTTCCTTCACTCCTGGAGATGGGCCTGTCTAAGTTTCCAAGTTTGACTCATGCATGTGAGTGGGCATTCTGAGAGAGAGAGAGAGAGAGAGAGAGAGAGAGATGCCTGGAGTGGCATTACCCCTCCCTCCTCAGACTCAGTGCAGCAGCATTGACCATGGGGAGCCCAGAAGCCAGTGAGCCTTCTTCTGACTGAGGCTGAGTGGCCATCACTATGCTCTTCTCCTCAGATGCCTGTGCTGACCACCAGGTCGGGCTCACAGCCGCTTCTCATTCTCCCTTGTTCCAGCACCCATTTTTGTTCGGATAGTTTCTAAGATAGTATTACAAACATTTTCATCCAGAATACTTATATTTTCTCAACACAATAGGTGACTCTTAATTTTTTTTTCTATGAAATGTACACTAGCATTGCCAAGTGAAGTGTGGAGCCTTTCCTTTCCCTCTTTTTTCCCCTTCCCCTTTCATTTCCTTTCTCCTTTCCTTTCCTCTCTTGTCCGTTTGTTATCCACCAGCTCAATCTGAGGCTGACCACCCAACTCCTCACAGGGGCAAAAGGCCTGCAGACCTGGGGAAAGGTGCTCCCATCACCCCTCTGAGGATCCTCTCCTTTCCTCCCGTCTCCCTTCCTTCCTTCCCTTCTCCTTCCTTCCTTCCTTCCTCCCTCCCTCCCTGCCTCTCTCCCTCTCTCTCTTTCTCTTTCTCTCCTTCCTTCCTGCCTGCCTCTCTTTCTTTCTCTTTCTCTCTTTCTTTCTTTCTTTCTTTCTTTCTTTCTTTCTTTCTTTCTTTCTTTCTTTCTTTCTTTCTTTCTTTCTTTCTCTCTCGCTTTCTCTTTCTCTCTCTCTCTCTCTCTCTCTCTCCCTTTCTTTCTTACTTTCTTGGCAAGGTCTTGCTTTGTCACCCAGACTGGAGAGCAGTGGCATGAACACAGCTCACTCAACCTCCCTGGCTCAAGTAATCCTCCCACCTCAGCCTCCCAAGTAGCTGGGACCACAGGCGAGCCCATTATGTGCAGCTAAGTTTTGTATTGTTTTCATAGAGATGAGGTTCTACCATGTTGGCCAGGCTGATCTCAGACTCCCAAGCTCAAGGGGTCTACCTGACTCAGCATCCCAAAGTGCTGGGATTACAAGATTACAAGCATGAGCCACCATGCCCAGCATGGAATTGTTTCTGATAAAGATTTTTTTTTGAAATATTTTAATCCTGAATCTACATACAGAATGACAACTGCGAGCCTCGCACTTTTTATCTTGCTCCCCTTCGCCCAGGGAGACTGAGTCCCACCCTGCCTGCTTGTGTGTTGTTTTATCTGCAAGATCTGGAATCTGCAGATACCTGATACACACTTGCAGAATGAATGAATGTGTGAGTTACAGGAAGACTTTGTGTAATGAGCCCATTCATTCAGAGCCTTTTAGAGACAGAAAGGTGTAGGGTTTTCTGAAAAGCTCTGTAAGCTACATCAAGTTGAAGCAATAAAAACAGATAATCAGTCATGGTGAAGAATAAGGCCACCAGCTCGGCTTCTACCTAAACACAAGGCATTAAGAATAAGGTTGATATTCAAAGCATGTACTTGCTCTAGTTGGTTTCCTTATTTCCCACCTATTTCTAGGAATGCTCTGAGGAGTCTGCAGTAGGGGCACACGCACACTGAAAGGTGGATAAATTATGTGTATACAGTTGGGAACATGGGAAGGAGAAGCAAATGTACCAACAGCCAGGTTTAATATACACACAATGCCTGGAATGAAATTGGGAACACAAATGAAAATAGATGACCCAGGAAACACCCACTTAGCAAACACCTGTTTCAGCTCTGTTACCTGCCAGGTGCTGGGCCCGGTGATGGGGATGTGAGGACACGAGCCCCCCGGCCCAAGTCTGGATCACCCTTGACTGTTCACGTTCCCTTGTACTCCGTGTTGGATTGGTCTGCAGATCTCCTTGGTGGTCTCTTTATTTTATTTTATTTCATTTTTGAGAGGGAGTCTCACTCTGTTGACAGGCTGAGGTGCAGTGGTGCGATCTCGGCTCACTGCAACCTCTGCCTCCTGGGTTCAAGCAATTCTCCTGCTTCAGCCTCCTGAGTAGCTGGAACTACAGGAACACGCCACCACGCTCAGCTATTTTTTAATTTTTTTTTCTATTTTTAGTAGAGACAGGGTTTCACCATGTTGGCCAGGACGGTCTCCATCTCCTGACCTGGTAATCCATCCACCTCGGCCTCCCAAAGTGCTGGGATTACAGGCTTGGGCCACTGCCCAGCGTGTGGTCCCTTCAAAATGCACTCAGGGTCCCTGCATTGCTCCCCACCTCCCCTGTGGCTGTGCTGGCAGGTCAGAGCCAGTGTCCTGGGCCTCCTACCGTCCCCCATGCTATCCTCAGTGCAGCAGCCCACACAGACACATTCTGGTGTCAATCAGATCCTTCCACTGCTGAGTGGCTCCTGTCTTGCCTGGGTAGAGGCCTGGCCTCCCACTGGTCTTCCAGGCCCTGAGCACTGAGTCCTGTGGCTCTCTCTGGCTACAGGGGCTTGCTCTTGCTTTGAGAGCCCGCCGGGTGCCCTATGCCAAGGATACTGCCCTCCAGATGTCCCGCCAACTGAGCCTCTTTGCACCAAGGGTGACTCCACCCTCCCAACACCTGCACCCCACGTCCCCCTTACCTGGCTGTTTCTCTGTCAGTCGCATCACTTGTCATGTATCTCTGTGTTTCTATTTTGATATCATGCTTCTCCCACTAGATTGCAGGTGTCCTAGAGGAGCAGAGCCTGTCGGATCCTGTGGCATTTTCAGGCTGAGGTCCCATGGGACCCAGAGTCGTTCTCCACATTCTCTATGGTGCAGTTGATGCTATTTGCTGAAGGCCCACAGTCCCCACTTCAAGGGCTGTCCCTCAGTTATTGAAAAAAGACAAAAAAAAGCAGGTCATTCCTTGAACAGTGTGAGGTTCTTTTGCCCTGCGTTCTGTGGGAGGTTTCTCCTGCGTCACATTCGCAGTTTGCTGAAGCTTTATGGGCACTGCCCATGGGGAGTGTTAAGCCAAAGGCAGAGCAGTTTTCAGATGACTCACAAAGGCTGAGCCTCATGAGGAGAGCATGGCACACCTCCCCAAATGCCTCTGATCAGGGGCTGGGCCAGCGCACAGTCAGAGGCCAGTCACTCCTGTGGCCCTGCAGGGTGCTTCTCAAACACGCTACATCCTGAGTGCTAGGGGCTGCACTGGGCCTCCGCCCCGCCATGTTCATCTGCTGAAGCCCTAAGCCCCATGACCTCAGAATGTAACTGTATTTGGAGATGGGGTCTCTACAAAGGTAAATGAGTTAAAGTGTGGTCACTAGGGTGGGCCTAACCCCAAATGACTAGTGTACTTATAAGAAGAGGTGATTAGGGGCCAGGCATGGCGGCTCAAGACTGTAATCCCAGCACTTTGGGAGGCCGAGGCGGGCAGATCATGAGGTCAGTAGGTCGAGACCATCCTGGCTAACATGGTGAAACCCCGTCTCTACTAAAAAAAAAACCAAAAAATTAGCCGGGTGTTGTGGTGGGCACCTGTAGTCCCAGCTACTTGGGAGTCTGGGGCAGGAGAATGGCATGAACCTGGGAGGCGGAGTTTGCAGTGAGCCGAGATCGCGCCACTGCACTCCAGCCTGGGCAACAGAGCTAGACTCTGTCTCAAAAAAAAAGAAGTACAAGAGGTGATTAGGACACAGTCACATAGGGAGATGAGCGTGAGAAGACATGGGGCAGACGTTCCATCTGCACAGCATGGATAAAGGGATCGAGGCCCCAGTGGGAACTAACCCTGCCGACACCTTGATCTTGGACTTCCAGCCTCCAGAGCTGTGAGACAAAGAATTTCTGTTGTTTAAGCCCCAGTGTATGGCACTCATTATGGCCTTCCCAGCAGACTAAGATATTAGGCCTTGCCTTGAGCTCTTACTAAACACAGAGTTAGAAGCCACGGTCCGTCCTCCTGATTGGGTGGGCTTGAGTGCTGATGAGGTGGTTGGATTCTTCAGAGGGAGTACAGACACTTTGGAGCCCATGGCATGATTTAGGCACAAGTCAAGGATTTTCCCCAGAGACAAATCTGACTTCACTTAAACACATTGATAAGCACCTGAGGAGACCCTAGAATTCTACCTCAAAATCAGGGAGAAGGTGCTGGTTTGTTCCCCTACATTCTGGGACCGGTACTCCTCATCCCCTTAGCTCTGGGAGCTTCAGCAGCACACCCACTGACACTGACCACGAGCACGTGGCTTCGGGGACACGCCTGGCATTTCCTGGTCCTGGCACACAGACCCTGGAGAATCACTGCCGCTGTCTGCAATGCAGCGAATGTGCGTGTCCCCCTGGACTGCGTATGTTGAAATCCTAATCCCAAAGGTGATGATATGAGGAGGTGGGGTCTCTGGGAGGTGATTGTCATGGAAGGCAGAGCTCCTGTGAATGGGATCTGGGCCCCAGAGAGCCCCTCCCCTCCCCCCGACCTACGAGAACACAGTAAGAAGGTGCCATCTGTGAACCAGAAAGGTCCCTTGGCAGGCACGGAGGCTGCCTGTGCCTTGACTTGGAATTTCCAGCCTCCAGAGCTGTGAGAAATAGATTTTTGTGGCTCATGAGCCTCCAGGCTGATGGCCCTTTGTTATGGCACCCCGACAAGACTAAGATAGTGTGCAAGGCATGTAACATTTGTTTAATTAGAAGAATTGAAGAAGACAGAATGTCAACTGTGGTCTTGGATGACAGTGGCTTGTTAGTGTAGGGTGATTGTAAAAGTGTACCCCTAGGGTGAGGGGTGCTGACAGTGTGGGAGACTGTGTACATGGGGGAGCAGGAGGTGGATAGGAAGTCTATGTGCTTTCCCCTCAATTTTTCTGAACTTAAAACTGTTCCAAAAATGAAGTATATGAAAATATAAACAACAGCAATAATTTTAAAAGAATGATCTCCCTCACTTTGAGCCCTGGCCGAAAATTGTGGTTCTTCCTGGACCCTTTTCTCTGCCATATCTGAGATGCCCCTCTCAGTTTTGCTCTCAGCTATTGAACTTCAGATCTTTCCATCACATGTCAAAATAAATACAGCCTCTTGGTTCTCGCATGCCTTTATCATCCCTTATTGCCCACAGACTTCACAGGAGCCCATACCTTTAGTCTCCACAAGAAAAAAGAAGGCTGTGATCTCCATATTGCCACACTTTTATTTACCTTATCTGTAACATAATTAATAGATGACTGCAAGGAGATCAAGGTACTTTCAAAGGGAATGAGACAGCTTCATATGAAACGTGCTCTTTTGAATCAGTCCAGGGCTCTATCAAAGTCTGTGTGATAATTTCATGTAAATCCTGGTGTTCCGAATCTGTATCTTTTAACCTGTACGTACCATTTTTAACACACTACATTTCAAAGACATCGAAGGCTGGTCTAATTTGTATTACAGAATTACATTATTTTTGGCAAGCAGCACTTCTTACTGATTTATTAAAATTAATATGGACGCTCATTAGAAAGACATTCAGAGGTCTCAGACAGTCTTTTAAAAGGCTACGATGGAGAAAACCCACACAGTCAATGCAAAACCTGGTTTCATGCACCTAGGTGACACCTTGGACATGTGTATTTTGGAGTTGCCTTTTGGCAGTCTCTGGAGGGGCTGCACCATTCACGATGGCCGCCAAGAGCATTCGCACTCTTGTCACCACTTGAGCCTCCAATCTATTTGTTTACAAATTCCCCCGTTGTTTAGTTTGGGCAAATAAAGTAGTTTTTACAAACTGATTTGATAAATGTTACCGTTCCTCCACTGGCCCATCTCACAGGCTTTACTAGTCATTGATTCCTTAGTGACATTGTATTTGCTGCCATAAAGTGTGAGCCAGGTGGGACCTTTATCCTCAGGCCACTTTTAAGAGTGGAAGTTGGGGTGTGGTTAGAGAGAGAATTAACACAGTCTTGCACTAGAGATGCCCAGCATCCCTCTGTGACTTGCACTAGAGACGCCCAGCATCCCTCTGTGTCTTGCACTACAGACGCCCAGCATCCCTCTGTGTCTTGCACCGGAGACGCCCAGCATCCCTCTGTGTCTTGCACTACAGACGCCCAGCATCCCTCGGTGTCTTGCAGTACAGAGGCCCAGCATCCCTCTGTGTCTTGCACTACAGGCACCCAGCATCCCTCTGTGTCTTGCACTACAGAGGCCCAGCATCCCTCTGTGTCTTGCACTACAGACGCCCAGCATACCTCTGTGTCTTGCACTACAGACGCCCAGCATCCCTCTGTGTCTTGCACCGGAGACGCCCAGCATCCCTCTGTGTCTTGCACTGGAGACGCCCAGCATCCTTCTGTGTCTTGCACTGGAGACGCCCAGCATCCCTCTGTGTCTTGCACTAGAGACGCCCAGCATCCCTGTGTGTCTTGCACTACAGACGCCCAGCATCCCTCTGTGTCTTGCACTAGAGACGCCCAGCATCCTTCTGTGTCTTGCACCGGAGACGCCCAGCATCCCTCTGTGTCTTGCACTGGAGACGCCCAGCATCCCTCTGTGTCTTGCACTGGAGACACCCAGCATCCTTCTGTGTCTTGCACTGGAGACGCCCAGCATCCCTCTGTGTCTTGCACTGGAGACGCCCAGCATCCCTGTGTGTCTTGCACTAGAGACGCCCAGCATCCCTCTGTGTCTTGCACTACAGACGACCAGCATCCCTCTGTGTCTTGCACTGGAGACGCCCAGCATCCCTCTGTGTCTTGCACTACAGACGCCCAGCATCCCTGTGTGTCTTGCACTGGAGACGCCCAGCATCCCTGTGTGTCTTGCACTGGAGACGCCCAGCATCCCTGTGTGTCTTGCACTGGAGACGCCCAGCATCCCTGTGTGTCTTGCACTGGAGACGCCCAGCATCCCTGTGTGTCTTGCACTGGAGACGCCCAGCATCCCTGTGTGTCTTGCACTGGAGACGCCCAGCATCCCTGTGTGTCTTGCACTGGAGACGCCCAGCATCCCTGTGTGTCTTGCACTGGAGACGCCCAGCATCCCTGTGTGTCTTGCACTGGAGACGCCCAGCATCCCTGTGTGTCTTGCACTGGAGACGCCCAGCATCCCTCTGTGTCTTGCACTGGAGACGCCCAGAATCCCTGTGTGTCTTGCACTGGAGACGCCCAGCATCCCTCTGTGTCTTGCACTGGAGACGCCCAGCATCCCTCTGTGTCTTGCACTGGAGACGCCCAGCATCCCTCTGTGTCTTGCACTGGAGACGCCCAGCATCCCTGTGTGTCTTGCACTGGAGACGCCCAGCATCCCTGTGTGTCTTGCACTGGAGACGCCCAGCATCCCTCTGTGTCTTGCACTGGAGACGCCCAGCATCCCTGTGTGTCTTGCACTGGAGACGCCCAGCATCCCTGTGTGTCTTGCACTGGAGACGCCCAGCATCCCTGTGTGTCTTGCACTGGAGACGCCCAGCATCCCTGTGTGTCTTGCACTGGAGACGCCCAGAATCCCTGTGTGTCTTGCACTGGAGACGCCCAGCATCCCTCTGTGTCTTGCACTGGAGACGCCCAGCATCCCTGTGTGTCTTGCACTGGAGACGCCCAGCATCCCTGTGTGTCTTGCACTGGAGACGCCCAGCATCCCTGTGTGTCTTGCACTGGAGACGCCCAGCATCCCTGTGTGTCTTGCACTGGAGACGCCCAGCATCCCTGTGTGTCTTGCACTGGAGACGCCCAGCATCCCTGTGTGTCTTGCACTGGAGACGCCCAGCATCCCTGTGTGTCTTGCACTGGAGACGCCCAGCATCCCTGTGTGTCTTGCACTGGAGACGCCCAGCATCCCTGTGTGTCTTGCACTGGAGACGCCCAGCATCCCTGTGTGTCTTGCACTGGAGACGCCCAGCATCCCTGTGTGTCTTGCACTGGAGACGCCCAGCATCCCTGTGTGTCTTGCACTGGAGACGCCCAGCATCCCTGTGTGTCTTGCACTGGAGACGCCCAGCATCCCTGTGTGTCTTGCACTGGAGACGCCCAGCATCCCTGTGTGTCTTGCACTGGAGACGCCCAGCATCCCTCTGTGTCTTGCACTGGAGACGCCCAGCATCCCTGTGTGTCTTGCAGTAGAGACGCCCAGCATCCCTTTGTGGTGTGATTCACTGGCAGGTGGCCATTGGGAGGGGCCAGCCAGGGAACTGCTATGGGACAGGCAGGAAGCTGCATTTCTGAGCTCATCCACAGTGAGGTAGGCATGAGGTCCCCTTCCTGCAGGAAGCTCCTCCGTCCTTGGTGGTTCTCCTGGCCCGGCCTTCCCTAGTGCATAGCTTAGTGCATTGGCCACACACTTCCTACTCCCTGACACCTGTCTGTCCTCTGAGGCACGGTCGCCTTCTTCTTATTAGATGGGTGGGAGGGGTGAGGATGTCAGGCAGAGACCCTTTAACTCTTTCCTGATGCATGAGCTTCCTGTGGCTGCTGGAACTAACCATGCTCTGGGCGGACAAAAACAACAGAAGTGCATCCCCTCGCACTTCTGCAGGCTGGAAGTCCAGAGCCAAGGTGTCCACTGGGTTGGGCCTCCTTCCAAAGGCTCCAGAAAGGGCGCTTTCTTGCCTCTTCCAGCCTCTGGTGGCCCCCGTGATCCTGGGCTTGCAGCCAGTTCTATCCCTGCCTCCCTCTTCACCCTGCCTTCTCTGCTGCCTGTCCGAGATTCAAATTCCGCTTCAGCTCTGTCTTGACAAATGATTCAGTGTATAAAACAGTCCTGTTACCTAGAGAGCCAATACTAGACAGTAGGCTTCTAGAATGTATTCATTTTACTTAACTGAAATGTTATGCCCATTGATTTAATTTGATTAGCAACTCCTCATTTCCCCTCCCTGCCCTGGCAATCACTGTTCTGTTCTCGGCCTATGTGTATTTGACTATTTTACATCCCTCGTAGGAGTGGGATCATTCAGTCTGTGTCCTTCTGTGACTGGTTTATTTCACTCAGTGTAATGTCCTCCGGGTTCATCCATGTTGTCACACATGGCAGGATATCCTTTGGTTTTATGGCTATGGCTATGTAGTATTCTACTCTTTGTCTATACCACCTTTTTTTATCCATTCATCCTTTGATGAATAATTAGGAGCAGCCCACATCTTGGCTATTGTGAGTAGTGCTGCAACGAGCATGGAAATTCCCCACTCAAAAGATAGAGAGCAGCTGAATAAATTAAAGAAAAAACCAAGATCCAACCATAAGTTGTGTACAAGAGATTCACTTTAGATTTAAGGACACTCATAGCCTGAAAATGAAGGAATAAAAAAAAGATAGCCAATGAAGAATAAAGAGATGAGAATGGCCACACTAACATCAGACTAAATAAACTAAAAATAGAAGTAGCATGTGATCCAGCAAGTCCACTTCTGGGTCTTCCTCCAAAGCTCTCTCTGGTTCATTCTTTTTTAAAATAATTTTTAAATTATTTTTTTTTGAGACTGAATCTTGCTCTGTCACCCAGGCTGGAGTGCAGTGGTGCAATCTCAGCTCACTGCAACCTCTGCCTCCTGGGTTCAAGCAGCGCTCATGCCTCAGCCTCCCAAATAGCTGGAACTACAGGTACAAGCCACCACACCAGGCTAATTTTTGTATTTTTAGTAGAGGTAGGGTTTCACTATGTTGGCCAGGCTGGTCTCAAACTCCTGACCTCAAGTCATCTGCCTGTCTCAGCCTCCTGACATGCTGGGCTTACAGATGTGAGCCACCGCACCTGGCCTCTCTCTGGTTCATTCTTATAAGGACACTTGTCATTGCTTTTAGGGCTCAATTTAAATCCAGAATGATCTCATTCGAGGAACCTTAACTTAATGACACCTGTCAAACCCCCTTTTCCAAATAAGGTCACTGTCACAGATCTCAGGGGTTAAAATGTGAACGTATCATTTGGGGGGCACTGTTCAACATCCTACCCTTGATGAGTCCCAGGAGCAATTCTGCACCTCCCTTTCAGGTCCCTTTAGAAAGTGGGGCTGGCTTTTCCCTGTTATCCTACTCTCCGGAATTCTAGAAGGGGTTTCAGGCAAGAGAAAAGTCCCATTAGCATGCTGGTGCATGGGGCCCCTCTCTGTCCTCACCTAACTCCATACCCCATACTGCTGTAATGTAGAGAACATCCTCACTGTTGCATGTGAACAGGGAGGTACAGGGCCAACTCCTCTGACAAGACAGTGGGATAAGCAAAGGAGAGTTGAGGGTTCAGTCAAGAGCCCATTTGCTAAATAATCTTGCTCATAAAATCTTGGGATTTTAACTGTTGTCCATGGCGGTCCTTGGGTTTGGGGTGGACTTTTCCTGAAGTTTTTTTTTTTTTTTTTTGACGGAGTCTTGCTGTCACCAGGCTGGAGTGCAGTGGAACGATCTCAGCTCACTGCAACCTCCGCCTCCCAGGTTCTAGCGCTTCTCCTGCCCCAGCCTCCTGAGTAGCTGGAACTACAGAAACGCCCCACCATGCCCAGCTAATTTTTGTATTTTTAGTAGAGACGGGGTTTCACCATGTCGGCCAGGATGGTCTCGATCTCTTGACCTTGTGATCTGCCCACCTCGGCCTCCCAAAGCACTGGGATTAGAGGCATGAGCCTCTGTGCCTGGCCTTCCTGAAGCTTTTGAGCCTGCTCTTTCCACATCCTCGTTTTCTCTGATTTGGCTGCCTGACTGATCCTAACAACTCCTATGTCCTTCTGCCATGGCGTATCTTACCGGGATGCACTCTCTGGATTCACACTAAGGTATGAGGTGAGAGGTGTGTGCCTTCCATACACAAAGGTATGAGGCTCCATTTATGGGTTTCTTGGGTCGCTTGTCCATTCCATTTTTCTGCAAAGCTCTTCCTCTCCCCCAGCCCCTTCCCCACCCCCTCTCAGCCAGTGCTGTCTTGGATGCTGAAAGATGGCAGTTTTCAGAGTTGAATCTGAAGAAGAATCATCTTGAATGATTGTTTAAATGCAGATGTCCCCTCACCACCAGTACTGGGAACTATACTCAGTACACCCAAGAATCTGATCTGCAGGTCTGTGATGTGGCCCAGGAATCTGCATTGTCAAGATTTCCCCAGCTGATTCTGTCTCAAGATTCTCAGTGGCAGCTGGAGCAGCAGGGAGAGGTCACTTTTATCATCTGGCTGGGGGCAGAAGCTTCCAGGCTAGAGGTGAGTGGCCACTCCCAGAGTGAGGCAGGGAGGACGGAGCAGGACCTAGTCTTTCTCTTCCACTGGGCCAAGATTCAGTCAGCAGAGGTCCCAGGGCCCGCCTGTGCCAGGCCTGGTGAAAAGCATCGAGACTTGGCTGAGCTAGTTCTCTGTGCTCTTAGGAAAAGGGCACCAGGTCCTAAACTCAATCCTGTTTTCAGGGACCAGTGAAAGGAAGAAGCAGGAAAAGGGAAATAAGTGTTCAGAGCAGCCTGGAGCATGCATATACCATGTCTCGAACACTCTCTGCACCCCCCTCCTCTGAGCTCCCAGGGCCTGCAAGTTAGAAACAGGCCCTCTCCCTCCTTGGGTCCTGTAGCCAACGGCTGTCTCCAGTGATTGTAGAACCTGAAGAAATGAAGAAAATAAAAAACAAAAAGAGAATAAAAGATGAAAACTGAAAGAGCACTTGGCCCTGTCCACCCAGGGCAGTGGGGAGGGGCTGTGGGAAATGAGGGGTTGTTCTTGGCGGGGAGGGAGAAGCCTTCTCATCTGGGTTTCCTTCCTTCCTGGGTCCTGCACTTTCCTTGCAGACCGAGGTTTCTTGGTGGAGTTAAAGTCTAGAAACCTCTTCTTGGCTGAGTGGCCCATGGCGTAGGCAAATCTTTCATGAGAGAGAGATTAAACCTATGATGAAGGGATTTGACCAAATTGCTCTTCAAAGTGTTGCTTTTAAGTGACAACATCTTGCAAAATCTCTTTGCTGACTGTAATCTGGATGCAGTCCCTCTGTCCTCCTGTTATGGGGCTGAAATGAGGAGGCAGATAGTTCACGCTGTAGATCCAACTTGACACCACGGCCTTCCCCCTCCATCCCCCCATCCCAAGCAGCTTCCCTCTGTGCCTTTGCAGCCTGGGGCCCTCTAGGAGGCAGCCTCCGTGTTCACCCACCCCTGGTCATAGTCACCAGGCTGAAGGGCAAGGGACATTCCTTGGGGGACCGGGTGCAAAGGGGCTCTGGTTTCATCCAGCTCCATGAAAAGTAAGGCAGGCAGGATGGAGGAAAAGACGCTGAAAATTACAAATCACTAAACAAATGTCCATTGTCATTATATGGACTGTGGGTTCTTGAGGGTGAATCCAGAGTCATTCCTACTGACCCCATTTCTATGAACAGGCCAAACCCCCACCTGCCCCCTCCAGATGCTGAAGCCCATGTTTGCGTTACTCTTATTACCCCTCCCTCTACTCCAGTGGCAGAAGGTAATGAAAATGGAAAGATGACGAGTAATCGCTTTAGTTAAAAAATGAGTGGGAAATAAGTAGTTTTCCTAGAACATTCAGAAATCTCGCCCTGCCTCTGGAGTCTGCATTTTGGAGACAGCGTCAGACCTCGGATGCTGGCTATGCCTCCCGGAGCAGAAGGAGAGCAATGGCATGAAAGAGGAGGAAACAGCAGCAGGAGGGCATCAAATTGCGAACATCAAATTGCAGAAGCCAGCTCTTGACAGAAAGGGGCTTGTTAATACTTAATTTGCTTTGCACTAAAACATAGGCATCCTTATAAATGTTAACTGGATACTGTAAGTACAATGCGTTAACCTGTTACAGAAACAGACTTGTGGAAGGAAACTATTTTCTCCGCTACTTGCCAAACACATTTAACTGGGCCATAGAGCCCTCTAAAAGCACGTACGAGTCAGAGAATGATTCTGCCATTGGGACGTTTTCAGAAAACCAACAATTTTTTCTGAATTTTTAAGAAGACAAACAGAAGCCCCAGCCAGGGAAAGAGTGTCTTCTGTCTTGGTTTCTTAGATGGTGGTTGGACTCGGAGCTTTCCTGCAATTTCACTCTGTGCCCAGCCCGTTGACTTCAGGAAACCATATACAGATAGGGCTGGTGCAGAGGGCTGGGGGCATTAATTGAGGATGGAAATCCAGAAAAAGGCCGCCCCTCAGCAGCAGGGGATAACGAGGACCCTTTCCATGCCCCGGGAGTGTGTATTTTCTTCCAGTCTGGAAGCCCAGAAAGGACCTCTGATGTGTGCACGAGAGCCCTCGGTGCCCAGAGGATGCCAGCCTCACTGAGTTACAACTTCTCTCTAACAGCCACGTTTTGCTGCTAGAAGAGGAAGGATTCCCTCTGACAGGCTGCATGGCTGTTGTCCCAGCAAGTCCCTAGGAAACCAACAGTTTGCAGAACCCTGGACATGGAGCCATATTTGAAGTTCTTTGCTTAGATTTCTTTTATCCAGTGGTCTCCATATCCCAGGCATGTGTCAAGCTCCTCCCTGGGGCTCAGCCAAGAAAGGAAGATTGCCTGTTCTCCTGCTACAGGTCTGCTTTAACTGAGCAGTCAGCCCAGACTTAGGTCCAAGTGTGCTGGATTCTCTAGGCTCCATTTTTCTTCCTAAAGTCAAGGGAAAAACTCAAATTTCCTTTGGGTCAAAGGTATACGTATTCACTTCCTTTGCATCCTTCTGGCTTCATATTCACAGTGGCTTTCTTGGGCCCCAAGCACACCCAACAGAAACTGCCCTCCTGTGTAATCCTCACAAATACCTGCTTCCTGAGCCAAACCCAGTGTCCCTCAAGTTGAGTTGCCATGAAACCCACTATGGGGGTTTCCAGACTCTGTAGGGGAAGGCAGCTTCCTCCTGCATTGCTTAGGACCCGAACTGGTCTACTTTGTTGGTCTCCTCTGCGGAGGTTGTGAGACTGTCCTCAGGATATTAGTTGAAGCTCTTTCCATCCCCACCAACGGGAAGGGGAAGAAGAAAGGATGAGGAGAGGAAAGGGGAGAAGGAAGAGAGGTGGGGAGGCAGGCTCGTGAGACAGGCTCTCACCGTGGTGGATGGTGGGCTCGGTGGCTCTCAAGACAGCCCTCCCAGACTCTCGGGGGTGCGCTGGGGAGTCTCCTGTCTGTTGGCAGTGGGAGCTCAAGTGGATTTATTAGATTGGAGCTAATGGGCCACCTTCTGCCGCTGAGGCCAGAGTTTGTTTTGGAGTCTGTCCTCAGAAAGTCTTCGTGGTTCTACCAGAAATAAGTTGCACGTATTCCAGTCACCTGATCTTCCAAAAAGTCGACAAAAATGAGCAACAGGAAAAAAGACTTCCTACTCAATAAATGGTGCTGGGATACCTGGCTAGACATAGGCGGAAGAATAAAACTGAACTTCTCCCTTTCATCGTATACAAAAATAAATTCAAGATGCATTAAAGATTTAAATATGAGACCTCAAACTATAAGAATCCTAAAAGAAAACCTAGGAAGTTCCATTCTGGGCATCAGCCATGGGAAAGAATTTATAATGAAGTTCTCAAAAGCAGTCACAACAAAAACAAAAATTGACACGTGGTACCTAATTAAACTAAAGAGCTTCTGCACAGCAAAAGAAACTATCAACAGAGTGAACAGACAGCCTACAGGATGGTAGAAGCTATTTGCAAACAATGCATTCCACAAAGGTCTAATGTCCAGAATCTACAAGAAACTCAAACAACTCACAAACAAAAAACAAATAATTCCGTTGAAAACTTGGCAAAAGACATAAACAAACACTTCTCCAAAGAAAACATACAAGCAGCCAACAAACATGAGAAAATGCTCAACATCTTCAGAGAGATGCAAATTTAAACCGCAATGACATACCACCTCTCACAAGTCAGAACGACTATTACGAAAAAGTAAAAAAGTAACAGATGCTGGCTGGGTATGGTGGTTTATGCCTGTAATCCCAGCACTTTGGGAGACTGAGGCAGGAGAATCGCTTGAGCCCAAGAGTTCAAGACCATCTTAGACAACATAACAAGACCTCATCTCTACAAAAAATATTTAAAAATAAGGTGGGCATGGTGGCACATGCCTGTAGTCTCAGCTACTTGGGAAGCTGAAGTGGGAGGATCACTTGAGCCCGGGAAGTTGAGGCTATGGTGAGCCATGACCATGCCACTGTACTCTAGCCTGCATGACAGACCAAGACCCTGTCTCAAAAAAAAAAAAATAAATAAATAAAAATAAAAAATAACAGAAGCTGGTGAGGCTGCAGAGAAAAGGTTATGCTTATACATTGTTGGTGGGGATGTAAATTAGTTCAACTACTGTGGAAAGCAGTTTGGACATTTCTCAAAGAATTAAAAGCAAAACTACCTTTAGATCCTGCAATCCCATATCTGGGTATTTGTATTTACCCAGAGGAAAATAAATAATTCTACCAAACAGACACATGTGTGCGTATGTTTATCACAGCACTATTCACAATAGCAAAGACATGAAATCAACTTAAATATCCATCAACACTGGACTGGATAAAGAAAATATGATACATATACACAATGGAATACTACTCAGACAAACAAAAGGAAGGAAATCATGTCCTTTCCAGCAACATAGATGAAGTTGGAGGCCATTATACTAAGCAAATGAACACAGGAACAGAAAACCAAATACTGCATGTTCTCACTTATAAGTGGGAGCTAAACTTGGGATACACATGGACATAACAATGGGAACAATAGACACTGGGCTCTACAAAGAAGGGAGGGAGGGAGAGAGAGAGGGGGCAAGGTATGAAAAATGACCTATTGAGTACTGTGCTCAGTACTTGGGTGACAGTTTCAATTGTACCCCAAATCTCAGCATCACGCAGTATACTCTGGTAACAAACCTGCACAGGTACCCACTGAAAATAAAATAAAAATTGAAATCATAAAAAAGAAAGTTTTAGCTATTCTAGAGGGCACCTTGAAAAGAAGACTCCCATCAAGCCAACTGAGCATTTGGAATATTCTCTGCCTTCCCCACCAAGAACCTTGGATTTCTTTCTTTCTTTCTTTCTTTTCCTTTTTTTTTTTTGAGATGGAGTCTCACTCCATTACCCAGGCTGGAGTGCAATGGCATGGTCTCGGCTCACTGCAACCTCTGCCTCCAGGTTTCAAGTGATTCTGCAGCCTCACTTTCCCAAGTAGCTGGGACTGCAGGTGTGTGCCACCACGCCCGCCTAATTTTTGTATTTTTAGTAGAGACAGGGTTTCACTATATTGACCAGGCTGGTCTCAAACTCCTGACCTCGTGATCCACTCGCCTCAGCCTCCCAAAGTGTTGGGATTACAGGTATGAGCCACCGTGCCCGGCCTGAGCCTTGGATTTCTAAGGACTGTCGTGCATAGATCCTAGATTTTTCCAGATTTTCCAGACCAGTTCTGGTCCACAGAACCTCTCTCTCAACAAACCCCACAGCCATGTTTTGTCCACAGAAATGGGCCTGGCAAGACCCCTAATTTTGAGCTTTGTTTTTGCCATTTCCCCCAGTGCCATGTCTGCACTGCCTCTGTTGCTGGAGGCATTCCTGAACAGAAATTTGACTTGACACATGTTTTTCAGTTGTTTGAAAGGTCATCAACTCACTCACCCACTGGGACAATCAATCCATCACCCATCAATCAAATAATTCAACAGATGCTTATTAAATGTTTGGTGGTGTCATGCCCACATACGGTGTCTGTCCTCAGGAAGCTCCAGGAACCCAGGAAGGAATCTTAGTGCTTCTCAGCAGGTCACGTGGAAGCCCTGGCAGTTTTCAGAGATGTGCAGCTGGTGGGGGATTGCAGAGCCCCTGCTGGGGTCTCTTCGCACTTGCTCCAGGAATGAGGGGCTCTGATGAGCTTCATGACCTGGTTATGTGTTCATTAGTAACATAAAGACATAATCCTCAAAGACAGTCTTTCCTTTTTATAGTCTTTCCTTTTAATGGCCAAACATAGATGAGAATGGTCATTTTCTAGTGTTTTCCAAATTACTTTGTTATGTCATGATCTAGCTTTTTGAAATCTTTCCATTGTCTTAGCTGTGGCATTACATACTTCAAAACTCTGCTTATAATTTTGTTTTCATATGTAGGAAGAATTCTGAGTAGGGCATCAGGGAACCCAGCTCCCCATCTCAGCTTGGCTGTGGACATGGGGGTAGCGCTGGTTGGATCACTCTGTGCTCTATTTTTCACTGTTGAAGGATGGGGTCACTGGGGTGACTCCTGGGGTCCTTCTCACCAGTGGCAGTTGTGGTCCTGTTTGTTCGGCACACTGACCAAGGAGTGGGAAGAAGGGCAGTCAGGGTGGCTCGAAGGCAAATGGCTGCTGTTTCTACCAGGAGGGGTGGAAGCTTTTCCGTAGCCTTCATTCATAAGTGGGAGTACATCCAGTGGAGAAAATACAATTCACACATATTCTGTATCATCATAAAAGATCCTTTGTGAAAGATACAAATATAAGTAGGATTATTTGTTTTCATGAGGCCTTGGAAGGAAACCCTTGTAGTCTGGATTTAGCTGTGTGCAGGGAACAAACTGTGGAAGTGGCTCAGGCAACTACTTGCAGTGGTGAGGGAGAAAAACCCTGGGTGGTCAAGCTCTTGCATGTCCTGGGGAAACAGGTGAGATGCCCACAGGACTAATTGCTCCTTGGTCCACCCTTCTGAATACACGAAACCCTCAAAACAGAGAGGGGCTTAGACTTTAGACAGGGCTTCTCTCTCCCTTCCCTTCCCTACATGAAGACCAGCATCCTGGCTCCTGATGGGATCATACTCAGCCTGCCTTTATCGCCAAAGCTTCCAGATCCATGTGGCAACACCACTTCCTGCCTCTTTCACTGGGTGAGGTGCAGACGTCAGGTCCTCCAGGGGCATTTTCTGCCTTTCAGGAGCTGAGGCTGCCCTGGTCTCACCCCTGATTTTACCCCCTGGTGAAATCCTTGAGGCATCTAAGGTGCATTAAGAGCTGTGGCGCAGAAGATGAGGGATCATAAGGCTTGCATGGGAGACTCAGCTGCGTCCTGTAGCCCTGTGAGTTTGGGTGTCTTGCCTAGCATTGCCGAATGTTGGGACACTCTTACCCACCTCGTGCACCAGTGTGAAGCCTAATGGGGATGATCCACTGAGAGCTCTTGGCACAGCCCCTGTTGCATGGCAGGTGCTTCATAAACATGGGTTTCTTTCTGCATTTTGCTGTTCTGGGGTAGAGAGAGAGGTCCCGACAAGTCTTCATGATAAAGACTATGCCAGCACATTGTGAGGGCTTTGCAGAATCTTCCTTGGCTGGTTTCTCTGTCCTTCCCTGAGGTCTGAAGTTCTGCAGAAGGTGCTAAGCAATTGCTAAACTCATATTCAGGGCGAGTGGGGAACTTGTCACCCACTTGTTCAGGGCTCCTTTTCTCTTTCTTCCTCTCCTAGCTGTCTTTGCAGGGATAGGTTCTTCCCAACCATCCCTCACTGTGACCCATACCTGGAGGGGGTCTGGAAAGCAATGACTGCAGCCTGAGTTCCCCTCATGGAGGCAAAGCCAGTCCCACCACCCTGGCTCAGGCTGGTGGCTGTCAGGAGATGCTAGGCTACTCTCTGAGCTTTAGTTCCTATGACCCTAATTGCTAGGCGAATGTGGAGGCAGTGGGGATGCTCAGTCAGTGCAGCTGGCCTGGGGGAATCCGGCTGTGTTTCTGGAGACCCTCTTATATGATTAGGCTTTGTATCCCCATCAAATCTCATCTTGAATTGTAATCTTTATATTCCCCATAATCTCTACATGTCAAGGGAGAGACCAGGTGGAGGTAATTGAATCATGGGGGCTGTTTCCCCCATGCTGTTTCTGTGACAGTGAGTGGGTTCTCACGAGATCTGATGGTTTTATACGGGGCTTCCCTTTGCCAGGCACTTCTCCTTCCTTCCACCTTGTGAAGAAGCTGCCATTCTTACCCTTTGCCTTGTGCCATGATTGTAAGTTTCCTGAGGTCTCCCAAACATAGTGAACTATGAGTCAATTAAACCTCTTTCCTTTATAAGTTACCCAGTCTCAGGTAGATCTTTATAGCAGCGTGAGAATGACTAATAATCCTTCCTTCCTTTACCTGGAGCTTAAGACTCCACAGATCAATGTGGCGACATCATTTCTTGCCTCTTACAACAGGGTGAGGTACAGACCTCAGCTCCTCCAGGGGCATCTTCTGCCTTTCAGAAGCTGATGCTTCCTTGGTTGGTGGACAACCTTACCCTACCTTACCTTATCCTCTTTCAGCAGTAACCAGTCAGTTCCAACAGGAAGTGAGGGAAACAGAAACCTCTCCTATTGAGAAGATCCATTCCAGGAATGCCTGCTGTGGCTGTCAGGCAACTCTAGAAGGAGGTCATTGGAAGTTTGCTGTCTGCCCATGGAACTGCTCCCCCTGTCAGCCTCATTCACTGGGCTGGCGCCTGAGGGAGATGTCACAAAGGACAGTGTGCTGGGGTTGAGAGTGGGAAGGAGCGGGCAGCCATAGTTTCTTTTATTTTTCTGTTGAACAAATTCTAATTTCTACAACAATTCACAACACATTTTTGGGACACTCCCATAATCCCAATTAAACATTAAAACCATGCATTGCTATTCTGGGAATAAAATTTGAAAAGTACTGGTGCTTTTGTGCAGTCTAAGTCATTATACTTTTATGACTTTGGTTAACATTGGGCTATAAAAACCAGTAAATAACTGTTAAAAGCAGAGTCATTTGCTCAAAACTATTTTATGAGCTTCATTTTTGGAATGGTTGAACTTTCCGCTAGATTTTTCCCCTTCATACACACAGAATCTTTGTGTTTTTTACAACTCAGCTTGTGAACAATATTCCACCTTCTGACTGAGGTAAGGCTGTGGGCCTCGTGGGCTGGAGATTGTTCTTCTGGGCCTGGATGATGCAACCGGATATGCTATTTTCTCCACTGTTTTCTTGGGAGAAACCGTGTTTGTATTCTAGGCTCAGCGTGCTTTCAGTTGGTGGTTACACCTAAATATAAATATTGCAGCCATTTCAGAGGCACCCCCAGCCAAGCGGCACCTGCCATGATTTTCATTCTTGGGGTCCTGGCTGCTCATGGCGAATTTGACCCCCTAAACACACGTGCTCCTGGAGCACTGCCGGTTCTCTGCTTGCCAGTTCCCATAGGTCCTCCATGTCTCAGAAGAGCCTCGAGGGCAGTAATAACCCACAGGACGGTGCTCACCCAGCACCTGGGCCCTCAACAGAGGCATTGGGAGGAGAGTTTTCCAGACCCTATTTGGTGGAAAGTCAAGAAGTCTCTTGATACCAACATCAGGGGCCAACACTCAGTGCATTCTAAGCTCCAGGTGTCCTGGGCAGCCCACTGTGGACAAGACGTAGTTGACTCTTCAGAAACTTTTGATGGTATGAACCCACATTAGAGATGAGCAGATGGAGGAGAATGGGTCCAAGAAGCCCAACCCAAGCCACGCAGCCAGAAATGCATAGCTGTAGTTTTGTGGTAATCACTGTGTAAGCATGGTTGCCATAGAGTGCCTGAGCAGACAGCATCACCAGGGGCCATCCATTCCATCTCAGCTCCAGTTCAGTCTCCTTTGGCAAGGCGGCTGAGCAATCAGGTCCCTGGGAACTGGCTGCCTGAAAGCCCTGCTCGTGTGTACCTTATCCCTGCCATGTTCCAGACTGAATGACAGAGCTGTGTCTGCAGAGCATGTTTCCTGTAGCACTGGGTGTGGATACAGGTTTCAAAACAATGCATTCTGTGTACCTGTTTTGCTTCTCAACTCACTCCTTAATAGCCTTGAAGTCTAAATCTAATCTGCATTTTTTTCTAAAGCAAGCAAACTGTCAAACAGGGTAAGTGTTTCTTAGGCCACCATTGTGCATTCTGTGTGTTGCAGCTCCCATGCCAGGATCCCCAGCCACCATAGGATTCAGCATTTTAATATTCCGAATGCCCTTGAAAAGGCAGTAGCGATACCTTCCATTGCTAATGTTATTATCCCCATATGTTCCCTTTTGAGTTTTTTATTATCATACCTGACAAAATAGTTGCTGCTATTTTTCCTCTATATCATTTGGGGAATGTTCACCCCTGAAATGACTCCATGAGGGAGGATATTGAAGCATCAAATGAACTCATTGATTGGTGCTCAGAAGAATTCCCTGGAGTGACAAAACAAGTTAATGTCTCAATCTGTAACTTGTAGCCCCATATTTCTTTGTCAGTGTCAAGCATTCCAAGCAATCTCAGACCTTGATTTTCAACTACTTTCACCTTAAAGTTTCTTGAAGTGTATAATCCTAACCACGAGTCTACATTTCTTCCCCAACAACATCTTCTAGGAGTGTTGGTCTGCAGTGGTGACTGTGAAGTGTTGTTGGGCAGGGAAAGTGGGAAATGGGAGGTGAAAATCCATCCCTTTATAGAAAGCACAGCCCAGCACGGTTAGATCTTCCCACCAGGGGTGACAAGGAGGGTGGAGGGAGGAGGGCTTTAGTGCATATTTAGTATTGGCCAACGTTTAGATGATGTTGTCACCGACCAAAATGTCTCATTTCCTAACAATAAAGTTTAGGTGTCCATGTTTTACTTCAAATCAATAGACATAGCATACCATTTCAGAACCATAAAATACCTAAGATATAGCTTCTATAAGGAACTTACTTTGCACTGCAAGAAAGCATTCTGGTTGGTTCATTGTATTTCATTGATTAAAATTTATAGTGGGAAAAATCTGGTAAAAAGACTAAGTTGGAGGCTGAGTGTGGTGGCTCACACCTGTAATTCCAGTACTTTGGGAGACTGAGGCAGTGGAATTGCTTGAGCCCTGGAGTTCAAGACCAGCCTGGACAACATGATGCAACATCACCGCTATATATAAAAAAAAAATTAGCCTGATTTGCTGGCATGTACCTGTCGTCCCAGCTACTGAGGAGGCTGAGGTGGGAGGATGGCTTGATGGCTTGGAACCAGGAGGCAGAGGTTGCTGTGAGCCTTGATTATGTCACAGCACTTCAGCTTGGGTGACAGAGCAAGAATCTGATGAAAGAAAGAAAGAGAAAGAAAGAAAGAAAGGAGAGAGAGAGAAAGAGAGAAAGAAAGAAAGAAGAAAGAAAGAAAGAAAGGTGAGAGAGAGAAAGAAAGAAAGAAGAAAGAAAGAAAGAAAGGGAGGGAGGGAGGGAAAGGAAAGGAGAGAGAAAGAGACAAAAGAAAGAAAGAGAGAGAAAGAAAGAAAGAAAAGAAGAAGGGAAAGGAAAGAGAGAAAGAGAGAAAGAAAGAAAGGAGAGAGAGAGAAAGAGAGAAAGAAAGAAAGAAAGGGAGGGAGGGAGGGAAAGGAAAGGAGAGAGAAAGAGAGAAAAGAAAGAAAGAGAAAGAAAGAAAGAAAGAGAGAGAAAGAAAGAAAGAAAAGAAGAAAGGAAAGGAAAGGGAGAGAAAGAGAGAAAGAAAGGAGAGAGAGAGAAAGAGAGAAAGAAAGAAAGAAAAAAGAAAGAAAGAAAGGGAGGGAGGGAGGGAAAGGAAAGGAGAGAGAAAGAGAGAAAAAGAAAGAAAGAAAGAAAGAAAGAAAGAAAGAAAGAAAAAAGAAAGAAAGAAAGAAAAGACTAAGCTGGAATGAAAGTTGGGAGGAGTAAGTGGTTTTACTTGGGGAACCCATGTAGCATGTGAGCTTCCTTTATGAACTTAGAATCAGAGACTACCTGATAAGTTATTTTTCTGGCTTTATATATTGTCATTTAGAAACTGTTATTCTTGTCCTATCAATGTTACCTTGTTTGCTGTGCTCTGAGAAGCAACTCGTGGACTCACAAGAGGGCCCGACTGAGGAGGTAGAAGGAAAGGCACCACCACTGTCAAATGCTTCTTGTGTGTGAGATCCATCTGCTTACCAATTTAGTGTCTTAATCAACCCTTACAAACCCATGAAGTAAGTAAAAGAATAACACTTTACAGATGAGAAAAACGGAGGCTCCAAACATGTATGCATCTCACTGGAGATCTAGGCACCACTGAGGATATGGCACAGTGGAACCTCGCACCCAGGTGTGTTGGAGTCTGAAAATTACTTTTTTTTCCATTGCATTACACATCTGATGAGACACAAACACACAACCCACTGTGAAAGATTGCCCACAATTATGAAAATACAGGAGGTTTGGAATGCGGCATGCCTGCCGCCTCACTTTTCATTAAGCCCCAGTCAGAACTCAGGGGTAATAGTGATCCACTCTCCTGTCACCCAACTCACGTTACCGTGTCACTTAATTCTCAGAGTGGGGAGAGGGACTTTGGAAATATTGGATAGCTATTTAGCACGGGCCCTTGACAACCTGCCTAATGGAGATGTCTGAGTTTGTTCATTTGTCATGGTCTTCATCTGAATCCAGACAGTAAATGCTAAGTTAAAATTTAGAGCCAGGAAATAAGTCCATTTCCACTCTCAGTAGGTGCCACTTACATGCTCCTCAGCCACATCTGTCGAGATGAAGTGGCGATCCCAGGACTCGTGGCTGTGTCGCGCTGCACAGTTGTTAGAGCGTGGAAGCGTTGAGACAACATGAAGCCTGGAGCTGCCTCCATCCTTCTGAAGGGCTCTCCCTGGCCCCCGACCCAGCCTGAAGGAGCATTGCCCGCTGTCCATGGGACTGTAGAACCATGGGGGACTGATTCTTGCTGCCCCCCAGACCAGTCAGATCTCTGCAAATTGACACTAACTGGATTTTCAGGCAATATAGTTTTCCAGGGACAAAAACACATATCCTACCCAATGTGGTCAGTGTGATTTGCTGCACTGATTGTTACCCAAGGAGGTAGAATCTGACCATAAAGGAAGCACCTGCCAACTCCCTGGGAGGTGGCTCCCTTCCTGACCTCCCTGCTTCTGCTCCTGTCTCTGAAATCCACTGCCCTCACCTCCTAGGGCAGCTCTCTGCCTGCTCTCAGCCTCTGAGTGTGCTGGGACATCTCAAAGCAAGGGATTTGGTTCAAAGGTGACTTCAATCAATTTTTTTCTTGTAGATTTGCTATCAATCAAATCACAGTTATATTCATCTCTTGGTGAATTGAACAGCATAATTTGCCTTTTAAATCTTTATCAATTTAATTTTATTATTTTAAAATTTATTCTCAGTTTCATTAAGGTAAAATAGACAAACAGAGCTGTATGAATTAAGGGGGAAAATAGCATGCTGATTATATATATATATATACATATATATTATATTTATTATAATATAATATATATGTAGTGAAATGATTACCACGATCAAGTTAATTAACACATCCAGCACCCCACCTAGTTACCATTTGTGTGTGTGTTCTTGAGAACATTTAAGATCTACTCTCAACAAATTTCAATGATACAATACAGGATTGCTAGCTATAGTCACCGTGTTGTTCATTAGATCTCCAGAACTGATTAATCTTGTAACTGAACCTCCCAACCCTTTGACCAACATCTCCCTCTTGCCCCCATCACCAGCCCCTGGGAACCACTATTCTACTCTGTTTCTATGAGTTGGACTCTTAGATGCCACATATAAGAGAACTCGTGTGGTATTAGTTTTTGTCTGTCTGACTTTTATTTCACTTAGCATAATGCCCCCACATTCATCCACATTGTCACTAACAGCAGGATTTTCTTCTTTTTTAAGGCTGAACAGTATTCTGTTATGTCTGTATGTCTTTATTCATCCATCGAGGGAGGCTTAGTTCGTTTCTGCGTCTTGGCAGCAGTGAATAATGCTGCAATGGGCACTGGAGTGCAGACGTCTCTTTGAGCTGCTGGTTTTGTTTTCTTCAGATGTATGCCCACAAGTAGGGTCTCTAGCTCCGATGGTAGTTCTCTCTTTGAGTTTTGGAGGCAACTCCTGATTGTTTTCCATAACTGCTGCACCAATCGCCATTTCCAGTGCACAAGGGTTTTCTTTTCTCCACATCCCCTGACACATCTGCAAGAAGGGGTTGCTTTCCAGAGGAGACAGAGCAGGGGCCTGGACAGGACAGTTGGGTGGCCCAAGGGAGACCCTGCTCTTTGGGGCCCAGCTTCCAAATCTTGGGGAGAAGCCCTTCTGTAAGCAGGGAGGGGGTGCTTGGGCTCCCAGCCTGTTCACCCAGTGGGGTGCTCTTCTGTGGAATTACTCCTCTCCAATCTACAGACACTCGATGTGCCAGGTCAGCTCTGTTTTCCATGTAAAACTCCTTTTCCTAAACTCTGTTCTGATTGTTTGGGGGTGGGGGTGGGGGGAGATATGTTTGAAACAGTGGATAATTAAATATCACATTTCCTTAATTCCCAGGTGCTGACAGCTGGAGTATGCCTCATTAATTTAATGACAGTTTTTCTGGAATACATCTGACACTTAGGCATGTAATGCTAACAGCACTTCCTAGATGCACCCAAACTTCAGAAGTTCTTATTTTAAAGCACTCGAGCACCTAGGAAATACTGTAAGTTTGGGAAACACTGGGTTAGACTGAGGTAAGTCTGTCTCTTTTCTGCACGATTTTCTTAAGACTTTAGGTGTTTACAGTGGAGATAGGCTGTTTCCTCCTCCTCTATGCCATGCTTTAGTGGGCTGAGTGCATCCCTGGGAATCTAAGCTACTTAACCCAGGCATCATTGCAGGCAGGATTCTAATGGCCCCACATCTGCTATTTGTGAGCTGCCACTGATCGTGAGCTATGGGTCTGGGCTGCCAAGCCAGTCTGCACCTCAGCTCTTCTCTCTGCCGGCACAGGATTGAGTCCCTTGGTTTCCTTTAGGGCCAATGAGTGCAAACCAGGTGCCGGGGAGACCCAGCATCCTGGGCAGCGATGGTGGGTGCTGCTTGGGGACCAGGCCTGAAGTCGGGGGCAGGAGGATGCTCACCTCCCATGCTCTCTTGTTCCTGGGTTCCCCACTCCCCAGTGCTTCTCAGAGCTGCTGTCAGAGAAGGGTTTTCTCACCGAGACTTTTTCCAGACTTCCCTCTGAGCTCCCCCAGGTCTTCTTTCTGTTTACTCCTTGTTGATCCTAAAAATTCTCACGGGTGAGGTGATGGCTGCAGGTGATGGGCATGAGCTGAGCTGTTTTCCTGATGCCACGCTGCCATCATAGGGTATGTGGGACCTGCGGAGGGAGGAATGATTAGGGACCTTATAGCTGTTTATTCATTCATTCAACAAATATTTCCTGAGTGTCTTCTGTGTGCCAGGATGCTCCTAGGTTTAGAGATTCAGCAGGGAACCAAATAGAAGGAACATCTCATATTTTAGTGGTGAGACGCCAGCAATCAGGAAATTAATGTAAGGCATACAGTACATTCGACCGTGCAAGTGTCATGTAGGAAAAGCAGTGGGGAAGCGAGTGTGGGAGGACGTGAGGGGAGGGAGCACTCACAGGGGTGGAGGGAGGACCTGCACTGTGTCAGGGAGAGCCCTGCAGGGGGAGGGGCTTGCCCCAAAGCCACGGGTCCTCAGCTTCAAGACCCGCTTTCTGCATGGGCTGTTCCTGCAGCTCCCAGGTCCATATGATTTCTCTGCAGTCAGGACTATTTCCATCCTGAATTCCCCTCTGTCACTTTGCCCTGCAGTGAGTAGCCCTGGAGGGCTGCGGACAATTTTGGGATCCGGCTAAGGTTGAGTTGGGATGCTTTGGTTGGGTTTAGTAACCACGCGCATGTGGTTTGCGGCCACTCTCTGTTGAGTTGCACAGCCCTGATGGGAAGGTGTCCATCATTTTCCGGGTCATCGCCAGTGCGTCGAGGCATGAAGATTCCAGGCCAGAGGGACCAGCTCACCTCG
This sequence comes from Homo sapiens, assembly GCF_000001405.40. NCBI lineage: Eukaryota > Metazoa > Chordata > Mammalia > Primates > Hominidae > Homo > Homo sapiens. Next base: position 3,657,924 of record NC_000005.10, read on the forward strand.
GCTATATCCCAGGGTGCCCCTATCTGGAAACCTGCAGGAAGGAGGAAAAACCATGTCCGTAGTGCACAGTGCTGGAACATTCCTCCACTCATGGCTTGTACAGGATTGTATAGGAGGAGGACTAGTTTCTCTTCCATGCTTGGCCCAAACAAGAGATTTCATCCCAGGGGCACTCTCTCCTAGGCAGCATCCTCCTCTGTAGATACAGGCTACTTCCTCCTCTTCTCCTTTCTCTCTGCGTTTTTTTTTTTTTTTTTTTGAGACGGAGGCTCTCTCTGTCGCCCAGGCTGGAGTGCAGTGGCACGATCTTGACTCACTGCAAGCTCTGCCTCCTGGGTTCACGCCATTCTCCTGCCTCAGTCTCCCGAGTAGCTGGGACTACAGGCGCCCACCACTGCGCCCGGCTAATTTTTGTATTTTTAGTAGAGACGGGGTTCCACTGTGGTCTCGATTTCCTGACCTCGTGATCCACCCGCCTTGGCCTCCCAAAGAGCTGGGATTACAGGCGTGAGCCACCGCATCCAGCCCCCTTCTCTTTGTTTTTAAAATGGGAAAAGATCAAAATAGAATTTGCAGGATTTATTTGTTTACAGAATACAGACTTGTTGCATTTCTACAAAAACTGAGGACACCTGTGTGTAAAGGTGCATGGTTATGCGTTCCAAACATCAAAGATAAAACGCAAATTTCCATCAGCGAGGTTACACCATTGATCTGTTCTCTCTGCAGAAAAATGATGTTAGTAAATCATTGTCATGATAAGAAGCAATGAAAACGTGGAGGAGCAGTATTAGACTGTCTGGCAGGAGATTTATAAAATGTGCTGTCATTTTGGATGTTGTGATATATGTGGTCTTCATAAAACTAAAAATTTGTGATTTATGTACTCATTCTAAAGAAATATTTTCTTGTGTGCCCAATTTCCTACTGGTAGTTTTGTATTCCTTTCTTGAAAAACCCCCGCCTTCCTGATCTACTCTCGCTTTAGGCTTCTAGCATCCAAAACCCAGGCCCCTCCTAGTATGCAGACACTGAGGGTGCAAGCTTTCCAGATGGAAACACGTAGATGGAAACACGTGCGAAAGTCCCGGGGTAAAAGGGCCTGGGCTGTCTGGGGAGGGGCAAGGTTGCCTCTGTGGCTGGAACTGATGAAATTACACTGGGGCAGGGCACAAGAGTGAGCAGAAGGGTGGCCTGCAGGGCTGGGAGGCCATGGACGTGGACTGGGCTCTTAGGAGGGGACCGTGGAGTCCCTGGGGCTCTGGGTCTGGATGGTCCTTGCTTCCGTGTTAGGAAGGGCTCTTGGGGTTGCCTGTGGGATTTTCGCGGTGGATATTCTGCCTGGGGCCTGTCTCTGCATTCATATCTATTCGGCATTCTTGGATCCAGCCAAGCAGAGAAATGATTTTCTCAACAGCGAGATATAGAAGAAATTTGATAATAATGCGGAAGTAACTTCTAAGCATCCTTTTACAGAAAAGTAGGATCACATTTGGCCAAAGAACCACCAGAAAGTAAGAGCAGTGCTTCAAAACGGCCTAGAGGGTGCTCACTCAGCCCCAGCCCGGCAGCCTCTGAAGGCCTCTGGGAGGCTGGTCTGTGGTGTGGGCCACAGACTCGGCTCCGATAAGAGCAGTGAGAGAGCAGCACGTTGGATGACGAGCGCAGATTCAAGGAATGGAATTTACGTTGCCCAGTGCCAGCAAATTCCGAGAAGTAATACATTTTATTAAAAAAACTCAACTTTTAACTTTGTTTTGAAATAATTGTAGATATACATGCAGGAGCATAAAATAATGCAGGGAGATATCAAATGCCCAGTTTCCCTCAATGATAACATTCGTGCGAAACTACAGCGCACTTCACAGCCAGATAGCGACATTGATGTCATCTACTGATGTTGTTCAGATTTCCCCAATCGGTCTTCACTCACTCAGATGAGCATTGAGTTCTATGCAATGCTATCACCCAGGCAGATTCATGCACCCATCATCGCAGTTAAGACGCTGAACCTTCCCACCACCGCAGGAATTCTATATGATGACCTGCCCCGTTATGACCTCACAGAACCTTCCCACCACCTCAGGAATTCTATATGATGACCTGCCCGTTATGACCTCACAGAACCTTCCCACCACCGCAGGAATTCTATATGATGGCCTGCCCTGTTATGACCACACATAACCTTCCCACCACTGCAGGAATTCTATATGATGACCTGCCCGTTATGACCTCACAGAACCTTCCCCCCTCTGCAGGAATGCTACATGATGACCTGCCCTGTTATGACCACACAGAACCTTCCCACCACCGCAGGAATGCTATATGATGACCTGCCCTGTTATGATCTCATCTTCTTCCCTCTTCCCCTCCTTAATCCCTGGAAACCACTGATCTGCTTTCTATTTCTAGAATTTTGTCATTGAAAGGAGGCTATGCAAATGGAATCACACAGTATGCCACCTTTCAGAACTGGCTTTTTCCTCTCAACATAAACCCCTTGAGACCCATGCCGGCTGCTGCCTGTACTGATAGTTCATCCCTCTTCCTTGCTACGTAGAATCCTGGAGCAGGGATGGAAAGGCACTTTTTAAAATAATGCTTTTGCTGCTCAGAATATCTCAGTAGTCATCTTTAGCAACTTTGGTAAAACCTGTTAAGCCCTCCTCCACAATACAGGTCTCATTTTCATAGTTCCTAGAAAAACTTCCAAAGAAAGGATTCCTGACGGGTGTTGAGAGATTGTAGGGCCACTGGGATGAGTTTATGCCAATGCAAGAGGAGTTACTTGTGTGACTCTCTACGTGGGCTGGAGGTGGTGGGGCTCATTTAGAAAAACCAAGCAGCATCTCCTGAAGCCCTCCCTGGTGCCCACCTCCCCTGATGGGGATCACCACAGGAGAGGGGACTGTTCTAGCTCCCAGGCTTTCGGGCACCTGGGCTTATAGGGGAATGCTTTTGGAGAGGAGGCTGTTAGATGCCTTGAGGATGAGACACTGGCTTTGCTGTGTTCTCCAGAGTTGGGAGGGCAGGGTGCTGTGGCTCCATGAAGAGCATGTGAGATGCATCTTCTTTAGGGGCTGCCTCCGTGAGATGGAAGGCACCCAAGGAACACAGGGGGTGGCAATAAATATCTGCAAACAGAAAGGGCATGTCCACTGCGATTCTCACCGGGTGCGTAAAAGCTCTGCCTTTGCTTCATTTCATTGCAGATACTGCTGCCATCCATCCTCTGAGGATAAATGGGTTAATTTTGCAGAGTGCTTTGAAAATGCAAAGTGGTGTAAAATTATCATGATGTAAGGAGGCCCCACATGTACACTAGAAGGAAAGAGGGGCAGAAGGGGCTACGGCTTGTAGTTTGCATAGTAAATTTCATGATTGCTTTTGGAAATTGCGCTTTCTTATTTACAAGTATTGTCAATGAAATAAATTGAATAGAATCACCAGATGGCCCTAAATATTGTCTTTATTACCTAGAACCGTCTTCAGAGAGCTTTTGTTACAGGAACTGGAAGCCTTGAGATTGTTAAGCATGAGAGGCAAAGGGACACTGTGCCTAATTCCAATGATTGTCACAGGCAGCTATTTATTTTCTGAGTGAGGTGAGGGGGAGACCATCTCATTTAGACTTATTAAAGGGCCCAAAGTGTAACACTCTTCAAAAGGGTCACTATAAATATGCCACATACTGTATTTCATAGAGTTTATGGGAAAGGAAATTGAAATCTCCTAAAAATAGAATTGAATCTTGTCCAAACAATATTGGATATACCAAATGAGTATTTTTGTTATTACATACAACAGGCTGATATTCTGAACAATTTTTATAAACCTTTCGTTTGTTTTCATAAATTTTGGACTTTCCTACAATTCTGAGGTTTCTTACAGTTATCAGCCAACATGACAGTGTTTTCAAAAATGAGAATGAAAGGCTTGTTTGTGGTGGAATGGCCACCTCCTCCCGCCCTTCCTGCTATGCCACCAAGAGAGCTAGGTTGCTGGCTCAGCTCCTGTAATCTTAGGGGGGCGAGGCCCTACAGGGCCAGGGTCCTGGGCTCTGGAAGCCTCATTTCCCTTAGACCAGTGGTTGGCCTCACTGTGGGCATGGGGTCAAGTTTTGGTTAGAGTTTAGGAAGAAGCTCTGCTGGGGAGAACTCTCTTTCTCAGAAACAAAATGAAACTGAAAGAGTCTCTCCAGCAAGCCCTGGCAGCTGTGGCCTTATCCCTGCCTGTCCTACAAATTTGGGCTCTGGGGCTCCCACTGTAGCCTTGAGACCATAGGCATGGTGATTGCCATCGAGAAGAGGCTGAGAGATTTACAAAGTGCAGCACTGGCACCCTCATGCCTCCAAGTCACCCACCTCCAGAAATCTGCTACAGAGGAAAAGAAAGCCTTATGTGCCTATAAAGACACCACTCTTTGTAGGATTGTCTGTTGCCTGAGGCCAAGTGCATTATTCTCAGATCATTCTACATGGACACATTAGAGAAGAAATAAATTGACTGGGAATTATTATAGAATAGCATGAACAAATATAGACTGTGCTTCAGATTAGAGAAGCAGAAACATTCTCCTGTATCTACAGCCCTGTGTGCATGCTTAGACCTGGATAGTGGGTGGAGAAGAAAGGAGGCTTTGCATAGAGATTTTTCAGGAAATGCATCAATTTAGAAAAATGCTTCCTGTGGTGGCTCTACCCTGCTTTCTGCTTCGAGGAGTTCTTAGCAATTCACAAAGGAACCCTGGATTTCCTAGTTTATAGAGATCCCACAGGGCAGGGTTTCTTGGACATGAATATTACATAGGCTCTCTGCCCAGGGGATACATTTTCTCAGTGATCTCTACTGTTGGCATAAATGATGTTGATTTCTGTTACTTGAAGATGTACACAAATAAAACTAGTATCAACCCTTCCCATTTACCTTTATGCACAAAATTTGAAAATTAGATGCAAATACAGTTTTACTATCAATAATATTTAAATTAGTAGCATCAGTGTTGTTTGGTTGGAATTAAGTTTCTCTTCACAATGTGAATATTATTGTGATTTCTAGGGTTCAGTTTGCTGTATGTTAAACATACCATGTATTATCTGATGACAAAATTCTCCAATTCTGTTTTCTCCACCGAACTTTAGAGAAGCATCCCTTCATCCACCACGGTGCCAAATGTTCTCAGTTTGGTAGAAAAGAACCACTTATTAATTACATCCAATTCTGTCCTTTTCTTAAGGCCACTTTACCCATGAAACAAAGCCAAAATAGGATAGGTCTCCACACATTATTTTTTTTGAGATGTAGTCTTACTCTGTCGCCCAGGCTGGAGTGCAGTGGCTTGATCTCAGCTCACTGCAACCTCCACCTCCGGGATTCAAGCAATCCTCTTGCCTCAGCCTCCCAAGTAGCTGAGATTAGAGGCTCCTGCCACCACGCCCAGCCATTTTTTTTGTATTTTTAGTAGAGACGGTGTTTTGCCATGTTGGTCAGGCTGGCCTCGAGCTCCTGACCTCTGGTGATCCACTCGCCTTGGCCTCCCAAAGTGCTGAGATTACAGGTGTTAGCCACCGCACCTGGCCCTGCACACATTTTTTATTGCAATTGAAACTGCAGTGAAAAATTAAAAGCATCTTGGCGTGGCAAATGCATACATTGCTGGAAGTGCCTGTGGACCCCTTTTTGCAAGAAAAAAATGCCTATTAGAGAAACACACCTTTAGATCTCATCATATGAAGACCAAGTTTTCTTTTCTTTCTCTTTTTTTTATTATGCTTTAAGTTCTGGGATACATGTGCAGGACGGGCAGGTTTGTTACATAGGTATACACATGCCATGGTGGTTTGCTGCACCCATCAACCCATCATCTACATTAGTTATTTCTCCTAATACTATCTTTCTCCTAGCTCCCCACCCCCTAACAGGCCCCAGTGTGTGATGTTCCCCTCCCTGTGTCCATGTCTTCTCATTGTTCACTCCCACCTATCAATGAGAACATGTGGTGTTTGGTTTTCTGTTCTGTGTTAGTTTGCTAAGAATGATGGTTTTCAGCTTCATCTATGTCCCTGAAAAGGACGTGAACTCATCCTTTTTATGGCTGCATAGTATTCCATGGTGTATATGTGCCACATTTTCTTTATCTCGTCTATCATTGATGGGCATTTGGGTTGGTTCCAAGTCTTTGCTATTGTTAACATATGTGAGCATTTGTCTTTACAGTAGAATGATTTATAATCCTTTGGGTATATACCCAGTAATAGGATTGCTGGATCAAATTGTGTTTCTGATTCTAGATCCTTGAGGAATTGCCACACTGTCTTTCACAATGGTTGAACGAATTTACACTCCAACAGTGTAAAAGTGTTCCTATTTCTCCACAGCCCCTCCAGCATCTGTTGTTTCCTGACTTTTTAATGATCGCCATTCTAACTGGTGTGAGATAGTATCTCATTGTGGTTTTGGTTTGCATTTCTCTAAAAAACAGTGATGATGAGCTTTTTTCATATGTTTGTTGGCCGCATAAATGTCTTCTTTGGAGAAGTGTCTGTTCATATCCTTTCCCCAGTTTTTGATGGGGTTGTTTGATTTTTTTCTTGTAAATTTGCCTAAGTTCCTTGTAGATTCTTCATATTAGACCTTTGTCAGATGGATAGATTGAAAAAATTTTCTGCCATTCTGTAGGCTGTCTGTTCATTCTGATGGTAGTTTCTTTTGCTGTGCAGAAGCTCTTTAATTAGGTCCCATTTGTCTATTTTGGCTTTTGTTGCCATTGCATTTTGTGTTTTAGTCGTGAAGTCTTTGCCCATGCCTATGTCCTGAATGGTATTGCTTAGGTTTTCTTCTAGAGTTTTTATGGTTTTAGGTCTTATGTTTAAGTATTTAATCCATCTTGAGTTAATTTTTGTATAAGGTGTAAGGAAGGGGTCCAGTATCAGTTTTCTGCATATGGCTAGCCAGTTTTCCCAACATCATTTATTAAATAGGGAATCATTTCCCCGTTGCTTGTTTTTGTCAGGTTCATCAAAGATCAGATAGTTGTAGATGTGTGGCATTATATCTGAGACCTCTGTTCTGTTCCATTGGTCTTATGTCTGTTTTGATACCCGTACCATGTTGTTTTGGTTACTGTAGCCTTGTAGTGTAGTTTGAAGTCAGGTAGCATGATGCCTCCAGCTTTGTTCTTTTTGCTTAGGATTGTTTTGGCTATATGAGCTCTTTTTTGTTCCATATGAAATTTAAAGTAGTTTTTTCTAATTCTGTGAAGAAAGTCAATGGTAGCTTGATGAGGACAGCATTTTTAAATTACTTTGGGCAGTATGGCCATTTTCATGATATTGATTCTTCCTATCCATGAGCATGAATGTTTTTCCATTTGTTTGTGTCCTCTCTTGTTTCCTTGAGCAGTGGGTTTCAGTATTCCTTGAAGAGGTCCTTCACATCCCTTGTAAGCTGTATTCCTAGATATTTTATTCTCTTTGTAGCAATTGTGAATGGGAGTTCACTCATGATTTGGCTCTCTGATTGTCTATTATTGGTGTATAGGAATGCTTGTGATTTTTGCACATTCATTTTGTATCCTGAGACTTTGTTAACATTCCTTATCAGCTTAAAGAGATTTTGGGCTGAGATGATGGAGTTTTCTAAAGATACAATCATGTCGTCTGCAAACAGAGACAACTTGACTCCGTCTCTTCCTGTTTGAACACCCTTTATTTCTTTCTCTTGCCTGATTGCCCTGGCCAGAACTTCCAATACTATGTTGAATAGGAGTAGTGAGAGAGAGTATCCTTGTCTCGTGCCGGTTTTCAAAGAGAATGCTTCCTGCTTTTGTCAATTCAGTATAATATTGGCTGTGGTTTTGTCATAAATATCTTTTATTATTTTGAGATGTGTTCCATCAATACCTAGTTTATTGAGAGTTTTTAGCATGCAAGGGTGTTGAATTTTGTCAAAGGCCTTTCCTGCATCTATTGAGATAATCGTGTTTTTTTCCATTGGTTCTGTTTATGTGATGGATGACATTTATTGATTTGTGTATGTCGAACCAGCCTTGCATCCTAGGGATGAAGCCGACTTGTTTGTGGTGGATAAGCTTTTTGATGTGCTGCTGGATTAGGTTTGCCAGTATTTTATTGAAGATTTTTGCATCCATGTCCATCAGGGATATTGGCCTGAAATTTTCTTTTTTGTTGGGTCTCTGCCAGGTTTTGGTATCAGGATGATGCTGGCCTCATAAAAGGAGTTAGGGAGGAGTTCCTTTTATTCTATCATTTGGATTAATTTCAGAAGGAATGGTACCTGCTCCTCTTTGTACCACTGGTAGAATTCGGCTGTGAATCTGTCTGGTCCTGGGCTGTTTTTGGTTGGTAGGCTACTAATTACTGCCTGAATTTCAGAACTTACTATTGGTCTATTCAGGGATTCGACTTCTTCCTGGTTTAGTCTTGGGAGGGTGTATGTGTCCAGGAATGTGTCCATTTCTTCTAGATTTTCTAGCCTATTTGCGTAGAGGTGTTTAAAGTATTTTCTGATAGTAGTTTGTATTTCTGTGAGATCATTGGTGATAGCCCCTTTATCATTATTTATTGTGTCTATTTGATTCTTCTCTATTTTCTTCTTTACTAGTCTGGCTAGCGGTCTATCTATTTTGTTAATCTTTTCAAAACACCAACTCTTGGATTCACTGATTTTTTTTTGAAGGGTTCTTCATGTCTCTGTCTCCTTCAGTTCTGCTCTGATCTTAGTTATTTCTTATCTTCTGCTAGCTTTTGAATTTGTTTGCTCCTGCTTCTCTAGTTCTTTTAATTGTGATGTTAGGGTGTCGATTTTAGATCATTCCCATTTTCTCCTGTGGGCATTTAGTGCTATACATTTTCCTCTAAACATTTATTTAGCTGTGTTCCAGAGATTCTGGTACGTTGTGTCTTTGTTCTCATTGTTTTCAAAGAACTTATTTATTTCTGCCTTCATTTCATTATTTACCCAGTAGTCATTCATGAGAAGGTTGTTCTGTTTCCATGTAGTTGCGCAGTTTTTAGTGAGTTTCTTAATCCTGAGTTCTAATTTGATTGCACTGTGGTGTGAGAGACTGTTTGTTATGATTTCTTTTCTTTTTTTTTTTGAGACGGAGTCTGGCTCTGTCACCCAGGCTGGAGTGCCATGGCGTGATCTCAGCTCACTCCAAGCTCTGCCTCCCAGGTTCACACCATTCTCCTGCCTCAGCCTCCTGAGAAGCTGGGACTACAGGTGCCCACCACCACGTCCGGCTAATTTTTTGTGTTTTTAATAGAGACAGATTTTCACTGTATTAGCCAGGATGATCTCGATCTCCTGATCTCATGATCCGCCCACCTCAGCCTCCCAAAGTGCTGGGATTAGAGGCGTGACCCACTGTGCCAGGCCTATGATGTCTGTTCTTTTGCATTTGCTGAGGAGTGTTTTACTTCCAATTATGTGATTAATTTTAGAATAAGTGTGATGTGGTGCTGAGAAGAATGTATATTCTGTTGACTTGAGGTGGAGAGTTCTGTATGTGTCTATTAGGTCTGCTGAGTCCAGAGCTGAGTTCAAGTCCTGAATATTCTTGTTAACTTTCTGTCTCATTGATCTGTCTAATATTGACATTGTGGTGTTAAATTATCCTACTATTATTGTGTGGGAGTCTAAGTCTCTTTGTAGGTCTCTAAGAACTTGCTTTATGAATCTAGGTGCTCCTGTATTGGGTGCATATATATTTAGGATAGTTAGCTCTTCTTGTTGCTTTGATCCCTTTACCATTATGTAATGCCCTTCTTTGTCTCCTTTGATCTTTTTTGGTTTAAAGTCTATTTTATCAGAGACTAGGATTGCAACCCTTGCTTCTTTTTGCTTTCCATTTGCTTGGTTAATCTTCCTCCATCCCTTTATTTTGAGCCTATGTCAGTCTTTGCATGTGAGATGGGTCTCCTGAATACAGCACATCGATGGTTCTTGACTCTATCCAATTTGCCAGTCTGTCTTTTAATTGATGCATTTAGCCAGTTTACATTTAAGGTTAATATTGTTATGTGTGAATTTGATCCTGTCATTGTGATGCTAGCTGGTTATTTTGCCTGCTAGTTGATGCAGTTTCTTCATAGTGTCAATGGTCTTTAAAATTTGGTATGTTTTGCAGTGGCTGGTACCGATTTTTCCTTTCCGTATTTAGAGCTCTTGTAAGACAGGCCTAGTGGTGACAAAATCTCTCAGCATTTGCTTGTCTGTAAAGGATTTTATTTCTCCTTCACTTATGAAGCTTAGTTTGGCTGGATATGAAATTCTGGGTTGAAAATTCTTTTCTTTAAGAATCTTGAACGTTGGCCCCCACTATCTTTTGGCTTGTAGGGTTTCTGCAGAAAGATCTGCTGTTAGTCTGACGGGCTTCCCTTTGTGGGTAACCCAGCCTTTCTCTCTGGCTGCCCTTAACATTTTTTCCTTCATTTCAACCTTGGTGAATCTGATGATTGTGTGTCTTGGGGTTGCTCTTCTTGAGGAGTATCTTTGTGGTGTTCTCTGTATTTCCTGAATTTGAACCTTGGCCTGTCTTGCTAGGTTGGGGAAGCTCTCCTGGATGATATCCTGAAGAGTGTTTTCCAACTTGGTTCCATTCTCCCCATCACTTTCAAGTTCACAAATCAAACGTAGGTTTGGTTTTTTCACATAGTCCATTTCTTGGAGGCTTTGTTCGTTCCTTTTTTTTTCTCCAATATTTTCTTCATGCTTTATATCATTAAGTTGATCTTCAATGTCTGAAATCCTTTCTTCCACTTGATCAAGCCAGCTATTGATACTTGTGTATGCTTTACAATGTTCTCGTGCTGTGTTTTTCAGCTCTATCAGGTCATTTATGTTCTAAACTGGTTATTCTAGTTAGTGATTCCTCTAACCTTTTTTCAAGGTTCTTAGCTTTCTTGCATTGGGTTAGAACATGCTCCTTTATCTCAGAGGAGCTTGTTATTACCCACCTTCTGAAGCCTACTTCTGTCAATTCATCAAACTAAGTTTCCCTCCAGTTTTGTCCCCTTGCTGGTGAGGAGTTGTGATCCTTTGGAGGAGAAGAGGCATTCTGGTTTTTGGAATTTTTAGTCCTTTAGTGTTGTTTTTTTTCTAATCTTCATGGATTTATCTACCTTTGGTCTTTGATGCTGGTGACCTTTGGATGGGGTTTTTCCGTGGATGTCCTTTTTGTGGATGTGGATGCTATTCCTTTCTGTTTGTTAGTTTTCCTTCTAACAGTCAAGCCCCTCTGCTGCTGGTCTGCTGGGAGTTTGCTGGAGGTCCTGTCCAGACCCTGTTTGCATGGGTATCACCAGTGGAGGCTGCAGAACAGCAAAGATTCTGTTTCTTCCTCTGGAAGCTTTGTCCCAGAGGGGCACCGGCCAGATGCCAGCCAGAGCTCTCCTGTATGAGGTGACTGTTGACCTCTACTGGGAGGTGTCTCCCAGTCAGGAGGCATGGGGGTCAGGAACCCACTTGAGGAGGCAATCTGTCTCTTATCAGAGCTCAAACACTGTGCTGGGAGATCCACTGCTCTCTTCAGAGCTGGCAGGCAGGAAAGTTTAAGTCTGTTGAAGCTGTGCCCACAGCTGCCCCTTCCTCTGGGTGCTCTGTCCCAGGGAGATGGGAGTTTTATCTATAAGCCCCTAACTGGGGCTCTTGCCTTTCTTTCAGAGATGCCCTGCCCAGAGAGGAGGAATCTAGAGAGGCATTCTGGCTACAGGAGCTTTGCAGAGCTGCGGTGGGCTCCACCCAGTTTGAACTTCCCCTTTACACTGTGAGGGGAAACCCACCTACTCAAGCCTTCGTAATGGTGGATACCCCACCCCTGACTAAGCTTGGGCATCCCAGATTGACTTCAGCCTGCTGTGTTGGAAGAGAGAATTTCAAGCCAGTGGATCTTAGCTTGCTGGGCTCCATGGGGTGGGATCAGCTGAGCTAGAACAATTGGCTCCCTGGCTTTAGCCCCCTTTCCAGGGGAGTGAATGGTTCTGTGTCAGTAGCATTCCAGGTGCCACTGGGGTACAAAAAAAACTCCTATAGCTAGCTTGGTGTCTGCCCAAATGGACGCCCAGTTTTGTGCTTGAAGCCCAGGGCCCTGGTGGTGAAGGTACCCAAGGAATCTCCTGGTCTGTGTGTTGCAAAGACCACGGGAAAAGCATAGTATCTGCGCCAGAATGCACCATCTGTCATGGCACAGTCCCTCATGGCTTCCCTTGGCTAGGGGAGGGAGTTCCCCGACCCCTTGCACTTCCCAGGTGAGGTGATACCACACCCTGCTTTGGCTAGCCCTCCATGGGCTGCACCCCCTGTCTAACCAGTCCCAGTGAGATGAGCCATGTACCTCAGCTGGAAATGCAGAAATCACCCGCTTTCTGCATTGATCTGGCTGGGAGCTGCAGACCAGAGTTGTTCCTATTCAGCCATCTTGCCAGCCACTCGAAGACCAAGTTTTCTTAAGTTATGCAGATACGACCTTGAATTAGTTCAGATTTCCCTGTGAGGACATAACTTCATTACATTTACAGGAAAGGAAAATACAAATATTATGTTAAAGCATCAAGAGCAGTCCAATTCCTTTATTGATTAGCTTCCCGGCCTTGCTCCCTGAAGTGACCTTTTGTTGTTGAAAAGCCACATGGATGAGATGAGCAAAAGAGGTGAGAAGCAGTGATTGAGACAATGCTCATTCATTGGTGAGCTTCTCTCTGCAAACAAATACAACTATATTAATCCCCCTTCAGAGACTTGACCGTGTTTAAAACATGAAAATTTTTGAATACCTAATACAATATTATGGTTCATAATTAAAACAAACAAATAAATAAAAGGATATTTAAAAAAGAAAACACCTCCCTTCCTCTCCTGTGGCTTAGCCACCTTTCCTTTCTAATAGGAAACTGACATTGCTAGGATCTGTGTATCGCCAGAGATACGTTCTTGTCCGCATAGCCATGCACAATTGCTTCTGCACAGTGGCAGAAGACTACACACGGTTCTGCACCTTCATCTTTTCAAATATTTACTTACTAGTGTAACTTTATCCCCTCCCCATATGTGGATACAGTTATCACATATTTACAAAGTTCTTGTGCAATTTAAAAACTTTAATCTATGGTAACAATCTTATTGCTCACCATCCTAGGCATATTTGGATGTTCTCAATAGATTCCTACAAGAGGACTTGATGTGGGTTTGGGATACATGAACAAACTCCACATGGGACTTGGGTAATCAGTGATTTTCCAGGGAGTTTGAATATGTCTTCCATGTATGTTCTTCATAGTATTTGCTTGTTTAGTGTGAATTTGTACCTTTATGTAAAGAGGATAAGGCTGCCGAGAGCCACAGCCTGCAGCTCAGTTGCTAGTTTAGGGATTTACCTATTTATTTGGCATCTAATGTGTGCCAGCACTGTGCTGAGGACTGCAGAATCGAAGCTGACTCAGGCACAGATATGCCTTCTGAGCTGTGTCCAGAGGAACCCATGGGCCAGTGGGGAGGGAGAATTGCAAGCCAGTTGATTCAATCCAGCGTGGACTGATGTAATGTGATGTGGTAGGGAGGGACACAGACAGGGAGAATGCACCCTGCTGGGAGAGAGAGGATGGAAGGTGACTGAGATGAGTCACATGGGAGAAGCAGGTGTTTGCAGGGAGATATCTGAGAGCAAGGCAGTGCTGTGGCCAGGCTTTGTACTGGGGAGTCATGAATGTTCAATGTGTGTGTGCCCCAGGGCCCTGCTGGTTGCTCTGACTAAAGGCCCGACTCCCACCTCCTAACCCTGGGGAGGGAAATTTTGGTTCACATAATCGAAAAGTCTGGGGTAAAAGGCTCAGGCCTGGGTGGAAGGAAAGACTGAGACAGTGGCGTCATGGCTTCCTCTTGCCACTTGGCTGCATTGCTTGTTGGGTTTTAGCCCTGCTCTCTCCTGTGTGAACGGCTTCCTTACAAGCCAGGGAAGAGGGTCTCCTTGCTCATGGTGTGTGGTCTTTGCTGCTCTGAACCCCTGAGTGATAAACAGAGTCCACCCAACACCTCTAGTAGAAACTTGTGTGGACTCGACTAAGACCTGTGCCGCTCCTGGACCTTAACTGTGTTGGGGGTGAGCAGAGGCTCAGCGAGGCTTTGTCTGTGATGGTGCTGACCTTGTACTCCAGAGGCTGTAGGGGGCAGGAAGGGCCAAATAAGCCCCCAGAGAGCCACACGAAACAAGGGTAAGAAAAGGCCCTGTGGAGATACTTTCTGTGCTGAGCTGAGCAGCATAAAGGAGATGCCATTGGGTTTGGCCAAGACCCTTCCTAAGACGGTTCCTCAACTGCTGGATAACCCCGGGGCTGGTGGGGCCAAGTGAGGTATGGTGACCCCAAAAAGAAAGGCTGCCTGCTTCCTCTGTGTTTTGTTTGGCAAAGGGGCTGCCCAGGCATGTGCTCAAGGCCTCCCCCGAGCTACACAGCCTGGATCAGCAGGCCCACCGGGCCATGGCTGGAGTGTGCAGGGAGCCTGGGCTCCCAGTGCCATCAGGTGGACTCTCAGTGAGTGCCCTTCTGTCCCTGCTTCACCCACATCACCCATCCCCATGACATGGCAGCTGGGAGGGTTGGGTGGGATGGGCACTTCTCCACCTCAAGGGGAGAGCGCTGCCTGGTCTGAGCCCTCTGGGTTAACCCTGCCCCACTGCACTATGCTCACACATTAGGACTGTGCAGTCAGGATGAATCCCAAAAGCCTGCCCTGATGTGAGTGGAGACACTTGTCCTAGGAGCTGCTGTGACACAGGGAACAACTGCCAAGGCAGAAGTAAACACACAGCAGTCACAGAGCCGGGAGAGCCAGAGGAACTGAGCCACAGCCCTGAGGTCACAGTGGCCACGGGGTCAAGCCCACCTAAGGCCCGCCTTACGTCTGTGATATGGTTTGGCTCTGTGTCCCCACCTAAATCTCATGTTGAATTGTAATCCCCACATGTGGAGGGAGGGAGGTGACTGGGTCATGGGGGCAGTTCCCCGATACTGTTCTCGTGATAGTGAGTGAGTTCTCACATGATCTGAGGGGTTCACAAGCATCCAGTGTTTCTCGTGCTTGTGCTTTCCTTTCTTTCCTGCCACGTGAAAGGTCCAAATTTGCTTCCCCTTTGCCTTCTGCCATGATTGTAAGTTTCCTGAGGCCTCCCCAGCCATGTAGAACTGTGAGTCAATTAAAGCTCTTTCTTTTATAAATTACCCAGTCTCGGGTATTTCTTTATAGCAGTGTGGGAAGGAACTAATACACTCTGGAATTCTTCCTTTTACTGCTAAGGGCTTCTTGAGTCGTGTTTCCTCACTTACCACCCCAGAACTCCAAGTTGGGGTACTGCCCGTTGGGTTTCCAGGGTAAATTCAGGGAGTCTTGGTCAGGCCTTTCTCAATCAATCAGAAAACTTTTGATAACACCACTCTCAGGGCCAAGGCTCAAGGTCTTTACGTTGGGCTTCTAGGAAACTCTTGGCCCCTTTGCAAATCGGCCTCCTCCCTTCAGTCATCTGAACAGTCCAGAGGCCTCCCAGCTCCTCCTCATGGGCAGCCTCTCACGGGCATGCATGGGCTGGCCTAAGAGGCATGCTCCTTGGAGCTTGGAATGTGCTGCAGTGACGAGGATCCCCTCCAAGCCCTATCACCACACAGAGAAGTCTCTGGAAACCTTTCACTGGCAGACACTTGTTCATAGATAGGAAAGGAGCCCACCAACTCTCTGATGGGAGAAGCAAAGTGCAGTGAATCCTACCACCACCTGCAAATACTGACACCTCTCTTCTATCCATCCAGCTCTGTGATTTTTGCACACTGCTTTCGGCATTGAATGTATTGTTTGTCTTGGGTCTTTAACTGCAGGTTTTATTTGACTTATCATGGGACCAAACCCAGCCAAGGTCCTGGCTTCCCTGTTGAGAATGCTCACATCGTCACAGGGACAGCTCCAGCCTTGGTTCTACTCAGCTCACTTCTCGCCTCCTGCCGTTTTCTCTGCCAGTCACTCCGCTCCGGCTGCTCCTTATGTTTTCCTCAGCACCCCCGGCAGCTGGGTCTGGGCGTGTTTGTGCTGGTGGTTCCTTCTGCACAGATGCTGCTCCCGGCCTTCCTGCAGGGCTCATCCCTCAGCTCCTTCCTGGATGCCACCTTCTCCGGTAAGCATGCCCTGACCACCCTCTTTCTACAGAGCTGGCTCTCTCCCTCTACTTTCTGCTTCATATATATATATATATATATATATATATATATATATGAAGCAAATATATATATATATATTTTTTCCCATATAGATAATTTACTTATTTGTATGTTTACTTTTATGGTACTACCATTCCCCAACCACCAGAATGTAAACCCCCGGAGGGCAGGGATCAGAGATCTTTGTCCATTTTGTTCCCCAGTGGATTCCACAAGCCCAGAGCAAGCATCTTTGTCAAAGGACACATGAGTGGATTTGAGGGACAGTGGACGGTGTGCTCACTAGGCCCCTCGCCAGCGGCCAGCCAGCCACGCTCCTGACAGCCAGCATACCGTGCAGGTGCATCCTTGCCAACACAAACCTCCCAAATTCCCCAGGTGAGAGATGGGAAGAGGGGATGGTCCCAGGGACTATTTACCTTCCCTGACCTCAAGTTTTCTTTCAAGTTTAATCTTTTAAATTATGAAACAAGCTACTAAACAAGAGAGGCTATAAAGCCACCGCAATTGTGGTTTCTGACAGTCAGTGGATTCAGGAGAGGGAAAATGGAGACGTCTGTTCCAGGAGCGGGAAGGTCGGGTGAGGCTCTGCTTCCCTGTGCGACTCCTCACCTGCTGGAAGTCTCTTCTGTTCACGTCGCTTCTAGGCTGTTAGAAGTTTAGCCTTTTGTTAAATTATTTAGAGCTTTTGGGGGCTGCCAGTCAGGATAGGATTAAAGCCAGATATTTCTTTCTTGGTCCTGTTGGCCTGCTGCTACATATCTTTAATAACTAAATGTCTTCAAGAAGCACAATTTCAATAGAAGTAAATTAGCATTTGATACAGATTAATCCTGCTGAATGAAGTTCACTCCAGATCACAGGAAGAGCCATGCTTTTGCTGTAGTCACCGCGAAAAGAAATTCTCAATGAAATTTAATCAAAAGTTACGTCTTCTTCCTTAAATTTTTTTAAGTTTTCTTATGCTAATTTGAAGGTGAAATGTACTTTGTATTAAGCTGATGATATGGAATTAATTTGATGTTAGAATTATTAGGAAAGTCATTAGAAAATCATAAATAACTTGTAAAAACCTTAGCAAAGCATTTATATGTCTATGGTGTCTTAGCTTAAAATTTGTCTTATGAACATATTACTTTCAGCAAAAATAAATAATTCTAACTCAACATTATCGACAATTTTAAAAAATAGCCGAAACCGTTCTTCCGTCTCTCAGTTAGGATTGTCATGCTGCTATTTGAGTGGGCTATGCAAGCTTATAAAAACCCTTCCTAACTGGAATTTCTCATCTTGTTCGTGGATTACCATAGTGTTAGAGGTTCATGATTTATTCACATTCTCAATTTGTTATGAATAGAGAAATGACAACTTACTCAATACTCACCTTTTATGAAATTTCTGTCTGAGGAAAGAAAGATACCAGTAGCTGCCATTTACTAAGTGTTAGCTATGGCCTAACTGTATGCTAAGCTTTTGACATATATTATCTCATTTAATTCTCACAACAATGCAAGGACATAGATATCACAACTCTGAATTTAAGAGATAGGGAGACAAAGGCTTCACACAGGCTAATGCATGTCTAGGTCTCTAGAGTTAATCAATAGACAAGACCCGAATCTAAGGCTGTCTGATGAAAGAAGCTTCAATCAATCACAGTGAAGCAGAGCCAAGGGGAGCGAAGAAGACAGAGGGACAATTACTAAACACCTACTGTTTGAGGGGCATTTTTACATTTAAACTGTATTAAGACATTTTACATTTAAACTTACATTAGCCTCAAAGCAAACTTCAAGGGAGTGCTCATGATCCTCTTTTCTGGAAGAAAAGATGGGAACCCAGGAAGCCTAAGGAATATTCATAAGGCTGGCCAGCCGGCAGCTGGTGAGCAGCTGAGCAGGGTTTGAATTCAGAGCTGCTGTGGCCTTCCCGTCACCATCTCCACTCTCTGGACCCTCCAGGCTGCTGGATTTCCTCCTGAGACATCACCTGGCCTCATCGTGAGTGTCTGTTTACTCTTAGGCATAATGGTCCCTCCCCATGGGTGTGTCTTTGTTTTTAAACTCCTTAAGACATCAGTGTCCTCAAGTGTGTTGGGAAGACAAGACAGGAAATGGAAGAGTAGCTTTGGGAACACATCCTCCCTCTCGAGACAGAGCAGGACCTCAGCTCCACTGTGGGCATTTTCCTAGATGTGATTTAATTTTTGGCTTTCAAGACAGCATAAAAGGTTTGCCTTTGCCCGGCAGACTCAAAGCAGAAGCTCCCCATGGCTGAGCGACTGCACACAGCAGAGAACTGAGCAGCAGGGTTGGAGGACATCGCAGGGGGTGGCTGCAGAGACCCTGGACATGCACCTTGCTGCCTCTTCCCAACACAAGGCATGCCATTGACCCGGCGTGTGCCTGCCCAGCCTCTGCTCTGGCCAACTGTGCCACCCATGGGGCCTCCAGCTGTGAGGCCTAACAGCCCATATGCCTGGCAGCCGGCCCTCTGACAAGCTCACGGGTGGGACTGAGACACCATCCCTCTCTGCTCTCTTCCCTCTGCATCTGAAGTGAATGAATACATTCATGTTTCAGGAGGAGAAGATCATAACTGTCAGGACTGTCACAGCCAGGCAGCAGTCATGTGGGGACTCTGTTCCTTTGAGCTTCAGTGTGGCTTTCTTGGGTTTGCAGATGACATTCAAGTGGGAAGGAAGAGGATGGCACTTTCCCCCTGAGAATGACTTCCTGGTCCAGGTGTGGTCCTGGAGGCGGTAATTCTTCGCTTTGATCTTTGTCCCTATAGTTCCTGTCTTCGGGGTGGGGTTCTCGGTCCCTCATGGCCAGGATGTTGCCCCCTCTTCTGCAGTCCTTCCTCAACCCTGGATTCCCTTTAAAACTCTGCTTCCCAGGGCTTCCTCTCTGGTTTCACGGGGCGACGATTTCACCTTTTGAGCTACCAGCAGGGTCCCAATCAAGGCAAAGGAGATGTGAAGAAGCGAGTGTGGCTTCCCTGAGGTTTTCACAGCCTCTCAAAGCTGCTGTTGATCAATAATAAATGGAATCCCAAGCAGACAGCTCCCAAGTCAAGCTGGAGCAGGCAGCAGCTCAGGAGGGGCATTCGGGGCGATGCCCAGGCTCAGGTCACACAGGATGGCCCCAAGCATGGATAGCTCCTTCCAGGCCACGCCCTGAGAGTCTGGCTTGCCTTAGCCTCTTCCTGCCCTTTGCTGGAGCCTCCTCCTGGGCTGAGGAGTGCCCATGGTGTGCATCAGGGTGATAGCCCTGACTGCCAACCTGACATTCAGGGCCACACCTGGGAGCCCTGTTGTTGGGAGAATTTACACCATGGGAACTGGCAAACATGGTGAACCAGCCACTTCTTACAACTGTTCTTCTCCCAAGCATGGGTTACCTGGTTATTAAGTATATTGTCCTTCCTCAGCCCAGCTAATTCTAACATCTTCTCTTAATTCTAACATCAGTGCCCACCTTGCTATAGTATGGGGGCTTTTAGAAAGCAGGGAGAAAAGCAGTGAGTGAGCATCTGTTCTTTTCATGGTGGGAAGGCAGCTGTGTGGACCATGAGAGGGTGCCTCCTGCAGCACATGGGGAGCACCTGCCCCAGCAGACTCCCAGCCTGGCAGTGGGCACTGGCCAGTCCTGGGTGTGTTTGGTGGAAGCCTCTCCATTTTCAGTCCCAGAAGGGAGTCTCCTTGTTGTGACATCTGTAAAAAGGAAGACCCTCTAGGAGGAGACAGTGCCCCCAAAAAAGGGCCAGTGTGGCCTCAGCAGGGCCCTCCTGGAAGAGGGTGCTTGTGGTTCTGGCTTTTTCTCCTCTGCTTCTGTGATGGGGCCTGTAGACCCAGCTGCTCAGACTGTGGGGCTGTGGGCAGGCTGTTCCTGGTCCCATAAGAGGGTGAAAGGTCTCACCTGAAATGCTGCCCTGCTTCCCTGTGTGGATGACACCTTCTGGGAGGTGTTTAATTTTCCAAGGCCCTTTGAAGGACCCCACAGATCCTTCAATTCAGTTCAAAACTAGGCCCAAAGGTATGGGGTCAAGACAGACTGGGCTTGGGAAGTACCTAGAGTCAGGGTGGTAACTGTCCTTGCACTGGTGTGGGCTCATTCTGAGAGGGGAGGAGACTGGACGTGGGGAATTCCACACACACTTCAGTAGAAAATATCTTGAGGGGACATAAGGACAGATAGTCCAGTAATGGAGGTTCTTCTTCCAGTATGGGAGCTACGCCCTTCATCTGGCATTCACTACTGGAGCCGAATGAACAAGGGAGACCCTACTCAGTCCTATAAAGAAGGGCCTTGTGCAGCCGGACAAAACCTGGGAGGTCCAGCCCTAAAAGCATGTAACTGTGGACCACTAGAGGGTCTGTTCTGTTCTGCGGAGTTCACCTGAAGTCCACCATATCTAGGAATTCAAGAAAGAAGAAAACTTAACAGGCACACAAAAATGTAATGTGAGTAGAAATTTGAGTAAAAAATAAAGTTCTCTATGAAATGACAAGAGCTGCATTTATGGCTAAAGCGTTGTGTATCAAGGATTCCATAGGAATGGAACCTGACCACTACCATCCCTCCATCACCACCTTCTCCTCAGCCCCACGTTGTGTTTCAAGCATGTCAATTTCATAGGAGCGGAGCCTGACCACTGCTGTCCCTCCATCACCACCTCCTTCCCACCCCCGCATTGTGTATCAAGGATGTGAATTCCATAGGAGTGGAGCCTGCCCACTGCCATCCCTCCATCACTGCCCCCTCCCCAGCCCCGTGCTACACTGCAGCTTCACTCGTGCTGGGCATTCCTACATATTTGTTGAGTGAACAAATGAGTTGATTATGCAATAGATTCTTGCATTGCTTCATAATAAATTATGATAAAGAAAATTAGAACTGAATCTCTTTTGAAACATTTGTCATGGTGATTTATGTCCAAGAAATGCTTTTATAAGCAGTCAATTTGTCGTATGAGTCTTTTTGGTTGTGACAGTGTTTATAATCCTGTACATTTTTATGAAGTATAATTACTCAAGCAAACAAAAAAGGGTATATCAGTTATTAAATTTTCTCTTATTCTCAAACAATTCTTTCTTAGACTGATGTGTATGACATCCTTCTAGTTACTTTTCCTCTCTCCCTCCTTCCTTCCTTCCCACTCTCCCTTCCCTCATCCTTTTTTTTCTATTCACAATCTTCTTTTTCAAATTTTAGAAATTATTTTTAATTGACATATACTAATTGCATATATTTATAGGGTTCTCTGTGATGCTTGACCTATGCATACAGCCTAGTGGTTAAATTAAGCTAATGAAAACATCGAGCACCTCACCAACTTATCACGTTTTGTGGTGAGAACATTTAAAATATACCCTTTTAACATTTTTTTTTTTTTTGAGATGGAGTCTCGCTCTGTTGCCCAGGCTGGAGTGCAGTGGCGTGATCTCGGCTCACTGCAAGCTCCACCTCCCAGGTTCATGCCATTCTCCTATTTCAGCCTCCCGAGTAGCTGAGACTACAGGCGCCCGCCACCATGCCTGGCTAATTTTTTGTGTTTTCAGTAGAGACGAGGTTTCACCGTGTTAGCCAGGATATTCTCAATCTCCTGGCCGTGATCTGCCTGCCTCGGCTTCCCAAAGTGCTGGGATTACAGGTGTGAGCCACCACGCCCTGCCAACATTTTTAAAATGTACAAATTATGATTAACCACGGTCATCACATTGTGCAATAGATCAGCAAAGCTGATTCCTCCCATCCAGCTGAATCTTTACACCCACTGACTGATGTCTCCCTTTTTCCATACCCCAATCCCTCAGTTTACAGTCTTCTTTTAATTGAATCAATCAATCAATCAATCAATCAATCGATTTAATGTCCATTCGCCCTGGAGGTCTCAGTTGACTTATCCCCAAAAACACCTCCAGGAAGCAGGATGAACTTCCTGTAATGGCCATTTGTGTTGATGTGGCAGATACTTTCAATAGAAAAAGTGTTCCATATACTCACCAAATTAATGATTTCCCTTGGGAATAAGCAGTTCACAGTCAGGTTTTGTTCTATGGATCTCTGTCTACCTACCCATCTCTATCCACTAAATGTGTTTTCTTCTGATTCTATGTTCCATACCTACAAATTATCAGAGACCCAGATGAAAGTTACACCTCTATACTGCCAATTACAGCAGAAAAGATCTGCATCTTTTAAAAGGGTTACTTGACTGCTTTAAATTTGAAGTTGTTTACTCATTTTATTCCTTTTGAAAATGATGTTTTAGGTCAGGTGCGGTGGCTCATGCTTGTAATCCCAGCGCTTTGGGAGGCCCAGGCTGATCACTTGAGGCTGGGAGTTCATGACCAGCTTGGCCAACATGGTGAAACCCAGTATCCACTAAAAATACAAAAATTAGCCAGGCATGGTGGCGGGCACCTGTAATCCCAGCTACTCAGGAGGCTGAGGCAGGAGAATTGCTTGAACCCAGGAGGCAGAGGTTGCAGTGAGCTGAGATTGCACCACTGCACTCCAACCTGGGCGACAGAGCAAGACTCCGTCTAAAAGAAAAAGAAAATGATGTTTTAGAAGTAACCTCATGACCGGCAAGAACAGAGTGTGGTTCTTGACCACTGTATGAGGAAAGCCAATGAATGCAGAGGGAGGCTTGCACCTGACTCCAGTTCACGGCGCTGCCTTTCTCTCCTTTATTCCTGCTGTACTTGCATTTAGATGACTTTCTTAGAAGTTCAGTTGCAGGGTAACCCCGTCCCATTGATCTGAGGACACATGGTGCTGGGGGTTTTGATGGACACAGAGAATCCTCTCCCCGCCTTTCAGATAGGAACTATTTGGAGCGGTTCTTGGCTCCCATCCAGGGCAGTCACCATTCTCCCTCCTGATCACTTAATCCATCAGAGGGAAGGACAAGTGAGAGAAAACACTGCTGCTTTCAAGTGTTTCCAGATAGAAGCACAATCCTGTTGCTTGGGTCTTTGTGAATGGGTTCTCTTTAAGAACAGGGATGTGAAATAAGAACCAGCTGAGTTCAGGATGCGCCAATCAAGCAATTTGTATTCAGAAAACTTCAACAATATATCTAAACCAAACGCTCTGTTTCAGCTTTGATCAGTGTATGAACAGTATGGGAATGGAGCAGGCTGAGGAAACCACTAGACTCTGGCTGAATAGCGGGGCCCCGCCCTCGGTAGGTGGGGAAAGTCACTGGACCATTCCAGGTCTCAGTTTCCTCATTTGTAAAATGGGAAAGTAAGAATGCGTGCTTTAGGTATTCCAAGGATTCCTGAGGACACACATACATGGTTTGAACAAATTGTCTGGCTCAGATTAAGTGTTTGGAAACTCTCTGGAGGTATTAGCGTACAGACGAAGCTCGGATCTAGGCAGGCAGAGCAGTTTCACCTACATCGCAGGCAGTTTACCGAGCATTCAACACCATGAGCGGCTCCGTGGAGGGAGATTTCCTGAGGTTTCCTGGAAGCTCAGACCTGCAGGGCTTGGAAGAAAGTTGGCCTCAAGTGGTCCCTAAGTCCTGTGCATTCCCAGAGGGTGATGCTGTCCACACTTCTCCTGAGGATAGAAGGAGGCCCATTCTCACTGCCAGACTGAGGGCTTTCCGAGTCAATCACCACCAGTGTAATCAGGACACTCCACTTCAAGGGATTGTTTGGAGCAGCCAGATTCTTTCTCTTCTCTCGCTATCTCTTCTTTGTCCGCTAGGTCCCCAGTTCTCTCCTGGCCATGGCTGGGTGGAGGGTCTGGCCTGATGCTCAGAGAGTCAGCTTGCACCGTGGGTGGTGGGCTGATGGCTTTTTAATTGGGTGTTGAGTCTGTGGACATAAAGAGTCCAAAGCCATCCCATTTGGAGGGGGTGGAGGGCAGATGAATCATTTTGCATTTTAATGCTTCCAGGGAACTTGTGTTAGTTTTCCTTTTTAATTTTATTTTTCTTTCCTGTTTGGACAACCTTGAGAAGTTTAGAAATGGTCTTAGGATCTTTATAACAGTGATTTTTTTTCCAAGTTAATGTTGGCAGAACAAGAGTTGTTTTAGTCTTACTTTGGTTTGTAAATGATACTTGTTTTAATTTTATGTTGTGAAGAACTGATTCAAACTGACTTACAGTGTTAGAAACAAAGATGCCTAACATAATTCCTGTTTTATCTCACCAAAATTAATTATTGTGTGAGCGAGTGAACCTTTTAATTTAGGTTTATGTTACAGGGAATACACAGTCATCTCTCAGTGACCCTGGGGGGCTGATTCCAGGACCCCCTTAAATACCAAAATCTATGTATGCTTAAGTCTGTTATATAAAATGGTGAAGCATTTGATATAACCTATGCACATCCCCCGTATACTTTAAATCATCTCTAGACTACATATAGTACCTAACACAATGTAAACACTAATAGTGGTTATGCTAATTATTTAAGAATAATGATGAGAAAAGTCTGTTCATGTTTGCCATAGACACAATTATTTTCCAAATATTTTATTTCTTTTTTTGCCCATTTAATAGTCATATTTTTACATTTTTTTTTTATCTCTATAGGTTTTTGGGGAACAGGTGGTGTTTGGTTACAGGAATAAGCTCTTTAGTGGTGATTTCTGTGAATTTGATGCACCCATCACCTGAGCAGTGTATACTGTACCCATTGTGTAGTTTTTTATCCCTCATCCCCGCCCACCCTCTCCCCTGAGTCCCCAGAGTCCATTGCATCATTCTTATGCCTTTGCATCCTCATAGCTCAGCTCTCACTTATGAGCAAGAACATACCATGTTTGGTTTCCCATTCCTGAAATAGTTTCCAAATATTTTCTATTCTCCATGAGTTGAATCTGCAGGTGCAGATCTCAGGGGTTTAGAGGACTGACTGTACCTGTCATCACAAACACCGGCCTGAGTGGTTCTGGGGTCCCACAGTCAGGATTGTAATCCCAGCTCGTTGCTGTCTAGCTGGGTGATGTTGGCACATCATCCCAGCTCTAGGGGTATTGGCATCCTTATCTGAAAAGTGAGGTAACGGTCCCCTCCTTTAGCTGTTGTGAGGAACACGTGAGATGACGTGGGTGAGGTGCTCATTTGGGCACTGGGGCCTGGCCCACGGTGCGTGTTCATAAATGTCACCAATCACTTGCAGTCTGAAATATGTAGAGAATCTTTTGCCTTCTTTCTCTCCCTCTCTCTCCCTCTCTCTTTCTCTCTCTCTCTCCTGTGCTGGCTCCTTAGGTAGTGGGAGGGTGGGAGGGGTCTACAGAAGCAGAAGAAAATGGCATGAACAGGGAGGGTTGTGACGGTGCCAGCACCAGGGCTGATTTTATTAGAACCTGGAACCCAGAAGCCCAATCTCAAAGTCCTGAAGCCACAGGCATCACCCACTCATTCAGACTCTCTTAAACATGTATTTAAAATACTTCTGACTGCATTTGACAGATGATAACTTTTCAATCTGGTATACATTCTCTTGTCTCCCTGCATGCTTTCAATTCACCTGCACCCCTCTCACTCAGCGCAAAGCTCAGCCTCTTGCCCAGGCAGCCCTGCCATTGCCCAGAGAGCAAGCCGGCCCTGTTCAGCCCAGAGGGCATTTCTGAGCTTGCAATGGCCCCTCCCAAATGCATGCTCCAGGGGCTATTCTTCGCAGGCATCTGGTCAGAAAGACAAAGGAGAAAAGGGCCCCCGAAGAGCATCCTCTCCTGTGAAACAGAGACCACAGGCCTCCTTCATCCTCCGCTGAGCTGGGGGAGAATGAAATGAGATTAAGGGTGAGATCAATTAAAAATGTGAAACTACGGCTTCCGTGCACGCCATGGTTTTCCCAGGACCTGTTGTTCATAGACGTCCGCCTTCACATTTTCTAAGTGCAGAGCTCTGTGCTTCTTGTGAGGGTCAGTTACGTGAAAAGCACCAGGAGATTCCTGAAATACAAATTCCCCTGAGCAGGGGCCAGGCTTGTCTCTGCTTTAGCCCAGAGGAGACAGACGTGCTCCTGAGTCCCCGTGCCTCCCGCCCATGTGTAAGGTTGGCTTCCAAGATGGGGGACACCTAATAGGAAAAGCCAGTATCCACACTGGAAGAAGTGGGTCATCTGGGCGCCCTCGGTGGCTGATCCCGCACCTGTGATCCCGCACCTGTAAAGCGTGTTTGCACAGATGTTGCCCACCGGCTCCCAGGCTGCCCTCCAGGTGCCCCTGTCCTGACTGGCCTGCTGTGCCGGGGCTGGCGTCTGACAGGCTCATCAGCAAAAATGCAGCTGTGTCAATCCGGGAGCATCAGAAGTCGAGGCTGTCCCTGCTGGGTTTCAATTTTGACCAAGTGAAATGTCAACATTTTTTTTTATTATCAGGAAGTCTTTTAATAGATTTTCAACATTAGACCTTAGGTCACAGAAAGAAATACAGGGCAGAAAGATTAGACCAATCCTCTCATTTGGCTTTGCTGAAACCGGTTATATTCACCCTATAAATAGTTGGCCCCGTGCAACCTTGAGACTTTTGAAAACCCAACTCCAACCTCCAGTCAGGGAGCTCAGGGAAAGCTTTGCTAACAAAATGTCATGAGGTTTACAAACCTAAAGGTGTCCCAGAATCATGTCTCCCTCTCTGAGTGAATCTAACACCTCCCCACGGAACACCTCCTTCCTCCTCGGCCTGCTGGGACTGAGTCCAGTGCTGTGTGCGCACCGCACACAGCGTCTCCGCATGGGAACAGAGCCCCTTGGAAAGCAAGGCCCACCCAGAGGACCCCACAGGCCTATCCTGTGAGAAAGTCCCCACCCTGCCACCCCTGGTCCCTCTGTCTCTGGGGAGCCCAGGAGCCTTTTTCTCTCACTAGAGCCCTGTGACCCGGGGCGGGGCTCGGCCCAGGCCTTGACCTCCCCTCTGGACCTTGTCTAGGCTCTTCACAGCACCCCTGGCTTTCTCCAGCCTGCAGGGACTTCTCTCTAACCTGGCTGGACTACTACTGAAAAACTCATTTTCAAACTTTTTCTGCTGAATCGACTCAATTGTAAACATCTTTGAAGAAGAACTGTATGTTGTAATGAATTATTTCACCTCTGGCCTGTTTCTCTCATGGCATTGAGCACCACGCTCGTGACAGGTGATGCCTTTTTATTGGCTCATTTATTAAAGGTATCATGTAATCTGCAAAGTAAATATCATGCAAATAAATGGTAATAAAAGATACACCTTGGAGCCCATACTATAATTTAAGAAGACACGCCATCACCTCTCAGGGATCCTATATGCCTTCTCGGATGCTGTCGGCATTTGACTCGCATCTCGAATTTCTTGTTCATAATTCTTTGTTACTACTTACGGTTCTATCAGGAGCGGTTGCTCACTCAGCCACATATTGTTACTTTTTTGCACATAATTTCATCTGTAGATGATTTTATTTTCCTTCTGGGACTTGCTTTTTTTCATTAAGAATTATGTTTCATCGTTGTTGCTTTTCGAGAGAGTGTCTTGCTCTGTTGCCCAGGCTGGAGTGCAGTGGTGTGATCTTGGCTCACTGCAACCTCCACCTCCCAGGCTCAAGCAGTCCTCCCACCTCAGCCTCCCAAGTAGCTGGGACTATAGGTGTGTGCCACCATGTCTGGCTAATCTTTGTATTTCTTGTAGAGATGGGGTTTCACCGTGGCTGGTCTCAATCTCCTGGGCTCAAATGATCAGCCCTCCTCAGCCTCCCAAACTGTTGTAATTACTTACAGGCATGAGCCACTGTGCCTGGCCTAATAATTAAGTTTTGAATGCTAGTTCAATCATTTTCACTCTGCATGCTGTTTCTTCAGACGAAAATATTGCAACCTATCCATTCTCTTGTCCACTAACATCCAGCTTCTTCTATATTCTTCTCTTCTGGAAACCTTCTTGTACATGATCCCTGAAATAGATGTGAGAGTTTCCCTCTAGTATACATGTGTAGGAATGGCCTCGCTGGCTTGTTGGATACACACATCTCCAGTTTTATGGAATATCGTTGTACCCATATCAGCTGTGAGTGTTTTCATTTCTCCAGTATTCTTGGAGAGATAATTTCCATATGGTAGTGATGGATATATTGGTTGTTCCAATATGATGATTAGAAATTGTTCTCTTTGAGGGTTTAATTTGCATTTCCCTAATGTGGACTATCTTTTCATACGTTCATTTGTTTTTCCTGTGTTTTTTCTTTTGTTAATTCTCCTATTCACACCTGTATTAGTCTGTTTTCACTCTGCTGATAAAGACATACCCGAGACTGGACAATTTACAAAAGAAAGAGGTTTAATGGACTCACAGTTCCATGTGGCAGGGGAGGCCTCACAATCATGGCGGAAGGTGAAAGGCACGTTTCACATGGCGGCGGACAAGGGAAGAGGACTTGTGCAGAGAAACTCCCTTTTATAAAACCATCAGATTTCGTGAGACTTATTTACTATCACGAGAATAGCATGGGAAAGACCCACCCCCATGATTCAATTACCCACCAGATCCCTCCCACAACATGTGGGAATTGTGGAAGCTACAATTCAAGAAGAAATTTTGGTGGGGACACAGCCAAACCATATCAACACCTTTTGCTCTTTTTTGTTTTAGGTTCTAATTTTCTTGTGTACATCAAGAAACTTATATATGCAGTATAAAATATGCAGTGTAAAATTCTTTGCATTAAGAAGCTTATATATGCAGCATAAATTCCAGATACTGATTTTTCATTGTTGTGTGTGTTGCAAATATCTCCTGTTAGTTTTTAGGCACATTTCTCACAATTTCTTTATACAGCTTTATTGAAATTCTTAATTTTAATATATCGTATAGTTTATTTATGCTTATTCCAAAATGACAGTTTTTTTCTCTTATTAATAAAACTTTTCCTATACTAAGGTGACAAAGATATTCTGCCTATTCTATTGTAAATTTTTTTTAAACAACATAAATGTATCTCTCATGATTCTGGTAGCTGGGAAGTTCAAGATCAAGGTGTGGGCTGAGTCAGTTTCTGGTGAGGCCTCTTCCTAGCTTGCAGACAGCCCCTCTCCCAGTGACCTTACAGGACCTTTCTTTGGTGTATGCACATAGAGAGAGGAGTGGGGTGGGCAGGGAGAGCTCTGTCTCTTCTTATGAATTCACCAATCCTTTTGGTTTAGGATCCCACCTTTATAGGGTCCTAATTGCCTAGTAAAAGCCCTATCTCCAAATTCAATCACACTGGGGCTAGGACTTCAACATATGAAATATTGGGGCTCCCATTCTGTTGCAGGTATATTCATCCCATGAAATACTACTCAATAATGCAAAGGAGCGAGTGACTGACTTTCACAGACACTGTGAGTGAAAGAAGCCAGATACTGAGGAGTACATGCTTCGGATTCCATTTAAATAGTGACAGGATTTAAAGAGTATTTGACTGTGGGTGAGGGGAAGTTAGCTAGGGAGGGGGTACAGGGGAAACTTCTTTGGCAATGCTTTGTCTATATTGGGGTGAGAGTTACATGGGTGTATATATTTGTCAAAATACATGGACTGTACACTTAAGACCTGTGCATTGTGTTTAGACTATAGATTTTGTTTTGTTTTGGTATGGTTTGTTTTTTGAGACAGGGTCTCACTGTGTCACCCAGGCTGCAGTGCAGTGTGGCACAATTATGGCTCACTACAGCCTCGACCTCAGGGGCTCAAGTAATCCTCTCGTCCTGGTCTCCCAAAGTGCTGGGATCATAGGTGTGAGCCACCATGCCTAGCTTGTGTAAAATACCTTAACGAAGCAAAGGCAACTAACTAAGACACCTCCCTGGTGATTTTCATGCACTCCCAGGTTAGAGGGTGCTATTTTGGTAGAGAAGTTCCATTTTATTTATTTTTAAAAATAATTTCAACTTTTATTTTAGATTCAGAAGGTACATGTGCAGGTTTTTTACGTGGGCATACTGTGTGACAGTGAGAGTTGGGGTAGGGATCACCCCATCACTCAGGTAGTGAGCATAGTAACTAATAACCGGGTTTTCAACCCTTTTCTTCCTCCTTTCTCCCTCTCTCCCCCTAGTAGTTAGTCCCAGTGTTCTAACATTTTAAAGTTTTCATCAGTAATTGACTTTTATATATGATTAGTTATCTCATATAGATAACCAATTGCTCTGGTTAGATCTTATCGAATAGTTCATCAATAACCGATGATTGCAAGCACTTCTGTCCTATTTCATTTTCACCTATGGGTAGGACTCTTTCTGGACTCCATTCCGTACCGAAGACGTTCTAGACAGAATCCTTTGTCAGTTATACACTCTCTTCCTTGCCGTGGCTGAATGCTAATATCTGATAGAAACAAATCCCAACGCCATGATTTTCTTCAGTAATATCCTGTCTGTGAGACTCATCTTTAGAAATTGTGTATCAATACTGATTTTTATGTCAGTTCTTATCCATTATTTTTCAAAGGAGATATAATCTCTCACTATTGTGGTAGATATTTTAATTTATTCAAAAATGTAATTTTTGCTGTATTTATTTTGGAGTTCTACTATTTTTACAAGATTAGAATTTATATATCTTTCTGGTAAAATTATATGTTTCCATTTTTCTGGGTGGATTATGCACTAGTGTGGCTTTCCTAGCTAATATCTATTTTGTCTGAGGTTAACATCATCATACCAGCTTTATTTGAATTAGTAGTTGGCCTGTGACTTCTTTTTCAGTCTTTTAATTCCAAACTTTCTGTAATCTTTTTTAAGAGGTCTATTTTTAAAAGCATATTGATGAATTTAATTATAATTATTTTAACAATAAGTCTTTAAACTAGAAGTTTACATTTTTTGTGATTTCCAATACATTTGGATTTATTTACAAATAAATCCATGTGTGTTATACTCCGTAATTTTTTCTTATCTTTCTTTCTTTGGTTCTATTTTTAATTTTTTTCACATTCCTTTTTTTTTTAATCCTCAACTAGCTTGCAAAATGAAGACTTTTATAACTCCTTTTACTGGTTTTCATAGGAGTTGTAACAAGGTTTTTTAACTTGATTAACCCCAAGTGAAATAGATCCTTACTTTCCTTCTAAACAGTAAAAGAGACTTGGATTTCCTTCAGTTTAATCACATCTTTTATATTGTGTGCTATCCAGCATTTTATAGTTTCTAATATTTTATTTCTGTATTTTATTTCTTAGCTTGGCACTTTTTCACCCTATTATTATTGTTTCTAAAGGCAATGCTTGTTGAGATTTACCATCATGTGTATATTTTCTCTGTTGCCCATTTCTTTTGGCATTCCAAATCTTCCTTTGGGGTTGCTTTCTTTCAGACTGTAGTGAACACTCTCAATTTTTCTTTGTCAGAAAAAATATCTTCCTAGTGCCCTCGTTCTTTAAGATGGGGATTCTGGTGACAGCAACTTTCTGACTCTAGGTGACAGTAACTTTCTCTCAATATTTAGAAGTCATTCCATTGTCTTCTGGTTTCTACTAGTGATTTTGAGAAATCAGCTTTCAGTTTGGATGACTTTCCTTCATAGACAGCCTATCTTTTATTTCAACTTGGTAATAAACTTCTCAGTTTCTGATTACAGGAAAACATCCTCATTTGCCCTCACTCTTGAAGAGTACTTTGGGGCATCCAATTCTGGGTTGGCGGTCATTTTTTCTTTCTGGCTTCATTGAAGATCTTGTCTTTGCCTTTGATGTCCTACAAAGTCACCATCGTACATGTAAGTGACAATTCATTTCTGTTTATAATTTATTTGGCTTTCTTCATATAAAGATCTTTTTTTTGCCCACTTTGGAAACTTATCAGTCCTGATTTCTTCAAATATCTTCTTTTCCTAATTGTCTGTTATTTTATTCTTCTGGTACCTAGATAGATGCATATTAGGTCTCATTTGTCTATTTTTCACTCTCTTAGTGTTTCTTTTCATTTTTGATTATCTCTGTTGAATTAGGAGTACTTTCTTTAGGCATACATTCCAGTTCATTTCTCTCCTCAGCTGTGTCTAACATTTATCTAATAGCTAATATTCGAATCTCCATTGTTTTTCTTACTTTAACTACTACATTTTCCATTTCTAGAGATTGTATGTACTTATTTTACAAGTCTGCCTATTTACTTTGATAATATTCTATTGTTTTCTCATATCTTCAGTATTCTATTTTTCCTTTCAACATATTTAATATAATATCAAGTATTAAATATATTTTTACTCTAGTAATTCAGTTATTTGAGATCTCTGTGATCCTTATTGTGTTGGTTGTTTCATTTACTTTTCCGCTGAATTTGGAAAGTAGTGTTTTGTTTTCCCAAATGCTCTGTCACTTTTTTTAAAGAATTATAAACTCATGATTATTAGAACCTTATCCATGAAAAATTCTTGAAGCTTTTGTTTAAGGCACATTTTTTTCCAGAGAGATCTGATGACTTCAGCCAGGTTCCTGAGTGCAGAGTCAAGTCAGGAACATTTTATTATCATGAGTTCTAACTTCTCCTTTTGAAAATAATTAGACTTACATAAAAGTTGTGAAAATAGTTCAGATTTTTCATATTCCCTTCTCCCAGGTTCACCTACTGTTAACGTTCACCTGTCCATAGTATAATTATCAAAATCGGGGAATTAATATTACTACAGTACTTACAGTTAAACTATAGGTCTTTTTCAAAATCTACCAGTTTCCCACTATTGCCCCATTTCTGTTTCAGTATCAAATCCAGGGCACCATATTGCATTTCTACATCTCCTTAGTCTCCTCATATCCGTGTCATTCCTTAGTCATCCCTTTTCTTCCATGATCTTGACACTTCCAAAGAGTACTAGTGAGTTGTTTGATAGAATATCTCTCAACTTGCATTTATCCAATATTTTTTTTCATGACTAAATTGAACTTACACATTTTGGCCGAGAATAGCATAAAAATAATGTACCCTTCTCAGGGTATCATATCATGGTCAGTGTAAACTAAATTCTCAGTGTGGTGTTATGAGGCTATACGGTGGCATGACTTAGAGGCCTAAACCCATGTAAAGGCCAGTTTGTGGTTACAGAGTCTCAGGAAAAACTTGCTTCTTTACGCAGAGCCAAGCCTTAGACAACTGTGTTTTATTGTTTTTATTATTACTATTAATTTGCCATTTTCTTTCACCTTTTAACTACAGGTATAGAGTTTCATATTTCCATTTTGTGGATGTGGATCTGATTTTATACCTCACAGTGAGCCTCAGCTTTATCTCTTTCCTCCATGCACACGCTTTACTAAACTGAGAGCTCTAGACCTTAAAGGATGAACAGATACAATTAGGTCTTGGAATACCTTGGAATTTGCCCTTTCTTATTAATTTTTGCTTTAGTCACTCATCCTTTCTTTGTGTGCATTGAAGGAAATACTGAGAAATATATGTATGTATGCATATATATACACACATATGTATATACACATACATATATATTCAATTATATTTTATTTATAATTTTAGAAGTTCTGTGTCTGGAGGGTTCTGAGATTATCTGACCTACTGTTTAATAAATATGGACTGAATGAATTAATATATATATATAAATTAAGTCTATTTTATGAATCTATCTATAGAATACACTCAGAGGTGTTACCAATATTTTGTACAAAGAAATTCATTGTAAAAGTATTATTTATAATCAGGCAGGATAGGGAAAACTGGAAAGTGGTTAAGTGAATTAGGGTATGTCCATTTGAGAAAATATTATGCAGCCATTGAAATTATGTTTCAAGGTATTTTTAAAGGTGTAAGAAAATGTAGATATATTATTCATCAAAGTAAGTTAAAATATGTTAATTTTAAAAAGTCATAGAAAGCCCTTATAATAAATGTGTCAAAAGTTAACAGTGTTTACCTGTAATTCTCATACACTTCTGTGCTCTCAAAGTTTTCTACATTCATACACATTTATACTTTTTGTAATCAGAGAAAATAAAAGGATGGAGTGAAATGAAATTTAAAGCTGCATTCATGAAATAAATATAGAGCATCTATAATATTATAGGTATGGCAACAATGCTGCCATCTTTTCAGCCAGCATTTACAGTGAAATTACGGTTAATAAGACAATTAAAGAATAGTGTCTTCTGATTAGAAAACCTTCCCCAACAACTAGATAGCCAGAAAACGTTTGTGGAGATAAAACTAGAAAATGTTACTAGTTGTCACTTATCTTTTTTCATTCTCCAGTAACAAATAGAGGAAGGTAGATATTCAGCAAGGCAGAAATCAATGCAGTGAGTTTTCTCTTTCCAGGTTGACCCTAGAACACCTTTGTTGCATTTCTCTGGGATCCAGGAACCTGGGACCACGTCCTGGCTCTGCAGCTGATGGGCTGCAGTTTTCCTTACTGACAAATTAGATGATCTCTATCTAGGACTTTTTGATTTGGTGATTCCAAAGGTAGGGTTGCTATAGGAAGTGGATTTTTCATTTTATGAATATTTTCGACAGTTACATTTTGTGCTGACTATAAAATAAGAGTTTTATGAAATTCAATTTTTTTCTTTACGAGTAGCCTTTTGCGGTTCGACTATTGCAATATTTATTTGGACATGTTCAGTCCGGAGTCATCCCTTTCATCGGAACTCGGAACAGTAGTTAGGGTTTGTGGGTCAGTTGTCCAATACTGAGAGTTTCACTGTCTTAGAGGTTAGATGAAATCATACAAGTCACCACCATTGAATGTGAACAGGTTAAAATAAGAGTTATAAAGTGAGGGGTGGGGTAGAAGTTGCTCCTTGGATACTCTGCAATCTCAGAGTCTTGGTGGCAGCACAAATTAGCAAGTATTATGTAGAGAGATTTGCAGAAATCTCCATGCCTCCATAAAATAAGTTTCGGAAGGTTTTATATCAAAAAGAAATATAGAAAAATGTTAACGTAGATTTTGCTGGTGAGTATGGGAATATTCATTTTCTGTTGTTTCGTGTATGTTATACTTAAAGCATTCTCAAATTGAAAAGAGAAATCTTCATGAGCTGGATTTTGAAGCCTGACAGGGGTGCCCAGCTGCTGGAAGCCGGTCCTGTCCTTGCACGAAGGTCAAAAGGCCACTGAGTTGGAGACACGTCTCCTATCATGGTCAATAATCGCCTAAGTGATCCCAAGCAGTGGTTTTGGGTTGGGGATCACAGAGTTCCTTGTTTTCTAGCCAAGAAACAGCAAACAGCCCCATCCACAGCAGAGGTGGAGCTCCACAAGCATCTGTGGCCAGAGCCGCTTCTGTGAATTCCGACAGTCGTCAGCATCAAGGACAGACTGGTGTGGTCGGCAAGAACACACACTCCTCCTCCTCAATCTGTCTCTCTGGGCAGACTCACTCCTTGAAAGAAAGTCAGACCCTTTACCATTTTTCCCTGCCAAGCTGCGTCTACCTTGAATTCTGAGGGGCGTTGAACGACGCCTTGTTCACCATGCGTTCCCTTCACTCCTCTTTAATGTTCATCTGGGAGAGCACGAGCAGTGGAGAGAAAGGGTTATTAATTTCTGGCTTCTTGTTTAAATTCTTTTATGTCTTTTTCAGAAGGGATTACAGCTCCTATGGAGATTGCTGTCAACCATCAGATCTGCTTTTTTGACACAAGGTTATTTGTCTCCTTTCTAAAATATGCATTATTCGGATGCAGTGAAAAGGTATGTGCTTCTTTTTGATACAAAAATACGGAATTCTTAAGCTGAGCTTGGCCTGGTCTTCCAAACTCTTCTGATTAATCAAAGCCTCATATTATCACCAGGCCA
Organism: Homo sapiens; assembly: GCF_000001405.40. Lineage (NCBI taxonomy): Eukaryota > Metazoa > Chordata > Mammalia > Primates > Hominidae > Homo > Homo sapiens. Next base: position 3,693,876 of record NC_000005.10, read on the forward strand.
CAGCGTTAAGGGTATGAATGGAAAGTGCATTAAAGAGAAAAGTGAAGAAATACCTTAGTGCATCAATCTGCTATCTTTGCTTCACGTAAATTTGTTTTTTAAGCTAGAAGTTGTCAGAAGCTATATTTGTGAATTGTGTTTCCACTTTCAGTATAAAACAAACAAAAAAAAATAGGTAGAGGTACTGAAATTTCTTTCCAGTACTGCGATTATCCTTGACCTATACTTTAAAAAGCAAGTTAAAGTAGTTGTGGAGAAACACTCTGTCTTCCCTGATTGTACATTACTCCCTTCTAATTAGGGCAAAGGATGGAAGCAAGATATGCTATCAAATACACCTACTGTGAACTATATGACATATTTTTGATGTAGAAATGCAGAAACAATTAGATTCTTTTCAACAGAGAACATAGACTTTATCAGGGAATTATTACTTTGCTAATTGGTTCTATGAAAGTACAAAGCTAGGTTCTTGGCTTATTCCGGTCCTCAAAATGTGGTGCTCGATTGTTTACATGTCTCCTTTGATTGGCATCACCTGTGTCCTAAATAATTGCGTTTTGATTCAAGTCAATATTGTCTGCATTTGTCATGCATTGAGTGAAAACTTTGGAGTAACTGTTAGGATAATTGGGCATTGGGGATTCTTAGAAGTCTTTATTATGTGGAAATGCCTAAATAACATCTGTTCCAACATTTCTGTTATTCAGGGCTGCTTTGTAGTTGCCATGTCTTCAGGGACCTTCAAAACAAGAAACAAAGAAATTCAATATAAACTGCACTTCATGTAAAGCCCTTTAAACCCATCAAGAGAGTGCGACCTGGGTCTGGGTTAGCCCGAGCCTTAGTGGAGACAGAAGAACTTCCCCAACATGCTGCCCCCTCCCCAATTTTAATGTAAGTCCTGTTCGCAGCTCTTCTGATTTTTTCTTACCATCAGGAATAAGGATAATTTGAGGACACTTTACTGAGGGTAGTTGCTCTTCAAACTAAATGGAACTTTGATTCTCAACATACATTTGCATTTTAATCCTGGGTAGTCAGCACAGCTCTTGAATACTTGTGGCTTTTGAATGAATTTGCACCCAGATTGCTCTCAATTGAGATATTCTTTCCCAGGAAAGGCGTGGTTTTGGTGCAATGTGGTGAGTAACCACCATGCTGGTGGAGACGGGACTTAGGAGCTGCCACTGGGAATGGGTGGCTGCTCACTACACTGTCACCACGCTCAGGAGGATGGAGCAGGTGAGTCCACACCTGCCTGCCATGCACCTGGGCTATACTGCCATACTGAGCATGACATCATGTACACTGCAGAGTCGGCTTCACTGACGGCTGCAAGCAACAGTGCTCAGTGGGGTGGGATGCTGGGGTGTGAGGTGTGGAGTGCTGGGGTAAAGAGTGTGGGTTAAGCAGCATCTGGCCTGCCCAGGCTCTGGGTAAGCTAATGGGAGGCTGTTGGTGGCCGTGGTGTTGGGGGAGTTGCGAGGTGGCCGTGCATTGGAGGCTTGGGGGCGGGGAAGTCAGATGGAGGCCTAAGCTCCTTGCTTCCGGTTTCCAGAAGGAACCTTCTTCCCTCCACCTCCCCCACTTTATGTCCATCTTCAATCCAGACCACCTGTCCTGCAACCTCAAGCTCAGAAGCAGAGGCCCAAGACTGTTTTCGAAGCTCCCACAATGGCATGAAATCAAAGGTTAAAAAGAAATCCCTCACTCTACATCATTTCTAGTGACCTTCTCTGATTGAACTCTGATGTCTATCAGTCTGTATGACACAGCTTGTTAGTGTGTGTATGTGTATGTGCATAAGTGTGTTTGTGTGTGTATGTGTGTGAGTGCCTGTGTATGCATACATGTTTGTGTATGTGTATATACATGAGTGAGTGTATTTGTGTGTGTTGTGAGTGTGTGTCTGTGTATGTGTATATGCATGAGTAAGTGTATTTGCGTGTGTGTATGTGTGGATGCTATCTGTATGTGTATGGCTATAAAGGACTTCTCTAATTTCTTTTAGATTATTCTTATGCTTTTGTACTTTTAAACTTTTGGGAGATCTCTGGGTCGGCCTTTTCCTTGCCTCTCAAGGCCCAGCCCACCTGCCCATCACCCTGAGCTAAGAAGAGTTAGGATGGGAGGGCCAATAGCCAGGGCAGGCACATACCTGCTTTCTGACTTTGTCTTCTGGGCTGATGTAACCTGAGAGCCTTAGGACATAGACCTGAACTGAAAAACAAAACAAAGGAAAACCAACCAAATCAGGGTATTAATTGAAGAAGATAGCACTTGTGTCAGGAATTAATGGCATGTAAATGAACTAAAGCAGCAAGAGACAGGACTCAGGGGAAAAATACCAGAGGAATAGGGGCAAGATCTGAGAGTTGCAATAGAAAATGATTGGGGTTCTGGGGGCAGAAAAGGGACACATGGGAAAAACAACCCGACAAATAATAGATGAGAATTTCTGAGCTAAGGAGATTCCCACCTCTGCAAATTGAAATGGTTAATCAACATCCACACCTAGATGTCTCTAAAATCAAAGAAAAAAATTCTAACAAGTTTCTAGGCTCAAATACCCAGCCATTAACCAAACAAAGGCATTAGGTTGCTATTTGTTTTTTTTTCAAGTACAAACAGTGCAAGTAAAATGCAGTGAAATACAGTCAAACATAATCAGGTACATGCCAGGTGGCTCAAGAAAAGGACTGCACACTAGGATTTCTATACCCAGCCAAGCAATCACTGACCTATTCAGGTGTAAGACATTTAAAAATATACATGTTTCAGAGAATACTCAAACTGTGAGTCTACCAAATACACAAACTGCAAGCTAATCTGAGCCAAATACCCAAGGAAAATCTAAAGAAACAGCAAAGAGGACAGCCCCAGCCGCTCCAAGCTGAGCCTGAGTGGGCCTCTCTCTCTCTCACTCTGAATGCATGATTATATACTTACTCTCTGGGAATGTGTAATTATGTACCACATTTTGTTTCTTGAAATAGAAGAGACATATTGCTAGGGAAAATCTTATGATGATCTGAAGCAAAATCAGCTAAACCCTTTCAGCAAAACCTGGGGAGTGGCCAGGTTCTAGGGAATCTGCCTTAGGGCACGGGATGGACAGTGCTAAAGACTCAATATCCTGCACTTCACAGCATCCAGTTTAATTGGAATGGGATGTTGTGTGTGGTGAGGTGCAGCGGGCGGGTGGGGGGCGGGCGGAGCAGTTGAAAAAGTAAAACAACTTCTTGTGGAAAATAATATCCATATCTCTAAAAAGAAATGTGTTGCACTATAAATGTGAGGAAAGAACAGGTAAGCAAGAAAAGAATAAAGAATAAATGGAACTCCTGAATTGATGAGCAGGAAAAACGAAAGCATTGAACCAGCAAATAAATCCAATAGGAAAAATTAACCAAAATAAGTAAAAATTGTAAAATAAAGTAGAGATTAAAGTCGAGTATATTCATCCTGATATCATTTGTGAAGGAACTGAATTCTTCCATGAAAAGCAGGGACTATCTGATGAGGTCAAAACTCAAACTCTAGCTTTATGCTGTTAATGAAATTGTTTATTTTCCTATCTTCTCTGCCTAATCAGAGTAACTGCTATGTCCTAGACACCTAGATTTTATTAATTTTTTTTTTTGAGATGGAGTCTCACTCTGTTACCCAGGCTGGAGTGTAGGGGCGCGATCTCGGCTCACTGCAACCTCCGCCTCCCGGGTTCAAGCAATTCTCCTGCCTCGGCCTCCAAAGTAGCTGGGACTGCAGGCACGTGTCACCAGGCCCAGCTAATTTTTGTATTTTTAGTAGAGACGGGTTATCACTATGTTGGCCAGGCTGGTCTCGATCTCTTGGCCTCATGATCCACCCACCTCAGCCTCCCAAAGTGCTGATATTACAGGCATGAGCCACTGCGCCCAGCCTCTATTGAATTCTTTACTGCTTAGCGAGGCAAGAACATAGAAGTAATATATTTTAGAAAGGTTTCCAACACTAAGACCCATATGAAATAATTTCTGCTGAATCCCCCATTGACCAGTTTAATCCATTCCTTGGAAGATCATGCTTTCCTTAACATTTTTATTAATTGAAATTTTACCACATGTAAAACAGTACATTCAATAATTAGCAATGTCTCATGAGGTAGTTTGGTTTTGTTTACTGGAAAAAAGGAGTTAAAAAAAAAGACTGGACAACTGTGATTCTATCTGTGCAAATTTATAATTCCTTATCCAGCTATTTCAGAGTTCCTAGTAAGAACATATATTACCATGAAGGTTCATTCTGCTTGGTTTATCATTCCTTCTCTTCCTTTTTATTGACTCTCGCCAGCTCTTGAGCCCTTCAGGAAGATGTTCAGCCTTGCTCTGAGTTATTAGACTGTACCAATTATTGTACTGGACTTGCCCACTGGGGAGCTCTTCCCATTGTCCCTGGAACATGCTGGGAGGGTTATCAGCTCCCGACCCCACTCCCAGGGCTGGGGCTGGGTGTTTGTGCCAGAAACTGCAGACATCCTACCCTCAGACTTTCCGTGTGAAGCCTGATCTGCACACCACGTGGAAGCACTCTGCAACGCAGGTGTCTGAAAAGGGATGAGAAAGCAAACCTGTGGCATCCTCCTTATGTGACCCTCCCGGCCCTCCCGGCCCTGAGCCCAGCTCCTCTTTCCGCTGTGCAACTGGGATAAGGGTGTACCCAGCCTCAGAGTGGGGTCTGTTCCTCATACCTACTCAGAGGCAAGGCACTCTGGAGAGTGCGCCAGCGTGGCCTGGCGCCAGCCAGCCTCTCCAGCTGAGCCCACCAAGGGGCTCCAGGAAGCACTTGTGTATGCTCAGCGATGGTGAACAGAGTTCCTTCTGACTTACCTGCCGTGAGATGTCCCCGAATGAGCCATGTTCCAGAGAGAGTGAGAAGCTACAGGGTGCAAGTTTGCAGTTTCTGGAGTCAGTCCACTGGCCTGTCAGCTCCAGAACTGCCACATAAATCATAAATGGTAGCGATTTGTGCTGGACATGCATCTGCAGGAGAAAAAGAAACAAATGAGCTGCCGTTGCTTTTCTACTATTTAATTTTGGAGATGTTTCCCCAGTGCACCGTTCTGGAGAAAATGTCCACATAAACAAATTATTGTTTTACCAGCCTTCCTCATGAATGCTTTCCAGGCCTCCTCCAAAAGCCATAGCTGTATGAAGCAGGGAACAGTTTAGGATTTGGAAAGGAAGGAATACTGCCAAGTAAGTTGCTTAATTTGAAACTTTATTGGTGATTGGTTGCTTTCTACCATTTTTTTTTCCTAGCTGCCATCATGCTTTTTTCACCTGACAATATGTACAGAGACAATTTGAAAATGTCCAAAGGTAGAAATAACTGTTTAAATATTTTTCTAGAGAACTCGTTTATTCTTGTGCCAATAATGAATCACTTGACTGTATAGTTTTTCAGAGGACGAGCTCTCCAAGTCTCTTTTTGCGCAGATGAAAAGTGTGGGTACTGCGGACGACTTGGGATGGTAGCTCCTCGTGGGGACACTGCTGGCTCTGAGCGCTCTGCAGGGGGGACAGTGTCTTCCTCCTTGGACTCTTCTGCATCTGCCTAGGTTAGCTGAATCAAATTTCAAAAAAATCCAGAAACCTAACGAGAAAATAGAAACGTATCCAAGCAAAATAATTTGTTAACTAATGATTACTTTTGCTATGAAGAAGAGGGAGACAGAGGTATTAACATTTCTGAAATGAAAAGAGTCAATTCTGGTTTTGAATTTCTGGCAGTGCAGAGTGTTCCATTACTCAAACTCGTCAGCTTTTGACCCATCATTTTCACTTGTCGGGGGAAGCCCTCCACCCCTTGTTGATTTAGTTATATTACCCCTTATATTCCCATTTCCTGCTGCATCCCCTCAACTCCAGAGCCTTGCAGTGGGTGAGGAGCCACCTTTCTATTGCTGTGTGATCTTATGAAGGCCCGTCCTGTTGCCATTTGCACATGTATTTTAAATCGATGGTAATGGCTCGGATGGTGGGAATGTAAGATGGCACAGCCCCTGTCGAATACAGTATGGGAGATTCTTAGAACATTCAAGATGAAATTACCATTCTAATTGTGGGTATACCCACAAATAATTGAAAGGATTGAAAGAGGGCCCCAAACAGGTGTTTATCCACATTCCAACAGCGTTATTCCCAGGGGCTAAGACAGGGAGGCAACCCAAGCATGTGGCGATGCACGAACAGATCAACAAACGTGGCACGTCCATGTGATGGAACTGTAGTCAGCCTTCAACAGTAAGGAAGTTCTGACACATGCCACAACATGGATGAACTTTGAAGATACTGTGTCCAGTGAAATAAGATAGGCATAAAAAGATAAATACTGCCTGATTCCACTTGTATGAGGTCCCCAGAGAAGTCAATTCAGAGACAAAGTGGAAGGGTGGGTAGCAAAGGCAGGGGTAGGGGAGGGGGAGATAATGCTTAATGGGTGCAGGGTTTTAGGTGGAGAGGATGAAAGAAGTTCTAGAGGTGGGTCGTGGTGATGGCGAAAGTACAGAAATGGGAAAGTACTTAATGTCACAGAATTGTACGTGGTTAAGAATAATTAAACTGAGAAATTTTACCTTATATATATTCTGATAATAGTTTTGAAACGATGCTGCTAGTAAAATGTTCTGTTTCTCCTCCTCCTCCTTCTTCTTCTTTTCTTCTCCTCCTCCCCCCTTCCTCCACTCCTCCTCCTCCCTCTTCCTCTTCTCCTCCTCCTTCTTCTTTTCTCCTCCTCCTCCTTCTTTTCTTCTTCTTCCCTCTTCTTCTCCTTCTCCTCCTCCTCCTTCTTTTCTTCTTCTCCTCCTCCTCCCTCTTCCTCTTCCTCTTCTCCTCATCCTTCTTTTCTCCTCCTCCTCCTTGCTTTCTTCTTCTTCCCTCTTCTTCTCCCTCCTTCTTCTCTTCCTTCTCCTCCTCCTCTCCTTTTTCTTCTTCTTCTTCTCATTCTCCTTTTTCTTCTCCTTCTTCTCCTCCCTTCTCCTCCTCCCTCCTTCTTCTTCTTTTCTTCTTCTCCTCCCCCTCTTCCTCCACTCCTCCTCCTCCCTCTTCCTCTTCTCCTCCTCCTCCTTCTTTTCTTCTTCTTCTTCCCTCTTCTTCTCCCTCCTTCTTCTCCTCCTTGTCCTCCTCCTCCTCCTTCTTCTTCTTCTTCTTCTTCTTCTTCTTTTCTTCTTCTCCTCCCCCTCTTCCTCCACTCCTCCTCCTCCTCCCTCTTCCTCTTCTCCTCCTCCTCCTTCTTTTCTTCTTCTTCCCTCTTCTTCTCCCTCCTTCTTCTCCTCCTTCTCCTCCTCCTCCTCCTTTTTCTTCTTCTTCTTCTTCTTTTCTTCTTCTTCTTCTCCTTCTCCTTCTCCTTTTTCTTCTCCTTCTTCTCCTTCTTCCCCTTCATCTTTTTCTTCTTTTGCTTCTCCCCCAAATATTCTATTTTAAATATCCCTCCATGGCAGAATATTCACATAACTTTGTGCCTACTCATTGTTTCATGGTGTGCAACTATGTGATTTGACTTTCTTTTTTTCCCCAAAGCATGGACATTTAGAATGCTTCTGAGTCCCCATTACTGCACCTGACACTATAGGAAACATTATTGTGCATGTGTCATTTGGTTTTCTGAAGTGTTTTTTCCTGGGGGTGAAATTACTGAACCAGATGATATGGATCAGTAATTTAGTTTATTTATTTATTTTAATTTATTTTTAATTCTACCTTGGCAAATTATAATTTTGTACATTTATTGATGAGAATGTAATGTTATGATGTATGTATACACAATGTGGAATGATTAAATCAAGCTAATTAACTTCACCATTATCTCAAATACTTATTTTTGTAGTGAGAACATTTGAAATGTACCCTTAGCAATTTTTAAATACATCATTAGTAACTGTAAGCACCATCCTTTGCAATAGACCTCAAAAAACTGATTCTTGCGGTCTGACTGAAACCTTATATCCTTTGATCATCCTGTTCCCATTTCCTCTATCCCCCGGCCTCTGGTAACCACTATTCTACTCTTTTTTTTTATGCGTCTTACATTTAACTCAGTAGAGCCAACTTGCTCTCCAAAAGGTTGTGACTACCTGGGATAACCACAGGCCAAAGTGTTTTCCTTTTTCTACATGTTCGCCAACACTTGCCAATCCAACTTTCTAATATTTGCTAGTCTGTTGGTTGCAAAGTGAAATCTCCTTGCTGTTTTAAATGTCAGTTCTCTAATTATTAATGAGCTTGAGCATCTTTTCATATTTTATTAGCCTTTTGGGTTTCCTCTTCATGTGAATTGTCTTTTAATCTTTTTTGCCTCCATATCTATTGTGGTTTTTCTTTTTGATTTATAGGCATTTCCTGAATATTCTAGATAATATGGCCCCTTGTTGGTTTTAGATATTGCAAATATATTCTCTCGATCTGTTGGTAACTTGGCCCATGTGTTTTTCATTAAAATCAATCCTTAGTTTAATGCAATAAATTCAACATATTTTGCCTTCAATTAGCTCATTTGTTTTTAATCTTTCTTGCCTCATGAAAATGTATTTTAACATATAAATTTTACTTTACATACCATTCTAGATGAGTCCCACACATTTTAAAATGTAATGTTTTATGTTGTTCAGTTCTAACTATGTCAATTTTATCATTTCCTTTTTAGAAAAATGCATGTTGTCAAAATTTTTGAAATAGAGGATTGTTTTGAGTTATACTTTTGTATGAATTTCTAGTTATATTTGCTGTGGTGAGAGGACATATTTTATGATACTGGTTCTTTAAATTTTATTGAGGATTCATTTGTGGCCTAATATACAGTCAATATATGTGACTCTTCATTGTATGCATAAAAATAGTACTTCTCAAACTTTCTGTGGTGAAGGACCAGTTTAAAAAATTGTTAATTTCGTTACAAACTATCATTTTTCAAATTTTAATAAAATAAAATACAAAAAATTATGAAATCATATGTCTCAACAATAGAAAACTGTTATAAATTTTTTATTACTCTCAATTTTTACATTTATTTCATTGCAGACAGGTAAAAAACAGGGGCTGACAGGCATCAAGTAACCAGAAAGACTGCGTGTACTTGGTTTGCTAGTCTTAGCACTGCAAATTTAATCACTTTAGTTATAAATTGTATTATTCTTATGGCCTCTACCACTGCTTATTTTTGTCTCCATTAGGTGGGGAGGGGATGGGTTAAAATGTCCGACAACTAATGTTTTTGTATTTATTTATCTCTTCAGTTTGTCAGTTGTTTCGCATATTTTAAAGATATATTGTTAAGTGTATACAGGCTCACAGTGGTTACATGTTATTTTTATTGGTATAACATTCATCTTTTTTTCTTAGGACATTTTTGTCTTGATATTTATTTAGTCAAATATTAAAATTGTCATTACAGCTTTTTTGTGGGTAATATTTCTATAGTATGTATTTTTCGTTCTTCAATTTAGCCTTTCTTGAGTCATTTGGAATGTTGTATTTTTTTAACCAGTCTGGAATTATTGGTCTTTTTATTACTGAGTTTAACATTTTCATTTATCATAATTACTACTGTATTGTGATTTATTTCTACCTTAAACTTATGTTTCCAATTTACTATACTTGTTTTTGATTTTTCTTTCATCATTCTTGTTGAACAGATTAGGTTTAAATTATGTTAAAATTATTTTATTTTATTCTTATCTTGGTTTCCTAAGATTAGAAACCCGTAATTATATTTACTAACTTCTACTGATTTTTCTAAATTAAAGTAAAATTAATAATAATTAAGGTAAAATTAACAATAAGATGCATGAGTCTTAAGTCTTTAGTTTGATGGGTTTTGACAATTGCATACACCTCTGTAACCCCCACCTCAAATATTTGTATTACCCCAGAGACCTCCAAGTTTGTTCTAAGTCATCTCTCCTATTCCCCAGAAATGACAATATTTTCACTTTTGTAGATGGTTTTGCCTATTCTTGTACTCCTGAATAATAATATATATTATTAATCATATATAATTATATTGTATATATTTATGTATATTATAATATATACAGTGGGAGGCTTCTTTTGTTTAACATAATTGTTTTGAGATTCATTCATTTTTGCAATGATCTCTGTTGTGCTTTTTATCACTGAATAGCATCCTATTCTATGAATGTATGGCTATATCCTGATTTTTAATAATTCATTCTCCTTTGGTAAACACTTGGGTTATTTCCAGTTTGGGCTACTATGCATAAAACTACGATCAACATTCTTACCTATTATTTTTTATTTTGTCATTGGTTTTTATTTCTCGCAAGTAAAAGTCTACCCTAGAATTGCGGGGTCATAGGGTGCATGCGTGTTTAACTATGTGAGAACTTGACAAACAGTGCTGGAAACATTATATCTCGTTACACTTTCACTGAGGATGTACCAGCCTACCAGGTGCTCCGCTTCCTCACCAACACATGTGCTCTCAGTCTTTTTGGTCATTTCAGTGAGTGTGAAATAATATCTCATTGAAATTTTAATCTTCATTTCCTTGATGACCAAGGATATGAAATGTCTCTTCATGTGCTTATTGGCCATTATTATGTGAAGTGCCTGTTTAATTAAATCTTTTGATCAATTTTAAAAATTAAATTGTCTGTCTTTTTATTACCAAACTTGCAAAATTTTTATCTATACAAATCAGATGCATATGCTACATTTTTATACAACTTATGATACATTGGTTAGCAAAAAAGTTAATTTTTATGAAGTCAAAGTAGTCGGTTATATTTTTTGTGGGGCCTGATTTTTGTGTCCTTTCCTGGAAATCTTTGTCTACCTCAAGTTTATAAAAGTATTCTATTATGTTTTCTCCTAGAAACATTATGATTTTTGACTTCACATTGAAGTCTATGTCTGGTCTTGGATTAATTTTTGTGTATGCAGTGAGATGAGGTCCAAGTGTATTTTTCATCCAGCTGGCTTTTTATTGTTCTGGTGGGATTTGTTAAAAATACATTTCTCCTCCATTGGAATTGACTTGGCATCTCAGACAAAAATCACTTGGTAGCATTTCTGAGTCTGTTTCTGTTCTCCCTCATCTGTTCTGTTGCCCTCTCTGCCTATCTTTATCTCAATATCAGCTCATCCAGAAGCTTTATAATAGGTCTTGCAATTTGCATTAGTCCTTCAAATTTGTTCTTCTCTTTAAAGATTGTTTTCACTACACTATGTTCTTTCTTTTTCCAAATAGATTTTAAAAGCAGCTTATCTATTCCTTAAAAAAATGCTTCTGGGATTTTGATAGTGTTTGCACTGAAGCTATAGATCAGTTCAAGAATTAACATCTTTACAACTTTGAGGCTTTTGTTCCAAGAAAAGTATATCTTTCTCTATCTTTGTTCTATTCATTTAACCTTATTTTTAGATATCCATATTTTCTTCCTAACTAAAGAAGACTTTTAATGTATCATTATAAACTTTTGATAGTTTTTTTTTGCCTATTCCATCTTCATATTGTTATAAATGTTATAATTTTAGTTCTGGGTGAATATACATTTATCCCTCTCTTTTTCATTTGTTTTTATTTTTTATGTAAAAACTTCTACTAACTTCTCTGGTCTCCCTTATTTTTCAAATCTCTTGCAGAAACTCTCTTGGACTTGTATTTTTTGGTCTTCCTCCAAGAATGTTTTCAAGATTGATTTTCCTATAATTAGTCTTCTAAGGTTTTGTGTGTCTGAAAATATTTGTAATTTGCTTTCAGATTTTAAATAAAAATTTGACTGAATGCATAACTTTAGGTTCAAAGATTTTTTTTCCGCCTTCCTTAGTTTAAAATCATTATTCTTGGATCCAGTGTTGCTGTTGAGAATTCTGATGACAAACTTCCCCGTGCTCCTTGTTCTTGCTAGGTGATCTGCCGTCTTTCTCTGGAAGCCGTCGGGATATCCTCTGACCCCCTGGAGCACTCACATTTTCCCGTCATGTGCCAGGAGTGGGTTTGGTCTTCTCTGACCTTCTCTGTTCTCTCTACACCCTTGCAACCTCACATCTTTCATTTATATTTTGAATAATTTTCCCATGACCTTTTCTCTCCTGTGGGACTTCTGCTAAGTGAATATGGACATGTCTCATTTTATCCTCCTGACCTCATAATTTTCCTTCCATGTCTCTATTATTCTTATCCTTTTCTGATGCCCTCTGGTAGGTTCACAAACAAGCTTTTTGCCTTGCTTGCATCTATTCGGCATACTCGCTCATCTGTTGTCTGCCTTATTTCAACCACTATGGTTTTCAGTGTTTCAGTATTTCAATATTTCTTTTTAGTCTGGAGGCAGACTACTTGAATTCCAGTCCAGCTTTGCTCCTTTCCAGTTCTGTGGTCTAAAGCAAATTACTTAATTTCCCTGTGCCCTTGTTTTCCAATCCTGAAAATGGGCATTATAAGAGCAACTAGCTCTTAAACCCATTGGAGGATTGGCGGAGTTACTATTACATACGTCTCTCTACAGTGGAAAGACCCATCTCCGGGAAGGTAGGTGCATGTGTTGATCATGACCACCTTTAAAGGCCATTTCTCAGGCATATTTTAAATCACCCGTCTGTATCAACAGCCCCCTTCAGGTTCTGCACATGCCTGGGTCCCTGTGGGCAGTCACGTGACGGTTGTGTTTCAAGGTCTGTCACGGTCACCTAGAAACCTGTGCCTGGGGCATCCATGGCTCTGTTTGGTGATGTGTGTTGGGGACATGCTGCTCTGCGCAAAGAAGGGAGAGATGAGCTTCAGAACTGAGAGCCCAGGGGTTCGAAAACCCCTAAAGACCTCTCTCCAGCCCTGTAATTGCAATAAGCCTTGGCTCCTCCAGGTTTTTCTCACAGCTTCATGTGGCTCCTCACATCCAGGCCTCCGTGTTTCTCAGTTTGCGATTGGTTCCAGGGGTGGAGCCTAGACCTTGCCAGAACCAAAAGGCCCAGATAAAGCTGTTTTCTGTGCATTGTTATCTCTCTCTCTCTTTCTCTTCCTCTCACTCTCTCCTCCTCCCTTCTCCCTCTCTCACTTCCTTCCTTGCTCCCTCCCTTCCTCTCACCCTCCTGTCCTCCCTTTTTTCCTTCCTTTTATTTGTCCCTCCTGGTTCTTTTCTCCCTACTTTTCTTCCTTATCTCCTTCCTTCCTTCTTTTTTCCTTTCTTCCTATATTTCTTTCCTCTTTTTCCCACTGGGTTTCTGTTCCAAACTTCGTGTTTCCAATATTAGAAAACAACACATTCATTTCCCATTCTCTTGCACACTTCCGGGGGAAAACAACACATTCATTTCCCATTCTCTTGCACACTTCTGGGGGAAAACAACACATGCATTTCCCATTCTTTTGCACACTTCCAGGGCCGGCTTCAGTCATGTGCATGCACTGTGACGGAGGAGTCTGTGGCAAAATGTGCAGTGCGGTCCCACTATTTCTGTCACCATATATTTACATTTCACTCCCATTGCTTTAAAATTCTGTAAAATAAGGGGAAGTTTTAAAGAGCAAAAAAGTCAAGAACCCCTATGATGCTATTAAATAGAGAAAGAGAATAATTCCATCAGATGTATGTAAAAGATGTCATCAGAACCTTCCCACATTTAGATGTGGGGTGCGTGCATCCCAGCCTTTGCCCAGGTGATGCCAGAGATAAAAGTCCAAGAACAGAGTGATGATGCTTGAATTGATTATTTTCAATGTATAGTTCATCTGTATTTTATGACAGAAAAACACTGCATTGAATTTGTGTCTATACACATTTTTCAAGTTCTAATAATTTCTGGTTTTTCCATTGATTGCATATTCACAAAATATTCTGTTTCATAGATTGGAATGCAACTACAATGTCTGTCCCAGACTTGCTCACACACTCATTAGGAGAGATGCCAGTGCCTGAGATCCATGTATGCTTATCTCTAACAGGCTCAGAGGTAGAAAAGTCAATTTTGGAAAATTAGAGGTGCACTAGCCTCACCCAGTGAAGACTCGCTGGAGTCAACATTTCCATCTTGACTAAGGGTGGGGAGAGACCATTGTTGCCAGGTGGTAAAGGACCTCTGCAGAGCCCTGCAGATCAACTCAGCTTTGATCTCATCCAGTTGATTCTTGGAATTTTAAAATCTGAAAATATAAACCAGTACCCTTCACAGAAAAGTGTTTTAGTACATTTTAAAACCCTGCATTAAATATAAGCTGAACCTCGTTTTCTAGCAAAGACAAGATAGGATGAGTCCCTGAAATTCATGGGTTCTGCTGAGCTCACTGCTCTGGTCCTGTTCTACGGACAGGATCATTACCCTGCATTCACGTGCACTGTGCTTAAAAGGTTGGATCCTCTGCGCCACAATGCACTTTCTCTTGAAGCAAAGCCCTTTGGAAATTAATTCAGACTTTCAGACTCAACTTACAAATCAGTTATGAAAGTTTAAAATGAGCAAAAGCTATATAAGATAAGAATCTATAGGCTGGGCTTGGTGGCTCACACCTGTAATCCCAGGATATGTGAGGCAAAGGCTAATGAATCCCCTGAGGTCAGGAGTTCGAGACCAGCATGGCCAACATGGTGAAACCCCCTCTCTACCAAAAATACAAAAATTAGTTGGGCATGGTGGCGGGCACTTGTAGTCCCAGCTACTCCGGAGGCTGAGACAGGAGAATTGCTTGAACCCAGGAGGCGGAGGTTGCAGTGAGCCAAGATGGCGCCACTGCACTCCAGTCTGGGTGACAGAAAGAGACTCCATCTCAAAAAAAATAAGAATCTATAGTGTTAGATTAAAAAAAAGTTATATATGTATATATTTTTATATATTACATGTGTATATATTATATATGTGTATATTATATAATTATATATATATATTATGTATTGTATATAGATGTCTGCTACACAATTTGAGAAGCTGTAGGGAATTGGATCTCAGAAATGAAACTACAATTAACCTCAAAGGAAAGAAGTCCAGAACCAATAATTCCTGAAAAGTTAAAGCTGAGGTTGTATAAATACATTTTAAAAAATCTTATTAAAATACACGATTGCTTTCTTTCTATTTTTTTTTGTAGCACCTCTGAGCAAATAATTTAAATTATATTAACGTGGAAACGTGTGATGAAGAAAGGGTATTTATGAATGGCAGCCGTAACTACACTTCTGTCTATTAAATAATGAATTCTAAATAAAATTGAAAAAGACATAATAACGCCCATAAACATAATTTCATGAAACATATGAGTACAACGCAGAATGTTATAGGCAAACAGGCAGTCTTCACGTGCCAGCAGAGCTCCTAAGCCAGTGCTGTTGTAATTAGTTGCTCTTGGTAGCACAGTCTGCAGCTCCCTTTAAAACTCCCCCATGCGCAGGCAGCACACCCAGATTCGAAACTAGGCTCTGCTCCTCACGTAGTGTTTGTGCCTTTTGTTGTGGCTCTGTGTTTAGCTCAGTACACTTTTTTGTTTTCTGGCTGACTCAGGAAAGCAGGACAAGTTTAGTTTTTGACAGTGTCTTTTTGCACCTTGTGGGGTGGATTGTCTGCAAGAGCCTCTTCACTCAGTCTCTGCTTTTGACTTTTTCCTTTGTGATTCCAAAACAAGGCTTGTGAAAAGCACTTACTCAGAGATTTCAGGCTTGGGTTAGCCTCGGACGCATGCAAATAGCTTAAAATGCTGAAATATTCAAATAAATTCCGCAGAAGCATGGCTGCAGCACAGTGGCTGAGGCGACTCTGATATGTAGGATCTGCAAAGCTCACGGCTTGAGAACTGTCATTAAGCCTGGAATATTCTCAGCCAGCACAGCTTTCATATTACATATTTACAGCATGCAGTAAACCTCTGCTTTGCTTTCAGAGCTGGTGGGAGGAATGAAAAATACACATAAATGGAGCGAATCTGTGCCAAGGCAGTGGGTCAGGTGTAGCTTACCTCGTCTCATCAGGAAGAAGTGGGGTACATTCATTCCCGGCCCCCTCCTGTCTTTCCTCATGAGTTTAAAGAGATTTCTAAAATCGAGTCGCCAACATGGAGTGAACTTCATTGCTGATACTAGTGCGACCTTGCAAGGTAATTAGCACGCTTCCTGCATGTCCGAAGGGGGTACAGAGGGGGTCTGTCATCTTTCAAGCATTGAAATATCTCTTTTTTGTTGAGGAAAATTTTAATGAAAGGTGCCATTAAAATGGAAGTCTTTTGTTCATGTTTAGAATGACTCAGTGTGGGGCCTCTCCTCACACATTTGAATGCCACCCTCCAGAGAGCACAGCCAGGAAGGTTCCAGGGAGCTAAAAGCTGGTGACCATTGATTCCTTCCCTTCTCCACAGGGACTAAGATGGGACAAGAGACAGTGCGAAGAGATGCATTAGATGCATTATGGAATTCTTTGAGGTGGAAAACGGGCTTCCTAGATGCTGAGCCCAAATCAGGAAATCATTTTTTGGGAGTGGTCAAATAGGTGGAGGCATGGGGCAGCATCAGCGTCCAATGCCAAACCCAGAGTTGGGGAACTCTGCCTTCCATTGCTGGGTAAAGCTCTTCCTCTTCACTACGATTTCAATTCATGCTCTCTCCACAGAAGCATAAGTGTCCTCCGCTAGGTTCATTGATCATAAAGTTGATTTCCAGAGGAAGAACGTCTAACATGGGACACTAGAGAGATGCATGACCCAATGATTCAAGTAGAGGGACGCCTAAGTAGGGGAGTGAAAACGTCCTTACTATACAAAGTGATGGCAGAATTGTGAGCCTGAGCTATGGGTCTCACGTTTTATGAACTGAATCTCATACTGTGTTCTTTATTCAGTAAATTATGATATTTGATTATTTAAATACATGTCTAAACCACTTGATTCTACATTTTAAAATTACTTATATTATTATGGCTAGTCTATGCACTTGTCAGACTATCTGCTAGGGTGAATCTAGTATTATCACTGAATACACACAATATTTGAATCTACTGTAGACCATAATTGGCAAGAAAATGAAATAGTCTTCCAAACTAATAGGTATAAATCTCACACTCAAATTTATGGTTTTGGTCATCTAAAAAACATGAAAAGTAAAGACGATATTCCATGCCCAGTGGAGAGGACCACTTGCCCTTGTACACCTTAGCTCATAGCGAGTGTGCTGTGTACTCTTGGCAGGTGACCTGTGATGGGCTGCCCTGATTGACTTCCACAGGCAGACACTTAGAGAGCAGACATGTTACCCTGTCCTGGGATGTACCAATGAGCAGGTATGAAGTTTTGATGACAATCCATTCTCCCCTCAAGATTTCATTCTTGGACTAGGGGTGTCTCTGTTTGATGTCACCATGGTGTCAAGCTGAGAGCACTGCTGTTGGGACAGATTGGGTTTGAGTTCTGGCTCTTCCACTCACTAGCTGCATGAATCTTTGGGCCTCAGTTTTCTCATCTGTAAAACTGGAATAGCTATCTATCATACAGGCTTATTTTGAGAATTCAGGGCCTCAGTAATTGGGAGGAACTTTGAGGATTATCTGGAACATAGAGGATGTTATGTGAGCAGCTGATAAAATAAAACATACCTAAGATCTGTTACAGCTTGCTACGAAGCAGTGGTCAAGAGAGAGTAATGGTAGCAATCTGTATTTTGGAGTTCTAGGGAATTATGTCAGAATATGAATTCAAGATGAAGGCAAACACTCTGTTCCAGCAAACCTTCCACACCTATCATGGTTGATTAAAGGTGTCCACTTGGCTGGGTTAAGGGACCCACAGATAGCCAGCAAAACATTATTTCTGGGTATGTCTGTGAGACTATTTCTCAAAGAGACTGGCACTTGAATCACTGGACTGAGTAAGAAAATTTCACCTTTCCTCTATGTGGACAGGCTCCATCCAATCAGCTGAGAGCCTGCATACAAAGAAAAGGCAGAGGACAGGCAAATTTGCTCTCTGTTTCCTGGAGCTGGGACACCTGGAGTTCTGATGTTCTCCTGCCCTTGAACGTAAGAACTCCAGGTTCTCAGGTCTTTGGATTTAAACCAGACACACTGCTGGCTTCCCTGGTCCCCCAGCTAGCATAGAGCATATTTTGGGGCTCTTTAGCACCTATAATCACAT
Source organism: Homo sapiens (assembly GCF_000001405.40). Lineage (NCBI taxonomy): Eukaryota > Metazoa > Chordata > Mammalia > Primates > Hominidae > Homo > Homo sapiens. The sequence goes on from NC_000005.10 coordinate 3,711,981, forward strand.
GAGCCAACTCCCTTAGTAAATATCCTCTTCCATTTCTCTATGTACCTATTTATCCATCCATCAGTCCATTCATCTATCTATTTTCTATCTATCTATCTACCTATCATCTATCTATCCATCCATGCATCTATCCATTTATCCATGCATCTATTTTCTATCTATCCATTCATTCATCTATCTAGCCATCTATCTGTGAATCTATTGTCTATCTATTTATCTATCATTTATCTATCTATTCAGGCTCCCATCTATTTATTCATCTATCCATCTATCTACCCATCATCCATGCATCTATTTTCTATCTATCCATCCATTCATTCATCTAGCCATCCATCCATCCATCCATGGATCTATTTGATATCTATCTATCTATCTATCTATCTATCTATCTATCCATCCATTCATCTATGCACCCATCCATCTATTTATCTATCCATCAATCCATCCATGCATCTATCTATTTTCTTCCTTCCTTTCTTCTTTCTTTCTTTCATCAATCAATCATCAAACAATCTATCCATTCATCCATCCATGCATCTATGTATCCATTCATCCATGTGTCTATTCTCTATCTACCCATCCATTCATCCATCTAGCCACCCATCCATTCATAAATCTATTATCTATCTATCTATCTATCTATCTATCTATCTATCTATCTATCATCTATCTATCCATCCATCCATCCTATTGGCTCTGTGTCTTTGGAGAACCCTGATAATACACACCTCAGTGTTCTCCTCCCCTGGGGCACAGTTTGGTATCTATCAATGAACAAAGCCTAGCTTCATTATTTGCTTGTCCTTATGTTTGTCTTACTTTTTCACACACCTTCAAGTCAGACAGGATGCTTTTTAAATTGATTGTGAGCCCCTTAGGTGGTTTTTCACAGAATAGCAGACCTCACAGGTAGAAGTGTGTGAAGTGTGATGCCCAGAGTGGGGCACCTTGGCCCATGTAACTTGCTAGGACAAGTAACAAAATTCAAGGATTCTTGAGGACAGGGAGAGTGTTGGCATTAGTAAGTTGATCACTTTTGTATGATTCAGAATGAACCAGAATGCCTTCCATATCCCCTGGGATATTCTGTGTGAAGTGGTCCAGGTACTGGGAGCTGGAAGATAATGCCTTTCCCTAGAGTCCAGTATGCTGCAAGCAGGTGTGGGTCTATCAGTCTCAACTTGGTTCTTCTTCGAAGAAATGGAAGACTCTAGAACATTGGTAAGGACATCAATTTTTTTATGGAAAACAACATAAAACAAAACAAAACAAAAACACAAAGCACGGTTAAGGGAGAGTCCTTTTGTTCGTACTTGAAGGAATTTTCACTACTTCTTAGTCTGTGGTTTTCTAGTAAGTGATGGAAGAGCCAGTGGCTGCTGCAGCTCCTTCTCAGGATAGTGGGGTGATAAGATAGTGACGTGGAGTTGCCTGGCGATGACTCATTCTCCTTCCCTCCACCCACATTTTAGATGTGAGGACACTAAGTTCTATTGGTGCTTGAAGATTGAGCATTTTACTATTAAATATCCCACTTCTCTTCAGAGTATCACAAGCATTACCCTATACCTATGGTCAGGAAATACTGTCAGGAAGCCTTCATATTTCAAATGACTTCCATTCCCATCTATGATATTTGGGGGTTTAAGATCATAGTGAAGATGTTGTTTACAAATTAAGACTGCTTTTGTCAACAGCATAAAGTAGGAAGGTTTAATCAGAACGTTAGACTACTCCCAAGTTCAAATTCATCTCTGTAAATGTGCCAACATTGAGAGATGTGCATGAGAAGAGTGAAGTCTGAGATAGACTTACAAGTAATATTTTTCAACTTAGGAATCTCATTTTATTTATTTATTTATTTTGAGAAAAAGAATTTGAGGTAGAGGTAGAGAAGATTGGAAAAGGACCTCTCACAAGAAGCTGGTGGGAGGCAGGCTCCTCTGATCCCTAACTTGGGATAGAAAGACAGAGATCCCAGGGAACTTACTCAACACTCCACCAAGCCATTCTAAAGGGGGACCACTTTTACTCGAAATCTGCAGAGGAGCCCTTGCTGGCTGACTATTCTGACTGTGTCCTTGAAGATCACTTAGACCCAACAGAGTTCAGAACCTGCTACTCACAAATAGGAGAGCTTGAAGTGTTGAATACTTTAAGCTGAAGTGATTTGAGAAGAGCAGGTGTGGTAGCATTCTCTGACCTCCTCCTTCTCCCCTGAGAAAAGATACAGCCCCTCATGGGAGAGATGCTTTCCCTGTACTAAGAGGGAAGGAGCATCCTTATCTCAGGAGACAGAGGGTCTCCTGGAGGAATCCTAGTGAGCAGGCCTTGCTAGGCTTCCCCATGGACTCCCCCAGTGCATACCCTTTGTCTTACCACGTCTTTCCTCAACTTTCCACTTTTCATGAAACCTGGTATGAAAACCTCAAGTTTAATGGTGCCTTTGGGTCTTTGTTTCCTTATGAAGGCTTCTGTGTCATGTAAAAATTATATTAAATGAATGTGTGCTTTTCTCTTGTTAATCTATCTTCTGTTAGTCTAATCTACAGGGCTTCAGCTGGAGAACCTAGGAGGATGGTAGGAAAAATAATTTTTTGCACTCTACAAATGACATTGTCATATCAGTGACTCAGACCACATGGGTGTATATGACTTAGAAGAGTAGAGACCTTCCCTTCTGCAAGGACCAGGAGGAGACAGCATGGGTCCTTGTCTTTTCCATCTGCTTGCCATTATTCTAAGGGAAATAGGAATAGGGGGAAAAGGAAAGCATTCTCCAAAGAAGTGTCTGCATCATCCTTTTGTGCTCACTTGGAGCTCCAAGTGAGTTGTCTGTTAACTGTTTGCATTGTAAGATCCTTAATTCAAACTTTTGAAGTTCTAATCCAAAATATCATAATGTGTGTTTATATTGTCGTAGGGTTCATACACATTTTTTAGTCATTTTTGAAAATATTGGAACTGACATATTCGAAGTATTACATCTTTCAGTATAATACTTTGGAAGAATTTAGAGGTCATAAATTATCCCTTACTCAAAGATAGCACAGGGTATGGGTCTCCAGGGACCTTCTAAAAATGGAGGAAAATCCAAGCGGTGCCACTTAGAAAGAAATTAAAACAAATAGAAGGGAAACAGAGAAGCAGCGATCAAGCTCAAGGGGTCATGAGGGAGATGAGAAACAGCCCTGGCCTGGGAGACCAGAGGAGGCGGAGCCTGGGCTTGCTGCCTAGACAGTGTGGGCCCAGGTCTTGCAGGAGAGTCCTTCCAGCCACGGAAAGGCACAGAGCTGGGAAGACTTTGTACGGAGGCAGAACCCCACATGCGGGGAGCTGCCCATGGAACTGGCATCAAAACTGCCCCGTGAGCATGCAGCAAGAACGTCAAGAGCGGCTTTTTAAAAAATTGAGTTTATGAAACTCCCCAGTGTGGTTACCACATCAGTCAACAGACTTGGCTCTAAATGGCTTTTGCCATTTCCGAAAATCAAATGCAGCTTCTATCACAGAGGTTGCAAACCACTGAGGATACTGACATTACTTAATCTCATCAAATCCCAGCTGTTTCATCTGTAAAATATAACAACAACAATAAGAGCTAAGCCATGATATCAAAGCAAACAAACATGCAGAAAACAAAAGACAATTCTCTAGTACTGGGTAAATAAATTGAGATTTGACTGTGCTTCTGACAATATCTGGCATGGGGTAGCCCCTCCCTGAATGTTTATTTTTTTTTTTTCCTTTGCTATGCTGTGGACTCTGGAGAGGATTCTAAACTACACATTCTAGGAATGTTCTGAGCCACACCAATGTTAGTGGAAACAGGAGGTTGTGTAGCTGAGGGTGAGTGGTTACGGTGGCTCTTCCCCTCGTCCACCTGCCTCCCCATCCTGCTGTCTTTCCCATTCATCATGTTCTTTACACACATACATGGACCAACTCAAGTGCAATTCCTGGAAGGGCTGCGTTAAATTAGTTAAATGAATTAAAGTAACTGCATTTAAAAAAATCAAGAAAAATGCAATTCCAGAATTAAGCATTTGAGGCAAACTATTAAAAATCCAAAAGTGGGAAGGGAGTTTTACCTGCTGCTGCTTTGACTTACCATAAACATCATTTATTTTTATGTGGTGAAATTGAAGACTGCCAACTTTTTGGTTGCGAAGATGAATAGACACAGAACAACACCTACGCATACGCTCATGAATTTGTAATGAGTATAAAAAACAAATGTACTAAATTCTTAAGATTGACTTAAGACATACTTTACATAAAGCTACATTACTTTATTTGTATTTCATTTTTATTTATTTATTTTTTTTTGAGACGGAGTCTCGCTCTGTAGCCCAGGCTGGAGTGCAGTGGCATGATCTCGGCTCACTGCAACCTCTGCCTTCTGGGTTCAAGAGATTATTCTCCTGTCTCAGTCTCCCGAATAGTTGGGAGTACAGGTGTGTGCCACCATGCCCGGCTAATATTTTGTATTTTTAGTAGAGATGGGGTTTTGTCATGTTGGTCAGGGTGGTCTCTAACTCCTGACCTCAGGTGATCTGCCCGCCTCGGCCTCCCAAAGTGCTGGGATTACAGGCATGAGCCACCATGCCCAGCCAAAGCTATGTTACTTAAAAAAAAAAAAGGGCAAACTTTTCCCTGTCATACCCTGCAGGAGATTAACAAACCCACTGCACAGTATTATGGCATTTCAAGAAGTGCAAAACATGCCATACTAAATTTTATTTTTCAGATGTAGAAAACTAATTTAGGAATTGTTTTTATAACTACTTAACGACTCCCTCTGCCCGCCCTTGGGTGGACTTTATTGATCACACATTGCCATAAACTTCCCACATTGAGAAGTTGAACTTGACATTAAGGCACTTGCTCCCCAGCCTGTGATTCACAGCCCTGAAATGGTTGCTTCCAGGTGGTGGCTGGCTTGAGTCTTTCTAAGGACTCCACTGTAGGCTTGCTCTTTGGAACAATGTTCTCCTAAGAGTTCGTGTTTCCTACTTAGAGATTTTCCAGGTTATATTCCATTAAGACTTCACTCTTATAATATTTTTAACTTTTCTATAAAGATGTGCAATAAACACAGGCGAGGTAATAGGAACAAGAGCTGTCAGGAAGCCAGGGCTCAGCATAATTTCTGAAAATATGAGCACTTGATGGAGATGAATGGTTCTACTTCCATATGGCTTATTGTTGCCTTTAGCCTCTAGTGTAATAGCAACTATTAGGATTTTAATATATGGATTGAAAGGCTATTTGCTTCATATTTGATGAAATATTAATATTGCTCCTGAAATATGTTATAAATGCTGTGCTAATACGTCTTGATGAATTACATTATGTACAGGTTAGACTTAGCGGTTCCATTCTCACTTCAGAAAGTTATTACCGTATGTCATGGAAACACTTTAAATTTATGTTTAAAACCTGTAAAGTCTTCTACTTAAATATGTTATTAATTTTTAAAGTTCTGTTTTAGAATAACTATATATTTGTAACCAGAAGTGCAGTAAAAGAAATAAATTTGTATCTGAATTGGAGCAGTTGCTAAACGAACCAGGAAAGAATTACTTAGAGGAGAGACCTTCTTTTTCTGAGTAGATCTTTGTTTGCAGCTCTGTTTAAGAGGACCACAAGAGGGATTTTTGCTTTTCACCTCCCAATGCATTTAGGGGAAACTTTTGCTTATGGATAATTTCTTGCTGAGGGCGGGGGGAGAGAGGAAAAATGCTGGTGGTTCAGCAAACAGAAAACAGAGACTGTGACTGGCTGGCTCGTGCTCCCTTAAATTCTAATGCTGGAGTCCTGACCTCGGCTACCCCAGAGTGTGGCTGTTTTGGAAATAGCGTCTTTAAAGAGGTAACTGCAAGTAAAACAAGGTCTTTAGGGTTGACCCAATGAGACTGATGTCCTTTCGTTTGTTTGTTTTTTTAATTTTTAAGTTTGGGGTACACGCGCAGGTTTGTTACTTAGGTAAACTTGCCTCATGGGTTTTTTTTTTTTTTTTTTGTACAGGTTATTTCATCACCCAGGTATTAAGCCCAATACTCATTAGTTATTTTTCCTGATCCCCTCCCTCCTCCCACTCTCCACCCTCTGAAAGGCCCCAGCGTGTGTTGTTCCCCTCTATGTGTCCATGTGTTCTCATCATTTAGCTCCCACTTACAAGCGAGAACATGAAGTATTGGTTTTCTATTCCTGTGACAGTTTGCTAAGGATAATGGCCTTCGGCTCCATTCATGTCCCTGCAAAGGACATGATCTCATTCTTTTTTTATGGCTGTAGCTTATTCTATGGTATATATGTACCACCATTTCTTTATCCAGCAAACGAAACTATCAACAGGGTAAACAGACAACCTACAGAACGGGAGAAAATCTTTGCAAACTATGCATTCGACAGAGGTCTTATACCCAGCATCTATAAGAAACTTAAACATATTTATGAGAACAAAACAAACAACACCATAAAAAAGTGGGCAAAGGACATAAACAGACACTTTTCAAAAGAAAACATCCATGTGACCAGCAAGCATATGAAAAAAAGCTCAACATCAGTGATGTCTTTTTAATGAGACATTAGCACACAGAGCGCTGTGATAGACCTCTGAAGACCCAGAGAGAAGATGGCCGCCAACAAGCCAAGGACAGAGGTCTCAGAAGGGACCAGCCTTGCCAAGCCCTGGATGTTAAACATCCAGCCTCCAGAATAGTGAGAAATCAATTCTGTAAATAAATTTCTGTGAATGAAGCCACAGAGTCTGTGGGGCTTTGTTATGGCAGCCCCAGAGGGCAAACAGAGATGACAACTTGTTAAAGGGGCAGGGTCCTTAGCGAGACATTAGTTCCTGAAACTATCAGGAGGAGATGTTTATACAAACATGTTACCTTATAACCTAATATTTAAACCAAGGTGTGAGTTACAATATGGAAAGTCAGGAAACCATGCTGAGAGTTTAGATGTTCTGAGGACACTCTTGTCCTGCATCTATGTGTTTCTTTTCTTTTTTTAAATTTAATTTTACTTTATTTTAAGTTCTAGGATACATGTGCAGGACGTGCAGGTTTGTTACATAGGTAAATGTGTGCCATGGTGGTTTGCCGCACCTTTCAACCCATCACCTAGGTATTAAGCCCCACATGCGTTAGCTATATATCCTGATGTTCTCTCCAATCTCACACCCCTAACAGGCTCCAGTGTGTGTTGTTCCCCTCCTTTTGTCCATGTGTTCTCATTGTTCCACTCTCACTTATAAGAGAGAACATGCAGTGTGTGGTTTTTCTGTTTCTCTGTGAGTTTACTGAGGATAATGGCTTCCAGCTCCATCCATGTCCCTGCAAAGGACATGATCTCATTCTTTTTTATGGCTTCATAGTATTCCATGGTGTATATGTACCACATTTTCTATCCAGTCTATCATTGGTGGACATTTGGGTTGATTCTAACTTTGCTATTGTGAGTAGTGCTGTAATGTATGTTACGTATGCCTGCATATATGTTAATAATAGAATGATTTATATTACCTTGGGCATATACCCAGTAATAGGATTGCTGGGTCAAATAGTATTTCTGGTTCTAGGTCTTTGAGAAATCGCGATACTGTCTTTCACAATGGTTGAATTAATTCACATTCCCACCAACAGTGTAAAAATGTTCCTATTACTCCTCAACCTTGCCAGCGTCTGTTGTTTCTTGACTTAATATTAGGTTGGTGCAAAAGTAATTGCAGGTTTTGTCACCAAAAGTAATGGCAAAAACCACAAGTACTTTTGCACCAGCCTAATAATTGCCATTCTGCCTGGCATGAGATGGTGTCTCACTGTGGTTTTCATCTGAATTTCTCTAATGATCAGTGATGTTGAGGTTTTTTTTCATGTTTCTTGGCCACATAAATGTCTTTTTTTTTTTTTGAGAAGTGTCTGTTCAGGTCCTTTGCCCACTTTTTAATGGGGTTGTCTGCTTTTTTCTTGTAAATTTGTTTAAGCTCCTTGGAGATTCTTGATATTAGATCTTTGTCAGATGGATAGATTGCAAAAATTTTGTCCCATTCTGTAGACAAAGAAGACATCCATGTGACCAGAAAGCATATGAAAAAAAGCCCCATTTTGTAGGGTGTCTGTTCACTCTAATGATAGTTCTTTTGCTGTGCAGAAGCTCTTTAGTTTAATTAGATCCCATTTGTCAGCTTTTGCTTTTGTTGCAATTATTTTTGGTGTTTTCATCATGACATCTTTGCCAGTGACTATGTCCTAAATGATACTGCCTAGGCTTTCTTCTAGGGTTTTACAGTTTTGGGTTTTATATGTAAGTCTTTAATCCATCTTGAGTTAATTTTTGTACAAGGTGTAAGGAATGGGTCCATTTTCAGTTTTCTGCATATGGCTAGCCAGTTTTCCCAGCACCATTTATTAAATAGGAAATCCTTTCCCCATTGCACTTTTTGGTCAGGTTTGTCAAAGATTGTAGATATACAGTCTTATTTCTGAGATCTCTATTTTGTTCCATTGGTCTATATGTCTGTTTTTGTACCAGTACCATGCTGTTTTGGTTACTGTAGCCTTGTAATATAGCTTGAAGTCAGGTAGAATGATGCCTCCAGCTTTGTTATTTTTGCTTAGTATTGTCTTGGCTATTTGGGCTCTTTTTTGGTTCTGTATGAGTTTTAAAGTATTTTTTTCTAATTCTGTGAAAAATGTCAATGTTAGTTTAACAGGATTAGCATTGAATCTATAAATTACTTTGGGCAGTATGACTATTTTCATGTTACTGATTTTTCCTATCCATGAGCATGGAATGTTTTTCCATTTGTTTGTATTTTTTTCTGATTTCCTTGATCAGTGGTTTGCAATTCTTCTTGAAGAAGTCTGTCACTTCCCTGATAGCTGTATTCCTAGGAATTTTATTCTCTTTTTTAGTAATTGTGAATAGGAGTTCAATCATGACGTGGCTCTCTGACTGTCCATTGTTGGGGTATAGGAATGCTTGTGATTTTTGCACATTGATTTTATATCCTGACACTTTGTTGAAGTTGCTTTTCAGCTTAAGACACTTTTGGGATGAGTTGAGGGTTTTTTCTAGATATAGGATCATATCATCTGCAAGCAGAGACAATTTAACTTCCTCTCTTCCTATTTGAATACCCTATCAATTTCTTCTAGATTTTCTAGTTTATTTCAATAGAGTTATTTACAGTGTTCTCTGATGGCTGTTTTTATTTCTGGGTGGTTAGTGGTGATATCCCCTTTATCATTTTTATTGTGTCTATTTGATTCTTCTTTCTTTTGTTCTTTATTAGTCTATCTAGTGGTCTATGCATTTTATTAATTTTTTCAAAAATCACCTCCTGGATTCATCGTCTCTTTGAAGGGGTTTTCATATCTCTATCTCTTTTAGTTCAGCTCTGATCTTTGTTATTTCTTGTCTTCTGCTAGCTTTGGGGTTCGTTTGCTCTGGCTTCTCTAGTTCTTTTAGTTGTTATGTTAGCGTGTCGATTTGATATCTTTCCAGCTTTTTGATGTGGGCATTTTGGGCTATAAATTTCCCTCTTAACCCTTTTTTTGGGTGCATCCCAGAGATTCTGGTATGTTGTCTCTTTGTTCTCATTGGTTCAAAATAACTTCTTGATTTCTGCCTTAATTTTGTTATTTACCCAGAAGTCATTCAGGAGCAGGTTGTTCAATTTCCATGTTGTTGTGTGGTTTTGAGTTTCTTAATCTTGAGTTCTAATTTGATTGTGCTGTGGTCTGAGAGAGACTGTTTGTTATGATTTCAATTCTTTTGCATTTGCTGAGGAGTGTTTTACTTCCAATAATTTAATCAATTTTAGAGTAAGTGCTATGTGATGCCTAGAAGAATATATATTCTGTTGTTTTTGGGTGGAGACTTCTGTGGATATCTATCGGTCCATTTGATCCAGAGCTGAGCTCAGGTCCTAAATATTCTTGTTAATTTTCTGCCTCAATGATCTGTCTAATATTGACAGTTGGGTGTTAAAGTCTCCCATTATTATTGTGTGGGAGTCTAAGTCTCTTTGTATATCTCTAAGAACTTGTTTTATGAATCTGGGTGTTCCTATATTTGGTACATATACATTTAGGATAGTTAGCTATTCTTGTTGCATTGATCCCCTGCATTATGTTATGCCCTTCTTTGTCTTTCTTTGTTGGTTTAAAGTCTTTTGGTCAGAAACTAGGATTGCAACACCTGCTTTTTTCTGCCTTCCATTTGCTTTGTAAATTTTTCTCCATCCCTTTATTTTGAGCATGTGTGTGTCTTTGCATGTGATATGGATCTCTTGAATACAGTACACCAATGGGTCTTGACTCTTTATTCCTCTTGCCATTCTGTGTCTTTTAGTTGGGGCATTTATCTCATTTACCTTTAAGGTTAATATTGTTATGTGTGAATTTGATCCTGTCATCATGATGCTAGTTGGTTATTTTGCAGACTTGTTTATATAGTTGCTCCATAGCGCTATTAGTCTCTGTACTTCAGTGTGGCTTTGCAGTGGCTGGCAATGATTTTTCCTTTTCATATTTAGTGCTTCCTTTAGGAGCTCTGGCAAGGCAGGCCTGGTGATGATGAATTCCCTCAGCATTTGCTTGTCTGAAACAGATTTTATTTCTCCTTTGCTTATGAAGCTTAGTTTGGCTGGATATAAATTCTGGGTTAAAAATTCTTTTCTTTAAGAATGTTGAATATTGGCCTTCAATCTCTTCTGGCTTGTAGGTCTTCTGTTAGTCTGATAGGCTTTCCTTTGTAGGTGACCTGGCCTTTCTTTCTGGCTACAAACATTTTTTTCCTCCATTTTGATCTTGGAGAATCTGATGATTATGTGTTTTGGTGTTGATTTCTCATGGATTATCTCACTGGGTGTATTAGTACCTTTTTATACTTCTATAAAGATATACCCGAGACTCTGTAATTTAAAAAGAAAAAGAAGTTTAAGTGACTCACAGTTCCACATGGCTGGGGAAGCCTCACAATCATGGTGGAAGTAAAGGAGGAGCAAAGGCATGTCTCTACATTGCAGCAGGCAAGACAGCATGTGCTGGGGAACTGCCCTTCATAAAACCATCAGATCTCATGAGACTTATTCACTATCGCAAGAACAGCATAGGAAAAACCTGCCCCTGTGATTCAATTTCCTTCTACTGGGTCCCTCCCATGACATGTGAGGATTATGAAAGCTACAATTCAAGATTATATTTGTGTGGGGACACATCCAAACCAGATCACTGAGGTTATCTGGGTTTCCTGAATTTGAACATTGGCCTATCTTGTTAGGTTGGGGAAGTTCTGGATGATATCCCGAAGTAGGTTTTCCAACTTTGTTCCATTCTCACCATCTATTTTGAGTACCTCAATCAGTCTTATGTACAGTCTTTTTACATAATCCCATAGTTCTCAAAGGTTTTGTTCATTCCTTTTCATTTTTTTCTCTAATCTTTTCTGCTTGTCTTATTTCAGCAAGATAGTCTTTAAGCTCTGAAATTCTTACCTTTGCTTCATCTATTTGGTTATTGATACCTGTGGTCACATTGCAAAGTTCCTGTTCTGTGTTGTTCAGCTCCATCAGGTTATTTATGTTACTCTCTAAACTGGTTATTTCGGTTAACAACTCCTGTAACGTTTTATCATGGTTCTTAACTTCTTTGCATTGGATTAGAACATGCTCCTTTAGCTCAGCATAGTTCATTATTACCCACCTTCTAAAGCCTGCTTCTGTCAGTTTATCCATCTCAGCCTCTGCCCTGTCCTGTGCCTTTGCTGAAGAGGTGTTGCAATCATTTGGAGAAGGGGCACCCTAGCTTTTTGAGTTTTCTGCATTTTTTCATTGATTCTTTTTCATCTTCATGAGTTTATCTACCTTTGATCTTTGAGACTGCTGACCTTTGGATGGGGTTTTTGTGGGGACTTTATTGTTGATGCTGTTGTTGTTGCTTTCTATTTGTTTGTTTTTCTTTTAACAGCCAGGCTCCCCTTCCTTAGGGATGCTATGGTTTGCTGGGGGTCCACTCCAGACCCTATTCACCTGGTTCCCTCCCATACCTGGAGGTTTTACCAGTGGAGGCTGCAGAACAGCAACAATGGCTGCCTGCTCCTTCCTCTCGGGTTTCTGTCCCTGAGGGGCACCGACCTGATGCCAGCAGGAACTCTCCTGTATTTGGTGTCTGGAAACCACTGTTTTGGGGGTCTCACCCGGTCAGGAGGCACAGGATCAGGACCTCCTTAACGAAGCACTCTGGCTGCCCCTTGGCGGAGGGAGTGCACTGCATTGGGGGCAATCCCACTCGTCCAGGCTGCCTGGATTCCTCAGAGCCAGCAGGGGAAAGAGCAAGTCTGCTGATCCATGGAGACCACGGCAGCCCCTTCCCCCAGGAGCTCAGTCCCAGGGAGATCAGAGTTCTGTCCCTAAAACCCGGGCTGGATTTGCAGAAATTCCTGCAGGGAGGCTCCACACTTTGAGGAGGTATGGGTCAAAGTCCAGCCTAAAGAGGTTGTCTGGCCACAACCCACCACAGCCACTAATTCCTCCTGAGTCCAAACTGTCCAATCTCCCTGGCACCAGCAGGAGAAAAATGGCAGACTGGAGCTACAGTGATGGCGATCACCCCTTCCCCAAGGAGCTTAGTCGTCTTAGGCAGCAGCCATCCCCAGTGATGGCGGCTGCTCCTCCCCCTGGGAACTTGGTAGTCTTAGGCAATCTTCAGCTGAGTGGCTGCCTAGAATCTGCACAGCTCTGTGCCTGAGACCCAAGGCCCTGGTGTCGTGGGCTCACAAGGGGGATCTCCAGATCCACGTTTGCACTGATCCGTGGAAAAAGTGTGGTTTCCCAGGCAGGGTAGCACAATCACCCACCGCCGCCCTTGGCTTGGAGTGGGAACCCCTTTTGCTCATGTGGCTCCCAGGTGGGCCATTGCACCACCCTGCTTTTCCTCACTCCCCGCAGCTCGTGCCAGCTGCCTAGTCAGTCCCAATGAGAGAGCCTGGATACCTCAGTTGCTGGCGCAGGATTCACTCACTGTTTGTGTTCTTCTCGATAAAATCTCCGCCTGCAGCTGTTTCTAGCCAGGCATCTTGGCCCCTCCCTGTAGGTATTTCTTTAAAATTATCTTTATTTATCAGAAAAGAGTCTTTTTTTTTTTTTATGGAGTCTCACTCTGTTTTCCAGGCTGAAGTGCAGTGTCACGATCTCAGCTCACCGCAACCTCTACCTCCCGAGTTCAAGTGATTCTCCTGACCCAGTCTCCGGAGTAGCTGGGATTATAGGAATGTACCATGACATCCAGCTAATTTTTGTAGTTTTGGTAGAGATGGGGTTTCACTATGTTTCCCAGGCTAGTCTCAAACTCTTGGCCTCAACTGAGCCACCCATCTTGGCCTCCCAAAGTGTGGGATTGCAAGGGTGAGCCGCTGTTCCTGTCTGGAAGAGAGTCTTAAGTCAAATGTGGGACACCAGGGCTGCAGGGTGCACCAGGCTTTGTGGCATCCAAGATTCACATGAATGGGGGGGCGGGCATGAAGGAAAAGGAGATGGTATTGTGGGGTTCCCTCCCAGGCACTAGGAAAGAAATCTTGAGGCTGAAGAGTCCTCGGCTTCACAAATCTTCCCGGACACAGGCACGGACCCTGCACTGATATTAGCCACATAGGGTGCCCTAACTTCCTTTCTCCGCCGTTTTAAACTGCCCTGCCTGCCTCCGTCTTCTTCATTTTCACTCCTGTCCCTGACAGGGACCCTTCTATGGCCTCAAATAGGCTCCAATCCCTGGCAAAACCCCTGCAGAATGAACTTCCCCCTTACGACCCCTTATGAAGTTTTCTTTCCAGGTCAATGTTCATTTTTTTTTAAATTTTCCCTTCCTTTTATCAACAACTTTGTCAAAAGGCACCTTGCCCCCAATTCTTACACAGGGAGTGGCCAGTTTTCAGATATCAGGGGCCCCTGCCTCAACCTTTTAGTACTTTATCTAATACACCCACTTCTATAACATTTACCCTGCATCAGACTCATCTCAGTATTTCCTGTGTCTATAAGCTCAACTGAAACTCCATAACACCGTGGGGAGGTGTTCATGTTGTCCGCCTCGACAGCTGAGCTGTTGGTCCCTGGCATAGAACATGATGCACTCCCTGGGACGAGGTGGTGGCAGCGCTCAGACAGAGCCCGCCTGGCTTTGGCTGTCCCCTTCTTCGTGGACCCTGAGTGTGCAGAAAGCTCACTGCCCTTATCCCAGAGTGGGAAGGACCTGACATGAGTGGTCCTTTCAAGGCCTCTCAGCACCTGTGTGAGAATCGGAAAGAAGGGGCCATGTCTAGCTGAGAGAGGGGGCTGGATTCCAGCACTCCTGCCCCTTGGCTGGGCTCCCTGGTGCAGAGTATAGCTTTCGCTGCCTTCCTAGTGGCATGGGCAGCTGGTCCTGTCGATGGTGCACACTGGCAGGTCTCCTCTGGGGAGAAGTATTTGGTGCAGCTGCTTAGGCACAGTTGGCATCTTTAGGGGTAGGAGGGAAGCACCTGGTGCTGTTCCCTGGCTTGGCCAGGTCTTGGGTCTGTCTGATATCATACAGCTCCACCTCAGTGATGACCCTGGAATCTGCCGTGGCACTTCCAGGCCTTGGGTGAGAGGCCACAGTGCTCTGTGAAAGCATCGCACCTGCATTGCCCAGAGCTGTAGCAATTCCTGCATCAGCACCAAGTGCAGCTCAGGGGCCACAGGAGCCTGTGCTCAGCCTCACCAGGCAGGTACCCTTCTCCAGGCAAGGTCTGTGGGTCACTGCCCTCCTGGAACCTGGGGTAAAATCTTCTCCACTCCTGGTTTTCTCTTCAATCCATCCCATAGCATCATTGTGAGACCTGGGCTCAGTGCACCCAACTTCCACCCAAGGAGTTTCTTCAAGAAGCTGGATGGAGAAAACAGCTGCCCTGAGAATGCATTCACATTTCAGAGACTGCACGTGGTTGTAGCCATGAGGTTCTGGTATTGCATAAGAAGTTGTGCTGTAAATCAGGAGCAACCACCAGTGAAATCTGGAAGAAAATTAGGCAGCAAGAAGCGTTAAAGTCAGAAGTGCATGTGAGTGCTGGAAGCTCTGCAGAATCAACCTCAAGTCAACACAGTCACTATTCCAACCTCAATGCACCAAAGGAGTGGTGCCGGAACAGGGACACAGCTCTAAGCCACCCTGGAGAAGGCTTATTGGTTTCTGTGACCCTCCCAGTTCAGGGTTATGAGCATCTGGCCATGTGTCAGGACGAGACAGCTCTGCTGGGAGCTGGAAAGAGAGGCGGTTTCCTTCTCCGTATACCGGGAGCTGGGGTGGGAGAGCGTGTGATGCTGCAGACACCTTTGGATTGGGCGGTGAGTGGGGGGCACAGAGCTGGGACCACTCCCTTCTCGTGGAGCAGCATGGCTGGTGCAGGCCAGCACAAAACACACACACACATATACACACACACTCTTTCTCTCTCACACTTACAAACACACACTCATACACTCACACATTCACATGCACACACAGCCTCATACACACATACACACACATCCACTCACACACTCATACACTCACACACACTCATACACTCACACATTCATACACACAGACTCATTTACTCACACACACTCATCCACTCACACACACACTTAAACTTATACACTCACACACACGCACTCACACCCATACACTCACACAAATACACCCAACTACCCTCACACACATACACACACTCACACACACTGTTACACTCACACACACACTCACACATTCACACAGCCTCATATACACACACTCATACACTCATTCACTCTTACACATACACTCTCATACTCCCACACATACACTCACACATTCATGCATACACAGTCTCATACACTCACACATATACACACACATACACACACTTATCCACTCTCACATACACTCACACTTACACTTATACACTCACACACATGTACTCACACACACCCATACATTCACACACATACATCCTCACACACATATACACACTCATATCTCACACTCTCAACCCCCTACACTCACATGCACACATACATACACACACTCATACTCTAGCACACACACATATGCCCAAACACACACTCATATGCTCACACACAAACACATACTCTAGCACACATGCTCATACACTCACACACACACTCTCACTCTAGCGCGCGCACACACACACACACACACACTCTCCTGTTCATGGTGTGCCTGGCCCCCGTTTGTCATTTCAGCAGCTGCCCCATCTGCCCCTTAGCCATGACCAGTGGAAAACTCATCACATGGTGCCCATCTCTTCCATACACTGCCCTATTCATTCCGCCAGTGCCTGAGTGCCAGGCACAGTACCAGGTCCTGGGACCCTGTTGGGTCACGCTGCCACTTCATCTGTGCCTTCTGTCTCATGGGGCGAACGGACACCTGCACGTCTCTGCTCCAAGCAGCGGGGTGGGAGCTATGAGCACAACATGGTGAGTGTGGCATTATCCCCTGGAAGATTTTTAGTAACGATCCTAATTACCTCACATTGTCTGGGGCCACTTGAGCTGGTTTTCTGGTTCCAGGCCCAGCGCTCTTCATCCTCACCATTCTGTGAGTCAACTGGTTTCTTCCCAGATGGGCTGTGTCCCTGCCTGTAGACGCCTCTCTCAGTTCAAGGAGTCCCCTTTGCATTCCACCACACAGACGTGCCTTCTTCAAAATAAAACTTTCTTTAGGAACGGAGACCTTGTAATTCTTTCTTGCCATACTTTGGATTGGCAGGAACCAGTTTAATAAAACACAAGGTTTATACACTTGCTAGTGGGAAATAGCACAACGTCAAAACAAAGCAAAGCAAAGCAAATCCTTTTATCTAACAGTTTAGTGTGGATTTCTGAGCCCACATAAGCCTCTGAGAGCCTCCTTGTCGTCGTCATGCTCTAGTCTCTGGTATTAGGTTTTTGAAGGGAGGTCACTTTCCAAAGGGCTAACAACCTTGGACACTGGAAATGTGGGGAAAGCCTGCATGTTCAATCCCTTAACCTTTGTTTTAGAGAATGGCTGTGTGTGCTATGATTATGTTTGAGGTTGTATCACATGTCACTGTTTCTAAGGAGTAACATGAAGCTGTCATAGGAATTATCAGAGGAAAGCATCTTGTTATCTGAAGTATCACTGTTAAAGAAATCAGTGAGAGTTTCTGCATCCTGAGGGTGTGGGGGCCCCAGGGATAAGCACCCTTGAGTGGGGCAGACACCCCCGGCAAAGACATCACCATGGTTGTCCCATAAACAGTCCCTCTGAACAGTCTACTTGCTTCCTTACCCTTTCTCCAACTAGCATCTTGTTCTAGAAATGACTAGTAATTACCTTGTTGAATACTATAAGCAATGATATATTTTGATTTCATAGAACAATTAACATCTGTCTCTGTGAGGAAGAGCAGGAAAAAGGAGTGAGTGAGGTCCACATGGTCTAAATCACCCAGGTAGTTCTGGGTGCTTGTTTGCAAAAGATCAATGACTTTAATGGACTGAAACAATCATTTAAAAAAAAATTACATAGAATAATTTCTAAGATGAGAATTGTTGTGTTTATTGTCTCCATTTTTTGCCAGCTCATTGTTTTTGAAACATTTTCTCCTGGGAATATTCGGATGTTACTATACATGCTGCCGAAGTGAGCACAAGATATTCAGATTTTATTCACTTGAAACTGAAGCGTGATGTAAGTAAAAACCGTGCTATAGTTTACGTGTTGTCTAATCTGTTGCTTTTCACTTCATCCTGTTTCACCCTTTCACTGTGGTTTTGCTTTCTTACAGTGGCTGACTTGCACATGTTTTAACAGAGTGGCGGCTGATTCATTGAACAGTTCGAGGGGCAAAGGAAAAGAAGTCCCTTTCACTTGCCATTTTTGGGTGATCCAACAGCCGTCTTGGCTACCAGCAGCTGGCCCCAGCATTACCACTGGGCTTGACTTGTGTCTCATAATTTCAGTTGTGCCTGGTGTCATTTTCTTATACAACCATTTCTTTATTAAACACAGGGTAAGGGGTGGAGAACCACAAGCTTTGAAAGGGAATTCTCTTTCTTGGCTATTACAGCTCACACTTGGATTTGTGGTGTTACCATTTGTGCGTTACTATAGGGTAGAAAACTATTTCCATGGATGGAAATTGTTAGCCCCCAATTGTGGCTGTTTCTTCAACGTAGTTTTACATGATTTGACTTTATTCTCTAAGTGGCTGTTTATGTTATGCATGAAATCATTCTGTTTGCCTCTGGGATTTGTGTGATATGAGGGCAGCTAACTGTTTTTGTTAGGGTTGTTGGTAAAGTGACGTATTGTCATGAAAGAATTAGGGGGCATTTTGAAAACTGACCTCGAATGCTACTTGTATGCACTGCAGATTTGGAGCAGGATTGCTGAACATTTATTATATCCTAAAGTTAGGCATCTGTCCCCACTTACATGTCACAGTTTTGGTTGTTTAACACAAAGATTGCCCTGCTGCAAGGCTCTTGCAGATATAACCTGAGAGACTCAGGCTTTCATGCTTTGAATCTTGAAGGGTCTCTTTTTTTTCGTTTTTTGATTTCGTTTTTTGACTGTCACAACTACTTATGATGGAGCTGAGTTTGACAGGTATAATAGAATGAGAAAAAAAAATGAGCACAACATGGAGAGCTTATGGAAGTTTCAGAAGAGAGCTCCAAAATGATACAAGATTTGAACATAAATCCCCTTGAGAGAAGCTTCAATAAATTTTGCTTTTTTAAAAAAAAAATATATATATATATATCTCTGAGGATGGAGTTAATAATTGTGGCTGGGTCTGCATAACAGACTTCAGATGGCTGGACTTGGGGGCAACAAAAATGAAGTGGCCTATTTAGTGATGTTTTCCACCACTAAATGTCTGGTTTCAGGCTCAAATCAAACACCAAACCACAGCCTCCACCTACCCCTAACGTGGCACCTTCCCTGCTACTCTTGTCCAAGACCTCACCAGCGAGAGGGTTTTGTACTACAAAGCTTACTTAAACTTGTTTTTCTTTAATTCTTCCCCTTTTAGCTAAAAAGTTCTGTGGCCACTCACTTTTTCTTTTAAATTAATTTTGGCTGTAGCTTATTGACCACCATGATGGGTAAATGTCATATGGACCATTTCATCATGGCACACATCTGTAGACATTAAAAATGTCACTATGACTTGAGAATAAAATGCTTACAGTGCTGGTGTGGCTGTGCACTGGAGGATGCAGACTCAGCCCTGGACGCCCTTTACAGGCTTCTCAGAGTCCCACAAGAGCCCAGGAACATTGATTTTCTGCATGTAAACTAGGACATCCTTTTCTTCTTGTATTCAACAGTAAGCGTCATCTTAGCAGTGAGATTTGCACTACTGACTGCTAGACCAGCTCACGTCATCATTGAATACACACAAAAAAATCTTAACAGGAAGGAAACAATACCCTTCAATTTATTCTATAGCTGCGACTCCTTGGAACTTCTGCATCCCAGTCATGGAGATGCAGTCAACGTGCAGATTGATCTTTATTGATCTTTAAATATTCATTGATCACATAACATGAGCAAAGTACTATCCTAGCAACCAAGAATCAGTGACGTATAAGACACAGCTCCTACTGTTAACCAGTTGTATTTTCATGGTGGAGAGAAAGGACATGAACAAGCATCCCAGTTCAGGGAGGTGTGCTGGAGATGGAAGAAGACACAGGTGCCCCTGAAGCACAGGGGACTTGACCAGATGCTGTGAGAAGCAGGTGCTTTGGAGAAAGAGCTGGGTGGGGTCTCAAGTGGGGATCGGCAAGGCCCCTTCCAGCGTCACCCCGTGCTACGATTGCCCATATTTGTCCAGTGGGAGCCCCTGCGCTGGCACTCTTGTCCTTTGGACATAGTCCTAGTGTGGCATCCTTTCTTGTTTGCATGACAAGGCATCACAGACTCATCTTTTCCATGTCCAGCCCCAGTCGTGGAGTCAGCCATTTCCCCAGGGAATCCTTAGTAGCTCCTTAGTGGTGTCATTTGGATGTCAGGTAAACTAATATTTGCTTAATAAAAAGTGTGCTTTTCAGAATTTGGAGGTACAACTATAAAAATTATTTATTGTACCTTTTCCAGTGTAAGCATATATCCTCCCATGGTGTTGGCATCATGAAAAAGTGTACAGCTTCAATAACAGGAGGTTAGTGAAAGGTGTTTGAACATTTTGTTAGATAATGTTATGCTTGCATAGGGTATACAACATTTGTATTTAATGGTGAATGCATTTTAAAGTCAATAATTCTTAAGATTCCAGCTTGTCAGTTTATCCTAAATATTTTAATGAGCTCTAACTAATGCAGCTTGAAGTTAAATAAACATTTAGGAAGTTAATTATTTTCCACTTAAATAAGAACAGCAAGACATTATTCTCCAGACAAAACTGGTGCATACTAGAAACTATCTGGAGGCACATGTAAGGGTGAGACTCCAGCGGACTTCTCCACAAGGCAGATCTGCGGCCCCGACCTGCAGGGAGTGAGGAGAGCAGCAAAGTGTTCGCCACACAGAAATACAGACAGGAATCTCAGCCCATGAACTGTCGTGGCTTCTGGAGACACACAGGGGATGTGATAATAAACTAGGAGACCTGAGCTTCAGTGCTGCTTCTGCCTCTGCATAGCAATGTGACTGGTGACTGATCGCCCTGTCCCTGGACTCACCTTGTAAGCCTGTAAAGAGATGGAGCTGAACCTCCTGATCAGAAGGATGTGTGTTCCAAGGCATGCCAGGACCTCTGACCACCGTGGATCTGAAATGCTGCTGATCTTAAATGTGCTGCAGAGAGGGCCGGGCGCGGTGGCTCACGCCTGTAATCCCAGCACTTTGAGAGGCCGAGGCGGCGGATCACGAGATCAGGAGATCGAGACCATCCTGGCTAACACGGTGAAACCCCGTCTCTACTAAAAATACAAAAAATTAGCCGGGCGTGGTAGCGGGCGCCTGTAGTCCCAGCTACCCGGGAGGCTGAGGCAGGAGAATGGCGTGAACCCGGGAGGCGGAGCTTGCAGTGAGCGGAGATCGCGCCACTGCACTCCAGCCTGGGCGACAGAGCGAGACTCCGTCTCAAAAAAAAAAAAAATGTGCTGCAGAGAGTCTGATAGAAGAAGAGTAGGATGCAGACCCCACCCTCAGTGTGTGCAAATTGGGGTGGTCAGCTGGTCTGAAGGAAACTTCCAGAACAAACCATTTTCGTAGACAGGCATGAAGGGTGATAGTCGTGGACCTGCGCAGGCACAGATACAACCTTAAATTCTGGGGAATTGTAATTATTAATTTTCCTTTGCCTGAAATGTAGGCTGCCCCCATTTCTTTATTTTCTTTTTTCTTTTGCAACTTATTTTTTTAGGGTGTTGTTAAGAAATCCATAAGAGCAACTGTGAATACTGAAATCCCTTTCTTTTTCGTAGAACAAGAAAACTCCTGGCTGCCGTAGGAAGCAAAATCTCATTTCTCCCTAGAAAAAGCAGTCCCTGGAGTGATGAGGAAGAATATTTGGCAGAAAGATGTCTCAGAGCCCATCTTTGATGCCTCTGCTGTCTATCGAGCTAGCTCTTGTTTTTGCTAGCACTAAATCCCCAAAATACGATTTTCTCCACATCTTGAAGCCAAACTTTATTGACAAAAAGTCCCTATTTAAGGATGACCTTTCTGTCCACCTAACCAATTAACCTCCACACCACATTTTTTTAATCCCAGTTTTGATACTAAATCCAAAGGATGAAGCCAATCTTTCGTGCCTCAATGCGGCTGGGTTTCCTGAGGGCTGCAGCTCTGGGCCCCTCCTGCTAACTGCTGTCAGCAGCGATAAGTCACCTGTGGATCTCGAGCTGTGCCAGAGGCCACATTTGTTTCCAGGACGTGTCTGACCCTGTTGACTGTTTCACAGGCTGTCTCAGAGGTCTGTGGTCACTTTATGGTGTGGTGACATCCAGCAGATACCAGGTGGAATTCATTCATTTAAAATGTGAAAAATAGAAGGAATAGAGAACTTTAGGTCATGTGTTTTATTGCTTACTACTTTTAGGAGCTTTAAGCAAAACATATGTTCTTTTATTAGTTTATTTCTCTCAACATGCTAGCTGGTAATACTTCTTTAAGTAGAAGTTAATTTTTAAAAAGCGTGTTTACAGTAAGTTGGAGGAAAAGCTCAGATTGCTAATATCCCTGACAGGAGAATTGCCTGCAAGACTCTTATAACTAGTTGGATTCCAGGTTGCATCCCAGGGGCCATTTATATTGGAAGGTTTTTCCCAGACCTTGGTCAAATGAAGAATGAGCTATTCTGGAAACAACCTGTCTACAGGTATCTTAATATCTGGCATGTAATTTATTAAATATATCCATCGGGACAAATTTTTAAATACATAGATAATTCTAAAATTTAAACTGGACTTGAACTCTTGCTATGACACCTCTACAATTGTAAAAACCACATTAGAGTTCTTCTATGAGCCTCTTTAAAAACTGGCCCATTCCAAGGATTCTAAAGAATTCTAATGGTTTCAAAATGTTTTCTTCTATCAAGCCAACATTTGCTTTTTTGTTACTTTCACTTATTGGCAAAAATTTTCCTTGGGGGGAGAATACAGGTTAGATCCACTCTGTTTCCCTCTTAAAATATCGGACTCTCAAGCCAAGTGTTAGGCATCTTTGGTTCTGTTGAGGGATTCATGACCCCTCAGTGACGTGGTTTTGGAGAAGACACTGGACTCTCTTGAACCTCAGTTTTCTCCCCTGTAAAAGGGAATATAGCGTCCTCTGGTGTTCTGGATTAACAAAGTGTTTTGGGAAATACAAAGCTGCACCCTGTGGGATTATTGTGGGATTCACAGTGACAATAAGGCTGTGTCAAGGTGTCACGCCCTTCCGGTCATCTCTTCTTCAACATTCGCACTCATCATTGTCTTTGGTGACTCTTTCACAGAGCACAAATCAGTCCAGCTACTGTTGAACTATTATAGGTCACTCTGGGGTTCTTTTTCCTCTTTTGTAGTGCTCCATATTACCCCCTATGAAGCACTGCACACACCTCTCAGAGGCAGACGCTTCTGTGGCACCAGGCACCATGCTTCCCTCTGACAGGTGTCCTCTTCCAGGTACAGGGACGAGGCTGCACTTCACCTGCTGAAATCAACATCCGTCCTGGCTGTTTCTGCTGCCCGTGTGCTCACCCTCACTTACCCTTGAGGTTCAGCCTGAGCCCCACACCCAGGAGGTCCTCCCAGGAACAGGGCTTGTTTCATCCTCCACGTCTGACGTCCCCACCCCTCCAGCATGACCTCACTCCACTGCCTTTGGGTTCAGGTGATTTTCACCTTTGAAGGCAGAGATTAAGCCTAATTTGTTACATTTCTAAGATTTAGTTTAGAGCAAACTAAATGCACCCACACATACACACAGATATATATACTACATATACATGTACACATATAATATATACTATAGGTAAACATATATAAAAATGTATATATAAATATATAAACATATATACATATATACATATATGTATAATTATATATATAAATATAAATGACTGGAATGTTTTCTGAGAAATGTGCATTGCGATTTTATCTTTATGCCAACATCAGAGAGTGCACTTAGACAACCTAAATGGTACAGCCTACTACACCTCTAGGCTGTATAATTTAATCTAGGACTCCTAGGCTACAATCCAGTGTAGCATGTGACTGTCCTGAGTGCTGCAGGCAATTGTAACACAATGGTAGGTATTTGTATAAATATATATTTATACAAATATATTTAAACATGGAATATATATATTAAACTAAATATATTTAAACATAGAAAAAATATGTAAAAATATAGTAGTATAATCTTATGGGACTACTGTCATATATATGGACTGTTGCTCACCAAGACCTTGTTATGTGGTGTGTAACAGACGTGTGTGTGTGTGTGTGTATATGTATACACACACACAAACATATACACAGACACACACACACACACATTCTATTGGATTTACTTCTCTGGAGAACTCTGGTTGATCTGATAGATGTTTCTGCGATGCTGGCACATCTTACTTGTTCCCTAGAGTTACTAAACTCTTAGAACAATCTAAGTTTTTCAGAATCAACAACAATGGATATATAATTCTCCCAAGGTTTTTTTTTTAATTTTCAAGCGAATACTTTTCAATCAAATAAGAATGTATTGAGTATCCGACACACTTCCAAATTAGCACCTGTCATAACTACCTATTTTTTGAACTTCAGTCTGCAAATAAGGAAACTGAGCAGATAATATTCATTTATAGCTATTTGCAAATATAACACTATTCCGTGGTCCCGGGAGGGAATTCTCTAGAGTGTCCGGGGTCTCTGTCTTCTGAAATTTTGCAGACCTCAGAAGATATCAGGGTGTGATTAGGGGACAAAACAGGGCCATTTGGAGCCACGGGTGGAGGAGCCTCTGTGTTCACACTGCGCTCAACACAAGCCGAGCACGCACATGGCCACGCTCCAAACAGAGCGGAGCTGTGCGGTTCCAGTCACAGAGGGTCAGGTCCAGCGTTTGCACTGAGGCCTTAAGAAGGCCGAGGTAGGAAAGGCGAGGCCAGAGAGGGGAGCTGGTTGCGGGGCAGGCATCAGGGAAGCCCGGGAGGGGCTCAGCTTCGAGGCCCCCGGCTGAGCGCATCCTTGAGGAGCCCGTGCCAGTTATTTACTCTGGGATTTATCTTGAAGTTCTAGCTCTTTTCTTATTTCTGCCTTTTTGGGAATGAGAAGTTGAAGAAGAAAAAGCTGTTGGGAAACAACATATCTCTGTTGGAGTGGAAGTGAAAAAGAAACACAAGTGGGCCGTCTGTGCTATTTTGAAAACAAAACAAATAAGAAAAGAATAAATTATAACTGAGTTCACGCTGAGCACTCACAAAAGTTTCTTTCAGAGCTCACCCTAACTCCTAGTTTACTGACTTTTAAAAATGCTTTGTTTAGTCAAAACCACATGGCATATCCAGGACAGATCTTTCCTTCGCCTTAAAGCAATCTTAAGTATAAATAGAGAATACAAAGAAACGGCTAAAAAGGGAATGAATTCTACAGGGAGCCAACACAAACATACATAAGACGGCATGACGTCACAGCTGAGAAGTGCCCTTCCTGGCACCACATCACATGGCGCAAAGGTTGTTCCCTAATGAGGGTTTTATCTCCTGCGAAGGGCCCTGGGAAAGGCCACGTGTCAGCACAGCCTTGTCCTACCGGAACTTCTCCTGCAAGGGAAAGATTCACTTTTGAAAACCATAGACCGTCTGACAAAAATGCATGCGACGGAAGAACATGGGCACATTGGGAATCCGACCACTGTCCAGACAGGTGACGGGTCACTTCTGTGCTCTGAAGCAGCCAGCCCAGGCAAGTGGTGAGGCTGAGGCTCCTGGCCTCAGCACCTGCTCTGTCCGCAAGCCCACCCGCCCTGCAACCACCGTGTGGGTCCACTGGACACATTGCATCTAGTTGGATGGGTTTGGGTCATGATTCACTTAGAGGCTAAAGGGGCACCTGCAACGTGGGTATGTCTGGTCATCCTTCTTTAAAAACAGCCAACTTGGGAGCCTGGGACATTGACACCTTGTGCCCAGGCCTGGAGTATTCTCTCCACTTTGGTTTCCCTTTAGGCACCAGCAGGGTGAGGGTGCCTGATAGAGGCTTGCACACACGATGGGATGGGTCCTGGCCTGGCACTGTAGGTAGAAGCCGGTGCTGCTTCGTGGTGGGGGCCTGTGTCAGGTGAAGATCTGTCAACCGCATGACACAGTGCAGAGATGACTCCTGACGAATAGACTCTGAAAGGAGTGAGTTTCTTTTAAAATTCTGCTGATAAATCTGCATCCACTTTGAAGCTCCGAGCATTATTTTCTAAGGTTTTTCTGGTTACACTAATTATATGTTACTAAAAGCAAGCTGTCTTCATTGTGTGTGACAGAGCCCTAAAAATATATTGCTGACTGGAGGAACCCACGTTAATACAGAAGCCAACTAAATCCCAGGGCCCTATTACAGGATTTCTAAAAGAAGGTTATGGAATGCAGCTATTTGATGACTCAGAAGTGTTTGTCGTCTTATAATTAGGGAAGCTAGAAGGGGTATTGCAGGCTCGGTGGGATCTACTCAGACATTGGACTGAAAGCTGCAGAGGAGATTGCCTGAGAGGGTCTCGGCAATTCAACAGGTGGTGGCCTTCCCAAGAATAACGATGCTTTCAGTTTTCTGACTCTTGGTTAGGGTTTTGCAATGTAGGGCTTGTTCCCTGAGATTTGGCCTACACAACCTGCAGGTGAAGCCCTTAGTATGACCCAGGAGATGCAGCAGAGCCTGCTGCTGGAGCCAGGCATGGCTTTCTTTAGAAGAACCAGAAATGCTGAGACATCTCTTAAATTTTGAGTGAAAATATCACAGGTACTCTTTTTAGCTTTTGCGCTTGGGAGAAAAACTAAGCCTGCTTACAGTCTTAACCCAGCTAGTGAAGGCTCCTGGCGGACGTGCACACTAAGCACATCGGATGAGCTGTTTGGACCAGGGTGAGGGCGCACCATCAGGCCCTTCCCGCATCCCTGTTGGCCTCACTGTTCCTGCAAGACTTACACTGGGGAAACTTTTGAAAATGAAAATGTAACTTGCCGGGCGCGGTGGCTCATGCCTGTAATCCCAGCAGTTTAGGAGTCTGAGGTGGGCAGATCACCTGAGGTCAGGAGTTTGAGACCAACCTGGCCAACATGGTGAAACCCCGAATCTACTAAAAATACAAAAATTAGCCAGCTGTGGTGGTTGGCACCTGTAATCCCAGCTACTCAGGAGGCTGAGGCAGGATAATCACTTGAACCCGGGAGGCGGAGGTTGCAGTGAGCTGAGAATGCACCATTGCACTCCAGCCCAGGCAACAAGAGTGAGACTCTGTCTGGGAAAAAAAAAAAAGGAAAGAAAATGTAACTTAATTTCCTTAATGCAAATCTCAACCCAGTAGGCTAAATATCAGCAGCTGAGACCCTCAGGCTTGAAAGGAAGGCAGGTGCAGCTGAGGTTTCTTGAACTGCCTGTCTGTGGAACCTTGGGAAGTTGTTTCTGCTTTCTCTTTTGTAAGAAGGAACACGATTTGCCTTGCTCATCTCAGGAGGCGCTTGAATGAAGCAAATGAATTGATGTGAAGGAAAACACTCTGCAAGTTAGGAAATGGTCCTCAAAAGTAGGGAAGACTCCAGCCACAGCAGTGAGCCCTGGCCGAAAGCTGGGGTGACATCTCCTGCTTCTATGCCGGCCCCTCCAGCTTCAGGCTGCACAGCTGGGCTTCCCTTCACAGTGTCCTGTCAGGATGAATGGGACTGCACGTGATGGAGAAGCTTCCAGACTCAAGCTGACTCTTGGTGATAGTACGTTTAAGGTGCTTTTCTCCTTTCACTTCTTGAGGATAGCTGCTGAGCAGTCCAGGATGGAAGGAGGATTTGTGCTTTTGCCTATACGTGTCCCTGGGCGTTTCTTCATTCGCTGTCCTCTTTTAGGAGCTGTACTTGCAGTGGTGGAGCTGGAAGCCTTCTCTAAGGGCAGTGAAGCCGCACACTTAGAGTTTTCAGGTGGGCCGCATTGACTTAGATGCAGGTGAGGCCTCTGTGATGCCCTGAGCCAGCCCAGCTCCATGCCGGTGCCAGCCAGGCCCGGCCTCGGTTTCGCTCTGCAACAATGGGAAGGTACCCTTTCCTCCTCATGATCCAAAAGTTGCTCTGAAGACGATGTGACAAATGTCACCGTGTGAGGGACCTCGTTTGTGACTCTTGTGTTCTAAGACCCACGTTGCTTTATTGCCTAGAGGTTCCTGAAAGGAGTGCAAGAGCTGGCCTGTGCTTTGGTGGCTGAAGGAAGCTCTAAAGCTCTTCCATGGAGGGCCCGTGTCAGCCACTCTCCCCTTCAGTTAAGTGACGGATGGACTTGCCTGGTTTTAGGATCTTATTCAGCGGCATTTCTTCAAGTGAGTTAATTGGATACTAAACAATTCTCCATTAACAAATAGAAGCATTTCACGTGGTTTGTAAGTATTGCAAACACCAACACTGTTTATAATATTATACATTATCATAGAGATGACACCATATAATATTCCACTGAGTTTGGTGCCCAATAATCCAGAAATAGAATAAGCATTGTAGTCAGAATATCATTCAAAGAAGGTCATTAAAGTAAAATATTGTGTATTTTGCAGGTTTACTCAGACACAAAAATGAGGAAACTTCACTTTAGATAATTGATCAAGTTTCTTTTCTCCAGAAGCTGTTTTCTTGACAGGCTCATCCCCAGACGGGCTGCCATGACCTTCAGGTTCACTGGGCAGGTGAGAGCCAGGCCCCACTGTCATCGGTTCCTTGAGTGTCCCAGGGAGGCTCAAGGCCTGGGCCGGAGGGTCTGAGTCCGGTGTGAGGTGACCGCGTGCTGTGCTCTGCAGGGCCAGGCCTAGACCCCGACGTCCCAGTCCCAGTCTCTGTCTGCCCAAGTGGGCGGGAGAATCTGGGGGAGGGAGGGAGAGGCTGCTTCCCAGGCCGTCATCCCAGCACGGCTTCCTCACTGGGAGGACGCGGCTTGTTCCCATTTCTGGAGTCAGGCTGTATGGGCCCCTCCACAATCTTCAGCGCCGCGTCCCTGCAGGTCCACATGTCCCCCGCGGGCCCTCCCCTGGTTTCCGATGCCCATCACCCAACCTCTTCTGTGTCCTCAGCCCGGGGTGGGGGTGCAGCCCCTGCAGGTGCCTCAGGGTGTCTGTGCTCCCAGCCCTACCCACTGCTCGGTCAAACCTTCACATCGCCTTCTCTCCTGCGCGCAGCTGGCGGCTTCTATCTTCTGACCCACCCCAGCGTGCCTACCGGCTTTCCTCACACCTCACTGTTCAGGAGAAGAGGGAAAGGCGACCCTTGCCCCTCCTCTACATCTGCCCACGGGACCCCCTGGTGACAACCCTGTGGGGAGGGGACAGCATGGCAGGGCCACAGTGTAGGCCTGGGAATTAAACTCAGATCGCTACAGGGAGACCAGACAAAGCCGGGGCATGGGAGTATTTAATGATTCATTAATCCTCATGTGTTTAGAGAAAGGATTGTTCATACAGCTCACCTGGAAAGAATGTTCCTTGGTGTAAAAGTCTGCTCTATTCATAAAAAGCTCCCTTGAACTGACTTTGGCAAATGCCCAGGACCGGGTTACGTGTCTGAGGAGAGCTTTATACAAATAGTACAAACAGCGTAAAATTTAGCGCCAGTCTGTAACACCCACCCCCATATTTTAATGAACAATTACTCCAATTGGAACCAAATATTTTATACCCCCTGGTAAGTTTTCTGCCACCTGCCCGTGAATGTGCTTCTCCCTGATCTGCAATTCTGTCAAACTCTTACGCAGTCTATTTGCTTACACTGTTTATGACAGTCACATCGTGAAACATCTCTTTGTTTAATATCCTGGAATTACACAAATCAAGGATTCTTTTGGCAGGCCTTGTTAGGTAAACATCCTTAAAGGAGTGGCTTCCATGGCAGAGGCCGGCGTGGGCTGGATGCCTTTGTCTTCGTGGTAACAGCACTCAGAGCTGGCGTATCACGCATTGCTTTGTAAGTGTCTGAGGATCATGGTCCTGCTCCTTCCAGGCAGCCTTGCTGAGCACTAGACACACACCTTGGATTGAGCTCCTGTTGGGAAGCACATATCTGAGGATTGCAATGAAGATTGTCCCCACAAACTTTTAATGGAACTTTTAGTATCGGTATAGGCTTAATGGAGCAGTTGAGAATAGAACAATGAGTTCCCCGTACCCCTACCCTGTCTCTCCATTTGTTAACGTCTTATATGACTGCATGTTGACGTGACTAAGGAACCAACGCTGGTACATCACTGTGTGCTAAACTACACCTAATTTCTATCTAATATCCTATTCTGACCCAAGATCCAGTCCAGGGGACCACATTGCATGTCATCCTCATATCTCCCTAGGCTGCTCTGACCTCTGAGAGTTTCTGAGACTTTTCTTGCTTTAATGGCATTCAGAATTTTGAGGGACAACTGCTCAGGTATTTAGTAAAATGTCCCTCCACTTGGGTTTATAGTGACTTTCTTATGGTGAGACAGGGCTTACGGATGTCAGAGGAGATGAGCAGAGGGTCCAGTGCCGTTCTCGTCCCATCATAGCAGGGGCACATGCTATCCGTGAGGCTCAGCGTTCATGTGTTCATTTTGATCACCTGGCAGAAGTAGCGTGTGCCAAGTTTGTCTACTGTAAAGTTACTTTTTGCCCATTTCTGTGATGTACTTTTTGGAAACAAGTTACTAAGTGCATCCCACAGCCGAATGAGAGGAAAGAGAATTACGCTATATGTCATTGAAGGCAGAGTATCAGCATAAATTATTTGCAATGTTTCTGTATGGAAGACTTGTCTCTTCTGTACATCTGGTTATTTAGGCATATAGGTATGGGCAAAGGATATTTATTTGATTTCTTGTTTTATAATCCAACACTATGCAATTTGTTTTGCTGTTCAAATCACTTCAGCTTTGGCCACAAGGGACACTTTCAGGTTCTCCCATGTCCTATAGGTGTGTCCCCACCCTTTAGTTTTTGGGGGACTCCCTTACTTTTTGGTGCTTCAAGATGCTCCAGGCTCCTCTTGAATGTCTGCAGGCACAGTCCTACAGTCAACTGTTTGTCCAAGGAACCCTGGTTCATTTTCTTGAAGAATGGCATCAGAAGTCAAGTCAAACACTGAATGTGCTCCTTCATACTGGGGTGTTGCCTTCATTTTCCTGGAACAACTCAGCTTCCTGCTATAACCAAATAGCATCTTCAGCTACCAGACAGATTAGATGTTCTGGTTACCCTGCCTGACCTAGGGGTTTCAGGAGAGATCTTTTATTTCCTTTCCTGCATGTCCCCAGAGACTGAGTAATAAATATTGTGTGGAGCTGAACTTTTTGAATGTTTGACCCTTCCATTGTCATGTTTATTTTGTGAATGTCTGAAAACCACTTTGTGATTTATAACCAAGCGGCTGAGGTGGAATTTAATTGCTTTACAGATAACTACGTAGATGCCGTCTGGAGTTGTATTTATTTGTAGCCAGGTGAGTGAGAGCTGTGCAAGAAAGGGGTTAAAGTGGGCCCATTATCAAGTGCGTTAGATGTGTTTTTCTTAGCAGTAAATTCAATAGAAAGTATGGCTACTTTAATCAAAGTGTTCATAGAATGTCCTCCGTGGAAGGCATCTGTATTGCTTCTTCTATTATTCAGGCATATATTTAGTAGGTTTCTTACAGAATGGCATTTGCTCAATTAGAAGATATTAAAAACTGGTTCTATACTCTGACCAGTAGAGAAATGGTTCATTAATTGTTAGCTGGGAAACCAACTTTTATGTTTCTCCTCTGCTTTCCTTTTTGTCATTAATATTATTCAAAAGCATGGCTTGGAAAACAATGAGAAAATATTCCTCATTCTCTAACCCATGAGAGTGTGTTCAACATGATGAGGAGGAGGAAGAGGAGAAGAGGAGGAAGATCATAAACCATATAATATTTTCTGATGTGAACAAGCTCACTCTTAGATAGTATGAAATGAATACCTCTTATAAATCACTGCTATTTTTCTAGACGACTGCAGCTTCTTTGACACTGTCACCATAAAGAGGGGGGCCTATGCCCCTCTTGTGAATCTGAGCTGGCTCCCCGCTGTTCTCACCAGTGGAGTGTGGCACTGGAGGTACCAAGCTGGTGCCAGGCCTGACCTCTGAGAGGCTTAAACTCTGAGAGGACTGGCAGCTGTCACCTTGGTTTCTTGAACCCGTGAGAAGCCACATGAGGAGATTGACTATATTGAGGCTCCCATGCTCTAGGAATCCCAAGCCATGGTGTGGAGATGTACTGAAATAGCCATTCAGAATTGGAGTTCTGGGAAATAATTAAACCTTAACGCCCTAAGGTATTCATGAGAGGTAATTAATTATCTTGTTTGTGTGCATCTAAAATAACAACAGTTTTTAATCGTAATTAGGACAATGAGAAAATAGCTATTCAAACTCTACTCTGTGTTTTGTAGTTCAGAAGGACTTCAGTTAGGAAAGAATGCTGGAGGCTGAAACACCTCCATGTAGGAGGAGCCATCATGGAGGCGTGGCCCCAGGTGCAGCCACTCCTGTGAAGTCATGTGGATCAGAGACAAACCACCTAGCAGAACCCTTCCTGCATTCCCTACCTACAAACCCATGAACAAAACAATGTGGTAGCTTTACGATGTTAAGTTTTGAGATAATTTTAAAAAATTAAGCAACAGTAACTATCAAAAACCCAACATAAGCAAATGAAGCCCCATCTTCCAACCAGAAAGCCAACCATCAGCCTATTAAATTGTATATGTGATATTTAAAATGTGTGTATGACTGTGTGTGGCCAAAAAGTGTCTCTGCTTTATTCCTTCTTTCTCTTGTACGTTAATAGAGTTTCCTTTGTTTCTCCATCATGCACTTGGATCATCCAACTCAATTTGGCAATGCTATTCATATAAGGAAAAATGTTGGTTTATCCCCAGCTCTAATCTGCACAATGACTCCCTGAATTTGTAATGTATGTAACCCATCTACCCTTCCTGGAACACATTTAGCAGGATGCCTCCTGTCTTCCATTGTGGGAAATAGATGATACATGGGGATGAAGATACATAAAAAAAAAATCTCTTTGAGATGTATAAGAAAAAATCAACATGGAAAATTCAAAACTATTATTAGAAAAAAGAGTTATGTCTCTGAAATTAAATAGGAAAGGAAAGATTTGAAGTTCAGTTTCCCTTTTTTTTTTGTTCTGTACAAGTATTCACACCAGACTCAGTACTTTATCTCAGGATCCCTTCAGCCCCACTTGAATGCCCCGAGCTGGTTCTCCATCATCTGACAGTTCAACCGCTAACATCTGAAGTCTCTGCAGGTCCGAAATGAAGATCAAAAAGCAGCAAGGCAGTAGTCGCCTGATCCATCAGCAGTCACAGATGTGTCCAGAACTGAGAGAGCCTGCCCTCCACTCAGACTTGTCCCTCAAGACAACAAAAGGCTCAATATCAGAAAATCGAAAGAGAAGAACAGGCATACCTGGTCTCTCAGGCACCAAGTGAAAACATCATTGCCAATTTCTTTCAAAAGAAGTTGTTCCATTGCCACATTTCTTTCCTATTTAACAGCAAAGCAAGCATGAGTCAAGGTGCTATTTTCATTCATGTTATTAAACACATTATAGTTTAAGCTCCTTCATAACTTCTAGTCTAAAACAGTAAACATGGCTATATATATTTGTTTTCCTGGGAATACCAATGTGCATACAAAAACTCTATAGTTAGACTTTTAACTACAAGCCTGTATTGCTTTTGTGATCTAAAAGAGACAACAGAACCCCACCCTCAACAGAACCAGCCCCCTGGGGCTGCTGTGGGATAAATAAGAAAATACATGTCAAGCTCTAGGAACAGTGCCTGACGTGGTGTAAGCACCATCAACGTTTTCTCTAACTTCTGCTTCTTAGCTTTCCCTCTGTGCCTGACTAATTGGTGTAAATGGTGGGTCAGAAGAAGCTAAAATGTCCTTCTTGCCCCTCATGTAATAATATGAAAGCAAAAGTGGGTGATGGAATTGCTCCTGGCTGAGTCTGCACAGAGCAACAGCAGGAAACCATCCCTGAGGGAAGACAGAGGACCCTGTCTTCTCTTGCATTTAATTGGCTGTAATGCTTTAGTATTAATGTGAGTAGTATATGTTAGGATGATGTGTTTGACAGCTGAACTGCC
This sequence comes from Homo sapiens, assembly GCF_000001405.40. NCBI lineage: Eukaryota > Metazoa > Chordata > Mammalia > Primates > Hominidae > Homo > Homo sapiens. The sequence continues at coordinate 3,745,870 of NC_000005.10, forward strand.
CCATTGATGTTAAAATAGTATAAAATAAAAACATTTTTCTTGGCACTTGTCTCTTCTCCATGCTGTATGACAGAAAGAAGAGTGCGAGAAGGGAAGAACTGCAGAGACACCTCCAAATGGCCGGTCCTCTGTGTCAGGAATGCTGGGCCTTGGTGGCGTCTCACAGGTGATTGTGTCTGGCCCATGGAAAACAGCACACAGAACTACCTCCCTGGGCAGGGCCATCAGCTTTCTTTCCAGGCAATACCCATTGGACTGGGAGAAACCTGCAAGCTGCAACTACACAAGCTGGAGCTTCAGACTGAATTTTAGCTGCTGCGTCAGACATCTCAGGGATGGCAAGAACCTCAGTCTCTCCCATTCTTCTGGACTCAAACATTCCCGGGAACATGGCCCCTGTTATCGCCCATGTGTGTGGACCGGACCCAAGGTTGGGATGGGCTTCTCATCAAGGGACTGCTTTCTGGTTGAGGTGAACCACAGCAGCTGATGGGCGTGGTCATTCCCTGATATGGCTTGACTCTGTGTCCCCATTCAAATCTCATCTCAAATTATAATCCCCCCATATTGAGGGAAAGATCTGGTGGGAGGTGATTGGATCATGGAGGCAGTTTCTCCCATGCTATTCTCGTGATAGTGAGTTCTCATGAGATCTGATGGGTAAAAAGTGACACTGCCCCCTTCTCTTTCTCTTTCTCTCTCTCCTGTTGCCTTGTGAAGAAGGTGCCTGCTTTCCCTTCACCTTCTGCCACAATTGTAAGTTTCCTGAGGTCCTCCCCGCCATGCGGAACTGTAAGTTAATTAAACCTCTTTTGTTTATAAATTACCCAGTCTCAGAGAGTTCTTTATAGCAGTGTGAAAATGGTCTAATAAAGAAAATTGGTAGGAGGATAGTGAGGTTCTGCTATATAGACAACCTGAAAATGTGAAAGTGACTTTGGAACTGGGTAATAAGTAGATGTTGGAACAGTTTGGAGGGCTCAGAAGAAGAGAGGAAGATGTGGGAAAATTTGGAAATTCATAGAGACTTGTTGAATGGCTTTGACCGAAATGCTGACAGTGATATGGACAATGAAGTCCAGGCTGAGGTGGTCTCAGATGTAGATGAGGAACTCACTGGGAATCGGAGCAAAGGTCACTCTTGCTACACTTTAGCAAAGAGACTGGTGGCATTTTTCCCCTGCCCTAGGAATCTGTGGTACCTTGAACTCTGGAGAGATGACTTAGGGGAGAAATAAGAAATTTCTAAGCAGCAAGGCATTCAAGTGACCTGGCTTTTTCTAAAAGCATATGCATTCACAAAGAGATGGTTTGAAATTGGAACTTATGTTTAAAAGGTAAACAGAGCACAAAGGTCGAAAATTTGCAGCCTGTGATAGAAAAGAAATACTCATTTTCTGGGGAGGACTTCAAAGCCCTAGCCAGCTGCTGGAATTTGTCTAAGTAATGAGGAGCCAAATGTTAATAGCCAAGACAATGAGGAAAATGTCTTCAGGGCATTTCAGAGAGCTTTATGGCAGCTCCTCTTATCATAGGTCCAGAGGCCTAGGATGAAAAAATGGTTTCATGGGTCAGGTCCAGGGCCCTGGTGCTCTGTTCAGCCTCAGGACAAGGTGCCCTGCATCCAAGCCACTCCAGGTCCACCCATGGCTAAAAGGGGCCAGGGTACAGCTTGGGCCATGGCTTCAGATGGTACAAGCCCCAAGACTTGGTGGCTTCCACATAATGTTAGGCCGGCAGGCATGCAGAAGACAAGAACTGAGGTTTGGGAACCTCCACTTAGATTTCAGAGGATGTATGGAAACACATGGATGTCCAGGCAGAAGTCTGCTGCAGTGGTGGAGACCTCTTGGAGAACCTCTGCTAGGGCAATGCAGGGGGAAAATGTAGTGTTGGAGCCCTCACACAGAGCCCCCACTGGGGCACTGCCTAGTGAAGCTATGAGAAGAGGACCACCATCCTCCAGACCCCAGAATGGTAGATCCACTGACAGCTTGCACTGTGCACCTGGAAAAGCTGCAGACACTCAATGCCAGACTTGAACACAGCCACAGGAGCTGTACCCTGCAGAGCCACAGGGGTAGGGCTGCACCTTGGGAGCTCACCCCTTGCATCAGTGTGCCCTGGATGTGAAACATGGAGTCAAAAGTGTTTATTTTGTAGCTTTAAAATTTAATGAGTGCTCCTGTTGGATTTTGAACTTGTGTGGGGACTTTTGGCCCTTTTGTTTTGGCCAATTTCTCCCATTTGGAATGGGAATATTTACCCAATACCTGTACCCCTATTGTATCTTGGAAGTAACTAAGTTATTTTGGATTTCACAGGTTTATAGGTGGAAAGGACTGCCTTGTCTCAGATGGGACTTTGTACTTAGACTTTTGAGTTAATGCTAGAATGAGTTAAGACATTGAGGGATTGTTGGGAAGACATGATTGGTTTTGAAATGTGAAAAGGACATGAGATTTGGGAGGCACCAGGGGCAAAATAATACGATTTGGCTCTGCGTCCCTACCCAAATATCATCTTGAACTGTAATCCCCATGTGTCAAGGAATGTGCCTGGTGGAAGGTGATTGGATCATGGAGGCAGTTTTCCACATGTTTTTTTCATGATAATGAGTGAGTTCTCATGAGATCTGATGGTGTAAAAGTGGCACTTAACCCTTCCTTGTCTCTCTCTCTCTCTCTCTCCCTCCCGCCCTCCCTCTCTCTCCCCTGCAACAATGTGAAGAAGGTTCTTGCTTCTCCTTAGTCTTCCACCATGACTGTGAGTTTCCTGAGGCCTCCCCAGCTATGCAGGACTTTGAGTCAATTAAACCTCTTTTGTTTATAAATTATCTGTTCTCAGGGAGTTCTTTACGGCAGAGTGAGAATGGACGAATACACTCCCCCATGCCTGAACCATTTAGGTGGCCTCAGGACACACATGAAGAAGAGCAGCCCTCACTGCCATGCCCCTGACCAGAGCCTGCATCCTCTGCCTGCTGAGACCATCCACCCTTCACTTTGTTGGTGCCTGGCAGGCATCATAGTTTGGGCAGGCCCATGTCCCCCACTGATGTGAGCTGCCAACTCTGCCCTCTGAGCTGTCCCCCTGCAGGGATGTCCCTCTTGGTCAGACCTTCACCCTGTCAAGATACTTCTAAGGTGTGAGGCCACAGCTCTGAGGCTCCTGGGTGTCATCACCTTCTTGCCCTGAAGTTCTTGCTCCTAAGCAGTAGTGCCCTGGTGCCTCCTTCACCAGGGCTGCTGAGCTAAAGAGGCTTGTTTTCATCACAGGGAAATATTTCCTTCTCAAGTAGTGCTTCCTTTAATTAGATTCTCCACTGACACCACTGTTCCAGGGTCCCTGCTGGGTAATGATGGGCGAACTTCGTCTCACACATACAGCATCAGGGAGATTGGTCCATCCTTCTTGGAGCATCTGCTTCCTGACTTCCAGTAGCCATAGGGCCACATTGCTTTAGAGCTTGGCTTGTTCTCTAGAGGCGGTGAGAAAGGAGAAAATGCTTCCAGTGACCACAGGGAAGAGCAGGACCACAGGGAATGGCAGAACTGTTCAACCCCGGAAGGGAAATCATTTGTGTTTTCTTTCTCAGTGCACAGATTTATTTGTCCTTTGGTGGTCCTTTGGTGGTCAATAGTTACCTTCTTTTGCAATAAAACATTCACTATAAATTCATGGAATCAGCATTTGTTGAGCATTATGAGTCCACCGTGGGTTCTAACCTGTGGCTAAAAGATGAGCAAACACAGCCCTGTTCTTTCCTAAGGGCAGGGCCTAAGATTGCAGTGTCTTCTGAGCCCAAGCTCAGCCCCAGTTCTACCTGGTGGAAGTGACCCACTAAATATTCCCTAAATGCAGTGGCTTTCCAATAATTACTGGTCTCACTTCCACACACTACAGGACAGGACTACTATCTGGACAAATATGTCATGAAAGCCTTGAGTCTGGGATGCAGAGAAATGGATAGATTGAATGAAAGTGCTGGGTTCTAGTCAATTTCAGGAACCACGGACATGGACAAGCAGGTGGGCAAGAGAAGTACAGCTGTCCTCTGTGATATCATCAGTCATAAGGACCCAGCTGTCAGGAAATGGGGCAGAGCCTTGAATTTGTAACACTGCCACTTTGAGTTTCATCATTCATGCAAATCTCTGCACTTTCTTGATGAAGAAGACATTAATCTGAGTGCATTTGTATTTACCCTAAATTGCATAATGCATGCTGGGTCTTAAAATGTTGACATTTACCAAAAGTAATGTTAAAAGGACAGATAAGCAGAGGAGCAAGTTGCTGATTTTGAATCTTTACTTACGACAAACTTCTTTTAATTACCTTTATATTGAATGCTTTGTAAATAACTCAATAGGCTACACCATATGTTATGCAAATTTTAACCAAAATTACTATTTTCAGCAGAATTTGACTGAAGCATATTAATAGGACAGCATTTCTAATTTTAGCTGGTTTTTACATGAATATCCTTAACAATATATGGGACACGGCAGGATATTTAACACTAGTGCATTTATTTATTCATCCACCCATTCATCCAGAAGTATTAATCAGCCCTCCTCTCTATGGCAGACCCGGCACTAGTTCTTGTGGATATAAAGTTTCATTAACAACACTCACTGTCATTTATCAGCTTAAGGAGACAAACAGGTAGATGCAGAGGCCAGGAGAGTCTGAAGTCTGTTGAAGCTGGTGGGATTTGCAGACAGTTCTCCAGGTGGCATTGGAGGACTGGGTCCTCTCCCTTACTTTCTGTGTGCAGCTCTCAGAATAACCAAAGCATAAGAACGCAGCACCCTGAGATAGGGTGGAACTATCTGAAGCAGCTGGAACCTCCTCCCTGTCCCTCCCAGGGAATGCAGCATCTCAAGTTAGGGAGAAACTGCCCCGGGAAGCCAAGCTTTCCTCTTCCCTCCCCTGGCAGCAGGATGTCCCTCAAAGTATTGTTCAGTGAGTTCTGTTGCTTCTGATATATACAACCAGGGTGGGCTGCCCACCAGGGTCCCTCAGCTGTGGTACAAATGGGGCACACACAGCCGGGACCCTGTCTGACGTGGACAGCTTTCTCAAGGCTTGGGGGACCAGCTCATGATGCATCCAAGGTTTCTTTTGTTTCTCTCTGCCTGTCTGTAAGTAGTAAACCTGCATCGTGCAGCTTGTTATGAATTTATTCTGTCTCACTGGACTCAAACAATTAGTAAAACTGTAACCCAAGATGCAGTGGCAGGAGTGTCCGGACTCCTGTTTCTCGTGGCTGGCACAGTGATGGTAGGTGGTGGCCTCCATGATGTGAGAGTCCTCCCTTGGGACTGGTATTTGGCGGGACTGTGGCCACATACAGTGCTGTGGCCACATCTAAAAGATGTGGCATCTGTGTCTGGTAGACAGTAACCAGCAGATAACAGCCCCAGTGAGGCCAGATTGGGCCCTTTGTTAAAAGCGGGTAGACATGTGGGTTTCATATATGCAATATCTCACCTAAATCATTCTTGGCAAGTAATTTCAGTATGTTGAAAGGAATCACTCAGTAAGTTGAATGAACCTGGTGATGATTCAGAATGAGCTCTGGAATGAGTGGTTACTTTGCAAAGTCTGCAGAGTTGATGAAGGAAGGCGAGAAGGAAAGAAAGAAGAAGGGAGAAAGAAAGGATGGAGGGTGAGAAGGGAGGGTGGAGGGAGGAAGGAATGAAGGCAGGAGGAAGAAAAAAAGAAGGAAGAAAAAACATAAAAGAAGAAAGGAAGATGAAGAAAAAAGGAGAAATTGAAAAAGGCAGGAAAGAAGGGACTAAGTAAGTAGAAAGGAGGAAGGAAGCATTACATGTGAGTCCATCGGGAAAGAGAGTGAAGGAAGGAAAGAAGAAGGGAGGGAAGGAAGGAAGAACAGGAGGAAGGGATGAAGGAATAGAGGAAGAGAGGAAGGAAGGATGGAAGAAAGGAAGGGCTCTTTGGTGACCTCCTTCTCCAGCATGCATAGATTAACTATGATGTGCCAGGTTCTACCCCAGGGCTTGCCGGGATCATGGGAATAGAAAAGTCCTGACCCTCCAGTACTTCATGGATGGAAGGAGCCATTTCCAGGTAAGGTATTGACCAGCTTTTGTGGAGTGTCTGATGAGGAGGCTTTGGGCAACTGTAGTTGGAATTCTGTGTTTAGAACACAGATGGGTCAGCAGAAAATATTTTATTAGAGATGTAAATTATAAGCCTGGTGGGTCCAGGAAGGAGAGGCACCATCTCCTGTAAAATATGTAGGGAGACCCTCCTTGTGGCCATCAGTGTGCGACACCCCCAGGTAGTCAGAGGTAGTCTAGGCCCTCCCCCCAGGAAAGGGTGTGGCACTATGAGGGGTTTGCAGCACTGAAGACCCAGGAAGCCTTCTTATGTCAAAGGAAGCATTTTTCTCTTGATTTACTAGTAATCAGTGATGAACTTACTAGTAGTAGATGCTAATAGTAGTACTGAGTACATGAATCAGTTGCAAAGTGCTGATTACTGCAAGTGTCCTCACAACCAACCTTCACATGCACACATGCACACGCACACGCACACAGGCACAGGCACACAGAGATATCTGCATATAACACCAGCACCCACACCCATGCACAATGCATATTGTAGGCATTACCTTGTCCTTGAGGTCTTTGGAAGATGCTAGAGCCAGTCAGAAACAGAAAATGGCAAACAAACCCTCCATCTTCATCAGGACAACCAAGGGTATGGGCACAGGCCTGTGTCTGTGCCACCCCCACCTTAGCGGTGTATGTATGGTCTATAGTCAAAAGGAATGGAGATTCCCAGAAACAAACCAATCGGTCTAATTAGATTAATTGCAATATCAACATGATGGGCAAAGACAGGCGCTCGTCTTTATTCTGCCAAAACTGTTCAATCCTGCGCTGCATTTCTGCTGTGCAGCCTCGGCCTGAGAGGAACCACTGAGATAAGCCAGCATTTTCACAGGGCTTCATAGGACTCCTTAATGCAATCTGTATTCATGCTGCACTCTGCCACGGACTTGGACAAGTCGCTTAACCCCTCCGCCCTGAGATCTTCCTCTGGAGAGTCACCCTACGGAGCGCTCACCACCCTGACCCTCCCTCTGAGGCTCTGCAGGCTGGTGGTGCAACGGCTCCTCGGATCTGATCCAAAGAGCTGAGGATGATTTGCTTTCTTATTCAGATTATTGGACTGGCTGCCAAAGCGGCACATCAAATCTACTGCAGCTGATTATTTCAGAGCTGAAGGTCTCTCGATGCTGGCATTTTATCCCGGCTTTCATATTTGTAACCTTTTTTATTTCTTAGTATCCCCTATGTCTGGCGGTACGTTCTCACCTCTGACACCAGGAAGTCAGTCAATAAACCCGACGTTCTTTGATCCATAGGATTATGGGGCTGCTTTTTATGCAAACAGAAACATCAGGATAAGCAAATACAGAAGGAAAAAGCCCTCTGGAGCAAGGGAGGAAGAAGAAACAATTCCAGAGCATTTGCAATGCAAACCTTACTGGACGCCTGAGCCTCCTTCATCAGCTGTAAGAAACCAGCCCAGACACCAGGCTGGGGGGAGGCATTTCTGCACCCTCATCAAGGTGCCCTGAACCTTTCTGCTGGTGAGTTATAGGAACTGTATTGCTCTAAGATTACCTATTTTTGATATTTTTGATGACACAAGATGGCACATATCCTTGCAGCATTTCCAAAATGATAATGCCCTCGTGGACTCAACCATCAGGGATACTATTATTTCCCCATCTCAGACTCCTGGCACTCTCTCAAGCAATGAGAATGCCATTGTACCTGGGGGTTGTCCCCGTCAGCGGCTCTGCAGAAGAATGCTGTCTTCTCAGACACAAACTTTCCCACATCACGCGTCTTCACTTTCATAGGCCTCTGCCACCTGCTTCCCAATGCTTACAATTTCACTTCTTGTAGGGGATGCTTGTTAGTTCTCAGAGCAGAGTTGTCTAACACATATGTACTAATAACCCCTACTCGAGATGTATGATTTTCTTGTTGTATGGCTTTCATTGTCTGTTGGGGAAGCCCTTTTAGTCGCTGATTGAATATATGTGAAGACCCAGAAAATGGAAATGGAAAATACCAATACAAAATTGCTGCTGCATACGTAACGTGAAGCTTCTAGAGTGGCACTTTAGAAATGTACACTTTCTGAATATTCTTCTCTAGAGAGAGGCCCTTCCCATGGAAGCATGGAACCGATCTCCATTTGCTTTTGTATATTTCCTTAACGAGAACAGGTCCATGCATTAATAGGTGGATGCTATTTTGCAATATGACCATATTTTTATTACTTTGTGTTCCATTTACCTTTTGCAATACAGGTGGAGAGCATCCTCCTGCTTCTTCATCTTCGGGGAAATCTGTGGATGTGTAATTTGTTTCTAAAAGCCCAAACTCATCCTTCAGATTATACAGGAACTCCCGAAGGAAGCACTAAGCCAAGAGAGTCACAGAACCCTGGAGTGGCCAGGGAGTCGGGATTCACTATCACCTCTCTCCCTACACACAGTCCCCAGAAAGAGCCGTCCCTGGGCTGGGGCCGGAGGGAGCAGAGTTTCTACCGGGGCATCCTGAGGAGGGGACCCTGGAAACCTCACAGCAGTTCCTGTGTCCCAGGAGGAGAACCTGGGAGAGAGGCTGGGGGTCAGGGAGCTACAGGGCATGGGCTTTGGGGGTGGCCTTAGGGGACTGGCAGCTCAAGCCTAGTGGGGAACTTTTTCTTCTCCCTCCCCACCACTGACTCTCTGGAAGTCTGAGTCCTGTATCAGAGCCTGGAACAGGCTGCCACACCGGGGAGGGCTGAAACAAAACACTGACTTGAGGTTTAAGTCTTAACCTTCTCCCCAGAGAGGAGGTGGAGGGCTATGAAAATAGGTCAAAGAATGAACGGGTGAGTGGTGTGTGACTCTGTTGAGTTAGGGTCTCTTGCCCGCTGCATACCTGGGTCCTGCCTCAAGGGGAGTCATCTGCATCTGGGGGAGGTATAAGCCTTGTTAATGTGTGACCCCAGCCCTGGGCACCACCAGGGAAAAGCGCAGGGGCCGAGGAGAGGCGGCTGGCTGGCAGGCCTTGTGGGGGTGACTCTGTGGGCGAGAAAGTCAGAGCACTTGTCCCAAGGCAGGAGAGGAGGGCAGGGAGCCGATGGGACACAGGCACAGGGCCTCTGGGACAGCCTGCCTCATAACTGTGATAATTTTCTTTTTTTTTTTTTTTGAGACGGAGTCTTGCTGTCGCCCAGGCTGGAGTGCAGTGGCGCGATCTCGGCTCACTGCAGGCTCTGCCCCCTGGGTTCACGCCATTCTCCTGCCTCAGCCTCCCGAGTAGCTGGGACTACAGGCGCCCGCCACCACGCCTGGCTAATTTTTTTTTGTATTTTTAGTAGAGACGGGGTTTCACCGTGTTAGCCAGGATGGTCTCGATCTCCTGACCTCGTGATCCACCCGCCTCAGCCTCCCAAAGTGCTGGGATTACAGGCGTGAGCCACCGCACCCAGCCATAACAGTGATAATTTTCAATCATGTCATTTAAATTCTCTCTCTCCCTCTCTCTCTTTTTTTTTCTTTCTTTTTTTTTTTTTAATTGAGATAAGGGTGTCACTTTGTCACTGAGGCTGGAGTACAGTAGCACAATCTCAGCTATTTCACCTCACTGCAACCCCAGCCTCCCAGGCTCAGGTGAGCCTCCCAACTCAGCCTCCCAAGTACCTGGACCACAGGCATGCATCAAGATGCCCACCTAGTTTTTGTGTTGCTGGTAGACACAGAGTTTTGCTATGTTGGCCAGTCTGGTCTTGAACTCCTGAGCTCAAGTGATCCACCCACCTTGGCCTCCCAAAGTTTTGGGAAGACAGGCATGGGCACTGTACCCGGCCCAAATTCTCTTCTACTTTTTTCTTAAGGAAGAGAAACAGAGTTTTTTGTTTTGTTTTTTTTTTAACAAACAAAACAAAACAGACTTCACAATGTAGACAGTTCACTGAATAGCTTTGTCACAAATCTGCATCACAAATATGTCTCAAATAAGAGCTTCAAACAACTTTATTTTTGTTTTTGTTTTGTTTTGTTTTGCAATGCAGTTTCGCTCTTGTCACCAAGGCTGGAGTGCAATGGCATGATCTCGGCTTACTGCAACCTTCGCCTCTTGGGTTCAAGCGATTTTCCTGCCTCAGCCTCCTGAGTAGCTGGGATTACAGGCGCCCACCACCATGCCTGGCTAATTTTTGTATTTTTAGTAGAGATAGGGTTTCGCCATCTTGGCCAGGCTGGTCTCGAACTCCTGACCTCAGGTAATCCACCCGCCTCAGCCTCCCAAAGTGCTGGGATTACAGGTATGAGCCACCCTGACCACCTCAAATAACTTTAATTTCAAACAAAGTATAATCTTTTTAAACTATTGTATGACAAATAAAACATTAAACTTGGTTATGTAATTTAATTGATTTTATAGTTATTGCCAGGATATATTCTTAAAGGAGATGGGGGAATACTTTTTTTGAGATGGAGTCTCACTCGGTTGCCCAGGCTGGAGTGCAGTGGCGTGATCTCAGCTCACTGCAACCTCCGCCTCGCCTCCCGGTTCAAGCAACTTTCCTGCCTCAACCTCCTGAGTAGCTGGGACTACAGGCACCCCCCACCACGTACGCCTGGCTAACTTTTTTGTATTTTTAGTAGAGTCAGTGTTTCACCATGTTGGCCAGGCTGGTTTTCAAATCCTGACCTCAAGTGATCCATCCAACTTGGCCTCCCAAAGTGCTAGAATTACAGGTGTGAGCCACTGCACCCAGCCAGGGATACCTTTTTATATATTCATACCTATCTCCTAACTGTATATAAAAAGGTTAATTTAAAATATATGTGTATTTTTACATGAGAATTACATGAACTTTGTATATGATTTTAATATCATTGATATAACATGTGACATGAAAGTATGTATATGTCAATACTGGCTTGTTTTTTAATAGGTATGCCTTGCTAACACAAGTTTTATTACAGTCAACTTTGAAGCACACCATAGGCTTGTCAAATGTTTTGCCTAGTTATAACGAAGAAAAATAAATTAATTTTTAAATAAATCTCGGAAGAAGCTCACTTTTAAGCAAAAACAGAAGAAAAAGAAACACCACTCTTTGAAACATATTACTTGAAAGAGAACATGCAATCTGTTATTCAGGTTGTTAAACAATATTATCAAGAAAACGCACATCATTTTCCACAAGATATTAAAAGACATATTCAGAAAGCACCTTTGTTACAATATAAAAAAGTTTGAAATAAAAACATGACATAAGGATATGTCCCATTATCTTGTTTTCAAGGAAATTTTAAATAAAATGTATCTTCCCCTTTCCTTGTCAAATCACCAAATACCAGAACAAATGTTCTTAGAGAGCCTGCCCTCCTTGTTCCAAGGTGTGGAGGGCATTCAAAGGCAAAGACATTGAAAACATCTCCACCTTCAAACACAAGCCCTGGGCGCTTTTGGTAGCCATTTCTCAGTCTCGCTTTCCAACACAAGAGTTCTCTGATGATTCCTGGGACACGTTGAAAACCAGTGCTGGGGCTGGGCGTGGGGGCTCACGCCTGTAATCCCAGCACTTCCGGAGGCTGAGGCCGGAAGATCACTTGATCTCAGGAGTTCGAGACAAGCCCGGCCAATATGGCAAAACCCTGTCTGTACTAAAAATACAAAAATCACCTGGATGTGGTGGTGCGTAGCTGTGATACCAGCTACTTGGGAGACTGAGGCATGAGAATTGCTTGAACCCAGGAGGCAGAGGCTGCAGTAAGCCAAGATTGTGACACTTCACTGTAGCATGGGCAACAAAGCAAGACTCACTCTGTCTTAAAAAAAAAAAAGGAAAAAAGATGCTGGAATCTAAAATTGAGCTCCCTGCGGGCAATCTGGAAAGGCTAATTGACATTTCCTTACTCACCAGGGACCCTTTTCGTAACGGCCCATCCTGCACAGGCCATCTCTGTAGGCTGGAACCTCAAAGCGGGTGACAGCTATGTCCACTTTGCAGGAACGATGCAACGATGCAGGGTTTCTCCTGGCGTGGCCCTGAGGGTGGGGTTTATGTCAGCAACACACTACAGACGTTCTTTAAATCTCTGTGCTCTCTAAAAGGAGAGGCTTTTAAGAACAACAGTTTCAGTTAAAAAGTCCTGTGACAGAGGCAGGCTGATCACAAGGTCAGGAGTTAGAGACCAGTGTGGCCAACATAGTGAAGCCCCATCTCTCCTAAAAGTACAAAAAAAAAAAAAAAAGAAAAATTAGCCAGGTGTGGTGGTGTGCACCTGTAATCCCAGCTACTTGGGAGGCTGAGGCAGGAGAATCGCATGAACCTGGGAAGTGGAGGTTGCAGTGAGCCGAGATTGCACCATTGCACTCCAGCGCAGGCGACAGTGGGAGACTCCATCTCAAAAAAAAAAAAAAAAAAAAAAAAGTCCTGTGACTGATGCATTCAGGTCCCTCTCCATTAAAAGGCCTGTGTCTGAAGAATGGATAAAAGAGCTGATGAATGGCACAGAGAAAGCAATGAGCCATGAAATAGTAAAAACAGCAACAAAAATCATATTCTATGCTTCTCAACACCACAGCATACGTTCAGATAGATTTGTGTTCAGTATCAAAACTGGAACCCTAAACTATGGGGTTGGGTGAAGCCATTCTAAATAGTAAAGTTAAAAAAAATCATAAGGGGAAATATTGAGGTTTAACATTATAAAAATGTAAAAATTGTAATTGTCAAAAATACCATAAGAATTAAAAGGCACTTGACAAATTAGAATGAAGTTTGAAAATCTTAATACATAAAAACTGATACAATCAAAAAGAAAGCATGACAATCTAAAAACTAACAAAGGCTATGAATATTCAATGTACAAAGACTTACAAGTAGTTAATACACTTATGTAAAATATTTTACTGTACCATAAGCAAAAATAAGCACACGTGTAAATAACAGTGACATGTCATGAATTGCTTATTGCATTGGGAAAATTTTTTTTTGTATTCAAGATATAAGGAAACATGAATTATTGTAGATAGATGCTTGATTAGGCAAATGTAGAAAGGTGGCATTGAGGGAGGCTGGTAATATTATTTGATATGTAACAGAGGGGTGAGCAGACGCAAACAGCACCACCACACACTGCAGCCTGGCAGAACACAAACATGGACCACTGCCTGTGATTCCGAGTCAAGGAAGCAAAATTCCTAACAGTTTCTTTAAGAGGATTTTTTTTTTTTTTTTTTGTAGACGGAGTCTCACTCTGTTGCCCAGGCTGGAGTGCAGTGGCGTGATCTCGGCTCACTGCAAGCTCCGCCTCCCGGGTTCATGCCATTCTCCTGCTTCAGCCTTTCCAGTAGCTGGGACTACAGGCGCCCGCGACTGCGCCCGGCTAATTTTCTGTACTTTTAGTAGACACGGAATTTCACCGGTTAGGCAGGATGGTCTCCATCTCCTGACCTCGTGATCCACCCGCCTCGGCCTCCCAAAGTGCTGGGATTACAGGCGTCAGCCACCAAGAGGTTTTCTTACATCAATGGGGTTGGGGTGAAGGGGAGCTGGGAGGTTTAGAACAGGGAATACCATGATAGGAAGAGTTTTAGGAGGATTAATCTGGTAAAAATACAAAAGATAGGTAATAGTGTATAAAGAATATAATTTTAAAAATCAAAAGTAATTTTTATTAACCTATCAACTCTACAGATTTGCTTTACTCTCTCAAACTATTTAATCACTTAGTTCAGTTTTATCTAGGCTTCCACAGAATTTGTCAATAGAGCTAATTACCTGAATACTTCCAAATATGTGGATAGGCATGGCAAGATGTTGAAAAAATAGCCACATATCTAAGTAAAAATTTGGTTTTCCTTGTCATGGTTACTGAAATATGAGTTTCTCTCTCTGTTATCACTACAAAACTCTTATGAAGTATTTGCTAACTAGTTAGTTTATTCAATAGAGCTAAACAATGCTATATTTGTCTTTTTCTTTAAGGATGAATCGACTTACATTTAGTAAGAATAAAAGGTTGATAATAAGGGGTGGTGGACTGGGGAAACTTCTTATTCCATTAGCA